>NC_000011.10:27560000-28810000 GCF_000001405.40 Homo sapiens
TTTGTTGAGTTTCATATTTGAGAAGAAAGCTAGAAGGCAGAAGTCCAAGGGTGTGTCAGTTATTTTGAAAAGTAAAACATGAAGAAGAGAAGTATAAAATATTTCCAAAGCTCTGGGTTTAATGACACCAAGTTTGCTAGTTTTGTTTCCTGGTGGTAATTAGCAGTCAAACAACATGTGTGCTTTGGGTCATCAAATATTATTGTGGGTAGGGAGAGCAGCCAGTCTTGAGCAACATGATTTCAAGGGATTGAGTGAGTGATGAAAATTATTGCAGGATAGGAAAGCAAGTTGGATTTCTGGTAACTACAGTAAAGAGGAAAAGAGAATGTGAAGAATAGACTGACAGGGAAGCTCTAGGTTGAGCGACAGAAAGGCCTGTGTGGAGGTTTCCAAATATAGTGCCTTATACTACTCAAAGCCCTTCCTATTGTCTTGTATAATTCTCTTACTACTCTTTGGATTGGGTACACTTGATATTTTTAGTTCTGTTTTTCTGAATAAGTTAATTTTCAGAGAAGGTAAAGTAACCCAAAAGTACACAGCTAGATGGAAGCTGATCTAGGACCAGAAATGAGTTCTTTCAACTTATAGATCAGGGCCTTTCCTACTATCCTGCAAGGCCACTGAGATCTAAAACAGAACTGTCTGATCTGCAGGATATCTAGAAGTATATTAGGCACAGGTGGGGGTGTATGGGTGGGGAAGACAGTATTCCAAGTAGAGGAAATAGCACTTGCAAGACCCTGGGGAATGAGAGAGAATGGTGGTTCCTAAGAACACAGAGCAGACCCGTAGAGCAAGAGCAGGAAAAGCAATATGGACACTGGTGTAAGATGAGGCTAAACATGTAGCAGGGGCCAGATTCTGAAGCCTTTGAGGGCTAGCATTTTACTTATTTAGCTAAATCTCACACTCACCAGCAGTTTCCTTTCTAAATAGGATCAACATGCATTTCTTTGGACCTTTGCTGACACCAAATGGTACCAGTCTTTGAGCCTCTCAAGTGAGGTGGGAGGTGGGGAAAGGAGGACATAAAATTAGCATAAGTACATAAACCTAGTTGCACACCAGTCTTAGTATGAGTAAATAACATGTTCTGCATTTTCATGTGCTACTACTTTCCAAATGAATATAGATGTTATGATGAATAAAACTCAAATTCATTTCAATGTACTCCTGAATTCCTGGGAGCTTTTAGCTGTTATGCATATAACCCTTCTGCCTCTTGCCTTATCGGTCTGTGACAACAAATACAGTTACAACTCCTTTTGCTCTACAAATTATTGTGGCTTGAAAGTTGACCCCACTCAAAGTATCATCCAGCTATTTCTGGGTATTTCCATGGGGATGGAATAGATCCCTTGGGCTCTTCCTACCTGAGTTTCTCCACCTCTTCTCTTCTTCTCTGAGTTTCATGCTATTGTCCATGCTCTGTTCTCCTTGTGGTTCACTGCTTTTCTGTGCCTATCTTTGTTCATTCCCACCTCCCATGAACCCATCACTACCTTTCTTTATTCCCGCCACTCCTGAACCCCTTACTATGTTTGTTCATTTCCATTGGTCATGTCAGCACTGCTATTGTTGGGCTCAAAGGCTGAGATAGTTTGTTTTCTACATGGAATGGAACTGTGACAGAATCTCCTGAGGGTTGAGGGTGGCTCTGTCACTTCCCTGAGACTGGCCTCTTCTCCAGCCATCATCTCTGCACTTCTACACCCACAGCTGCAGCTGATGTAAGAGGACCAGCATATATGCTTGTGGAAAGCCCAGACTTGCTCTTACTACACTCTTCTAGCCTCCCCAGTTGTACAAGGGCTGCTTACTCCCAATGATGAAATTTCTCTGAGGGTTTGATACCTAGGATTTCAGTACAAATGGCCCAACAGAAATAGAGGAATTCCTTTCTTCCTCTAGTCCGGGGATCAGCAAACTAACTCAGGGGCCAAATCCACTTGTTTTTATAAATAAAATTTCACTGAAACCCAGCAACACCTATTTTATTTATATATTGTTTATGACTGCTATTATACTACACTGGCAGAGTTGAGGTTATGACAGAGATGGTATGACCTACAAAGTCAAAAATATTTACTATCTGGAATTTTACAGAAAAAGATTCTCAGTTCTTTATCTCATCCATAAAATCATTCAAGGAATTGTTTTAAAATGAAAAGTGGGTGATATGATCAGATTTATACTTTTCAAAGGTCACTCCAGTTGTAGTGACAAGAGTGGACTCAGGGTGGGAAAATAAAACTGTAGACAGAGACCAGATAAGAAGCTGTTCCAGTAATTCAGAGAAGAGGTGATGGTGGCCTGAACCGAAGGAACAACAGTGAAAATGCAGAGAGGTGATGGATTTGAGAACTATTGAGGAGGTAGAAATGATAAAACGTGATAATGGATCAGGTGCTTCATGCCTCTTCTCTGACACTCAGCCGCCAGGCTCTAGGTACTAGAAGTCTGATCATGGATTTGCTTCTTTGTTTCTGTGGTCTCCTGATTCCTGTCTGGGTCTTCTTCTAACCCCACTGGAGCATTAGAGTTCTATTTTCCTACTTTTGCCTGATTGCTAGGGCTCTGCTGCCTCTTGACTATCCTCTGTGAGGCAATTAGGGGAATTCAGTATTAGGATCCATGTATCTTGTCTTTGTCCACCAATAGAAGATACTGCTAACTTGGACTTGCATTGCCTTCTGATATTATAGGCAGAAACCTCTGTGAGAGGTTCTGTGATTTCTCTGTCAGGCTGAACTTTCTGCTAGCAGTTGTGTATTCCAGGAAATGAATATAGCTCTAAATCCAAATTCTCACAGTTTGCTTGGTTCTTTTACAGTACTTGAGATGTGCTGGGCCAATTCCAAAGGTAAAGAAGAGTAGGTGGGTATCCTGGGGCTTCATTATATTAAAAGTGCTAATTCTTTGATTTTTATTCACTTATCTCAACTGATTAATAATTTTTGATGGAATGAGAAAAGATAACTCTGTTTTAGTCTTCCCTCTAGGGTTCTGTCTTTGTTTATTCTATATCCCTATATGCTGATAACTTCCTAGTTTCTGTCCTAGAATCTAGCATATATCCAGCTTCCACTGAATTCCTCCACCTGGATGTTACCAAAACACTCAAGGTTCAATCTGTCTAAAACCTGAAACCTTTATCTTATTGCTCCTTTTCCTTTTCTTCTTCCCATATCCTTTGTGCTAATGAATGGCCCCACCAATCAATCCTGTCACACAAGCAAAAGATGTGGAAGTCATCTTGGAGTTATAAATTCTTCCTATTTCCTTACTCTACAATCTATCAGGATTCTGTCTCTTAAATACATTTTAAAAATCCTTATCTCTTCTACATTCTTGCTGCCTTAGTTTAGTCTTTTTATGTCTCATAATGACTAGTCATTTCCTGGCTTGTCTCTCTGCCTCTTGTCCTGTTCTGATCTAATCCTTCAAGGACAGGAACAAAATGACCATCATTTTAGTAGCCTCAGAACTGAGGATGAGATGGGAACACAGAAGGTCCTTGTTGAATATGCACCAATCTAAATAAAGAGGAAAATCAGGATCACATGTGTCTTTTCCTTTTGATACTCCTGATCTAAGATTTTCTCTTGTCGGTATCTTCCTTCTGGTTCCTAGAAAATTCCTCCTATGCTATGGAAGACCTCAAATGAGGTTTCTACCAAGACTTTGAGAAGATTTGAAGCTTTTTTAAAATAAAAAGTTTAGCTTTTTCACAGGCACTGTTATGGCTCACTGGGGAGGTGGGAAGGCCTTCTGCTGGGGTGAGAATACAAGTCAGGCTCCTAAATTTTCATAACGGAATGTCAGCCTTGCCACCTGACAGTCTAAAACATATGCCCAAAGCATATGGATCTCTTTTCAATCAACACAACGTCTTCACTTCCTCTAAAGAGCTCAATCTTGGACTGACTGATATTCAGCCCTATCCAAGAAGCTCAGCTAAAAAGAGTGATATTTGAGAGATATTTGGAGCTAATCATTCAGTCTCTAAGTTTGGACTACAAGTTAAAAATTCGTTTGGACCACAGCTCTAATTCCATTAGAAATGTCATCAGTGAATAACATTTAAGTAATGTGCTTTCTGATTTTTTTCCCTTTTTTTTTTTGAGACGGAGTCTCGCACTGTCACCCAGACTGGAGTGCAGTGGCGCAATCTCGGCTCACTGCAACCTCCTCCTCCTAGGTTCAAGTGATTCTCCTGCCTCAGCGTCCCGAGTAGCTGGGACTATAGGTGTGCACCACCAGGGCCAGCTAATTTTTGTATTTTTAGTAGAGATGGGGTTTCACAATATTGGCCAGGATGGTCTCAATCTCTTGACCTCGTGATCCGCCTGCCTGGGCTTCCCAAAGTGCTGGGATTACAGGCGTGAGCCACTGGTGCCCGGCCTGTGCTTTCTGATTTTGTGCAGGATTGATAAAAAGATGCCTACTACTGAAGAATCACCCCCAAAGTATTTTTCCATTATCTTAATGTGTCTTTGAGAAAAAAAAAACTTCTAAAGAAGTAGCATGCTTCTTATATTGGGTAATGAGAACTACTATAGTTCTGTTCAAGACAAAGTTTCAACATCTGAGCTATCCCTCTTCTTTGGATAATAGTAACTATAGATAAAATAACAAAAGAGAAAATTTAAAATACAATAACACTTTAAGGAACAAACTAAATATGTCTTTGACTAGAAAAGAACAGAAATGCAAAGCAGTAGGGCTGGAGATGAGTGTCTGCTGGGCTGTAGCACTGTAGGCAGGCAGAGATGATTAGGAGTTCAGCACTCACAAGGTGACAGGATCTAAAAGTGCCAAGCAGGTGGCAACCAGACATTGGATCATTGTTTGAAATCAGGGTCTGAGGTGGAGTACCACTGCATAAAAGGAAGCTTAAAAAAAACAAAAACAAAAAACTGCTGTCTAATACTACCAGAATATCAAGAAAGGAAGTAAAGATGAAGCTACAGTTTTGAAGCCAGAGCTTCTGTGAAGCTGCCTTCTGGCTCAGTGACGAGTGATAATGTCACAATTATCCCAATGAGGCAGGAACACTGATATAACAATATAAGATGTATTTCTAATTTGGGATCCTAACAGGGTTGGCTGAGGGCCATTGAAAACCCACCAGAAAGGGAGGAAAGAGATGGAGGAAGAAAAGCCTAAATAATTGACAAAGCTTCCGCCTACCCAAGACAAACCTGAAAATCTAAATTCCATAATTAATGAAGAAAAAAATGCTAAAAATAGCTGTGAAGATAAATTATTGACATCAATTCCTTCTCAGATGAAGTGAAAATAATTATACAATCTGAAAAATGCTTTATAATAAGACATTTATGATCTTTCACAGATAAGATAAAAAGGAAAAACATTCATAATGAAGACTAAGAAAATATAAAACAAAACCATGCAAAAATGATATGATAACAGGCAGATCTAAAAATAGCTTATTAAAAATTAGAGAAATAACATGGCATAAACTTTTGAAAAGGCAAAAGCAAAGAGAGAATTAGTAAATCAAAAAAATAGACCTGAGACATTATGAAAAAGCAGTTCAGAGAAAGGGAAGGAGGATTGAGGAGGTGAAAGGTATAGCAGAAGCTCCAGAAGAAGAGAGAAAAGAGTGAAGTAGCAACAGTTGAAGAGACTTTGGCTATGCATTTTTCAGTGTTGAAGACACAAGTCTCAGATGACAAATGTAATCCAGGTTCTAAGAAGGATGAATGAAAATAAATGCATACTTAGATACATCTTAGTAAACTTGAAGATAAGGAGAAAATATTATAAAGTTTTAGTTATGCAAGATGAATAAGTTCTAGAGATCAGGTGTACAACATTGTGCCTGTAGTTAACAGTACTGTGTTTTGTACATAAACATTTGTTGAGAGAGTAGATCTCATGCTATGTTCTTACCACAATAAAACACAAAGCAAAACAAAAAACTATTTGAAGGAAAAATCAGATTCTTAAAGAATGGCCTTGGCCGGGCGCGGTGGCTCATGCCTGTTATCCCAGCACTTTGGGAGCCCAAGGCGGGCGGATCACCTGAGATCGGGCGTTCGAGACCAGCCTGACCAACATGGAGAAACCCTGTCTCTACTAAAAATACAAAATAAAAATACAAAATTAGCCGGGCATGGTGGCACATGCCTGTAATTCCATCTACTAGGGAGGCTGAGGCAGGAGAATTGCTTGAACCTGGGAGGAGGAGGTTGTGGCGAGCTGAGATGGTGCCATTGCACTCCAGCCTGGGCAACAAGAATGAAACACCGTCTCAAAAAAAAAAAAAAAAAAAAAAAAAAAAGCATGGCCACTAGCAGACAGTTGACTTCCAATTAGCAACTGTCCAATAGAGCAATATCTACAAATTGCTGAGGGAAAGCCACTGTCAATCTAGAATTATATGCCTGGCAAAACCACCTATGTGTAAAAGGTTACATCAGGCCAGGTACCTAAACATAACAAGGCTTTCCCGGGAAGGAAACATCGGTTCTCACAACATCATTTCCTTGGATGCTTACTGAGTTAACATAAATATGGAAGGCCAGGCACGGTGGCTCATGTCTGTAATCCGAGCACTGTGGGAGGCCGAGGCAGGTGGATCACTAGAGGTCAGGAGTTCGAGACCAGCCTGGCCAACATTGCGAAACCCTATCTCTACTAAAAATATAAAAATGTGCTGGGCATGGTGGCAGGCATCTATACCCAGCTACTCAGGAGAATCCCTTGAACCTGGGAGGCAGAGGTTGCAGTGAGCCGAGATCACACCATTGTACTCCAACCTGGGTGACAAGAGTGAAACTACGTCTCAAGAAAAAAAACCCAAAAAGATAAATATGGAATACTGCATGCTAAGAGCTAATGATCTGTCTTGTTTACTCTGAAATTCCTGATTAGAGAGAGCATATCTGGACTGAGATTATTCTATGTGGGCCTACAAGTTTTGGGCCTATATGACAGGAACAATATATAAGAGAGGTGGGAAACTAAGGCAGTAGCTTCTCTGTGCTAAGTGAAACCATATATGTGTTGAAGTCATCCCCATTTTCTGTACACATGCTGTGTAGGTAAGGGGAGATAAAGGAAGCTGTGCATACATATACTTTTAGGACCTCTAAGTAGTAATAAGGCTGTTTTTCTTGACTTCTATGCTTCTATAAATCTGAATAATTTAATGATAGATTAAATCCTATTGTGTTACATGAATTTGATTCCAGTCTTAACTTGTGATCACTGCTAGTAAAATAAAACATTTTTTCACATACAAAAATTAGGAGACTTTTCCACTCACAAACTATTATGGAATGAACTATAAAGGATGTACTTTAGCAAGAAGAAAATTGAACTCAAGGAGGAAGACTGAGATGCAAGAAACAAAACCAAGTAGAGAAACTTAAAAATTAAGTGGATAACTAATGGTTATCTACCCAAAGGAAAATAAGTAATTATACGAAAAAAGATACTTGCACACACATGTTTATAGCAGCACAGTTCACAATTGCAAAAATGTAAGCCAACCCAAATGCCCACCAATCAATGAGTAGATAAAGAAACTGTGAGATATATATATCTAGATATATCTATATTTATATCTAGTATCTAGATATTTCTATATTTATATCTAGTATCTAGATATATCTATATTTATATCTAGTATCTAGATATATCTATATTTATATCTAGTATCTAGATATATCTATATTTATATCTAGTATCTAGATATATCTATATTTATATCTAGTATCTAGATATATCTTTATATCTAGTATCTAGATATATCTTTATATCTAGTATCTAGATATATCTTTATATCTAGTATCTAGATATATCTTTATATCTAGTATCTAGATATATCTTTATATCTAGTATCTAGATATATCTTTATATCTAGTATCTAGATATATCTTTATATCTAGTATCTAGATATATCTTTATATCTAGTATCTAGATATATCTTTATATCTAGTATCTAGATATATCTTTATATCTAGTATCTAGATATATCTTTATATCTAGTATCTAGATATATCTTTATATCTAGTATCTAGATATATCTTTATATCTAGTATCTAGATATATCTTTATATCTAGTATCTAGATATATCTTTATATCTAGTATCTAGATATATCTTTATATCTAGTATCTAGATATATCTTTATATCTAGTATCTAGATATATCTTTATATCTAGTATCTAGATATATCTTTATATCTAGTATCTAGATATATCTTTATATCTAGTATCTAGATATATCTTTATATCTAGTATCTAGATATATATATGGATATATATGTGGTAACTGTGATATATACATACATATATATATAAAATGGAATACTACTCAGCCCAAAAAGGAATGAATTAATGGCATCTGCAGCAACCTGGATGGGACTGGAGACCATTATTGGAGTAACTCAGGAATGGAGAGGCAAACATCATATGTTCTCACTCATAAGTGGCAGCTAAGCTATGAGAATGCAAAGGCATAAGAATTGACACAATAAAATTTGGGGACCTGGGGAAAGGGTGAGAAGGGTCTGAGGGATAAACGAGTACAAATTGGGTTCAGTGTATACTACTCTGGTGATGGGTGCACCAAAATCTCACAAATCACCACTAAAGAACTTGCTCATGTAACCAAACACCATCTGTTCCCCAATAACCTATGGAAATGAAAAAATTTTTTAAAAAGTTGAATGGAAACTCAAAAAAAATTAAGTGGATAAGGTTTTTTTTTTTTCAATTAAAAAGTGAAACAAATTGCTAAACCACAATAATAGAAGATAAGGTGAGTCTTCACTGGATACTTAATGTGTTAACATCTTTGTCCTATTTGAGAGGAAGATAGAGATACTATGCTGAATGACTTTATACTCTCCAAAAAAAAACACTGAAAAAAGGATACAGTTTTAAAATTATAAAGTATATATTTTTAAAACTTATTTAAATACATATTTTATCATTTTAAAACTTAAGAATAACCATTAAAATGAGAGTAATATTCTCCATAGCTTCTGAATTCACAGAGCAAAAAGGAGTATAGAAAATTTTATCAGTACCCCAGGAGGTAGAAAAGGAGGAAAAAAAGAAGCAAAAAGAAAGGAGGAGAATTAGATAACCAATGAGTTTTCGTTTTTCCTATGGCTGGCAGGAAGACCAGATAAAAAATATTTTCCAAGTATTTCATCCTATATTCCTAATATGATTATTTTCACTTTTCATAAGATAGTTTCATTTCTTTTGCCTTCATTTTGGATATCTATATAGTCAAGTTTAAAAAAAGCCACAAGAAAATCACATGGGGGGTTAGGGCTTCAACATATGAATTTTGGGGGATATAATTCAGTCCATAACTACCCTGAACCCCTGTCCTGCAGTAATGCCCTGCCCTCTCTGGTGGAGCCTGTGTGTGAAACCCTGACTTCCATCTCTGCCCTGCATTAACAAGGAAACAAAACTGGTAAATTAAACTTCATCAAAATTACAGTATTTTGCTCTGTAAAATACCTGCTACAAAGATGAAAAAACAAGCTGCAGACTGAGAGAAAATACTTGCAAATTACTTACCTAATAAAGGACTTATATCCAGAATATATAAAGGACTCTCTAAATTCAGTAGTAAGAAAACAAACAATGCAATTAGAATATGGTCAAAATCTTAAACAGACACTTTTCTAAAGATGACATACTGGTGGCAAATCAGTATACGAAAAAATAGCCTCTAGGAAAATGCGAATTAAAGCTATATGTGCTACCACACCTATTAGAATAACCAAAATAAAAATTACTGATAGTACCAAGTGCTGATGAGGAATGTTAAATGGCATAGCCAATTTGGAAAATAGTTTGGCAGTTTCCTATAAACATACACACACCATAGGACCCAGCAATCTCTTTCATCAGTGTTTATCTTAGAAAAATGAAAAGTTATGTTCACACAAAAACCTGTACATGAATGTTTATAGCAGCTTTATACTGTACCGGTCAACACTGGAAACAACCCAAATGTCCTACAACTGATGAATACAAAAACAAACTGTGGGCCATCTATACTATAGAATACTGCTCAAAAATTAAATGGAATTAACTGGTTCATGTAACATCTTGGATGGATCTCAAAAGAGTTATGCATAGTGAAAGAGGCCAGTCTCAAAAGGTTGCATATTGTATGATTCCATTTATATAATATTATTGATGTGGCAAAATCATAATGCTGCATAGATCTATGATTGCCAGGAGTTAGGATTGGGGGTAGGATATGATCATTAAGGTGTAACTCAAGGGAGTTTCTTTGTGGTGATAAAACAGTTCTGTATACTGACTGGTGATGGTTACACCAATCATAGAACGATATACACATGCACATACCCCCAAAAGAAGTCCACACAAAATCTGGTGAAATCCAAATAATGTATTGTACTGTTGTGATACACATTATTATTGTATTGTATGTAACAATGTCAGTTTCTTACTTTTGACAACGTTCTATGGTTATGCAAGATATTATCATTAGGAAAGGCTGAATGAGGGGTACATGAAAATTCTCTGTACTATATATGGAATTACTTTTGCATCTAAAACTATTTCAAAGTAAGAGTTATAATTTTAAAAAATCAGTTGTAAGAAATTTTAAAAAATGTTCTAGCCTCAAGCCTGTCTGACTTCAAAGCCAGTGTGATTAAACCACTACACCACATGGTAAAGATCCCTTAGAAAAATGCCTATGTCAGCAGGCACAAATAAGGGACACTCCTAGCTATTCAAAATTATTTTTGTCTCCTTAAACCCTAAAATAAAAAAGCACAAAACAAGAAATGGCTAACTGAGATAACTATAACATTTGAGGTGGGATGATTTTAATAGACCTTATATACCATTTTAACTCTTTTAGGTTAAATCCCACTTCGTTGTTCAGTGATCTCAAAATGTGTTATGAATTCTTTTTGGTAGATTTTCACATCAGTATTTCAAATCACCTTACTCTAGATGTTTTTCTCTTGGGTGTTCTTTTTGTTAATATTTTTAACTTCACAAAGCTCTTTTCTATCATTTTAGTCAGTTAATTGAAAGCAAAGCTTAAAGGAAACCAACATGTTTAAAATAAACTTTTTAGGGTTGGAGACTACATGCTTTTTGTTATTTTTCTTGCTCTGATATCTCATTAGTGTTATTACATTCCTGAAATACCTAAAATGGTTAAAAGCATGAAAAGCACAAGTATTGAAAGACCTTAGGAGACTGCATTTTGAAGCCCTCAAAAATGTGAACCGGGAAATACATAAAACAACTTTGTTTGTTGGGGTTAAGGTCATGGGAAATACATCTGTTTGCATTTGTGGAGTATACTGTCGTAGAAAACTACGCCGCATGAAGCAATGGAGCAAAAAGCACAGCAGCAATATGCGGTTACATCATCTGCTAAGCATGTATATTACAAATTACTTGAAAGCAATAATCATGATATTCTGGATCCCACCAAAATGTTATGATTTAAACATCCACAACAAAGGCTGTGCCCAGAAGCCTTTGTTCTGAGCAGGGTTTATTTGAAGAAAATGGAATGTGATTGTAATAAGAAGCCTGGGCTGGCTGTGTCTCTCCAACTCATTAGGCTGCATGAGGTGGTAGGGTGAAGGGAGATGGGCTGGGGAGAGGCTGGTGAGTTCCACACAACACCCTGGGGCTTCACAAGGGAAGAGGAATGACAGGTGCAGAGGAGATATATGAAGTTCTCCATCAGATAGCTCCTGCAGAGTTGGAGTCCTAGCCTTCAGGGCAGAACTCTCAGGAGGTGCACTCTATCATAGTCAAAAATTCCAGTGATACATTGTTCATGAGAAAAATCAGACAAGGCAATTACAGGAAAGAGCAGGAAGCCACCTCCGTCTTCCAATCAGATTTTCAATATTTAACCATCACTTCCTAAGTACAGTTGGGCTCTCTGAATTATGCAGCATCCACAAGACTGTCGGAGAAGATTTGTTCCTAATAATGGATTTTTGCATCACAAATGAATAGAGTTCTTTGTCTTTATATTCATCTCTCTTCTCTGTGGTTACTTCTTCCTAATTTGCGTTTTTACCTGTCACTTTGCCTATAAGAAATGTGAAAAATATGAAGAATCCTCTTTTATTATCATGGCCTATGAGTGCCCAAACTGTTTGACCCTATATGAATTAAATACACTTTTTTGGATATTTTGTTCTCCCTGTATGTAGGGTTTCAAATGGGTGCAAATAATATACAGTTAAATCTAAATGTGCTCTTTCCACCAGAAGAATAAAGTCTGTTACCAGCTGAAGATGAGAAAGTGGAAATAGGCATAGCTGAGATAAATTAAAAAAAAATGGGAGCCTTGGGCATTTTTCATAACAGCCCTGGAGTTAGTGGTTGGCTGGGAGGAGGGACTGTCCTGTGTGTGGCTTTGAAGTTATGTGGAAGTCATTCACATTTAGCACATTATTCTCAGGCTATGGGGGTAAGGGTGATGCTCATATCTCGTAGAGAGAGAATGTTCACTTACTGAAAGCCTGCCTGGACTTTGTCCTTTTCCAGGCACCATTTAACTATTAGGAGTTCTAGATCATACTTGGCATTAAGGATGTCATAACAAACTCCACTTTCTAAGGTTTCTGATCCTTAAATATAATCAAGAGAAGTAATGGTTTATTTTCATCTGCATGCATTCTCATGCCTTTGTTGAGACTATGCCAGGGAAAAGCAAGAACATCCATTTAATGGGAAGTGTCATA
This sequence comes from Homo sapiens, assembly GCF_000001405.40. NCBI lineage: Eukaryota > Metazoa > Chordata > Mammalia > Primates > Hominidae > Homo > Homo sapiens. Next base: position 27,572,766 of record NC_000011.10, read on the forward strand.
TCTTCCTCCGACCCACCCTCCCTTCCTTTCTTCATTCCTTCCTTCAGCAGAGGTTTTCAAGTGCTTGCCATGTGCCAGATAGGCACTGTGCTAGGCTCTGGGGAAATCACAACTAACGACATGCAGCCTGTGTTTCAGGGATGATTTTACATTCCAGTATGGAATACAGAAAAGTGAACAGGCAATTGCAACTCAGTGTAATAAGTAGAATACATCTTCTGATTATAATTATAACAATAATAGGGATGTATTTCTTAGGTCATTCTCTCAACTATCCCTTGAGCTAGGTAGTAATTTTATTCCTGTTTTACTGAAAAAGCTTGAGGCTTGGTCAATTTTGCAAGTTCATAAACTTAGCAAGTGTAAAGCTGGAATTTGAATCCTGGCCTGTGGAATTTGAATCCTGTTTGTGCAGTCCTAGAACTCAAGCACTTAACTTTGACACTAATTGGTTGCTATGGGAAAACATGGTGGTGGGAATGTACATCTGGCATGGTCTTGGAAGTCCCAGAGGGTGGTTACAGAAGGCTTCTTAGAGGAAGTTACAACTAATCTGAGGATTGAAGAGAGAATAATAGTGAAAAGAATAAGGCATGAAGAATAAGCTATATTTAGGTTGGAAACCTGGCCATTCCTACCTCTTAGCTTGGGTAAAATGTTTAACTTCTCAGCCTCAACTGCCTTATCTATTTAAAAAAATGAGGCTAATATTATCCCTATTTCAGAGTTGTTAGAATGAAATGAGATAGCATAGCATATGTGAAAGTTTTAGCATAAGGCTTGGCATTAGGAAGACACCCAGTAAATGTTTATTTTCTACACTTTTCCAAGCAATAATAGCGTTCTGCATTTTACCGTGTGTACCATGGAATGTGTGATCTGCCTTAACCCAAAAGCCATGGGATAATTCAGATAGTTTAAAATGAGAGTTTAGATTATTTATTCTAATTTATATTAGTACTAACCCTAATATTGCCTTGGTTATTTTGGGTATTTCACTTATCTACTTGCCTAACAACTCATTCAGCTATTACTGGGTGTATTTTAGAATAAACATTCCTGGAGGAAAAAGATGTTTGGCTATTTCTCAGAAATAACGGAGCTTGAAAGGAGCATTTATCAAAACAACTAAAAAAAAATCTCTGTGACTGGTTGCTGGATTAAAGGAAGAAGACATGAATCTACAACATAATAAATTACTAATTGTTTCTCAAGTTCATGGCCATTTGTAACATTTAAAAATAATTATGTACATTATGATAGAATTACTTTCAGATGTAAGAAACCCCTCTTCTCCACACCATTTAATTAAACATTAGGTACTGTTGAAACAAATGGATGGAATTGGTTTAGGATAAATGGTTGTACCACTGTTACTGCAAGATGAATACTCATAAGCAAGATTCATAATCTTTCTCATTAAATCTCTTTTCCTCTTATGTGTCATATCTCAGTTCATATCTCAGTTAATATTATCACTATCCTCTAAATTACTCAGGCTAAAAACTTTGACTTATTTTTGTCTTCTCTTTATATCAAACCAGCTGTTAAATGTGGTAGGCAGAATTCTAAGATGGTCCCCAAGATTCCTGCAACCTGGTTTAACACTTTCTATATAATTTCTTCCCTTTAAGCGTAGGTGGGACCTATGAATATGATGATGTCACTTTAGCGATTAGGTTACATTATATGGCAAAGGCAAAGGGATTTCACAGATGGAATTAAGGTCCCTAGTCACTTGATTTTGACTTAATCAAAGTGGATTATCCTAGGTGGGCCTGACCTAATCAGATGAGCCCTTTAAAACAGGGATTTAGCCTTCCTGAGTCCAGACATTTGGAGTAGCAGATGTACTCTTGCTGGTTCTGAAGAAATAAACTGTAATGTGATCAGAAGAAAGAGCATGCGGTGAGAATATGAGAGTGACCTCTAGGAGCTAAGAGGTGGTTTCCAGCCAGTAAGTACCAAGAAAAATGGGGAAGTCAGTCATATAACTACAAAAAAAAATGAATTCTGCCAACAACCCAATTAAGCTTGGAAGCAGATTCTTCCCTAGTCAAACCTTCAGATAGGAATGTAACCCAACTGAAACCTTTACTGCAGCCTTGTGAGACCTGAGCAGACACCTAGCTAAGCCACACCTGAACTCAACCCACAAACTGTGAGATAGCAAATGTATGTTGCTTTAACTGACTACACTTGCATTAGCTTGCTATGCAGCATAGAAAACTAACACATTAAGTTCTCTTCATTCTCCCCTTCCAGTGTCTTTATCTATCCCCTTTTCTCTATTACTATGGCCCTCATTTATGTCTTCATGTCTCTCACCTGAACTAATAACTTTCTAACTAGTCTTGTCATTTTCAATTTTTCACTTCTCCAGGAAATCCACTGCCCCTATATCCACTGTATTCTGTCTTATAGAATGTAGTTTTGATTATATCTCCCCCTTTAAAAATTCTCATTGCTCCCAGTTTTCTCCACTGTCAAGGGAGTATAGCTTTGTCATTTGGGCTACGAGTTTTTGATTTAGAGAGCTATGGATTTGAATTTAAATTCCAACACTTAACTAACTTTATGAACATGGGCAGTGAATAAACATCTTTAAGCCTCAGTTTGTAAAGCAGAGATTATAATTTTCCCTTCCTTATAGGGTTATTGTGAGAATTAAATGAGATAATGCATGTAAAGATTATGTTACATAGTATGTGCTCAATAAATCATAGCTATTATTGTGGTTATTATGTAATTAAATTCAAACTCTTATTCTGGTACTCAAAGTTACTAATGATCCTCAATAGCTTTTTCAGCCACATCTCGTACATCTTTATGCAAATCTTGTGGATCAGCCATGACAACCTATCAAAAAACTTGAAGTCCTTGGTTGCATATTATGCAATACTTTTTTTGGTCTATTTTCTTCCCTCAAATTAGAGTCCCTCCCAACCCTCCACTCTACACTTATCAAAATTTTGTTACTCTTTTGAGGCCTCCCCTCTAACTAGGGCTAGCTTTCAGCTAGCACCTGTAAGTATTCCTTTACTGAGTACTTACAACCCAAGTGTGTTCTGCTTTGTTGGAGGCCCATTCTGATTTGTGGTGCCATATAACTTGTTGGTTTTTCTATCAACCCTACCTACAACCTTCCTTTTCTTTTATCTTTTGACTCAGAATTTATCTTTGTGTTCCTGCAGCAGTTTTCTTGCCCCTATGCTTAGTATGTCAAACTATGTTTTGAACTCCAACCTGCTCACATAGTTGGGTACCTCCCCATATAAAAAAGGGATCATTTTTTATATTCCCAGTTCGCTTGGCACATAATAAGTACTCAAAACCTTGTTGGATGATTAAGAATTAGTTTCACTGACCTCCTTGTCAGTCCTAAGAATGATGGAGCAAATTTTTGTAATGGATAATAACTACTAATGGTTGACTGGCTTTAGAAACATCTTATTTGGCTTAAATAATTAAATATTCTACATAAGAATGCATCAAAGTAAACTATGTGTGCTTTATAAAGCACAATAAAATCCATGAAGAATCTAGATGGCCAATTTATTTAAATAAACATATCTCTATCTTTATATATGCTTCTTTGACGGAATAATTTCAGATCTTCATTGTTCCAACAAATCTTTTTATTCCAAACAATTGCATTTATTATCCTGCAAAAAGTCTTGAGATACCACCTAGTGTAGAGGTCTGGAGACCTGAATCCATGTAAAGTAGGAACTGTGTCTTCCCTTTCTCTCTGTTAACATACGCCTGTTGATACATACACTCTGCCTGGCTTCTTCTTCCATAGCCAGTTGAGGACCATTCTTGCTGGAAAATGTAGACCTCAAATAGAAATTATGCAGCCTTGCCTTCTTTTCATCTGGTAATTATGCATAGATGTTCCCAAGAAGTATTTGAATGCTGAGGAAATCATTTTGTCTTGAGAAATATAATCTTTTACTTTCTTTTTCTCTCCCCGTCTCCCTCCCTCCCTCCCTGTCCCCCTCCTTTCTCACTCTCTTTCCTTTTGAGGCAGGGTCTCACTCTGTCACGCAGGCTGGAGTGCAGTGGTGCGATCTCAGCTTACTGCAGCCTTGGCCTCTTGGGCTCAAAGCGATCCTTCCACCTCAGCCTCCATAGTAGCTGCAACTACAGGCACACACCACCAAGCCCAGCTAATTTTTATGTTATTTATAGAGACAGAGTTTTGCCATGTTACCCATGCTGGTCTCGAACTCCTGGACTCCGGTAATACACCTGCCTCAGCCTCCCAAAGTACAGGTGTGAGCCACTGTGCCCGGCTCACTGTACAGGATTACAGGTGTGAGCCACTGTGCCCGGCCAACCTCATTTCTTTCTGAGCAATAGCTTTTTAAAACTTTATTCTTAGAAGATAATAATAGCAATGATATCCTTTTGTGTTATTAGTTGTATCCTCCTTTATTTCACTTTATATTTATTTTAAATCGGAGCTAGGCAGACTAGTTTCTTTCATGAATTTCTTACTTCTTTCTTAGAATTTTAGAGTCCATGAAATACTGTAAATAATGTGTGTGTGTGTGTGTGTGTGTGTGTGTGTGTGTGTGTGTCTTTAAAAATGTTCACTTTTTGTTAAACTCAGTGCTAGGTATTTTATGTGCATTTTCTTAGTTAATATTCCCAACAAACCTACATGGTATATACTATTACTTCCTTCATTTTTCCAAGTGAAAACAACAAGCTTAGGTTAAGTGATTTTCCTAGGCACTTTCCTTTGCTTTACAAAGGAAAACTCTGAGACTTAAAGAGGTTAAATATCTTGCTCAATGTCACACAACTGGTAAGTCTCGCACCTGGGATTCAAACTTATATGTTTCTTGAGTCTATAGTCTGAGCTTTTACCCTCTGTGCTATAGCTCCTTCCTTTCCTTTGAAGTTCTTGACATCTGCTTTCTTAACATCTTCAGCACATGCCAGCCTCTGCCCTATATTTTCTTTCTTATTACAAATTCCAAGATGACATGGTAACCATTCAGTTCTTCCTTGTAAGACAGAAATTGGTCCAAAAATAGCAGTCTCTTTGCTGTATCTGCTATCATTTCAGAGATGATATTGTCAGTAAGGTAAGTAAAACAGTTTTTAACTACTTTACTTTGAGCTGCAAAGACTTCTAGTAAATGTTGTGAGAGTTTCCCATGAACATATAGCTTACCTCTGTGCCAGTTTTGTCATAGAAGCAGTCCATTATATTTAGTACATGAATGTCCCCAAGACTGTGCAGGAAATCAGATCCACACATATTGAATCGTAGACTTAGGCATTATAATGGAGGACTCTGTTTCCAGAAGAATAAAGAATCCTTAATTATACCACAACTTTTAGAAAAGACAAAAGTTGACAGGACATAGTGGTTGACATCTGTAATCCAAGCACTTTGGGAGGCTGAGATGAGAGGATTGGTTAAGCCCAGAAGTTCGAGACCAGCCTGATCAATGGTAAGACCCTATCTCTACAAAAAAAAGCAAATGGGCATGGAGGTGCATTCCTGTAGTCTCAGCTACTTGGGAGGCTGAGGTGGGAGGATTGCTTGAGCCTGGGAGGTTGAAGCTGCAGTGAGCTATGATTGCACCACTGCACTCCAGCCTGGATGACAGAGTGAAAGAAAAGATAAAATAAAAGTTGATGATGTTCTACTTTTTAATTCAATTTCTTTAATATTAGTTTGTTCCTTTATAACCAAGCATCAGTTTGGCGTCTTGACCCCAATGACCTCAGTTGATGGCAAAGGCTCTGCTATTTTTGTTTTCAGACAGGATTTCACTCTGTCACTTATGCTGGAGTGCAGTGGTATGATCACAGCTCACTGCAGGCTTGACCTCCTGGGTTCAAGTGATCCTCCTACCTCACCTTCCAGGGTAACTGGGACTACAGGCATGTGCCACCACCCCAGGCTAATTTTTAATTTTTTGCAGAAACAGGGTCTCACTATGTTGCCCAGGCTGGGATGGGCTACTTTTGACATACCTAATGACCTCAATCTTGGTTTTAATTGTAATAAGTTTAGGAAAATATATTCTTTATTAGTAGCATTAATATGTTCACCCTTTTATTCCACACTCATATTTTAGAAAATAACTACAGAGATATAATAGATACTCATAATTGCATATACACTGTATTAAGGTCAAAGGTGGCTACATTGTTAAAACTAAGCTGTTTTGGCCAACCAATGGCCAATTTCACCCAATGATAGCTTGAAACATTTTTCAAAAGTTCATGGATAGCTTAATACTTAGGTGGTGGGTTCACAGGTGCAGTAAACCACCATGGCACAAGTTTACCTGTGTAACAAACCCACACATCCTGCGCATGTATCCTGGAACTTAAATTAAAAATTTTAAAAAGTTCATGGATGAATGTCCAAATTCAAGTATTAAAGTAAATTTAGGAGTATAAATATGTCATTATGAAAACTCAGGGCTGCCAGTATATTTTAAAAATGAATTAATTATCTGTAATTTTTATTTGATTGAATAGGCTGTAGCATTCTTCTATAATGATTAACTCTGTTTCTCTCTCACTTTGTCTTAACCCAAATGGTCTTCACTATGCTCCTGGTGACAAGTTTAAGAATTCCCATTAAGATTATATCTTATGTATCACTGGGCTTTCCCCCTTCCTTTTATATTTAATCCATTCATTTCCAGAAGAAATTCTCTTTAGTTGTCATATTCTTCACTGGAATTATACCAAATATTAATAATAACTCATTTATTATTGTTAGCATCAATGGTAGAGTTACCATATAATTTCTTACCTACATCAGAAAATGTGTGAGAGTGAAAGGGAACACTATTAATTGTTACTTTCTTATATTAAAATATCAAATTCACCCTTGTTATCTGTCTTAAGGTCTTTATTTGCAACAAACATAAATCCACTGAAATTAATTTAAGTAAATGAAGAATTTATTGGAAGGGAATGGGGATGGCTTATTAAACCCTAGGATAAGAAATGAAGCTGAGACTTTTGAGGATCTGAACCCAGCACATGGAAAGCCAAGAGCTTGACGTGTTGCTCTGCTTTTGAGGGGTCATAGATTACTAACTTAGTGATTAAGTCCATGCCTTTTTTAGGAGCCATAAGTAATGAACCATTCTCAGAATGAATAGATCAAGGATGCCATGAGGTGTCTTTCCATTACCATTATATACCTATTTATTGCTGTCGTAGTTCATTTTTCACGTTTTCACAAACACCCGTAATTTGCCACGTAAGCATGCTGCCATGTACATAATAGAAGATGAGTAAACATTTGTTGAATGAATAAGTATTATAACTCACTTTTAGAATGCTGTCACATTCCTTCTTTTACATGAAGATGTGACAGTGACATTTGTTCCCCCATTGACTGATTATGCACATCAGTATTGCCCTGGGCAGGATTGATGTGACTGATCTGACACTTTATCTTTGTGTTCCTTGCAGACTTTAATTTTCCACCTAACACATGAAAATCTTAGAAGATCAAATAACACTAGTCCAGGATAATTATCTTCAAAAACCATTTGATTGGTTTTCTTTGAAAGTCAGGCTTACTGACTTGAAAAAAAATTTTTTTTAAGTAATTGAGCAGTTTGAATTAATTAAAAGTCTGAATTAACAAAATCTGCCAGAATAGACTTCATTTAATTTTTTTTTTGTAGAAATTACAAAAGTGCCAGGAATTTAATTCTCTGAGTGACATCCTTGTGGTGAGATTAGGTCAATAAAAAGCTGGAGAAAACAGCCAGAAGTTTCTTCGCACAATTGTTCTATACCAGACCCTCCCTGGCTCCTGTCTGGGGTTTTTCCCTCCCCTTATTGTTCCTCATCAGAATTGGTCCCTGGGACCCTGGTCTTTGGATCTGCTTTCCTCCCAGCGTCTTAGCAAGTCATTTCTGATTCCCACCCAAACTCTTCTGCTCCCATTACCAACAATTCCAACTGGATTTCTAGCATCTATCTTTAAATATCTCTTGACATCCCTTTGTGAAAACATTAATTGTTGCCTCTACTGCATGATTTAGCTCCGCCTCCCACACCACAGACTAAGACTGATTACCAATTATGCACTGCTGGTAAAGATTTGGTTCCTAATTGTGAGGATACATTGTTTTTGTTTGTTCGTTTGTTTGTTTGTTTTTTGTTGTTGTGGATGTTGTTGAGATGGAGTCTCGCTCTATTGCCCAGGCTGGAGTGCAGCGACACAATCTCGGCTCACTGCAACCTCTGCCTCCCGGGTTCAAGCGATTATCCTGCCTCAGCCTCCCAAGTAGCTGGGACTACAGGCGCACGCCGCAACACCTGGCTAATTTTTGTATTTTTAGTAGAGATGAGGTTTTGCCATGTTGGCCAGGCTGGGCTTGAACTCCCGATCTCAGGTTATCTGCCCGCCTCTGCCTCCCAAAGTGCTGAGATTACAGGCGTCAGCCACTGCACCCGGCCTCATTGTTCATCGTTAATATATTTCCAAGCATGGATCTTTGTATCTGCTCTAATGAAGAGATACAACTCGTTTATTATTGTTAGCATCAAAAGTAGAGTTACCATATAATTTCTTACCTACATCAGAAAATATGTAAGAGTGAAAGGGAACACTATTAATAATTACTCTGGAATAACAGGTGCACATCAGGATTGCCCTGGGCAAACTGAGACTATTGTCACCCTAATCATTACTGATTATCTGGCTTCTCTAGGAAAATATTTTGTTTCTGTATTGAGATTCATTTATTTTTCTTCATGTGTTTAAATCTCTTTTTGAGTTTGCTAATTTCTGGAAATAAGCAGTTCAGTAAGTAGATTAGAGATCAGTCTTATTGAAATGCTCTTTAGTCCTTTTTGTCCGACATCTCAGCGAGGCTGCGGTGTCTGCTGCTGCTGTCCGAGCTTCACAATGCCACCCAAGGATGACAAGAAGAAGGATGCTGGAAAGTCGGCCAAGAAAGACAAAGACCCAGTTAACAAATCCGGGGGCAAGGCCAAAAAGAAGAAGTGGTCCAAAGGCAAAGTTCGGGACAAGCTCAATAACTTAGTCTTGTTTGACAAAGCTACCTATGACAAACTCTGTAAGGAAGTTCCCAATTATAAACTTATAACCCCAGCTGTGGTCTCTGAGAGACTGAAGATTCGAGGCTCCCTGGCCAGGGCAGCCCTTCAGGAGCTCCTTAGTAAAGGACTTATCAAACTGGTTTCAAAGCACAGAGCTAAAGTAATTTACACCAGAAATACCAAGGGCGGAGATGCTGCAGCTGCTGGTGAAGATGCATGAATAGGTCCAACCAACTGTACATTTGGAAAAATAAAACTTTATTAAAAAAAAAAAAGGAAAGAAATGCTCTTTAAAAGCGAACAAACGCCATGCCAAAACCTTAGACTTTCAAAACTAAGGAACATTTGACATTTTACAAATACTTGACATGGACACTTTTCTTTTAAAAGTAAGGAATTGATTACCTTGTCAGAAGAAGTTACCTACTTTTTTCTTTATTCACAAATAAGTACTAGTTTATGTACATCAGGATGGCATTAAGTCTTTAGGTTTTTTTTTTTTTAGAAGCCCCTGTGACGTAGACCAGTATGGACCATAATTCAAAGTTCTGTAATAGAAACATGCATCCAAAATTGACTAAGTAGTTTTGCCTCTTTTATGTAGCAATTTCTAAATTTTTAAGTTTTGGATAATTCTTTATATATACATTATATACATATATATTTATAGAATATCTGAATTGATAATTACCTCACAAACCATCTAATTTGGTGGTTTTCCCCCTTGGCTGCATATCTGAATATTTGGAGAGCTTTAAAAAAATACTGTCTTTTCTATCTCCAGAAATTCTAATTTAAGTGGTCTGGGATGGAACCCAGGCATAGACGTTAAAAAAAATGCCTCAGGTGATTCTCATGAGCAGTCAGGGCTGAGGCGTCTCTGATTTAATTCAACCCTGGTGTTTCACATCTGAGAAAATTGAGGCCCCTCTTACTTAGCTGTTACTGTGGGTTAACAATCTAAATATCTCTGTGAATCTCTAGATGTTTTTAAAAGGGCTCTGCAAATGTGACATCACCTTCTTTATTTAGAACTGATCATAATTTTTATGGCTTCCAACAGATGTCTTGGTTTCTTGAATTATCCTTTCACGTCATGGGGCTTCTAAGGCACTTGCTGCCAAAGGAGCCGGAAGGTATGCCTCTTTTTCTGTTCTCCAGGTAGTAGAGCATATTTTAGCTTTTTATTTCTTGCCAGTATTCTTGCTTCACTTTCTTCATTTATCTTTTGTGCACTAAAGTTTGTCTTCTAACACTTTAGATTATGTGGATTACATGCCTGAAGATGTCAAACTTCAAAAATGCTTCTCTTTTGCCTTTATATTTGAATGATAGTTTAGCTCAGGGATCAGCAAATTATGGCCCAAGGGCCAAATGCAATAAGCTGCCTGTCTTTATAAAGTTTTATTAGAACACAACCATGCCCTTTGATTTATATGTTGTCCACAGCTGCTTTCAGGCACAACAGCAGAATTGAGTAGCTGTGACAGAGATTGTACGAGCTGAAAATATTTACCATCTGGTCCTTTACTTTAAAAGTTTTCTAACTGATTAGCTAATTAAACTCTCTGGACTGCAAGAAATTTGTAAGCATTGCGCCTCTATCTTCTAAAGGTAAATAAAGCTGTAGAGATACCAGAGGTCAACTTGATTCCCACCTACACTTCCATTACCTACATTAATGACTTGGTCTTTTTGCATGATTAAAGGGTTTTTTCCTTTATCTCTGAAATCTCATAACTTTTAGGCTAATCTTAGTGTCACTCATTCTTCATCAGTTTTTCTTATCACACTGTACATTTGATTCTTTTTTGTTATTTTTGAATGTTGTTTTGAACACCTATAATCCAAGGATGCCAGTTATCTACATTTTCATTTAACTTTGATGGGCTTGTATAGTTCTATCTTTTTGCATATATATTCCTATTGCTTACTTTTTTAGCCCCGTATTCTGTGTATCTTATAGTATTTTCAGTAATGCCTATTCATCTTTTCCCTGGCTCTTGTATCTCTGCTTTAAGATTGTTAAAAATTCTTAAAATATATGACAATATGCTTGATCATAATTTTGTCTGCCTGGTGACAACATTTTTTTTTTTAAAAAAACAAATGTTCCTTCTTCATCTGCCATTTGTTTTTTCTGTTTCCTTCCTCCTTTTTTTCTTGCAATATCTTTACATAGTTTGTATACTGGTTTCTTTTTAATCACTGTTTATCTTTCAATGAGATAAGTTCTTTCTGACTATTTGCAGGAGATAGGACAGGGTTATGTTTTGAGCTGTAAAGAATTTTCTATGGTTCATAGTTGTGGCATAAACTACTAATTGTATCTTTCAACACTCATTTCTCCTTTCTTCTAAAACAATAGAAACCAGGTTCTATTCATTGTCACTGTGCTCAGCTATAGCCCTAAAATTCTCAACTTTCCTTGCAGGGGGTTATAGCCATGTGACTGATCTTCGTCCAAGAATATGTAAAGAAAAAGTGTTGAGTTGGCTTTTAGGTAAGTACCTTAAATGTGAGAGGGAAATGGAGCCTTCTTCCTCATCTCTGCAGCCTAGAATATGGATTTAATGACCAGAGCTCCAGAAGCCATCTAAAACCATGAGGCGTGCTTGAAGATGGAAGCCATGTACGGAGGGTAACAGAGCAGAAAGTTAGGAGCCTGGCTTCCTGATGACACCATGAAGCCACTATACAAATCTTATTCCTCGAAATTTTAAAACAAAAAATAGCTTTTTTGAGATATAACTTATATATACAGTTCACCCCTTGAAAGTGTACAATCCAATGGTTTTTAGTTTGTTCACAGAGTTGTGCAACCATCACCACAATCAATTTTAGAACATTTGAAATTCTTTTAAATGAGAGAAAAATAATCATGTTAAAGTTTTTTGGGTTTTTTTGATACGTAGTTGAACTTCATCTTAACTGATATGGTAATAAAGCTTTTTATAACACAGAGTTGTGTTAGTGTGAGTACGTGGGTATGCAAGAGAATCGCTTTGCCTTTATTTTTTCACTGCTTACCAAAAGTGCCAGCTTGGAGTTCAGGATCTTCCTCTATCCTGCCTCATCTCACCAATAACTTGCTTCCTGTTGAAATGTCATGTCTGTGCGGTTCTGCTTTCAGTCCCAGCTTCCCTACTTCTCTAAGGTGCCAAACAAGCACCAAAGAAGTTTCCCCTCTAAGCCTGCATGTTCCAGCACCATTGTTTAGACAAGGAATTGGTGGTTGCTGTCCCACTTCTTAGGAGAGCACATGCTCTGCAGGGTTGTCTGGGCTCTGCATTTTCCGGTGGGTCCTGGCTTTGTCTTCCTCATGGGCCAATTTAATGGGCTCTTCCCACTGGGCTCTTCCCAGTAGACTCTACATTAGGCAGCCCCTTCCTCATAGCATGCTTCAGATTTACAGTCATTTCCTAGTTTTCTCAAGGATGGAACTTGCATTCTGTTTTCCTTCTTCTGCTTGTTGCAGTGTGACTTTGGAGAAGAGAAAGGAGACAGATGTTTTTACTCCACCATTTTAAAACCAGAAGTCTCCTTGCTTAATTTTAAAATAACTCTTTTTTATTTATTTAGCAGAGGATATATGGTCACCAATCAGTGGTAACTACTATTAACTTTTGGGAGAATATTTTTCCAAATTTTCTCTCTGTCAATCTCTCTCTCTCTCTCTCTCTCTCTCTCTCTGTCTCTATCTATCTATATTAACCTATTTAATTTCTGGAAAACATGATATAGAATTATTAAATAGTCTACAACTTTGTTTTTAATTGGCCTTTGGCATCTCAGTGTATGAATATACCGTGAGTTATTAACCAGTCCCCTAGTTTGGGCCACAGGCCACAGGGTTGAAGAGCATTACCTCAACTCTAGTGGTGAGGTTGACATATGAGCTCTAGGCTCTCATATGAACTCTAGGCACAAAAGGCCACAGACTTTCAAGGACTGGGATACCTGCTCTGCTGGGGGTTCCCAACATCATAAGACCCAATGGCCCTCTCTACTTCCCATTGAAGTCTTTTAAAAAATACTTTTAAAATTTTAAACCAATTTTAGACTTATGAAATAGTAAAAGTAGTACAGAATTCCTTATATTCCTTACCCCATGTTCCTTAAAGTTAACATCTTACATAAGCCTAATAAAATGATCAGGAACGGGGTATTAACATTGGTACAATACTGGCAACTAAACAGAAGACCTTATTTGAATTTCATCAATGTTTCCATTAATGCCTGTTTTCTGTGCTAGGATGCTAACAGTGATCCCAGATTGCATTTATTTATTTCTCCTTAGTTTCTTTCAGTCTATAAGTCTATAACAGTTCCTCAGTCTTTCCTTTTTTTTTTTTTTGTGACATTCACACTTTTAATAAGTACCAGTCAGTTAATTTGTAGAATGTCATTCAATTTGGAATGTTTTCTCATGATTGGATTGAGGCTGTGTGTTTTTGGCAAGAGCACTACAAAAATACACCTATATCTTTCTCAAGGTATCATTATCCAGGAGTAATGATCTTGATATGTCTTATTGCTGGAGGACTTTATCTTGATCAGTTGTTTTAAGTCGGTGTCTGATCAGTTAGGCCAAATTAATGTTTTTTAGCCACACAGTGGCCTATCGAGACACTATCTCCCATATTTACTTAGGTTAGTTACCCATCCATTTCAGTGTGGTTATGTTATTCATTTGTGTATGATTAGGTTCATTTGTTAGTGTTTCTACTCGGTTCTGGGTTCTCCTTTCCTTGCATCCTGGTTGATTTTAAGTTTTTGTTTATTTTGAGGATATGTGAAGGGTTTGTGAAACTGTGGTTCTAAGAGTCAGAGCTATACAAAAATAGTACTTGGAGAAGTGTGACTCCCTCCTCATCCCTAAAACTCTGTTTCCATTCACCTCTTTTCTTCTCTTTTTCCACTTGCTTCCTTAGGTAACCACACTACTAAGCTTCTATTTATCCTTCTTTTAGATCTTTTGCACAAAAGAGCAGACACCTTGGTATTTTCTATCTTCTTCTTATGTCCTAGAGATACTCTTTCGGGCCTTGCCTTTTTCACTTAACAGTATGTCCTGGAAATCATGCCATGCCTGTTCAGAGACCTTCTTCATTCTTTTTTTACCACTGCATAGTATTTCATGGTGTGGATGTATCATAGTTTATTCAACCACTTTACTATGTATGGGCATTTGGGTCGCTTCCAGTATTGTACAGCTACAAACAAAGCTGCAATGAATAACCTTGCATATATGTATTAATGCGTAGTTGAAAGTATATCTTTGGGGTAGATTCCTAGAAGTGGGATTGCTGTTGAAAGGTAAAAATGTATGTAGTTTTGTTAGGTATTGCCAAATTTATTTCCAGAAGGGTTGTACCATTTGTATAATTGGTACATAAAACCCATAAAAATGACTTTTTCCTCACAGCATCACCAACAGAATGTGTCGTCAAGTTTTTAAACTTTAACCAGTCTGGTGAGAAATGATACTTACTGTGTTTTAATTTGTATTTCTCTAATTATGAATGAATTTCAGCATTTTCCCATATATCTGAAGGCCATTTTTAATGTCCAGTTTTTGTGAATTGCCCATTCATGTCTTTTCCCATTTTTTATATTCTTAATTTTAATTTTTTTTTTTTGAGACAGAATTTCTCTATTGCCCACGCTGGAATGCCCTGGTGTGATCATGGCTCGTGGCAGCCTCCAACTCCTGGGTTCAAGTGATCATTTTGCCTCGGCTTCCCCAGTAGCTGGAACTATAGGGACATACCACCATGCTCTATTATTATTATTATTTTGGTAGTGATGGGGGTCTCACTATTTTGCCCAGGCTGGTCCTGAATTCCTGGGCTCAAGTGATCCTCCTTCCTTGGCCTCCCAAAGTGCTGGGATTATAGGTATGACCCACCACGCCTGTCCTCCTATTTTTTTAAATTGAGTTTTCAGTCTTTTGTGTCTCAGTTATTAAGAGTTCTTCATATGTTAAAACTATTAGCCCTTTGTCTGTGGTATATGCTGTAAATCTTTTCTCTCAGTTTTATCAGTCGCTTTTGACTTTCTTTGTGGTGCTTTTGTTATATAAAATATTTTTTATTTTCAAGTAGTAAAATTTATAAATTTTGTTTTTTATTGCCTCTGATTTTTTTTATTTTTTATTGCCTTGGGATTTTGAGTCATCCTTAGAAAACTTTTCCCTACACTGAGATTAAAAATGAGTTTACTCATAGTTTCTTCTAGTACTTTTACAGTTTTATTTTTAAATATTTAGATCCCTAATTTATTTGAAGTTTATTAATATGGATGATGTGAGAGATGGATCTAATTTTGTCTTTCTCCAAATGACTACCCAGGACCATTTGTTTAAGAGTGTCCATCTTTACTCCAGTGATTTGAGCTTATAAATGAGAACATGATATTTTGTTTTCTGTTCCTGCATTAATTCTCTTGGAATAATGGCCTCCAGCCGCATCCATGTTGCTGCAAAGGACGTGATTTCATTCCTTTTATGACTGTATAGTATTCTATGGTATATATGTACTATATTTTCTTTATCTAGTTCAGTGTGGATGGACACCTAGTTTGATTCCATGTCTTTGCTTTTGTGAATAGTGCTGCGATGAACACACAAGTGTATATGTCTTTTTGGTGGAACAACCTATTTTCTTTTGGATATATACCTAGTAATGGCATTGCTGAGTTGATTGGTGGATCTGTTTTAAGTTTTTTGAAAAATCTCGGCCAGGCAAAGTGGCTGACGCCTGTAATCCCAGCACTTTGGGACACTGAAGGTAGGCGGATCACTTGAGGTCAGGAGTTCCAGACCAGACCAGCCTGGTCAACATGGCAAAATCCCATCTCTACAAAAATACAAAAATTAGCTGGGTGTGGTGGCACATGTCTGTAATCCCAGCTACTCAGGAGGCTGAGGCAGGAGAATCACTTGAACCCGGGAGGCGGAGGTTGCAGTGAGCCAAGACCATGCTACTGCACTCCACCCTGGGCAAAAGAGTGAGATTCCATATTTAAAAAAAAATATCAAAACTGCTTTCCACAGTGGCTGAACTAATTTACATTCTCATCAACAGTGTATAAGCATTCCCTTTTCTCCACAGCCCTGCCAGCATTTGTTTTTTGACTTTTTAATGATTGCCATTTTGACTGCTATGACATGGTATCTCATTGTGGTTTTGATTTGCATTATCTCTGATGATTACTGATGTGGAGCATTTTCCCGTTTATTTGTTGGCCACTTATATGTCTTCTTTTTAGAAGTGTCCATGTCTTTTGCCCACTTTTTCATGAGTTTTTTTTTTCTTGTTGAGTTTTTTAGGTCCCTTATAGATTCTGGATATTAGGCATTTGTTGGATGCATAGTTTGTCGTATTTTCTCCCATTATGTAGGTTATCTCTGTACTCTGTTGATAGTTTCTTTTGCTTTGCAGAAGCTCTTTAGTTTAATTAGGTCCTACTTGTCAACTTTTGTTTTTGTTGCAATTGCTTTTGAGGACTTAGTCATAAATTCTTTCCCAACACTGATGTCCAGAATGGTGTTTTCTAGGTTTTCTCCTAGGATTCTTAGAGTTTGAGGTCTTACATTTAAATCTTTAATTCATTTTAATTTTTGTAAATGGTAAAAGGTAGCAGACTGGTTTCATTCTTCTGCATATGGCTAGCTAGCTATACCAGGACCATTTATTGAACAGGAAGTCCTTTCTCCATTGCTTATTTTTGTTGATTTTGTTGAAGATCAGATGGCTGTAGGTGTGCAGCTTTATTTCTGGGTTCTCTATTCTGTTTCATTGGTCTATGTGTCTGTTTTTGTACCAGTACAATGCTGCTTTGGTTACCGTAGCCTTATAGTCAGGTAATGTACCTTTGAAGTCAGGTAATGTGATGCCTCTGGCTTTATTCTTTTTTGCTTAGGATTGCTTTGGCTATTTGGGCTCTTTTCTGGTTCCACGTGAATTTTAGAATAGTTTTTTTCTAATACTGTGAAAAATGACATTGGTAGTTTGATAGGAATAAGTGCTGAATCTGCAGATGGCTTTGAGCTGTATGGCCGTTTTAACAATATTAATTCTTCCAATCCATGAGGTTGGAATGTTTTTCCATTTGTTTGTGTAATCTTTGATTTCTTTCAGCAGTGAGAAAACTGACATCTTTATACTGTTCACTTACCTAAACCAAGAACATTTTATTTGATTTTATTTTAGTTTTTCTGGAGTAATTTACAATTTTTTGTGGAGTCTTTTGGTTGATCTAGAACTAGGAAAAGACTGTCCTAGGCCATAAGTGGTCAGGAAAGAAAAAATACACTAGAAAATGTATCAAAGATCTGGTAAATATGCTTACATTGTCTCAAAGTTCTTCACAACCACTCTGTGAAGCAGGCATTGTTAGCTACATTTTACAAATGGTTACAATGAGCCTTAAGTATTAAATAAATAGAAAGTGGTCAATAGTGAAGGCAGGATATAAATTTATGTGCCTGTATGTCACCACTCCATATATTATTTGCAAGAGCATGCCAGGTAATGGAACATCTAGGGAAGGAAGCATTGATAATAAAGTTTAAAATCTTCAGAATGAGGCTAGAATGGTGGTTAGCTTAGATCCAGTATTAGAACCCAGTGTTGAGCCTTGTATTTAGTTCTGCACACTTCACTTTTAGAGGGACATGGCTAGGCTTGGATAGCAACAAGATTTCACCCTCTTGTTAACACTACTTGATTGATCAGAGCTAGAGAGCTGTGCTGAAATTGATTACAAGACTTCATCTGGGCATATTAGTAAAGTACATAGGGATCAATATGCAATGTTTTCCATGAGTATGAAGATAGGGAAATGGGGTGTGTCAGCTATCTGTCAGTCAACCTTGGGCTATACAACAAGTCCAAAGGGAAGTGACAAAGATGGGGTGGGAACTTTATAAGCATGCCATGGAATGGAAGGTTTGAAATCCAGGATTGGGATGGAAGAAGTTTTGCTAGTTTTTTGTTGTTGTTGTTGTTGTTGTTGTTTTTAACGTTCGAAAAAAAAGTCATGTCAACTTTTTATGTGTGATTCCTGTGGTTAGAACAATGATACTGTGTAGAGTGCCAACTCAGGTTCCATAGAAGGAAGAACTCTTCTAATAATCAGAGTTGCCTAAATATGGGGGAAAATGGCCTGGCAGCGATCATGCACTTGCTGACTTTTCAGTGTGACATAGACATTGAGAGTTCAGGCTTTGGGATCATAAGATCATGGGTTACTTGTGTTGAATATATTACAGAAGTCAAATCCCTCCATTATATATACTCCTAACCCTCTAGAGCATGATGTGGGACTTATTTTACATTTATTTGTGTGATCCTTTGCTTAAAATACATCTTTCTCAGCACATGAGTACTCTAATGATGGCAGTGACTGTTTTGCTCATAGTACCTGGCACAGAATAAATGCTCAATAAATGTTTGCTGAATGAATGAATGAATGAATGTAGGTTTGTCACTCTCAGTTGTTCCCTCCTGGGAGCTACTATCAAGCTTGTGCTTGAGTCACTTGCTTTGATGTGCCAAAATATGTTAACCAATAGGGGCCCCAAGAGACACAGAAGTCACAGAATGGTGACACTCAGGCTTTGTGTCCCCGATGCCAGTTTCACTCATGGATCAAGGGAGGGATGAGGCAGGGGAGGAGGGATGTTCAGAAGATAAGTGAGGGAGGGGTGGTAATCTCCCGATAGTTGTTCTTTCAGACTTTGCACTTCCCTTTTAGAAACCTCATCATACTTCTATTAGTTGTTCAATATTGTCTTTTCTATCAGATCCTCCCTGTTCAATTTCTAATTTTTCTGTTATGCAGTATGCCCCATGAGGGTAGGGACCATGTTTTCCTTAATTATTTCCGTAACCCGAGCACCTAGAACAGTGCCTGGTGTATAGTAAGTACTCAATAAATTTTTGTGAGATGAATAAATACATAAATGAAATGTGGTCTAGAATCTGTGTGCCCAATAAAGTAGTGTATGAGATATTAGGACATGCAATACACAGTCTCTGTTTTCAAGTTGCTTGTGGCCTAGGTAGATACTTAGTAATATGCAGACAAAACTCTAATACACAAAGAAAAAAGGCACTGAAGCAGAAATTAAGTTTGAATCTTTGCCTGCAGTGATTTGCCTGTGAATAGGATTTCAGTGACCAATAAAAATTACCCTGCTCCTTTATGGTGAGTTGTCATAAAGTATATGTGCCCCTGCCTTTTCTTGTATCTTCTAGTAGCAAAAGAACACAAGGCTGCAGCTTAAAAGTCCAGAATGTAGTCTCTTCAGTTTCCCTCAACTGTGACAAGTTAGTGGGGAGCAATAATTCAAAAGGATCTTTCTAGAGGTAATCTTGCAAAATTCTTAGAAAAATCTAAATTGCAAAGTGAATGTACAAGGGGGTAATGGTGCAAGCATCTTCAGCCCAAGATGCTTCAAAAATACTGAGTCATCACCAAGGCCAGAAAAATAGACCTTATCTTATATAACCACACACTGAACTTAAAATATGTAAAGGGAAATTAAAAATTTTTTGCATATTACACAAAACAAGTCCCTGAGAAGCCAGAGAATGATATCTTGGCTAAAGGAGTATTTGATGTTAGTTGAACTGTAAATTTTTAGGAATTTAATATTGATTACAGTTATATGCAAAGAGGACATGAGGAATGTGATGGGCTGCCATCAGCCAGGAGAGACTGTTGTACTTGGAACCATAAGAAACATGTGTGAGTGGTCAGGGTGCTGAAAGAATAGGACTGAAATGGGCTGTCAAGAATGCATGAATGATTAATGTGTAAGTGCAGTGATGTGGATTGGAATATATTGCAAATTTGATTGAGTGGGAAAAGTGGGAGGGGAGACTTAGTGCCTCTAAATGTATGTGGGATTGTTTTAATATCATGCATTAATAGATACTAGCCAGATCCATTAAGAGGTTGTCACCAAGACTCATCAATTTTTCTTACCTTATATTTCTTGTATTCACTCTTCATTTCCTCTGCCTTTTCTCTAGTTTGGACCACACATTTCATGTCTTGGCTATTTCAATAGTTTTCCAGTTAATCAACATGACTAGTATTCCCCAAATTGGGTTAACAACATCTAAAACCACCAGGTCAGTATTTCTAAAACAACACTTTTCTATCTTAATCCTTCATTGTCCTTCTCCCCAACCCCCCAATATTACCCAGAATAGTGGGTTTCAAACTGTGTCCTACGATCATACATAGAATGCTCCAGAAAGAGAGATTATGTTTGTTTTTACTCAACGAATATCTTTCTATCACTTAGCACAATGTGGAGGCAGAAATATTCAATGAATATTTGTTGAATGAGTGAACGAGGTGGCTCATTGGTTGCTGGGAAATGGAATTAGAGAAAGACAAGAAATTGGATTCTGGGGCTCCTACTTCCTATCAAATCAGCAGCTCCATTATTATCTGCTTATTATGTAGGTGTTTTGAGTAAGTTTTGTCTGAAAAAGAGTCCTGTTGCTCTAAGTATTTGAAAGCCAATTAACTAAAAATATTTTAACTCGTACACCTAACATACAAATCCTAAATTAATCTTTCAAAGGAACCTGCTAGTACTCCCCAAAATACAGAGAATATAATGTGGTTTGTTGTTGTTGTTGTTGTTGCTTCTGCTGTTTTTTTTTTGTTAAATGTTTTTTTGTCCAGCAATCCTCTCCAAAACCCCATGGGTCTATGGGGCTGCCATATTTGTTAGTATATGATCCCATTCCTGAGAAATAGGTTTTGACCCAGGCCTGGCCTGTTATAATGTCTTGACATCCAGGCCTGAATTTGTTTGTGGGTAGATACCTGACCCCAGCTGGGCCATTTGTTATCCTTTCCTGGGATTTTAAACAGTTTTTATCAGAAACCAAGCAATAACAATCTGATCATTTCTGTGGCTAACGTTTTTCCCCCGGTGGCTAACATTAAGAGAAACTCTTCATGATCAGATTTCCCAGTGTTTGGAGAAGCAAACTAGAGTGGAAGAGTCAGAAGCAAAGATCCAGAAAGATGGAGATATGAGAGACAGAGAGAGCATCCTACTGGTATTTGAGTTCATTTCCAAGGCTGTCGAAGGTTGGGTTTTACTGAAACAGTCCCTGTGATAGAATTTGTGGTGTAGGATATTTATTAGGGACCAGCACTTATGGGAAGGAGGAAGAGAAAGCAAGATTGGGAAGAGGAAGAAACTGAACTCAATGCAAGTCTGACAACTCCACAGAGAATTATTGAGCATAATAAGTCCATTGAGCATAAATGGCCCATTGAAATTGTGCTGCATGAGCTGAGATGTTCTGGCCTTTATACTTCCACAGTGATTAGTCACTGGATATGGGCTACCCAGGGAAGGGCAAGCTCTTGGACAAGGCAACTCTCAGCATCTGAGGCAAACCCTGAAGTAGATGATAGATGAAGGCTGTCTACTGACCACATGGCCAGCATCTGGGAAAACATATTGTTCTGTGAAAGGGTATCTGAGCGGCACTTCTCCATGTCCACCATGTAGGCCCACCTTTACCCTGCCTTCAACATGTTTGATCTTCAACTTCTTTTAATGATGTGAGATATTCCAATATGCTTCCAATACATTTCCTTTTTTTTTGTTTTTTCGCATTCTTTTTTTATTATGATTATACTTAAGTTCTGGGATACATGTGCAGAATGTGCAGGTTTGTTACATAGCTATACATGTGCCATGGAGGTTTGCTGCACCCATCAACCCATCATCTATATTAGGTATTTCTCCTAATGTTATCCCTCCCCTAGCCCCCCACCCCCCTCATAGGCCATAGTGTGTGATGTTCCCCTTCCTGTGCCCGTGTGTTCTCATTGTTCAACTCCCACTTATGAGTGAGAGCATGTGGTGTCTGGTTTTCTGTTCCTGTGTTAGTTTGCTGAGAATGATGGTTTCCAGCTTCATCCATGTCCCTACAAAGGACATGAACTCATCCTTTTTTATGGCTGCATAGTATTGCATGGTGTATATGCGCCACATTTTCTTTATCCAATCTATCATTGATGGGCATTTGGATTGGTTCCAAGTCTTTGCTATTGTGAACAGTGCTGTAATAAACATACGTGTGCATGTGTCTTTATAGTAGAATGATTTATAATCCTTTGGGTATGTACCCAGTAATGAGATTGCTGGGTCAAATGGTATTTCTGGTTCTAGATGCTTGAGGAATCGCCACACTGTCTTCCACAATGGTTGAACTAATTTACACTCCCACCAACAGTGTAAAAGCATTCCTATTTCTGTACTTCCTCTCCAGCATCCGTTGTTTCCTAAATTTTTAATGATCACCCTTCTAACTGGTGTGAGATGGTATCTCATTGTGGTTTTGATTTGCATTTTTCTAATGACCAGTGATGATGAGCTTTTTTTCATGTTTGTTGGCCGCATAAATGTCTTCTTTTGAGAAGTGTCTGTTCATATCCTTCACCGACTTTTTGATGGGGTTGTTTGTTTTTTTCTTGTAAATTTGTTTATGTTCCTTATAGATTCTGTATATTAGCCCTTCATCATATGGATAGTTTGCAAAAATTTTCTCCCATTCTGTAGGTTGCCTGTTCACTCTGATGATAGTTTCTTTTGTTGTGCCGAAGCTCTTTAGTTTAATTAGATCTCATTTGTCAATTTTGGCTTTTGTTGCCGTTGCTTTTGGTGTTTTAGTCATGAAGTCTTTGCCTATGCCTATGTCCTGGATGGTATACATTTCCATTTTTTAAAAATCAAGGTCAAGTTAGATTGTTGTCACTTGCTATGAACATCCTGACTGATATCCTTCAGCCAGCCAGATTGCCCTCCAGAATACTCTTCTATCCTTTTGGTTTTGAAATACGTGTGTGTGTGTGTGTGTGTGTGTGTGTGTGTGTGTGTGTGTGTTATTCTCTACTGCTAAGGTCTGAATGTTGGTGCCTTCTCCAAATTCATATGTTGGAACTGGAAAACCAGTGTGATAGTATTAAGAGGTGCAGCCTTGGCCAGGTGCAGTGGCTCAAGCCTGTAATCCCAGCACTTTGAGAGGCTGAGGCAGGTGGATCACGAGGTCAGGAGTTTGAGACCAGCTTGACCAACATGGTGAAACCCCATCTCTACTAAAAATACAAAAATTAGCGGGACATGGTGGTGGGCGCCTGTAATCCCAGCTTCTTAGGAGGCTGAGGCAGGAGAATTGCTTGAAGCCAGAAGGCGGAGGTTGCAGTGAGCTGAGATCATGCCACTGCACTCCAGCCTGGGCAACAAGAGCGAGACTCCACCTCAGGAAAAAAAAAAAAAAAGGTGGGGGGAGGTGGAGCCTTTGGGAAGTGAATAAATAAATCATGCAGTTTCCACCCTCATGGATGAGATTAGCACTCTTATAAAACAGCCTTCAATGGACTCCCTTGTTCCTTCTGCCACATGAGGACACAGGTAGAAGGCGTAGTTCATGAAGCAGACGTTGAATCTGCTGCACCATGAACTTGGACTTCCCAGGCTCCAGAACTGTGAGAAATAAATTTCTGTTGTTTATAAACTGCCCAGTCTAAGGTGTTTTGTTACAGCATCCTGAATGGACTAGGACATCTATACAGTCATTCGTGCGACAAATACTTCCAGTGTACCCACCATGGATCAGGCAAGAATCTAAACCCTCCCTTTCCTAAAGCTTCAGCCCACTGCCTTTCTTCGCACATGACTCCTTATGAAGTCTGCTCTCCTTTGAATGACAATAGCACTCACATTCCTCATCACCTCTACCATTCGTCCAGCACTACTTTGTCTTCCACTGGATGGCTGGCCTCTGGCAGAACTGTTTTTTGTGACACTGTTTTATGAAATAATGGGTCTCAAATGAAGGATGGGGTGAGAAAAATTCCATGGGACTTTGTCCCAACCTCTAAGGATGTTGTTCACTACATTGCAGTGTTCTTTCTACAAGACCCTCAGGAGATATTTCTTTTCTATCTCAATATCAATACCACATGTGCTTCTGAATAACTGCTTGGTTTTTATCTCACTACCTTGTGAACTGTGCAACTGGCTAAATTTCTCTTTTCACATTGGCTGCTGGATAACTCAAGCCAAACTTGCACACCCTTAGCAAATGTGTAACATACTATGTCAGATGCCAGTAACTGTTGCCTCCAGGTCATTGAGACTGAGGACGTGATTGTTTGTTTAAGTGTGTTGATATGGTTTGGCTGTGTCCCCACCAAAATCTCACCTTGAGTTGTAATAATCCTCACATGTCAAGCATGGAGCCGGGGGGGATAACTGAATCATGGGGGCACTTTCCCCCATACTGTTCTCATGGTAGTAAGTAAGTCTCAGAAGATCTGACGGTTTTATAGAGGGGCATTCCCCTGCACAAGCTCTTTTGCCTGCTGCCATGTAAGATGTCCCTTTGCTCTCTGACTTTGTCTTCTACCATGATTGTCTGGCCTCCCCAGCCATGTAGAACTGTGAGTCCATTAAACCTCTTTCCTTTATAAGTTACCCAGTTTTGGTTATGTCTTTATTAGCAGCATGAGAACAGACCAACACATGGGGTTTCTTAAAAATTTAACCTGGGCCAGGCACAGTGGCTCACGCCTGTAATCCCAGGACTTTGGGAGGCCGAGGTGGGTGGATCACGAGGTCAGGAGATCGAGACCATCCTGGCCAACATGGTGAACCCCCATCTCTACTAAAACTACAAAAAAATTAGCCAGGCATGGAGACATATGACTGTAGTCCCAGCTATTCTGGAGGCTGAGGCAGGAGAATTGCTTGAACCCAGGAGCTGGAGGTTGCTGTGAGCCAAGATTGCACCACTGCACTCCAGCCTGGGCGACAGAGTGAGACTCCGTCTCAAAAAGAAAATAAATAAATAAATAAAATAAATTAACCTGAATGCATTGAGGTTGGGCATAGAGTCTTGGTTGCCTCAAACATACTCACCCCCTGTTGTAAACATCACTTGTCACTTCATATATGTATGCACACGCTGGCCCCCTTGAAGTTCTTTGATTTTATTATTCTTCCTCTATAGCTTGCATTAAAAAAATTTTTAAGAATAATATTTTTAATTTAACCCACCGTATTCAAAATGTTATCATATCAACTTGCAATCAATGCAGAAAAAAAGTATTAATGAGATATTTTTCATTTTTTTGTACTAAACCTTTAGAGTCCAATCTGTTTTTTATTGTTGTAAAACATATATAACATAAAATTGACCTTTTAACCATTTTTAAGTATACAGTTTACTGAAATTAAGTACATTCGCATTGTTGTGCAACCATCACCACTATCTACCAGCAGAACTTTTTCATCTTTCCAAGAGAAAACTCCATACCATTAAACAATAACTCCTCATACTCCCCTCTCCCCAGCCCATGGCAACCACCATTCTATTTTCTGTCTCTATGAATTTGACTTCTCCAAATACCTCATGTAAGAGGAATTGTACACCATTTGTCCTTTTGCGTCTAGCTTATTTTACTCAGCATAATGTCCTCAAGATTCGTCAGCGTTGTGGCATGTGTAAGAACCTCCTTCCTTTTAAGGCTGAATAATATTTGATTTATATATATTCCATATTCCACGTTTTGTTTATCTATTCATCTACGGTTTCCATTTTTATATTAGCCAATTTTATGTTGTTGCCCTTGTTTTCTCTGTAAACTGCCTTTAATTATTTTATGAGCAGTGTGCAGCTTAAATACATTCATAGTTTTCATCTTCAATAAGACAATAAGCTCCTTAAAGGTAGTGTCCAACACATGTTTTGCACAAAGGGGATGTTTGACACGTGTGTTCATTGGCACAAGTAACACTCTGTTCTAACCTATAGGTGAGGTGAATGCAGTGGGGAGTCAGGGGATGCCTGCACCTTGGCTTGGGGTGATGTAGAACACAGAACATTTGTGTCCCTGTGTCCAAGCCTTTGGTAATCTTATCTATCTGTTCTATGCTCCTGCATTTACTTTTCTTCCCCAATATCTTTTTAATGATCATTTTAGTAACAGTACTGTCAACATATATTACACTGAAAATGCTGAAAGGAGTCCCTTTGGGAGGAGGCACACAGGCTGAAAAATTGCTCTTCTTATTTTCCTCTCCTTGCTATTCCAGCCTCAACTGCTCTTCTTGGTGGAGACAACCACTATGGGACCAGAGTAGATTAAAATATAAGGCTGCTTTAATGGTAAAAAGTTTCCCAGTATTCAAATTCAGTGAAAAATGCCCTTAAGCTTTAAAATATAGAGATATAATTCAGTGATTTTTGGGGAAAACCTTTAAACAGCAATCTAAAAAGAAAAGTTTGGAAAGAACCTATAATCAGAGCCTGGTTGTCCCAGGAGGTAAGGTTATATGGGCATGGTGGCTTCTTCTATGGTATAACTAAAGAACATGAAAGTCCTTCTGAACTTACACCCAGCAGACCAGGAGAATTTTCCCTTGTGTAGTGACACTTGATTGGCATTCATGCCAAAGGGCTCTTGTGAAATGGTTGCCTGAGCAGAGTGAGGTGGCGCTATAGTAGCACATCAACACTGATTCCCCATGTGCTCCCTGCACTGTCAGTCCCTAACAGGCAGGCATAAAGCCTCTGCTGGAGCCACTGCAGGGATGGGAGCTCAAGACCACTCATGCCTACCCTCACCTGAGTAGCCCACTGTGGTTTGGGACAGCCTTGTTGTTAGAAAAATCTTTGTTTTATTGAGACCAAAACTTTCTCTATAAACATCACCTTTGGCTTAAAATTTGCCTTAATCACATCTAATCTTTTTTTTTTTTTTTTTTTTTTAAAGACAGGGTCTTGCTTCATTGCCCAAGCAAGCAAGAGTGCAGTGGTGCAATCATAGCTCACTGCAGCCTCAAACACCTGGGCTCAAGTGATCCTCCCACCTCAGCCTCCCAAGTAGCTGGAACTACAGCCATGGGCTACCATGCTTCCTGGCTAATTTTTAAATTTTTTGTAGAGATGGGAGGTCTCACTGTGTTGCCCAGGCTGGTCTTGAACTCCTGGCCCCAAGTGATCCTCCCACCTCAGCCTCCCAGTTCCATAAAAAGGAGAACTCACCAGGAGTTGCTGCACAGTTCATGTTCACAGGATGCACGTTCTTTCCTATTCAGCACTAAGAAAGCCATTGGCTTTACCACTGAGGTGAGGCCTGTGAACGAGTTAGGGTACAGCCCAATATATGGCTTCCTTTTATTTTCTTGTTTTAAAATGGCCATCTGTAGAGTCTTCTGGAAGCCACCATATGTCTCCTGTGTTCTTGACAACAACCATGAAAGGTGGGGTAGGCTGGCTCCTGTTCTGCAGATGGTGAGATGGCACATGGGGAGATGGTGTTGTACAGTGGGAAATGCAGGCTGAAGCCAAACAGACCTGGGTTGAATGCAAGGTCCACCAAGCATCTGGGTCCACACTCCCTGTCTGGCCTTGGCCTAGTCATTTAAACTCTCCGAGCCCAGGTTCCTCATCTATTAAGTGGGGGAAAATAATAGTAGCTACAGAACAGGGTTGTAATAACAATGAATGTATAAAGTTGTATAGCCCTAAGCTTAAAGCTTGGCTTGTGTTATTGTTGTTAATAAACTATTCTCCACCCACTCCCTTTCATTTGAGTAAATCTGCAGCCCAAGCTTTACTCAAAAGAAAATATTTTGCATTATGGGAAAAGGGGAATTTTTAAAAAATCCCTTCTCTATGATACCTGGAGTCTGTTTTATGAACCTAGAAACTAAATATTCTTATCAACTTGGCAGGTAAATGAAAACAAAATTATGTCACACCAAACTGAAAAGGCGAATGCATCTTTTTGCATCTGACTTTAAAAGCTGTCAGGTCTAAGCCACCTAGATTTCATTCTAATGAGGATTCAGGGCCAGCTTGTGAATCGTGAGTCATGTGCAGGCTCTGAACCCAACAGTTGGTAAGCTGGGCTTCAACAAAGAACTTAATTAAGGAGAACCACCCTCTTCCCACCCCCCACTTATTACCACCCTCAATCCCCACCCACAAACCACAAAGGGATATGCACCTTGCACTAGGTTTTTGACCTTATTATGCACAGTGTAACATTTATTACTTCACTCAGCACTGCTGGATGAAAACAGTCCTCTTTCAATTTACAAAAACGCACTTTACAGGAAATGTAGGAGAAAGGCCAGAGTACAGATTAATGAATGCTATCAAATACATCCACCTGAAAGTGTCACCAATTTTGCTGTGACACAGTTCCTGGAATTGCCTCAGAGATTTAAACTTGTGGATACCCCAGTATTGTATCCCCAAAGACTTTGAAAGAAGTGCAAAAAATATGTTCTGTTCATAAAGCATTGTCAAGGTTATTTGCAAGGGGGTTTGGTTTGTTTTATTCCTAGGGCCTCCAAGAAATTTGGCCCCCCTGCCTTTTCCATTTTTTTTTGTTCCTTTTTGGTTTAGCCAACCTGGCCTTTTTGTTTCCTGAACCAGCAAAGGTAGCCTTGCCTCAGGATATTTGCCCTTGGTGTTACTTTTGGTTAGAAAATCCTTTGGTTGGGGGGGTTTTTTCCCCATACAGGTTTTAGCCAAAAAACCCCCTCCTTAGAGAAGCATTTTTTCATCCCTTCTATGAAGTAGCAGCCCTCAGCTTTTTTTTAGAACATACTTTTTTTTTTTTTTTTGCCTTCATTGTACAGTCTTCCCTTGGTATCTGTAAGAGATTTGTCCCAGTACCCCTGGAGGATACTAAAATCCTAGGATGCTCAAGTCCTTTATGTAAAATAGCATAGTATTTGCATATAACATACACACATCCTCCTGTATACTTGACATCATCTCTAGATTACTTATAATACCTAATACAATGCTTACACATCATTTCATTTGCTTGAATTAAACATAGCACTTGGCATGTGGCAAATTCAAGTTTTGCTTTTTGGAACTTTGTGGAACTTTTTTTTCCCGAACATTTTTGACCCGCAGGCAGTTGAATCCATGAATGCAGAACCCACGAATGTGGAGGGCCAAGTGTATTTACCACTATGTCTCAGTGATTTTAGTTAATGGAGGTGACAACATGGAGAGGTCAATGCCATTGGAACAAGACTTATTACTTACATTTCCCAAGAGAAGGGGATATACGACACCACGCAGGGCCACAGAGAAAGCACCAGGTTTTGGTAGGAGGCAGAAGCCAGAAAGGGGAGAGTCTAGGCCACGGTCTTTATCAGAGATTCCATGGGAAAGTCAAGACAGGGCAGAATAAATACTTTAGGACTGGCTAGTTTTGATAATTTCTGTGGGCTTTGGGCTATAAAGGTGGTCTCTAATTGCCTCATACGTGGTTCCAGGATAATTTAGGGCAGGGAAAATATTAGCTTGGTGTGTGAGGGTTAGATAAAGGGGGTAGTTGGGGATATAGACTCTGGATAGGTTGGTTGGCATGTGAAAGGAATGCCTTTCATAAGAGCTCAATCCTGAGCTTTTAACTATCTCTAAGAATTGGCTAGTGTTGCAGGAAAAGTCTCTTTCCAGACAACAAGATTTTTCAGGTGTCAAAATGTCATAAGATATACAAAATAAAAAAATATGATTAATACAAACTATATGAAATAATCTCATTTATTTTTGTCTGTCTACTTTAACAGAAGGTAAGCCCCATGAAGGTAGGGACCGTGTCCTTATTGTTCATGACCATATGGCCAGCACAAAGTAGGTGTTCAATAAATATTTGTTGCATGAATAAGGAAATACGAGCTCCTAGAGTCTGGGACTGTGTGGTCTTCACAGTTGTATCTCCCTGTTCCAACTCCATCCTTATTCTTTCTCTAGCACAGTGCAGAATACATAGTAACTGTCATTTAAAAAGGGTTGTTGAATTAATTTGAACTGAGAAGGGTAATATACCATTTTAATTTGTGTAGTTTAAAATAGTTTTAGCAAATGTATTCATTTGTCACAGATAAAGTGGATGGCACAAAAAATCATACATTTTAGTAAGAAGAAATAAGATCAAACAGATTCAAAACATATGCTCCTTTTAATCAGGGATTAGCAATAGCATATTCAAATATCAAGGACAACACATCATGGATTATAGTGACCCGATCTCTGCATAAAATAGATATTTAAATTCACCTTTAAAAACAGGAGCACAGCCAGACAGGGTTGTATACAGCTGTAGTCCAAGCTTCTTGAGAGGCTGAGGTGGGAGGATTGCTTGAGCCCAGGAGTTTGAGTCTTGCCTGGGCAACACAGCAAGACTCTGCCTCTAAAATAATAAAAATAAATAAGTAAATAGGAATGTAATATACCAAGATGTTAAAAGCATTAATCTCTAGACAGCAGGAGAAGTATCTTTTTAGTTTTCCACATTTTCCTTATTTTTTACAATGAATGTACATGACTTTTAAAATAAGAAAAAAAATCATTCAAAAGAAATTAGCACTTTGGTTATATTTTATTCTGACTTCCTCATTAGAGTATGCCAGCAGATTAATAGAACTAACAAAGGAGCCTAAATTCTGCAACATTTTTTTCTAGCTCCTTTTTTATTTATTTATGCCTCAGAAGCAATGTGAATTCTCAAATTATCCTTTATTAAATCTAATCAGAGTTTTGATGGACTCCAACAAACGAGAGCACAGCATGTTAGTTACCATGTCATGCAAGAACAGAAAATAACCTGGTAGATTCTCCATGTCCCGCTACCAATGTCAGCCCTGCCAACGATCCTTACTGACGTTCCCAAAACTGACATTCCCCTTTCATTGATGTCACTGAATCAGGAAGCCGAAAAGCTGTTGCAAAATGACTGTTTCTATTGCAAAGGTTTAAAACTTTAGAGATTGAAAGGTTAAAGTTAAAAATATGTATTTTAATTTGAACAACAGATGGCCTTGGAGTGACTACAAGGCTGAATTAACTCTCAAGTCTCTATGGCTGTTTGTGGAAAGAAAAAATAAAAAAGACAACCAAAACCCTTAAAAAGCCCACACTGGAACACACAGCTCAAGTGCTGGTGACATCAGCAGAATCTCTCTGTTGAATTAGAGTCCCGAATTTGGCTTCAGAGCCATCTGTTAGCCTCCAGATAGAATAATCTTCTATGAAATTATACTGCATAGTTTCACTAATGAACATTTCCAATTGTCAGGGCCTCAGTCTCATAGCTGTCCCACCTCTTGGAGCCTCCATGGCTCCCTAAGCCCCTGTGATACACGGAGGGATCCTACTTGCTAAAGTTCACAATGGATCTGTCCTTTGAAAAGATGTGTCTTATCTTAGATTGAGTTCTATGAAAACAGTCTTTGAGATGGAGAGCTGCATGCAGAAGGTTTATTAGAAAGTGCTCTTGGGAAATACAGCTATAAGGAAATGAGGAAGGCTGCATTGTGCAAAGGGAAAAGCTGACCTACAAGGCAGTTCTAACTCAGGCCTTGCTGTCCTGTGGCGAGCTCTGTTGCTGGGAAGGGCCGTCAGAGTTGTCCCAGATTGAATCACAGAATCTTGGGTCTTTGCATCTTCATATCAGCTGTCATTGGATATCAGCTGCTCCCTGAGAAAATATTTAGTAAATGATTGCTTTATTATTATTACTATTGTTTGCTCTAGACTGAATGTTTGTGTCCCCTCAAAATTAATATGTCGAAACCTAACCCCCAAGGTGATGGTATTAGGAGGTGGAGCTGTGGGGAACTGGTTAGGTCATGAACATAGGGCCCTCATGATGGAATTAGTGCCCTTATAAGGTGCTAATAACTCTGGTCACCCTTTCACCATGTGAGAACACAGCAAGGTGGCACTGTTGATGAGCCAGAAGGCAGGCCCTCACCAGACACCACCAAATCTGCCTTGATCTTGGACAGCCCGGCTTCCAGAGCTGTGTGAAATAAATTTCTGTTGCTTATAAGGTACCCAGTTTATAATATTTTGTTATGAGGGTCAAATGGGCTAAGATATTATTAATCCCAAAGTGAGTGGATCCTTCTGCTCAACACCAGGCACCAGTTGGGGAGCTTTGGGGCCATTTGTATGGGTGATGAGGAAGGATAAAGGGCTGAGTAGAACACAAGTCAGATGTGCAGTGCTGGAATTAACAGAAAGGCAATGTCACCCTGGCATGCCTATGCACATGTACGGAATATCAAAATGTGGGGAGAAGGCAGCCACCCTACCCAGCAGCGATGAAGTCCTAGAGTCTACTGGCTTGGGCATCTTGCTGCTCTAACCAGAAAGCTCCGCGTCTGGGCTGCTGCCAGAGTGGGTATAAGTAGTCCCTTTTTAGGCAGAACATTATCTAGATTGGATTACATGCTTGTAAACTGATCAGTGCATCTTCATATGCTGTCAAGCATCTGAGTTCAAACAATTGAACTATTTTAATAAGATTAGCAACTTGGCCCTTTCCTATAGTTTTTCTCTCTACAGGATTCCATTCAGAATCCTCTGGAGAAGAGTGTCTTAGGGAAGTAGTAGGATTTCAGGATGCCCTGCATCTGCCTTCCTGAGGCAGATACAGCTAAAAAAGACCTTCATGTCCACTAGAACCACCTGTACACCCCAAAATGTGCCAGAGAAATGTGCCCAAAGTCAAGGGAGTGGTATTGTGGACAGGAGGTTTAATAGGATTAATATGTATTCTTGGTTGGTAAACCTTGCAATGAGTGTGCTTATAACTCACCCATGGATTGAGAGCCAATCTCTGCCTCCAAAGGCTAGAGTGTAAAAAATGGCCAGATGGCCAATAATGAGGCAGAATTTCATAATAATATAATGATTAAGGGTTTGAAATAAAGGTTATGGAATTGCACAGATCTGCTTTTCAAATTTCAGTTCCTCCACTTACTAATTTTGAAAACTTGATGAAGTGATTTAACATCTCTAAATCTTACTAGTTTCCTCCTCTTTAAAGTGGGATAACAATGCCTACTTGTGGCAAATGGACCTAAGCCAGTTTGCTCATTCACAAATACTAGATCCTTCGAGGATTATGATTGGGTTCTTTTTAGTAGATGGTAGGTAGATGGTAGATGTTATAATCGTTGCAGGTAGAAGGCTTTCAGTTTCCTCCTCAAAATTTCTCTACCAGGTGCTACTTGCTACATGAAAGCAAGTCTCAGGCCAGATTCTCAAATTCTTCCAGATAGGTAGGCACAAAAACAGTCATCTAACTCATTCTGTAAGTGTGACAAAATCCCAGCTCTCTCTGTAATTCTCTATTGGTTAATAGGACAATTTTTAGAGGTAGAATTCAACTTAAATTTCTAGTAGATTCTAGGTAACACCAGCCTCTCTTCAGAATCCTAAATCTAGGGATTCTTTTTTGAAGCAATTGGGCTATTTTAGTAAAGGGGGTGTGTCTGTATGATACTTATAGACAGTGCAGTGCCTGGAACACTTTTATTTATTTCACCAATGAGAAATGATTTCTAACATTTTTATGCTAATGAATAAACCTTTGGTGTTGACCAGAAATCATGATAGCTAAAGAATAAAGTAGTTCTGTGGGAACTCTTTCTGGAATACTGTATTCTAATATAGTCTCACAAAAGCTAGTCATTTTTGGAGAGTGTTTTCCTGATTAGAATTCTTTGAATATTAATTGACCACCCTAAGGTGGTTTTAATTAGGGCAATTAACTAGGGTAATTAACTACTTTAAGATGTGGATTAAAATACGTATGCAAACACTCTCTCACAGACAAACTACTGTCTATGCTGATATATTTTAAAGTTAAAGACCACATAGAATGTCTCATAGAATTAAATGACATAATCAAGTGGTAACTGACAGCCTGCCCTGATTTATGGGAATGAATGATACTTCTTTGGTGGCCACCAGAAATACATTGACGGTGGGGGAGTTTTTGCAAGGGATTGGAATTCTTGAGTCAACAGCTAAGGGGTGGGTGTAGAGAGCTTTAGATGTTAATGTTAATGTGATATTGATAGATATCACTAGAGGGTAAACTCCATAAGGACAGGAACATTTCCCCTTTATTTCCCTGCTGTATTTCAGTGTTTAGAACAGTACCTGGTATATTGTAGTTGCTCAATAGATAGTTGTTGAATGAAGGAATGAATAAATTTTAAAAATCTGATCTGATTCTTTTGAGGATGTTCAGGAGTTAGTGCAGTGCTAGGCATAGAGTAAATGCCTAATGAATGTTTACTAATTAGTATGAATGAATGAATGAATGAATAAGCAATTGAGTGAACAAGTAAAAGAATTTCCTAAAGGATATTGTCAAACTAGATCAATATAATGCTGCACAGAAATTTAATTTATGCTGTGTTTATAGCAACTCTAGCGATGATATTTTAGATAAGATGGCCTGAGCATAGTGGCATTATAACCAAATGAATGTCTCTATCTGAAGAATACAGGTTAAGAGACCCATATTGAACTGAAGAAAGGGCTCTATAGTAGTCGTTGGAAGGCTCCCTTCTAAGCTCATCAGAGTCTCCATGTAGAGATTGCCATTTTCCACGTTGTATATTTTGCTTTTTATGAACAGCTCTTAATTTTAATTTTCAAATCTATCAACCTTTCCCTTTTTGGTTTGCACATTTTATACCTTGTTTAAGAAATTCTCTTCTAGATCAAGGTTAAAAATATATACTTCTTTATTTTTTATTAAAGTTTTGAAAACTTTGTCTCTCTCAGAGGTCATCAAACCATCAAGAATTGATATTTTGCATATAGTATAAGGTAGGAAAATACAATTTCATTTTCCCTTATATGGTTGGTCATTATTTAAATATAATTTTATTTAGTCCAATAACTACATTTTATCATTTCCATCTAAATCTTGACTAGAGGCTTTTTTGGGAAGTGGAAAGGGCAGGTTGTACAAGTCATGTTAATTTTATCCTCCCAACTTGTGTAAATGGGAGCCTGTGCTTAGGGATTTGGTGAGAGGAGAGATCCTTCCTCCCATACTCCCTCCTTTCCAGCTCCAACTGTCTCAAGTCTGAGACAGGCCATGACTTTCTTCTCATTGCAAGTTCATTAATCATCTAAGGAGGATGTCAACCTTTGGGTTGTGGGAAACTTTATTCTAGAATCTCTGCTTTACCTTCTCATTCTGCTTTATTCCCTCACATCTCATGTCTGCCCCAATAAAACCAAGGCTTTTTGCTACCAGGAGTAAGGAATTTTAGTACTAGATTATTTCTCCTTATTGTTGATTCTGGCCTCAAGGGCTTTGGGAATTCCCTTTAATCTCCTGAAAGCTCATTCATGCATTAATTTTTTTTTAATTTAATTCAAATTTGTAGATGTTCTGAACCATGAGGAAGTCTGCAAAAACCTAGTCTTTCACGTTTTCACGTTGCTGAAATAGAAGTCTATGGTATCTTTTTTGTTTATTTATTTATTTTTTGTTTTGGGGGTTGGTTTGTTTATTTCATCAGTGCCTTTGGAGACTAATGTTTTTTACACTCACATCTTTGATCCATACAGACTTAATTTTGATATAGTAAAGGGTATGGTAGGGAATCCTGCTTTATTTTTTCAAAGTCATCCAGTAAACACAAAACAACACTATTTATTGAATAATTCACAGAATGGAAGTTTTAGAATGTAAATACTCAATATGTGATAGGGAAAAGAACACTAATACAAAGTATAAAATCTTCCAAAGCAAGGCCAACCCCTATTATTACTGTCTTACCAGTCTGCACTGGATGTGGTCAGCTTCTTGAATCACCAGGGCTGTCCATGCTAGAGATACTTCCATCTCTTTTAGCTCAAAATATTTACAGAAATACATATACTGTTGGGAATATAATGGAGGATATATAATCAACTTTTTCATGTTCATTGTTTTGTTACTATACATAGTAGATGAGTTTCAGAAAAGTTGTATTACATTAAAATCATATTTTTAGTTCCCCTGGCAAGTGTTCTCTTTAAAGGGATTTTACTTTGAATTATTTTTGAAAATCATCTTAAAGGGTAAATAATGACTCCCTAATTTTTCTATGATGCAAATAAGAGTTTTTATTTACTAAGTTTCTCAATGCAAGATATACTTGCATAATGCAGATTCTTTTCTAATACAGGAGAAAAAAATGAGGAGGCTAAATTTTAAAAGCAAATCAATGTGTATTTTAAAAAATGCGATTGTTGGAATACAGACTTAAAGACATTTCTTAAGGATCATTTACATGAATCCAATTTGCTTGCCTCTATATGAGAGGCAACATTTTGGGTGATTTTTTTTTTCAAAATCTAATTTTTAAGCTTTGTAGGGTAGGTGCCAAATGGTATTTTAAAAACACACATTTAAAAAAGGAAGAACGTGCAGTTTTGCCTGGAGTACAGA
This sequence comes from Homo sapiens, assembly GCF_000001405.40. NCBI lineage: Eukaryota > Metazoa > Chordata > Mammalia > Primates > Hominidae > Homo > Homo sapiens. The sequence continues at coordinate 27,609,177 of NC_000011.10, forward strand.
TGGAGCCTGTGTCAATTGAAGGCATTTTGCCTAAGGACACAGAGAAAATCACTTCTTCATAAAGACCATAAACTCCACTCATGTTTCTGTTCATTTTAATTTGTAGAAAGTGGGAAGAAATCAAATAGGGGGGCATACAGGTTCATTTGTTTAAATAATCTCATCACTCAAATTTTATATCAGTTATGCTCTAAAAATTATTTGACCCCCAAATCAGTAACGTAATTTTTATATGAAAAAATATGGTCATTTCTGGTTATTTCTTGTTGCTTCTCTTACTGATTTTTTTTTCTGTCATGTACTGTGTATTGTGTAGATAGGGCCCAATTCTATTCCATCTCCATACCTCATACATATCTTTTATATCTCCTCACTTTGGTCCCCTGCAGCATACCTTATATTAGTAATTTAAAAAATGATGATAGTAACCCTTATTCCCTGTGCCAGGCATTGTGCTCAGGACTGTACAGGTAACTTTTCATTTAAGCTGCAAAACAGAAATGAGGAACCACAGAGTATTTGAGAGACAAGAGGCAGAGCCAGTATCTGAGCATGCGCTTTGGCTTTTAAAACCCCTTCCCTTTACCACTCTGCCGATATTCTTTATAAAGACATAAATGTGAAACTGCTGGTAAGAAGATAATATAAATCTTCATTGATTGACATGGAAATGTGTCTATTATAAATTGCTATGTAAAAAACTCAGATTGTAATACAGGGTAGGCATCAGGATCCCATTCTTTTAAAAATAAATTTGCATATGTACAAAAATGGCTGGAAAGATAGATTCCTAAATGTTAATAGCAATTCCCAGTGGTTTAAAATATTCTTCTTTAAATTTTTGGATTTCACTTTTCAGGGAGCGTTTTTCAGTCATGGTTCTTTATTGCAAGCAACAACTCTGGGGGAAAAAAAAAGCAGCAGCACATGGCCAGACGTGAGATCTTTGGTTTTAATACCATGTGCTGCTGTATCATTTATAGATGATAATCTTTTTCATTTTATTTCTTCCTTCTACTTTTGATTATTAAGCCAATTCTCATATTATCAAATATTTGGGACAAAGTTAATCCTGCCTGGCAATAATTTCTCATCGGTTTTCTATTTTTAAAGATTAACTCATTTTAATCTGTTCTCCCTGTGTCATTAATATTGTAGTGGCATCAAGCTACAGCACAAACTGACCTGTATGAAAAAGGGAAATGTATTGAGTTATAACTGGAGCACAGAGGTTGAGTCAGAGATTCTCAGTGTCATCAGGGTATTGAAACAACTTCTCTGTGATTCCTTTCCCTCTACTCTCCCCGCTTTGATAGGCTCATTCGCATTCTGCTTCCTCATCCTTGTATAAAAAGCTGCAGCTATTACAGTCTCCACATCCTTACCTTCCTCTCTTCAGCTGGAGAAAGACCATCGCCCCTGATAGGTCCTGGGAAACCATGAAGAAACTTCTTTCCTAGAGAAACCTCAGCAAATGTCTGTTTCTTATTTGCCCAAATAGGGTCACCTGTAAATTCCTGAACCAATTTCTAAATATCTAACTACTAAATACCAAATTCATTACTCAATACTAATTACCATGAAGCTGAGTTGGGTGGGTAGGTCTCCAAAGGGAAATTTGGCTGCTGTTAGTAGGGGAAGAGGAAAATGAAGGCTGGGAAGCCACTCATTCTCACTGGCTTTTATATCCACCCCCCAGTACCCCCACCCTCCCAACTGCCACTCTTAACTCTTCCTTACTTCATTTTTGTGACAGTTTTATTCCACCTACCTACTGAATTATTTTCCTCATTAAGGTTTTATGACCACTTTAAGAATCTAACATAACTTGCTTTTGGCCACAACATCAAACCCAAACTCTCATATCCATTTAAATTTTTCCCTCCCCAACCATTCACCACCACTTGATCTATTATCCTAAAACAGCTCTCACTTTGCCCCTTCTTTACTGAAAGTTGTCTGAGTCCTGGCTGCATAACAGGTGATGTTCATTCACCCTATCCTGTCATTTGAAAATTTTGACAATCTGGCCTCATCTACAATTTAACTTTTTCTCTTGTCCTTCCCCTTACTATTTCTAGAAAACACCATATTCTTTCTTACCTCCACAACTTTGAAAACACTGTCTCTTTCCATCTGGAAATCTTTCTTTTCATAGATTTGGATAACTAAGTAACATTCTATACCATATATTTCTGCATACTTATGTCTTTTTCTGTGAATTATAACTGTTCATAAAAACACAAACTAGCAATATTTATATGAAGGCATGTTTCATTCATTAGTTTATACACTGATCGTGGTCTATAAGGTTCTGCATGAGCAGATGTCCACCTACCTCCCAGTCTTGTGTCACATTCTCCTTTTTCTTGCTTGCTATGCCTTACCACACAACAAATGCCTAATGCTGTTTCCTGTTTTAGAAATTCCATACACATATCCTCCACCCAAAATGCTCTTTCTCCACTTCTTCACCTGAATAAACTCTACTCCTCTTTTAGGTGTCTCCTTGAATGTCATTTCTTTAGAAAGACCTCTGACTCTCAAAAGCTTTGGTCCTCCTGTTATGTGCTTTTATGGGACCCTTTACTTTTCCTTTGTAATATTTATTTCAGTTGTAATTAATTATCCATTCTATTATCTCTTGAATGCTTATTACTCTTAACATACTCTAAACACCTAACACGATAATTAGTACTGGTGGATGCTCCATTCTTTTTTTGAATAAATAATGGTGGATACTTTTTCTCCACAGCAGTGCTTTTTTTCATTAATCTTCACTGGCTAACAGGTGCTGCATAATCTAACATTGCTTTTATTTTTGGATAAAGCATTGCATTCAAATCATTTCATTAGATTTAGAAGTCTTCCTGGAAATAGACGTGAACTACCAACTCTAGAGCTTTGGAGGTGACTTTACTTCCAGCTCTTCTGCTGTCTTCTCCTCCCGTCCTTGATCATCTCACTTGCCTAACAAGTGAGTCATTCACATAACATTTAAGAAGAAACTCCCATTTGCTACTTTGTGTCCTGTTTGATGTCTTCTTTTCCTTAAGGACAAGACACAGGATAAAAGATAAGTATTACACGAACATGTCTTCATCATGCCTGGCCTTTTCCAATCAGTATTCCAAATATATACATGCATATAATGCACTCTGTTCATTTCAAATGAGATCTAATTAAATGCTATTTTATACCAAATATCAAAAATCCAATTAGCTATTCAAGTAGACTCCAGAATTTTTTCTGTTTGGCCATTCTTACTGAATATTTCAAGATTTATTGAGTCAAAATTTTATACTATTTAAACTGAGGCTACAGAGTTTCAGAATGAGTTTTAGAGAAACTAATTCCAGGTGTATTCTTACTGATCCTATGATATCTTTCTGTGAGAAATATAGGACAAATACTTCTCTTCTGACTTCAAAAAATGAAGAAATAGGGATTATGTCAATAGCCCACTTCTCTTTGGAGCAATGAAAATGTTCTAAATCTTGGCTGTTCAATATGGTAGCACTAGCGACATGTGATTATTGAACACTTGAAATGTGATTAGTGCACTGAGAACCTGAATTTTAAATTTAATTTAATTAACTTAAGGTTACATAGTCGCATGTAGCTAATGATTAGTGTATATCACAGCACAGCTTTATATGCTCAAAGTGATGGATAAATGGGCTTCTGGATTTGTAAAAGAAGAGAGTCAAGAAGGGACTGTTAGCCAAGCGCAGTGGCTCATGCTTGTAATTCCAGCACATTGGGAGGCTGAGGTGGAAGAATTGCTTGAGGCCAAGAGTTTGAGACCAGCCTGGACAACATAGTGAGATTCCATCGCTACAAGAAAAAAAAAAGATTGATTGTTAATTCTGGTTCTCTCCTCATTTCTCATTCAGGTGAGGGGACAATTCACAAGCAGACACTTGTTTCTAATAGGATGTCCTGACTATGTGAGACATTCCATGCCCTAAAACTACACATCACCTCATCGGAAACACTGAAAGACAGACTTCTGCCAAAATAATTTGCTAAGCTTGTTTAAACAGACAGGCTGGGTTTCTTCTCTCTCATAAGACTCAGATATAGAAATGTTTAAAGGGTTCCGAATCATACCAATAATATGAGCACGTATTATGGCTGAGTGTTTGTGGAAATATTGCACATCCACCCAACTCATCACCTGTTAAGTCACATCTTTGTTTAATTTTCAAAAATGAAATGATTCATAGTCATTTCATTCATGGGAATTGGTGCCAGTTTATTTCTGGGAGTTCAATTGCCAGCTTCTGGAATTGAGACACAAATATCTTAATATAAACAGGCTATATGCAGGAGCTTTCAATCTTCTTTCCCCTTGGAAAAGCACCAGTAATTTCATATTTGGTCTAATAAATCAGTTTCCGGAAGAATGTTTGCTGACGTCATTTTTTATATCCCTCATGGATTTTATATGGAAAAACAGCCTGGTCATGTTCAAAGCAATAGATTAGTTCTGGTAGTGTCTTTCGGCCTGTGGGAGCCCTCATTCCTCTGCAATCACGGTTTGGGAGTGGTTCTATATCCTGATACAAGAGAAATGCTTTTGTGAAAGGCAGCTTTGGAGGTATGTTGAGCAGAGAAGCTGGAAACTGATCTCCTTAAAACATTGATTTCATCATGTCTGTGTTTAAGTTGTGGCTGCAGTTTGCTATTTTCGGAGACAAGGCCAATGTCAGCCTGTATTCAAAGCTCTCTGTAGTAAAGCAATTTATACTTACTAGGTGAACCACACTGCAAAGGCCCTTCTACCTCACATTTAAAATTTTATCTATGTGAATTTTGATGAAGATTAACAGTAAAGGAAGGCTTGAAGCCAAAGAGATGAGAAGATTCCACCAAAAAAAAAAAAAAAAAAAAAAGCAACATGCAGCATAAACATACTTAAAAAGAAGAGAGGTTTTCTGTCTGGAGCCCACACTGCTGTGATTGTATGTTTAGGAGAACAGGGTGATTTTCATTCATCCTGTAGCTGTTTTCCATGCTCCAATTCTAGTAATTCATAATACACCTATTAAGCACCTACTGTGTGCATAGAACTGGGCTCAGTGGTACAAGAGAATCTGTTTTCAGCCTCATTGGCTATTTTAAGCCATGCATTTTAAATGAATCTTTATTTAAAACAATTTCAAACACAGGAAGATTGAGAGACTAATACAATGATCCTTTATGTAGTCATCACCCAGCTTTAACAATTAGCAAGCATTCATCATGTTTGCATCACTTATTCTTTTCTGTTGTAGTTATTGTTGCTAAATATTTTTAAGCAAATCCCACATTTGATGTGACTTCCCAACACATTTGTGCATATCTCTAAAAAATATTAGCATTTTCTCCCATAACTACAGTGCCATGATCACACCCAAGAAAATTGAGAATATTTCCCTGTACCCTCCAATAACCAGTCCATATTCAAATTTTCCTACTTATTAAAAAAATGCCTTTTTAAAAATTAGTTCGTTCAAATCAGGAACTAAACAAGGCCTAACATTACATTACATTAACATAGCCATTACCATAACTGTAAACATTACATTAATCCAATCCAAATTTTCTTTTATATATAATATACTTTTATATAAAAATATTTTTATTATATTTATAGAATAAACACACACAAACACACATATATTTGACATGTTGAAGAAATTTGGTCAGTTGTCCTGCAGTCCCTGCACTCCAAAATTCTAAATTTTTCTGTTTACTTCTTTGTGGCATCATTTATCTTAATCCTTTATCCCTCCATTTTCTTTTCTCATTTTTTTTTCTTTTCTGAGATAGAGTCTTGCTCTGTTGCCCAGGCTGGAGTGCAATGGCGTGATCTCAGCTCACTGCAGCCTCCACCTCCCAGGCTCAAGTGATTCTCATGTCTCAGCCTCCCAAGTAGCTGGGATTACAGGCATGAGCCACCATGCCCAGCTAATTTTTATATTTTTAGTAGAGACAGGGTTTCACCATGTTGGCTAGGCTGCTCTTGAACTCCTGGCCCAAGTGATCAGCCTGGCTTGGCCTCCCAAAGTTCTGGGATTATAGACATGAGTCACTACTCCTGGACCCTCCATTTTCAATAAACTTGAAAGTTTATGTTCAATTTTTCTTTTGGCAAGCATGCAGTACTTCAAAAGCGGTGCTATGTGCTGCACATTGTATCACATCAGGAGGCACACAATGTTGTTCATACCACTCTCTAAGCATCCTCCATCTTCCCCTACGAAGTTTAAGAGAACCTTGGGGAAATCATTTAACCTTGCAGAGCCTCAGCTTTCTCATAGAGACAATGGGGATAATAGTAGTACACCCTTGCAAAGTTTAGTGTAAAGATTACACTATGTAATCTTTGTAAAGACCATAACATGGTGCATAGTACACTGAAAAATATAAGAGACCTTAACTTATTATGAATAAGGCATGCAAAGTAGTTAGTACAGTACACTGGTCTAGGAGAGTGTTAATAATGTTAGCTATTATTGCCTTTATAAATTATTTTGGCTGAACAGGCCAGGTAAATTTCATTGAGTAGACAGTATTTGAAGGATGAAATGAAAAGGCATAGACCGCAACACACTAAGCCTCAGAGAAACCTCTCTGATAAGTTTCTTTGTAGGACTAGATTATAAACTTCAAGATGGCAGGAATGTATTAATTATTTATCCATAATATGTAGTTCAATGCATGGCCCTCAATAATATATGAGTAAAAAATCCTACACAAACTCAACTTTAGACTGGCTGGTGTCTTATTGTGAAGTCCCCTGCCCCCATCCCTATGATACCCACATAACATCCCCTTATTCCCAGCTCTGGACACTTGCCTCTGCCATTTCCACTGCTTAGAAGACCTAGGCCCAGCCAGGCACAGTGGCTCATGCCTGTAGTCCCAGCACTTTGGGAGGCCAAGGAGGGCAGATCACCTGATGTCAGGAGTTCAAGAGCACCCTGGCCAACGTGGTGAAACCCCATCTCTACTAAAAATACGAAAATTAGCCAGGCGTAGTTGCGGGCGCCTGTAATCCCAGCTACTTGGGAGGCGAGGCAGGAGAATCACTTGAACCCGGGAGGCAGAGGTTGCAGTGAGCCAAGATTGTGCCATTGCACTCCAGCCTGGGCAGCAAGAGTGAAACTGTCTCAAAAAAAAAAAGAAAAAAAAAAAAAAAAGACCTAAGCCCTCTGATTCTACCAATGTAAGTTGGACCAGTTCTTCCATGTCTTTCTCTTACCTGTGTCCTTTGGGAGGACTTTTCTGAGACTGTTCCACCCTATATCCCACTTTTTCTTTTCTCAATACCTACATCATACTCTTTGTTCACAAAGTTTGATGCTTATACTTTACAGATTTGTAGGTTGTCTTGCTTTCTAATAACTCCCTACACTTCCATCTTATTTCCTCTAAATAAATTGTAAACTCTTTAATGGGTGATGTGTTAGTCAGTTTTTGCTTTGTTACAAAGAGATATCTGAAGCTGTGTGCTTTATGAAGGAAAGAGGTTTAATTGGCTCACGGTTCTGCAGACTGTACATGAAGCATGGTGCCGGTTTCTGCTTCTGGAAAGGGCTTCAGGAAGCTTACAGTCATGATGAGGGGGAAGGGGAGCCAACATGTCACATGGTGAGAGGGAGTAAGAGAGAGGAGGGGGAGGTTCCACACCCTTTTAAGTAACCAGATCTTGTGTAAACTAACAGAACGAGAACTCACTCATCACCAAGGGGATGACACTAAGCCATTCATGAAGGATCCACTCCCCTCATCCAATACCTTTCACTAGGCCCCACCTCTAACACTGGGGATTACATTTCAATGTGAGGTTTAGAGGAGACAAACATCCCAACCATATCAGCTGAGTTGGTGTTTTCTGCCTTTCCATCTTCTATTCTCCTCTTACCCAATACTCATTCCCAACCGAAACACCTGGCACAGGAGTAGACACAGTAGAACTTCATATAAGTACTACCTGCTAATTTAGCATCTCCTTATTACACCTTTTTCAATGTACTTGGGAACTCAAGGACATGGTCATCAATACACTGCCTGGATGAGAGTGGCATATCCCTACTACCACTGCATTATGATTGTCTGCTTATGTGCCTGTGTCCCTATCAAACTGATAGAGTCCTGGAAACAGAGATTATGGATTTTTACTTCTGTTGCCCTAGGAACTTGCACAGGGATTGGCACATCACAGATAATCAATCAATGATGAATTTAAGAAATTGTGGGCCAACCAATTTGATGAAATTCACTTTTGCCTAAAAAAAAAATTTGACTGACTATTTAGACTAGTTCAGTCAACAAAGTAAGATGTTTCAACCATTTACACATATGGGCCCAGCCCTCATGAGAATATGAAACATATTTTTAGGAGTCAGATAAAATTAGAACTAAAATTGAAATGGAAGAAAAATATTAAAGACGGCCATTGACTACTAATGGCTTTATTGTTCTACTCAGGAGCATCATGGAGCTTTCAAGGTTTTAAACTTAAAGAAAAACTCTTAACAGTAGAATTTAAAGCAGGAGAGAGAGCTAGCTTGAGGCCTCTTGGTACTGCTTAATTCACACTCAAGAGATATCTCTCTTCTCTCTTCTGGAAGCTATACTATTGTTCCTCCTTCCCCACCCAGCGACCAAAAAACAAAGCAGCTTCAAGTCCTGGAAAGTACAGAAGAAAAATCTTCTCTGCTCATGTTGTAGGTGTGTTTCTTCCACTACTTGGGGTGGAATTCATCAACCAGGTTGGGGCATGTCCAGGCTGTGTTCCACACATCTTCTCCTGAATCCTCAGCCCAAGCAGAAATCAGACACCTCCATGCTGTCCTTTAAGAGAAAAGCTGGCATTTCAGTGTTTTAAACATTGGCATATTCTGGTTCAATGGCCCAGCTAGATGTAAGGAAGGTGTGTTACCCAATTTTTTTCATGCTTTGAACCAAAAAGATGTTCTTCCTTATGTTTTACTCCACCTGACCATTGCCTGGCTTGAAGAAAAAAAGAGAACACTTTTCAGGAGCTGAGAAAATTGGCATTGATTTAACATAATTTAGTTAAAAGTTAGTTCTCCCCTGCCATGAGCCACAGCTGATTATTTAGAGAATTATTACCATTCATTGTTCATTGAGTTTTATCTTTCTAAATTTTCACTGATTAGCATGATTTGTTACTAGGAAAAATATTATGATTTTAATTGCATTTTGGCATCTTAAAAGAATGTTTCACACTGCTTAACATCTGCAGTCAACAGATGTTTAAACACAACTCCCTCAATGACTAAAATTTGGCAAAATGTATAATAGTTGGAACAGCTTAAAATTCTAAATATACTTCTAGGAACATGATACAGGCAGATGAAATACTACTTGTGTGTGTTTTATATTAAATATTAAAATATTACATATACCATCCCTCTCGGAGATGACAGGTTTCAGGGAAAAAAACAACAGCCAAGAGATGTTTCAACCCTACCATACCAGATATATTCTATCTATAAGCAGGGCTATGTCTTATGGTCACTGTCAACTGCAGTGGGGACCCTTTTTTAAGTGCTATTTATTGTGGTTAACTCTAGAGGCTGGCAGAGGCAAAGCTGTGAGACAGACACGTTTGTCCCTTTTGCTTCCCCTTTTGGCATCCTTCTTTTCTCTGACTCAGATCCTCAGGAGCTTTCATGAAGATATATTCTAAGATTAATATGTCAGACTTGAGTTTAAGTTAATTGGTCAGCCTTCAGTTAATTGGGGCAAAGATTCATTCATATCAGAGTGTGTGTGTGTGCGTGTGTGTGTGTGTGTGTGTGTGTGTGTGCACGTGTGTGAGTGTGGTGTCTGTCTGCTGTCTGTTTCTCAAGGCAGGGGTTCAGAGAGGAGAGAGGATGACCCAATTAGCATTTCATCAACTATTTGACCAACCATTTAAGCCGTTATGTTTAGCATGGCTTAAAGAAATCCAGAGAAAAATCATGAATTTCATTTCGATCACAACTTTTAACAGTCTGCTCCTATGGGCACTTTATGACAGTTGATGACTCGGGGCTTAGCAGAGAGTTGCTTCCTGTCCCCTTGTTGAACTCATCCCCAATGAAAACGCCATTTCTACATCAAGAATCCTAGAGGCTGTAGCAGCAAGAATGAGAAATCCACATTTTCTGTCCCTGGATGGTTAAGTTCACAGTCACAGGAACTGTGCAGATATAAAGACTTTCAATCAATGTATCTCTGCCTAAGCTTATGAGGTCATTCTGTTCTCTGTTACTGATTTAAGTCAGTAAATTTTGAGTACAGCCGATTACTTAATATATTATGGGTGGGTCTACTCCAATCAATTGAAGGCCTTAGGAGCAAAGACTAAGGTTTCCTGAAGAAAAAAGAAATTGGCCTCAAAACTGCAGCATAGAAACCCTACTAGAATTTCCAGCCTGGCCTGACCTGCAGATTGTGGACTCAACACTGACTGAAACATCAACTCATCTGAATTTTCAGACCACCAGCTTGCCCTACAGATTTTGGACTGGCTGGCCCCCACAACTGAATAAGCCAATTCCCTAAAATCTCCTCTCTCTCTCCTCTCCCTCTCGACTAGTACACATGTGTATATGTAACATCTGGATTCAGAGAAAGTGACTATAGCCAGGAGGAAGTAGAATCATGGAGAGATAAATAGGACTAGGCTATGAGAAGTGCAATGCAGGTGGTCCATCAGGAAGGGGAAGCAGCTTGTACAAAGACCAGGAGATGGGGGTCTGTGCTTTTGAGGGGGAGAATGGAGGGAGAGAGCCTGAGAGTCTGAGTCTGGAGACTGTGTTAGAGAGCAGTGAGTACTAAGACTGGATGGATTGGTAGGACCCAAGAACTGATGTGTAGAAAAGAGCCTCTTCTTTTTTTTCCACGCAGGGGGCTTAGAATTATTGCATTTTTTAAACACTGAGTCATCTTTTCTGTAGTACTCTACAACAGAGTCCACTTCAGACTGTGCAGCTGTCCCCAGCTATCACCATATCCTCTGTCTTTCATATCTATCCTAAAAGGCATTTGCTCTTCCTAAAAGGGATGCCCTCCAAAGAAATTTTAAAAGAATCTTATCAAGGGGCCCTGGAGAAGAAAGGGATGTGAGGGTCAAGTCACAACTTTGAGGGGAAATAGAAAGAGGGCTCCTTTCTGAGAAAGAAGAATTTCAAAGAGTCCAAGAGAACCAAAAATTCAGGACCCAGGAGGGTAAGCATTCCTGTTTTTGCAAGCTTCACAGACCATTTGAGTGAGTGGGTTTTTCAGGTGACATTTAAATGAACAAATAATATCCATGTCTCAGGGTCAGAAATGGTACTTTGCAACTGATTCTGTCCCTCTTGAGAGGCTTCTGCAAGACTGAGAGGGTGGGATGACTTAATGAACATTAAAAACAATGTTATTAGGCTGGATATGGTGGCACATGCCTGTAATTCTAGCACTTTGGGAGGCTGAGGTGGGCAGGCCCAGGAGTTCAAGACCAGTCTGGGCAACATGGTGAGACCCTGTATCTAATAAAAATACAAAAATTTAGCCAGGCATGGTGGCACACACCTGGAGTCCCAGCTACTCAGGAGACTGAGGTGGGAAGATCACCTGAGCTCAGGAAGTCGAGGCTGCAGTGAGCCAAGATTGCACTACTGCACTCTAGCCTACATGGATAGGAGTGAGACCTGTTTGAAAAACAAAAAACAATCAAAAACAAAAAAAAACAACCCACACAATGTTATTTTTAAAATACTGAGGGGAGAGAAGTTGGGGAAAAAAAGGGAAAACCTAAAACTCTCCATAATCCTACCATCAGAAAATTACACTAATGTGATAAGTGACTTTCTCCCCTCTGAATCTCCAATTCCATTACTTGTAGTAAATATGAATCTTATTCCACAAACTCAGACATGCAAAAAAAAAATACCACTTTACTTTTTACATAAAATTAATTCTAAGCCTATAGCAACTCTCTTTATCATATTAGGTAATTAGGAATTTGGTCTCAGATATTATTGTCACCCTCAGGGATGGACAAGGGTCTCAGGGTTTTGTGTAGCACCAAACCCTAATAAGATCTCTTCAGCCATTGAACTTACTCTACAATATTAACTGCTGAGGTGTCCATGGTCTCAGACTACAAGGTGTCTTCCGGTTCTGGCTTCTCTGCTGCCGCTTTTCAAATCAGGAGAATCTTTGGTGAGGCTTTGGAATTCCCAGCTCCCTAGCCCAGCCTCCCTAGGGTCTTCCTCCTCATCAGAGTGCTCCAGAATTCAGACTAGGATTCCATTCACACTCCAAACACCTTCCCTTCTCTCTCCAGTTCCTCCAGGACACCAAGCATAATCTCCTCAATGGGTTTAGGTTTTACAAAATTCAGTACCAGAATCGGAAGTGTCTTGCAGACAACTTTGGCTTCTGGCCCTATGACAAACATCTCCCTTGTGGCAGGAGGCCACAAAAAGCCCTGACCATCTGCTTACAAGGGAGGAGGGGAAGAAACACTGGGAGGACAAACACAAGTTAATATTCCAAAAATTATACCACTACAAACTGTTGACCGTTTTCTAAGTCTCTTTCCAGAATGTTCTTGTGCTTATAAAGCAAAAATCTCTCTACACATAAGCTTTTCTTTTTTAAGCAAAAAGGGGATTGTACTATATATATGCAGTTACAGCTTGCTTTTTTTTTCACATAGTATAGTGTGGACACTATACTATGTGAAATAATAAGGACACTTCCTAGAGTGTCCTTATTTTATTTGTGACATTGGGTACTGCTCCACTGATGGGTACTCAGGTGGTTTCTATTGTTTTGCTCTTTCACACAGTGCTGTATTGTGCACGTACTTGTACGTCTCTGTGTTCTTTTTCTATCATCACTTTCTAGAAGTGAACTGACTAGGTTGACCAAGTGGCTAGTGAATCAATACAGAAGTTTATTTGCAAACAGGAGCATAGTTATCTGTTTCTCTGCACTGCGAGCCCCGGCCAACTCTGGTGGGTTGGTTAGCATATGCTGGTTTTAGAGAAAGAGCCTGAAAATGCATTTCTCAAGATCGTAGTCTTCATGCATTTGATAAAGTTGGTGGAGTTGGTGCAAAGATTATTCTAAAAGTCTCTCTAATTAGCCTTGGTGAATAGGACTCTCATTATTAGTGTATAGGAAACAATAATCTGGGCTTTACAACTAACTAGCTAAGAGACCCTGGACAAACCATGTCCACCTCGAGGTCTCAGGTAGATCATGTAAAATGGAGATGGGACACAGATAATCTCCTAAAGACTTCCTGAAGTGATATCATACATATTGTTATACATACTCTGCATTCCTAAACATACACTGTCCTGGGCAGGTAACAAGTATCTGTCTGTGGATTGATGACAGACTTTGGGCTATATTGACTTTGCTATGCCTCTTCAGTTTCCTACTTTATATTTTTGGAACGGTATAATACATTTGTGTTAGCTTGTGTTCCTCCAAAAGCTGACCCAGGGACAAGGGTTCAAGTTTAAGAGGTTTATATTTGGAAAGTGCAGGAAAGATCAGGAAGGGAGGTGGCTGATATAAGGTATGTTATCAAGCCAGCTGTCACCGGGCTTAATCCCAAAGGGCAATGCTGAGAAACAGCGTTAAAACCCATGCTTCAGAGTTATCTGCCTTTAGATCAAGGGTGCTCGGGTGTTTATACATGAAATCCCATCAGCACACCGTAATGTGCTAATGTGCTAATTACCAGCACATCTAGCCTGCCATGCAAAGGCTGAACAGCCTGCCTTGGTTTAAGGAAAAGCCTTCAGGTCAAGAGTGCAAAAAGAGTTTTCTGGAACACAGCTAAGGGATGCGGGCATGGCCACAGTGTCTACTGTGTAACTCTCACAGTTCCCCTCACACCAGTGTTGCTTTACTCTTTTGTGTCTTTGCTCATGTTGTATTCACTCCTTTCCCTTTCTGATCAATTTCAAATCCTCAGACTTCCTATGTTTGTGTCCTGCCTCTGCTACTTCCTAGCTGAGTGACTTTGGGCATGTTACTTAAGCTCTCTGTGCCTCAGTTTCCTCATCTGGAAATAGGCATAGTGATAATTCTCATCTCATTAAACAGTTGTTAGGATCAAATGGTAATGGTGGAAAGCACTTATGGCAGTGCCTACCACTTAATAAGTCTTCAGTAAATGTCATCATATTTATTATCCTTCAATAGCTACTTCAAGTGGTAGTGCCTTGAAGAAAGCATCCCTGAGACTTCAGGCAGGGTTAAGGGCTCAGGCCCCTTCTTAACACATTATGATGACACTTTCCATATGCAAGTTTATCTTCTCCTATGGACAGTGAGTCCAGGAAGGCGTCACTGTGGCTTACTCAGGTCTGCGTCCTCTGCAATTCTTGCAGGACCTAACCTGCCATTCTGTTAATGAGTAATAGACAGAGACTTTGCTTTCATTCACTCATAAATAAACCTTTGCTTTAAGATTGACCCTGAGTAAAACGTAAATTTCATCAAACTGTAGTAACAATACACTTTCTTTATCCTAACACATACATTGCCAACACTGCTCCCTTAAAACACACACACACACACACACACACACACACACACACGCACACACAAAACCACTGCTTAGTATTTCTGAAATCAGGTTGTCAGTCTAAATACTGAGATTTGTTTTTCATTTTATCTGCCTTTCTTTCACAAAGTAGGCTATTATTAAATAAATGCTAGACTCTAGTATTAAAATTGACAAATGTATGGTTTAGACCTCAAAGTGAAGGATAACTTGGAAATAGTTCTCGGTTGCTCTTCAAGAAGAAAACAGGTTCCTGGGGTGCCTCGCCATGTGGTGGATCTCACACTCCCGTCATTCTGCTAACACAATCCCAGGAGCTGATTCTGTTGCGTCTCGCAGGGTATCAGTCTCATCCAGATCAAGTATGAGCAGGGCAGACTGGTAGGTCCTAGGAGTGGGAAGGGACAGAAGAACTAATTTGATGCCATGTTGGAAGGTCAAGACAGAGATGCCAAATCAGATGTCAGGATGGAGGAGCCAACAAAATGGGCAATAGGGGACACAGTTGAGGAATGGAGTGACAGTAGCAAGAGAGTGAGAAGTAGGAACTCAGCAGAGATGCACACCCAGCCAAGAAGTTACCCTGCATTAAATGACAGTGAGCTGGCCTGGAATGGACACCCCAAAACCAAGATCCATGGCAGAGGGGACACTGGCAGTACAGGGTCTGGCCCTGGACATCAGGTGGGTGAAACTGTTGGGGATGGAGGAGAAGAAGGCATTGATGATGAACCATGAGTGTTGGGAGGGTTTAGTCAGATATTAAACATTGCCTCATTTAATTTTGCTTGAAAAGAAAAATAACTCTGGTTAGAATATTTTAGAATGCAGGCTTGCTAGTATCACTAAACCAGAAAAAAAAATTGTCAAAAATATATATAAAAAAGAAAAACAAGAGCAAATCCAGATTTGAATCCAGTCTACTTGAGTTAACAGCTGGATGAATTTGGGCAAACAATTTGGACAAGCGAGTTCTCTGCATTTAACTTTTCATCATGAAATACACATAATATTCCTGGGCTGTTGTGAGGAATTATTAAGATAAGAAGATAATGACAGCAATGGTCTACTGAATACTTAATATTTGCAGGCACAGTACCAAGGGTTTTCCCATACTTGGTCTTATTTTCTAAAATTAGCCTACAAGGTAAGTACCATAGATTCTTATTTTATAGCTGCAAATTGAGTTTCAGTGTGATTAAGTAACTTGTGCCATGTCTCGCTAAAGAATATATATAAATCATCACACATAGAATACAGTAGGTGTTTAACACATGTGAGTTTTCTCCTTTCACTCTGCTTGCAATGCTAGCCATAGAAGATTTTAAAATTGTCTGATTTTTGAAGAAAAAACCCTTGGAAGAGCACTCCCTCTCTGCTGGACTAGAGTTTAACTATCATCATGTTCTTTGTGAATTTGATAGCCTTTTAATCCACCGAGGCCATGACCTTCTTGTAATGTGTTGACTTCCTCTACCGCCAGTGTTTCTCTCGAGGGACCTCCATCTGCATTTGTTTGTGGCTGTCCCTCTCAGTGACATTTCCTCCTTTACCTGATTCTCAAGATAATTTGTTTTTCATTTGAGCTTCAGCAGCCTGAGAGATGATGTCAAAATCAATCAATCCTCCTACAAGCTTTGTAAATACAATCCCTTGGCTTTGCAGAAAGGGTATCTCTATTGCCCAGTTCTTCCTGGAGCAGTGGGGCCACCCAAAGGAGAATCAGGAGGTTAGAACACATCCTAGAACATGAAATCTCATGCATGAGGGGATGTCAGCCTCATAGCATCTGAGTCCTAGTGTGGGAAGATGGGAGCTGAGGAGGTGTCATCCCCTGGGACTTCTGGGAGCTGCAGGTGGAACCTTAGAGCCCTTGGTCCAATGTGGATAATAAGGAGCCCTGTTAGAGAGCCATAGAAACCATCCCTGAGTCATGTCTTCCTTTCTCCTTCAATATGACCTTCTCTGGGAGTCTTCTTGCGGGGAGGCAGCAATGCCTTGGAAAGTTTGAGCTGGTTTCTGATGAGAGGTTGAGGCAGGGATCTCATGGTTATCTCCTTCCTCAAAATGGAGCCAGAAGATGCAAGCCAGCTGTCATGGACTGATTGAAGCCTGTTATGGATTTGCCTTTTAATGTGTTTGTTAAAAATTTGAATCAGGTGCAACATTTAAAATGGGAGACTTCACATGAAACTCCAGATTTCTGGCTTCCCTTGAAAAATCACACCTGATAATCCTGGGCTAGCATTTCTATGGGCAAGAGTAGGCTGGATCTAGGGAAGCCTCTTCAGGTGGGGCAGGTGCAGTCCTGTGTGCCCCAGTCCCCACCTGACCCCATGCTCCCTTAGGTTACCTGTCTTGTTCCCTGGGCATTTGAGTTTTGAAAGAAGGAACGGGAAGGAAAATAACAATAGAGTTACAAGACTTACAACCTAACACAGTTAATAACAGGAAAAGTAAAAGGCGCTTCAGGTAACTATTTCCTTTACATATCACGCAAAACATCCAGTTTTGCAGAAAGATAAATTGGAGACCAGAGAAGTGAATTAAGCTGCTTAAAGTGTTGGTAAATGGTACAACCAAAATTTGAGGTTTGGTCTCTTTGACTCCAAGTCATGTGACCACAAAATCCCACTTTGCTACAGTGGCCTCCCCCAGAATCTGCTTCCCTTTGATTAACAGGATGCCCTCACGCTTCTGCATATCCAGGGCACCTGATGCCCTGTCAGATATCAAAGAGTTAATGTTATACCAGTCATCATTCTTGATACCAAGAAAATTCAAGAGGAGTCTTGTTTTTCTCTGATGCTGGCTGGCATCCTCTCTGCTCCCTGAGTCTCTAATGAGAATGTGTACAGTGGTATTCAAATAGGGTAGGAGAAACTTCTTTGTGTATCACTGAGGTCACCATTTGCATTAAGGGAAAAGAGGTTCGATGACTCTCAGTTCGGCAATTCAGCAGCCATCTGTACTTCACATCACTGGCCTGAATTTTCAGCCTCATTAAATTCTTTCAGGTCGTCTGGTCCCAATCTTTGTGGTTACCCAAGTGTATATTTATGTCTCATGAGTTATTGCCATTTCTAACCTGTGCTTAACTGCTCCCACCTCCCACTACCCTTAATTGATCTTGCAGTACTTCTGGTATTTTTTTTAAAGTCTTCCCTTTCCCAATTATTTCCAAGAGCCCACAGGGGTTACTGCATGTGTATCAGACACTGTGTCCTCTGGGTTTCTACATGGCTTCTACCTTGTTCTGTCAAAGCTCCCTGTGAACTATTTTTGCTGGGTACCACCATCTCCCACTGGACACCGCCGCCAAGAGGTGTTTAAGGTCATTTGGGGTTGCATGCACTGGTGGGTAGAATGAATGTTTCTTTCTCATGGTCTGTGTTTCACATGGCTACCAAACTGCTGGTAGTGCCATGTCTTAGGGAGCTTAGCTTGGTTGGTTTTTGTCACAACATCCCTCTGCCTCCATACATACCTTTGCATTGCTCCACAGGATTCAGAGGAGATGCCGTGGGGAACTGGGCTGAGAGATATAATACTGAGCTAGGGTTTGCTCCTTCCCTTTGATGACTAAGGCTTTATTTTTGCACCAAGACTATCTGCCTAGTACCCTCTTCCCTTAGGCTGAGTTTTCTCCCAGGTGGCTCTTTACTCCCCTGTGCAACCCTTGCTATCTTGCCTGTATTGGGCATGACTGGGTCTAAGTGATGGATATGTCTTGGTGGCTCGCAGTCAAATTGGAACCCCTGAAATCTGTTTTTTTGTTTTCTGTTTTTTTGTTTTGTTTGTTTTTTTTTTTGTTTTGACAAGGTCTCACTCTCTCACCTACTCCAGAGTGAAGTGGCACACTCTTGGCTCACTGCAGCCTCAATCTCCTGGGCCCAAGTGATCCTCCCACCTTAGCTTCCTGAGTAGCTGGCACTACAGACACATGCCACCATGTGTGGCTCATTTTGTGTATATTTTGTAGAGGTGGGGTTTTGCCATGTTGCCCAGGCTGGTCTTGAACTCTGGGCTCAAGCGATCCACCTGCCTTGGCCTCAGAAAGTGCTGAGATTACAGACAGGGGCCACCATACCTGGCCGGAACCCCTGAAATCTTAGGTGGCAGTATTTTATATAATTTTGTGTCCTTAAAGCCCAAATCACCTGAAATAGTTTTATCATACAGCCTCAACCCAGACACAGATTGGCTTAAGTGTTCCTCTAAGTGCTTGGGTATGCAGCTTCATTGTCTTCTTTCCTAAAGAAACAAGCCTGTAACTCAAAGATTTTGAAATTTGGATTCTTGCTTGATGTAAGCTGAGTAGCACGGTTATAAGGCTACAGACACCACTGCAATAGGTGGGACTCCTTGAGCCAGCTTAAGCCACAAGGAGGAAATGGAAGTGGAACCCAAGGAAAGGATTATGGCTAGGTCTTGGGAAGAAGGGATTGAGGCAGTGAACTTCCTCTTGTTCCTGCCTTCCTCTGTATCTTTATGCAGACTGTCTACCTTTGACTCCCAGTTCACAAGGTGGCATATGACCATCCCATTCTTTTCAGGTTTACATATAATAGTTCCAGAAATATGCAAGACTTTTCTAGTCCCAATTTAAAATTCCCAAGAGGAAGAACCTGATTGTTTCTGTTTAGGTCAGTGTTCATCTCTGATTCAATCAACTGTGTTCCATTCACCAAGTCTGTGTCTAAGGATCAAAGATAGACCAGAGAGGTTACAGTGAGCTGACAGCCACATACACATCCATTCTACTTGACCATTTTTTTTTTTCCCATTTTCTCACATTTACTTGTACCTTTCTGGAAAGGCACTGAGTAGAGGGGCAATACTCAAGATAAGCAATGAAAGTTAACCATAATGTTTTCTTTCTTTTCTTTTCTTTTCTTTTTTCTGTGACAGGGTCTCACTCTGTCACCCAGGCTGGAGTGCAGTAGTGTGATCTCAGCTCACTGCAACCTCTGCTTCCTGGGTTCAAGTGATTCTTATGCCTCAGCCTCCTGAGCATCTGGGATTACAGGCGCACACGACCACACCAGCTAATTTCTGTATTTTTAATAGAAACGGGGTTTTGCCATGTTGGCCAGGCTGGTCTCGAACTGTTAGCCTCAAGTGATCCCCCCACATCAGCTTCCCAAAGTGCTGGGATTACAAGCATGAGCCACTGCACTCAACCCTAACAAAGAATCCTAGTAGCTAATGTTTACTAGACATTTCGTATGTAACAGATACTGTATTGAGTGCATCACAGGAATTATCTCACCTATTACATACAAGAAGATCTTATCATTGATTATTATTATTTTCATGTGCGTCCCTGTGAAGAGACCACCAAACAGGCTTTGTGTGAGCAATAAAGCTTTTAATCACCTGGGTGCAGGTGGGCTGAGTCCGAAAAGAGAGTCAGCAAAGGGAGATAGGGGTGGGGCCATTTATAGGATTTGGGTAGGTAAGGGAAAATTACAGTCAAAGGGGGGTTGTTCTCTGGCGGGCAGGAGTGGGGCTCGCAATGTGCTCAGTGGGGGTGCTTTTTGAGCCAGGATGAGCCAGGAAAAGGACTTTCACAAGGTAATGTCATCACTTAAGGCAAGGACCGGCCATTTACACTTCTTTTGTGGTGGAATGTCATCAGTTAAGGTGGGGCAGGGCATATTCACTTCTTTTGTGATTCTTCAGTTACTTCAGGCCATCTGGGCGTATATGTGCAAGTCACAGGGGATGTGATGGCTGGGCTTGGGCTCAGAGGCCTGACATTCCTGCCTTCTTCTATTAATAAGAAAAATAAAACAAAATAGTATTGAAGTGTTGGGGCGGCAAAAATTTTTGGGGGGTGGTTTGGAGAGAGAATGGGTGATGTTTCTCAGGGCTACTTCAAGCAGGATTAGGGGCAGCGTGGGAACCTAGAGTGGGAGAGATTAAGCTGAAGGGAGGTCTTGTGGTAAGGGGTGATATTGTGGGGATGTTAGAAGAAACATTTGTTGTATAGAATGATTGGTGATGGCCTAGATACGGTTTTGGATGAATTGAGAAACTAAATGGAATAACAGAAGGAGAAAAACAGGTATAAAAGGTCTAAGAATTGGGACGACTCAGGATATCTGATTAGAGAGTGCCTAAGGAGATACAGCATAGTCCTGCCAGCAAAGATTATTTATTTACTTCAAGAGTTAACAGTGGCAGTTTGGGGATAGCACCAGGAGATATCAGCTGTGATGGCTTGGAAAAACAGTGTAAACTGGCAGTGTAAACAAGAGCAGGGTATGAGTAGTTGAGAACGGTGAATAGGAGTATGACTAGACAGAAGATAGTAGGGATGACAAGATTTTTGGGGCACAGTCTAAGTTGGTCTGGTGTCTGGAATGAGACCGGGGCCTAATAAAAAGGAGCATCTATACAGGAGCTTAAATGGGCTGTACCCTGTAGCATTCCGAGGACAGGCCTGAATTCTGAGAAGGGAAAGTGGTAAAAGTATTGTCTAGTCCTTTTTAAGTTGGTGGCTGAGCTTGGTGAGGTGTGTTTTTAAAAGACCTTTAGTCCATTCTACTTTTCTTGAAGACGGAGGACCGTAAGGGATATAAAGGTTTCACTGAATACTAAGAGCCTGAAAAACTGCTTGGCTGATTTGACTAATAAAGGCTCGTCTGTTATCAGACTGTATAGAGGTGGGAAGGCTAAACTGAGGAATTATGTCTGACAGAACGGAAGAAATGACCTCAGTGGCCTTCTCAGACCCTGTAGGAAAGGCCTCTACCTATCCAGTGAAAGAATCTACCTAGACTAAGAGGTATTTTAGTTATCTGACTCAGGCCATGTTGAGTAAAGCTAATTTGCCAGTCCTGGGTGGGGCAAATCCTGGAGCTTGATGTGTAGGGAAGGGAGGGGGCCTGAATAATCCCTGAGGAGTAGTAGAATAGCAGATGGAACACTGAGAAGTTATTTCCTCGAGGATAGATTTCCACGATGGAAAGGAAATGAGAGGTTCTAAGAGGCGGGCTAGTGGCTTGTACTATAGTATAACCTGCCTTTGCTGGTGTGTGGCGATTAGGCCTGGTGGAACTGCCGTCAATAAATCAAGCGTGATCAGGGTGAGGAACAGGAAAGAAGGAAATTTGGGGAAATGGGGTGAATGTCAGGTGGATCAGAGAGATAGTCATGGGGGTCAGGTGTGGTATCAGGAATAATGTGGGAGGCCGGATTGAAGTCTGGGCCGGGAACAACGGTAATTGTGGGAGACTCAACAAAGAGTGAGTACAGCTGAAGGAGCCGGGGAGCAGAAAGTATATGCGTCAGGTATGGGGAAGAAAATAGATTTTGGAAGTTATGAGAACTGTAGAGAGTGAGTTGAGCATAGCTTGTGATTTTGAGGGCCTCTAAAAGTATTAAAGCAGCGGCAGCCGCTGCACGCAGACATGAGGGCTAGGCTAAAACAGTAAGGTCAAGTTGTTTGGACAGAAAGGCTACAGGGTGTGGTCCTGGCTCTTGTGTAAGAATTCTGACCATGCTAGCCATGCCTAGGAAGGAAAGGAGTTGTTGTTTTGTAGAAGGTGCTTGGGTTTGAGAGATCAGTCGGACACGATTGGCAGGGAGAGCACGTGTGTTTTTATGAGAATTATGCCGAGATAGGTAACAGATGAGGAAGAAATTTGGGCTTGATTGAAGTAATGGGGGCTGTCTGTGAAGCTTTGCAGCAGTACAGCCTAGGTAATTTGCTGAGCTTGATGGGTGTCAGGGTCAGTCCAAGTGAAAGTGAAGAGAGGCTGGGATTAAGGGTGCAAAGGAATAGTAAAGAAAGCATGTTTGAGATCTAGGACAGAATAATGGGTTGTAGAGACAGGTATTGAGGATAGGAGAGTATATGGGTTTGGCATCACAGGGTGGATAGGCAAAACAATTTGGTTGATAAGGCACAGATCCTGAACTAACTTGTAAGGCTTGTCTGGTTTTAGGACAGGTAAAATGGGGGAATTGTAAGGAGAGTTTATAGGCTTTAAAAGGCCATGCTATAGCAGGCGAGTGATAACAGGCTTTAATCTTTTTAAAGCGTGCTGCCGGATGGGATATTGGCGTTGAGTGGGGTAAGGGTGATTAGGTTTTAATGAGATGGTAAGGGGTGCATGATCGGTCGCCAAGGAGGGAGTAGAGGTATCTTATACTTGTGGGTTAAGGTGGGGGGATACAAGAGGAGGACGCAAAGGAGGCTTTGGATTGGGAAGAAGGGTGGCAATGAGATATAGCTGTAGTCCAGGGATAGTCAGGGAAGCAGATAATTTAGTTAAAGTGTCTCAGCCTAATAAGGGAACTGGGCAGGTGGGGATAACTAAAAAGGAGTGCTTAAAAGAGTATTTTCTAAGTTGGCACCAGAGTTGGGGAGTTTTAAGAGGTTTAGAGGCCTGGCCGTCAATACCCACAACAGTTATGGAGGCAAGGGAAACAGGCCCTTGAAAAGAAGGTAATGTGGAGTGGGTAGCCTCCGTATTGATTAAGAAGGGGACAGGCTTGCCTTCCACTGTGAGAGTTACCCGAAGCTCTGCGTCTGTGATGGTCTAGGGGGCTTCCGAGGCCATCGGGCAGTGTCAGTCTTCAGCTGCGAAGCCGAGAAGATCTGGGAAGGAGTCAGTCAGAGAGCCTTGGGCCAGAGTTCCAGGGCCTCTGGGAGTGGCTGCCAGGTGAGTTGAACAGTCCGATTTTCAGTGGGGTCCCACACAGATGGGACACGGCTTAGGAGGAATCCTGGGCTGCAGGCATTCCTTGGCCTGGTGGTCAGATTTCTGGCACTTGTGGCAAGCTCCTGGGGGAGGAGGTTCTGGAGGAACGCCTGGCCGCTGAGTTTCAGGCATTTGGAAGTTCTTGTGTGCTGGAGATGTGGCTGGGGTTTGTCTCACAGTGGAGGCAAGGAATTGCAACTTTTTTCTATTATTGTACACCTTGAAGGTGAGGTTAATTAAATCCTGTTGTGGGGTTTGAGGGCCGGAATTTAATTTTTGGAGTTTTATTTAATGTCAGGAGCAGATTGACATTATTTTGAGAATAAGACGGCCTTTTGAGCTTTTAGGGTCTAGGGCTGTAAAGTGTCTCAGGGTTGCTGCCAAACAAGTCATGAACTGAGCTGGATTATTATATTTGATGAAAAAGAGCCTAAACGCTATCTGATTTGGGATAAAGAAAAAGGAGCATTAACCTTGACTATGCCTTTAGCTCCAGCCACCTTTTTAAGAGTAAATTGCCGGGCAGGAGGGGGAAGGCTACTCACGGAACGAAACTGTAAGCTGGACCAGGTGTGAGGAGAGGAGGTGATAAAAAGATTATAGGGTGGAGGAGCAGAGGCTGAGGAAGAATTGGGACCTAGCTCGGCCTGGCGAGGAGCAGCCTGGGGAGGAAGGGAGAGGTCAGATGGGTCTGTAGAAAAGGAAGATTAGAAAGACTCAGCGACGCTTGGTGTTGGGACTGAGGGGACAGGCGGGAGGGAAAGAGGGAAGATTTGGGACGAGTTGCACTGGGCACAGAGACTGGGAAGGGACTGATGTGTAAAAGAATGCCTGGATGTCAGGCACCTCAGACCATTTGCCTATTTTATGACAAGAATTATTTAGATCTTGTAGGATGGAAAAAGTCAAAGTGCCATTTTCTGGCTATTTGGAACTGCTGTTGAGTTTGTATTGGGGTCAGGCGGCATTGCAGAAGAAAATAAGGCATTTAGGTTTTATGTCAGGTGTGAGTTGAAGAGGTTTTAAGTTTTTGAGAACACAGGCCAAGGGAGTAGAAGGAGGAATGGAGGGTGGAAGGTTGCCTATAGTGAAGGAAGCAAGCCTAGAGAAGAGAGTAGAGAAACAGAGGGAAGAGGTTTGGGGGTTCTTACCTTCCAGAAAAGTGGAAAAAGGGGTTGGGGCACAGAGATAAGGGGTTGGGGCACGGAAATAAGGGATGGGGCACAGAAATAAGGGATGGGGCATGGAAATAAGGGATGAGGCGTGGAAATAAGGGGTAGGGGCACAGAAATAAGGGGTCGGGGCACAGAAATAAGGGATTGGGGTGCAGAGATACGAGGTTGGGGTACTTGCCCCTCCTCTAGAAAAGTGGGACTTGCCACTAAGAGTGAAGGAGAAGGGGTTGAAGGGTACTTGCCCCTCCCCCAGAAAAGCGGGACTTGCCGCTAAGGGTGAAGGAGAAGGGGTTGAGGGGTACTTGCCCCTCCCCCAGAAAAGCAGAGAAGGGGTAGAGACAAGGAGAGAAGGGGTTGGGGTACTTGCCCCTTTCCCAGAAAAGCGGGACCTGCCGCTAAGGGTGAAGGACCAAGGCAGGCATCCCTGCATGGTCTGACACCTTTGAAACGTGGGTGAATAATCAGGCGTCCCTGCAATGATTAAACACCAAGGGAAGGCTGCCTTCCCAGTCCGTGACCGGTGCTGGAGTTTTGGATCCACAGATAAAACGTGTCTCCTTTGTCTCTCCCAGAAAATGAAAGGAATTGAAATTAAGAGAAGGGAGAGATTGAAGAGTGGAAAGGAGAAAGTGGTTGAGGGACAGTGAGAGAGGTTGGAGAAGAGAGTAAGAAGAGGCCGCTTACCTGATTTAAAATTGGTGAGATGTTCGTTGGGCTGGTCGGTCTGAGGACCTGAGGTCGTAGGTGGATCTTTCTCACGGAGCAAAGAACAGGAGGACAGGGGATTGATCTCCCAAGGGAGGACCCCCGATCCGAGTCACGGCACCAAATTTCATGTGTGTCCGTGTGAAGAGACCACCAAACAGGCTTTGTGTGAGCAATAAAGCTTTTAATCACCTGGGTGCAGGTGGGCTGAGTCTGAAAAGAGAGTCAGCAAAGGGAGATAGGGGTGGGGCAATTTATAGGATTTGGGTAGGTAAGGGAAAATTACAGTCAAAGGGGGGTTGTTCTCTGGCAGGCAGGAGTGGGGGTCGCAAGGTGCTCAGTGGGGGTGCTTTTTGAGCCAGGATGAGCCAGGAAAAGGACTTTCACAAGGTAATGTCATCACTTAAGGCAAGGACTGGCCATTTACACTTCTTTTGTGGTGGAATGTCATCAGTTAAGGTGGGGCAGGGCATATTCACTTCTTTTGTGATTCTTCAGTTACTTCAGGCCATCTGGGCGTATATGTGCAAGTCACAGGGGATGTGATGGCTTGGCTTGGGCTCAGAGGCCTGGCAATTATTAGCCTCATTTCACATGAGGACACCAGGGTTAGGGGGCGGGCTGGACCAAGATCTATGTGGAGAGCAGAGTTCAACCCAAAATGCATGCTTTTTATCACTATATTTAGAGATAGACACACCTGGTTTCAATCCTTGAGGTTGCCACTAGCTATGTGATTTTTGAATAATCATTCTGAATCTTAGTTTCCACATCTGTAAATGAAGATAAAAATACCTTTCCAATTAAAAATGATTTTAAACTAGGCAACTTAGGCAAATTATTCTTTTCCTTCATGTACCTGGGCTTTCCCGCCTCATCTAAGCACACTTGTTCTTTCTAATGCTCCCTGACTGTAACCAAAACCTCCAGAGCCCTTCATCCATCCTCTGATTGCCATGAATTGCCAACATCAGATAAATAGTTTAAAAAGTGGCAAGAAAGTAGGATTTCAAGTCAGAAGACTTGGATTTGAATCTTGCTTCAGCTTTGTATTAATTGTTATCATTCTGAATCATAGTTTCCCCATCTGAAAAATAAGATGTGGAGTTGTTATTATTGGTGGTGGTCTGTTCTAAGCATTAAATGAAGAAATGCATGTCAAACCTTCTGAAAACTCAGACACCAAACACTTGGAAAGGAGTCTGTTACAGTCTCACCAATGCACCACAATGTAGCAGTCTCTCCTTGTGAGGTATCACCCAAGACCAAGAGAATTAAGGAGTATGGACCCAAAGGGTGAGGTCGGAGTGAAAGTTTAATAAGTGAATGAAGAAAGCTCTCTGTTGCAGAAAGGGGACCTGGAAGAGGATTGCTGTTTTTCACAGTTGAATGCAAAGGCTTTTATAGGAAACTGATGAGGGCTGGGCATTTTGTTTGCATAAGGCATGTTTTTCTGGTAGCTCCACCCCATCCTCCTAAGGTGCATGTGGGCCCTTAGCTTGAGTTACCCATATTGCTTTGTTGCCCTTATTATGCATGTGTCAGGGGATGAAATTTTCCACTGCTGGCATGTCTGGGCAAGTCACCTGTGTAGCCTTTCTTATCTGTGCAGCTGTGGGCATGTCTTAGGCAAGTCCCCCAGTGTAAGTTCCCTTATCTGTGCCTGCAGGCTGTTCTTTTGTTTCTAAAAATTCAATCCAGGGCCCATCCTAACTGCCTGCCTGACCGGTTTCTTTCTTTTTCCTCTCTCAATTCTTATTAAGGCAGAAAAATTCTAGAATGACTTTTTGTCCTATAGCCTTGTTCCCAGAATGCTTTGGAAATGTAACAGCCAATTTATCAAGACAGGGGAATTGCAATAGAGAAAGAGTACTTAATGCAGAGCAAAGAGAAAAAAGATAAAGTTCTTTTAAATATATATAGCTTGGATATTCATGTTTAATTAAGCAAATTTTAACCATAGAGCTCTTTTGTTTAAAGAAAATCTCTTTTAAATCTCTTATTACCAGACTCTAGTCAGGACAGCCAATATTTCTGGCCTTTGAATTCTACCCCAGGTAACCGCCCACATGAAATTAGTAAGTTTTAATTAAGGTTATAACTTAACCATGGATACAAAAGGTGTTTTAAAGAGATGGTAAGCAGCTTTTTTTTTTTAAAAACAAGATTTAGAATATCCCCAAAGGTAGTACAGTGAAAGGAAAATTCAAGACAGGAAATCAGAAGCTATCTATGGGGTGAAAAAAAAAAAACCTCAATAAATGGCAAAGTTCCACAAATAACAAACCAGAAAGGAATCATTCTGTAAGCCAAGAATTGAACCTGGGCCACCATTGTCAAGAGATAAAAACCTTAGCTACTGAGCTACACAGCATTGAGCAGTTTCTACTGCTCTCCCCCGAAGAAGTCTACAGCAGCTGATCTGAAGCTTGCAAAGGCTTTTAAGTGCTCAAGATAATTCTTAGGGCTGTGATATGAACCCCCAAATTCCTGTCCTCTGGATGGTGGAGACCAGGATGAAGTACCTCTACATGGTCACAAAGTTAAGCTCTTAAAGACACAAAACAAGACAGAAATTTCATCTGGTATTGGTTTCAGGGACCCACAACAAAGTTTATAACTGACCAGCCTGCCGGGTTGGCTTGAAAAGCAGGATTACAGGGGTCCTAAACTCATGTTCTATCCTGTGACACCCTTCTCTCCATTACGGAAGGACAAATTCTTAGTACAAAGTGCACCAGATTTGCCACAGCCTAAGACTAGTCTCACAAATCCTTTTTTACTATTCATCAAACCTTTGCAGAGACACACAGTGACATTTATTGCTTACCACTGCCCCCCTCCAACACACACACACACACACTCACACAGACACACAATGCAGAGAGACAGAGAGAAAGAGAGAGAGAGAGGCCAGACACTTTTCTGGTAAGAATTCTTGCCCTTTGTGCCAGCATATCAGGTTTCTGGGTCCCCTTTCTCTGCAGCTTCTAGAAGAATGGAGCAGCATTTGATGGCCCTGTTCACCGTGCCATAGACGTGAGGGGACCAAGCCCCATTACAAAAGAAAATGATCCTTTTCTGTTTTATGGAACCATAGGCAAAAGCTTCTCAATGTTGCAAGATGCTGCCTGATGGGCTACATGGGGAACCAAATTAACATTTTCCATTCCAGTGGAAGCAAAATACACATAACGCTACAGACATTGGTCACCTTGTTCAGCACCCAACATCGACCTGGCAAGACTCGAACTTTTTCCCGTTGGTCCCTGTTGTCTTTGATCTACACAAAGTGGGGAATGGTGACCTCCATCTGGGAATTCAATGGGTGATCTCTGGGCAAGATGAAGAGCAGTCACAAACCCGATCCAGGGCTGTTAAACTTCTTTCAGGACTCACTGAATGTGACCAGATAGATAAGGAGAGTTCTCTGAGTTAGGCCTGCTAGACTTCCATCAGCAATTCCTTCAGAGATCTCCTCCACATATACAAATACACACATATAGACAAGACAGACAGAAGGCTTTCCAAATCAAGATTCCTAACCAAGAATTCCAGAGTATCTCTTCCAAACTATCCTCCTATTCTCTGTTTGAGAAATCTCCCTGAAATCTTCTTGATTGAGGAGAAGTCTCCCGAACCAAGACTCTTTTTACTAGTTAGGCAGAGCCAACCGAGACCCCCCAGGAGCCAAACCAAGACAGACACCCCATGTTGTAGCTACAGACACCTCACAATGGAGCTACAGAACTAGTTGCGAAAAGGAAGGAGACATTGGCAGCACCTAGGATACTCACCAACCCAGACACCCTACAATGGGGCTATAGACAGACACCCTGTGATAGGGCTACAGTTATGGGACGTCTCCCCAGGACTGTTTCTCTATTAAATCCATGCCCATTGGGTCGGGAGTGCCCTGTCAGTAGAGAGAGTACCAGAGTCAACTCCCAGTCCAAGTGAACTAGGTGGCTGCTTGGGCTGGCCCCTGGATCCATTGCTGGAGGGGGCTACTGAACCACGGGCAGGTAGCCACAAGGGCAATCCTGGATGAGCCTCGAAATTTGTAACCACCCAATGGATTCACCTTGCCCACTGCTTAGACAGAGCTGATTTATTAAGACAGGGGAATTGCAATAGAGAAAGAGTAATTCAGCCAGAGCCAGCTGTGCAGGAGACTGGAGTTTTATTATTACTCAAATCAGTCTCCCCAAAAACTCGGGGATCAGAGTTTTCAAGGATAATTTGGTGGGTAGGGGGCCAGTGAATCAGGAGTGCTGATTGGTTGGCTCAGGGATGAAATAACAGGGAGTCAAAGCTCTTCTCTTATGCTGAGTCAGTTCCTGGGTGGAGACCACAGAACTGGTTGGCAGGTCCAGGTGGGGCCGTCCAGTTGGTAGAAATACAGAAACCTGAAAAGACATCTCAAAAGGCTGATGTTACCTTTAAGAGTAACTGGGGAAGTTGCAAATCTTATGACCTCCGGAATAATGGCTGGTAATATCTAGAATTCCAGCCCCTCTCATTCTAACTTGGTGGCTGGTGGCCTTTCCTTCATTTTATAAGAACAGTTTAGTTTTGGGGAAGGGCTATTATTTAAACTATAAACTAAATTCCTTCCCAAGGTTAGTTCAGCCTACGCCCAGGAATGGACAAGGACAGTTTAGAGGTTGGAAGCAAGATGGAGTTGGTTATGTCTGATATCTTTCACTGTCATAATTTCCTTAGTTATCATTTTGCAAAAGCGGTTTCGGGAAGGCCATTGTTTGCACAGTATTTTCATACTCTTAATTTGTAGCTGCATATGTTTGCATGTCTTACTTTTTAAGTGGCAGGAGTTTTGAGTCTAGGGTGTGTCTTTCAAGTTTCTTTACAGAACTTAGAAATAATGGATGTTTAATAAACGCTAGATGTACAGATAACATTCAAGCTTTCTATGCATCTGTCTTTCATGTTTTTGTTGGGATGTTTTTCAACAGTCTGGAGACCTCTTAACAATGGAGTGAAAGGCTTTGAAAAATCTCTAAAAGCCTGTATAAATGCAAAAGTATTTTAAATTTACAGGAGGTGCTGTTACTACTAATACTGTGCAAATTTATGAGTAGTTGTGGAAATAATAACTCTATGAGCAAAAATGCTTCTATTTCTGTTTTGTTCTTTGCATTGTGCAAATATAGCCTATATAAATCAAATTTCTACATTTCTGCATCCTGTGTGCCTTAAGACATATGTTGAGATATCAAAAGAAGAAAAAAACATATAACAACCTGGAATCACAAAAGGCTGAAGCTTAAAGATCATTATGTTCAGCCCTGCCATTGTACAGACGAGGAGACTACGTCTAACGGACACAAAATGACTGGCCTAAGGTCACACAGCAAAATAGTAATCTTTTTTCTGTCATTATTCGTTCTCTGAAATATGTGGGTGTGTTTAGTATTGTTGACATTTCCTTGGAAAAAGAACAATTTTTAAAATGAAATCTTTTCTTTCCAGGGCTAGAGCAATGTATCTTAGGCTCACTTAAGGAAGCTGTAGAGATGAGCCCAAGGAGGGAAACCAGAAGAGCCCCCCAGGCTCACCAGTTGTTTGTTGGCTCCCTACAAACATGTCATTCAAGTGGCTAATCTTACAACAGCACAAATTCATCTAACCAGGTGAGTTTCTTCGAGTCACTTCAAATAATTATTTCTTGAGCATCTACTTCATGCCAATGGTGTGCTAGATTCTATAAGAAAATAAATGTGAATTACTCACAGATAAAAATAAATAACAATCAGGCTGCGTACAGTGGCTCATGCCTGTAATCCCAGCACTTTGAGAGGCCGAGTGGGGTGTATCACTGGAGGTCGGGAGTTCAAGACCAGCTTGACCAACATGGTGAAACCCCATCGCTACTGAAAATGCAAAAATTAAGTGGGCATGGTGGCACACACTTGCAATCCCAGCTACTCAGGAGGCTAAGGCATGAGAAACGCTTGAATCCGGGAGGCAGAGGTTGCAATGAGCCAAGATCGCACCATTGCACTCCAGCCTGGGCAACAGAGTGAGACTCCATCTCAATAAATGAATAAATAAATAACAATCAAGAGAATAGAATCAATATAGCCCAGTGGACAAGACCATGGATTATGGAGCCAGACTAGCTACTTACTAGCAGAATGATTAATTTTGAGCAAGACCCTTAAGCTCTTTGGGAGTCAGGTTCTTCATGTATAAAGTGTGGCTTACTTAATAGTTTCTGTGAAGTTGTGAATTTAACAAATATCAACCTCCTTGCCAAAGCTAACTAATTTGCTAATCACTGATTTTGCAAAGCGTGTTGTGGAGATGTGGCTGGACAGGTTTGCCATCAGAGTCGATATACCGTTGTATTAAAAACAAGATAAAAAAGCTGCCAAGTTCTTTCGTGAGTGGTTGGTTAGTCTGAAATCTTTGCAAGATGCTGATGCTCAAGCTGTTGACCTACTCATTGCCTACTTTAACAACTGTCAGAGAAACATGATGTGGGGTAAGGAGGTGCTTTTTAAAAATCATTCATAGACTTCTGTAAAATGCAAGATAAAGTTATTTTAACAGTGGAAAAAAAACAAATATCAGGTGCTTTCAGGGTCCAACATATAATAAGTGCTATAGTTAACAGTTATTTTACATTTATTATCTCCCTGGGTCTCACCCTAAGCCTATGAAGTAGGTAGCATTCACCTTTTATAGAGGAGTAAACTGAAGTTAAGAGGTCAAGTAGCCTGCTTAGGTCACCCTGCAACCAGCAACAGAGCCAAAAGTCAAGCCCAGGTCTGTCTGACAGCCAGGCCTGGCCTCATAAACACTGTTCTGTGTGCTGTCCTCAGACACAAACCTTGCTCTCCAGAAAGTCATATTCTAGAAGCCTTATTGCAGGGCTGAAAACACTAAGTGCCACTAGAGAGATAGAAATAATGTGGATGGGGATTTCACAACAGGGCCTGTGGGAAATTGTTTCCAGCTTAGAAAATCAGAGGGAGTTTTAAGGAAGAAATGGAATTTGAGTCTTGAATGATTTATTTGTGCAGAAGCAGGAGTGAGAAAGGACAAACAAAAAACCAGGGATGAGAGGGGTGAGGTATAGTTTGGAAACAGGCAATAGATGGTTCAATAAAAGTGGACCCTGGGATATGTGCAGGAGAGCAGGGAAAGGTGAGGCCTGCAACCCTCCCTAGGTGAAGTCAGATCACAAGGGGCCTCAAGTACCAAGCTAAAGAGTGTGCATCTAAAATTGAAGGTCCTTAAATAGCTTTTTAAAAGACAAATGGGCGAAAAGACCAAATGGGAAAAAGGAAAAAATAAGACCTAAGACTTTGAGACATGGTGATTATTTGTCAGTAAGAATTGGCGGAATATGGGCTTATTAACCTAGTTAGTTCTCTTCTGAAAAAGCCACATAGGTTTTACAGAAAAAAAAGTTGATTTTGCAAACAACATACTTGTTCATTTGAAGAGTTGAAGCATTTTTTCTGAAATGTGATATAATTTTTATATTTAAGTTAAAATGCAATTATAGGTATTTTTCCTTGATTGGATAAAATAGATCCAGAATTTAAATTTTATTTGTGAATTGTTCCCCTCCTTCCCTCCCCCTCTCCCTTCCTTCCGTCCGCTTGCATTTGTGTTTGGTTCACTCCTCTCTCTTAGACAAAAGGTATTTTCTCATTTCTTAATCCCAATTTCTCCTTCATGTTTTGAGTGCTGTTTTATGTTTCAATTTCATATTTATTGTAATATGAACCCTCAGCCACTAGGACATCCAACATCCCTAGAATGGCAGAGTTGAAATGAACAGTAGAGATGATCTATTCTAACATTCATCTTACAGCTGAGACAATGAAGGCTCAGAGAAAGAACATGACTTTTTCAAAAACACAGAGTGAGTTCAAGGCAGAAGTGGGACTTGGACTTGTTTTCTGGCTCCTTTCTAGTGCTCATTTCAGTGCATCATCTGAGCACATGTGTAGGCAGGGCTCTGGGCCTTTACCTTCTTGAGAATGGTTTAGGGAGTCTCAATAGACTTCTCATGTACTGCTGCAGGACTTAGAATCTATGAAGTATTTAGAGCTGGAGGGAACCTTAAGATCCTCAAATTCTGCATCGTCCTGGCTATGGTCTAAATGGTCCCTCCAAAATTCATGTGTTGAAAAGAATTCCCCGTGCAACAGTGTTGGGAGGTGGGGCCTTTTTGGGAGATGTTTAGGTAAACAGATTAATGCCACTATAAAAGGGCTTGATGAGAGTTTGGCCCATTTTCACTCTCCCATCCCTTCTTCGATGTGAGAACACAGTGTCCTCCCATCTGAAAAATGCAGCATCAAGGTGCCATCTTGTAAACAGAGAGCAGCCCTCACCAGACAGCTGAACCTGCTGGTGCCATGATCTTGGACCTCCCAGCCTCCAGAACAGTCAGAAATAAATTTCCATTCTTTATAAATTACCCAGTCTCAGCAATTCTGTTAAAACAATACAAATGGGTGAAGAAACTCCTTTTGCAGAGGAGAAGACCAAAGCTGAAAGAAGTGAGGGGAGACCTGCTTAGCTTATGTGGCTAGAGACGTACAGAGCAAGGTCAGGGATTTCAATCTGCTGACTCGAGGCCCATGTTTTCACTCTGTACATGCTCATCCTTATTTTCAAAGTCTCCAGTTCAAAAATTCATCTCTTTGCAGTCACATATACTGAAGGGAATTCTGCTTCACAATGCCTGGAGGAGCTTCAAGTGGAATGTGTCCAAACCAGGAGGAAACAATTCCCTTGGTTCTCCTCTGGATGTCAGTGCAGGTTGGTGTGCAGTGAAGGTAGGGGTGTGGAAAGCTGGCCAATTCCACTTTACAAGTTCTTTATTCTCTCATACCCGGGAAGTACCACAGCTACTGAATTCTTGGTGAAACCAGAACCTAAAACAGTAAAAGTGGAGTTGGGAACCTGGGGAAGCAATACTCAACCAAGCCAAAACTAAGATTGCATATTTACATAGAATGGCTGTAGCCATGTTGTTCTTCACACTCACAAAGTGAACACACAGCTCAAGGCTCAGTGGCCAGACTATGTGGTGGGGGTGGGATGTGGCAAGATGTGCATGCATGTGAAAGAACAGTGTAAACTCTAAAACATCTACAACAGGGAAAAGCAAAAAGAAATCCGTATTTCTCCCTCTGATTATCTTGGTCTCTCTCTTCTGTCATGGATTAGACCCAGAGAAGAATACTAGTCCAAATCTCCAGCAACTGTTCATCATTTTTAACCTTTCCTGCCTGGTAAAATAACCTGGGAGCTTTGAAAATAATATTGATGCCTGAGCTTCACTCCCAGAGATTCTGATTTACCTGATGCAGGGATGCAGGATGGGGTCTACAATTCATAATTTTTTTAAAACTCCCCAGATGCCTAATGTGCAACTAGGGTGGAGAATTACTCAATTAAACTATCAAGTTGCTTTCCCTGACTGCTGGGATCCCTTCCTTGGCTGCTGCAAACAATGTTGTAGCCACTTAGGGCTAAATACACTTATAATGTGGCCTTACACTGCATTCATTCAATTTAATAGACACTTGTTGACTGCTTTCCGGTACATGGCTAGGTGAACTGCAGTGGGTACACAGGTGAATGAAAATGTCCACTGCTCTAGAAGAGTTTATACAAATAACTGCAGCTTAGTAAGGGAGCAATTATTTTACCCAAGAAAATGCTAAAGGCTTCATGCAATTGAACCTTTAACATATAGAAACATTTTTTATATTCATAGAAAATTCATTTGTTAAGAGAAACCTGCCTAATCGAAAATTTGCTTTGATAAGTCTACCATGGTATACAAACAAGCCGTGGACTAGTGCCTAGGTTTGAAAAGTGAAAGCTTCTCTGCATAATAGAGTGAGAGCAGGTGATCAGCACTAAATGCTGTGTAGGGAAATGGTCAAAAGGACACTTAATGACTTTTAGAGATGGGATCTCAATCTGTCACCCAGGCTGGAGTGTAATGGCATGATCTTAGCTCACTGCAGCCTCAAACTCGTGGGCTCAAGTGACCCTCTCGCTTCAGCCTCCTGAGTAACTGGGACTACAGGCACATGCCACCACACCCAGCTATATATATATATTTTTAATTTTTTTGTAGAGACAGGGTCTCGCTATGTTGCCCAGGCTGTTCTCAAACTTCAGGTCTCAAGCAATCATTTTGCTTCAGCCTGCCAACGTGTTGAGATTACAGGCCTGAGCCTCCATGCCCAGCCATAAGGCCATTTTTAATAAGAACTGTTAAAAATAAAATGTCAATTATGGAATGTAAACTTCATTTTCACATTTATTAAGAAGTCTTCCATAAAATACACATTGCTCATTATTCAGTGAGAGTGAATTGTGTATGAAAAATTCGAAGAAGTGCTAAATCCCACCTTGAGATGGCAGAAGAAAACCAGAGGGTATACATGGGGCAACTGCCTGATGTGTGGGTTTGCTAGATTTTACAATTAAAATTGCAGGACACCCAGTGAAATTTGAATTTAAATTAATACAAATCATTTTTTACTATAAATATGTTCCATAGAGTATTTGCACACACTTATATTAAACAATTATTCATTTGGTTTGATGTTTTTTCTGGCAGCCCTATTATGGGTTATGGTTGGGTAGGGATTTTATAATCAGAGAGGGAGACAGGGAATGGACAAAGATGCAGAGGAGGTAGAGTGTAAGGTACATTTAGGGAATAGGGAGAAGTAGGGTTGGAGTGCACTGTCAAGTGTGTTGGAAGTTGTCTGGACATTAAAGTAGGAAAATAAAGCTACATCCTATAAGGCCATAATGCCAATATCACCAATTTGTTACTCTGTCAGCAATGGATAGCCCTTTGATATATTAAAGGGAGGGAAATCATATGCTCTATTCATCCATTCATCTATCCATCCATCCATCCATCCATCCACATTAATGTATCTGTATCAATATGGCACACTTGAAAAGCATATGTCCTCTGAATTTATATTCTAGTTCTGCTATATGCTCACTGAGTGATCTTCTGCAAATTACTGCCTCTCTCAGCCTCAGTTACCTGAAAAATAGGCATAATTAGATCTACATCTTACATCTCTCATCAGGTTTATCACAGTGACATACAATTGCCAAGCAGGCAAGTCCACCTTGAATGCCTTTTTGACTCGTTTGAGGGTTCCAATACTGTGTGTGCCAACTTAGACCATTATTTCCCAGAAACATTCCTCTTAGTCTATCGATTTCATTCCCTTGCAATGCACTGGCCTTTACACCTGCATAGTCAACAGTGATTAAAGACAGCATTTCTGTCTCTCCTGCCACATCGGTACATTTGTGTATAGGTAGGTGTTGCTATTTGTGTAACGTATTACGAAGTGTTTTCATGTTCATTATTGTCATTGAACCTTCAGAGAGATCATTCTGCTATCATGGGAGGATGTTGGAAGTGGGTTGGGGTAGAGAGATTGGGGGTAGAGAGATGGGTTGGAAGGCTGCTGTGATAGCCCAGGCGAGATGCAATGAAGACCTGAACCAGAGTAGTGGAAAGGTGAGCTGAAAGTGAAAGGAATGGATGAAAACAAACGGCACAGAAATAAAAACAAAGGGAAGTTCTGACACCCGCGTTTTGGTCTCCTTGACATTGCTTCCATTTCCTCTAGGGACATGTCCTGGATAAGGGTGAAACTGGATGCTCCTTGGCAGTTTCAGATGTCACCACCCCTAACTTTCCATTGGATAAAAGAAGGCCCAAAATAGCCTCTGGTCCCATAGGCTAGTGATTACTGGGACTCAGATTCCTGTCCTGAAAACACGGGGAAGAAGCCAGGCATTTGCCCACTTACCCTCTCACCAGCTGACCCAGGGCATTAGCACCCTGGTGCCTGCTGACGCAGAGCATCTGCCAAATTCGATTAGCCCCGTGGCCTGGCTAAGCTGGGCATGTCCTGCACTGCTTCTAAAACAAGCCCTCCAGGAAGGGGCTGCGAGACTCGGAGATGTTTTTTCCTACTGTCAAGCAGGAATCACTGCTTGGCAGTTTGAGGTAGGGATGGGGAGGAGATAAAAATATTAGAAGATGCAGAAGATAAAACCAAATACTAATCTAACAGTCACTTCTGAAAACAGAGAAAACACTCCAAACAGTCAACATGGATTGTTTTTTTTTCTCTTTGCTTCAACTTAGTAAAGCCCTTTGGAGTCCAGCAGAATGAGCCAAGCAGTGTGAAATGTGTGGAAACATGTTGTTGGCTCAGAGCAGGTTGCTTGGAGGCGGGACAGGTGACGACCTGCCTGTGAGAAGCCCATAGAGCTCTCTTCTCCTCACCACTGGGTCAGTTGATCCTCATCTGTAGATGAGAGATCCTCATCTGTAGACTCAGCCCTCCTGCAGCCATTAGTGCCTCTCCTGTTTCTAATCACAGGGAATCTAAAGAAATTTAAGGAGCCTCGTTCAGGAGCTCAGTGTTAGATTGAGCTTTCTGGTGGGTCCATTCTGACTCTGAATGTTGATTTTACTATCTAAAATCATTATTCTTGTTTCTATGGCTAGGGTCCTACTTGTATTCAATTTCCTATAGAACTAGCGTCCTGTCTTGTTAATTCCCAGTCATTAGAATCCCACACCCAAGTTTGGGACCAGGTTAGGGCTCTGAGTCCCATGGGCAGAAATCTCTGATACCTCTGACTCCTGTTTACCTAGAGGAAGAAGAATCTGGAGCAGCAGTTCTACCCTGGCTGGTCAACAAAACCACTGGAAAGATCTTTAAGAAATACAGATGCCGGGCGCGGTGGCTCACGCCTGTAATCCCAGCACTTTGGGAGGCCGAGGTGGGTGGATCATGAGGTCAGGAGATCGAGACCATCCTGGCTAACAAGGTGAAACACCGTCTCTACTAAAAATACAAAAAATTAGCCGGGCGCGGTGGCGGGCGCCTGTAGTCCCAGCTACTCGGGAGGCTGAGGCAGGAGAATGGCGTGAACCCGGGAAGCGGAGCTTGCAGTGAGCCGAGATTGCGCCACTGCAGTCCGCAGTCCGGCCTGGGCGACAGAGCGAGACTCCGTCTCAAAAAAAAAAAAAAAAAAAAAAGAAATACAGATGCCTGGGCCCCACCCCCAGAGATTCTGATTTACCTCGTCTGGGTATAGATATATTTTTTAAATTCCCTATGTGATTCAAATGTACAGGTCAGGATTGAGAGCCACCAGTCTGGTGGTTAAAATTCGAGACCTTGGGATTATATAGATGTGGCTTCAAATCTGACTATATCATTTATTAACTGTATGACCTTGGGCAAGTTATTTAGGCTACTGTGTTGTCAGTTTTCTTGTCTCTCAAATTACATCTATCTCATGATTATTTTAGATAGCATGGAAAGCATTTAGCATGGCATCTGGTACAAAATAGGGATGTAACAGTATTGCCTATTGCCAAACACTTGTCCTTGTGTTCAACCAATTGCTAGGGTAATCTTACCCTTTACTTGATTTACATATGATTCTTTGCATATGGATCGTCTGTCTGAAACCCATCGATAGAACTCTTTATACTCATTATAGAACATTCTTCACCCTTTCGCATCTAACTTCTGCTGAACTCAAGGGACACATCAGTCCTCAGCACCTTGACTTTACTACCTGATCTACCCCATCACCAATGGGATCTGTTCTTAAGAAAGTGGGAAAGCCAAGATAGCAAACTGAGTTCATCTTTTGGTTCAATTCAATTCAGTTGGCAGTGGAGCATGACCTTGACATGACTTGTGAGGCTGAGGTGCAGCAAAGACTTACAAGTGATGTCAGCCATACATGGAAGAATGGGGGAGAGAAGGCTGGCGCTGGTGGCCAGGGCTATTGCAGACCCAGCAGGCCTGAGTCATTATCCTTTCTCTTCTCCACCAATCCCAAACACAAAATAACTGTAAAGTATTGACCTAGGGAGGATTGGGCACTCCTGGGTCTTGCAAGTGGTTCCACAACACTCTGCCTATCTGCCCAATCCCAGCAATTCACAGGAAGCTCATCAGATTGTCCATGAGGTTAAAGGGGTGACAACTGCCCCATATCCAAGTATTGGAAATAGCTGACATGAAGCTCTAGAAACCCTACATTCAGGTTTTTCAGCACAGAGTAGGGTTGTATCCACTTTTGGAAAGGCCTCCATGCAATGAAAGACTGTTTGCATGTTAACCTTAAAAGATCAATCCAGGACTCTTCTGAAAGCTAAAAATTCTAAGCACCACTGGTGGTCTCCCTTTTTGAAGGAAGCCAAATCCCTTGGACATGTAACTAGCTATTCCACCCCCCTCCCCACAACCACGGCCTTTTTTTTTTTTTTCCTTCTGTATGTTCTCAATGCCCTTTGCACTTTTAAATTTTTCAGTGGTTTAAGAGTGGCTCCAGATCCAGGCTGCCCTGCTACTCACAAGTGTTGCAGCCTTTGCCAACTTAATTGAATTCTCTGTGCCTTAGTTTTTTTCATCTCTAAAATGGGAGTACTAAAACTACCACCTAGTTTATGGATTGTTGTGCAGTGAGAAAATCTGCATAAGATGCCTTGAACACTGCCTGCTTATAGTAAGTACTAGTCACTATAATTGTGCAATGGGTTAAATGTATGTCAAGGACATGGGGCAGAAGTTGAGGTAGGATTTTCCTGATGTGCCATGTCTATTTTTAGAAATGTGACTGTGGCCCCTTGTTTCTTTCAGACTATGTGAGTTCATCCATTTCACCCTGGCTTCAGTCATTGCCATTCAGCTGGGATAGACACTTAGGAATAATGGGCTTCATTTGGAATGTACAGTCTAGAAAAACACCCTTTATTGTAGTATATCTCTTCCATTTGCTTGAGTGTATGTAGTGGCCACAGTTTAACTGCCAAGCAGTATTATTGCTAGTGGGTAAACAAGAGTTATCTCTCTGAGTCTTCCAGAAAAGACAAAGTGACCCTGGATGCTAATGGCACAGATGAGATGGGATCTCTTCCAGGAGTCTGAATATGAGAAAAGAGTCTCTGAAGTGTGTACTAGATGAGCCCAGCTTATTACCAGTCAGCAGAGTGACTTCCAAGAGTTTGTAAACATTTTCTGAGGCTTTCTCATGGGTCTGTAACTTTCCTAAGTGCTTTATATGTATTACCTCATTTAATTGTCACAAAATCCCATGAGGTAAGTGGGAATATTTTTACCTGTCCTTTGCAGGTGAGGAACTGAGGCACAGAGAAGTTAAGTGACTTGCCTACAGTCACACAGCTCTTGTAGCAGAGTTGGGATTCAGACTCCACTCTTTACTATATTATGTGCCCCCTGAGTGGTGAGATGTTGGATCCCAGAGGAAGCAGAGCTCTGAGGTCATCAGGAAGGAAAGCAGGGCATGAAGTGGGAGCAGAGGTGGATTGAACAAAAACATAGATTTCTCAGAGATTCAGGCACAAAGGACTCAGGGCCAGGAATAAACCAAAGTTGGATTGCTGAAATGAGGAGTTTCAAACACTGGCATGCCAGTGAGGTTTGTCTCCTAAGCTAGCCAAAGCTCCACTCAGAATGACCTCTTTACCATTCTGAAATATCTGCTGTTTCTCTGAGGAAATCTGCTGCTGAATGTGGTGTTGCTGTGATTTGTTATGAGATACTTTTGTTCTCAAGGCCATCCTCTCAGGAGGAGGAACTATCCAGAGTACTCGGGAGGTGGTGGTGAAACAGATTGGGAACCGTACATCCTTGGTGAATTTATAAAGCCCCAAAGAACAGAGATGCAAACCCATTTCATTCAAAGAGCTCTGTTAACAGTGACTCTACAGGATGCTAATCCAGCAGTTTCATGCAGAGTTTCCTGACCCTGCAACTTGGCAAAACACAAGGAATCTCTCCTTGCCAGGCACCATGTAATACAGTAAGAATGAGTGACATAAAACAAAGGTAAATACATTGCCTGGCTTTGAAAGTAAGGTTAGACCCTGGTAGAAAATTTGCATCTTGAGGAATATATGGGCACCTTCCCCAAGGTATTTTCTGCCTGCTTGTCAGACAGTTGGTAATATTTTTATAGTTGCATATGAAGTAGAAACCTTCCTTTGGTCACATCCTCCCCAACCGCCACACTAACCCAAGGTGCCTCCTGCTTTTAATCTTGTGGCAAGTACCATGATATAAGGACACCAGCTATGGAGGGAGGCAGGAGATGCACAGTGAATTATCTCAGAATGCTTCCCAGCCTTTAAGTGCTTCAGAAACCTCTTTAATCTCTTTTTATGGCAAATAATGAAGTAGGAAGAATGAAATTGTAATATTAAAACTGAAATTTACCTCCAAGACCATCCTCTTGGGAGATCCCCCAAGTTCACCCTCTTCCTCTGACAGTTGAGGGCATGGAGGTTCAGATACCGGAAAGGGTTGGCCAACCTGATGATTGAACTACCAAGATACCTGGCTCCCAAGGTAGGCTTGTTAGAATTCAGGCTTCTGTATTGCCTAATGGATGGGTAATACATTTGGACACCCTCCCCTCCATCCTAGAAATAGAAAAATCTTCTAATGCAATTTGCCTTGTAAAATGTGCAGGAGTGTGCACACA
This sequence comes from Homo sapiens, assembly GCF_000001405.40. Lineage (NCBI taxonomy): Eukaryota > Metazoa > Chordata > Mammalia > Primates > Hominidae > Homo > Homo sapiens. The sequence goes on from NC_000011.10 coordinate 27,650,936, forward strand.
CACATACACATACACACAGAGATGGGAATAGCTATGTTCAGGTCCTCATTTCCAGAAACCAGTTCCTACAATATAGAAAAGCTTTGCCACAAAGTCTGAGGAAGCCCTTTGTATTTATAGTCTGGTCATTCTAGAGGTGTGAACCTAGATTTCCTCAGCTGGATGTTAATAGCTGATTAATTCAGGATGCTGATTTAATTTGTGACCTATAAAACGCTATTTCACAGAGAATGGGCTGTGTTGGCATGTGCAGAGACCAGCTCCCCAGATGGAATAATCTTTTCCTTATTAATTTGCTGCATGTTGCTTCTCATTTCTCACAGTCGTTCCAAATGTGTTACAAACGACTACGTGCTCTGGGTCCTGAATCCACTACTGCTGTTGCTTTGAAAGAAAAAAAAATTGTTGACTATGAAGGGCACTGAGCTTTCCTGGCTCACATTTGCATGCTCACTTTCAAACCATCAGTGCACTCTTCTCTTACAACACTAAGCCTTGCTCCACCTGCGAGCACCCATCACTTTTGTGTTGTTTAGGAAATGCAAACATAGATAGTTTGATGTTTTCAGGGCCAAGCAAATAGGTAGTGACATGATTGGGATCAGATCTACAGTTTCAAATTCTTGGGTTGTGCTATCTTCCTATTATCTAGAACATGTGAAAGGCTGTTTAATCCCCTTAGTCCAATGATCCTCAAATTTGAGTGGGCACAGAATCACCTAGAGGGGTTGTTAAAACTCAGACTGTTGTACTCTACCCCCAGAGCTTCTTATTTAGTAAGTCTAGGATGGGAACTGAGAGTCTGCATTTGTAAAAAGTTCCCAGAGATGCAGATGCTGGTTGCAGAACACACTTTGAGATCATTCCATGAGTCTAACTGGAGGAGAGTATGGGTACTGTTATCTCCAAGTAAACACTGCTTGGTATCTGTTGGAGCAGGTCTCTGCTGGGTAAGGTTTCTATTTTATGTCTTTTTCCTCTTTCCTTCCTGATATGCACCAAATCCCAGTTGAGCAACTATTTTTTAAATGTTAGGGCTCAATGGAGAATGCAGCTTCACTAAATAAATTTAAATGTGTACTGCAGTACTTGACATGGATTTTTTCAAATTGTGAGCACTTAAGCCAGACAAAAATATTTCCCCTGGGTTCAGCCATTCTATGCAGACCAGCCCCTGGTTTCTAAGGAACCATTTGAAATAGAGTACAGTACCAAAGTGCAGAGCTGCAGAAGCATCTTTATGTCCTTTCTAAATGTAGAACATACACCTCAAGCTCAGGATTTCAACTAACACTTTTTGGTCATTTACAGGCTTGAGACAAGTCCTGTCATTAACTACAACATTATGTGTGAGGCTTTTTTCAGGACAGATAAGCTTATTTTTCTAAAGGAAAGGACTTTTGTTTTTCCAGATATAAAATAGCAGCTCACACTTAAATGCAAAGGTCTTGTTTATTGTTTGTGTGGTGAGGTTTAATTGGAAGGCCTGCTTTTTACAATTCCATGCTACTGACATTACCAAGCACACAGGATTGTTGTTAGAAAAGCAAATGCCAGGCTGGGGAGCTCCTAATCTGGTGGTCTGTGCCTTGTAAATAATTAGGGTGTGGGGGTGAGGTAAAGGCCTATGGAAATCCTACAGAGTGCCACAGAAATGGGTCTTCTCAATTATGATAATGTGTAAGATCACAGTGCTTTTTCTGTTAATATTTAAACATAGTCTTCAAGTAATTTACTGCAAATAATCACATATTAAAAAGCAAGGAGTTTGCTTTTTTTTCCCTACAAATAATTCAAATGGTGGCCAGAATTGAGAGAATGGATGATCATACTCACAAGATTGGGGATAGACATGCAGGCAGTGTGTTTATTAGAAGGAATGTCCATAAACATGGGCTGGTTTGGAGTGGCTTCACCTACTCTAGTTGCTAAGTTTAGCTATTAGGTGGGGAGTTCACCAACCACCAGTTAGTTCAATGTAACCAACAAAAGTCAGATTCCCAACCATTACCCCCGCTTGTCACCAAACCAAGCAGCCAACCAACCTTTAAAACCACAGTTTAAAAACCCACAGCTAAAAGGATGGCCTATGTTCCATAAAATACTAATTTTGCTGGTCAACATTCTGAGGTTGGATCAAATCTGTGAATGGCTTTTTGCAAGCTAAATGCTTCATCTTCCTAAATTTATGTACACGTATATTGTTTCTTATCCCAATTAACAGTCTTTATTTAACAATGGCTTATCAAAATATGCAGCCATTTCTACTTTAACTTGTAGACCAGGCTTGATGTTAGAACATGATGGAGACAAGTATGTTTTACAATAACCTTAAACCTTAACACTATTGGGAGTGCTGGCTGAACTGAGGCAATGCCTGAAGCCATTTGTTGCAGTTCAAAAAGTGTTTGACATTTTATCCAGATCTAGAAGTCACTTAAATGAATGAGGAACAATTTAACACTGACCCATTCTAAGACTTAGTTCAGATTCTCATTTCGAACTGTCTTATTATTCACTGAATTAGTACAGCTCATAAAAAGATTTCATAGACACAGCTAATGACCACAGAGGCTTATCAGTATGGTGAAAAACAACAGATCAAAGCAATGATCTGAGTTATTTCCTGGCATCTTAGTAATTAAACAAGTTTAACTGCTTACTCAATGAATGCAGTACACATTGGTTACTCCTATTAACTCCAAGTAGGATAATTTAGTAGATGTCTCTATTTTGTTTTTTTCTCCAACCTCATCTTCTAATGAAAACTTTCAGTCATGTTTACCAAACTCGTTTAACTTCAAGTAATTTGGATGTCATGTTTAATTTTTACTTTTTTTACTCAACCATTTAAAAAATATTTTAGTCCTCTGACTATGAAAATTGGTCAAGCCTGAAGTTTATCAAAGTTCTAAGTCCATGGCTGGGCTGTCATGACTGGCAGTCAAGGGCTTCTCTTAGAGTACTTTTCAAGTTCACTGGACAGATTAGGATAGAGTAATTCATCTCATTCGATCTGTTTTTCCATATACACAACACAAGTCAATGTTTGTTATGACTTTCCTGATCCTTATTTATAAGACAATACAAGAGGAAACCATGTGTGTATGTTTAGAAATAGAAATGATACATTGCACAGATATAGTTCACCACGTTATGGGATGGGTTGTCAGTGTTCAAATGGGGAGGCTGAAGAGTAAGAACAGATGCTTTTTTTCCTTAATGGCCCCTTCTCTGATTTAAAATCCTTCCATTTATTTCCCTAAGATTTAGTGATAACTTTAAACACTTTAACTAAATTACCCAGCGGCTTGGCAGCCATCACGGAGGCAAATCCTTTTAGAAATCCTAGCAATCTGTTAGATTGTGGGTACTATGATATAAAATCTGTGTGCTCCACGTACAAAAATTAAATCAGTGCTATGGATACAAATACATACTGCAAATGGCACCACTTCCAAACCGAGGATATGTGACCTGTCTCCAAATATTGAATTTCTTTTTTTACTTTTTTCCCCAGTACTTGACTTTCTAAATTTGGGCCAATTTATTCTCATTATCCCTAAGTAAACCTACTTTGATTTTTTTTAACAGTTATTTTATAGTCAAATAGAGCCAGCCAGCCAGCCGTGATTCGTGGATCCTGATGTTGCTAGGATACATGGTTTGGTATCTGATGAAAGTATATCACTTCAAAGGGGTAAAACTTTCAAGTGTCCGAGAAAATGACACTCCCATCTTCCACCATGGAAGACAGATCCAATCCTACAACTTCTCAGAAGCTCACAGACTGCAGGATTGGCCTCCCAGGCTTTCAAATAAGTATCCTCTCTGGAGGGCTGTTTAATTACTAAAACTAGTCAGATTAGTCTTAAAGCAAGGAACACACGTATTTATAATAAAACACGTTTTCATGTTTGTTTTACAGTAAAGAGAAAAAAACCCAGAACCCCCAGATTTTATGTACTTTGAAAATATATTTAAAAACATTAAAAATTCTATATTTAAAACATATATTATATGTTAATTAGTACACTTAAATAGAACTTGTATTTACAATAGGCTTCTGATGCGGTTAAGTTTTAATGCCAATTTTTTTCAATAACATAATTATATAAATATACTAAAATACAATAAATATTGTTTTTTGTTTTACATGGTGAATAATATCTTTACCATAGAGAGAACAAGGCCACAGACATTTACTTACATTTTCAATGGGAATCGCCATAAAAAAGCAACAGGCCTGCTGCCATGCATGAAACACTTCTGCCACAAAGAGACCACAGCAAGACTTTAAAAAACAAAACAAAACAGAACAAGAACGAACACAACAGAGAGAGATTTTAACAAAATAAATCTTAGGTCAACATAAACCATCAAGCATGTGACTGTGATGTATCTTATTGGGTAAAAGAGCCACTGACCACACAATTGCTGGATGTGTCTCCTATGAAACCACTTAACAGATCTGGCCCTTGCAATCCTTTAAGTTTGTGATGGGGGGTTGTTTGTTTTAAATTTGTCCCTCAAAAGGAAGCTGCATAAAGTTGACATACAGCAGATATTCCAAGCATTCCTTACATATTAAAAATAATTACAAAGATAATATTTTCAAACAACACAAAACAAATCTACACTACGTAAAGTCTTCCTTCTTTCAAAGAGGTATTCAGATGGTACTGTGAAAGACTAGCTCTAAATGAAAGACTGAACAAATTGAAATTCTTTGCTGATGGTATCTTCATTCCTGGGTTATGGTGAACATCCTCTTTTGCTTATCCCTCACCCTACTAAGATGCAGCAATTGCTTGGGGCTTTCTGATACTTAAGGATGCTGGTCCAAGTGGTGATCACTAACATTTTCAGGTGTGAAATGGGCTGAATGGGCTTAGAGCTCTAGTTTTCACTGGGGATCCATTTTTCCAAGAACCACTATTTCAGGCTCCCAACTTGACTTCTCCTAACCCAAAATGGCAGAGGTGAGGCAGGGACCCTCTCCATGAACAGACAGGATGGGCAGAAGGTTGCTGTGGCCTTCACTGGGGAGCAAAATTTTGTCAGCTCTGTCCTGGCCTCTTCCATTGAGCAAGGCACCTTCAAGTCTTGGTGTTCTGAATGTCCAGACACCTTCCCGAAGTCTTGTCTCTGGACAAGATTTCCTATGGGTCCCCTTGATCATTCGGCCTGAGTTTGGGGTTTCTTTTCCTGTTCCCTTTTCCCTTACCAAAAGTTCTCAAAAGATAAACCCTGGTTTCCTCAAGTCTAGTTTCAAAGCAATAAGTGTTCAGGTAGCAAACATCTTCTATCTCATTGCATCAATCTCATGATCACAAATGCCACATTTGGCTCCCAACCTGCTCCAGGCTAATCCAATTTTATGCAAAATTATCCAGAGGTGGGATGGTGGGCATAAGTCGGCTTGAGTGTGGTCCTCCAGTCGAGAACCTCTTGAGCACAGTTAGATAATGTAGGCACTTAAAGCACGAGGTCCAAGCAGCTTGACACATGTCATTCCAGAGCCACCTCTGAAGGGTCCTTCAGAGGCCTTCGTTTTGGAATGTCTCAAATACCATGCCCCACCTCCACCTAGACCTTGGGATGGCCACTCAGAAATTCCTCCCGCACTGCCGGTAAATGCAATGCCAACTCCACATAGCCTCCATTTGGCTGTTCAGTCTCATGTCACTGGCAATGTGGATTCCTGTTCTGATCTAGGTGTTTCTGGGTTGATACAGGGCTCTACCTTTTGCTTACAAGACATTGTTAAGCCTCACCATGAGTTTTTTTTAAGCTTAGCCATGATTTACCCAAATGTTCACTCCTCATAAAAAATAATCTTCATTTTGGGGTTATTTTTTGTTGTTTTCTGTTCTAAAAAAAAATCACTGTTCTCCATGCTTATACGAGTGTCATGATGTGACACAATGTGTTCACTTGTTCACAGCAGTGGTAAAATATTTCAGAACGCGCAACTGATTTTTCTTCCTTAAAACAAAACAAAGAGGAGACCAGAGGGGGAGGGGGGGAAAGAATGTGTTCTGAGCAAACATAGGTCCTTCCGTCAAAAGCAGCTTACTCTGACCAACGCCCAAAGAATGAGCGGGGCCTGGGAGGTGCATCACGGGATGTGGAGTGTGAGCATTTTTTTGTTCAGTTGCCTTAATTTTTATTCACTTTCTAGTCATCTGATCGATATTGCAAACATCTTCACAACATACAAATGTATCTTTTATCAGCCAGAATATATATTGTAGGAATTCTTTCCCCATCTCTACTCCCTGTGGGAACTAAAAAACAAAACAAACAAACGAAAAAAAAACACAAAACAAACAAAAATATACCCCCCATCCCCCATCCCCTAAGCCAGTAAAGCAATGACAACAGCACCTTGACATTGTTTTAATTCCAACGCTATCAGAAGTTAAAAGCAGTAAAACAGATATAGTACTAACAAGAACGAAGATACTTACTGTCTAAAATGTAAACGGAATGTTTTGGTTCAAATTTTTGTTGTGTGTGTGTGTGTTTTTTTTCTGTTTTCTGAAAGAGGACAGTTTATTATCAATTCACAATTAAAGCAGCATGCAATTTATTATTTTTTTTAACTTTTTATGTTTTCAGTTCTTGGCAACGGCAACAAACCACAACATTATCAAGGAATGTAATGCAGACTTTTTAAGTTGTGCGCAAATGACTGTTTCCCTTCTGGTCATGGACATGTCCAATAAATAGATTGTAGAACCACTGTACTGTATAAACTTCATTTATACATGCAGTTCATAAAATTATTTTTTTCTTAACTGAATAATTTACCCTGTTATGTATATATACAAATAGATAATTTTTGTCTCAATATAATCTAATCTATACAACATAAATCCACTATCTTCCCCTTTTAATGGTCAATGTACATACACAAGAAGTGTCTATCCTTATGAATCGCCAGCCAATTCTCTTTTTGCTATCCATGGTAAGGGCCCGCACGTACGACTGGGTAGTTCGGCACTGGGAGTTCCAATGCCTTTTGTCTATGCCCCTGCAGCCTTCTTTTGTGTAACCCATGGGATTGCACTTGGTCTCGTAGAAGTATTGCTTCAGTTGGCCTTTTGATACAGGGACCTTTTCAAGGACTGTGACCGTCCCGCCCGACATGTCCACTGCAGTCTTTTTGTCTGCCGCCGTTACCCACTCACTAATACTGTCACACACGCTCAGCTCCCCTCGGCGGGCAGGGTCAGAGTGGCGCCGGACCCTCATGGACATGTTTGCAGCATCTAGGTAATTTTTGTATTCCTCCAGCAGAAAGAGAAGAGGAGGCTCCAAAGGCACTTGACTACTGAGCATCACCCTGGACGTGTACAAGTCTGCGTCCTTATTGTTTTCTTCATTGGGCCGAACTTTCTGGTCCTCATCCAACAGCTCTTCTATCACGTGTTCGAAAGTGTCAGCCAATGATGTCAAGCCTCTTGAACCTGCCTTGGGCCCATTCACGCTCTCCAGAGTCCCATGGGTCCGCACACCTGGGTAGGCCAAGCCACCTTGTCCTCGGATGTTTGCTTCTTTCATGGGGGCAGCCTTCATGCAACCAAAGTATGAAATAACCATAGTAAGGAAAAGGATGGTCATCACTCTTCTCACCTGGTGGAACTGTAGGGAGAAAGCAGAAACAAGACAGAAAACTGGTTAGGGCTTTCTTTCACCGGGATGCCATGTGGCCCATCTGATTGTAATTCCAGGCCATTCTGCAGGGTCAAGGTTTTTTTATGTCTTGGTGATAAACTCCAGCTGCACCAGACACAAATCAGTGTCAGTAGTGTGCTGTATGTGGTTTAATATAAACCAGAGACATGCAGTGTTTCCCCCAAGATCTAGCATATAAACCTGAGATTAGATGGCTTCTAAGCAAGTGCAAAAATTGTGGCTTCAAGTTCTCCTTCTTCCCACTTTAGCAGCTTTGTAAGTTTAATTTTTAATGATCTCTGCTCATGCTGTCACGAGAAACACAAAATCATAAATGTTACTAAGCAACAACTGCAAGTGTAATTAATAGTAATTTTTTTCAAGTTAGCAACATGGTCCTTTGCAGGAATGTGTGACAGGAACAGCAGTGGCCTGAGGGGTCTGATGGGCCTTTCTAGCTATGTGATGTCTAGGCATGAATAGCACAATAAAACAGCAGTTGGGGAACTATAAGGAGCCTTTAAATTGACTTTTTTTTTCCTCTTCCCACAGAGATACTCTATTATAGCAAAGAAGAAAGATAATTTCATTGAGCCATCCTGTTTTACAGGTAAGGAAACCAAAGGCCATAGAAGACTTGCCTTATGTCATGAAGAAAGTTTATGTTAGAACTCAGGGCTCCCAATTCCACTGTTCTTTATTCTACACCTGGGTGGTCACAACTGAAAATGTTTTGCTTATTTCTAAACAGAAATCATTTTTTGACATGTTCATTTTAATGATGTGTCTATGCCTGGGGCTAATGTCATGAAAACAATGTGTCTGGTAAGGAGAAAACTGAAAAAGTCAGCATTAAAAAGACATTTAAGTCCATTTCAAATGCCTCCCATATGCAGACTCCACTTTATCTCCTCCAGTTCTCTAAAACCCTTCACTCCTTGGCTTTTTCTGGCTAATACACACATCTAGCTAAGAAAGCTCAACTTTTCTTTTTACTAGAGATGTTCTCTCTGTGTGTGTGTGTGTGTGTGCGCGCGCGCGTGTGCGCGCGCTCTGAGTTTATCCTACTTTTAAAAAGCTGAGTGGTGTTTTACACATTTTGGAATAGGCAGCTAGTGCTTCTTTTTCTGCTTTTGAAGTTTCCTGGGAAGTCCCTTAAAAGCATACCACAAAATTAATCTCTTCCTGTTTGCCAGAGGGTTGCTCTACTCTAAATTTGGCTCTACATCTACAAGCATGCTCTAGGAAGCCAATTAAAATGGATGAACAAGCAAAATGAAAACATACCTATGGACCAACCCAAGGTTACCGTCAGGTGGTGAAGGACTTCAGAATCACTTACCTGAAGCATTGTGTTTCTCAGCAGCAAAGAGTAGCATCCCCAGCCCTGACCCTAATTTTATTCCTACTTCTCAGTTCTGAGGCATGGACTTACAAAAAGACACATACATGCAATGGCCATCATGATATCCAAATAAGTAGGAAAAGGAACTGTGTTTCTGCCCATGAAGTTTTACTGAATTCAAAGGCAACCTACCTCCAGTCAATAGGTCAGAATGCAGAAATGGCTGAAAACTCTGGTATTGAAAAGCAAATGTTCTCCACTTTTGTAAGAAATAACATTTTCAACCACTAAGAGACTTTATTACCATCCCTAAACACACAAAAAAATTTCTTTTAGATTTACTCTCACTTTGCACGAATAGCAAACATGCTTAGAACTGCTTAGATTGCACAATGTTCTCAGATTAGGAAGGGAAAATTGGTTTGAATAAAATACAGATGTCTATTCCGCTAACAACTAAATCTTTGTGAATGTTCTGAGTCCTGTACCATCAAAGAAATAGATCGTCCATGGGGGTTTCTATTTCTGGTAGATTGTACTTACACACTGAATGAAAAAGCTTTCTCCTAATATTCCCAGTCCAAATAAAAACAACCCAAGGGGCACCTCTTATTTAGGTCAATAAAAGTTTGCAAATGTGGAATACTTTAGCCATCTACATCACACTGGTAGAGACTTTCTGTGATCAGCTATTTTTTAATACCATATTTAATCAAATCTAAGATACCATCATTGTGAAACTCGACATTTTATATATCACTAAGAAAGCAAAAATGCAGCCTGGGTGACCAGAGTGAAACTCCATCTCAAAAAAAAAAAAAAAAGAATTAATGAACTATAGTTTAATACATATTTACTAAGTGCCCACACTAACTACTTAAAAATGGTCCAAAATACTGAGGCATCTTAAGCTGTTGGAAAATTGTTTTGTTTTCACCACTACAGTAATGAGTCTTTGAATGATACCATTTTCTATACTTGGCTTCTAGTTTACTCTGCCTTTCACTGATCTTATCTTTTTATTAATAACTTTATGAGAAAAATAATTAATGCTTTATATATTGTTCTCTCAGTTCCATGAGCAAATATTTCAGAGGGAAAATTGGCATCTGAGTAAATATTACTTGGCTTTCATTCTGAAGCCCAAACATGGGTATTCCTCAAGCTGAGCATCTGCATAGAATTAGGAATTAACACAATGGTGACAAAGTCCAACCCCACATTGCAAGCCCTGCTCTCTGAGTGGCACTTCTGCAATTCTAACTAACTGTCTACTCACTTGTAAGGCCTTGAAGTTAAGTGGGTGCAACACCAAACTCAATACTTTTTGTTGGAACAGTGGTATCTCCTACCTTTTCTAACAATGGTTCCCTGATATTTTGGGCAACCCAGGCATAGGATAGAAATCCTGGAATCAAGTTTGACAATATATTTCCTGCATAGCCTTCCAATCCAGTCAGTAAAGATGTCCTGTTAATTTTTCCTTTAAAATATTTGTCCTGGCCATCCCTTTTTATCCATCCCACTGCCACCATCTTGGCTCAGCCCTCACCACCTCATTTTGTGACCACAACGTCCCGATGCTGTATCAGACACTCTTTCTGCTCCATTCAACTCTGATGACCACTTCCTGGGTAACCACCCTAATACTATTCTCTTACACAAAAACTGGCAATGGCATTTTTGTTCTATCTGCTCAAATCTAATGTCTTCTCTCTGATACTCAACTCTCTCCAACATCTGCCCTCACCCTTCTTAGCTAACTTTCTCAAACTACTCAATGCTTCATCACTTCTGCTCCGATCAGGACAGAGTCCTTGGAGTGCCGTACACATTACTGCCTCCTGACTTGTTCCATTCCTCTGACAAACTCCTCTCTCCCTCTCACTTGCTGCCAAAATCTTGCTTATCCTTCATGATCCAGTTCAAGCATCAAATCATGCATGCCCCTTTCTCTAATTACTCCAGCATACACTGCCTTCCTTCCCTAAAATTCCACATTACATCTTACGTAGTACTTGATTCCCTTCTCACTTGTTTTGTTTTGTTTTTTTCCCAAGACAGAGTCTTGCTCTGTCGCCCAGGCTGGAGTGCAATGGTGCAATCTCGGCTCACTGCAATCTCCACCTCCTGGGTTCAAGCAATTCTCCTGCCTCAGCAGGAGGTAGCTGGGATTACAGGCGCCCACCACCATGCCCGGCTAATTTTTGTATTTTTAGTAGAGACAGGGTTTCACCATGTTGGCCGAGCTGGCCTACTCACTTGTTAATTGTTAACCGTATTTGCTCATTCTAGTCAGTCTTCAGCTGAAAGGTAAGTTCTTTGAGGGAATGGATCATGTCTGAGCCCCCATAATGCTTAACAGAGAAAAATGTAATAGCAGTACTCAGTAAAAACTTACTGATAGGTTTATTAAACTAAGAGAAAAGACAGTTTGGATATAATTTTCGTAAGAAGCCTTTTCATTTGGAAAGATCAGTGAACCCATTGAAATTCTCAGGTAAATATAGGCTGTGCTAACCCCAAATTATAAACTCTAAGGCAGTGGTCCCAACCTTTTTGGCAGCAGGAACCAGTTTTGTGGAAGACAATTTTTCCACGGTCTGGGAGTAGCAGGGTGGATGGTTTTGGGATGAAATGGTTCCACCTTAGATCATCAGTTAAATTATCATAAGGAATTGGATTCTCATAAGGAGCACACAACCTAGATCCCTTGCATGTGCAGTTCACAACAGGGCTCATGCTTCTATGAGAATCTAATGCTGCTGCTGATCTGAAAGGAGACAGAGCTCAGATGGCAATGTTTGCTCACCCGCCGCTCACTTCCTACTGTGCAGCCTGGTTCCTAACAGGCCAGGGACTGGTAACAATCCATGGCCTGGGTGTTGCGGATCCCTGCTCTAAGGAATTTGACAGATAGCAATTATCAGCCATGACCAACTTCTTGAGTTCCTCTAATGGAATAAAACCTTACTTGAATAATTAAAAAGCAGATAACACTACCACATACTAACTGTCCTACAATTTCCTGTGTAGCTCTATTTCTAACAGATCAATAAGAGACTTGGGAAGTAATAACAATAATAATAGCAAAATTTGTAGTTTTCAGCCTTTTAACTTCTTGTTTCTTATTCTGCTAAGCTTTCAATGAGTAATTTTATATACTGTATTAGGAAATAATAAAAGATTAAGTAAGAGCTTCCAGGACAATTCTTCATTTTCAACCTTCGGATGACTCTTTATCACACATAAGATAAAGAGGCTGTGTAATATTGCTAAGCAGATTATATATTTATTTATACTTAATAAATTCATTGATGCTGTCTAATTCTGCTTTAAGGCTTACAGCCATTAATTCAACCACATCTATAAAATGCTAGGAAGGCTTTCATAGCCCCACTGTCAGGAAATTCAATATAGTACATAGAACTAAAAAGAAAATCAATGAAGTAGATATCAAGTTTAGCTTTAAGTGTGACTCACAAGTCTTAGACATTTCACTGAAAGAATGTCCATAACAACATGCTCTTTTACTCTTGCTGTAGTCATAACTTACATTTGTCTAAGAGACTATAGAACATTCACAGGCGTCATCTAATTTGATTTTTACAAGGAGACAGGATGGGTATTATTATCCCCATTATATAGATGAGGCAATTATGCGTCAGAGAGGTTAGGTAACCTGTCAAATGCCATAAAGCTAGTAGGTCACCTGTCTCCTGAACCAAGCTTTTACCATCAGGATGTGTTGCCAGTTTTAGAATATCAGCCACAGAGAAGAGAGTGGCTGTGACAACGAAGGAGCTTACAAAATGTGGACACTGCAGCTATGTGTGTCCTGGAACCTAACTTTCTAAAAGGAGTGCCATTAAGATACTACTTTGTAGGTCTAGATTAATCATGACCAAGATCCTTCAACTTTAAGGCTTGATTACTTAAATGGATGAAATTTCAGACAATGTGGTCTTTTTCTAAGAGAAAGAACTGCAAAAATTGTAGCATGTTAGAACTAAGTTTCTATGGCCAAAGGTGGGAAAACAAGCAACAGTACAGATAATTCAGGCATACAGAAAAAAAAAAAAGTCTTGTTTGTTCCCAGCCCCTTTGGGTTTTACCTGTGAGCGTGTAATCAGAGAAAACACAGTTTAAAGATATGGCTGCTCATTTTAGACAGTCCTATAAAGATAATGGTAATGCTGAAGAAGTTATTAATATTTGGTTCCTAACATATATGATACAAACTATTAAGAGTTGACCTTAATGAAATCTTGCAAATCAATATTTAAAAATTTTTAATTTGCATCCAGTTGACTATATCCATATGTTAGACTTCCTTTTGTTCATTCATTCATCACACATGAAGTCTACTTTCCAGTCTTACTTACCTCCCTCCCTAGGAGGGAGGTAGGACATACGTAACTAGAATATAAAGGTAGAAATGACCCAGAAAAGGTACAGATACAATTTTATAAAGAGAAAGAAGTTACTTCCAGTTAGGGAATAAAGGAATGCATTGTCAAGAAGGTTGCAAAGGGCCAGGTGCAGTGGCTCACATTTGTAATCCCAACACTTTGGGAGGCCGAGGCGGGAGGATCACTAGAGCCCAGGAATTCGAGATCAACCTGGGCAACACAGTGAGACCATGTCTCTACAAAAACTTAAAAATTAAAAAAATTAGGTGTGGTGGTGCACACCTGTAGTTTCAGCTACTTGGGAGGCTGAGGTGGGAGGATTACTTGAGTCTAAGAAGTTGAGGCTACAGTGAGCGATTGATCATGCCACTGAACTCCAGCCTGGGTGACAGAGACACTATTGCCCTAGGAAAGCAACTGTTTTGCTGTAATCAATGAAGGCTCCCGATAGCCAGAGCCACCCAGAATTCACAGTCACATCGAACCTTGCCCTCATCCTCTGCCTCCTTGTCACAGAGCAACACTGCCCCAGTAGCACACATCTCCAGTCTGTAACAAAGAAGTCTTAGCATCAAGCATACTCAAGCCACTTGGATAGCAAATGAGGTCATCTGAAAATACTTTTAAAGTTTACTTTTTTAAAAAACAGTTTTTTGTTTACAGGACCCAAATGGCAGTTGACATTCCCTGTAAAAGTTTAACCTCTTCAATTAGAATTCTGTTTTCTTTAGAATTTCAGGTGGGATCTGTTACAATTCACTGAAGTTTAGATTTGACAATGTTCTATCTACTATGTTATTGAAACCATATAATATTTACCAAATTCCCATACATGGTAGACAGTGACATTAATTAAGAAGATAATTTCCAATTTGTTCCATGAAGTTTCAGTGACCCACTCTGTAATAAAGAACTTGGAAAGGGAGGTTCCAAGATGGCCAAATATGAACAGCTCCAGTCTACAGCCCCCAGCGTGAGTGATGCAGAAGACGGGTGATTTCTGCATTTCCAACTGAGGTACCGGGTTCATCTCACTGGGGCTTGTCAGACAGTGGGTACAACCCACGGAGCATGAGCCAAAGCAGGGTGGGGCATCACCTCACCCAGGAAGCACAAGGGGTTGGGGAATTCCCTTTCCTAGCCAAGGGAAGCCATGACTGACGGTACCTGGAAAATCAGGACACTCCCCACCCTAATACTGTGCTTTTCCAATGGTCTTAGCAAACGGCACACCAGGAGATTATGTCCCAGGCCTGGCTCGGAGGGTCCCATGCCCACGGAGCCTGGCTCACTGCTAGCACAGCAGTCTGAGATCGAACTGCAAAGCAGCAGCGAGGCTGGGGGAGGGGTGTCCACCATTGCTGAGACTTGAGTAGGTAAACAAAGCAGCCAGGAAGCTCGAAATGGGTGGAGCCCACCGCAGCTCAAGGAGGCCTGCCTGCCTCTGTAGACTCCACCTCTAGGGGCAGGGCACAGCTGAACAAAAGACAGCAGAAACTTCTGCAGACTTAAATGTCCCTGTCTGACAGCTTTGAAAAGAGTAGGGGTCCTCCCAGCATGGAATATGATATCTGAGAATGGACAGTCTGCCTCTTCAAGTGGGTTCCTGACCCCTGAGTAGCCTAACTGGGAGGCACCTCCCAGTAGGGGCCGACTGACACCTCATACGGCCAGGTGCCCCTCTGAGACGAAGCTTCCAGAGGAACAATCAGGGAGCAACATTTGCCGTTCTGCAATATTTGCTGTTCTGCAGCCTCTGCTGGTGATACCCAAGCAAACAGGGTCTGGAGTGGACCTCCAGCAAACTCCAACAGACCTGCAGCTGAGGGTCCTGACTGTTAGAAGGAAAACTAACAAAGAGAAAGAACATCCACACCAAAACCCCATCTGTACGTCACCATCATCAAAGACCAAAGGTAGATAAAACCAATAAGATGGGGAGAAACCAGAGCAGAGAAGCTGAAAATTCTAAAAATCAGAGCACGTCTTCTCCTCCAAAGGAATGCAGCTCCTCGCCAGCAATGGAACAAAGCTGGACAGAGAATGACTTTCACAAGTTGAGAGAAGAAGGCTTCAGATGATCAGTAATAACAAACTCCTCCGAGCTAAAGGAGGATGTTTGAACCTTTTAGCAAAGAAGCTAAAAACCTTGAAAAAACATTAGACGAATGGCTAACTAGAAAAAACAGCATAGAGAAGACCTTAAATGACCTGATGGAGCTGAAAACCATGGCACGAGAACTATGTGACACATGCACAAGCTTCAGTAGCTGATTCAATCAAGTGGAAGAAAGGGATTGAAGATCAAATGAATGAAATGAAGCAAGAAGAGAAGTTTAGAGAAAAAAGAGTAAAAAGAAATGAACAAAGCCTCCAAGAAATATGGGACTATGTGAAAAGACCAAATCTACATCTGATTGGTGTACCTGAAAGTGATGGGGAGAATGGAACCAAGTTGGAAAACGCTCTGCAGGATATTATCCAGGAGAACTTCCCCAATCTAGTGAGGCAGGCCAGCATTCAAATTCAGGAAATACAGAGAATGCCGCAAAGATACTCCTCAAGAAGAGTAACTCAAAGACACATAATTGTCAGATTCACCAAAGTTGAAATGAAGGAAAAAACATTAAGTGCAGCGAGAGAGAAAGGGCAGGTTACCCACAAAGGGAAGTCCATCAGACTAACAGCATCTTTCGGCAGAAACTCTACAAGCCAGAAGAGAGTGGGGGCCAATATTCAACATTCTTAAAGAAAAGAATTTTCAACCCAGAATTTCATATCCAGCCAAACTAAGCTTCATAAGTGAAGGAGAAATAAAATCCTTTACAGACAAGCAAATGCTGAGAGATTTTGTCACCACCAGGCCTGCCTTACAAGAGCTCCTGAAGGAAGCACTAAACATGGAAAGGAACAACCAGTACCAGCCACTGCAAAAACATGCCAAATTGTAAAGATCATTGAGGCTAGGAAGAAACTGCATCAACTAACGAGCAAAATAACCAGCTAACATCATAATGACAGGATCAAATTCACACATAACAATATTAACCTTAAATGTAAATGGGCTAAATGCTCCAGTTAAAAGACATGGACTGGCAAATTGGATAAAGAGTCAAGACCCATCAGTGTGCTGTATTCAGCAGACCCATCTCATGTGCAGAGACGCACATAGGCTCAAAATAAAGGGATGGAGGAAGATCTACCAAGGAAATGGAAAGCAAAAAAAAGCAGGAGTTGCAATCCTAGTCTCTGATAAAACAGACTTTAAACCAACAAAGATCAAAAGAGACAAAGAAGGCCATTACATAATGATAAAGGGATCAATTCAACAAGAAGAGCTAACTATCCTAAAAATATATGCACCTAATACAGGAGCACCAGATTCACAAAGCAAGTCCTTAGAGACCTACAAAGAGACTTAGACTCCCACACAATAATAATGGGAGACTTTATCACCCCACGGTCAATATTAGACAGATCAACAAGACAGAAAATTAACAAAGATATCCAGAAATTGAACTCAGCTCTGCACCAAGCGGACCTAATAGACATCTACAGAACTCTCCACTCCAAATCAACAGAATATACATTCTTCTCGGCACCACATCACACTTATTCCAAAAATTGACTACATAGTTGGAAGTAAAGCACTCCTCAGCAAATGTAAAAGAACAGAAATTATAACAAACTGCCTCTCAGACTACAGTGCTTTCAAACTAGAACTCAGGATTAAGAAACTCACTCAGAACCACTCAACTACATGGAAACTGAGCAACCTGCTCCTGAGTGACTACTGGGTACTTAACGAAGTGAAGGCAGAAATAAAGATGTTCTTTGAAACCAATGAGAACAAAGACACAACATACCAGAATCTCTGGGACACATTTAAAGCAGTGTGTAGAGGGAAATTTATAGCACTAAATGCCCACAAGAGAAAGCAGGAAAGATCTAAAATTGACACCCTAACATCACAATTTAGAGAAGCAAGAGCAAACACATTCAAAAGCTAGCAGAAGACAAGAAATAACTAAGATCAGAGTAGAACTGAAGGAGATAGAGACAGAAAAACTCCTTCAAAAAATCAATGAACCCAGGAGCTGGTTTTTTAAAAAGATCAACAAAATTGATAGATCACTAGCAAGACTAATAAAGAAGAAAAGAGAAAAGAATCAAATAGATGCAATAAAAGGTGATAAAGGGGATATCACCACCAATCCCACAGAAATACAAACTACCATCAGAGAACACTATAAACACTTCTATGCAAATAAACTAGAAAACCTAAAAGAAATTTATAAATTCCTGGACACACACACCCTCCCAGGACTAAACCAGGAAGAAGTTGAATCTCTTAATAGACCAATAACAGGCTCTGAAATTGAGGCAATAATTAATAGCCTACCAACCAAAAAAATCCATCAGGACCAGATGGATTCACAGCTGAATTCTACCAGAGGTATAAGGAGGAGCTGGTACCATTCTGAAACTATTCTAATCAATAGAAAAAGAGGGAATCCTCCCTAACTCATTTTATGAGGCCAGCATCATCCTGATACCACAGCCTGACAGAGACACAACAAAAAAAGAGAATTTCAGGCCAATATCCCTGATGAAGATCGATGGAAAAATCCTCAGTAAAATACTGGCAAACCGAATCCAGCAGAACATCAAAAAGCTTATCCACCATGATCAAGTTGGCTTCATCCCTGGGATGCAAGGCTGGTTCAACATATGCAAATCAATAAATATAATCCATCATATAAACAGAATCAAAGACAAAAACCATGATTATCTCAATAGATGCAGAAAAGGCCTTTGACAAAATTCAACAGCCTTTGTGCTAAAAACTCTAAATAAACTAGGTATTGATGGGACATATCTCAAAATAATAAGAGCTATTCACGACAAACCCACAGCCAATGTCATACTGAATGGGCAAAAGCTGGAAGCATTCCCTTTGAAAACTGGCACAAAACAAGGATGTCCTCTGTCACCACTCCTATTCAACATAGTATTGGACGTTCTAGCCAGGGCAATCAGGCAATAGAAAGAAATAAAGGATATTCAAATAGGAAGAGAGGAAGTCAAATTGTCTCTGTTTGCAGATGACATGATTGTATATTTAGAAAACCCCATCATCTCAGCCCAAAATCTCCTTAAGCTGATAAGCAACTTCAGCAAAGTCTCAGGATACAAAATCAATGTGCAAAAATCACAAGCATTCCTATACACCAATAACAGACAAACAGAGAGCCAAATCATGAGTGAACTCCCATTCACAATTGTTTCAAAGAGAATAAAATACTTAGGAATCCAACTTACAAGGGATGTGGAAGACCTCTTCAAGGAGAACTACAAACCACTGCTCAAGGAAATAAAAGAGGACGCAAACAAATGGAAGAACATTCCATTCTCATGGGTAGGAAGAATCAATATCATGAAAATGGCCATACTACCCAAGGTAATTTATAGATTCAATGCCATCCCCATCAAGCTACCAATGACTTTCTCCACAGAATTGGAAAAAAACTACTTTAAAGTTCATATGGAACCAAAAAAGAGCCCGCATCGCCAAGACAATCCTAAACCAAAAGAACAAAGCTGGAGGCATCACGCTACCTGACTTCAAACTATATTACAAGGCTACAGTAACCAAAACAGCATGGTACTGGTACCAAAACAGAGATATAGACCAATGGAACAGAACAGAGCCCTCAGAAACAATACCACACATCTACAACCATCTGATCTTTGACAAACCTGACAAAAACAAGAAATGGGGAAAGGATTCTCTATTTAATAAATGGTGCTGGGAAAACTGGCTAGCCATATGTAGAAAGCTGAAACTGGATCCCTTCTTTACACCTTATACAAAAATTAATTCAAGATGAATTAAAGACTTACACGTTAGACCTAAAACCATAAAAACCCTAGAAGAAAACCTAGGCAATACCATTCAGGACATAGGCATGGACAAGGACTTCATGACTAAAACACCAAAAGCAATGGCAACAAAAGCCAAAATTGACAAATGGGATCTAATTAAACTAAAGAGCTTCTGCACAGCAAAAGAAACTACCATCAGAGTGAATAGGAAACCTACGGAATGGGAGAAAATTTTTACAATCTACCCATCTGACAAAGGGCTAATATCCAGAATCTAAAAGAACTTAAACAAATTTACAAGAAAAAATCAAATGACCCCATCAAAAAGTGGGTGAAGGATATGAACAGACACTTCTCAAAAGAAGACATTTATGTAGCCAAAAGACACATGAAAAAATGCTCATCATCACTGGCCATCAGAGAAATGCAAATCAAAACCACAATGAGATACCATCTCACACCAGTTAGAATGGCGATCATTAAAGTCCGGAAACAACAGGTGCTGGAAAGGATGTAGAGAAATAGGAACACTTTTACACTGTTGATGGGACTGTAAACTAGTTCAAACATTGTGGAAGACAGTGTGGCGATTCCTCTAGGATCTAGAACTAGAAATACCATTTGAGCCAGCCATCCCATTACTGGGTATATACCCAGAGGATTATAAATCATGCTACTATAAAGACACATGCACACGTATGTTTATTGCGGCACTATTTACAATAGCAAATACTTGGAGCCAACCAAATGTCCATCAGTGAGCAAGGACATCATTCTGAGCAAACTATCGCAAGGACAGAAAACCAAACACCGCATGTTCTCACTCATAGGTGGGAACTGAACAATGAGAACACTTGGACACAGGGTGGGGAACATCACACACTGGGACCTGTCATGGAGTAGGGGTAGGGGGGAGGGATAGCATTAGGAGATATACCTAATGTAAATGACGAGTTAATGGGTGCAGCACACCAACATGGCACATGTATACATATGTAACAAACCTGCAGGTTGTGCACATGTACCCTAGAACTTAAAGTATAATTAAAAAAAAAAAGAACCTGGAGAAATTATCAAGTAAGCATCATATTTAATGAATTTATGGTGAAATCATGTGGGAAAAATTTTTCTGTACAGGGATGATGACTCTGGAAATGGTGGAGAGAGAGACAGAAAAACAAATGTCACTGTAACACAGGTATTTAAATTGTATTTAAATACACAGACTTTTGAATTTATAGAAAATTTTCAAGTATGAAATTGATTTCATGCAACCTAAAGTCTCAAACTTCAAATAATTTTTTGTGTTAAATTTATAAATTGTGTATTAATGCAATTCAAATTTATTCCTAAAAATATTTTAACTAAAGGAGAAATTCCTGGGGCCTGAGATTAGAGTTTTAGGAAATGTACATATGGGATAAACTTACACAGGCTGAAATTAAGTGAAACCTTACTTCTCAATGTTGAGATGGATTAGCCATTTTAACATAAAGTAGAAACTTCTAAGAAATGCAGAATCTCAACTTCCCCACCCTCATTCCACCTACCCCACCCACTCAATCAGATCCTGCATTTCAATAAGATTTATTTAGTGCAATAACTTTTTTACTTATCAAAGTTGAGAAGCACAGGACTAAATGATAAAGAGAAAAGAGGCTGCTTAGGATAAGGAAATAAAAGGTTGAAGTTAACTTAAGTATTATGATACTTTCTTAGCGTGTCATACGGTTACCTGTCATCTTTCCTCTTTGGTTCAACTTGTTTTATGGGGACATTTATGTGGGAAAATATCTTTGCTTTTGTAATTTATGTGGGAAAATATCTTTGCTTTTGTGTTTTTACTTAAGTAAAATCTGGGCTCCTTTTATGTCAACTAGCTTTTCCACTATTGTTATTATGATAGAAAGTACAGGCTACTTATAAACATGATTAGTTCAATGAGAACTTTTAGAATATTGCTGACCTAAATCTGGACATCTACACAATCATTAATTCTTACCAAAATGCTACAAGGCAATATAAGCATAATTAGCCTCCCTGATCCCTGAACATAGCCTAATATCACTCACTCAATCAGAATCATACTGGAAACGATATGACCAACTATGGCAGGTAGTAGATGTCCAGTCACACTAGTATTGCTTTCAGCCAGATGTCTCTGGTCCTTGTGAGTTCCTTTCGTCCTTAATGGTGAAATAGCAACAGAGGGAACCAACTCACTCACTCAAGGCAGATTTCTTATTTCTAGACTTGTCCTGAAACCAACAGATCCAGCTCTCTCCTACCAAATACCATGAAATTTAAACAAACGAAACTCGCAAAATAATACAGCAGCAGCAGCAACAACAACAATGAAATATTAAAATAGTAAATATAAGTATCAAACATCAAAACCCCCTCTCCAACCAAAATCTCTCTTCTTCGATAAAGTTCCCAGGAGGTAACCCAATTTCTAGGTTGGTGTCCAATATTTGGGATCATTTGATTCAAGACTGAAGTACTTAAAATGGCTTTTAAAAAAGGAAAAAAGGTTAGATTTCCAGAGAAAAGTGTAACATTTTTTAAGTTGAACATTATGAGGGATTTGATGGGGGCAGCTTTGCAAGTAGAACTGGAGACTGGTCCACTGTTCAGGCTTTTTACGAAAGACTGCAAAGGTTGTTTGTTTCCAAACACCAAGAAGTCACCAAGTTCACCAGTCCAAATGCAAATGACTCACACTAGGAACCCTAATAGTGCTGCTGTTAAGTCATTTGCAAATGGGTGGGGCTGAGATGACACAGAACCCTATTTTCCCAGGTGGCATCTTAAGTATGGTTGATTCTACCTTCAGCCCCACATTTAAAAGTACAGTGTAAACACAGCTAAGGGACCGCCTCCTTCAAATTACACACAAGGCACACCTACTAATAGGAGATGTTGTGAAAGCCAGGTGGGGCTTTGTCTTTCAAGTCCCTGCATCCAAGAATAAGCATGCTGTGTACAAAAAAAAAAAAAAAAGCAAGGGTGATGCAACTGCATTCATTGTCCCTAAAGGGAGAACATGCAATAATTCTCAGATCCAAGGATAAAGGGAATCCCCCTTTAAGAAAAGATGTTGGCATTATGTGGGGATTGGGAACATGCCAGAACAATCACACATTTTTACAAGAGAGAGAAAGAGAAAAAAAGTTAAGACCCATTTGTCTTATTTCAGTCTCTTTCTTCAGAATTGACGACTTTAATCAACAGGTCACTTTCAGAGTATTGCTGGACACCTTGACTTTCTGCCATGAAATGCTATGGGAATTCTGGCAGTTGAGAGCCAACACCCCACTAGACACCAGTGCTGCATAACCACACTTTTAATAGACCCCAGAGCTGTGGTGACAGCATGCCCTTCCCAGTTTTTCCACAGACGGTGCTCCTGAAATTTTCCATAGACAGTGTATTCTTGTGGTTAATTAGTTATCTGAGCAATTTCCATTATAGAAAGAGTATCTGTACATAATTAAACCCATCTTAGGACCAAACTGCCGGGCTTCAATGTCATTAATTCAGAAGGGCTAAAATGAAAATGAGATGAATAATTCTCACCTGATGAAGGGACCGCACTAGATTAGATCCTATCCTCTGAAATACATAGAGCATTAAATTTAAAAAAACAAGAGAGATGAAAACAGGTGATGGAAGAAACTGGAAAGGTAAGTTGCCTCTAGAGACCAAAGAATAACACTCCTTTTCAAACTATTATCAAGAAATCTTGGGGGAAAGATAAAATTAGCAAGAGAAGGCTATTAGCTCTCTGTTACTCACCTTTATGAAACCATTTTCAGGGATCAGTTTGTTAAATTCCACTGAAACGTGGAGGTACACAGCACAGCCCTTCTTCTGGGATGCACAGTCATGCCATACAGAAGCGTGTGGGTAGACGCCAAAACATGTGTGGACCTGCAACCCTTTCTGTAGAAACTCAGCATTCTGAGTAGTAACAAGGATTAACCTTGTGCACTCATGGAGAAAACTGGTGGCTCCACACATCCAGTTGTCCTTCGGGTTATTTTTGCATCCCACTCTATAATTTCTTTTAATTACTTAACTGTAAAGCACAGGAAAGTGCTCATTACTTGTAGCTTAATGCAGGAGGAAATATAATTGAATATGTTCTCCTAGCCACTGCTCTACCCCAGCTCCCAGCTCTTCTGAAGTGTCACGGTTCATTTCAACAGCACGAGTAAGGCAGTTTCCAGGCCCTGTGCATAATGAGCCATGTGGACCCTATTCAAGAAACTGGCTGTACTCCAGAACTACTATAAAATATAAGGAAAATATTAACATCTTAGATGACAAAAGATCCATATGGCTGGCCAGAAAATATCTGCATCATTTAAGCCATTAGAATGCACCTATATGGAAACATTCAATTTGGCGGTACTGTGAACAACAGGACTGTGAAAACATCTGTTTATCTCCACCCGTTTTCACTAAACACTGATTCCTATAGAAGACATGCAAACTCAAATACCAACATATTTCATCTAAGCATAGGACAGGGACTCCATTTTTACATAGTTGCTATAATAAATACAATACAGTATTTGTTGGTGATAGGATTTTGGAAGATGCTCTGGATAGCTGGAAAAATAAGTAAAATGTTTCTCTTTGTATTAAACTTGATAAAAAATAATAGCTAACATTTATTAATGGTGAGGTAAATAATTTGATTATCCACCATTTATAGCTGAGGAAACTGAGGCCCAGAGAGTTTCGGTGGATTCCCTAAGATCACATACCCATTATGTGGTGGAGAGGGAATATGAACCAGTGCTGGCTTGCTATGCCTCTTTCCATATGGGGTCAGACATAGATGTGGTGTCTTATAATGTGAGGGAGGTCTACTTGGCAGAAATATCCTGCAGACCCTATATGCCAGTTTCTTATTTATTTAAACAAAGCCCCATATGAGCATTTCTGATAAGCAGTTTGTTTACACACTAATTCCACAGAGGTTAAATATAACCCTAATGTTTCTTTGTTGCTACTCTGTTTCCAGTATTGAATTATTACCACAAGGTACCAACCATATATGCATACTTAATAGGGTATTTTGTCAAAACTATGCATGAAGGTCATTTGTTTGAGATGTCAGAACATTTTCCCGTGAGAAGATCTCATTGGGCATTGAAACAGAACCACATGCTCTTCAGACCAGCAACCGCGACTACCAAATACTCCTCTGTCAACTCTACTTGAGTAAGAACGCTTTCAATTAAGGCCTAAGTGTCAACATGCCTTTAAAAAAAATCGTGGTGACACAAAATCTTTCTTTTTAGCACCCAACAGAATCCCTTCAAAGCCTCGTGGTCTGACACCCTATGCTACGTGACTTGTGACCCATCCATTTGTCATGTTCTTCGGGAATGTGGCTAAGGGGCTAAGATGTGACTTGAAAAGAAAGGTAGAACAAGATCATCTCAAATTTATTATCAAGGAATAGTTCAGAAAACGACTTCAGACCACAGAGACAGCAGAACAGATGGTCCGGCATGGATAGAGCATCAGACACTCACAGACTGTGCCAACAAGAGCCATCGAGTCAAAACAGCCAAAGGAAGGAGGGTCATGGAATGGGTTCTCTCACACCAAACTGATGCCCAGAGGCCCTCAGCATGAATAACAAAGGCAACCAGACCCACAAGCCATACTGAGTGGATACAAAACCTATACCTAGGCTGACATCCCAAATGTGTGTGGCAAGTTAGATGATGATGGCACAAAAGACAGAACACCTTGCTTCTGGCCATTGTCAGCTCTTGGAAGAGAGCACACTTTTAGAGGAGCAGCTGCAAGGAGCCTGAGAACAAAACTGGAAATGTCTGTTATGAAAGCCTTCACAGGTATTATTAACAAAAGAAAATGTCTATTTGTCAATGGTGTTTCAGCTAGATTTTGGCAGTCCATTCTTATGCCCAGGAATGACCTCTTGTGTAGACTGGATACAGTCATCAATGCAACTGTCCAGGTGCAACTCTTCTATAAAGGGGAAGAGGAGTGACTTTCCCCTATACAGTGGCCCTGTCAAAATTCTATAAAAAATATTGTCCATTTAAATTAAATAACCACTGTGCCCGGCTCCATTTACCACACTTTTCTATGCAGTGGAACTGAAGGGGATTTTTTTTTTTGCTGTCCTCAGAGAAAAATAAGACTAAGAATCAACCTTTCTAATGAGAATGGTAAGGAGTTATGTGGGGATGACCTGGAATATATGCTGCTCAAATGGTGGAGATGTTATCTAGGCCGTAAATCATGGCATTTTTATATGATCCCCTATTTGCCTAATGCAGGAAACCACTTGGCAACTTTAAGGAAAAAGTCTAGCAATAATGCATCATAGTTCAATGTTTATATTGTACTTGGACAGTTTAAATTTATCTTATAAAGTACTAATTATTTAATTACAAATGTTGAGTAAGTGTAAAATCATTCCTCAAAAAAGCATCCCTTGAGTATGAAAGTTCCAAGCTTAGCAAGACATCCCTGTGATTTGGGATACATCTCTTGAACTCAGTCCTGAAAATAATGTTAATAGCTGAGAAAAGAGCATTGAAAGCCTTATACACAGTGTGTTGTAGTGAAACAATTTTCTTTTTGGTTCTAAAAAACACTGTTGTGCTCTTTAGATCCAGCATGGCTAGTTAGATGAATAATGAATGCATGTTCAACTTTCTGCTACAGGAAATTCTGCAAGTGGCAACGTGGGTCCATTCCGTGTGTGTCACTAGAGCTGGCGCAAGCCCATGGCCATGGTGAGGCAGCGTTTCCACTGGAACTAATCTGATACCTGCACCAGCTCTTGCAACTGTGCAGTGTTCCCACTGCAAACTACGGATGGGGTAAAAGACTGCTCACCTCCTATTTCTCATCTAATCTCACACACTCTGTTTGATGAGGCTATGGAGAAACAGGTCTTCTCATACACTAAAGGTGGGAGTACAAACAATTCAAGCCCTGTGCAGGACAATTAGGCAATACCTATCAAAATTATACATGATTTTTCCTGCTGACCCAGCAATTCCACTTCTGGGAATAATTGACAGATATAGGTGCATATGTACAAAATGATGGAAAGCTCTCTGGTATATATTAGTAAGTGATAAAACAAGGTGTAAAATAGTGTATATATGGCTACTACCTTTTGTTTTAAAAATGGGGGAAAATGGTGGAGCTTGCGGTGAGCCGAGATCGTGCCACTGCACTCCAGCCTGGGCGACAGAGCGAGACTCCGTCTCAAAAAAAAAACAGGGTGGGGTGGGGGGGAAATAATAGTACATACTCATATTTACCTGTATCTATATAAAACACACTATCAAGGATTCACAAGAAACTAATACAAATGATCACCTTATAGATGGTATGTATTGGGGGATACTGAGGTGAGCAGGGTATAAGTGGGGCAAGACTTTTCAGTGTAAACTTCTTTTAAATTTTATTTTGATTTTTGAATAATGTAAATTAACTGTCAAATAATTAAATTAAAAATAACCAATTTATTAACAAAACATTTAATCTAGTGGCTTTACTTTTGACACAAGACAATCTCCAAATCTCCACCAATCACCAAAAACAGAGATTTACACCAGTTCCTTTGCTTGTTTTTCCTGGTAATGACTACAATTAAGAAGTCCTGTGGGTGCCATCTCAGTTTTGGAGATATTTCCCTAGAAGAAACTGATTCAAGGTGGGACAATTGGGTATAGAGAATAGTCCCTGGGACCGGGGGCTGAAGTCCTGAATTCTGGTCCTGCCTAACTCCCACTTTCTATTAAGCTGACCCTGTGAAACGGCTGATACATGACCATTTTTTACCAACAAATTAGACAAATTCATGGGTGATCAAATTCAAAAACCCTGTTGCCTTACCACTGTAATATGATGAGGACACGTATACACACCCTGCCTAACTCACAGCATCACACCAGGGATTGTCAACATATGGGAAAGAGCTTTGTACATTGTAAAGGTCAACCCTACAAACAGCAGCTGTGAAACACAACACAACCCTGAGGGGGTGGCCATGGCCAAACATAGGAGGGGAAAAGGACCCAGTCTCAAAAGCATCTGAGATACTGAGATAGTGCAGAGGAATGAAATCTTCCAAAAGATGGAATCTAAACATAAACAGACATCAAGAGCGGGCTGACTTGCAGTGGAAGATGTGGTTAAATGACTCCACATGTGGTCATCTGCCATTGCATACACTGCAAATTCTGTGAAGCCTACTAAGGGAAATTAGGGAGATGTAACTGGGAGCGCACTGTAAAGATACTGATACGAACACGAATGTGAGATCAATGTTGAATGATGGACCCAAAAGGATGGCTCTTAGTCCTTGTGAACATATAGTTGTTGGAGACATGTGTCTGTCATACACAGATAGGCCTCCAACTCACCTCTGAAATCAGATGCAAACTTCAAATACTTTTGAAAAGTCTCCCTAGAGGACCTTTTACCCCCAAATGTAGAGACTAAATGAAAAACCATTCTTTAAAAGGGGTTAAAAAAAACACTCAAAAAACTTCTCCTTTCCACATGTATAGTCATCTGGAAAACAGATCTCCCATTAAACGGATGGTCAAAGCTGTATCACAACATTAAACTAAGCACAAAAATTCAAGACTTCCCTTCCTCACCCTCCTAAAACGAAACATTCCAATAGGCTAGAAATAACCTCATGAGGAAGTTCATTGAAGGTACTCCCACTTGGCACTACTATCCAGACACTGGGTTAGGAAACTAGTTACTTGGAACTCAGAAAAAATAAGAACTATTTTGATTAGGCAAGGCCCCTGTGCAAGGTGCCTAGTTCCAGCTGGGTCTCAGTAGTCTGATGGGTGTCATGCACTCCTGGACCTCCTCTTAATGAAACAAGGGACCTTGACTTTGGGCCCCATGTTGAGAAGCTCTGAAGCCAAATATAATGGTCAAATATAATGTCCTCTCACTTCTAGCTTCATAGCAGACCATGTTTCCATATAGAAATTTCTCTAGGAGGCTTACTATCCTATGTTATCTCAAGCCGAGGCCTCCTCTTACACAAGAGGCTTAAACTGCCCGTAAGTAAGAATTAAAGATATGTTACATTTTTTATGAATTAGTCATTTATTCATTCAGCAAAGGTTATTAAGAAGGTACTGAGTTTGGATGTACTTTGCTTTAGGAAAATCATTTTCAAGGTTGCTTCATGCAAAGTGGGAATAATTAACTTGGTAACTCAATAGACTTGCTAAGTGATTGCCCCAAGTTTAAACTGTCACTGATTTGCAAGTATGACATGAAAACCAGAGACCCAAGGAGGTGGGCACATTCCCACCTGTCAATAGCCCTCAAGAGAAGTGCTTCAGTATTACCCCAAATGGCCAACTTTGCATGGTTAATCATTTAGTTAGAGGCTCACAAGATCAAAAACAATTCTTAAAAAACTATTTATGTGAACAAAGGGACAATGAGCTGACACCTTCAAGGTGCACGTCAGGGGCACAATACAAGTTCCTGTTTCACCAGCAGAGCTCTGGTCGCTCAGTTGAAGCTGAAAGTCAGAACCAGCTGTGTTTCTGTCATTCCCTCATATGAAAAGAACTCAGCTGTAGACCTTTACTCCATGAGAAAACATTTTTTAAAAACCCACAAATAATTTTTAGGTTTCATTTTTGCCTCTGCTTTCTCCAGAGCTACAAAGGTCACCCAAATTTCTGTGGCGAGGTTATTTAGGAGAGCCTTTCTTTTGGATGTCAACTTGTCAAACTTGCAGTTTAGATGAGTGTGATGTAGTCTCCTAAAATTTACTTTTGCACTATTTTTTCAAATAATAGATATTCTCTGAGCACAGGCACTGAGGACATCAAAATGAATGAGACTGAATTTCTGCCCTTGGGGACTGCAGTGTTAAGGGTGGGTTAGACCCAAAAACCAACAATACAGTGCAATGTGGTACATGCTGTAACTAACATGCACAAAGGGCATTCCCAAAAAAGAGAATGAAAAGAGGGAGGAAGGTGGCAAAGGAGAAAGGCCTTTGGCCCAAGTTTTTGTTCAATAAAGATCATATTTTGTAGATCAAAAGATTATATGATCTGCTAACCCCTTAGCATGTATAGCTCATGAAGCAAGACAAAGTACCCATGAAGAGTTCAACATTAGCGAGCCTCTGGGGCAAGTAAGTTGGAAATCATAACCCATTTATGGATACCTGCCTAGAACTGATTTCCTATTCAGAGTGCCTTCCTAGCTGATAAGAACAATACTGAAATCTTTCTTTTCCATGAGGGAAAAACATGTTGAATCATTTAGCAAGTACCTACAGAGCCACCTACTATGTATGTGCCCAGCAGTCTACTGTGTGCTATCAGGAGTAAGAAAATGTAGAAATATTCTTGCTTTTAAAGGGTTTACAATCTAATTGTAGAAATAATACTAAAATACATGAGAGGAAAGAAAAGCAAACTTAGCTTCTCTGGGATAAGGACTATATCTCATGCAACTTTTAAAAAGTTACCATTTATTCAACTTCCTACCACCATTACATACTTCTGGTAATCAATTATCTTCCTTCTCCCCTTGGGATTTTGAATTGGGAACAGAATAGAAATAAGTTGCCAAATAAGAATCAAAATACAGGGTCAGCCTCAATTTCAGTGCAAGTGGTCCATTGCTTTGGTTCACAGGCTCTACAGTCCAGAAGATGAAAGATTAAGGATTTCATCCATCAGATTAACCTCTCCTCTTTTCACAGAAAGAACAAGTAATGGGGATAAGAGAAGGGCCTAGAATATTCCCCTGAAAGTGTTACTTATTAGGAAGCAAGTTCCCTTGTGGAAACACAAGGATGGGGGAAAGGGATTTCCCTCAACATTGTTCTATCTACACACAGAGAATTCAAGTAACTTGCCCAAAATCACAGAGCTAGTAAGTGGTGAGGCTTAAATCAAACTTGATCATCAGGTCCAGGAACACAGGTACAGGCTGGGGCTGCCTCATGAAGTGTCTGTTTAGGAAATGTGTCTTTAAAGTCAACAGACTGTCCTGAGTAGGACATTCTAGAACATTTTTCTAGACAAAAACATCATATCTACAACTTCCAGCCTAGAATCTGATACAGCAAAGACACACAATAATGTTTTGTTATATAAGTGCATATACAATTAATTACCAAATTATGAGGTACAGACCACCTAGGAACTCAGATAGGGCAGGTTTATTATTATGGGCAAGAGTCTTTCTAGAAACAGGATTCCAGCTAGGTCTTGAAGAATGAGTAGAATTCAGATGAATAAACAGCAGAAAAAATCATTAATAAACACATGAGACTCAGAGAATTACAACAAAACAGTTTTAGTCTTGTAAACTTTGCTATAAAGTGAAGCATATTTAGGTATGAAGCATGCTGATTAAACTTTTTATTGTCTTAATACAAGTCTAAAAAAAGTATCTTTTTGGGGGAGCTGGAAAGTACTAAAAATAAAAACAGTGGCTGAAATTCATTAAGCATTTACTATGCCAAGCACTGCTCTAAGCACTTCACAGACACTAACACATTTAATCCCTACCAATACCCTGTTGAGAGGTTGAGATACAGAGAATTTAAATTACTGACCCAAGGTCATAGACCTAGTAAGTGTTAGGCCTGGAGTCAAACTCGATCCTCCTCTGGCTCAGGAATATTGTTCCAGGCCTTTGCTCTCACCTGGAAGTTTCTAATTAGAAAATTTATTTCAAGTCAGAATAAAATCTTCAGCAGTTCTCTCATCTCAAAATGTCTGAATTTCTGATTATTTACAAGGCTGCAAATCCCTTCTAGCCACGCTCTAATGCAAGTACTTGGATAGTGAAATAAACGATAAGTCTCTCTAAATCACAGGATATTCAGTTTATTTGATTTTAGTTCAGCGATTCTTAAACTGTCCCATACATCCAAACCATCTGTAGAAGTTTCTAAACCCAACATAGGCCCAGGGACCCAATACCAAACTTACAAATCTTGGAGACTAAGATCTCATATGTATATATATTTTAAAGATTCAAGGGTAATTCTGATGCTGAATGTGTTTGAGAATCACTGCTGTATGCTGCATTCTATTTTATTGTATTTCTTTTATTATTATTATTATAATAATAATAATAATACTTTTAAGTTCTGGGGTACATGTGCAGAACGTGCAGGTTTGTTACCTAGGTATACAGATGCCATGGTGGTTTGCTGCACTCATCAACTTGTCATCTACATTAGGTATTTCTCCTAATGCTATCCCTCCCCTAGCCTCCTACACCCTGACAGGCCCCAGTGTGTGATGTTCTCCTCCCAGTGTCCATGTGTTCTCACTGTTCAACTCCCACTTATGAGTGAGAACATGTGGTGTTTGGTTTTCTGTTCCTGTGTTACCTTGCCAAGAATGATGGTTTCCAGCTTCATCCATGTCCCTGCAAAGGACATGAACTCATCCTTTTTTATGGCTGCATAGTATTCCATGGTGTATGTGTGTCACATTTTCTTTATCCAGTCTATCATTGATGGGCATTCGGATTGGTTCCAAGTCTTTGCTATTGTGAATAGTGCCACAATAAACATACATGTGCATGTGTCTTTATAGTAGCATGATTTATAATCCTTTGAGTATATACCCAGTAATGGGATGGCTGGGTCAAAAGATATTTCTGGTTCTAGATCCTTGAGGAATCACCACACTGTCTTCCACAATGGTTGAACTAATTTACACTCCCACCAACAGTGTAAAAGTGTTCCTATTTCTCTACATCCTCTCCTGCATCTGTTGTTTCCTGACTTTTTAATGATCGCCATTCTAACTGGCATAAGATGGTATCTCACTGTGGTTTTGATTTGCATTTCTCTAATGACCAGTGATGATGAGCTTTTCTTCGTATGTTTGTTGGCAGCATAAATTTCTTCTTTTGAGAAGCATCTGTTCATACCCTTCGCCCACTTTTTGATGGGGTTGTTTTTTTTCTTGTAAACTTGTTTAGGTTCCTTGTAGATTCTGGATATTAGCCTTTTGTCAGATGGATACGTTGCAAAAAATTTCACCCATTCTGTCGGTTGCCTGTTCACTCTGATGTTAGTTTCTTTTGCTGTGCAGAAGCTCTTTAGTTTAATTAGATCCCATTTGTCAATTTTGGCTTTTGTTGCCATTGCTTTTGGTATTTTAGTCATGAAGTCTTTGCCATGCCTATGTCCTGAATGGTATTGCCTAGGTTTTCTTCTAGGGTTTTTATGGTTTTATGTTTTATGTTTAAGTCTTTAATCCATCTTGAGTTAATTTTTGTATAACGTGTAAGGAAGGGGTCCAGTTTCAGTTTTCTGCAAATGGCTAGCCAGTTTTCCCGACACCATTTATTAAATAGGGAATCCTTTCTGCATTGCTTGTTTTTGTCATGTTTGTCAAAGATCAGATGGTTGTAGATGTGTGGCGTTATTTCTGAGGCCTCTGTTCTGTTCCATTGGTCTATCTATCTGTTTATGTACCAGTACCATGATGTTTTGGTTACTGTAGCCTTGTAGTATAGTTTGAAGTCAGGTAGCATGATGCCTCCAGCTTGTTCATTTTGCTTAGGATTGTCTTGGCTATACGGGCTGTTTTTTGGTTCCATATGAAATTTAAAGTAGTTTTTTCTAATTCTATGAAGAAAGTCAATGGTAGCTTGATGGGGATAGCATTGGATCTATAAATTACTTTGGGCAGTATGGCCATTTTCACGATATTGATTCTTCCTATCCATGAGAATGGAATGTTCTTCCATTTGTTTGTGTCCTCTCTTATTTCATTGAGCAGTGGTTTGTAGTTCTCTTTAAAGAGGTCCTTCACATCCCTTGTAAGTTGTATTCCTAGGCATTTTATTCTCTTTGTAGCAATTGTGAATGGGAGTTCACTCATGACTTGGCTGTTTGTCATTATTGGTGTATAGGAATGCTCGTGATTTTTGCACATTGATTTTGTATCCTGAGACTTTGCTGAAGTTGCTTATCAGCTTAAGGAGATTTTGGGCTGAGATGATGGGGTTTTCTAAATATACAATCATGTCATCTGCAAACAGAGACAATTTGACTTCCTCTCTTCCTATTTGAATATGCTTTATTTCTTTCTATTGCCTGATTGCCCTGGCTAGAACGTCCAATACTATGTTGAATAGGAGTGGTGACAGAGGGCATCCTTGTTTTGTGCCGGTTTTCAAATGAATGCTTCCAGCTTTTGCCCATTCAGTATGATATTGGCTGTGGGTTTCTCATAAATAGCTCTTATTATTTTGAGATATGTTCCATCAATACCTAGTTTATTGAGAGTTTTTAGCATGAAGGGCTGTTGAATTTTATGAAAGGCCTTTTCTGCATCTATTGAAATAATCATGTGGTTTTTGTCATTGGTTCTCTTTATGTGATGGATTATCTTTATTGATTTGCATATGTTGAACCAGCCTTGCATCCCAGGGATGAAGCCAAATTATCATGGTAGATAAGCTTTTTGATGTGCTGCTGGATTCAGTTTACCAGTTTTTTATTGAAGATTTTTGCATCAATGTTCATCAGGGATATTGGCCTACAATTTTATTTTTTTGCTGTGTCTCTGCCAGGTTTTTGTATCAGGATGATGCCGGACTCATAAAATGAGTTAGGGAGGATTCCCTCCTTTTCTATTGATTGGAATAGTTTCAGAAGGAATGGTACCAGCTCTTCTTTGTACTTCTGGTAGAATTCAGCTGTGAATCCGTCTGGTCCTGGGCTTTTTTTGGTTGGTAGGCTGTTAATTACTGCCTCGATTTCAGAACTTATTATTGGTCTATTCAGGAATTTGACTTCTTCCTTTAGTCTTAGGAGGGTGTATGTGTCCAGGAATTTATTCATTTCTTCTAGATTTTCTAGTTTATTTGCATAGAGGTGTTTATAGTGTTCTCTGATGGTAGATTGTATTTTTGTGGGATCAGTGGTGATATCCTCTTTATCATCTTTTATTGCGTCTATTTGATTCTTCTCTCTTTTCTTCTTTATCAATCTGGCTAGCATTCTATCTATTTTGTTAATCTTTTCAAAAAACCAGCTTCTGGATTCACTGATTTTTTTGAAGGGTTTTTTGTGTCTCTAATCTCCTTCAGTTCTGCTCTGATCTTAGTTATTTCTTGTCTTCTGCTAGCTTTTGAATGTGTTTGCTCTTGCTTCTCTAGTTCCTTTAATTGTGATGTTAGAGTGTTGATTTTAGCTCTTTCCTGCTTTCTCCTGTGGGCATTTATTGCTATGAATTTCCCCTAAACACTGTTTTAGCTGTGTCCCAGAGATTCTGGTATGTTGTATCTTTATTCTCATTGGTCTCAAATAATGTATTTATTTCTGCCTTCTTTTTGTTATTTACTCAGTAGTCATTCAGGAGCAGGTTGTTCAGTTTCCACTGTAGTTGTATGGTTTTGAGTTAGTTTCTTAATCCTGAGTTCTAATTTAATTGCACTTTGGTCTGAGAGACTGTTTGTTATGATTTCCATTCTTTTGCATTTGCTGAGGAGTGTTTTACTTCCAATTATGTGGTCAATTTTAGAATAAGTGTGATGTGGTGCTGAGAAGAATGTATATTCTGTTGATATGGGGTGGAGAGTTCTGTAGATGTCTATTAGTTCCACTGGGTCCAGAGCTGAGTTCAAATCCTGAATATGCTTGTTAATTTTCTGTCTCGTTGACCTAATATTGACATTGGGGTGTTAAAGTCTCACACTATTATTGTGTGGGAGTCTTGGTCTCTTTGTGGGTCTCTAAGAACTTGCTTTATGAATCTGGGTGCTCCTGTATTGGGTGCATATATGTTTAGGATAGTTAGCTCTTCTTGTTGAATTGATCCCTTTATCATTATGTAATGGCCTTCTTTGTCTCTTTTGATCTTTGTTGGTTTAAAGTCTGTTTTATCAGAGACTAGGATTGCAACCCCTGCTTTTTTTTTGCTTTCCATTTGCTTGGTAGATCTTCCTCCATCCCTTTATTTTCAGCCTATGTGTGTCTTTGCATGTGAGATGGGTCTCCAGAACACAGCACACTGATGGGTCTTGACTCTTTATCCAATTTGCCAGTCTGTGGTCTTTTAATTGGGGCATTTAGCCCATTTATATTTAAGGTTAATATTGTTATGTGTGAATTTGATCCTGTCATTATGATGTTAGCTGGTTATTTTGCCCATTAGTTGATGCAGTTTCTTCATAGTTTCAATGGTCTTTACAATTTGGTATGTTTCTGCAGTGGCTGGTACCGGTTTTTCCTTTCCTTATTTAGTACTTCCTTCAGGAGCTCTTGTAAGGCATGCCTGGTGGTGACAAAATCTCTCAGCATTTGCTCGTCTGTAAAGGATTTTATTTCTACTTCACTTCTGAAGCTTAGTTGGCTGGATATGAAATTCTGGGTTGAAAATTCTTTTCTTTAAGAATGTTGAATATTGGCCCCCACTCTCTTCTGGCTTGTAGGCTTGTAGGGTTTCTGCTGAGAGATCCACTGTTAGTCTGATGGGCTTCCCTTTTTGGGTAACCCGACCTTTCTCTCTCGCTGCCCTTAACTTTTTTTCCTGCATTTCAACCTTGGTGAATCTGACAATTACATGTCTTGGGTTTGCTCTTCTTGAGGGGTATCTTTGTGGTGTTCTCTGTATTTCCTGAATTTGAATGTTGGCTTGTCTTGCTAGTTTGGGGAAGTTCTCCTGGATAATATCCTAAGGAGTGTTTTCCAACTTGGTTCCATTGTCCCCGCCACTTTCAGGTACACCAATGAAATGTAGGTTTGGTCTTTTCACATAGTCCCACATTTCTTGGAGGCTTTGTTCCTTCCTTTTCATTCTTTTTTTCTCTAATCTTGTCTTCATGCTTTATTTCATTAAATTGATCTTCAATCTCTGATATCCTTTCCTCTGCTTTATCGATTCAGTTATTGAAGCTTGTGTATGCTTCACAGAGTTCTCGTGCTGTGTTTTTCAGCTCCATTAGGTCATTTATGTTCTTCTCTAAACTAGTTATTCTAGTTAGCAATTCCTCCAACCTTTTTTCAAGGTTCTTAGCTTCTTTGCATTGGGTTAGAGCATGCTCCTTTAGCTTGGAGGAGTCTGTTTTTACCCACTTTCTGAAGCATACTTCTGTCAATTCATCAAACTCATTCTCCATCCAGTTTTGTTCCCTTGCTGGCAAAGAGTTGTGCTCCCTTGGAGGAGAAGAGGCATTCTGGTTTTTGGAATTTTCAGCCTTTTTGTGCTGGATTTTCCTCATCCTTGTGGATTTATCTATGTTTGATCTTTGATGTTGGCGACCTTTGTACGGGGTTTTCGTGTGGACATCCTTTTTGTTGATGTTGATGCTATTCCTGTTTGTTAGTTTTCCTTCTAACAGTCAGGCCCCTCTGCTGCAGGTCTGCTGGAATTTGGTGGAGGTCCACTCCAGACCCTGTTTGCCTGGGTATCACCAGCAGAAGCTGCAGAACAGCAAAGACTGCTGCCTGTTCCTTCCTCTGGAAGGTTTGTCCCAGAGGGGCACCCACCAGATGCCAGCCAGAGCTCTCCTGTATGAAGTGTCTGTCGACCCCTGCTGGGAGGTGTCTCCCACTCAGGAATCACGAGGGTCAGGGACCTGCTTAAGAAGGCAGTCTGTCCCTTAGCAGAGCTCAAGTGCTGTGCTGGGAGATCCACTGCTCTCTTCACAGCCAACAGGCAAAGAACATTTAAGTCTGCTGAAGCTGGGCCCACAGCCACCCCCTCTCCCAGGTGCTCTGTCCCATGAGATGGGAGTTTTATCTATAAGCCCCTGACTGGGGCTGCTGCCTTTCTTTCCCAGATGCCCTGCCCAGAGAGGGAGAATCTAGAGAGGCAATCTGGCTACAGGGGCTTTGCTGAGCTGTGGTAGGCTCCACCCAGTTCAAACTTCCCAGTGGCTTTGTTTACATTGTGAGAGGAAAACAGCCTACTCAAGCCTCAGTAATGGCGGATGCCCCTCCCCCGACCAAGCTGGAGCATCCCAGGTTGACTTCAGGCAGCTGTGCTGGCAGTGAGAATTTCAAACCAGCAGATCTTACCTTGCCGTGCTCCATGGGGGTGGGATCTGCTGAGCTAGATCACTTGGCTGCCTGGCCTTCAGCCCCTTTCCGGGGGAGTGAATGGTTCTGTCTCACTGGAATTTCAGGTGCCACTGGGGTATGAGAAAAAACTCCTGCAGCTAACTGGGTGTCTGCCCAAATGGCCACCCAGTTTTGTACTTGAAACCCAGGGCCCTGGTGGTGTAGGCACCCAAGGGAATCTCCTGGTCTGCCGGCTGCAAAGACTGTAGGAAATGTGTAGTATCTGGGCCAGATAGCACTGTCCCTCATGGCACAGTCCCTCAGGGCTTCCCTTGGCTAGGGGAGGGAGTTCCCCTGACCCCTTGCGCTTCCTGAGTGAGGCAATGCTCCACCCTGCTTTGGCTCACCCTCCATGGGCTGCACCCACTGTCTAACCAGTCCCAATGAGATGAGCCCGGTACCTCAGTTGGAAATGCAGAAATCACCCACCTTCTGCATTGATCTCTCTGGGAGCTGCAGACTGCAGCTGTTCCTATTTGCCATCTGGCCAGCCACCTAATATTTCTAATCATTCACTTAGCAAGAGTCTCAGGTTTAAGTAAAATTATAACTAAGTTACTAAGGAACAATACATCAAAAGTCATATATTCATTTTTCCCTCTAAGAGTTTTTTCTTTTTTAAAAAAATTAAATTAAAAAACTCCTTGGAAAAAACATTTTTAATCTTCCCATTACCACTTTATTCCTTGGCACACAGAAGGGTACCAGTCTCTGCTGGAGACAAAGGTGGACAGTAGGCCAGGGTGACAATATCAGCCTGTTCCTGCTCCAGGTCTCACATTAATGCATCAAGGGCAAGATATGGTTTCTTACTTGAATACTGCAGGTTTTGGTTATAGACAGCTGGAGTGGTGGTAAGGGGACTAGGTTAGGTGAAGTCACTGGGCTATCATCCTTGCTCTGGTTCTACAGCTGTGCATTTTGGATTGCTATTTAGCTTCTCTAAGCTCCAGTTTCCTCCTCTGTTATATAGAAATAATGTCTGCCAATCTTTTTTATAGAGTTATTTGTAGGATCAAATGGAATGAGATATGTGAATGCATTTTAAAAATGTATGGAATACCACACATTTGGACAAGATTATTATTGAAGTGTGCAATCTTGTCTACATGACAAGTGAAATCACGTAGGAATCGTAGTAACAACAAACCAGCTGAATTTTGGTCTCAGTACCAATGCCTACTGGGGCACTGCAGTAGAGCAAGTTTTCCTAACACCTCATGGAACAGTGACAGTGAAGGTTCTCCTAGGTTTTTATGTGAGACTGCCTGAAGAGCAATTACAGGCTCTGGAACAATAGATGCTACTAAGTTTATTTTATTTTATTATTATTTTTTATTTTACTTTAAGTTCCGGGATACATGTGCAGAATGTGCAGGTTTGTTACATAGGTAAATATGTGTCATGGTGGTTTGCTGCACCTATCAACCCATCACCTAGGTATTAAGGCTCGCATGCATTAGCTATTTGTCTGTTTGTCCTGACGCACTCTCTCCCTTCCCCTGCCCCCTGCTCCAGGCCCCAGTGTGTGTGGTTCCCCTCCCTGAGTCCATGTGTTCTCTCTGTTCAGCTCCCACTTATGAGTGAGAACATGCAGTGTTAGGTTTTCTGTTCCTGGCTACCAAGTTTAAGAAAGTCATTGTCAGGGATGTGAAAATCAGAAAAATAATCTGGTATTTTAGGAAAAGCACTTAAAATAAATTGTATTAATGACACCACATTTTAATGATTAATAAAATACTTGATAAGGCAATCCTGTATTAATATTCAACCATTTATACATGATTATTTCTAAACATTATACAATGCAAAAAAATTCACATGTTTAAAGAAGTATCTACTTTATCAGGTACCATTTGTGAATACTCTCAACAAGCAGGTGAATACAACTCTCAATGCAAGTGAATATACACAGAAATGGGCAGCAGGATGGTCATTTGCCTGTCTGTCTTGCTTGGGAGTAAAAGAGAAGGCTAGGAACATGGCTGTAGGTTTGGTACTAGAAGAAAAGTGGGACCTATTCCGACTTCCTGATCCTGTGATTTTTTTCTTTTTTTGAGATTCACACACACACACACACACAAACTATGCACAAGTTTGCTTCCATGTTGTATAGCAAGAGTTTAAATATTTCTGAGTTAATGATGCCAAACTGTGCTCCGATTATATCAGCATATTTACATGATCCTTGAACACCACATATAGATTCCTATACTACACATTTAAGCAAAATCACCTCCTGACTTCACAATGAAAGAGACCTATTGGATTAAAAAGTGGTTTCTAGTAAACCCCAAAGAGATACTGTTACTAAATTACTAAATTTAAAGGCAAAATAGTATTCACTAAACTGATTTTTCTGTCTTATTTTCCTTATTTGGCATAATCATTAACCAACTTCTAGTAAATGGAAGCATTCTCACAATTTAAGTTTTTTTAGGGGGAAACACACAATTTATAAATACTGTCAAGTGAAGAACAGATTCCTGAATACTAAAAGACCCATGCATATCCTTGTATGTAAAAAAAAAAAAAATCCATCATAAAATCATAGACTCAAACACCATCTTTGATTCAGTAGTTCTCCCTCTACTGTGGCTTCTGCTATAGAGTCATTGTTAAAAAGAGTTCTTCATGAAAGATTCTCACATAGCAAAATGCTTTAAGAAAATGTCTAACAAACATTTTTATTGTCTCAATTTGTACACAAACTGACACCTGAAAATCAGAGAGGATAAAGAACTTCAATCTTTAAAAAAGAGAGGTAAGTTATTCCAAAATGCTACCAGTCAATAATTAAAAATACAGTTTGGGGGCAAGAAGTTCTGAAATAACTCAGAGAACTTGCTCAAGATTTTACTTTTGGACCAGTCCTCTTTGGGAGGGAGTATGTGAATAGGTAATGAAAGCCTTATATGAGAGAGTCAATGGAGAGCCATATCAAGGAGCACCTGAAGATATATGGATCAATACAGGGAAAAGAAATCCAAGTAGCCCAGTGCCTGACACTCACTGGGCACTCAATTAATGCACGGTGAATTAACAAATGAATTAATGAAAGAACCATTTGCTACATATAACATTCTTACTTTAAGAAAAAAGAATTTGAAACAGAAGAAAACATACACGCAAGAACACATACAAACTATAAACTATATGATATCCTAAAGGAGATGTAAATATTAAACTGTTTGCTTTGCTGACTGACACTATTAATACCTAAAAGCAGTATGAGAGATCACAAAGAATAAGTACTCATTCATACTTGGAGTGGGCTGCTCATCTTATGGTCTAACTTGCATTTTATGTCATGGCCATGTTGCTTAATCTCCAGCTGTTCTACAGAAGAGCAAAATAAGTTATAAATAAATTATTAAAGAAAAAAAGTAACTCTATCCATGCTGAGGCCTGAGGGAGTTGGGGGAGGAGTCAATTCCTTTTAGTTTATATTTAAAAAGAGAAACTCTTTGGAAAACTGTAATATCTGAAGATTTTGTGGTTTCCAAAAGTGAAGGTGAACGGTGAGAAGTTTTCTTAGTTTAGCTACTGAACCCTAAAAAAATATAACCTCAAAAGTTAATTTCTTAAGCAATTTGGGCACCTGAATTTGATAAGAACTTTTTTTTCCAGACATTCTGTTCTGTCTAACCCAAAGGAAAAATAGCCAATTTTGAGAATCTGTATACAAATAAGGAAAAGTAAAATACAGCGCTTTGCAAAGAAATGGGAGGGATTTCTGATACTCAATTCATGATGCTAAACACTTCAAGTAGATGATTCAAAGGCAGAAATATATAACTGTTCTCATTAGGATTGTTTATGGACTATAAATAAGGAGCAGACTTATGGCCAATGCATTAGAAAAAAACAAGTACAAAGGCACTTCAGAAAATACCTTACTCCAACCTCCCATTTTAGTGTCATTTCTAAAAGGGTTTCATTTCAGCCTTCCTACCTTTCTTC
The DNA here is from genome assembly GCF_000001405.40 of Homo sapiens. Taxonomy (NCBI): domain Eukaryota; kingdom Metazoa; phylum Chordata; class Mammalia; order Primates; family Hominidae; genus Homo; species Homo sapiens. The sequence goes on from NC_000011.10 coordinate 27,692,340, forward strand.
CTTCCTTCCCTTCCTTCCCTCCAACGGGGTCTCACTCTGTCACCCAGGCTGAAGAGCAGTGGGACAATCACGGCTCACTGCAGCCCCAACCTCCTGGGCTCAAACGATCCTACTGCCTCAGCCTCCCAAGTAGCTGGGACTACAAGTGCCTGTCACCAGGCTTGGATAATTTTTTTTGTCTTTTGTAAAGATGGGGTCTTGCTATGTTGTCCAGACTCGTAATGATCTCCTGGGCTCAAGTGATCCTCCCACCTCAGCCTCCCAGAGTGCTGGGATTACAGGCATGAGCCACCACACCAGACCTCTTTTTTCTTTATTATATATTCCTCTAATAAAGTGCTCTGTATGCAGTGAGCATTCAATATTTGCTAAATTAAATTAATGGAAAGTTTTCTAACTACCATGTAGAGTATCTAAATTTACATCATTGGTTCTAGAACTGCTGTCTGAAGCAACACAAATTACACTTATGACAGTTCGTCAAATCTTTGAAGCCCATCCTCAAAATAAGGATGTCAAAAATACATCACACATGTTGACACTCTAATCTCCCAGCCACAGTAGGCATTAGCAATCTGAATGTTATTTTTACTAATCCTTCACAGTTTTAGAATTCTTCTCAACCCAACATTCAAAAACCACTTGCCATTCCAGCCTAAGTTTTCTTGTCCCTAAGTCATGCATTCCAAGTCCCCTCAACCATTGCTCACATGCAATGCTTTCAAATTCCCTATGCATCCTGGTCACAGTGATTTGAATGTACACTAATTTATCGATGATGTACCTAAAACAACTTATTTCATTTCCTTGAACTGATGATAATATTCTAGATACAGTCTATTTAAAAAGTGAAGAATTATTAGCTTCTCCATTTCAGTATTATATTTCTAGCAGTGCAGCCCAAAATTTCAGTAGCTATGATAACAGCCTCTTGTCACACCACTGGCTTATACTGAACTTGCAGTTAATTTAAAACATTCAAGCTTCCTTTCTACAATCTGCTGATAAGTCATCCCCTAAAACCGTGCCCGCAACTCTCTATTCTCTCCTAAATTGATTTTTTTGTACTTAATCATAGTATTTTACATTTAAGTAAATGTAAATGATCCAGATTCTATCATTCAACAGAATGTCTGCAATATCTGCTGGCTTTATGTTTCATATGATAAGCATATCGTCTGTGCCTTCAGACACATTATCAGCCAACATGTCGGTGCTGGATGTATTTTCCCAATGTTGCATAAGAGGAATACCTTCGAGAGTTTGGCCTAGGAATGTGGCCTGGGACTCCGCCAAGCATCTCTCTCCAGCAAAATGACTGCAAATTTCTCGACCTTCAGATTCTACATGATGTAAAAGAAGTTTGTCTGTGTTTAAAAACACATTCAAGAAATAAGTGAACATGTGAAAAGACAGAAAAACTTGTTTTAATTTGGGCATAGTTTCAGTTTTCAAAGGCACATGAAGGCAGAAAGAAAGAATCACAAAATGGAACTACTGATGATAGCAACTCCAAAACCAAGACTGATTAGACTAAATCCCATGTGGCAAAAATTTTATTTAGTAAGTTTCCTTCTCCCTCTCTCCCTTTAGATATATGTGCATACACACACACGCACCTTTATTTTAGTAATTTTTTTTTTCTGAAAAAGAAAGTTTTCTGCACCTGATTGCTTCCATGAATAACACAAAGCACAAACAATATGACTTTCTTTGGTTATCATGCAATTTTTTCTCTGCTTACCAGAAATTGGCACAAATTTAAGATATACTATATTCTACTCCCTGAAGCACAGTCGCTGGCATCTCCACTGGCATTTAAAAATTTGAAGACATTTAAAAGAAAATCCACAAGCTTATAGTTGCTGTCTAAATCAACTTTAACATTTCATATATTCACAATTTCATAAGTGAATCAAATTACACATAAGAAATTATAGAACTAAGCCAACTAAATGACTTTTATAATAGGTACTGGGGAAAAATATTATTAAACCTTTTCCTCCAATTTCTGCCTTTCTTCCAGCAAGACAAACCATTTTCATGAAGTTTCTGTCTACATCACTAGTGATAATCTGAAGCAGCCATTAATCAATCTATTAGTGCATTCAGCAACATTTATCAAAGTGCCTCCCCAGAACTGTTTTGGATGCTGTTGTGGGCGCATGCAAAAATGAACTAAATATAGATTTTTGTCATCCAAGAATTTTAAGTCAATTTGTAATTATTGGTTCCTGGTTCCATAACTTTTTTTTTTTTTTTTTTTGGTGCTGGCTCAGATGTATACCTTCATCTATTCTAAGGTTAAGGCAATCCTTATAATTTTCTTCCTTTTTCTTGTTTGTTTGTTTTTTGTGTGTGTGTTTAAAATCTTGCTTATATTTGACTTTATTTTATTCTCACATCTTCTGAGTACATTAAAGTTAAAGGTAGATCATAAATCGAAAACATTCTTAAAGGTCTCTCTACTCAAATTATTTGGTGTTATTGTATCTCAGAAAGTATAATGAATTGCCTGTAGCAAATAAATAAAATCAGAACCTTTATACTCAATGGTTCGGTTTGGTACATATCCATGAAAATAATAAATGTTAAAAAGGATGCTAGCCGTTGATTCCTGGCATGCTATTCTACATTTGGCTACATTACAACGTTAAAAGGATTTAGTGCATATATCAAATTGTGGATCTGCTTGTTTTAAAATTTCATCTGTAATTCCACATGCAACCCCCACCCCCATACACACTCACAAGATCTGAATATGGTAACAAGGAAATCCTAGTAACTGTAGCGTTGGAAAAATGGTTCATATGGAAATAAGCCATTTGGCTAGTAAAGCTGGTGATTTTGTTCTCTAGGTGGCACTATTACTTCAATTTTTGGTGAGTTGCTTAAATTACTTGGAACTGCCCGTTTATTTTCTTTGAATTCCCATTTTATAAATTTTAATTTTATACAAGCTAGTTGTAATTAAACGACAGGTTGCCTTCTAGGTTTTATTTCAGTAAGTCAATTTGAAGTTCAGTGATTTTTTATCATATAATTTTATGTTTCCTTACTATACTGTCTTAGTTTTAAGAAATCCTCCCTTGCCTGACCTCCTCTCTCCAAAAATGCAGAGGCATGTCAAAAACACAGAGGGTCGTCATAAAGTTTCCGTCAGACCAAAGGAACCAAGATGAAAGCATGTTTAAGAGCTACTAGGTTCTGGGAGATTTCAAAATCAGGACATTACTACCATGACAACCAATGAAAAGTTCTTTCAAGTGAACCTTTGGGGAAAACTATATAACGTTCCTTACTCTCTAGGCTCTCTGGAAATAAACTTTTACTTTATTATGGCTGTCACTAAAGCTTGTAAATTTACTTTGCTTCCTTCCAATCGTTCTCCTGTCCCACACTCAGCCCCCTAACTCACTTAATGCAACCCATCCTCAAACATCAATCTATAAATGAGACATCAGGGCAATGAGCCACTTCTTAGCATCTAGTATATTTGATAAGATTTGTCTCATCAAGAGGATAAGTGCCCTAGAGCTTCTACTTGAACTTAAATACTTAATTTAAATGAAAGCTTCCACACTTATCTGACCAGATACTCAAATTTTTCTACAGAAAAGAGAATACCTTCCTGTTCCACTTAAAGAACACACACATTTACCACTCCCCCTCCTCTCCCCTGCAAAAGGTTTTCAATGTCAGTACATTAGTGAGCTCCATTTTGCATCTGCCATCAATAATGATTCCATATAGTCAATAATTGGGTTCATGACCTTTCTAAATCTTTACAGTGTAAATATTCTGGAAATCCAGTGAGGCACTTAAGTATAAAATTATTTAGGATTAAATAATTCTATGCCTTAAGTAGAAGTTTAAGAGGACGTTTAGGACACACATGACTAAGCCTACAAATACCAAAGCCACTCTATGTTTCCTAGGTTTAAATACCACATGCAAATAACATACGGATTTCATTTGCCAGCATCATTTATTGCCTAACATTACTCCATACTAAACAGAGTAAATGGATGCAGAGTGTAACCAGTAAGTTTGCTCATTCACTTTTGAAGCTCATCTGTGCATGTTATTCATCCTAATAAAGAAAATTTATCACAACACAACTTGATGCGATTCTTGTTCAAATGATTTCCTCTTCCATTGAACAACAGCCAGCACTTAAAACCTAGAATTCCACAGAATTCTCTCCTCGATTCCTCTTTAAAATGCAATTCACAGTTTGAGATCACAGAGCCTGCCAGTGGCTGAATGGCTGCACTAGATGGCTGAGAGTCCTTCAATTAAGCAACAATTTTGCAATTAGTGGAAACTGAGTGCTCTATAACAATTGTTTGAAAACAAGTTGAGACAAGTTAGCAATTACCCTATAAAAGGGACATATTCACTTTTGTTGGATAGGCGAGACCCCTCACACAAATTGAACTCTTCCACACAGGGAGATGCAAGTTGAAAATTAATGTTTTAATCACTAAAATCAAATCCATATTATGGGCACCTGAAATGGGAGTGCCTTTCTTCTCAAAAGATATTCAGAGTTTAGCTATCATCCACTCTCTATGCTGTCTGTTTTTATTCAGGAAGTCTGAAATTGTTCTTCTGTACTCCGGGATTAATTTCCTACATCTCAAAATGTTAATAAACTACTTGAACATGACCTTTCCATTCTGTAAATTTCCTTAAGAGTAAGTCTACGATTGAGACCCAAAGCTGCTGGCTGTGTTATATTTCACAGTTCACAGTTCTCTCTCTCTCTCTCTCCCCCTCTACACACACGCGCACGTGCACGCACACACACACACACACACACAGAGAGAGAGAGAGAGAGAGAGAGAGAGAGAGCACCCCAGGTTTTAGAAGATGAATGTAAAAAGAATGTAAACAAGTTCTCTGCTATACTATCAGGTGGGCGTGCCCAGCTCACTGTGCGTGCTGAACTACAAACCAGTGCTATTCATATAAGAAATGATATCAATCATCTACATTTTGACTATTGAAAAGCTGGGACTCTTAAAGATTCCAGGAAAAAGGGAATAGCTTACATTTTCATGGCGCCCCTTTTAAACAGGAAACCCACGGACTTTGAGCCAGGATTTTAGAAATTTGCATTTCTTTTTTTACAGGATTTTCCCTCCTGGTGAGTCAAAATGAACAAGAAATACCCCAGGACCTCCCTTCCCTCCTTGGCCATTAATGAGATGAAGGCAATTAACTCACATAGTATAAATGAATCATTTGAGGTGATGACTGCATTTTAGGCAAATGATGACTTTCTTGGTTCCATTGGTTTGCAAGTAAAAGTTACACACATTGAAAAGACACTGAAACAGATTTCCTAAATGCTTCATTTTCTGGATGCACCAATGTTGACCTACTATACATGTTAAATGGTTTTAAAATATCACCTTAAAATAAAGGAAACTTCCAGCTACTAACTCAGCTCTGAATGGGCTATGAAAGGCTCCAAAGGTATGTGAAAAATTACTGTTATTTTGCTTTAAAAAATGTGATGTCTAAGAGTGTCTGCAATGTTCTAATGCTTCAAAACATGTACGTAAGCCTTGTTTATCTGGAAATCATTTCTTTCTGCTTATATCATTTATAAATAGAAAATGTTCTGTAATAACTTAAAATAGTTCCACATACATAATGCTTTTAGTGTCATAATACTTACTACTGGTCTATATTTACCAACATTTATCACATTTTACAAAATGAAGTAGAAGAAAAAAAAGACAACGACTTTATGGCCCTGGAATTCCAGTAATGGTGACCAACATGTTTTAAATTCCAGTAAAGGTTATGGTTACATTTCAACAAGTGTCTCTTTCCTTTTTTTTACCTCTCCTGCTAACCCAGAGGTAAATTTCCCAAAAAAAAAAAAAAAAAAAAAAAAAAAAAAGTCTTAAGCAAGGCATTTGCAAAATCAGAAAACAGGAACAGGAGTTTAGTGATTGTTTTTAAAAGGTGCTGTTCCCAGGGTCAAAACTTTGTGGTGTAATTTCAACATGCTATGTTACCTATTATGTGTAATGCCTTGAAACGCTACATGCCATAACATCAGAAATCTCCAACCTAAAAATTATGTTGCATGAGATAAGCATTGAAGGCACACACGTTCATACAAATTAAATCTGTAATTATGCCTCAATAAGTTAAAATGTAAAGACATATCAAATTGTAAGACCAAAATGGCTTTTGACCTTACAACAAACTCATATAAAAATAGATTTTTCCATAATAATAAAGGGGAGAGAGAGATTTTGCAGGATATTGAGTCAGTAGGGAGGGGTCTCATTTAATATCATGTCGCCTTTTATATGCAGTTAGAAAATCAACGTTCCCAATTACATATTACTTTGCTTTAAAAGATTACTAGGAGGATTAATAAACACTCAGAAATATGCCTTTCTTTGCTTCTGGCCAAGAACATTCCTGCGTGCTTGTCGGAAAATGTTCTTTGGTTGCTACTGACATTAAGGAGTAAGTGCAGGATAACTAGAGGACCCTAAAATAAGATCCAAGAAGCCCTAACACACCGCCAATCGAGGCTTATCAAAGCTCCCCCAGCGCGAGGAAAACTTGCATAGAAGCCAAACAAGAACGAGGAGTCAAAATCCACCGACGACGAGTCGCACGCCCCACCGAGCTGGAGTCAGCAGCACCATTCAACAAGTCCCTCCTACCAGCTCTCTAAGGGATCCCGCAAAACCTTCCTTTACCACTTCCCCACCCCCAGCCTCCCGCCCCCAGTAGCTGCTCTTGGCAGCATGGCCGGCAGAGGGCACCCTCTACCTTCCCTAGCTTCGTTCTCTGGGTCCCCTCCTCCTCCTCGCCTCCCCTCCACCCCGGTCCCTCATCCCCGCTCTACCCCCAACACACAAACACTGCATCCTCCAGTTCACCCTCGCAGCCCCGAGGCTTCTTCCTTAGGGATGCCCCTAGTCTGTAATCTCCCCTTCTTCTTGCCCGTCAGGCACAGAGCCCCCAATCCTCAGCTATTTCTTTCCAGGAGTAACTCACTCACCCATTCCTCTTCCCGGCTCTGCATCCCCAGAGACTAACCCGAGTCAAGAATCCCCCACGTACATCCCAACCACTCCCCGAAAGTCAAAACTCTTAACTTCCCTGGAGGGCGCTTCAGAAGAGGGGCGCAGGATGGGTAGAGATGTGGGTTCGGCCTGCCCGAGAGTGTCGCAGACCCTTTCAGTTCCCAGCGGTAGGAATTCCGCCTCCCAAGTTTTCCAAGCTACATTGGCTTCGGACTTGTAAGTCCACTTCAGTCTCAATTCCTGGGGAGCAGGTAGCCGTGTGCAGCTCCGGGGAAGGGATGCGGGCTGAAGGCGCAAGCTTCCCTCCCACTCCCCCCGCAAGTCGGCGCGGGGACCACCCACCCCCTGGAAGGATTCCTAGCCTAGCCCCAGCACCCTCCCCTCAGTCAGGACCCTCGACAGCTCTGGCCCCCTAAGTCTCTCTCGACTACTCCTGGGCTGGGGGAGGGCTGCGAGGGATCCCCGGGTCGCCGTCTTTGCTCCCATCACGCAGCTCTGGGTCTCCTCCAGGCCTTCCCTCCTCTACTTCGTGACTTCCCCGGGTCCCTTTTTCCCTGGTGGTGCCGGCTGACCTTCTGGGTTGTGGGATGGGGGAGAAAACTCCCCAAGAGTAACTCCAAATCGTCCCTTCTACCGGAGGGGAGGAAAGAAGGAGACTGGCCTCGTCCCACAACTTTGGGGTGGGGGATCCCCCAGTCAACTCTCTCCCGCGGACGGGCAGCTCCTGCACCAAGCCCCATTCCCAGCGCTTGCCTACCTCGGGGTCCACACAAACCTCACGGGTCCCCGGCGGCGGAGTCACATCGTGGTTCCGATTCTGGCTCCAGCGCCCAGCCCCGGTCCCCGTCGCGGTGCTGCTCCCCGCCGGCCCCACAGCAGCGGTGGGTGTCTCATTAAAGCCCCCCGAGCAGGAGGTGGAGGGGCGCACCGGGCTGGCTCCTCTGTCCGGCCCGGGAGCCCGAGGCGCTACGGGGTGCGCGGGACAGCGAGCGGGCGGGTGCGCCCGGGCGCGGCGGCGGCAGCGTCGGGGACCCGGAGCTCCAGGCTGCGCCTTGCGCCCGGGTCAGACATTATTTAGCTCTTCGGTTGAGCTTCGATTGGTCAAACGGCGCCGCCCCCCCCCCCCCGCCCCCCGCCCCCCGCTCCCCGCTCGCCCGCGCTACCGATACCCGTTCGAGGCGGCCGCTTAAAGGGAACGCCGCGTCTTTTCCTCGCGCGGGGAACCGAGGGGCGCCCGGAACTCCCCGCTCCCCCGGGGCCTGTCCTCACCTCCTCCCCTAGGGCCCCGCGACATCGCCCTGCGAGTCCTGCGCCCTCCTGGGGCGCCTTGGACAGGACGCCCGCGGCTTCGAGGGGTGTTCCAGCCCCAGCCTCAGCCCCGGGGAACCCCGCGTCCCGCGCCCTCTGCAGAAACCCCGGCTGTGGGCGCTGGGGCGGGAGGGAGCGAGTGAGAATCGCACGCCCCGAGGTCTCGCTCCCCTAGCTTTCAACTCTCCCCTTCCTCCCCATCCCAGCACCCAAGTTCTCTGGGAGAGGGCGTGCGTTTCCCGGGCCACAGACACACCTTCCCGCACCTTCCTGCACTACGGAGCTTGCGAACGCGAGCACACAATGAAATCGCACAGAGCATGGGGGCTATTGGTTTACTCTGCTGCCTTAAACACGCCGGCTTAAACAGAGTTCGCGCACTGACCTCTCTAGAGTTTGCCTAATAGGAATTCAATCAAGATAATAACAGCATTTTTTATTGATGAACGCCCCCAGATAACGTTACACCAAGTTACTTGTTCCAGCCAGGAAGCCCAGGCAATGACAGACCTCGCTAAAGCCACACGCTTTCTAGCCGACCAAACAGAAAAACGGAAAGAGAAAGAAAGAAAACAAACCCACCTTTTCAGTCACTACTTGTCAAAGTAACCATCAAGGCAGCTGCTCCGGGAAAGACTTCGGCCCCAAAACTCCCACACTCTATTATTTTTTCACGTTCCCTTCGCTTAATTAAAGGGGGGAGGGGGCGCGAGTCTTTGGTGCCCGGTATGTACTCCTTCTGTTCTGCAGCAAAGAAGTTAAATTATTGATAGTGGAAATTGCATGGCGGAGGTAATACTCGCACCCCATCAGCGAGAAGCTCCATTTGATCTCGGCAGAGGCAGGGAGATTTCATGCTAGTTCGCCGGGGGGAGCGGCAGCGAGAGCAGCCCTCTCCGCGGTGAATGGGAAAGTGGGTGGGAGTCCACGAGAGGGCTCCACGGTGCCTTGACGTGCGCTGTCATATGATACCTCCGCTGCCTCGAAATAGACACTCTAGTGCACGAATTACCAGAATCAAAATTCAGCGCATTTAAAATGATACATCTTTTATTAGAAGAGTTCCGTTCCAGGGCATTGCATGCTTTTGCAGATGTTTTCACTTCCAGCCCCAGCAAACACACGTATAAGCTAACCCTTTTAATAACGAACCAGGGCAGCCAAGATAAATAAAAAGTCTTCTGCTTTAACCAGAGTGGGGGTAGGTGATTCGAGGGTGGGGGCAGAACTGGCTCAGTTAATCCTCCCCCGCCCTCCACCCCCACCACTGCCCGCAGCAAAAGAGCAAATAGCCTTTCGGGTTCTCATTTGCCTGTAGCCAAGACCCTTGAAGAGAACTTATATGGCTAGGGTCCAGAGGACATTTTCAATTATCCATTTGATGAACTCTGTCAACCGTCTACCTGTGTTTCTGCTTTAAAGCTGAATTTTCTTCTCATTAGTTCAACCAATTTGTGCAGACCTTAAAATTTAGAATAAAGAATAAGACAGCAGTACCGTACTTAACTTGGAGTCCCTGGACCTCCTCGGAGCATAAAAATCACCTGGGTGAGTGTTAAAATGAAGGTCCCTCCTCCTGAAATTGTGATTTAGTAGGGGTGGGGCAGGGCCCAGGAGTTATAATTTTAATAAATACCACAAGCAATTCGAATGCAGACAATCTGAAGTCACACTTTGAGAAACACTCTCTTGGGGGTACAACACTGGGTATCAGAGGAATCTCCCACCAAGCCCACACCCAAATTCTGCAGGCAGCTTTCTGTGTGTGTGCGTTTTTCTGTAATCTCAAAGGGGTTTGACCTAATAATTGCGAAGACTATTGCTGTAAGAATTTCCCTAAAGACTCCAACATTAATTTTGCTAAAGGGAAAGATTTATAAACAGTTTCCTTTCCTGGACCCTCTTGTGGTTACCAAGAATGTGCTGTTGAACTGAATATATAATATTATTACATACTCAGTTCAATTTACCTAAGGGTTTACAGTTAGCAAAATGAATTCACTAACATTAGCTATTTTAGAACTTCTAAAGACTAGTGACAGAAATTATTTACCCGTTTTATAAAAGAAGAATCCGATCCTCTGCCAGGAAATAATTTACCCACGTTCACACAGTGAAGTACCAGGGACAAGACTTCAGTGAACTCAAGAATTCCTGCTAGAAATAACCCTGCTTCCATCTCCCCCACCCCCTAAGTGAAGCTATCTGTTCCTTGGAAGTGTTATCAGAATGTGTGATCATTCAGAGCGCCTTTGCAAATTGTTGGACTAAATAGTCAAATTATTCAAATATATGCATATTCTTCGAGTGTCACACATTTAGCTTTGCACCTCTGTCAACTTGACAGAGCACATGACCAATACAAACTACCCTACAGCACAGATGGCAGAGTTTATTGTGGAATATTTAATGTATGTGAAATACGCAGGCTAACCAGAAAGCAATAAAGGACAGAGGGCATGAAGCTGGATACCGCTACCCCACAGACCCTCTGCGTTGGTTCCCAGGTTGTAAGATGAATGCAGGCACAATTTCTTTTAGTAGCACAATACAATTTAAAAGGCTAGTGTTATACATTTAAAAAAAATACTTGTACTACATTATAAAGGACTGGAGGAACCCTACTCCAAACTTTAACTTTGTTAACTTCAAACTGATGCTTCACATTTGCTTGAAAATGAGTTCTACCCTCAGGTTTTTAAGCTCAATTGTAATTTATTTCCTTCCTGAAAAAATACCTGGCAAGTTAATGCCAGGAATCTAAGCTAGCATTCTGAAGGCTGCTCACTTAGAAGTTATGGCAAATCTTTTTTCTGCTAAATTCACATTGGCACGTCAGCATTTCTGCTGAAGGAAAAAGTGTTCTCATTTCCCAGACTCTGATTGGGTGGGTCTATGGCCAATCTTCTTATTCCTACTCTCCCTTGACATTATATAAATAAATGTGTGTATCTTCGCTTTCCAGTGTGTGGTGCAGTTTTACTGAGGAAAAGACAGAGGAGTCAGAAATGTCAGGGATATTTAGAAAGAAAAGAAGATCAGATGCCAATTCAGATAACCATGATGAATCACACCTCTTAACACTTGTAAGCATTTCCAAACTTTCTGATTTGTGATTATAGCATTGCCAATACTGTATGCGACCAGCTTAAAACATGTACTTATTTGCCTTAAAAGTACATCTTACATTCAAAAACAATGAAGCCAAGATAAACAAAATTGTACCAGTGCCTTGCATGGAATTCTAAATATTATTTTTTATTTGCTTAATTCAGGTAGCATATAGAGATAATTTTGGAGGTCTAAAATCAAACATTTTACAAAATTATTTCCCTATTGTGGGCAAGGATGATGCTGAGAATATAGAGCATGCATTTCTCTTCTTCTTAAAAATTGGCCTCTGGCATAATTGATATGTTAGGAGCAAAGTTTCCAAGTTTATAATCTGAACATTTTCTCTATTACTAAAATGAGGGAAAGTTTCACAGCTTGAAAAAATAATGCTACCTATTTCACTTTTGTGGGGCTTAAAAATTAATTGTGAATTCGTCTGAATCTTTATTTCTTTTTGGTTATGTTCTAATATGATCCTAACCCAATGTTCCAGGGGGAACAAAGGTCAGGAAGAAATTTGAATTCCCATCTATTCTTGTCGGGAAATATAAACTAATCCTCATTACTCAAGTGAGAACAGAGGTAGTAGGCTTGACATTGACATGTTTTTTCTATTAATAATTTTAATTGGCTGAGGTCAATTCTATCACTATAAGCATTTTATATTTATGTTTATTTAAGCTTCCTAGTTACTCCTACCTTCAGTATTCCTTGCAAGAAAAAAAAAATAAGTTGTCTAGTCTAGCATCAAATAAGTTGGCCTAAAAAAACTGTTGAAACTTTCCGTAATTAGCATAGGGAAAATACTTAGTAAACAGAAAACTCTGCTGTTGAGCAGAGTGGCACAGGTGTTTTCAAACTCATCCTGGATAATTTGAAAGGCCTGGTCCAATGTTAAACTATGTCACTCGCAATCCTTGAAATTCTTGTATGAGGCCTGTCCTGAGAAAAACCTTAAGGGAGAAGTAATTTCCCTATTCATGAGATGTTACGTTCTCACTAAGCTTTTTATGAACCATAAGAATAGCTCAATACCATACCAAAATGTGTTCAAATTGGTCAACACCTGTTACAGGAGTTATGTAACCAGGCATAGCCATTAGTGGCAGACAAAAGAAAGGAACCACAGCAAGAAACTTTTAGAAGGGCCAAGACTAGGAGAGTAGAACAAGAGGGTCAAAAGCTGATCCCATCTGGGAATAATATTTAGTTGGATCAAGAAAAACGGCATAGAAACCATTAAGAAACTGTTGAGACTAAACCCCCAAACATATGAGAAATATCAACTTGTAGCCCTCCAAGTTACCAGATTTGTGCTGAGAACATTTAAAAATTAATAATGAAGAATAAATTTGGTTTACTTGTTGTAATAGTTCTATAAGCGTGGTCAAAAGGGATGTGAGATTGTGGGCATAAGTTAGAGCTGACAGTAATAAATAGCTGTGGTATTAGTTGGTTTTGCTAGGAGAAAAGCCATGAGAAGAATTAACAAATTTAAACCAAAGGGTTTCAGGACATTGAATCAGATGAAAGATGAACATTAGCTTATTTTTGAGACTCACCTATTTAGGCTGTGTGATGTTTGGAGTGAGAGATTTTCTACAGCCAAATTTTAAATTCTTCATGAAAAAAATGAAAAAGAAGAATATGCAAAAATAATTTAGAAAAAAATAAGTGAACTTCCTAAAGTCTTATTTTAAAAACACACACTAAGAATTTGGCCTACTTTCATGTGATTCTGATACATGAATCTACAAAGCACTCTTTAGTGGTCTTTTTGACCAAGGACTTGAGCAGGATGTGCAACTGGCCCTCTTTCTACCTCCAGATAGCACAGGCATGGTGAGAATGAAATCCTTAATAGTGCATGGTTGTGAAGAATGGGTTAGGCTTTAGATTAGTCTGGCATACAGAATCATTTGGAAACATCCGAAACTCCTGACTTTCTCAACTTTAGTTGCCTTTCACTTCATAGTTACAGTCATTCAGTTGATGAAAGATTGCTGAGTATCTACTATCTGTCAGGAGGCTATTCTATGGGCTGATACAGGCAGATGCATAAAATACATTTTAGCCCTTTACATGCTCATATTCTAGGACATAAGAGTTGTATTTTAATCCATGGTGACACTTGCAAATTTGTTAAGTCTAGGAAGTTTTGTTTTGTTTTATTTTCCCTTGCCGTAGGTTTGGTGTGTAGAAAGATGATGGTAAACATGCCCCTAGTGGCCAGGGGGTGGTAGTGATGGACAAGAAACTTGCTCCCAAAGCTGGAGTGGCACTTAGAGGCGGGGGAGGGCCCACCACGGTTAATCAGTCCCCAGTTATTTCGGTTAGCAGTGTTTTACAAAAGGTAGACAAAAGAGAAGGAGTGGATAGGGTGAGAGGGAGGAAATCAGATAATTTTTGTTTGAGGCAAATAATTTTTCTAAATATGATAGATAGACCTATAAAAGATAGGTCCAGAAGGGATCTTAAGAGATTATCTCATCTTTCTCACTATTTATAGGCCTGTCATTGCAGACCAGGGAAGTAGACTACACATCCTTCTTTTGGGGAGCTATCTAGAATCCAGCAATGCTGGTGCTTGGAAGTCCTCACTTGTAATGCATTTTTGTTCCTGTTGCAATTTATATCTTATTTCATTTCATTCAACCTTAGTGAAGATGGAGAACAGCTGCTTACTAACCTCCTTATGTTATTAAGTCACCACTCAGACTTTTCTCGTAGCAAAAGATCAGATCTCACAACCTTTCTTCATAAACTCCAACTTTCAACCCATTAATCATTTCCCTTGGTCTACCCTGGACCTCCTCCAAGATTTCTATATTTTTCTGAAAATGTGGAGCCCCAAACCAGACATGTGTGTGAAATTATCCAGGGCTCAGGAAACACAGGAGTCATGAATTATCTGGACACAGCTGTTGGGAAAAACTAAAGGGAAGATTCAATCAGATTGACAAATCTTCCCTTTGCAACTTGGAGACAAAGTAGTGGTTGTTTAATAAAAAGATGAGCCTTCATAACAAAGCTACGTCTTCTGTCCTTAGCTTTTAAATGAAGCATTATTTTCAAAAGAAACAACTCTTGAATAGAACATTTAGCTTTCACTGTTTTCCCCCTCAACAAAATTGTTTAAGAAACAGTGGCTTTTCTGTACTCCATTTAAAATCCCAAGTTGTAGACCTTTCACATTTAAATTGGATTTGTGCTTTCATATTCTCAGGTGCTTATTATATACTGATATAATTTCTCTCAAAGGTAAGGTCTATGAAATACTACACTACTTTTGAAGCTTTACCTTTCACCTAAATTGAACCATTTCTTTTCATTTGGTCTGCACACAAAATCCAGTTAGAATAAAGTGAATAAAACTAAGTTGAATTCAGTAAAAGAGAATTATGCTAACCTACATGATACCTAGAATCAAGTCTTCATAAATTCATCAAGTATGTCTCCATTATGGCCTAACAACCCAATGAGACCAAATCATGGGATCAGCAGAAATATTGTTCCCATTACTCAGGAGATATTCTATGGTGTCTGTAAAATCAGTCCAATTGGCCTAAGAAGACATTAAACCAGATATAGAATAAAGTTAGCACTCTAAAAAGAAATGGGGTAGCAGAGGAGAATGTTTACTTCCTCTTCATAATATCGCCTTGAGAAATTGTCCAGGGACTTTGTAACCAAAAAGAGACTGCTGCAAGTGTTTGCTGTAAGTAGGTACTTCTGAAACCTTAGTCAGCCAGTGAGAGGCACCAAGAAGTTATAAGTCTAGTTGGATATAGGAAAGGCTGATGCTGATACAGAAGAATAGGACAAATATAATGTTTCATAAAAGTTGAAGACAGAGAGATGGGGTGGAATGGGGAATGAATTGGTGAGAGTACAGCCATTAATTTAAATTCCAGCCCCTATAATTGTTTTTTGTTTGGTTGGTTGTCACTGCCATGTATGTACTCTGGGAAATTACTTCTTTTTTTGCTGCTTGGACAGTAGTCATGACCTGGGAATGGGGGGTGGTGTGTGTGGGAGGTGAGGTACTATACGGCTAGATATCCAATTTTGGAAGTCAGATGTCGACGCCATGATTCAGACTAAATATATTTCTGAGACACAAACTAAGACCATAGTCAGTTTTCCTCAAGATAGTTTCCATGCTGAATTAGAAAAATGAAGACCAACACTTCCTTTATTACCAGATTTCATGTGTCCCCCAAATGCAGTAAAATGTTTAATATTGAGGATCTTTTATTTCATAGGCATGTTTTCCTGAAGGCCTTGAGAAGAATGAGCCAAACATATGACCATCCACTGGCCTTTTTAATTTAAATAAGTTCCAAGTGTAAACAACTTAAGTTAGCTTTGCATTGTTTGTCCCTTTATGTTCATACTAAATACTGATTTGAACTACTATTCCCACATAATATTCTTATAGCATTATAACCAGATTGTGGATGTAGATCATGTTAGAACTACTTTGCAAGCCAAATTTCCATTACCTTCCATCTTGTCCGCACACAAAAACTAATTAGAGCAAAGTGAGTAAAAATAAGTTGAATTCCATAAAGAAGAATCATGCTAATCTACATGATGCCAATTTATCTCAAAAGTATGTACAAGTTTGACATATTCTTGACTATTTCCTAGATTAATTTTTTTCTAATTTTTTTTTATTATTGTACTTTTGGAAATTCATATTGTTATTTATATGATTTTGCTCTCTGTTTCTAGAAAGAATTTATAAAACATCAGATTTACTCTTAATTAACTGATGTTTATAAGAGCACAATTTTAGAAGAGTAGTAATAAAAGTTAATCACAAAAGCAGAATTATATGTATGGATATTATATGAGGAACAAAGAAATTGCTCCAAAGAGTATTTAGTTGGAATATAAGGTGGTTTTAAAAATAAAAATTTTAAATGAGCAAACATTTTCTAACGTTTTAAGAGTAGGGATATTAATAGATATAATTAATTTTAGAATTCCTCTTTTTTTTTTTTTTTTTTTTTGATACAGAGTCTCACTCTGTCACCCAGACTGGAGTGCAATGGCGCAATCTTGGCTCACTGCAACCTCTGCCTCCTGGGTTCAAGCAATTCTCCTGCCTCAGCCTCCCAAGTAGCTGGGATTACAGGCATGCGCCACCACACTTGGCTCATTTTTTAAGTTTTAGTAGAGACGGAGTTTCACCATGTTGGCCAGGCTGGTCTCGAACTCCTGACCTCAGGTGATCCACCCGCCTCAGCCTCCCAAAGAGCTGGGATTACAGGCATGAGCCACCGCGCCTGGCTAGAATTCCTCTTTTATTTCTTGATCACTTTAGGGAAAATATATTAGTAGCTGTTGTTTTCTTGGGGTGGAGGATCAGGAGTGAAAAGAATTTTGTCGCTGAAAATCAAATAAAGCTGTTGTCCAATCTCAGATAAAAGAACCAAATGAAGTAACTCTGAAATAAGTAATAATATAGGAATCAATGAAAACTTGAAGTTTCAAGTTTTAGCTAGTGTCTCAATAGTCATAAAGTAACTATAGGATATTTAAGAAGTATAAAGTATAATTAGTTTTGTCCTACCATTTTGAAATTAATAATATCTGATTAGAATGCTATTAAAGTGTTGTTATGCTTATGTTTTAGTAATAATCTGTTTTTAATTTTATTTTGAACATTAAAGTAACTAAAATCTTGCACAAACTGTCCATTGTTTCCTTTTGATGTGACTATTAGGAAACAGAAGAAATATCTTTGTCATATGATATTATTTTAAGGCCCAGATAGTAGTCAAAAGAACTTTGGTCCTAATTTAAAACTGTCAGTTTCTGGCCATGTAACCTGGGCAAGCAACTTCACTAGCCCAAGATTGTTCAGATAGATATCGTAAGGGCCATATAATTGTTTATTGAATAAATTGAGAGATCTACCACTGTGCACCTCAGTTGCCCAATCAATCAAATGAGGTCAGTGGGCTACAAACTGAGTTTGCTAAAGCTGGCAACACATTCAGACCTTATCTCAGAAAGAAGAGATGATTTAGGTGATTTCAATGCATGAAGGGAATCAGTGAACTAGATCATTTGTAAGGTACTTTTTCTATCTAAATTTGAACGACAAGTTTAGTTTACCAAATGATATACAGTTCCTGAGCCAAGGTAAGGACTTACAGTCTACCAGCCATCATATTACTTAGTTATCTCTGACAAAGCTTTAGGTGGACTTTTTCATACATCAAAATGTCCTTCAAGATTATCCTTTTTTGCTAGGCTGCTTTCAGAGCTCTGGGACGTATCAAATCCATTATGTGTTCATGGGGTCCTTCCCTGAATAAATCAGAGTGGAGGTGGGATGAAGTCTCTTCATAGACTTCCGCATCTTTGATTACTTATATGCCTTTGGCAGCTCTGCAAAGACCACTGACTTGTGTGCTAAGACATACCAGTATGCATCCAATCCCTCATTTAAAACCACATCTTTCTAGGAGGTGCTCTCTAGGAGGAAGATGGATGAAATAAATGTATCAGGAAGATGCCCAAGTAGATATGCTACTCCCTTACCCAGAATATATCCCAGCTTAGTTTCTAGAGCTAGTATCCAGAGTTCTGAGTTGGTGCAAAGACACAAAGGACCCAGACACCAATTCCTGGCATGCTCCCAAATGAGATGCTATTTTCAGGAAAGTTCCAAGTTTGGAGTGGATCCTTTGGAGGAAGAGCATTGAATTGCACAAGGAAAGCCAATAAACATTCTAGTCCCCAACAGGGACTATAAGCCTTGTAATTACGTTTTAGACTGTGCTTGTCCATCCTCTTCTTCTCCATATCTGTAAACAACATGTTAGCTTTGGAGGTTTGTCATCCACTGTGTGTCTTTGGAGAGGGTGTTCCTCATCACAGCATCTGCAGTATTATAGCCAGTAACAGTTCGCAAAGGCAAACTTATGAAATAGCTTCTAAACATACTAAATCCTAATCCAAACAATTTATAACATTTCTTACTCAATAACTCTCAGAAGTCAACTAACTTGGAACTGCCCTAAACAAGTTAAGAAAGGAGTCAGACATCATCCATTGGGTTAATAAACTAAAGTGGAAGGAAGAACATGCAGGTGAAAAGTTTCAGATTCTAATCTCTTCAGTGACTATATACTTATGTCTGGATCATTCTGTATCTTGATAGTGTTTTAAGTGTGATGATAATTATAATAATAAAAGCTAAGATTGAATAGTGATTTGCAGATTAGTGATTAAAAAAAGGGCTTTGACATTAGACAGACCTAGGTTTGAACCCAGCTTTGCCACTTATTGGCTCTGCTAATTTAAGATAGTTAATTAATTACTGATGCCTCAGTTTCCTTATCTTTAAAAGAAAAATAATCGTCTTAGCCTAGAAAGATTGTTGTGAGGATTCAATGAACTAAGGAAATGCAGAATGCTCACCATAGTGAGCTCAACAAAGTTAGATTTTATTATTAATGTATATGATCCTAACAAAACATTGTAATACTGTTTCCATTTTATGATTATGAAAACTGGGCTTCAAAAAGGGTAGGTGACAATTAGCTATTTGAAAATCTCTCATCGGTTAGCAAAGATCAAAATGATTCTAAAGTAGCACTCCTGGAAATGAATTGTGAGACTCATGGCCATCTCAAAGAGTTGTGGTCAAGATCTTGTAAGAAAATGTGTATGTAAACCATCTGATAATGGGAGACCCAGATTAAATCTGGGTGGTAGCTATAAGATGGGGAGGCACAACTTCATAATGGACTTTGGAACCAGAAAACTTTGGGTTTGAAGTTTAGCTTCTCCACTTCAGATTTTCTGTGTTAGTTTGGGCAAGTTACTTAAATTCTCTGAGCTCTAGTTTTCTTAATCTATCTCTGAGAGTTACTTTAAGAGTTAAGTAATATATGCCAAATACAAAACAAATAACAGCACTGGATGAATGCAGAGTAAATGTCATCCCACATCATTATAATTTCCCATGGTGTAGTAATGACAAACAGGAAGAGTTTCAGTAATCTCTTGGGTTAGTGAGGTCAGAACAGGTATCTTAAGCAATGCTGAGTTAATGACCAGAATCTGAACTTTTTATCTTTTTCAATGGAGTGATGGATTGCTAGGGTAATGGGGTTGTGCTGGTGATGCTAAAGATAAACGTTAGAGTAATAGCAAGCTCAGTCAATAGAAACATGCTTACCATACCCTGGCCTTCTCAGTATTTGGTCCTTTCCCCACTTGACAGCTTGTCTAATGGCAAATGTGAATTTTAAAAGTTTTCTCCCAATGCTGATTTCCTTTTGCCAGGAAGGAAACAACAATGGCTAATGTTGACATTTACTAAATTAATATTTCTGAATCTATGCTGTGTTAATAAGTGCTTCTCAAGTGTTCTGTTGTTAAATATGTGTGGGAAATGTTACACAGTAGTACTTGCATGCTTTCTCACCAGTATACATCACAGACACCTTCATATCACGTCAGTTTTATAGATATTTCAAAATACATTGATACTTATCATTATTTCAAAATTATAATATTTACCTTGCTGTTAGATCTTATTTAATGTATTAAAAAGCATATATATTACTATATCACACAATATATTATTTTAAATGTTTTTATAACTGTACATCAATGCCACTGGCTTCCTTTGTAATCTTATACATTTATTTCATTCACTTAGAATTTTTTTTTTTTTTTGAGACAAAGTCTCACTGTGTCATCCAGGCTGGAGTGCAGTGGCTAATCTCGGCTCACTGCAACCTCCACCTCCCAGATTCAAGTGATTCTCGTGCCTCAGCCTTCCAAGTAGCTGGGATTAAAGGTACATGCCACCACGCCCAGCTAATTTTTTTTTTTTGGTAAAGACAGGGTTTTGCCATGTTGGCCAGGCTGGTCTGGAACTCCTGACCTCAAGTGATCCACCCGCCTTGGCCTCCCAAAGTGCTGAGATTACAGGTGTGAGCCGTCGCGCCTGGCCCCATTTAGACATTTTTATGAGAAGGGTTTACATAAGCTTTACCAGACTGCCAAGAGAGTTGAGTCCATGGCATGAAAGTCATTACAGTGAGCAATTCTTTCTTTCTTTCTTTCTTTTTTTTTTTTTTTTTTTTGCCAGGCTGGAGTGCAATGGCATGATCTCGGCTTACTACAGCCTCTGTCTCCATGGTTCAAGTTAGTCTCCTACCTCAGCCTCCCAAGTAGCTGAGATTACAGGCATGAACCACTAATTTTTTGTATTTTTAGTAGAGACAGGGTTTTGCCATGTTGGCCAGGCTGGTCTGGAACTCCTGACCTCAAGTGATCCACTCACCTCGGCCTCCCAAAGTGTTGGGATTACAGGCGTTAGCCACCACACTGGGCATCAGAGCAATTCTTAAACATTGATTATGGAAGTTATTGGCAAGTAAGAAGTCCTTAGCGGAGGAGGAAGGTGAAAGCAGAAGAAATCATTGTTTCCTACTAAAGTAGCCAGAACAACAATGAGCATGGAAGGTAGAGAACAGTCAATTCAAGAGCCCCTGTATAATTAGAACTCCACTGTGACTTCCCTTTTTATTTCTCAATTTTTTCCCACATTCTCTTTCTTTTCTCTATTCACTCACACTGCAATGCCCTATCCCAAAGGCTTTGGATGTTTGTGACACCTTTCTGCAATCACCTAATTTGTGTATTTTTTCCCCACAGTAACCTTGTTACTTAGAGACAGGAGGTGGTTGATATATTTCCTTGAAGCGGGAGGAATCAATTCTAACTCCTTTTGGTACTGATGAGCATGGTGCTACAAGGAAATTTCTAGATAGCATAACATTATAACATTCACTCTGGGAACAAAGATCTCAGAGCATTTTCTGCCGCTATTTAGGAAAATTGTTGGATCACCTTTCCCAGGTTGCGAAGATTTTGGAGTGGATTTAACATTCACTCAAAGGTTAAAAACTTTGACAAAGTACATTTTACTTCCTGTAGTGGTCTGGGAAATGCCCAGAGTGGATCAAAATGTCCTATACAAGCTACAGCTTTCTCCCAGCTTCAGGCTGAATTCTTAAATCCAGAGGTTGCATGTTACTAAACTGCTGGTTTTTAGACACTAGACTTTAAAGATTTTTTATTTTTAAATTAATACTTTGTAATACATTTTGCCATTTGTCTAAAATAGAATTCAAGAATGATGTCTGTTATGCCTAGTGCATCAGAAGTTATTTTAAATATGACATCTTTATAAAAGTCAATAGCTGCCTCATCAAAGGGCAATCATGTCTAGTGTGGGTGGCTGTGCCAATTGTTTTTGAACTACTGCAGCAATCTAGCCAATCCCAGGGAATGGCTTGCAGTCTTTCTACACCCACATTTTTTTTCTTAATTATCTCCACCAGGCTGAGTTAGTTAAGGACAGATCTATAGCATTTCCTGGATGTCAAAATGCCCACACACCTTCTGCAATCCTTGGGCTACCTGCTTCCTTTCATGTTTCTTTTGGCTTGTCCATCTAATTATCTATTATCATGTGTATATAATGCATTATTCATGAGACCCAGGCAATTTCAGGATGTAATATTTTTGATTTTAAAAGGAAATGACCTGAAAAATTATAACTTCTGCTTGCACAAAGAAAATAAGCAGTAAATTTGATAGCAGGTCTTCCATCGCACCACCTGCTTTTAAAAATAATCCGCAGAAATTTGAGATCATTCTCTAAATTAAAACTTTCCTAGCCATCATTCCATAAATGAACAGGTTCAACACCTAGATTCCTTCTATTCTGGGTTCAAATATGTTACTTTGATTTTTTTCATGATATACTTCTTAACAAGTTAAAAATTTGCGGTACCCACCCAGAATTGTAAATCACCAAAGGTTAGGGTAACTTAGGCCTTAATTTCCCCTACACTGCAAGAAATAGTTATAGACTATATCTTTTATATCACTCAAACTTGGAACGGAAGTGGAATTTAGAGTTTATTCTGAGAACATCTCTTTTGTTTTATGTGTGAGGAAGCAGAGATCAAGAGTGACTGATTGACTTTTTTGGGTACTGACAAGCGGTTGGAAGTAAAGCCTAAACTCAGGCTTTTAATCTTATTCACTGTGTTCTCTTGAAAAAAGGAATCTTATGAGTCCAGAGGTCTGTCCCCTTCTAAGGATTGGAGCAAATAAAGAGACCAGTCTTTGTCTCTAGGCCACAAGATCCACCAAGATAGGGACCATTTGGTCTTGCTTGTTCTTGAATCTCCAGATTGTAATACAGTTCCTGGCACATAATGGCAAATTATGTGTTGCCAATTAATACTTACAAAATAAAATTATGAATGCTAGAGTCTCTATAGAAAGTATACCTTTTGGGCAAAATGGGAAATGATCAGCCAAGCTCATGATCCACATAAGTATCAGAACATCTACCAAGATAAACAAGTACCCAGTGTCCAAGACTGGGATGAAATTCCAGAGGATTGAAACAAAACAAGCCAGCATGAATTCATGTATCAGATATGAGCTGGGCTAAGTGACCTCTGAGAACCTTCCCAGAACCCAGATTCTATGATTCACAAGTAAAGGTAATGTACATCTTGGCTTTGGTTCTTCTTATTCTTTGTATTTGTTTTTTGGGGAATTAGCAACTATGACTTAGATGGTATGTCAACTAGAGGAAGAGTCCTGCTTTCTTTGAGTGTCTAACTGTGGGAGAGGGAAATACTGTCTTAGGAAGACTAGTTAAAACTTTCCATTAGGCCTGAAATTTTGAAAACTATTTGTAAAAAATGTTTTTAATTTAATTAAATAAATCAAAATAGGAGAAAATAATGCCTACAGCTCCCTCTGATGCCCTAGTGGAGTTTAAGGCAGCATGGTCTAGAGAGGAACAAACACAAATTTCCTTAAAATTTGAAGAAAGACTCTGAGTTAGTCTTTACATCTTACTGGCAGTGTAGTGTTAGATAATTCTGCACCTTACTTTCCTCATCTGTAAAAGGTGATTGGTGATTCCTACCTTACATGACTGATAAGGAAATCAAATGAAACCTATAGAGAGCTGTCAAAGTACTATATGAATCTAAAGTGTTATTACTAGGAAATACAAATAAAGTCTGCACTATAGCAGAAAAATCTCTTATAGGATTGTTTTATAATGTTGGAAAGAAAGCAGAAAAAAAATCCACCTGAATTTTTAAAAAGTCAGAATGAATACTCCAAAAATTGCCAAATGAGATTAGAGGCAGGGTTAAAGAATTCATCCTTCCCTCTCTGCACCATAGTGTTTTAAGGGTATTAATCTTTATGAAACACGTGTATCTTTCTCAAAAGACACTTGTTAAAGCAGCAGCTCTACATTCCAAAGTAAAAGAGGAAAGATGTCATATTTTTGAAATTATAATCACCTTTAAGCCAAAAAGGGGAAAAATTTTTTTGTTGAAAAATTTAATCTTTCTTTAAGACCTCTATTTCCATAGCACTCAATGATGGTAAGCTTTCACTAGATGCTAATGTTTATTTTTATTGCTAAGTAGTACGCAATGTTCTTGACATAGATTATGGCATGTAAATTTAAGAGACTCACTGCTTGTTAAATTCCCACTAGAAAACACACACAGAGACACACACGCCCATACACACACACACACAGACACACACACACACACACACACACACACAGCAGTAGCAGATCAGCAGAGAAAGACACCAGCCAAAGAAAGATAATTTGAGATACTTCTGAGGTAGCAGTTGTAAAATTAAAATAAGCAACTCATTAAATTATCCATAGAGTGAAAAGAAAGCTGCAAAAATAGATATTTTTCTGGCAAGTCAGTGCTTTTCAGAATAAATTTAGTTTTCAGCAGAGCTTTTAAATCTGATGATATCAGTTCATATTCATTAGAGTTATTTAAGTGGTTAGACTAGTTTGTCTAATTAAAACCAAAGAGTAGCTTTACTGGCCTTTGAGAGAAGTATATTTAATAAAAAATATGCTCAGTTAGACATCATTTTAACTGACAGATTGTAAGCAATATGATCGAGTGAATGTTACTTGAGCAAGTTTGAGCCTGGTCCCAAAATTACAGAATTACAAAATAAAAACCCTTTGTAAGTCATGCTTTAATGCTGGTTTTCCCTCATTTCTGTTTCTTGGCTGATTATCTATTTTGTGGTCATCCAGTCCCTTGCCTTCTCTCTCGCTCACTGCCTGATTTTGGAATGTTGTTTCTTACTAAAGCTTCCCCTAGAGGACAGGCCAGGAAAAGGAAAGAAACTAAATTCACCAGCTTCTCTTCTTATTAAGAATTTAGATCAGAAATCTGATAGGGAAAGAGTCTGGCAAATGAAAGGGGAAGCTTATTTATGTTGATTTTAGATCTTTAAAAGCCTTCTTTCCAATGTACATTAATAGACAATTGAAAAATAATATTTTATAAGCCAACTAATCACTTGCTTTTAAAATCCCCACTTACTACCTTGAGCATATACATTAGATTATGTTTTAAAATAACTAGTACTCTGGTTCAGTGAAATGAAAATGATATGTGCAAAGAGAATGTCATAATGATACCTCCCATTTATGGAGTGCCTGCTTCCCAGTTTGCAAAGCCCTTATATATATTCTCTTCTATCCTCCAAAAATTGCTGTGTTGTAGGTCTTACTATCAATGACACTGAAAAAGCTACTGGCAGGATGCTCATATTCTCATCTGAATCAATACTGGTATACTCCATTGGGGGAGCTAGACCAAGCTAAAATCTCACATACAGAAATATTAATATGCAAGACCAAGGGGTATAAAAGTAGGCTAGGTTACTGTTAATTTAATAGCATCTAGGTTAAAATTCTCTCTCTTTCCTCTTTCTTCCCTTCTTCTCTCCATCACCTTCTAGTCTTCTGACTGATTCCAAACAGGACAATTGAAATGTCTTGCCTTCATGCTGAAGAGCTCTTTGTAAATACACATAAACAGTGAATATCAGGTGCACCATTTTTAAAGTGCTATTCATTTCCACAACAGTTTAGGTGAAACCATGTCATCTTACAAGTTGAGTGTGTGTGTGTGTGTGTGTGTGTGTGTGTGTAGAGGATGACGTGACACTTTTGAGGTTTATTTAAGTTGTTAAAGACCTCAAGGTTACAAGACTTAGACTGTTAAGCATTTTTCCTCCCAGAGACACGAAATCTACAATTTTCTCGATTCAACTGTCAACTAAATTGGCAAGTCAACTAAAAGGATAATATTCCCTTAACGATGCATTCATTTGAAGCCCTAGCAACTGTATTAGGCAGCAGCGAGTATTCGCTAGCAAGGGATGGCGCGGGGAGAGGGAACTCTGCAATTTAGAGTGACAGATGATTTCTTTCCCATCCATCAAGCTGCCTCAAAATGTCACAATATTTACACCTCTTTCTTGGTGAATTAGAATCCAGAGACAAGCAGACAGAAAGAAAAAAATAATAATTCCGGCCGGTTGCCGCCTGATTGGAAAAAGCAAGCGTTGCACCTTTAAATTCTGCTCCTCCATTCCCCGTTCCGCACACCACCCCCCCCCGCCCCTCCCGGGATTTTGCAATAAATCTCCCAGTTCTGCGTTCAGCCCTGCAGATCCGTATTTAAAACAGCACCATCTGGGAAGGGTGGGTGGCGATGGTGATGCGGGCGCCTTGGAGTTCCTTTGCAGCACGCTTGGAATTGCATCAGACTGATCAGAAATCCCCCCGCCCCCAAGCTCAGCCCCTCCCGCCACGCTCCCCTGCCCGCCCCTCCCCTCCCCTCCCTTCGCGTAGATCTGACTGAGAAAACGACTGGATCTCGGAACAATCTGTGCCCCATTCGCTGCAGGCTTGCTCCGTAAACCCTGCCCTACGCTCCCTTTGTGTGCCGAGCAGCCTATCACCGTCATCTGATCCTAGCGCCTGTTTTTTATCTTTTCCTTCTGAATTTCCACAATATCCTCGCTTCGCCTATGAATCCACCTGCGCAGAGTTGGGATTCTTTCTTTCGTTCGTTAAAACAGTGGTCTTGAGTTTCGGAAACAGATTTTTCCTACGTTCCCCTCACCCCTACCCCAAGCTCTTGCCTTTTAATTAAGAAGAGCTGATCGGGGGAGGAGTCCAGAACGACCAAACCCTGGGGCGAAAACTGCCACCGGGCTTGGCTCTGTGGCCGGAACAAAAGGCCTGAGAAGGGGGTGGGGGTGAGGGTTATAGGAGTGTGGAGAGCCTGGTGGCCCCCGCCCAGGGGCGCCTAAGTCCCTGAGCTCCCTGAAGAGTGGCAAGAGGATAACGCAGCCGCGCGTTCCGGCAGTTCGCTGTCCCCCGGGGGTGCAGGCGGGGGCGGGAGAGGTAGAACACAGGTCTGGGCGGCTCCGCGCCGCTTCTATCTCACCCGCCAAGCCCCTCACCTCCACCCACCGCCAGTCCCCTGCCCACCCGGGTGGCGGCGGCGGCTCAGCGACTAGCCGGCCGCCCTCCACCGGCGCCTCCGGACGCAACCTCGCCCTGGCAGGGCGGTCTGCGCGTCCAGCTGATTGGTGGCTCTGTCCAGCCGCCGCACGGAGCTAAAAGTGTTCTTCTCCACCGCCTCCAGCCGCCCAGGCCCCCTCGCCCGGCCCGCTCTCTGGCTCTTCGGTCCGGAAAGGACCTTCTACTCCCAGGCGGAGGCTCCCCTTTCCCTGAGTTACCCCGACTGACTCGGACCTGGGCTCAGTGAGGCATCCGGCCCGGCTGGGGAGCGGAGCGCGGTCTCGGCAGCTCCCCTTCCCTTGAGAAAGCGGGAACCCTCTAAGCCAGCGCCCGAAACTCGCGGGGAGGGAGGACAGAAGGGAAAAAAAAAAGAAAACCCAGAAAGAAGCATCCAGCGAGGAGCGAGGGCGACGGAGAGGAAGAGATAGAATGAGGGAGGGATGGAGGCTGGAGGAGGGGGCGGGGTGGAAGAAGGGGGGCGGGAAGGAGGGAGGGAGGGGGAAAGAGAGGGAGGGAGGGATACAGAGAGAATGAATCCTTCTCACTAGAAGAGCTGAAATTACCTTGATTCATTTTTTTGTGTTGGAGGTTTAGCTTTACCTCCTTCCCTCTTCCCAACCTCCACCTCCTCTCCCCACCGCACACCACCTCCACCGCCTGATTCTAAATGCTACAAAGTCAAATTTTAGGAATTCGAATGTTTTGCAAAAGCTTCATAATTAGTAATGAATCTACTGTACACACACACACACACACCAGCAAAGAGAACGGAAAAGAGGGAGGTGAAGAGGAGAAAAAGAGAGATAAATCTTACATTTGAATCAGACATTTGCAGGTCCAAGTTAACTAAACTCATTATATCCGCAGGAAGACTGAGTTTCTTTTTTTTCTTTCTCCCTTTGCCCCAGGGTTCTCACCTAGGGCAATTCAAACTGGGCAAATACCAAGAAACAACCCCCTCTCATGCTCTCCCTCTACCTCCTCCCCTCCACCACGCGTCCTCTCCGGAAGACAGTATCAAAATAGCTCAAGAATTGGGGATGCAAGGGGTCCCCGCCCTGGTGCTTACCTTCTTTGCGGCTTACACCACCCCGGTGGCTAGATCCTGGAGATAAACACTTGCATTTCCCAAAGTTAACCCAGTATACCAACCCGGAGCTTGCCAAGAGTCTATTCCAGCCTACACCGCTAGGAAGCCAACTTCAGCGAGCTCAATGAGGGGACCAAACTGGGGCTCGCTTTCCAAACGCTCCGCTCCAAAATCTGACTCTCTCTCCAGCCCCGATCTCAGTGTGAGCCGAACCTCAGAAAAGACGCTTTTTAAGGGCGACACAGGGTTGGCTTTACAGCGGGGCCAAGAAGACTACCTGGGGGTACCGCCACCTCGGACAAATCCGTTGGCTCTGTCCAAGGTGCTGAATGGACTCCTATCGCCCGGATTACACACCCGGCACAGCAGGAGGAAAAGGCTTAAAAATCTCTAATTAAGTGATACTTGATATTGCTCTAGACGGTTTCTTCCACTTCCTTACGGTTTGTCACGTGCGGATGGCTTTGCCAAAGCCATCCTGTTAATAGTTGATCACATGTTGATGAGAACCTTTTCTTCTACGAGAGGATTACCCATTACCGGTGATATGCACTTCTGACTTATTTCTCTCCCCCCAACCCCACCCCCCATCTACACCTAAACTCCCAGTCTTTACCCCACCCTTACCCCCACTCCACCCCCTAACCCCAACCTCTAACAGCATTATTGTTTTTAGATGGAAATTAACCCCCTTGCAAATGTCAATTACATGCCCACATATAAATCATAGAATATGATCATACACCATACACATTAAGGAAAAGAATAGAATGCAAGACTGCTGAGAGACAAGCATCAGCCTTGAACAACCAATATAACACACACCCCCCCACCCAGCTCCAAGTTTGTTCCACGCAGTTCCACATAGCTGTGTCAAATCTCAAATGATTCCAATTAAAGTTGCACTGTGTAAAAACCCGATTCCCCTGGCCTGAGTAGCTGCTGTTCTTTGGCGTGTGAAGTGCTAGGAAGAGCCGTGATATGCCCGTTGTTAAGCAACATGTCAAGATTTTTCAATTATAATGCAGGTTTTATTGCTACTCACCATTGTGCCTTTGCTGTCCTGGAGACTCAAGTGTCTTAAAATCTCGTCTCCCCAACAGATGCTGGAAGGTAATGTGTCTTGTTTGAAGTCATCATGTGAGAAGTTCGGCTTTGCTCAGTGGATCGCCCACCACTTGGTGTGACTTATGAATCTAATAACCCTTTGCAATATCCGCAAGCTTAAACTCTCAACCACCTTGGCGACTACAGAAGACAAAGCAACTGGCATCGATGTCGAAAAACCTATAGATTTACGCAAACGCCCTCACTCCGAGAGACACGTTTCCTTTTGAGTTCTTACGTGATTCTAATGAATGAGCGAGGTTACCAATGATTGCCCAACTGCCCTGCTATGTAGCAGGTGTTTCCTAGGGCTGCCTTCTAACCGCCCGTTACTGGGTCCTGGCACTGAAAGTTCCCAGAGAAAGTGAGGAGTTTCAGGGTACCCCTGTAAAAAAAAAAACTCAGCCTGCACACCGCTCCCTTGCCCACTACGCAGGTCACACCTGGGGCTCCGGCGAAGCTGAATTCGGCTCGGGAGATTTCCCTGTCGCCAGGTAAGAAAACCTTCGCCTTGTCAGGCTAGGGCGGGAAGACCGCTGGGGAACTTGTTGCTTATCAGCGCCGGCAGACTACCGCTTTAATAATAATACCAGAAAAGCGCAGCAGGGAGGGGGTGGGGGGCGGCAACGGCGACGACTAACCTCGCTGTTTACGTGACCGACTCACTGTGACTCTCTGGGTAAAAAAAGGAAACTTCTTAGAAAAGTTCGTGCCCCTCCCCCTCCCCCATCATGACTAAGGGTCTCCAGCCGATGAGGTCGTGAGTGATGATCAAATGGGGACTGGGGGGAGGGGGGCGAGTAAGTGACTTGTCCTTGGGAACATCTGCATGCGTCGAAGCGCGAACCAGCCCAACAACTTTCCCTTTTCCTCTTAGGTACTGATGACTAGGCGAGAGGCACCAAGGCGAGCCACTAGTTGCCCACAGGAACCTGTGTAAGCCGAGCTCTCGAGCGGCTGAGTTGAATGAAGTTATGACTGCGTTTGCTCTAATGGGTTATGGCTTCCCAAATGTGAGTTAACAGCCCCGGTGCGCAGCTAGGTCGGAAGGCGAGCCGCGGAGAGCGGAGCCGCGGGCCAAGGCAGGGACGGGAGGGGAGGCGGCAGGTTGGGCGCTCCGCTGCTGCTCGGTGCTGCTTCCCCGGAGCCGCTTCCTCATCCTGCGGGGGCTGCCCCGCCGCCGGGGTGCCGGGGTGAGCGCGGCGGGAGCCAGGGCTGGGGTGGCGAACCTCGGAGGGGGCTCTCCCAGGAAGCCCTGCGGTTAGCGCCCGCGCTTCCCCACCAGTGGCTGCGCAAGCTGGGAAGCGAAGAGGTCACGTGTTGGCGGAAAGTAACTTGGAGGCGAAAGGATGAACTTTGAGAAGAGGAAAAAAAGCACAATGAAACAAACTACCCCCTTGGAGTGTCTAATAGAGGGGGAGGCGGGAGGGGGGGCGGAGGGGCGCCGCTCTCCGCGGGAGATGTGGGGACGACTCCGGAAATCTCGGGAAATAGGCAATAACTCGAGCTTTGGCAACGTCCCCCAGCCTAGGGAGGCGCTAACGCAAGGTATCTTTCCACTGAAGCTGCCCTTTGCCTACCCTCAGCCATCGCTAGCACAGCAGAGCAGAAGAACCAGGGATGAATGTAGACCAGTTGTTATGGAGATGTCCGTCGCTCTGAGGAGCGCTAGTGCCCTGGGAAGTCCCCAGACGCATTTCAGGTTTCGTCGTTTTGGCACTGACACCATGATTTTACTCGCTCTGAGTTCCCACCAAGGGGAGCCCACCAACGGCGTCACAGGCCCTGGCCGTGGCGCTATTGACTGCAGGGATGAGGCACAGCGATGCTGCAGAAGATGGTGGATAGCTCTTAAGTTTCAGACCACCCAGCCCTTTCCAATTTCCAGTTTCTTTATTCCAGTCAAAAGTGCTTTGTTTGAATATCATTCTTGCTTGCTTATGTAGAAAAATCTTACTTACACGATAGGATGATTAGAAGCAACAGAACATAAGCATTCAGTGGCTGCTTCAAGGTCCTCCCTCTCCCATCCCAGAAATGCCTTCCTTATGGAAAATAAGTTTTACTTCCCAATTATGTGCATGGACCTCTGTTCATTGCAGCCCCCATTGGTACTGGGTTATTATTATTAGCAGTAAGTCTAGTGTTGAGTTCATGCTTCTCTAGAAATGTTTCCAAAGTCAAACAGGCTTATCTTAGGCTCCAGATAAAATATCTGTATACAAAAGCTTCCTGGTTCTCATTAGGAGTAGTTCTAGATTTGCCAGGCTCCTGGAGACCTGAGATGGGTCCTTATGAAAGGATTTCAGAAACCCTCACAGTCATCAACACAACAGTTCTCGCCAAATGAAAGGACTGCTCAAATTGCCCACAAACTGCCACTTTTTGTCCATCCATGAATTAGCCAGCAGATGCTGCCCTAAGACTGGGACAGCTGGTACATACCATTCTCAGAGGTCTTGGGGTACAGGCTTTGTGGACAAAACTGGTTTTTTGAGAATGGAATCCATAATGCTGTTAATAACTTTCCTTGCCTACTGACAAATTCAATGACTAGCACAGATCTGCAATCTTGAAAAGACATAAGGAGATGACCACTGTATATGAACATATTATTCCCCATTGCCATCAATGTGATATATTTTTCTGACTCTTTTGTCAACAGTTTGTGGTCTGTATAGAAACTATCAGCTACTCCTCTGCTGGATCTTTATTCTGAAAATTATATCTTACAGTGGGATACCCTGAATTGTTGGTGTAGGTGCCTGAGGATTCAGAACATGAATGACTGATTAGTTTGAAATCATTTAGACACATGATTGTACTGAAGATATTTCCCAAGAAATATGTTTAACCAGTGCTCTTATTTCTTGGAACCATTACTAAAACCTCCAACTCAGGGACCAAAATGATGGACAAGAGTTGCTAAATAATAAGGGTTGATATAGGGAGCTAGGGAGAGTGGTGAAGATATGGTGTTTGCCATATATCTATATATACCTATTCCCACTTTGGATTTCTCAGTGATCTGATAGACAATTCTCTTCTCTTGGTGCACTATCAACTCTCCAACCTTTTATCTCCATCCACTCACTTACATAATTTTTTTCCATCTGCAGAAATCCAGTGTCTAATGTAAGTAAAGATTGCCATAATTTCATTTGTTAAGATAGATGCCAAGCACTGTATGTGTCACAATTTTCATCTCAGTAGCACTTATTCCTGGGGTTATCTTATTTTTTCATACAACCCCAATCAGCTGTGATATGAATATCACACTTCTCTGGCTCATTTGACCCCATTTATATTTAGTAATGGCAAGAACATTTCAGACTGAATAGTGAACAAATCTTATTCCTTAAGGATCACTACCTAACAACATGACCAAACTTAAAGCAAAATGTATTAATACAACCTAGAAGGAAGGATTTTTGCTTTCAAAATATGGGTATTGCACTCCTTATAGATGAGCTGTTTAATATTCACAGTTTTCTACCTATGCCACAGTTATAAAGCTTGTTCTTTGCCCACATCTTTATGAAGATAGGTTCAAAAATTAATACGAGGCTCATCAGTATTAGGAGGCACAAAAACTTCACTCAGTAGATGTGTAGTCTTGGAATTGGTGGGAGATGGGTAACAAAGCAGGAGTCTACAAAGTCAGAAATGAAAGAGAACTCCTTTTTCTTAGAAAACTAAGAAATAATTGGAGTACCTCTTAAGACAAAGTCCACTGTCTTTATTTCTAAAAGGAAATTCAGTAAGTCACTTTTAATAGGATGGTTTGTGTATTCCTTACTATATATCAAGGAAGACAAAGATGAGATAGTACTTCCATTCTTTTCTCCCAACTTGTCTTTCCAAATCTATTTGGTTGTAGTTAATTTCCAGGCTCTCCATCTCACCTGGAGTTGGATAGATTATTTCCATCCTTCCTTCCCACTCTTACTTCTCCTTCCTTTTCAGTACTTATTCTGTGCCAGGGACTCTGATGGGACTGGTGATCCACATGTTAACAATTCTCTACCTAAAGTATCTCAGAAGTTAAAGAGTGCTTGGTTAATAATAGCTGAGAGGTCAACAGTGCCTTCCCCTTCATTACCTCAGGATCACTTGTTACAATCAATGCAGAAGAGTAGTCACAGAGAAGCTCCTGATGGTGATATAATTGCTATCTTGGAGCCTAAAAAACAAAAAACAGGTAGCAAAAGCCTTCTGTTTATGATATAAGAAGAGCTTCTGACCAGGTAGGAAGAAAGATTGGCTCTCTTAGTCACTTCCTGATCTCTAATGGTTCTCCACAGGTAATAGAAGGAGAGGCAAAGAATCACGACACACAATTTGGAAAGCCTTCTGAAAGCAAGAATAGGCAATGATTGCCAAGAACCTGGTATTGAGCTCATATTTAAAAAGAACTCAAAGAATCCTCAATCTACCAAACCTAGTTATAAAGGAAACAATCAAAACTTCAAAAAGAAGTAAGCAAGAGAAAGCCTTGGGAAAGTCATGATTTAGTTTGCAATAACCTCTGTGCATTTCTGAGCCTGACAAGCAAGCATGAGACAGAAGATCTGGACATGACTTAACTCAATTTCAGAACACCAGACAACCCTATAATGAGGCTGAAGCAAGACCACATGGAATACTGAGGAAGAACTGAATGACTCTTTCTAAACCATCTTACAGAAAAGAGATGAATAAGAGGAAGTATGGGTAGCAAGTAAGAGAGAAGTGACATTGTTAATATGAAAAGTTGACAGGGAGATTAAGATGGGTCAAGAGCATGTCAGGTCAGGACTTGCAAGATGTACTTAACTAAATGTAAGTTCATATTAGGAATTGGATAAAATGAGAAATAAAAACTCCAAGGAGTCACAAAACTTAGGATCATGGAAAGGCAAGTGAAAATTAGTAAAAAGAGCCAATTTTATATCATGATAGGGCCTACCAAGGTGTGCTTGACATCTAATCTGCCTAGAACATCTGGAAGGAAACTTTCACAGATGCTAAACTGTGCTTCTTATAATTTAATGTGCACATGAATCTCCTGGGCAACTCTTTAGAAAGCAGATTCTAAGTCTGGGGACAGCATCAACAGTTGGCATTTTCAACAGATTCCCAGGTGATATGAAGTTGTGCCACATTTTGCACAGCAAAATACTAAAGCTTGCTGCCCCAGCCTATGGTTTCATTTGCATTATGGCTTCATTAATACACTTCATTAGTAACTGAAGTGAATGCTATATAACAAAAAATAATTCAAGGAAAAGACCTGTTCCTTTAACTCTAATGTTACACAAACCACAGACTCTAATTTGCTCCTGAACCCATTAATTCTAGAAAGTTCTTAAGCACAGTGGACATCAACCTCTTATTATCAGTAACATTGGCTATAGTTTGAACATTTATCATTTTGTACCTATTGGAGTAAAAGAAAAGAGAATCCATTTGGAATATATTGGGCACATTGCACAATGGAAAAGTCAGGGAAAATTATTCTAGTCATGTAAAGAGGATTGGTTAGGTCATATTCTGAGTCCTGAGCTCATTCTGGGTTTCTTTCTATAAATAGGATATTTTGGAACTAGAGAAAGCACAGCAGAAGGCAACCAGAATGACAGAGGGATTTGGGGAATTTGCTTCTGCTGAAAGGTTAAGGAAACTAGGTCTGTTTTCTTTTGTAAGGAGAGAAAAGATGGTACCTCACTGAGGTGATATCATTCTAAAAGTAGTGGAAGTAATAGGATGAGACAAGAGTGCCTTATGGAAACAAGAGTAGAAGGATTCTGGCAAGGAATGAAGGCCAGAAGAATGGCTCTAGCTTTTCTAAAGGCCCTCAGTTAGCAGTGTTCCTACTGGCAGAACTCCACTACTCGCAAAAGGAGGGGTAAACACTAGATTGGGATCAGGAAATAAGTGAGAGAGAGAAAATGAGGAGGCAGAGGGGATCTTATGTCGTTTTTCATTGAGAACATTTTCAAACAGGCATTTATTAATCCTATAGAAGCCCTGCACTCAAGGCATATGGTGAACTTTACCAACATTCCCCAAGCTCAAGGGTTCTGCTTCTGTAACACATCACATCTCTGCTTCCTCTTCATCCCAAAATGGCATTTTGTCCATCAATTCAGCAAAGAAATGTAAATAGTTATAATATGCAGGGTTTTCCCTCTAAATTACTTTTTCCTCTTCATCAATCCTGGAAAACATTCTCTTTTTATTTTATTTATTTATTTTTAGAGACAGGGTCTTGCTGTGTCACCCAGGCTAAAGTTCAGTGGCTCGATCTTGGCTCACTGCAACCTCTGCTTCCTGAGCTCCAACAATTCTCCCACCTCAACCTCCCGAGTAGCTGGGAACACAGGTGCATGCCACTACACCCGGATCATTTTTACATTTTTTGTAGAGACAGGGTTTCGCCGTGTTGCCCAGTCTGGTCTTGAACTCTGGCACTCAAATGATCAGCCTGCCTCAGCCTCTCAAACTGCTGGGATTACAGGCATGAGCCACTGTGCCAGGGCTGATTCTCTTTTCAGTTGGTAGAAAAGCACTGTCCATGACTTCGCATATGAGACCTCAACATCTTCATTTGATCCCTGAATCTCAGAGATGAAAGGACTTGCCGACCATCCTGGGCTACCCCATAATTTTACAGCAGGGGAATATAAAGCTCATAGAGTTGATAATCATACAGATTTTACGTGTATGGTACTGGAGCATATATGCTTTCGGGAAACTGAAAATTCACCAGTGAGCTATGTGGAAAATGTCAATTATTCCATGAGTTAGCTCACTACTCTGGTCCTCTGTCAAAATTGATATTCAGCTCTGTGTCTTTTTACTTGGACAGCCTTTGAGGGGAGTTGCTCTATGTCCACTGCTTTAGGTAGTTGACCCAAACTTCCCCAAAATGTAGGAAAGTTGGTTAACTAACTTTAGGTGGGTTAAGCAACTTTTCCATAGTCACACTGCTTGTAAGTAGTAGAGGAGGAATTAAAATTCAGGATTTTCAGATCTAAAGTTCATGCTTTTAAGCACTGGACCATATTTACCCCTCTTGCTTTCTTCCTTTCTGAATACATACATTTTTGCTTTTGTTGCAGTTTGCTTGTGTTACAGTATTGGGACAAGCCAGTCTCACTTAACTATACTGCTTCCCTCTCTCCCAATACTTTGACTGCTATGTAATAGAAACTTAATATAATTTTCCTATATGAATTAGAATCAAACTGCTTCTGTTTATCTCTGGGAAGACTTGTTTTCTAACTTTATCCAGCACAGCAGCATAGATTGCAATGCAAGGAGAGACTGAAGAACAATGGTGATCACCAATTGCCGTATGTTCTGGGGAGGCTTAAACCACTTCTGGAGCCTCCTTTTCCCCCACCTCCATCCTAGAAGGTAGCAGATGCATCCTTGAAGAGGCCTCGACAGAACCTAGGCCAATTCGCTTCTAAGATGCAGGTTATTCTTGAAATCTACAAGCAGCAAATCGAAGATGGGGTATACACTGCAAATTAGGGGGCACTAATGCGATGACTCAAAGTCCCAGAATGGGCCTGAGTGTGCAGATCACTGTGGAGATGTTCCCAAAGTCTTGACAGATCTATGTTAAGGCAGAAACAAGGACATCATATTCTCCAATATTACTGTGATTCAGAATCTAAATAGTGACCTGAATGCCAGAAATGTCAGCCAAGAAATGGGAAAAGGAATGGGCAGTCCAGAGATCTGGGCCTGTTGAGAAGCCTATGAACCCAGTGACTTGGAATAAAGACAATTGGGAGAAGCCTGAAATTTCAAGAGAAAAAGAGGAATCTCTGGCCCTAATGCTGGGCCTTTCTTGGTGTTCCCTGTCTCTGTACTCTATTTCCTACCTCCTGTAAGACAGGACATCTCTTGGAATCATCTGATGTGTTGGAAGGGGGCTGGGAGGGAAAGAGCATTGATGCTGACTGTGTTACAAGCTGGATCGTCTGACGCTGGCAAACCATTTTCTTTCTCTGGGCCTCAGTTTTTCCACTTATATAGTGGCCTTAGATTTGACATTTGTTGTGGGTTGAATTGTGTCCTCTCTGAATTAATATATTGAAGTCTCAACCTCCAGTACCTCAGAAAGTAACCGTATTGGGAGCTGGGTCTTTAAAGAGGTGATTAACTTAAAATGAGGCATTAGGGTGGGGCTCCAATCCAATATACCTAATTTTTTTATAAGAAGAGAGAAACTGGCCAGGCACAGTGGCTCACGCCTGTAATCCCAGCACTTTGGGATGCCGAGGCGGGCGGATCACCTGAGGTCGGGAGTTCGAGACCAGCCTGACCAACATGGAGAAACTCCATCTCTACTAAAAATACAAAATTAGCTGGGCGTGGTGGCACATGCCTGTAATCCCAGCTACTTGGGAGGCTGAGGCAGGAGAATTGCTTGAGGTTGCGGTGAGCCGAGATTGTGCCATTGTACTCCAGCCTGGGCAACGAGAGTAAAACTCTGTCTCAAAAAAAAAAAAGTAGAAGAAGAGAGAGACACCAGGGATGCACACGCACAGAGGAAAGACCATGTGAGGACACAGCAAGAGGACATCCATCTGCAAGCCAAGAAGAGAGGCCTCAGAAAAAATCAACCTGGTTGGCACCTTGATCTTGGACTTCCAGTCTCCAGAACTGTGAGAAAGTGAGTTTCTGTTATTGACATCAAGTGTGTGGCTTTTTGTTTTGGCAGCTACAGCAAACAAATACAGATTTCAAATGGCCCAATTATCTGCCTTCCAATTTCTGTGAAACTTCCTTCAACAAGTTTAGTATTGGGAGGGATTGCAGTTGACTGCAAATTCTTTGATAGTTCTTTCATCAAGAAATGGGGTTGTATCTGCTCCTCCCCTGCTTTCGGGTGGGCTCAGTGACTGCTTTGACCAATAGAATAAGGCAAAAGTTACACTTCTAGTTTCCTGGTTCCAAGCCTTAGGAGACTCTTCACTTACTCTTCCTGTGTCATGGAATGCCTGCTCTTGGAGCCCTGGACCACCATGTAAAAAGTCCAACTACCCTGCTGGAGATGCAATGTGAAGCAGTGATGAGATTACATGGAGAGAGTGAAAGGCCCAACTGAGCCCAGCCTTCCACTTTGCCCTGCTGAGATGCTGGGCATGTGAGTACAACTCACTTGGACACTCCAGACCAGACCAGCCACCAGCTGAAGGTCACTAAGTGACTCCAGTCAGTGCCATGTGAAATGAAAGAATTGCCTAGCCAAGACCTGCCAGAATTCTTATTCATCAGCTATAATATGGTTGTTGAGTAAGCCACTAAGTTTTGTTACAGTGCTTGTTAACGTGTTACAATGATGTAATAAAAGTTTCTGAACTGATTTACTAGACATTTGTGACCACATTAATTCTGTACAGGCTCATTCTTACCAGGTCTTGTTTTGTGCTCACGGAGAAAGTAAGGTGCCATTATGAAGGGATTGGGGTTTGGACTGAGATTTGGATTCAGGTAAGCTCTGCCATTAACAAGTCACTTGGTTTCTTCAGACAAATAATTTGACATCTCTGAGTCTCACTTTCCTTATCTGTAAAATAGGGATAATCACACCTGCTGTGTGGAGTTTTGTGAGGACTTAATGTGTTAATTAGATATTTTATTGCTAGGCAGATAGCATCCTATAAATGGTAACCACTCTCACTGCAATAGTGATGCCACTGCTGCTGCTGATAATCATGATGAAACCAGGTCATCTTGCCTATGACTGCCAGTGGAGTTGGATGAAATGCCCCTTCCAAACAAGCAGCCCTCCTCGGTCTGCCAGAAGGCTAAAATCTCACCATTGGCTTTTTCAAGTTATGGCATTTCAGTTTAAGGACTCGATATCCTTTAAATTTCCAGTTACACCTGGCAAGGTTAACACAGGCAAAAACATTACAAACTGGAAACAGAACAGCAAAGTGAAAAAAAGCATGTGATTTAAAAAATTTTAGAACTAGTTTTGGTTACAAGTCCTTCCAGATCTAAACTAACAGTGGATTAAATGTGTTAGAAATTTGACTTCCATGTAAATTACAAGTAGGTCTGGAGCCATATGATGTTCTATAGTGTCAGAGACCCAAGCTCTTTCTGTCTTCTGTCTATCTTCTGCTGTATGTAGTTTTATTCTGCATGTCGTCTCATGGTATAACATGACTGCTGCTTCTTCACTATCAGGAAAGAAGACTGGTTGGGAAGGATGCACCCTATTACTTTAAGGACACTTCTCAGAAGTTGGACAAATTGCTCTTGCTTATACATTGTTGCCCAAAACTTAGTCATAAGGCCAAATCTAGCTCCTACATAGGGTGGGAAATGTGAACTTGACATGCATGTGCCTAGTACGTTAATTCTATTATCAAGGAAGAAGAGATGCTTACTGGGGAAAAGAAGTAATCTTTGTGACAGTTAACAATTTCTTGAGCACTATTTCAAGTCAGGAGTGGTGGTAGGCAATTCAGGTACTTTGCAGCCCTGTGAGCCTTTTATTTTATTATTTTATTTTATTTTATTTTATTTTATTTTATTTTATTTTATTTTATTTTATTTTAGATGGAGTTTCGCTCTTGTTGCACAGGCTGGAGTGCAAAGGCACGATCTCGGCTCATTGCAGCCTTCGCCTCCCAGGTTCAAGTGATTCTCCTCCCTCAGCCTCCTGAGTAGCTGGGATTACAGGCACCAACCACCACGCCCGACTAATTTTTGTATTTTTAGTAGACACGGGGTTTTGCCATATTGGCCAGGCTGGTCTCAAACTCCTAGCCTCAGGTGATCCACCTAGCTTGGCCTCCCAAAGTGTTGGGATTACAGGCGTGAACCACCGCACCTGGCCTGTGAGCTTATTATTATCATCCCTATATAAGAGAGAAAGAAAGTGAAACTGAGAAATGATTTTCATAAAGTCACACAGGTAGTTAGTGCCTGGGCTAGGATTGGATCCAGGTCTATGTGATCCAAAATGCATACTCGTTTCTCTAAAACGACCCTAGTTTCAGTCCTGGCTTGACGACTTTACTGACTATGTGACATTGAGCCAGTCATCTGCCCAAGCAAAGGCAGCTTTACCGTGAAGCTAATGAAACATCTCACTTGCACAGACTCCTGAAGAGATAGGAGTGTCCAGGAGCTGCAGAGTATTGAGGGTGGGGTGGAGGGTTAGAAGCCAGGGAGCATTCAGGAAGTATTTCTATGTAAGCCTTTCTTGCAGATTGACAAAGAGACTGAAGAAGAAAGAGACGTAACCTCTAAGTCTACAACAATTTTTTGTGATTTCTTTTCTTGTCTTTTTTTTTTTTCTTTTTGAGACTTGGTCTAGCTCTGTCACCCAGGTTAGAGTGCAGTGGCAAGATCATGGCTCACTGCAGCTTCAACCTCCCAAGGCTCAAGTGATCCTCCCACCTCAGCCTCCCAAGTATCTGGGTCTATTGGAACACACCACAACACCTGGCTAATTGTGTTTTTTTTTTTTTTTTTTATTTTTTGTAGAGATGGGGGTCTCACCATGTTGCCCAGGCTAATCTCGAACTCCTAGGCTCAAGTGATCCTCCCGACTAGGCTCCAAAATTGTTAGGATTACAGGTGTGAGCCACCACGTTTGGCCTCTTTTCTTATTCTAAATAAATATTTGCGAGATTTGTGTTTGGACCTACAGTTGTATCTGTAACAGTGTATTCTTTTCTTAAAGAGGCTCCCCCCAAATTGTATATACTTCAGCTCTCACAAAACCTGGATCCACCCCTACTGCCAAGCCAAAATTCAGCAAATTTTGAAAGAATGAATTTGAGACTTATCTTAAATTTTGACTAAGATTTAGGTCTCAGAAATGGCAGAGCAGAGACCCTGACCAAGAGGACAA
This sequence comes from Homo sapiens, assembly GCF_000001405.40. Lineage (NCBI taxonomy): Eukaryota > Metazoa > Chordata > Mammalia > Primates > Hominidae > Homo > Homo sapiens. The sequence goes on from NC_000011.10 coordinate 27,733,349, forward strand.
ACCCAGAAGGAAGCTATGGTGGGGTTCTGGAAACACATAAAGACAGACCTCCCCCAGGGATCTCTCCCAGTTTCCTCCAGAGAGGGACTCTTTCCTTCTGGCATATTCCAATCGCCCTGTAAGTGTTCTTTAGCTCATTATACATTCTGCCTTCTGAAAAATTACTAATGTCCATATCAATCCCTCCACCCAGAGTAGCAATTGTCAGAAAGCAGAAACCAGGTATCCTTCATCTCTGTACCAAGACTTCAGCAAGGGGCCTGTTGCAAACCAGGAACCAATAAGTAGTTGTTGAATTGAATTGAATTGAGGAACCCATGGATTTAGGAACATAAAAGAGTGCACAAAAGCAAAGTTACTAACTCATTTCTTTATTGCATGATGTTTTCCAGATCTCAGTTTTCTTCTGTGAAATGAAGGCATTAAATCTATTGATCCCTAGAAGGGCAATTGTGAACCTGACAGTAGTGAACTAATTAACATCTCTGAACTCTATATTCTCAGAGTGCAGGTTTTATGCCTTGAATTGAGGTGAAATCCAATCTGGAAGCCTCATGTTCATTAAAAAAGCCTTCAGCATTCCTTGGAAGTGTCAGATGTTGGCCTGACCAAATTTCAGCAGGGATAATTGCATTCTGACAACTTTGAGTTCCCCTGAACTCTTCAATTGAATAAGGTAAGCTTCGCTTCCCATCCCAAATTATTTTACACTGCTGTCCTTGGCCTTTAAACAGAGATGTCACCTCATTTGTAAGCTGTTTTATTCTTTCTTATAAAGGGTTATGTACCTTTGCTGAGGTTCAATAATTTTTAACACTTAAGGCATCGTATAATTTCACATAATTCCTTTGGATGAAAGGCTGTTCCTGCAAACTATCTCCAAACTATTTTAGGGCCTTATAATTTGTTCTCCAGTGCTGACGACAGTTACTTTGAATGATATGAAAACTCCTTCATAGTGAATGATCTCAGTGTTTATAGGAGGAGAATGAAATGAGATAAAAATTCAAATACTCTTTCTCATAGGTACACCATCTTGGCTCTAAAAGTTTTCAAGGGCCACACGTGTTATCTAGTCAGTAGAATAAATACAGATTCCAGTGGGTTGTACACTGGAGACTCAAACATCCCCAACCTGACTTGATATAACTTTCAGTCTAATAAAGGAATGAGAACCTGTGTGAAAGGTATTGGAAAGTGAGGCAGCTCCATAAATACTTGTGGGATCACAATGACATTTATTTGTTTATTTTCTGCCTTTGCTATGGAATGCAGTAACAGAACACTAATGTGCCATGACTTGCCCTCATACCCATTTACAGCAAGAAAGCTCTGTAAAATCATTTGTTTAATATTAGGGAGGTAATTTAACCCATTTTACTGGGCTTTATTTTATTAGAAGCTGCTATAATAGGTTTGCATCTAATAATTTTACTTTGGTTATAATAATAACATCCTTTTCCTCATAATGATGAAATTTTTTCCACTCCTTTGATGTCTGTGCCAATTGCTATCTATTGTAATATTTAACTTCAGAATTAAAATGAATTCCTTCCTTCATCTGTAGCTCTTTAAAAAGCCAGGTTGTGAATACAATGACAGCAAATCAAACCCAAACCTGAGGTTTGCTTAACAGCTGAATGACCCTGCTGTTTTAAATAGACGGTTCATTCCTTCCATCACCAAATGTTTACTGAGTACTTCCTTTGGCCAAATACAGGTGTTAAAAAACTTGCTATACCAATATGACCCTCTTACTTTGCTGCTTCTTGACATGGATAGTGTATACCTTGGAAAAAAGTAACAATTTCATAAATTATATCTGGAGTTAAAATAAATAAAAATGGGACGTGGAGGAAAGGAAAGGAAAGGAAGAAAGGTATGGTCATGAATTAGAAAGTAAAGTTCCTGTAGGAGGTCTTCTTAACTATTTTTGGACTTCTGGAATCTCTTTTCTAAAAAACATATGCACTTTCCAAATTTTGCTTAGAATTTTGGCATATTTACAGACTCACAGAAGCCCCTCCAAGCAACCCAGCTCCATAACAGTACATTTGGATGAAGTTGAGGAAGCATTCAAGTGGCCACACAAAGCACGCAATGTGCCCCTTGAAAGATTTCCCATGTGGTTATTGACCTTGTGCCAGAGTTTTATGCATTGCTCAGCCATGTCACTCCAGACAGGGAGCTTCCTGTTATGACCTTAAGTACATTATTATTATTATTATAGTTAGTGAAAATTCTCCTAATCTTGTGACCATTTTATTTATAGTTAGGGAGCCTTCACTGGAGTATGAGATGAAGCAGGACAAGAGAAAGGAGTGGTTTTTCAAGAAAAAGCATTTGAAAGTAAAAAAAACAAATAAAATTAAAGCACCCACTGGGAATGAATGGGAAGAATATGGAAATTAAAATTACTATATGACTCTCCCCTCCACTTGATGTGGGAAAAAATAATATTGATTTTCCTCTTCTACCTTAATGGAAAGAAATCTGATTGTCTTTTAGATCAGCTTTTTAAAGAACATCTAATCCTTAATAGTTAAACAAATCATAGAAGAGTATTTTTAAAAGTGAGGCATTTCAATTTAGCAAGGACTTTCCTTAGAACCCCTAAAATTTTTTTAAAATGCAATGGATATCCACACAATGCAAAGAGAAATACTGCATCAGCAAAAGGGCCATAGGTATGGTGTTTGTTAAAAAATAAAGTAGGCATATGTACTACTAAGCAGACAATTTTGAGCCTCATTGTTTTCTAGCTCATTTTTTTCCTTTGAGGGAATTCTGGGCTTAATTTTTTTTTTTTTTTAATCAGTTGCTGACCACCAAGTGCCTTGGTGTCATCCTGGCTCCTCTCTTCCTCTCACACCCCATGTCCAATCCATCAACAAACCCTGCCAGCCCTCTATCTTTGAACCAACAACTTTCTACCCCCATACTCACTTGGTCCTTGCTGTCATTACCTTTCCTTCTTTTTCTCTCTCTTTTTTTTTTTTTTTTTTTTGACAGGGTCTCATTCTATCACCCAGGCTGGAGTGCAGTGGCATGATCTCAGCTCACTGCAACCTCTGCTTCCGAGTTCAAGCGATCCTCGTGCCTCAGCCTTCCAGGTCACTGGGGCTACTGGCCTGTGTCACCATGCCTGGATAATTTTTTATTTTTAGTAGAGATGGGGTTTCACCATGTTGCCCAGGCTGGTCTTGAACTCCTGGCCTCAAGTGATCAGCCCACCTCAGTCTTTCAGTGCTAGGATTGCAAGCGTGAGCCACTGCGCCAGCCGTTAGCTTTCACCTGAGTTATTTTATCAGCTCTCCATCAGCCTACCTGCTCCCACCCTGGCCCATTTTCAGTAGTGTGTCTACAGTATCCCAAAGCACAGCACTCAGATCATTTCCGAACAGAAGCCAGGTCAAGTGGCTCCTCTGTTCAAACTCTCCAGGGGCTTCCAACCTCATTTGGCACAAAGCTGGCATTCTTATAAGACTTACAGCTTGGTTCTTATGGGATCTGTGAGGCTCTGCATTATTTTCCTCCTCCTCAAGGCTCCCACTACTTCTCTGACTATATCTCCTTCAACTCTCACCATCGCTCATTTTGTTCCAACCACACTGACTGTCTTACAATTCTTTAATCATGTCCCTCTTCAGTACCTATGAGTTCCCTTCTCAGCCTGCTAGAGACTTGCTTCTGACAACTACATGTCTCATTTTCTTACTCTCTCACATTTTTGGTTAAAGGTCACTTTGTCAGAGAAGTCTTCTTTGACCACCTCAAATGCACCTTATCCCCACTGTCTGTCCTCTCCTCTTGCCCTGCACCCCTTGGCATTTCCTAGAATGGTATTCTACTTTATTTTCTTCTAAAGTATTTATCAATGATTGACATTTTGTATCTTTGTTTATTGTTTGAATCACTCTATCAGACTACAAGCCCTGTGAAGGCAGGGACTTCATCTATTTTGTTCCCTGTTATGTATTAATCTCTTGGAACGTATCTTGTGTCTAGTTGGTACCCCATAAATGCTTGCAGAGTGACTGATGAATGAATGAATGAGTGAGTGAATAAATGAGTAGAGATTGACTATGAACTAGACACTGCTATGGTTAGAGCAGTGAAAAAGACAGACCTGGCTACTGGCTTTATGATGCTCACACTCTACCAGTTATTGGCATTCTTATTTTCTCTAAAATGTAGCTCAAATTCCCTTTACAATCAGTTGAAAACAGAATGAAGAAAAAGTGGGGGAAAGATACAGTGGTACAGTATGATACTGGTTAAGGAAAGAGGAGGGTCAAGATTTTAATGTACAATGTGTTACAGAGTTTCAACACTTTCTGTACTATATTAGTGTCATAAATACTGGAGTTCATTTAGGAAGGCTTCAGATACATCCTGTTCCAAAATTTGCCCTGTGGACTCTCTTTATAATACCCATCAAGGGAAGGAAGATAGAAGTCAAGCCAAACTGCTTGACGATGTTTTATCTCACAGGCATTCTTCACAAATGCTTCCTTTACCCAACATTATTCTTAGAGCACATTCTGCATGGAAAACTCACACCTTATTACTTGCTTTGTTTCACTGAATACCTACTTGCTTTTTCTGGCTTATTCATATGTCCAGTGTTTCATGTGCAGCAAAACCCAGGAGCATCACAGGCTACCTGAATTCTCAGGGGCAAGTTGGAAATTTTGAAAATTATTTTCCATGTCCCCATAGAAAATTCTTGAGCCATCCTTGACCTTCTTCTTCTGCCTTTTTTTTTTTTTTTTTTTTTTTGACAAGGTCTGGCTCTGTTGCCTAGGCTGTAGTGAAGTGGCACGATCTCGGCTCACTGCAAACTCTGCCTCCTAGGTTTAAGTAATTCTCATGCCTCAGCCTCCCAAGTAGCTGGCATTACAGCTGTGCACCACCAAGCCCCGCTAATTTTTGTGTTTTTAGTAGAGATGGGGTTTCGCCATGTTGGCCAAGCTGGTCTCAAACTCCTGACCTCAGGTGATCTGCCCACCTCAGCCTCCCAAAGTGCTGAGATTACAGGTGTGAGCCACTGCACTTGGCTCTGCATAACTTTTTAAAGCTGGTTTAGTGATAATGGATTTTCCTTTTTTTTTTTTTGAGACAGGTTCTCGCTCTGTCATCCAGGCTGGAGTGCAGTGGCACGATATCGGCTCACTGCAAACTCTGCCTCCTGGCTTCAAGTGATTCTCGTGCCTCAGCCTCCCAAGTAGCTGGGACTACAGGCACATGCCACCATGCCCAGCTAATTTTTGTATTTTTAGTAGAGACAGGGTTTCACCATGTCGGCCAGGCTAGTTTTGAACTCCTGACCTCAGGTGATCTGCCTACCTGGGCCTCCTAAAGTGTTGGGATTACAGGCATGAGCCACCGTGGCCAGCTGGATTTTCCCTTCTTAATCTATGGACAGTTCTCCAGCCACTTTGAACTGTGAAGAAGCCATTGTAGGAGCCTTGCTAAGTAGAGGGGCAAAGGTAAGCTTCAGGATCCTTTAAAGACTCATTGACATTTTAGGGATGGCTTAGGACAGTAATTGATTATTTTGCTACTGTGGAAATGGGCCTTTTTATTTCCAGCTGTATGGCTCAAGGAGTCAGAAAATAGACCATTTATTTATTTATTTATTTGTTTATTAGCTAGTGGGTTTTTCCTACAATCATAGAATACTGAGTAGATTTATTTTGCTTCTTGAGATTAAATTCATAATAGAGGATGGTCAGAATTTGCCTGGGGATTTTATGGGTATAAATTAAAATGACAATAGTTGTTATAATATAGGAAGTGCAGGAGTGCCACACTGTCCTCCTTCAGTGCTAGTTTTCCATCTGGTTCCACCAAATAATATCTTGGCTAGATATGAAGGACTTCTATTTGAACCACTATCACCCATCTAAGTTGCCTGGACCAATGAGTGTTCTGGTCACTGAGGGGAATTGCAGAATGGGTTGGATAGTTCTGAACAAAGTCTTGAGGGAAAAAATGGGGATCACTTTCAGACAATCATTGGGTGATCCTTGGATGACATGTTGGCTGCTGTCATTGGGTGGACCTCACTAGCTGATGAGAAGAAAGCTAATATAGCTGCTCAAGTCAGGTGATGCACAGGGGTCCAGGAATGGAAAGGGAACTATATGTGGGCACTGAGCCAGTTCTCTGCTGGTGACTGCTTTGGGCTGACAACAAATGGTACTTTGGCCACCTTCAGCTGTCTCTCCCTATTCTGTTCGAATCCTGTCTGTCTCAACAGTCATCCTCTCTTCTCAGTCCTGGAATATTTACTTGGTGTGGAGAAAGAAAATAAAATGTAATCATTTATTCTTATAAATATTTTGTTGAGTAACACTTAGATCACAGTTCTTGAAACTCGAGAGCCAATCAGTTACTTTCTTCCTTAGTTCCATGCTCACAACCTTCTCTAAGGCAAAGGGGGAATTTACTGCAGCTGCCAGGGCTGAGGAAAGTGTCACAGAGTCTATGTGAAGAAATGAAATGGGGAGTTGAGGTGGAAGTGGTGGAGGTGGAGTGGGGAAGACAGTGGATCACAGTTCAAAATATTCTCTTGCCCTACTACCATTTCATTCCTGGTTAGGATGCTCTATGCCAAACCGTGTATCGGGCACCTTATTTAACTTTTATAACAACTCTGTGGAAAATATATTGTTTTCTGATTTAATAAATGAGGCAAAGGAAACCCAGAGAGGTTAAGTAATGTATACAAGATCATACAACCAGTAGGCAGCAGACCTGGTGTTCAAAGTCAGGGCTTTCTAATTCCCAGATCTGTTTGCATGACCACTCATTCACTAGCCATATTGTGAGCCCAGAGAGATGCATTTTGAGAAAAAAAAAATGCCATGTCCTCTCCCTTACTTTATTTCTATATTTCTAACACCAGTTTAAATGGAGGTCTCATACAAATTGGTGCTGTGGGGTGACCATTCTTTTCGGCTTAGACCTGGACTATGTGGTAAGGGTACACATATAGCTGGAATGTTAAGAGGTCAAGCTTCTTTTTGCTATCTGAGCCATTACAGAGGTGTCAGCTTTTCTTTTATCTTCTGGGGGTATCTCCTATGGAAGTCCTAAGGACCTGCAGGTACCCAGCCTGCATCTAGCACTGTCCTTCCTTAGAAAGCGGTGGAAAACAGCAAGCGATTGTTTTCTTCCCTTTCACTCACAAGTCTCTTTGCTTTCACCTGGGACTCCTTCTAGCAAACTCTATTCTTCCATTTTCCTCTGGATGGCTACTCTGGCCCATTGCCAGCTCTGCAGGAAAACAAGAAGCCTTCCTTTCTGGGATAAGAGATTTCTCATTCCCCACTGCAGCTCCCTCAGTAGATAAAGATTTTTGGCACGTTTTCAAGGATGTTGCAGCTGAATTATCCACCTCTGTGCTTCTTCCATTTGCTTTTATGACATTTCTTCCGTTCTCCATTGTTTCTTGCAACTTTTCTTGATGACAAAAGATACCCCCCATTTACATTTGAAAAAGGGTAACGACTGCTGTTACAAAGCCAGAACAATACCCACTGAAGCTGAGCTTACTCAGTTGAATAGTCGTTTAATATTTTAATAAAATAAAGACCTCTTTTAGTACCTGCTGCTGCGTCTGTGAAGTTTATGATGCATCTTTTATATTCATTTCCACTTTTAAATTATAATATTTTCCCTCTCACCCTAGAACAGCTTAATACACTGCAGGGAACACTTTCCCTTGATGATGAAAACAATATTTTTAAGGTAAGTGGGGCTAATAGTTTAAGTATAACCAGAGGACTCATTAAAGAATGTGTTCAATGTCCCAGTACCTGGAATCTCACTTCTAAACCACTACTATTTGTGCTTCAGTTTAAAATACTGTTGATTGATAATTTCTGGAGGGAAATAAAGCATTTGTGTAAGGTTAATAAAAATCAGTTAGTAACTCCTGCTAGCTAACCCCTACAAAGCTTCAAATGATGACATTATCTTGGTGAAGTTAGATGATCCAGAATCTGAGCTTTGAGACTTACAGCCTCTGAAACCCGATTTGTCATTACATAGAGAGAAGTATTATTCTCTCAAAGTCAGATTTATATTAACTGGGCATATCAAGATTGTTATATAAATTGCCAATATTAGTTGATCAATTTTTAAAAAGAAATGTAGTTATCATTTGCCCTGGAATAATTGTGTAGCAGGAATCAGCACATTCTTTCCCTCCGTGAAGACCTACAGGTGAAACCAAATTATAAGCAGAAGATTGTAGCATGATCATAGAATCTGTATAAAGAGATTAAATTTATTCCAATGTCAGGCTAAGATTACCTGACACAGTGGTGATTCTCCACTCTGGCTATGTCTCTGGGACTATTGGAGTCTACAAAATTTTCAGAAGCTTGGGATCCATTTCAGACCTACGATTAGGGCAAGACATTTGTATTTGTTTTCTCTTAAAAACCATATGTGATTCTCTTGGTTATCAGGGTTGAGATAATTGGTCTGAAGCATTTGTCTCCACTACAGGAATGATTTTGCAATGGTGCCATATTATTCAAAGTCCACTGGGCAAGATTCTCTCCCTCTTGGATAGTATGTAGAATCACAGCACCAACATTTGCTTTGTTTGTTTGTTTGTTTGTTGTCACAGGGACAATCAGTTCTCTCTTTAGATAGGTTTTTGCATCTAGACAAATGCATACTCTGGCCAGATTCCTTTCAATTTTTGGTAACTTTCTCCATCTCTGCTCTCATCCGGCTTGCCTGGAACATACAATTAAATCTTCAGAAAATATTGTTTCTTTCTTTGCAAGCTTTGAGAGACCCCTGTTATTTTAATCCCACGTTCCACTTTGTCAACCAAGAAAAATCAGTGGGCAAAAGATATTTTTCCAGCTAAGTAAGTTTATGCAAAGATAAGATATTCCACGGAAGTATGTACTTGTTTTCATAAGGACCACATCCAGAGGCTTTCGGCCCTTCCCCATGTTGTAGCTAGATCATCTTTCTTTTAAACATAAGGTTTTTTTTGTTTGTTTTTTGTTTTGTCTAAACTCTGAAAACTACTTCCAAGGCAGCAGGAAGTACGATCTGTGCACTGCTTACTTCTCTCATCGCATCCCTCTCCCTCATCTCCTCAGTCATGCTTCAGCCATTTTTGAACTTTGTTCAGTTCCTTGAATGTGCAATTCTTACATTTTCTCTGCCTAGAACACTATCATCCTCTTCTTCATCCATTAGCTCTTCTCTTCCTTTGGTTCCTCAATGTCACTTGCTCTGTGAGGCCTTCCCTGATTTCCTCACTTGATTTAGAAATCTTAACCATGTACTCTCATGGTACCCTTGATCTCCATGGTCAAAACTCATATCATGTTTCTTAAAATTGCTCAGTGACTTGCCATTGCTTTTAGGATAAAGTCCAAATTTAGCCTACTATTTAATCAACAGTCCACCTCTTGGGGTCTTATTCCTCTGTCCTCTGGACCATTCTTTCTCAAGGATGCTTTATTTTAGCCATTCGTGGTTACTTCTTAGCCATCTATTAAGTATCTTTATTATTGGGTCGATACATTAGAAAGATATCTTGGCTTTTTATGTTGGATCCATATTGCGATTAGAATTAAGCATATGTTCTTTGCAAATCATTATAGACAAAAGAGTAGAGAGGTGTGATGTTTTCAAGGTGGATTTAGTTAAAAAATTTTAAGATATTCTCTTTCGTTACTACTTCTGAGTTTAATTTCTGGAGGCAACCACTCTTGTTAATCACTGCGCCCATGTGCTACCCATGTCTATGTCTTTACTGAATTGAATAAGGGGGAAAGAATCTTTTTGTAAGCATAGAGTCACAGTCAATCACATTTCCCAGGCTTAATTGAGAGGAAGCTAGCATATCAATGTGTTTGCTCTAGGCCGATCCCAGATTTTCCAGTAGAGTTAGAATTTCATGTAATTTTATATTTTCTACATTGGCATTGTGTTAAATGCGTCCCTAAATGGAAATTCATTTTTAGAACTTGTAAAGGTATAAGTAAATTCACAAACTTTTCAAAAACCCTTTGTCAAGCTATGTAACTATAAATAACTGTATCTCTCTGGTTTGGCAAATCCTGTGGCTGTGTATATAGAAGCTCCATCTTTCTCCAATAGTCATGTAAAGGGAACAACGTTTCCTCAGCCTCTTTACAATCTTTCCTCCCATCTTGGATGCCCATACTCTTCATATATACCCCTCTTTTCAGACAGACCTGGATTCAATTTTGGCTCACTTTCTTATTAGCTCTGCTGTTTGAATTTTCACTCTTCTGCTGTAAAGGCTAATAATATGAAATGGGGGAAATTAACTGAGATAATGTATGCCAAATGTTCGGCATGGTTCCTGGTTAAGACAAAAAAGCTGCTGGGCATGGTGGCTCATACCTGTAATCCCAGCACTTTGTTAGGCAGAGGTGGGATGATTGCTTGAGCCCAGGAGTTTGAGACCAGCCTGGGCAAGAAGGTGAGACTCCATCTCTACAAAATATTTAAAAATTAGCCAGGCAAGGTGGCATGTGCCTGTAGTCCTAGCTACAGGGGGAGCTGAGGCAGGAAGATAGCTTAAGCCTAGGAGGTAGAGGCTACAGTGAACCATGATCACACCACTGCACTCTATCCTGGGCGATGGAGCTAGACCCTATCAAATAAATAAATAAATAAATAAATAAGAGTTTGGTTTGATTTCCCTTCAGTGACACTAAATTCTCCATTTCCAGAACCTATCTTCAAGCCCCAATATTATTGCATATTCTTTTTATTCTACCATGAAGCCTTCCCAAACTCTTTCAGAGTTAGTTTCTTCTTTCTCCAGGCACCCTCAGCCTTTTTGTTCTTATCACTCTAGTAAGACTTCTCTCCCTGTTTTGGAAATCAATAACTTGCCCCAAATTCTGTCAGCTGCTCCAGAGATAGGCACTGCCTTATTCATTACTCTGTCCCTAGGGATTAAAATAGTATCTCCTCAGAAGTTGTTGTGAGGATTAAGTGAGTTAATACCTGCAGAGCTCCTAAAAAAGTACCTAGCACATAGGAAATGCTCCATGAGCATCAGCTATGTCATTAGTTTTTTATTATCATTAGTGCCCAGCACAGGGACTTGTATAGAGCAAGTACTCAATATAGGCTGAATGAATGAGAAATGGGAAGAGGGAAAATATGCACACCTTTCTTCTCATTATAGTAGCTTATCATCTTAGAAACAAATAGTGCAATTGACCACTTATTTTCATCTCCTTTTTAAAATTATTTTTCTGAGACTCTCCCTCTGTTGTCCAGGCTGTTGCCCAAGCTACAGTGCAGTGACAGATTCACAACCCCTTTACTGCAGCCTCCTTGAACTCCTGGGCTGAAGGAATCCCCAGATATCAGCCTCCCAGTAGCTAGGACTACAAGTGCATGCCAATACATCTGGCTAATTTTTCAATTTTTTATTTGTAGAGACAGGGTCTCACCTTCCCAGGCTGGTCTTGAACTCCTGGGCTCAAGCAATCCTCCCACCTTGGCTTCCCAAAGTGCTGTAATTACAGGTGTGAGCCACCACTTCCAGCTCATCTCCCTTTTTATGATGACAACTCTTTTTTTTTTTGGAAAGCCATCTCTCTTTGTGCATGCGGTTCAAAGGGTACTGAACCCATTTCCTCAGCTCGAGGTTGAGCAGGCAATCTAGACATGGTTGCTTAGCATGTCTTATTCCCTATTGTGACATTGTGCTTGGAGGATAAGGACATGACTCAAGTGGTCCAATGAGAGTCAGACTTAGGACTTTGGTTGGCACTCCCAGAAAAGAGGTAGTATTTACCACGGGTTTACTAATTTACTCAGATATAAGCCTGGGGCTGTGAATGGCCATGTTTGCTGCTGATGGGAGAGAATTAGCCTGGGAACAAAGCCAACTCAGAGCAAAGAAGAGCCAAAAGATATAGACAGATGTTTGATGATACCTCCTAAGCCCTTGGATTCAGCTATACCTGAACCCAAGATCTATCTCTGAAAAATACACACTGGCATGTAACTAAAAATTGTTGTCCGAGAAACCCTGGGGATCCCTGAGAGCCTCTTAGGTGTCTAAAGGGTTAAAATTATTTTCACAATAATAAGATGTTATTTATATTTTTCACTGCCATCCCCTCAGGAGCATATGGTGGAGCTTTACAGGCTAAGTTGTATGTGACAGTGCAGTTGATGGAATGTAGAAGCAGATAGAAGAATGTAGCTGTCTTCTATTAAGCTAGACATTACAGAGATTTACAAAAATGTAAAATGATGGCATTCTTCTCATGATATATTTTTACTTTGGAATATATAGCTACTTTAAAAATAAAATATGCTATTAGATAAGCATATAATGGGTGTATAGTTGCTATTTTTAAGTGAATAAGTAAATATTTAGAAATGATTATCAGTATGAATTTCTAATCTGGTAAATACTGATCAATATTACCCATATAGGCAAAAGGTCTTTGGGAGGTCATCAGTAATTTTTAAGAGTGTAAAGGGATTTTGGAGCCAAAATATTTGTGCACCTCTGAATTATACAAGTCAATAAATTATATATATATAGCTGAGGTCATTTTTAGTTGGGTCTCAATCACTTTCAAATGAAAGAGACTTGATACTGTATTGCATTTTACAGAAAAATAATATAGCCTTGAGAAATTGGGGATGTCTTTTGGCCAATAGTAATCTCTCTCTCTCTGTTTTTTTTTGTACAAGAAAATGTCCCCCTATCCCCTGTAATCCAAAAATAAGGAAGAGGCTTGTAATAAGTGAAAGAATTCAGGTCCAGAGAATGTTAGAGTGTGTTGCAGTGTGAACCACCTACAGAAAAGAGACCCTTCTGTATCCTAGCAAAGGGATTCATGAATTCTGTCCTTATGGGAGTACTGGGGGCTGTTCCAAACCTTTGGGATGTGGGTATGATTTCAGGTCAGCAGGACCAACGTTTTAGGTTAAAGAACAGCAGTTCTTTTGTCTTTGTAAACTGTCAAAACAAGATTTTATAGCCTGAATACTTAAAATCACTTTCTTCTAATGGGATTTGTTACTTGATTTTTGATTTTTCACCAAAATTGCTCTCAGTTTCACACTTCATATGTCAAGAAGCTGCTTTGAAAGTGTCTGAAGATTCAGCTGAATGCTGATTTCAGTACTTGGGCAGAACTGATCTATCTGCAGATAAGCCAACTTTGGAAAAAGGCCTATAACTGTATTTTTTTTCTCTTAAATTGCAAACATGGATGAGAATGTATGGACCTCTTTATTCAAGTAACACTTAAGCAGAAAGTCATAATGACATATCATAGTGACATATGGCCAGAGAAGGCCTCTCAGAAGACATGATGTTTGAGCTAAACCCTGTCATGGGAAGATGAGGAAAAAAGAAGTTACTGGCACAGTGAAGAACAAATGCAAGAGGCCTACAAGGCAAAAGATAAATTTGAAGATCAGAAGGAAGTCAGTGGGGCTGGAGTAGAGTGAGTAAACAAATTCCATGAAGAAAGAGAAGCAGACAGGAAACCTATCATGCAAGCACTGTACTATAAAAAGTCATTGAAGGATTTCAAATGGTGAGCGTAGACAAGATGTATAGAGGTATAGAAAGTGAGGATGTCTTCTCCTTGGTTTAGCATTTCTGAGAAACAAGACCATTGATTGTTCCTACGTGTATCCTAGCAAAGGGATTCACGTTTTGGCTGCTTTGTCTACACATGCTGTTGTTTGTTTATTTATTTATTTTTTTGAGACTGAGTCTCCCTCTGTCACCCAGGCTGAAGTGCAGTGGCATCACCTTGGTTCACTAAAACCTCCTCCTCCCGGGCTCAAGCGATTCTCGTGCCTCAGCCTCCCAAGTAGCTGGGATTACAGAAGCATGCCACCATGCCTGGCTAATTTTTTTATTTGTAGTAGAGATGGAGTTTCACCATGTTGGCCAGGTTGGTCTCAAACTCCTGACCTCAGGTGATGTGCTGGCCTCAGCCTCCCAGAATGCTGACATTATAGGCGTGAGCCCCTGCACCCGGCCTACTCATGCTGTTATTTGTATTCAGAGACAGTCTCTCTATCTGCACCTGTTGAAATCCTATCCAACCTTCAGAGAAGCCTTCAGAAACCATAGCTCCTTGATGAAGCTATGAAGTTTGGCTGTTTGGTGCATGAAAAGCCCATGGGCATTGGCATCCAGGAAACTTGGTTTTGTATCCTGCCTCAGTCACTGGCAAAGTCATTGTGCATCTCACGTAAGATTCTTAACCTTTCTGAGATACTTGTTTCCATATATGTGGTAATGATATCCATCTTGAAGAGGTACTGTGAGGATAAAATAAGATGGTATTTGTAAAGAACATGGTATATGATAGGTGCTTCATAAATGTTAGTTTGCTCCTGTCTTGCAAGGCAGTATGGTAGTGTTTAAGACCATGGGCTTGGCCAGGCACGGAGGCTTATGCCTGTAATCCCAACATTTTGGGAGGCCGAGGCAGGTGGATCACAATGTCAGGAGTTCAAGACCAGACTGGCCAATATGGTGAAACCCCACCTCTACTAAAAATACAAAAAATTATCCAGGTGTGGTGGTGCGTGCCTGTAGTCCCAGCTACTCGGGAGGCTGAGGCAGAAGAATTGCTTGAACCCAGGAGGCAGGAGGTTGCAGTGAGCTGAGATCGTGCCACTGTACTCCAGCCTGGGTGACAGAGCAAGACTCCATATCAAAAAACAAACAAACAAACAAACAAAAAACAAAAACAAACAACAACAACAACAAACATGGACTATGAGTCAGAAAGGTTTGGGTTTTCATCCCATCCTGCTATAAGCCTCCTGGGTAATCTTAGGCATTATTTCACCTCTTCTCAGGTTTCTCATTTGTACATGGAGATAATAATAGAACTAAAACTATAGGATTACCATGAGGATTAAATGAGATAATTTACTGAAAGCAGTTGGCACAGTGCCTGACAAATAATAAGGACTCAATAAATATTGGCTATTATAGACTAGGGCAGTACCCAGCATGTGTGCTGTGTGAAACACTGTATGTGTTATAATGATCTATAATACTTTCTCAATGAATAACTGCTGATGGGGTTGCTAAATTCAGATCTGGAGCATGGGCAACTGGGTAAGATCAGGGGGCAGAGGAATGGGGAACTGATGCAGAGTAAATTCAATAAGCAGGCACAGAGAGCAACGTGGGCTAAGGAAGCTGGTGGTGACAAACTCTGCTCTCTTTATAATTTTGATGCATGAAAAACACAAACTGAATCTCCTAAGCTATAATCAACAAGAATAAACTTAAAAAATACAACTGAATTTCCATGAGTCATATTTCTTTCTTGATGATATTTGGAGAGATTTAGGGTCCAGACGTGATTGCTCCCACAGAATGCATGCATCTTTATCTCTGCTGGTGCAGTGTCAAGCTTGCCAGCTCCACTCAGGAGGGGGTGGACATCCAGGGTGGTGGTACTTGACTAGGTTACATATCACGATCATTCTAATGCTACCCCCATAATCAAGGGGGTGCAACTGACCCAATATTCTTGAGCAAGGAATCTTGGGGAAATGTCAAGAAAGAACCCTTCAACATTAATATTGATCACTGATGACATGATGACTCTCTTTCTTGGTATAAGCTCATACTCCAAATGTAAGTCTTTGAGTTCTAAAATACTCCCAAATGAATGACACATGCTCAGCCTCTGGCACAGTGGCTTTCATGATGAATGTTCAACTCAGTTTATTGGAGTGATATTTGGCTGAAGAAAGATGAAAAAAATCTAAGGATAATATTGATACAGAGTCAGAGAGTTGTGAAAGTCAAACCTTTTCCAAAAGAACCTCTTTACACAACCCCATTCATATCACAGTCTATATAATAGTGCCCCCTAGAGTTGTGCAGGGCATGGGTTGTGTGACCATTTAGGGCATCATTGGAATTTCTAAACTGAAAACTTTCTGATTCCAACATACATAGATGAGTATTGAACCCTTATGTGCCGAATACTTTCTTAGAGATTATCATAGTTTATTAAGTCAGGCCAAAAATCTCAGGACCCATTCTTGATTTTTCTCTTCCCCTCGCCTTACCTCCAACCCAACAGCAAGTCCTGTCAGCTTGACTTTTAAAGTACAATGTGAATCTGATCACTTCTCAGCACCTCCTCTGCCACTACCTCAGGTCACACCTCCATCATCCCTCACCTGCAAGATCTCAGCAGTCACCTAACTTATCACCTGCTTCCATTCCTGTTCTGCTCTGTAGCTGGAATGTTCTTTGAACAGTGTAAGTCCAATTATATTTTCTTTTTCCTTGGGATCTTTGCACTTGTTGTTCTTTCCTCTTGGAGTACACTTCCCCGAAATCAGATGTCTTCTCTTTTTATCGTTTTTGATCAGATATGACCTCCTCAGAGATGCCTTCCCCAACTACTGCTGAATCCGAAATAATATTTCTCAGTGCGACTCAGTCACTCACTATTCCCTAACCTGCTTTATTTTCTTCAAAGAACTTAGCATAATCTGAAATGTTATTGTTTATTTATGGGTTTATTTATTGTCTATCGCCACCACTAGAATGAAAGCTTCATGAAGGCAGGGGCTTTGTTTTGTTCACTGCTTTTTCTTTCATACTGAAAACAGTTCCTAGTACACAGTAGGCACTAAATAAATGTGTGTTAAATATGCTTAATACATTTAATCCTTAGAGTAGGGGTTCTCAGAGTGTGACCCTGGACTGTTAGCATCAGAAACAACTGTGAAATTGTTAGAAATGCAAATTCTCAGTTTCTAACTTAGACCTATCAATACGTAATCAAAAACATTAGGAGTGGAACCCACCAATTGATGTTTTAAGACGCTCTCCAGGAAATTCTGATGCATGCTCAAGGTTGAGAACCACTGCATTAAAACAAACACGTAAAATATTATTAGGCTTGTTGTACAGATAAGAAAGTTACATTTTAGAAAGGTAACATAGTTCAGATAGAAAGAACTAACATTTATTGCCAAATATCACATTATAAGCACCCTATAAATAGTATTAATAATAGTATTTGTAATTGTATTGTTACCTACTATGCCAGATGCTGTATTTAATCTTCATAATAATTCTGTTCAGTATCATTGCTTCTATTGTTTATATACATTTATTGAGGCACAGACATTTAAGTAATTTATCCAAAATCATCTAGCAAAAAAGAGACAGAAAGATCTGTTTGCATCTTTCCTTTTTTCGAAGAGATCTAACTAAGGACAGATCACTGATGTGCCAGCAGATATGCAAGGAAAACACATTTGGCATTTTCTGAAACAAATGCCAAGTTTCCACATTTGGAAATGATGAATGGTGGGTCTTGACATCAAGGGTACCCTCAAAAGGGGAAGTAGATGCTCTTTCATTCTGGTGGCTTCAACTCAGAGATACTGGCTCTAGCTGACCTTGATGAGCCCCATCTTTTTCTACCTTGGAAATAGCAGCTTCGTGGACTTTGGATGTGGGCTGTCAAAAGCCTGGCTTGGACATCAGGAAGGATGAATAATTGTGGGCTCAGCAAATCACATGAGCCCCACTGCCTTCATGGAAGAGAACTGACATTTGATGGTGATGGAGTAGACGATGATGGAAATATATAAATACATATACTTCTGAAGTCGAGTCACAGCTGTTCTTGGAACTGTACACCCTGAGCACATACAGACAAAACCCCAAACAGCAAACTCCTAAAATTATGCTATAGCAATCTGGTCAATTTAACCATGAATATTGATGGGGAAATTACGTCAACTGGCCTTTCCAATTCCTCCTTATTCCTTTCTGTTTTGGTTTTTATGGCAACATCAATTCATTTCTTATTTTTTAGTTCCCTTATAATAGGGAGGCAAGCATTCATGAGACAAATATGCTTTAAGTCTCTAATGTAGACAAAATCACAGTTGTATTAGTTTCTGCTTAAAGTTGATATCTTTACAGATGTGCATTTATGCATGGAGGATATCTCAAGGATCCAAGGTGTTAATATTACCGTTGAAGTTTTGCTTTTAGGTGGCTATTGGCCATGGGACAATTGGACTTATAGAAAGCAAAGACAATAGGCTTTGAGTTGTCAGAGAAAGGGGACACTGTCTGAATCATGTGTGTCTCCAGCCCTAATGTGCAATACCTAGCACATAGTAGAGACCTAAAAAATCTCTATGGAGTGAATATTTAGAAGTTGAACATACAATGGGAACTCAACAAATAGTTTTTGATTGGATAAAAGAAGGAACCAGGGAAAGACTCTCACTATATCTGCTATAAGATAAGCATTCAACAAACATTTCTTGATTAAGAAAGTACTACTGAGATCCTCAGTGAATACTAAGTGAAGGTTTGAACAAATGCTTGGCACATGGCAGGTGGTCGAAAAACGACACCAGAATGAACAATCAGTCATATTTTCTGCCACAAAAATGCTGTCCTCAGAGTATAATGGAAAGACACTGGGCTACTTCTCGAGAGCAGAATCCTTATGCTTGGAACATATCTTTCTAAGTAAGTCTCTGTGTATTCCATAGGATTAACAGAAACTTGGGCTGTTCATTTGTGCTGTAACAGCTTTGTTTCTTTTCTCACTACTTCTCGGAGGCACACAGACACTCATTTATCCAAGTTCGCACATTAAGACAAGGGTATGGTCCAGGCTTCTGACACGTCCACACTCATTAGAGCCACCAGGAAAGTCGTTCTCCCCCCAAATGCTTAAAGAGTGGCTCTGTTCGTGCACATAGATCCTTTGTGTCAGTCCACATGGCAGAGTTCTGACACATTTGATGTCACGAGCCTGTGATGTCATGGGTTTTTCTAGACATCTCTCTGTGCTACCCAGACACCAAGGCCATGTAACCAACTTGGCTTAGCTCTCAAAACGGACTATTATGGAAAAGCTTTTCTGAAAAACAACATTTCACCTGTGACTGGCATTTCCTTCAAAACCAAGACACTATTCTCTGCTTGATTTTAGTTCCCTTTGGGTTAGGAGACTAGATATCGCTGAGTATCTGAAATCTCTTGTCATTCTGGAAGGAGGCACTCATTGCAAGAAGTCTTCATTCTTGGGTTTGTTAATCAAGCTCTTTGTGCCTCAGTTTCTTCTGTAAAAAAAGGTTAATAATAATACCTGTTGCATACGGTTATTGTGAGGATAAGGAGTAATGGTATGGAAAGCACACAGAAAGGTTCATTGGAAGTCCCCAGGAAATCTATCTTTCCTTAGGAAAAAAAGTCAAGTCTGGGAGACTGCACAGAGATCGTGGGCTTCCATATCTTGCAAAGTGGCCTTGGTAGGAGAGATGGAAGGGCAACAAGGCTTTGGTCCCATTGGAAGAGCTCTGTATTCCTGTGCATTTTCATCTGTGTAGCATACTTACTTACCTAATAATTTGGGGCTCTATGTCAGATTGCAGGTAGCAACACCTTTCAGCTGCTGCCTAAGAACAACAACAAAAAATGAAAACCATGGATTAGTAAAATCTTCCATTTTACAAATGAGAAGAGTGAGGACTCAAGGTCTCCTGATACTCACATCCAGTGATTGTTCCATTTTCCAGCTGTGGTCCTGACTTACCTCTCAAAATTGATTGTTCTCACCCTATGGCTATAACACAGACCCCATTAGATAGACCTAAGGGAGACATAAGTCAGCTCTCATTTTCCAGTTGAAATGAAGCTTGTATCTTTTCAATAACTTGTCTGAGGCTATGCAGTTTGAAAGTTGCTTGAACTGTAATGTGGGTTCATTTTATTCATCATTCATCACTATTTATAGAACATCCACATTTCAGTCACTTTTGGCACTATTTCTATGTACGCTCTAGAACCCTCTGCTTAGAATAGGGCTGCCACCATAGGCACGAAAATTCCCATAATGCTAAAAGATCACTTTCCAAGGTCATGTTCTCTTTCATTCCTCTTAAGGAGCCAAAAAGGGCTTCAGAAACCTTTAAGCCTTCCAGAAAAAAATACCTCATAACCTGAGTTGTGAGGAGGCCAGAATCAATCTTCAACTGGTACCTTTGCTTTCTTGGTGTGACTTTTCTTATTTATAAAATGGATATGAAAATGCTCTTCTCACAATGTTGATGGAATAGTCGGATGAAATAATGCTCACCCCAGGCCTGTGGTCCATCCTTGCAGAAGAAATTCAGCCAATTAGATATACCCTCTCCTTTCCCAGGGAGTATGTGCCCCTCTGTTTTCCCAGGTTCCTTTTAGGGATCCACCCCACTTGGGTGTACTAAATTCTTGTTTCTGGCCTTTTTCCCACTGACCCACACGAACATTTCTGTTTAATCCTAGCCCCTCAAGGTCCAGTTCCCTGGATGGCACAACAGTTGTATTCGAGAGTGATTGTGAGACCCTGTTCTCCACAAAAAGGAAGAAAAAAAAGAGGCAAAAAAAGAAAAAAAAAACTTCACATTAACTCCTTGACATAAGCAGAACACGTGATGTTACTCCCATTCCTCAGACAATAACACTGAGTTTCAGGAAAGTCAAGTGACTTGCCCAAGGTCATGCAGCTCATGGTGTCTGAGCTGGAATGCAAATAGAGGTTTTTCTAACTCCCTTGGCTGCCTCATGTTAAAACCTTTGTCTATCCTCCCCCAGCCTGGGGAGCTGTATTTTTATATAAGACAATTTTAGTCTCCTCTCAATAGGTGGTAAAAATACTGGTGAGAGAGGTCACTCCACCTTGGCGGCTGCTTCAAAGGCCTGGAAACGTGTGGGAGGCAGAGGGAGAGGGTTGGAATGACATTTGGTCCCCCACACCGTGAGAGTTGAGGAGGTGGGAGACATTGCAACAAGTCAAGCGTAAAGGAAGAACGAGGCCTTCCAAGCACTGCCCTGTATAAACACAGCCGTGGCAGAGGGAAGGTTGCCTACAAGGACACACTTGATGTTTCCTTGGGTTTTCGAGGGGAAGGGCTGAGTCACCACGGAAACACCGTCACTTTCCCTCCCCCAGGGTGTAGACAACTGAGATGTGACTCTAAAATAATGCAACTGATGCTTTGCATTCCTTAGCTGCTCACATAGCCAGAGAATTGTCCCCCTTCACCCACCAATTTGCCCCACACCCACTTCACCCTGTGGTTTGAGGTTCCAAACTACTGTTTTAACTCCTGCCCCCGCCCTCACCCTGCTCAGTATTCTTCTAATCCAGAGACAGACATATTGACCATTAACTTATAGGCAATATATCCCCTACCTACTTGGAAACTCATATGTAAAATTTTGCCTGCAATTAACAGAAGACCAACTTAAGGTGGCTTAAATGTAAATATATATATATATAATCTTAAATAAGAAGAAATAGAGAGGAAAGTGGTTTCAGGGTTGATTAACTCCGAGGCTTAAAGTCAGCGGCTTCCCTTCACCTTTCTCTCATCTTTAGTGAGTTAGTTTCATCTTTAGACTCATATGATTATGGTCCCAAGAAGGCTACCACAGCCAGCCGCAGGCTTCACATTCTTAAACAGATGCAGAAAGAGGGGTCATTCTCTTTGTGAAGTTTTTGTTTTTTTAATCAGGGAATAAAGCCTTTCCACAAGTCCTCTGGCCAACATCCAAGTGGGGAGGGTGATAATTTCTTTTTTGGTCAAATCTCAACTTGCCCTTAGCTCAAACAATCTACGCCAGCAGGATTAGAATTAGTGTTACAGGCTTAGATGAATAAAGACATCTCCTGGAACTGAGGAGGTGCTCTTCTACCAGGACAGGTCTGTCCACGGGGAATAGCCAAAATTAAATCAGGTCTTGGTGGCAAGGGAGGAGGACGAAAAAAGCTGTTGGGTAGGCGACCAGAAGTGTCTTCGATAATGTTACCTAAGACTGCTGTGAAGATTAAATGAGATATGTGTAAAACACCATGCCTGGTTTCTGGCAGATCATAAATTTCAAATAAATGTTAATCGTTATCTTTTCTGTTCTGATTTTCATCCCATCTTGCACTTGCTATTCCTCCAATTGGCTCATAGCCTTAACCCATATTCTCTCTGCTTAGCATGCTCTTTTCCTATTGCAATGCTACCAATACCCAAAAGCTCATCTCAATTGTCAAATCTACAATAATGTTTTCCTTGATTTCTCAATCCTCCAGGGTATTTGTTTCTTATTTATGGCTTTAATCATGCTTTGTCTTGTGTTTGTGTACTTTCTGAGATTTCTCTAGAGTTTGAGCTCCTTGAGGATTACACAGGTCTCATTGATTCCTCATTTCTTTGAATAACCTCTAGTGGGCCTTACACACAATAGACACTCAGTAAATAGCCTTAGAATTGAATTGAATGAATTTTGTTCAAAGCTATTATCCTGGAGCTCCAATATTGGCCAAAGCATGTGGTACATCCTTTTTTCAATTGTAATAGACACAACATAAAATTTACCATTTTAGCCATTTTTAGATATATAGTTCAATAGCATTAAATACATTCCCATTGTTGTACAACCATTACCACCATCTATCTCCAGAACTTAAAAAATTTCCCAAACTGAAATCCTGTACCCATTAAGTAATAACTTTCCATTTATCCCTCTCCACAGCCTCTGGCAACCACCATACTATGTTCTGTCTCTATGAATTTGACTACTCCAGATACCTCATATAAGCGGAATAATACAATATTTGTCCTTCAGTATCTAGTTTATTTTACATGGCAGTTGGTCCTCAAGGTTCATCCATGTTGTAGCATGTGTTAGAATTCTATTTCTTTTTAAGGCTCATATTCCATTGTATGCAAGTACCACATTTTGCTTTTCCATTCATCCATTGATGGACATTTGGGTTGCTTCCATCTTTTGATTATTGTGAATAATGCTGCTTAAACGCCGGCATACAAATCTGTGTTCAAGTCTCTGTTTTCAACTCTTTTGTATATTTAACCAAAAGTAGAACTGATAAATCATATGACAATTCTATGTTTATTTTTTGAGGGGTTGCCATATTGTTTCCCACAGTGGCTACACCATTGGCACATTCTTTTGACTTGTACCAGTGGCAATAAATCTCAGAACCTGCAGCATGGGTATGATTTTTTATTATTTTTTTATTATGCCTTAAGCTCTGGGATAATGTGCAGAATGTGCAGGTTTGTTACATAGGTATACATGTGCGATGGTGGTTTGTTGCACCCATCAACCCGTCATCCAGGTTTTAAGCCCCACATACATTAGGTATTTGTCCTAATGCTCCCCCTCCCCTTGCCCCCAACCCCCGACAGGCCCCGGTGTGTGACGTTCCCCTCCCCGTGTCCATGTGTTCTCATTGTTCAGCTCCCACTTATGAGTGAGAACAGAGCATGGGTATGATTTCAACATCACATGCATCCTCCAGGGTGTCATGTTGGTTCATGTCTATTACAGTTGATCAAGCCTATGATGACAGCTTTCAGTAAAAAAGATGTAAGGCAGATCAGCATAGAGATTTAGAGTTCATGGCCTAAGCCACATGGGCCTAGATTCCAAATGCTGTTGCTATTACTGTATGGCCTTTGGCAAATTGCTCTACCTCACTGAGTCTCAGTTTTGTCACCTATAAGATGGGGATAATAATAGAACCTACCTCTCCGGTGACTGTGGAAATTAATAGGATAGTGCAGGTAAAGTTCTCATGGCTGGGCATGACAAAGTAAACGTCCAATAAATGTAGTAATTAAATCATATGATAATAATAATTAATAATGGGATGGGCCCAGATACTGATTTTGAAAGCCATTCTCAGAGAGAAATTTCAAACTGGCTTGATGAACAGTGATATTGAGTGTTTAGTCCCTGAAGGTATCTATCTTGAGGCACAGAATTTATTCAGATATCACAGTTTTGTCACGTGTTGCCTTAGCTGAGATTCTTTTGGTTTCTAGTAAGAGAAGCCTGCTCAAACAGGTGTAAGCAAAATGGGGAATGTATCTTAGGGATACGTGGCAGGGGAGGGAGCTCTTAAAGAACCCTGGAATAAGATACAGCCAGGTAGTGTGTATTTGGGTCTGGGGCCCTATGGTATCTTATTGTGATATCTCTTCTCTCTGGGCATCTGCTCTGTTTTCATCCTTTCTGAAGATTGGCTTACTTCGCTGGTTGTTGTACATGATATGGCCACAGCTCCTGAGTTTTGTGCTTGTTCACTCTAGCCTCAAACACTAACTTGCTGAATCTGAATTCCCATCACAAATTCCCAGGAAAATCTGATTGTCCCTGGTGGGTCAGCTGCCCATCCTCTGTGAAACTGGGCCAGGAGGCTGTGTGATGGCCAAAGGGAACAAACATGGCTGCCCAAAGTAGATATGGTGGACTTCAGAAAAAGGAGGTCCTTGAGTTTTTTGTAGATCCACCAAAAAGGTGTTCACAACAAAAGACTTTAACATACAATATGGCTCCTTGTTGTCATATTTTTAAACCCATTTAAATAATTTCTTCAAACATTTAAATAGCTTCTTGGCTGTCCAAAGAAGAGGGAGGCTTTCCTTCTTTAATCAGAAGTTCTGCCAAGAAATTGGGTTAACAAAAACCTCAGATCAAGTGTTCCCCCTCACGTTTCTTCTCAGTCAAAATATTTCATATGTTTCAGATGCCATTCTCTTTTGAGAAGGGCCCAGAGTCCACACTAGACAGGAGGACTGGTCCTTGGCAATGTTACAGACTGATGACGGATGACTCATTATTACAACTCTATACATGTGTTTTGCCAGCATAAAAGGGGAAAAAAATACCACAAAAGGAGAAGACGAAGGATAAGGTCTTTAACATTTTGGCCATCCAAAGTCTTGTCATCCATCAGGTCCTGGAATTCTGCCACCCACCCACTTGGCCAGTACTGGACTAGAAATAATGAACATAAGTCACTGTGGTTTTTTTGGGTTTTTCAAAAATAGAAGAAAAGAGATGTGGCTAGAATGTGGCATGTCTGGGTTTCCAGATATATCTGCTTATACAGGGAGATGAAGGCCCCAGGGCATGCTATTGTAGATGTCATTACAGTTGTCCTCCAAATCTCAATGCTATCAGTTCCCCTAGATCAGAGGAAGATACTTTTACTTGCCTTATCTTTTTTTATGATTATAAATGTAGTAGATTCTCACTCTTAAAAAAGAAACTTTACAAAAACAAATGACTTCTCCATAATCTTATTCCACAGATATAACCACTGGAAGTCATTTAGTTTATATTCTTTCAACATTTTTTCTATACGTGTATGCTAATATAAGTAAAAGCATGCTTTTTCTACATGCGATATTTTACCTAAGTGAACTAATACAATAGTGTGGCTCTGAAATCCTTTTTTCATAACGATGTATCTTACACATTTTTCCCTGTCACTACCTAGAGCTCTCTCTCATTCTTTACAGGCCGCACAATTTTCCATTTTATGGGTGTACTTTAATTTATTTATTCAGCCCCAATAACAGCTATTCAGGAAGTGAGAAAAATATTTAATATTTATATTTCCCCTCATTTTCCCTCTTCTTTTTTTGCTTCCCACAATCTATACTTTTTTTTTTTTTTTTTGAGACAGAGTCTTCACTCTGTCGCCCAGGCTGGAGTGCAGTGGCGTGCGTGATGTCGGCTCACTGCAAGCTCCACCTCCCGGGTTCATGCCATTCTCCTGCCTCAGCCTCCTGAGTAGCTGGGACTACAGGTGCCTGCCACCATGCCTGGCTAATTTTTTTTTCCCACATCTGTACTATTTTATTGCAAAGGTGATTTTTGGATTGAAAGTCAGAAGTGGCTTCTGTTTACTCCGGAGGCCACATGGTTGCTTTAAAATTAGCATCTCTTTTAGTTATTCACTGTGGGGCTCAATTATTTGGTTAATTATTCTCAACTCAAATCACCCTTCATCTGTCAATTAAATGTATAGAATGTTCTCAGAACTACAGAAATCTAAGGGCTGGGAGAGATATAAGAGCTGTAGATCTGGGAAGAATCGGGGAACTGAGTCAGAGGGCTCTTCTGCAGTTTCTGGACTGCTTTTTTATTTTTTCCCTCTTGTTTCATTGCCATGGGAATTGGTGGAGTGCATGGTGTGTGTGTGGTGGGGGGGCTTGTGGGGGAATGCATGTGTGGGTGTCTGGGGGAAAAAAAGGCCAGAGAAGGATGACTCCCCAGAGCAAATGCTGATCTGTGCAAAGCCCAAAAAAGTGGCCAGGTGGAATTTTGGGGTCACTAGGCAGTAGGGGAAGTGACCTTTGTAAATTAGGACACAGCTGAGGGCCAAGGTTGGATGCTATTTCTGTAGTTTTCCTGAATTTGGAAAATTGATTTCTTTGCCAGTGTGATGATGCCTTGGGCATCTCTGATTAATTAAACCCCTCTAGGCCACTATTGTGACTCATCTTGTGGACTTCTGTGTAACATACCATTGAATAAACTAGAGGATCTTGAAAAAAGTTTGTGATGGTCCTTATTATGTATAGCTTATTTGGGCCACAAATGTTGGAAAAGAGCTTCCATTTAAGATGGATGCTGGCTACCAATGGTGTGGGGTTGGGAGATGTGATTGGAGAAGGGTGGATAAGGTTGTAGGATGAATTCAAGGCATCCAGCAACTGCTTTCAAAACACTGTTGTCTGTAGTGATAGAAATGTTAGTCTGTGTTGCTTAGAAGGGCAGCCTATCTTAGAGAAGCTTTTATTCTTCAAATGCTAATTTAAGCACAGCGTGGTTTCCCAAGTATAAATACAGATTTAGTGTGTACTCTACCCTACTCAATATACGATCGTGTATCTGCAAAAGCCACCTTGTTCTCAGTCTCACATTGCTGGGTGCAGACAAGAACCGTCAGCCTTACAGTTCCGATTTTTCTTGGGATAAAGATTGTTTTCTAGGGACCAAAGGGACCATTACAGCTTTTGTGATCATAAGTAAAAATTTTTTACATTTCTTTTAATGTACAAAGCCCCTTCGATCCACGGTTTCATATGCTCCTCTCTAGAAATCCTGGAAGGTAGGCATGGGTTATTTTTTTTTTTCAGATGGGGAAGATGAGCTCAGAAATAGCAAGTGGGAGCCAGGTGCCATGGTGATTAGTAACATAGTCTCCAGGGTCTGGCAGAACTGGGTTCAAATGGGAGCTTTACCCTTTATTGCCGATGTGACCTTCTGCAAGTTAACAGATTCCTCTGCTCTTCAGTTCCATTTTCTGTATAGTGAGGATAGTAATTTCTAGTCTATATGGATCACTGCAAGATTAAATAAAATAAGCCATGTTAAGCATTCAGTACAGTGTTGGCACATAGAAAGTCCTCAGCAAATGCAGAAACTGAATAATATGTTCAAGGACAAAACTATGGTAAGTTACAAAAGAGGACTAGAGTTAGAGTCTGACTCGGAGCCAAGTCTGTTTTTTACTCCATCATACAGCCTATCTCAAGACTCTCTGTGGGGAGTGAATTCGTTCCTGTTGGAACAATCTAGAATCTCTCCTTTGTGGTAGCTGTACATTTGAAATGTACTGATTCTGCCACCTTGGGGCATCTTTAGGACAGAAAGAATGCAAAAGGGGAGAACACATTCTGAGTGTCAGGTACTACTGTGTGTCAGGTAGCCTTACAATATTGTCTCATTTTATCATGACACTCTCACTCATCATAAAGATAAGGAACAGGAAGCTCAAGTAGATAGTTTTCCCCAGGTCAGGCAGAGCTGCCCGATACCAAAGACATCTTTCTGCTGCTCCAGCTAAGGGCTACAAAAAAGGCCCAAGAGACAAGTTTGGGCCGAGAAGGTGTGGGCTGTATTTGGTTTGCCTGCCTGTTCAAGACTCCTTCCTCAGTCTGACTCCCTGGACTATTTCGAGGCTGCCATGTCATTTCAGTCCCCCTCAAAGAGCCCTGAAGAATGTGCAGAGGAAAAAAGAAACCCAAAGAAATCTATTATTGGCACTCGCCCTTGATTTGTTATTATGACGTCCATCCTGCAAAGAAGTGTTTATACCCTTATAAGGTTCCTAGCATCAATTTAACTGTGTTATCTCCCAGTAGATGGTACAAAATGCAATCTCAGTAGCATACGGCAGAGAGAGGTGGGAGAGTTTCTTGGCTGAGGAATGAGAGAGAAATTAAAAAGGGCCTACTATGCTGAGTCACTAAGGCAAAGCAGCTTACTATGGACCACATTCAGGCCTGAGCCAAGACACAGCAGCGAGTCAGTTACTGGTTAGGGCCGCTGAGATGGTTCTTCATTGGGAACGCATCTTCTGAGAAGCTGCAGCCAAAAAAAGGGGGAAAAACGCCAACATCCTGAACATTTTAAGTTCATCGGTTATATTTTTATACAGTTAAATCAAGTACAAAAACAGAAAAAAAAGAAAGTCATGTTTCCACCAGCTTTCCTTGAGCCTCCCCCAACACACGCTCACCAGCCGGATGAGTTAGTTCTCCTCCCTTTGTCCTCATAATAATCCATTTAGAATTACTGGGAGTTGTTCACAGGCCAGACACTGAGCCCAGAGCATCCAGTGCTTTATCTCATTTAATTATTGCAAATATCTCATGTGGGTAGGTGCATTCCCATTTTTGAAATGAGGAAACTAATGCTTAGAGATGGTGTGTAGTTTCAGAGCCAGAGAGTTACACAGCCAGAATCAGAATCAGATGCTTTCTAACCCCAGAGATGGAATTCTTAACAGCTGGTCACTACTATTTCACCAATACCAAAAGCTAAGAGGGACAAGAAATCTTTCAGTTCAGGAGTCCCAAACCTGGCTTATTATCAGAATAACTTGGTGAGCTTAAAGCAAAACTAAAAAATGAAACAAAGCAAAAAAGATGCTTGTTTAGAAGGTTTATGTTGGACCCTGGAAATTTAAATTTATTGAATCCCCCGCCCTCAGGTGATTCTAATCAAACCTAAGTTGGAAAACTTTGGTCTCATCTATCCTGTTTCTTAAAAAGCAGCAGCTTAAAATAATAGCACTTTGCCTACAGAAGTACATCAATTTGATGGTAAACCAGAACTTGATCCTTGGTCATCTTCTCGTATTACCATGTCCATCAATCGATTAATGAACCAGCAAGATAGGTGGCCAAGTCATTAATTCTGTGAACTAGAGGATGTGCCTTGCCTTATTTTCAGGGAGAGGGTACTGGGATATTAGTGAGGACTAGATTCATTAGGGAAGGTTCTTGGATGGGATAGACCTACATTCACCAATGTTAAATTAACATTCCAGGATCTTCATTCTCAATAAGTAAGATTTGGAGAGTTGCAGAATTGTGAATAAAATACGGGGTATTTTCAGAAAGAGAGAGAAGAATTGCCGTGAGGACTTACCATTTTGTTTACTGCCCAGAATCTGAAGTGCCTTTCCATATTTGGTGATTTTGCTCTGTGTTAATCTATGGAAGTGGAAGAGGCTTTATAGATACTTTCACTCTTTGCGTTTGGAAGCTGGTATATAGACATGGTGGACAATTAGATACTCCCAACCAGATTGTACATCTAATCAACTGATATTTGGAATTCAATTGGGTGACTGAAGTCAGGCATCCAAGGTCCAGCAGTGGGCAGAGGTTGTGTCCAGTGTCTAAGCAGGCTATTTCTGTGATGCACCCTCGGCTGTGGACATGGCCACTTAGTTTCCCTCAGCTCCTGCCCCTTGCTCAAACCAGGCTCTCCAGCCTCCTCACTAAGTCTGGGAGCCACTCAATGGCCGGCCAAAAATTTTCTTCACTGCTTCACTTAGCCAGAATCAGTTTATATCCTTTGCAACAAAGAATCTTGGCCCATGTGCCTTTCCACACATGGCTCCCTACTGGCTCCCTGCTAGAATTTCTCAACAATTTTCTGTTTAACTTATTCCGACATTTTCCCTAACAACAATGCACTGAAGAGGTCATTTTAAAGTGCTTCATTATAGTATGTCTTTATTTGTGAGGCATCTATCACCATAACTTCAGTTTTCAAAGATGAGGAAACTGGAGCTATTAGAAATAAGTAAGAACACCTGTGTTCAGATCCTTATTGTGATACTTCTCTCTGGGATTTTAGGAGAATCTTATTACCTCTCTCAGTCTTCATTTGCTTGTCTTTGAAAGGAAGACAGTGATCACTTATTTCCCAGGGTTGCTGGGAGGATGAAATGTATGGCAAAAATAATCTAAATGTTATAAAACATATCTTAAATAAAAGTTATTATTATCACTGTGACTTTATCCCCCAGATAACCCTGTGCATTTTAATTCACTTTAAATTCACTGTATTTCAAAGGGATGAAAATTACAGCCTGAAAACCCTCCCATCCTAGAGGACATTCAAGCCAACATGTAAAAATTGATTTTCAACAAAATTGGTTTTCAACTGCATTTTGATTCCAGTTCTGTTGATGGTTCATTTTGGGGGTCCCTGATAGAGTATTTTATCTGAGTTATGGCTATTTTACAGGAACACTGGGCTGAAGGCATCTCTTCTGAGAAAGATGAGCCAGTACTGACTCCAGTGGTTTGGGCATTTTCCCTAAAACATGTTGGGAGTGGGAAGAAAAATGATCTCTTTTAATTGGAAGGCTCATGAGGCCTGACCTACCAGAAACAATGAAGCTATCACTTAGAATACTTGTCAATGGTGAGGGCTCCAGAAGCTCCCCCTAGATGAAATGCCAAGGGCTTAATGGGCAGCAGAGGAGTGTTGGGCTCTTCCCTTGATACTGAAGGGAGGAAATGCCTTTCTGGGCAAAGAGGCCTTTTCTGGAGAAACAATCCTGCTGTATGCCTGGCTGGTGCTATGATGGCCATTTTTCATTTAGAATCTAAGGGACTGATATTAAGCTCTCCCAAGAAAGATAGGGAAGTTTGGCCTTTTCCTTATTCCCTCCATGTCCAGAGCAGGGAATAACTGGATTTTCTGTTTATGGAAAGCTCTTTTGAGCTATGCACTTTCCCCATGCCTTTCGGGCTGCAGATCCTTCTGAGTACCTTCCAGAAACTAAAATACAATATGTATCTGTTTCCATACCTGTCCTTTCTTCCTTCTCCTAATTCTATGACACCTTCTCACTGTGACATCTCAGAGGTAAAGATGTTATTCTTCTTATCAAGGGCTGACCATTGCCCTTGGTCTTGACTCTATCATTTCCTACGTGTCCTATCTTCATCTCCTTTCTTCCCTGCTTTTCTAACTCTTTAATATCTTCCTTTATTTTGCCTCTATCTCCACAAACTATAAATTCACTGCAAGGTTCTTTTGTCTTAAAAATCACCTTTCTCTTGACCCTGTGTTCCCTTCTAGCTCCCATCACTTTAGCTTTCCTTTACAGTCAAGCAACTGAGAGTTACCTCCACTCCCTGTCATACTCCCTCACTTCATTCAGCTTTTTATGACTGTTCTCTCTGGCTCCCACTTTTCTACCACCTCATTGAAACTACACTTCCTCAGTTTATCAATCACCAGTTCAGTTGATCCTTTCAGTTCCAATCCTAGTGAAGACTGAAGCATTTGAGTGTGGTGACCTTTCTCTCCTCCTTAAAACTTTCTTCTTTTTATCATTTCCTTGACACTTCCTCCTTCTTTTCCTCCAACTTCCATGATATGCTTTCTCATTATCTTGCACTGTCTGTCTATTTTCCTTTTCCTAGCCCCCTTAAATATGTTGCCCAAATGTGACAAGTGACAGCTAAATTTTGTTCAGCTCTTAGGAATAGAGATCTATTGATTTTAGAGAAGGCAGGTTCCTACCTCAGATCTGAGGTAACATCATGATAGGTCTAAGAAGGAATATTAATCCCAGTTTCCTTCACTAGTGAATTATTTTTTCATATGATCAGACAGAATCTCACAAAGTAAAAATTTTTTCTGTGCTTAATATTCTTTCCTTGAACCTGGCTGGGTGAGGGCATGGAGTTCAGGCTATGGCAGCCATCTTGAGACCATGAAGCAACAAGCCTGGGGGCAAAAAGTCAACACGCAGAAAATGGCAGAATAAAAAATAGAAGGAGGCTGAGTCCTTGATGACATCATTGAACTCTGGACTAACCTCAGAACCAACTAACTCCATGATTCCAACTATGCAAGATCATTACAGGGCTTTATTAATACATTAAGCTATTGTTGGTTGGATTTTTGGCTACTTGCAGCTGAATGCATCCTAACATCCCTGGCTTAAATTATCCCCTGTACCCTGATGACTTCCAAATGTGTAACTCCAGCCAATTTCTGCATGAAGTAAGGTATTAAGTAATTACTATGTATCAGGCGCTATTCTCGACACATTACATGTTTTAATTCATCTTTGCCACAATCCTAAAATGAATGTCTTATTATTATCATTATTTTACAGGTGGGGAAACTGAGCCAAAGAGACTTAACTTGCCTGAAATCATAGAGCTATTACAGGTCAAAGCCACAATTTGAACCCAGTGGTCTGACTCCGGAGCCTGAGTTCTTGAGCATTATAATCTGCTTCCCACTGCCAGAGTTCAAATGTTAAAAAGTGCTTCTTTTTACAGATGCTTAATCTTCCCCCTTATTTATTTCACCTTGGTTGGTGGTCTGCTTATTCAGAATGTTTCTTCTGTCTTCCTCCTGTTAGCTCTTCAAATATTGGAAGAATCTCTCTTGTTTTTCTTCTCTTCTCCAGGCTAAAGGACACCTCAGAAACAATTACTAGAATCGTTCCTCAGATATTGGGGTTTTCAGACCACTTACCATTACCCTTTAGTCTAGACACACTCTAGTTTATTTCTGTCTCTTTTTAAAAAGGGATGCTTCTCACTGGACATAACACTAAATACACATGTGGTCTGATCAGTGAAGAGCCAGTGGGATAATCACATCTCACAAATTCCAAATAGAGACATTTACTAATTAATGACCACTTACTTGTGCTAAACCCCATGAGAGGTGTTGTATGCACACCAAAGCTTCTCAAATTTTCTACTGACATGCCCTGAAGACAGAAAAAGTGAATGTGTATTCCTAAGAAACAAAGGGCATAGACCATGCAGAAGTTGTTTGCTGTCTTGAAAGTTCTATACCATTTTGAGCTTTAAAAATGGCATCGGATTTTTCTTTCTACTCAGTAATAGCTCCCTGTTTGGCTTAATGTAAAAATAGGTTGTAAATGATTTGCCATTGAGTAAAATAGAAACACTGGGAACATGCCTTGTGTTTATGCCATGGCCTCCCATACTCCCAATCATACTGCCAAATACTCCTAGGAATTTGCCAACCTAATCTGAGAAGTGTGGCCATACATTATCTTTATTACTTACAACAACCAGGCAAGAGAAGCCTATTTGGGGACAGCTCAAGAACACAGGCTCAGAAGTAGTTTGCCCGAGTTCTCCAAGGTAGTAAGTTGGACTTGGCTTTGAATCTAGATCTGTCCAGCTCCTTTCCACTACACTCTGGGCTGCCTTTGTACATAATATGTATGAGTATATATCTGAGAATCTAACTTTAGTCTTCTGTAAAGCAGAGAATTCCACTCTTGAACACTTTTGTGCCAGCCTGATTCACAAACACAAACATTCTTCCATTAGCTCAGCCCAAGCTGGTGTGTGGAACTGCTGGCTGTTGTCCACCTTGGAGCCTGTTTCCTAGGATCTGCTGCAAGGATTCTGTATGGTGAGAAATTTAATTTTTGGATCCAAATGCTGGACTTGATGTTTATCTCTGCTACCTTTCCTTCATGCCATCTGTTTGAGCTTGTCTAGGTAGTTTTGAATCCTAATTTGGTGAATAAACCTGCTTCCTTAACCTCATGATAGGAATTGCATCTCCATTGCTCCAGGAAGTTTTCTAGAGGCCATCTTAGACTACAGAACTATTAGGTAAATTTCCTACTGAAGCACCATTAAAGACAAGTGTGTATGTGTCTGTGTGGTTTTCAGAATTGAAAACTACCTGTCTCTAGCAAAGCAGGATTTGACATTCCCTCCTCATTCTTCTCAATGCTGACAATGAAGAAGCGTTCCTGGTGATTCTGAGAATATAAGATGTCAGGGAATGGGTGGGGCTAAAAATCTAAGCACCCAAGCCCTGTTTGCACCTTCCCTGAAATTTAGCAAAGAGAACTTTTTATGACAAAATCTGCCCTTCTGTGTTCTCCATGGTCCTCTGCGACCCCTCTCCTCTTTGGCATCTTTCCGGAGGGCTGCTCCCTGACTGCTTCACCCTTCTCCACTAGTCCTTTCCTTGCCACCAGCACAGTGTCTGGGTCACTGCCTCCATGACAGCTCCTACACTACCATCAAAACCAAGAGCTTGAGGAAGGTAGAACAGGACAGCCAGACATGTCTACAGTAAATGCAGCTTCATTAGAGCCCACACTTACCTTTTAACAAATGGGAAAGGTGAGGGCCTGTATTAGTCAGGGTTCTCTAGAGAGACAGAACTAATAGGGGATATATTATATATTATATATTTATATATATGTAAAGGGGAGTTATTAAGGAGTATTAACTCACACAATCACAAGGTCCCACAATAGGCTGTCTGCAAGCTCAGGAGCAAGGAAGCCAGTCCGAGTCGCAAAGCTGAAGAACTTGGAATCACGTTTGAGGGCAGGAAGCATCCAGCATGGCAGAAAGATGTAGGCTGGGAGGCTAAGCCAGTCTAGTCTTTTCATGTTCTTCTGCCTGCTTTTTTTTTTTTTTTTTTTTTTTTTTTTTTTTTTTTTTTGAGTCGGAGTTTCGCTCTGTCGCCCAGGCTGGAGTGCAGTGGCGCGATCTCGACTCACTGCAAGCTCCGCCTCCCGGGTTCACGCCATTCTCCTGCCTCAGCCTCCCGTGTAGCTGGGACTATAGGCATGCGCCACCATGCCCGGCTAATTTTTGTATTTTTAGTAGAGACGGGGTTTCACCGTGTTAGCCAGGATGGTCTCGATCTCCTGACCTCGTGATCCGCCCGTCTCGGCCTCCCAAAGTGCTGCCTGCTTTTTATTCTGGCAGTGCTGGCAGCTGATTAATTGTGCCCACCCAGATTGAAGTGGGTCTGCCTTTCCCAGCCCACTGACTCAAATGTTAATCTCCTTTGGCAACACCCTCACAGACACACCCAGGATCAATACTTTGCATCCTTCAATCCAATCAAATTGACACTCATTATTAACCATAATAAGTCTACCCCTTATCAACTTGAACCCATACACATCTCCTGAGATCATACATAATATTCAAATAAAGATAATCATAGGTCATAATTATGCCTAACATAATACAACTATCCTTTGCACAATTGGAAATGCATCTATCCCCAATCCAAATGCTATCACATAAAGTTAACAACACTTAAATGCTGATATGAAGTCAATAAATCTTATGCCACATGATAATGGAAAAAGGAAATAAAATGAAGATTTTTTCTTAATACAACTGTATACATGCACAAACATCTTTTTAACAAAAGAAGGAGGAAAGACTCATGATAATTACAGTCCTCATTTCTGCAGCTGGTCACGTGGTCTTAGCTGGTATTGATGACTACCTTCTTCTACTACCTATTCTGTATTACCTTTGCCTTCAGTAAGCACCTCAGTACGTCATGGATTTTTCCTGGTAGAGTGACCCAAACTTTCATTCCTGAAGGGTCTGGGTCATTTGTAGTTCTGCCTGGATTGAGCCGTTGTAATTTCCCATTGACCTTAATCAACAGGGCATGGTAATATTAAGAGACGCCTCAAGGGATCTCCTGTATTCCATGCATACTCTTCCTTACCTCAACTGTGGAGTATTAGACTGATTTCATCTTAATAGTCTGGGTCAGTCACTCCAGCCAACACTGTAACTCCCTTCTTAGCCTGCTGACTTAAAGGTAGGAGGAGTCCAAAGTGTCCAGGTGGCAATCTTAGGACTGATAGGCCATTCTACTGTTCTATCAATCCAGCTGCTTCAGGATGATGGGGAACAGGGCCAGAGAGAAGTAGTAGAATGGAGAGAGAAATAAATGACAGAATGAAATTAAATTGCAGGCTCCCTGATCAGTGGTTAAATCAGCTAACCCAGCAAAACTGGTCTGCACTGTCAAGGCCAAAACAGGACTCTGTTTCCTTATATTTATCCAGAAGAACTTCTTTCTTTTCTAATGAAAGCAGGGGAAATAGTTAGAAGCAACGATGAGGTCCAATGGCAGGGTGCAGAAAGGGTGGGAGGGATAAAATGTTTCTTTCCTTAGAGAGAATACCCAGATCAAAGAAAACAGTTGCCTCAGCATCTTGGGTAAGGACGTTTTCATAGCCCTGGGCATAACCATAGCAGCTATCCTTGATGACCAAGGAAACCCTGTAACTGCTTGAGCCCTGCTCTGGTAGTCAGCTGTCTGTTCTTGTAGATCAGACAATGGAACAGATGAAGGGCAATGGTATAGGCTTGTGCTTCCCACTGTTTCCAATGCTAGCAGTACTGAGCCTAGGTGAGCCTCTCACCTCCCCACATCCCTTGGCAATGCACCAGTTGCATTGACCTAGCTTGTTCACTGGCCTTGACCTCCAGCACTGTGCATTTTCCATTGTACCAATCTGGTTTCTACTAGATGTCTGAAGATCCTGAAGGTTAAGCCATTAGAAAAGGTCTTTTAGTAAGGAAGCAGGATTAGGTAGTACTGCTTTAAACTACTTGGTTAAACTTTTTGGTTTTAAATCCCACTTTATCCTTATAGCTACAGAACCCTTGGCAAGTTATCTACCCTTTTTAATCTTCCACTCTCTCAGCTATAAAATAGGGATAATAACTAAGACACCTGGGGTTCTGGAGATGACCAAATAAAATAACACACATAAAGCAATTGGTGCTATAGCAAGTGCTCAGTAAATGTTAGCCATTGGTAACATGCAATTAACAACTCATTTTCCTTTCCCAAGTAGTGTGAGATGAAAATGGGAAATATATTGAAGCCTATGTGATTTTGCATATGGGATAATAAAAAAGCACTGGACTAGAAATCTACTCTGTTGTTGCCTTTCTGTCTCACCTAGGGAAAATCTCTTTTATTTCAGGCCTTAGTATTCCCATCTGTAAAATGAAGGCTCCCTGAGGTCCTTCTGTAACTTACATTTTATGCCCCAGTTTTTAGCGATGCAGCAAGCCATTGGGAATAGTATTCGAAGAATTAGAGTTAGTTATACATGCTGATCAGCACTAAAAGCTGCCTATTTTCTTAGCCTCTCCCTTGAGCAAATGCATGAGTGGTGGGGGCAAGGGAGGGCCTGTGTTTGAAGCATGGGAGACATAAGAACATCTGATTCAAGAGTAGACTTTTTTTGTGTGGGGGGATGTGTGTGCATGTATTTTAAATTAGAAGTCCAACAGAGAGATGGGAAATGGAAATGGCTTTATTCTTATGATCAGAAAGTTAAGTGTGACAGAGTTATGACTAATTCACAGGTAACGCAAGCTCCAGAGGAGAGCACTCAGGAAATAGATTGGCATGTGTGCTATTTTTACTGCCTCCCTTCCTCCCTGGCTGTCCAGAGCCTCAAGTGAGCCTTACTCATGGGCAGGTGGGGAATTTCCTTGAGGTATCGAATGTGCTGATGTCGCTTTGTAGCCTAGTTATGTCATGAAAAGAGAGGTGGAGGAGCCAAGCAAAGGGTGCCTGGTAGGATGGAAGCAGAACTCAGAAAAACGTAATCCTTCATTGCCAAATTCTGTCTCTGAAGGTCTAAGCTCTGGAACATTATCTGGGTCTGTGCTGGGCATCTTTTGTGTCTGGGGATCTGGCCAGCATGCTTTCTTTCTGTCTCATTTGAGGTACTGCAGGCTTCTACACATTAGGTCAGAGAGCCATCAAACACTAGTGTGACCAGTGAGAAAAGAAGGGATCTAAGACCTATTAAGAGCCAGTGAGGCACCACACACTAGGCTTGTTGATTTACACACTTTCTCTCCTTAATCTTCACAATATCCTATGGGATGGGTGCGGTAGTTCCCATTTCAGTTGAGGAAACTAAGGTTCAGGGAGATTAAGGAGTTTGCCAAAGTTCAGGCAGCTAAGAGGTGGCAAACCTGGTATTTGAACCAAGATACATCTGATTTCAAAGTTTTTTTTTTTTGAGAAAACCACACTTTCATGTCAGCATCATATGTTCAGCCAAGAGTCAGGGGATAGACTTACCTTTCAGCCAATTCCTTACAACACTACCCGTTTTACCTATTTTCCAGCTCCATTGCCTCCCTTGGTCCATACTGGAAGATCATTATGGAAAAGACCAAATCCAATAAGAATATATTCAATCTGTATCATGCAGACTAAACTTAAGTTTCTGACAATCCTGTGTCATGCAGACTAAACTTAAGTTTCTGACAATGCAAAGGCAAAGGAAGAATGTGAATCAATAAATATTATATAAAGCATGAAAGAAACATGCCCAAGGGGAAGTATTATATTTTACAATGCAAATTCTTTGAGCAAGAATAGTAAATAGTGTATACCACAACTCCTACTCCTAAGCTCAAAACAGACATGATTAATTGATCACAGAACTCCTTCTCCCATAACCTGAGTGCAGCCTCAGAATTCTCAAATCCTCCTCAGGAAGCAGGCACCAATTAATTTGGAATCTCTTTATCATTCTGTCTGACAGAGAAGCTATTCATTTCTTCACCATTCCTGTCTTACAGAGAAGCTATTCATTTCACCTCAAAGAAGTAACACAATTTTCTTGGAAGAGGGTGTATTTGAGAAAGATCTTGAGAAATGAGCAGTATGGTAGTGGGTAGGGAATGGTCATCCTAAGGGGACAGCATAAGCAAAGTTAGGGAGGCCAGGAGGGAGAAGAACTTAGGAATGACGAGTAATCTGGTATGAGTGTTTGTGTGTTAGGATAGGGGATGGGAATTGTAGTCCTTAGGAAAAAAAGAGAAGTTAAGTTGGATTAAAGTACAGAGGGCCTTGAAAATCATGTTAAGATAGCTATTCTTTCTTTCATAAGTTATAAAGCATCATGTTGAGATGTGTTCTAGAATAGCACTTCTGGCAGTACAGTGCAGAAAAGGTGAGAGAGGGTTCCACGAGGTGTAAGTATTTCAAAAATTCTAGATAACAGAAAATAAAGGTCTGAATCAAAACAGTGGCAGTTGGGAAAAAAGGAAGGAAAGAGGGAAGGAAGGAAGGAAACAAGGAAGGGATGGAGGAAGCCAAGTATTTAACATGTATCTATCATGTGCCTGGCATTATTCAAGATTCTGGGATATAGTGGTGAACCTGACAGATAAAAATCCCTGGCCCTCATGTAGTTTCCATGGATGATACAAGTAATAAATAGTAAACAACAACTGAAAGATTAGGATTAATTAAGACAGAGATAAGTGTAATGAAGAAAATAAAACAGGGTGAAGTGCTAAGGAAGTGCCTGGAGGAGACAAGACAAGATTGGAAAACCAGAGAAGACTGACTGTGGAGGGGATATTTGGGCTGAGATCTGAATCGTATGAAGAAACTAGCCATGCAAAAATCTAGGGAGTCAAAGGCCTTAAGGTGGAAGACACTTAAAGAGCTTTCAGAGCAGAAAAGATCCAGAGTGGCTGAAGCCTGGGGAGTAAAAGGAAGGTGATATGGGTGAGGCTGGAGATAACAGGGTTCCAGTTATTCTGAACTATCCAAGACTGTTCAGCAGCAGGATGCCTTCATTGCTTTATGTTTTGAAAAGAATAGACTAGAAATCAGTTAGGAGGCTATCTTAATAGTCTAGTCTAGAGCTGATGGTGGCTTGACCTAACATGGTAACCAAGGAGATGAAGAGAAGCATGCAAATTCAGGATATATGCTGGAAGTAGAAGTGATTGGAGTAGATTCAAAATTAAACATGGGAGTGGCAAGGAAAAAGAGGAATCAAGATTAATTTGTAAGTATGGATTGAGAAACTAGGTGGATGAAAAGAAAAAAAGGCAAAGAAGAGCATAATTACTACCTCTATACTATGTATACTATGTTTTACCCTGGATGGGTTTAACATTTAATACAGTGCGAGAAGTGCCATGTCACCGTTCTTGTTTTACAAGGAATCTTTATGGTTTTTTCAGAGCCCAGGAGGTATTGCATGAAAGAGCACAGAAGGAAATGCTAGAAATAAGAATGACCTTATTCCATTCTCATACACTGCTAAGGTAAAGTACATGGTTATAGTATTTCTGAAGAGCTATTTGGCAAACGATATCAAAAGCTATAAAAGTGTTTACATCTCATTGGCTAAGAAATTCAATTCATGGAATAGATCCTAAGACAACACTTAGAGAAAAGCATAACTATTAAGAACATATGTTAATGTCAACATTACTTATGAGAACAAATGGAAACATCCTAAATGCCCAACAATAGATGATTGCCTGAAAAATTGTCATATATTCATGTTATATTAGATAACTGTTACAAAAATGAAATTTTAGTGGAATAATTAATGATGAGAAATGCAAAAGCAGAGTACAGAACTATAAAATGATCTCTATTCTGTAAATAAGCATATAGGTGAGAATAGGGAAAAAAAACCTATCATCTTACCAGCTGGTATTACTATTTCTCTGGGTTAAAGTACTGCAGACATTTAGAAGCTGTGCTTTGATAAGTTGCTTGGATGGGTGTAAGACCCCCAAGGTTATACTCAAGTAATAAACCATAATCCCTAAACTCTTCTGCTTTCTAAAGAGGTGCATTCTATTGATTGTAGGATTTGCTGAGCAGAAGATAGAGAAAATATGCACATCTGCCGGTAGCACAGCATTGTTTTGCATAAGTGAGAGAGGGCAGTTAGGAAATCTACCATGTCACATAGGAGAGAGGAAGGAGAGAGAGAAAGGACATCTGGAAGGTGGTGGTTGGGTGAGGGATCACAGTGAGAAGGGAACTTTGGCAAAATGTTTAAGTGGTGTTGTCAGGTTGTTTGCTGTAAGCTTTTTGTTGTACATCCTCTCTTCCATGTCCCTTAAGGTATCTTCAGTAAATTATCTGTTTTTCACTAATTAGATTGGACATCTGTTGTTTATGCCCATCCACAATGTATTTCATCTTCTGCTAACAACGCCTTGGTTTTCTTCTGGGCAACCTCCCATCCTTCCCTCCCAGTCCACATGGTTTTGGTGTTACTGACCCACCCCCTCACCCCCAAATCCAGGGATGGGTACAATGACACAGACCAGGCTAATGAGAACATCACATGTCTCTCCCTTAAGGTGATCAATTCAAGGATGGGCATGGGATCCCACGAAATGGAACCATGCCATTCTCTTCGAGACTGTTGAAAGAGTGGTATGCTCTCTCTCTCGCTCTCTCCCTGGATTTTTGAGGGGAAAGTATGAGTTTATCAGCCAGAATTGTGAGAATATCAACCTAAAGCTTTTTGTTACCCCTCTCACCACCACAAGAGGAGAGCTTGCCTATAAATGAAGTTAACCTGGAGGAAGATGGAGCTGAGAGATAAACTGAGACAGGGATAGAGCCATGCCATATGCTGGCATTATCACTGGACCTTTTTTGGAATGTGATGTGTGTGTGCAGGAGAGGGCAATGGTTTTTAAAAATATACTATGAAATAATCTGACAAAGGGCTAATATCCAGACTCTACAAAGAACTTAAACAAATTTTGAAGAAAAAAACAAACAACCCCATCAAAAAGTGGGCAAAGGATATGAACAGACACTTCTCAAAAGAAGACATTTATGCAGCCAACAGACCCATGAAAAAATGCTCATCATCACTGGTCATCAGAGAAATGCAAATCAAAACCACAATGAGATACCATCTCACACCAGTTAGAATGGCGATCATTAAAGTCAGGAAACAACAGATGCTGGAGAGGATGTGGAGAAATAGGAATGCTTTTACACCGTTGGTGGGAGTCGAAATTAGTTCGACCATTGTGGAAGGCAGTGTGGTGATTCCTCAAGGATCTAGAACTAGAAATACCATTTGATCCAGTGATCCCATTACTGGGTATATACCCAAAGGATTATAAATCATGCTACTATAAAGACACATGCACACGTATATTTATTGTGGCACTATTCACAATAGAAAAGACTTGGAACCAACACAAATGTCCATCAATGATAGACTGGATAAAGAAAATGTGGCACATATACACCATAGAATACTAGGCAGCCATAAAAAAGGATGAGTTCATGTTCTTTGCAGGGACATGGATGAAGCTGGAAACCATCATTCTCAGCAAACTGTCACAAGGACAGAAAACCAAACACTGCATGTTCTCACTCATAGGTGGGAACTGAACAATGAGAACACTTGGACACAGTGCGGGGAACATCACACACTGGGGCCTGTCGAGGGTGGGGGGCTGGGGGAGGGACAGCATTAGGAGAAATACCGGCTGGGCGCGGTGGCTCACGCCTGTAATCCCAGCACTTTGGGAGGCCGAGGCGGGCGGATCACAAGGTCAGGAGATTGAGACCATCTTGGCTAACACGGTGAAACCCCGTCTCTACTAAAAATACAAAAAATTAGCCGGGCGCGGTGGCGGGCGCCTGTAGTCCCAGCTACTCGGGAGGCTGAGGCAGGAGAATGGCGTGAACCTGGGAGGCGGAGCTTGCAGTGAGCCGAGATTGCGCCACTGCAATCCGGCCTGGGCTAAACAGCGGGACTCCGTCTCAAAAAAAAAAAAAAAAAAAAAAAAAAAAAAAGGAGAAATACCTAATGTAAATGACGAGCTGATGGGTGCAGCACACCAACATGGCACATGTATACCTATGTAACAAACCTGCACGTTATGCACATGTACCCTAAAACTTAAAGTATAATAAAAAAATCAGATTTTTAAAAATGCATAGAATGAGTATAACAAAGCCTAGATGTGCCTCACCACCCAACTAGGATATAAAATATCACCAACATGGTTAAAGCATTCTTTTCACTTCTTACTAGTCACAATCATGTCCCTGCCTTTTCAAATTGAGTTTTATTTCTTCCAATCTCCCTTTTTCCTTTTTTTTTTTTTTCCAGATATATATGTATTCGGGAGCTACATTTGTATATATCCTTAAACAATTATATGTACAATGATGTTAGAGTATATGCATTATTTTGCAATTTGCTTTATTTCATTCAATGTTATATTTGTATAATTGTTTATATTCCAATGTATAATTTTAATTCACTCATTTTCTCTGCTTTATAGTATTTCTTTGTATGCATATACTATAGTGTATTTATTCCTTCTCCTGTGGATGGATATTTAGGTTATTACACTGAAATTTTCTATGATCCAATAAATTTCATTTTCTGCTACACCAGTTTGAGGTGAGTTTTCTGTTACTTAGAAGAGTTCTGACAAACACAGAAAGCTTTTGTGTGGCCTATTTCAGGCTCAAAAAGAGTAAGAAGAAACAGCCAATGCCTGGGTTACAATTATGCATATGAAAAAAAAAACTGTAATAAAATACACCAAAATGCTTGCTGGTGACATTGTGGATAATTTTTTAAAATTTGTTTTAAACCTTTCTTGTTTTTCCACATTAAATATGTACTATTATTATAATCAGAAAAACTATTATAAGTAAACATTAGGAGACGGTCATTGCAAAGTGACTCCTGCAGGGTAAATATGGCACAAATTCATTAGTAGAGTGCAAGTAAAAGAGGATTTGTAATATGTACCCAATAGCAAACAACAAGACAAATACCACTTAAATATTTCTCCAAAGAACGCTTTTTTACTGTGCCACTTTACTCCCTGGGGGTAAAGGTCCTTATTTCTCAGGAAGGTCTGGAACCTTGGAGATGGGGGTCTTTTTGCTCAGAGGGTCTTATTTTTGCCTGTTGTGCGTTTCATGGGAATCAGGAGAGGAGGCAAACAGATGGGAGTGGCAAACTAATGCTCCTTGTTTTTCTTCCTCCCTCACAGTCTCAGAGCTCCCCCACTTAGAAATGAATAACTTTTGAACCCCTAGCTGGAAGTCACCCCACTTAATAGCTCTAAAGCGTGGAAAAAATAACAACAACAAAATACTATCAGTCTTTATATAGGGTGCCTTAGACGATGGTGCTGAAATGAAAGAGGCAATGAGAAATTGTTCCCCAAATTAGGGATAAGGCAGTTCAGATTTAGAATCTGCCAACAAGTAAAGGCCTTAAAAGTGATCTAATCCAACCCCCTTATTTTATAGACATGAGAAGTGACTCAAAGAGAATCAAGGT
Organism: Homo sapiens; assembly: GCF_000001405.40. NCBI lineage: Eukaryota > Metazoa > Chordata > Mammalia > Primates > Hominidae > Homo > Homo sapiens. The sequence goes on from NC_000011.10 coordinate 27,777,481, forward strand.
GATTGGCCCAAGGTCACACACCTAGTTCATGGTAGGGCTTAGATTTGACAATAGATGTCTAGATTCTTCTGCTCCATTATCTTAGCTGAAGAACAGTGGCGAAACTATTGCTTTTGCTACCAGCTATGCTGACATTGCCAGAATTCACATTAAATGCTTCCAAGTTGCCTTTTTGTTGCAAGACAATCTTGTAGGCAGTATACATACATGAATGTCTATATTTGTAACAAGAACAACAGATGCCAATTTGGACTGGCACCATCTTTAGATTGGGAAGAAGGTAGATGTTAAGAATATCCACTATGGTATTTAGGATAAGAGTGACAGAGTTCATGGACTGATATTTAGTAACTTCAATATTAACTCCTTAAAACAGGAATGCAATTATGAATATGAAAATTAAAAAGCAGACTATAGAAATTTCAAGTTGTGGGAAGATTTTTCTCTCATAGGTGGCAAAAAATTAGGCAGACATTGGGGATTTCGTGAGAAATATTGCTAACTGATGATGGAAGATATCTCCAAGCTAAGTCCTAGGGCAAATACTTACTTAGGTCATCTCCTTGGGCAAGGTGCATTGACATTCAAAAGGATAACTTGGGTTCCTGGGAACTGCTCAATCATCTGAGTTTCTAAGACTCAATTAGGATAACTGTATGCTATTGTTAAAGTAGAAAGCAAGACTCAAGATTTTATTTTTAAAAAGTTTAAACATTTTTTAGAAAACAAAAGTGTATTTGGAATTTATCCTAAGATAACTAGGATATCAAATTAACTAGACACCCCATTCCTTTTTCTGATCCTTTTAGGTAATTTGTGTCCTCCAATGCACAAAACGGTAGCGGTCAAAATTGTACAACAAGCTGCAAAAAGGGGCAGCTTCAGATGTTATTGCCACTAGATTTAGAAAAATGGATCTGTATAGATCAAAATTCTCTAGTGAGCAAATGCACTCACCATCCTACACCATTTTCTCAGAAGCATAAATGTTCATTTATCCAATTAGGCAAAATTTTAAACGAGTCACTGAACGTAAACTAGAGGGAAAGAACGGCTAGGATTGTAAAGCAGATCCAAGAACAAATATTTAAACTATAAAATAGAGCTGGGTTACTTCAGAAGTGCATTCAAAAGGAAGAGGAAGACAATCCAACAGGGAGCAGGTGGCTGGAACATCAATGGGTTCAGGGAGTGGACAGGTCAGTAGTGATGCTTTGATAAAGAACAAAGAATCTGAAAAAAACAATGGGTGAGTTAGGGAATATTTGTGGGTTTTTTCCTTCTTTTTAATTTAATTTAACTTTTTCTTTTTAGAGATGGTGTCTCACCATGTTGCCCAGGCTGGTCTTGAACTCCTGGCCTCAAGCAATCCTCCCATCTTGGCCTCCCAAAGTGCTGGGAATACAGGCATGAGCCACCACACCCAGCTTGGAATTCTTGTTTCTTGAAAGCATTTTTGTTGAAGTCATTTCAAGAGGCTAATCTATATACTTTTTTAAAAGATGTTTTCTGATAGTTGTACATAGTTCTGAACTCAGTATCTGTTCAACAAACACTTACTGAGCACCAACCAAGTTCTAGGGAATCAAAGATAGCAAATAGTTTTCATCTATACTTGAAGCCATTGCTTCCCACTGGTGTCCTCTTTTCCACATGAGACCACCGGCTATGTAGATTGCCTTATCACTTATTAAAATTTTGCCCATCCTTCATCACACATCTCCTGAGCCTGCTTCTTGGTGAAGCCCTCCCTGATCATTCTAGCCAGCTGTGTTCCCTTGCCTTGTGAGGTCTCATGGTATTGAGTGATGGCATCTCACAAACTTGTTATCTGAGGTCTAGCTTGTTGGCTATTTGTAGACATGTCTTTGGTACCTCTGTCCCAAAATCATTAGTGATTATAACTTCCTGGAAGACAGGAAACATATTGCAACAAATTTGGTATAGAAAAAGAACTTGGAACTTTGGAGTCCCAGTGTTGGAGATACAAGGATGAACAACACAAAGGTCGGTCTTCATTGTGTTTACAGTCTAGTGGTGAGGATAGTAGGCTACAATTGCTCTAGTGAAGATCACTTGATTCCATATGTGGTGTCAGGAAGGAAGATGCAGGTGCAATGGGAACAGATTATAGAGGAGCCTAATTTGGCTCGTAAAGTCGGTGGTTTCTTTAAGGAAATGGTGGTTTCAGCTGAGTCTTAAAAGATACAAGCTATCTGGAAGAATTCAGGTGGGATAGAGCTTTCCAGGCTGATAGGACATCATGTGTGAAGGCCCTGAGGTATTCAAGAAGCAGACAGAAAGCTGGTGTGACTCAAACCTAAAGAGTTAGTGAGGGAAAGTGTGATGTGAGATGAAAGAGCACATGTGTTACGTTAACCAGAGGCCTTGAAGTTGTTTTAAAGACTGGAACAACTGGAAACCTCTGGAAGATTTGGAAGATAGCGACCTGTTCAGCTTTGTGTTTTAGAACAGTCACTCTGAATATAGAGTGGAGAATCGATCAGAGGTAGGCAAGAGTGGATGACCAGTTAATAGACTCAGAATATTCCACATGAGAGATAGCAGGGTCTTGAAAATGGTAATTTAGCATGGTGGAAAGAAATAGTTGGCTTTGAAACCCATTTGGGAGACAAAATCAATGGAACTTTGTGACTGATTAGATATGAAAGCAAGGAGAGGTAGTTGTCAAAAATGTTTCCTGGATTTTGTCGTGAGCCACTGAATAGGGTGCTGATCAATGAAATGGCAAACACACCGGGTGAGCCAGTTTGGCAGAGCTAGTGAGTTACATGGTGGCCACATTTAACTTCACAGCAGCACTTCAGATGAGAAAAAAATGAGATTCAGATAAATTAAATGACTCCTTATTTTCACCATTAAGGATAATACTGATCAGGTGGGAAGTTCAGACTTCCTGATTACAAAGTCCCAAGTTCTTTTTCTATACCAAATTTGTTGCAATATGTTTCCTGTCTTCCAGGAAGTTATAATCACTAATGATTTCGGGACAGAGGTACCAAAGACTTGTCTACAAATGGCCAACAAGCTAGACCTCAGATAACAAGTTTGTGAGATGCCATCACTCAATACCATGAGACCTCACAAGGCAAGGGAACACAGCTGGCTAGAATGATCAGGGAGGGCTTCACCAAGAAGCAGGCTCAGGAGATGTGTGATGAAGGATGGGCAAAATTTTAATAAGTGATAAGGCAATCTACATAGCCGGTGGTCTCATGTGGAAAAAAGGACACCAGTGGGAAGCAATGGCTTCAAGTATAGATGAAAACTATTTGCTATCTTTGAGTCCCTAGAACTTGGTTGGTGCTCAGTAAGTGTTGAACAGATACTGAGTTCAGAGCTATTTACAACTATCAGATCTTATATATCCCAGATCCTCCCAGTAGAGGATCTGGATATATAAGATCTGATAGTTGTAAATAGCTCTGAACTCAGTATCCTCCCAGTAGAGGATCTGGGATGTATAAGAAGTTTCTGTAAGGTTTTTAGTCTCAACCAATAACACTCAACATGCCCTTCTTATAACAAGTATTTTGTAGTACAAACTTTCCTATCCTGAAATGAAAATCATGGATAAAATAATCTGCCTATACTCACAGTTTCAAAAAAAATCAATTGTGATGTTTTAAGTGTGAGGAAAAGACTAATTAAAAGAAAAGTAAATGATAACATGGTACATATTTTAGTATGAGATTGCTAGTAGGTAAGCACCCTAGAAGACATTATGAAGGAGTCAGATACTTGCAATGACACAAAGAATATCCAGGAATGTAACACATGCAGACTGACACAGGTGCCATTCTTAAATTCCACGAGTTATGTCACCTTCCATCACGTAATTTTTTTTAAATGGTAAACAACTTTTAGTAGAGTTATTCTTTTAAATTACAAACAACTTTTGATTTACATGGAAATTGTGTTCCTGGAACATTTAGTGTATATTAAAACCTTGAAAATAAATGAATTTTTATATATGCAAAATGGAATTTGATGTTAGACTCAGATAAATATAGCTATGTTTCTTTCTCACGTATATGAATAATGAGTGGAACATTAGAAAATTATGTGGAACACTAACAGTTTTTTACTTGGCAAGATTATATTATACTTTTCAAAGTACCTGGCATCCCTGACCCTTGTCTAATAAATGTTGATATTGCTCTCTCAAATCAATAAAAAATGTCCCCACAATTTTCCAAAACATTACCCCAGGGGTGGGACTGCTTCTATTGAAAACTATTGACATAAAGCATGATTTCATATCACTGAAAGGTTTAAATTTTTACTTTGCATATAGTAGCAAGGTTTAAAAAATCTCGTGAATGAATGGGATACAAAAAGTAAATTTTCATAAAACAGTAATTTCCATGATGCTAGTACAATGAATAGATTTCTTTGCTAAGTCCAAGTTGAAGAGATCAGGCTAGGACAGCAAATATGGGCAGCTGCCATCTTTTACCAGGTGTAAATAGGGAGACATGTTTATTTTCTCTTGTTCTGCCAACATGAATTAAGCATCTCCTAGCCATGAGGTCTATGCTGAGGCTGCGGGATCCACAGTGACATACAACAGGCTTCCCACACGGCAGTTACACCAGGAAGGGACAAAGTATTGAAAAAGAAATGGAATGTATTCAGCAGTTTGGCAGTTAACAGAGCTCATAAAAAATGACTTTCCCTTAAGACAGTTTTTACTGGGTTGTGTTTTTATTGAAAATCCTAGTTTTTCTCCTGAGAGAATCATTCTGCTGGAGCAACAAGCAGAAACAAAGCAGAGTGGGTGACATCCAAGAAATGACTTTGGAGCCATAATGTACCTATCCTACACAATAAACACCGTCACTTCATGTAAACTGGCAAGAGTGGGGTAAGAAACTGGCTAATATGGAAATCACTCTAACACTTCTCAGTTCTACAGATGTAGTCTTAAACAGACAAACAAACAAAACTCTACAACCATAGTGACATGGAAACAGGTTGCTGGATTCAGCAGGAAGGTTGACAGGCAGTGAACATTTATGTTAAGAATATTCCCAGCAAACTCTTTCCACCTCTGGGTTTGACACTGGCTCTCAACTAGGGAATGCTGCTAAGGGATAGAGTGCTGGGTAACAGGGTGGCCCTGTCACAGCAGCCAGCATAAACCCAATGGCTGAAATAAAAAACCATGATTTACTCACTTACCCTGTACATATTTACAGAACACCCACTATGAGCCAGGCACTGTTTAGCTGCTAAGTTATAATATTAAATAAGGTACATAGAGTTCTGCTTATAGGCATTTCCATAACACAAAATAAGTATATAAATAGGTCAACATATATGTCAATATCTATAGTGAAAAGTATTAAGAAAAGAATAAAGCAGTGTAATGTGCTGATGGGTGACTGGAAGCGCAGATAGGAAGCTATCTGTCTGGGGTGATCAGTGAGGATGTCTACTGCATTGTCAGGGATCATTTGTGTCTGAGATGGTGACCTAGGAGCTGAGATTTGAATGGCAACAATATTCACTTAACCAGAGTCCTCATCGCAAAATGTTTGGGCCCAGTGAAGTGGGTCTCATAATGCTGGGTCCCTTAATTCCTAATAGAATTGGGAAGTAGGTAGGAGATGCCTGTGTTTCTTCTTTAACTCAATAAGTACATCCTAGACTCCTAGGAGACAACATAGTATACTGCAAAAATCTCGGGACTGGACATTTGGAAACCTGGATGCTAGTTCTGATGTCCCTTGATAATAGGCTGAGTGACCTCAGGCAAATCATCCATCAGGCTGGGTGTGTTTCCATAATATGAAAACAGACTGTACACTCCATAAGAGAAGACATTGTGTCTGAATTGTTACCTGCTGTCTCTCCAGCACCCAGCACACAGTATCTGGCAATGGTGAGTGCCCAATGGAAGCTATTATTGTTGCTTTCATTATTAGCTGATAGGTATGATTCCTTCCCATCCCAAAACTCTAGTACTTTGGCTCAATCTCCTTGTGATAACAACACCCCCCACCACCAAAAAGAGAAATAACAAGAAATTTATTTCTGAGTTTGCCACATCTGGCTACATTACACAGGGGCTAGTCCCTTCTTTCTGGGACTCATTTCCCCTCATCCATAAAGTGAAGAAGTTTATCTCAGCAATTCATCCTGGCTCTAGAATTACAGATTTTTAATTAAATTCTGCAAATAAAATTGTATTTCAAATACACTAGGGGGACCCCGTGGTGAATTTTAAAATAAACATGTAGTGGAATTATTTCCCAAAGCAAAATGTATCATTTTCGATACTATTATTTTAATCTGGGTCTTATTGCATAAGAATGAGCTTTCTTAGAGGAAGGCATCACTATTGCTTGCTTCTATTAAGCTCTCAGGGTCATTTCTGGCTCTTGCATAACACCCTAGGCTGTTAAGGAGAGAGATGCGAGCACAAGAATTTGGCACTCTCCTGAAAGCTACGTTCTGTTTTGGAAATGGACATTTACTTTCTTATTCCCTCCCTCCCTCCCTCCCTCCCTTCCTCCCTCCCTTCCTTCCTTCCTTCCTTCCTTCCTTCCTTCCTTCTTTCCTTCCTTCCTTCCTTCCTTCCTCCCTCCCTCCCTCCGTCCCTCTTTCCCTCCCTTCTTTTTTTCTATTGGGAATCTTGACAACATTACCAATAAATCATTTCTAAATGAGGAAGACCCAGAAAGTATACTCTTTACCAGGAATAATAGCAGCAGAGAAGAATAATTTTTCTAAAAAAATCTTTCTTTGAAAAAATGGAAAAGTAAAGGAAATAATAAAAATAATAAAGAAGGAAGCTAATATTTATTAAGTGCATAGTATGTCCAGGCACAACAACCCTATGCCCATTTCATGGATGAGAAAACTGCTATCTCAAGTTAAACCTCATGGAGATGAACCACCTTACACAGGCTTAGAGAAGAGTAAATGAGAACAAAAGAAGGGATGGAGGAAAGAATGGGAGATGTTAATCGCGAGGTCAATGGTATCAATTGGAAAGAGCCTGAACTGAAAGTCAGGAGACTTGAGTTGCAGTCCTAGCTTCTCTACTCATACATCTGTCCAATGGAGAGATTACATTTACTTTGAGGGTGATGTGAAAATTAAAGCAAGATTATTTATAGGAGAGAGCAGCTCAATATCCAGTGTTCAGCAGGAGCTAGTTGTTTTCACAAGCCACCATTGTCTTCTTGCCTGACCTCAAGCAAACCTTTGTTTGTTTTTTGTCCTTCTCTGCCATACCACTGTTTGTACTCACGCCCTATCCCAGATCTTTTCCAGTCAGAACCATAGGGTCATGAGGAAGGCCTCCATTCATCCTTTTAAGTCAGAGATCCCCAAATGGTGGCCCACAGAGCAGGTCTGGACTATGACTATTTGTCTGGCTAATGAGGTATCTATTTAAAAGTTTGAATTAGTTACCAGCACCTAACATTGAGGAGTTTCACAAAAAATACAGTTTTGACTTGTCTTGAAATATGAGAAAATTTGGCTACATGGGGTCTTCTCCTATCCATCAATTGTTGGCTGAATCTGATTGGGGATGGGAGATCTCCAATCACCCAATTTCCGTCACTACCTATTGCATTATGCTTATTTGCATTTGTGGTCTCTGCAGGCATTTGAACTTGTGACTCTCTGCATTGGGCTTCTTTCTCTTGGGCTTCTTTGAAAAATGCAAATACTTCAAGGAGAGGAATCAAATAAATAAGTTTAGAAGATGGATTCTCTATTAAATGCCCAAGATAAGTCAAAGATAGCATTTCTTCTACAGGGGTAGGGTGGGGAGGTCTAAAATTGGATGGATTGAGGATGGAAAGCACACACTTGGCATGTAGGCACTCAAAACATTTTTAGTGAATAAATGAAAGAAGAGTAGTACGTTATGATGGGGACTGAAGTCAAGCTTTTGCTACTGAGTTGCACATGCTCCTGCCACACCAAGATGTACTCTGTGTAACAGGAGACTCACTTGAACAGGCTCTGCATGACCCGTTCCTGGGCCCTTATCTTCATATTACCTAAACTAAATATGGGACCAAATTTCCTAAGCTAAAAATAAGAACAAAGTCCAACCAACCAAAAATTAATTTGTCACCTGAATTCAAGTTAGTCTAAAAATATTATTAGCTATTCCATGTGAGGTGCTTTGCTAAGCTTTGAGGGTGTAGGATGAATAAGAGATGTTTCTTGTCTTTGTGAAACTCATTCTTGTCAGGAATTCAGAAAATAAGTCAGCAATAATAGTGTGAGATAGGGGCTATGATGAGAAATACAGGGTAGGGTTATAGGAACACCTGAGGACAGGGTGTACTATGTCTCCATTAGCCTATATGGTGCTTTTACAAGAATTGGAAAGGGTGTCTTTTCTAATTCTAAATCTTATTCTAATCGGGGGGGGGGGGTGGGTGGATAATACAGCCCAATTCAGGGCACAAAGCTTGTTAAATACAGCTTGACCTGGAAATTAAAAGTCTTGATCCCGTGCCTTTGGCCACAGATGAAGCGACACTACTAGGTAGGTGGCTAAGTCAATTAAGATATGTTCTGCTACAAGTAATAGAAAAATCAATTAGCTGTGGCTTAAACCATAAGACATTTACCATTTACTTAACAAAAGTTCTGAAGATACTCACAGGTAGATCCAGGGTTGATACCGTAGTTCCATGGTCTATGGGTCCATGGATCTATGTCTTGGCTGTTCTGCAGGTTTTCTTCTCATGGTCACAAGTTAATTGTTGCAGTTCTGAGTATCCTCACATGATCACTTTCAATGGCAGAACATGGGGCAGAATGAAAAAATATACTTCTCCTTGCATGTTCTCTGCTTTGGTCAGGAAGGAAAATCTTGCCATAAAGTACTCTGAGGAGATTTCCCTGTGAATTTCCTATATCAAAGTTAGGTCATATGATTACTCCAGTTGAAAGACAGGCCAGGAAAGCAAGTATCTGGCTTTTTCATTCTTTTGAGTGAGAGGTTCTCTGGCAAGAAGAGAGGTTTGGAAATGTTTGTTGGGTTGGCAACTTAGAGTGTCAGCCACACTGACTCAGATTTAGAGGGTAAGAAAAGCTTTCTTAGAAGAAGCGCTTTTTGAGCTGAGTCCTTAAAAATGAGTTAACCTCAAGGAAGTGGTGAGGGAGAAGCCAGAAGATTCAGACTTTAAGAGTAGATGGAAGAACAGTATGAGAGAATATGGTGGTAAATTCCACAGGGAACGGTAAGATTTTGAGAAACAGAAAAAGTATGATGAAAAAAGGGGCAGAAGTAAGGATTAGCTTAATGATGAAGAGCAGTGTAAGCTGGATGAAGAGACAAATTGTAAATTGCAAAATGAAATAAAAAGAATATCTGACATGTTGGTAAGGCATGTGAAATTTTTAAATGGGTATAATCTTGGATCACTTCAGGTGTCTGGACGTTCATGGTGTCTCAATTGTGAGCTCATAGGTAATGGAGAATGAGAACCCACAGGGAAAGACTCTGAAATTGATTTGTCCTTCCTTGAACAATAAAATTCAACAGACTTTGTGATGATGATGATGATGATGATGATGATAATGATGACAATGATATGATGATGACAATGGTGGCTAATACTCATTGAGTACTTATTATAGAGCAGACACTGTACCAAGTGGTTTACATATATTAAGTCATTAAATCTTTTCAACAACGCTATGAAGCAAGTGCTATTTAGTGTCCCATTCTGCAGATGAAGCAAACTGAGCTGCAGATGGGTTAAGCACCCTCACCAAGATCAATGCAGAGTGGCTCAGCCAGGAGACAGGAAAGTAAGTTGGTATTTAATTGCTTTGTTGTCCCTCTGTCAGTGGGCCATGCTCAGCATATACTGTGTTTGACCCAGTAGACATTAACCCTAACTGTCCTGGGCTCTATGGCTAACACGTCAAGTAGTCAGCAAGAGACACAAGTGAGAGCTGGATGGTACTCTCTCAGGATTGCTTTGCCTAGAACAGCCTGAAAGCAAGGAGCCTAAGAAAGAGAAATCAATATGTCAATTTAGATGTTTTATTAAATCCCTAGTCTTGGTTTCTGGCCCAAAAAAGTGTACTGCTTAGAGCCTAATCAGAGCTATTGTTGTTGCCACCCAGATGCTGTAGCAAACAATAGACTCAAGTAAGTTTGGGTAATTAATTTGAGATTTTTAATCCACCTCCCCTTTTCTCCTCCCCCAAATCTTATATTAAATACTAGGTGTATGCTGTGTCCTGCATGAGGCCTTGAGGATGACTAAATAAATAAAATGCAATCCTTGCCTTTGAGGAATCAGATAGTGATATTTGCCTTCTAACTTTCTCTCTAGTCTGTTCATGATCTCTTTGTGTTTTCCTTGGAGATGATAGAAGATAATATATTCTCAGATTTGGCCCAGACACCACCAAAGCAACTTTGTGTGGTGGAAAGAATGTGAGACTGAAATTCAGGAAACTAAGCCTCTGATTTGATTTCTGCCACTTACTCGCAAGTCCTTTGGACTGATGACTTAATGGTTGGCAATTTGGGAAGAGCACTAGATTTGGAAATGTGGATTCTGTTACATTACTGATTGGTTGGTTGTTTGCCTCTCCCTCTAATCAGCATGAGAAAAAGCCAAGCAATGGCTTAGTCTCAAGGAGAAGCTATGTTCCCAGTGCCCACCCAGCCATATTTCTCACTATTACTATCAGGCACTCAGAGTTCCAGGAAGTAGCAGAATAGACTGGAGAAATCAGAAGGTCTGGTATCACACATGGGTTGAGATGCATGTTCTGCCTCTTCCTAGCTATGGGATCTTGGGTCTGTGATTTAGGAAAATGCCCAAATAACCACTGCTTAAACAAAATAAAAATGTATTTCTCTCTCATGTAAGGGCATGCCACCTAGGACTAGTATATTAGCTATACTCATCAGGAACACCAATCCCATCTATCTTGTTGCTGTTCTACCATTCTCACATGTGACTTCCATTTCAAAGTGCAGATTAATTGCTCTAGTTACAGTCATCACAACTAACATCCCAATCAGCAGTAAGGCAGGACAAGAAGGAGAAGAAATTGCTTTCCTCCATATAAGAACATTATCCGGAAGTAGAAACATACTTATTTTGTTTCTATCTCATTGGTCAGAACTTGGTCACGTGCATACACATACCTACAAGGGAAGCTGAGAAATGTAGTCATTATTCTGGCTAGTCATTTTTCTAGTTAAGAAGTGGGTGTTCTATTACTGGGAAGGAAGAGGAGGGCAGACATTGGGCCACAATTAACCATCATAGCCACAATAAGTGGCTCTTTGGCCCTTCATGTCTTAATTAATAAATGGGGCTAATATTATCTGCTTCATTAGGATTTAAGAGGATTAAAGAATATATGTATGTCCAAGTACCTAGCATATAGTAGGTGCCCAATTGATGGAAATAAGTATAATTATGCATGTAAAATACCTTGTGCATGGTGGGTGCCAGTTCTCCCTCTTGCTCCATTCCCCCTGATTTCATAGATGTTGGATGATATGTATGAAAGCTAAAAGGAGTCAGGGCTTAGACCAGCGACAGACTAATGCATGTAATTCTTACTGCTTCTATCCATTTTCTCTCACCTATTCCATCTGAAATAGGTTAGATGCTAAACAGTTAGGACATGAAGACAGAAAAGTGACCCCTTGGCCAATTGCCTCTCAATTAAATCCATCTTGTAGCAATTTTTGGAGTAATCATTATCAGGGATCTGTATTAGGAGGAAGCAAAGGTCATACGGGCTTCTTTAATGATTAGAAACTCTTCATTCTAGGGATGAGGTTAGATAAATTAAACTAAGCTCTTAAAACAATCAGGCTGACCTCATCATCTCAGAGATCCAGAGCCAGGAGCCAAGCTCATGCTGGGTCTCCCTCTATGGGCCCCCAGAGTATGGCTGTCATTGATGACATCTAGACCAGGCTCTCCTGAGTTTCTCAGGGCAGAGAAGAGAGCTGATGGGGAAGGGTTCATCCAATATCTCCAATATTACCAATATCTCTTCCACAGAGATTGGATGGAAAGACTCCAGTCAACAACCAGATAGAGGCCACTTGAGTGAAACAACATTTAGGACTCTGGAAAGCCAGATTTTCTCCCAAAATTCTTTCCCTAAGCTACTGTGAATAGAGTCAGCTATGAGATAGTATAGGGTATGGGGCACCAGGGTCAAGGTTGAGCCCATTTGAAGTAGGGACATTCTCAGTCATGCACTTTGCATCTGGTTTGAAATCCATATCATTGATCAACTAACACATTCATTCATTCTTTCAACAGTGATAATTAAATACCTACTATGTGTTAGATCCTGGAAATGTTAAAGCCAGCCATAAAGGAAAAAACTTGACGGCAACTACAAAAAGCAATAGGCATTATGAGGGAAGTCAAGATTGAAGATGTGTGGGGTAAAATAGGAGAAAGAAATACAGTTCCACTCTTTGTGCTATTTGTTATTTATATGGCAACCATTTTCTCCTTCTCCTCAAATAATATCTTTTCTTTTCTATTTCAAATCTAATACATATTCATCACAGAAACCTTGGATACAGAAAAGCAGAGGGGAGGAAATACGAATACTATATAACCTCACAGGAGTGATAAGCACTGCCAGGTTTTTAGTTTATGGCCATCTTCCTACCACCCTCAGTTCCCTCCTTCCCAGAGTCCCTTGCAGCAATATGGGGAGCCCCTCCCCACTCATTTCCAGTAAAGTGAAGAAAGCTGGGACATTCCTTTAGGGAATGGCTGTGCTCTGGATTCCGCAACAGTAGATACAGTCACCCCATCCACCCCCATTTAAAAGGTTTTAAAAGCTAAATAGGGCCCTAATTAAAGAACATGAACTTGGAATCAGAGAAGGCAGAAGGCCATTACAAAGACTTTGGATTTTAGCTCGAGTGAGATAGGAAACTGTTGTAGGGTTTTTACCAGAGGAGTGACACACTCTGGCTTATGATTTAAAAGAATTATTGTAGCTGATGTGTGATGACAAGTTAGGAGGCAACTGTAAAAATCCAGGCAAAATCTAAGACTAGTTATTTGACCTCTCTGAGGGTACTAGCCTGAATAAAAACTCTCTGAAGATATCAGGTCCTAAACAGATGTTCTGGAACCTGTAAATGTTATCTTAAGAGGAAAAATAGTTTTCGAAGATGTAGTTAAATTACAAATCTTGAGATAGGAAGATTATTCTGCATCACCCAGGTGGGCCCTAAATGCAATCACAGCTGTCCTTATAGGAGACAACCAGAGGAAGAGAAGCCGTGCATAGCAAAGAGAAGGTGATGTGAAGATTGAGGCAAAGATTAGAACGATGAGGCCTCAAGTCAAAAAATGCTGGCAGCCACTAGAAACTGGAAGAGGCGAAGAACAGAGTCTTCCGTAGAGCCACCAGAGTGAGAGTGTGGCCCTGTAGATATTTTTATTTTGTTCCAGTGGTACTGAGTTTTGACTTTTGGCTTCCAGAAATATTATGGAATAAATTTCTGTTGTTTGAAGCCATCCAGTATGTGGTATTGTGTTACAGCAGACTAGGAAACTAATACAGATTACGGCACTGGGAAGGAGGAGCTGCCTTAACAAATACCTAAACATATGGAAGTGACTTTGGAGTTGAATAATAAATTTTAAGGTACATGCTGGAAAAAGCCTATATTTCCTTAAACAGAGTATAAATGTGGATATTAACAGCATTTCTGGTGAGAATTGAGAAGGAAGTGAGGTGCATGGTAGAGAAAGCCCATATCATCTTAGAGGATAAATGTATTATCATTTAAAAAAAATTTATAGAATATGAACATTAAAGGTGCTTCTGGTGTGAACTGAGAAGAAAAAGAGGAACAAGTATTGGAAGCTGGAAAAAAGGTGATTCTTGTACAGTGGTAGAAAATTCACTAAATTGTGTGCTACTGTTGTGTGAAAAGAATTTGTAAGCAATAAACTTGGATATTTACCTGAGGGGATTTCCAAGCAAAGTGTTTAACGTGTGGCCTGATTTCGTCTTGGTGCTTATAGCATAATATGAGAAGAAAGAGATACTTGATAAAGAATTGTTAGGCAAAAATGAACCAGGATTTGTTGCTTTTAAAAATTCTCAGTCTATTCAGATTACAAAAGATGCTAAAATTAGGAGATTTACTGTTAGGAAAGAGCACTCTGGAGAGAAGGCCAAGGGTGTAACAGGACAATTTTTTGTAAAGGCTAAAGAGACTGAAAATGTGATTATTCAGGGAATATCTGTTGAGGGCCCTCTGGCCTAATAGCATAAATCCCTGTGGGATAGAAGGGAGATACACAAGATTTTTGAGAATGTTATAGCAGCAGTAATACTTCCAGTTTGGACTGAAAGGGGCAGAAGGAAGATAAAATAAACAAAGGCTATTGGACTTCCAAAAGGTCTACACGCAAGACACAAGACTGATAAAATGACTCAGCTGAAAACATGTGCTACACTTAGTGGACTCCAACAGCCACCTCTCATGAAAAAAAATCACGCTGAGAAACGCAATGCTTTTTGAATAGCAAGATGGGCTTGCCAATTCTTATATCACATTCATTCACAAATAGAGATGCCTGTGCACAACTATCACACAGTTGTCCTTTGGTGTCCATCGGGGATTGATTCCGGGACTCTCCAAGGATACCAAAGTCCATGGATGCTCAAGTTCTTTTATAAAATGATGCATACAACCTATGCACGTAACCTATGCACATCCTTCCATATAATTTAAATAGTCTCCAGATTATTTATAGCACATGAAACAATGTAAATGCTGTCTACTATTGTTATACTGTATTGTTTAGGAAGTAGTGACAAGGAAAAAAGTCTATACATGTTTAGTACAGACACAACCATCCATTTAAAAAAAAAATTTCAATCTGTAGTTGTTTGAATACATGGGTGTAGAATCCTTGCATAAGAAGGGCTGACTGTATTAGCTAAATATAAATTTTAAACAACACTCATTTCACCGGTGACAAATTATTTCTAACACTTCTCATGCTAATTAACAAATCCTCTACAGTTACCTTTCTAGTACTATTGATTTGCTTCCTTCAAATGCAAACTAACCAATTCTAGACTATGAATTCTCTTTAGGGCACTTCATTTGTTTAATTGACCACTCCTAGTTGGCTAATTACCTACATACTTGTCACCATGTTTATGCTGATGCGTTTTAAAGTAGACTATACATAATATGACAAATTTGAAATGTTTTCCACACTGGTACTTTAGTTACACCATCTATAAATGGTCAATGAGAGACTTGTCTCATTATAATCATTGTGTAATAGTACAATGCCTGTCATAGGTCTGCTAGACCCTGAGATGAGAATTTGTGTGCAAGTGATTTATTAACAAAGTATTCCCAGAAGAAACAATAAAGGAAGGAGAGAAGCTGAACAGGGAAGGAGAAGTAGCCTAGCAAGATTATAACTTCAGGCACAGTTTCAGAACATGTAGCTTCAGTCTGATCTCATAGGAGATTTCTGGATTTTGCCTCATCCCAGTCTGCTGCAGAGGAACTGGGTTCCAATAGTCTCAGAAGAGTCATGGGTACAGGCTCTTGGAGAAAGAGCACACCCAAGTTAAGAGAAAGAACACACAAAAATGGCAAAAACAATCTGAGAAGACTTGGTCAAAGCATTGGCTATTTGCTCAGTAGTGACAAAGTATTTTCCCTGGACCAGTGCCTGTCCAAGGATTGTTACAGATCTGCAATGAGATAAATACAGAAATTGATAGTAAGCATTTAGAAATTTGTACAGCAATTTGACAGTAATTTTATGTCCATTGAATCTAATAATTTTAAAATTGGCTTCATTTTATTTCATTTTTGTAGTAATTTGTTTTAACTGCACTTTACAAAAGAATTGCTCTATGAGGTATTAGGAAAAAAGCTTGGGTCATTTACCACAGAAGCACTGAGCTATGGTACACATAAAACTGTAACTATTATTAAAATGGAAAACCATTCATTGTTCACACACTCATTTAAAAATGCTTATTGAATTTCTGTTATAAATCAGGCATCAAGTTTGGAGATTCAGTTATGAATCCTTTTGGATTTTAGTGGAGGGGAAAGATGATAAGCCAATATTCAAATAAAAAAAATTTTCAGTATCAGATGGAGGTAAATATAGAGAAAAATAAGGGAAGAGAAAAGAGATGATGGAGAAGGAGGTTTCATAGGATGGTTGTATTTGTTGTCTGTTGCTGCACAACAAATTAGCAACAAGTTGATTGCTTAAAAAATACACACTTATTATCTTATGGATTCTATGTGTAAAGATCCACACATGACTTAGATGAGTCCATTACTTAGAGCCTTGTAATGTTGCAATCAAGGTACCAGCCAAGTTGTGTTCTCATCTGGAGGCCCAACTGAGGAATAATTTATTTCTAAAGTCATTCAGATTTTTGGTAAAATTTATTTACTTATTGCTCCAGAGCTGAGACTTCTGTTTTCTTGTTGATCTGGTCAGAGGTCTCCTTCAAATTCCTAGAAGCTGCCCTTAGCTGTTTGCCACTGGACTTTCTAACACAGATGCTTATTTCTTCAAAGCCAGCAAAGGAACTAGTCTCTGAAGTGAGTCTGATAGCAAGATGGGGTCTTATTTAATGCAACATAATCACAGGAGTGCCATATTCCATTTTCTATAGGCATGTCACAGGTCCCACCCACACTCTACAGGAAGGATTAGACAAAGGCATGGACACTAGAAAGTGGGCATCATGAGGGCCCACCTCATGTCTGTCACAGTGGCCAAAGAAGGCCAGAATAAGGGAATATTAAAGCCATGACCTAAATGAAGCAAGAGAGAAAACCATATAGATACCTGGTGAAAGATACATGCAAGCAGAGAGAATGGTAAATTTAAAGACCCTGAGACCAAACTTGCTTGGTAAGTCAAGGAAAAAAAATTGGCTGGAGCAGATTGAGCAGAGGAGAGAGTAATACGAGGTGAGCTCAGAGGGATACTGCAGAGCCAGGTCATACAGGGCTGTGTAGGACTTGATAAGAACTTTGGAATTTGAGTGAGATGGGATGATTAAAGTGTTTAAAGCAGACGGCTGTCATGATTTGGCTGTCCTGTGGTGTATAAACTATGTGAAGAGGTGGCAAAGAAAAGGAGAGAGAGCAGTTAGGATTCTATTTAATGATAGAGGCAACAGTGGTGGCTTTTTAGACCAGGATAGTAAAAGTATCAGTCAGCCTGAAAAATAATCAGATCACAGATATACTTATAAAGGAATGTCCACCAGTGTGTTAGGCTGTTCTTGCATTGCTATAAAGAAATACCTGAGACTGGATAATTTATAAGGAAAAGAAGTTTAATTGGCTCACAGTTCTGCAGGCTATACAAGGATGGCACCAGCATCTGCTAGGCTTCTGGGGAGGTCTCAGGTAGCTTTACTCATGGTGAAAGTTGAAGTGGAAGGGGGCACGTTGTAGAAGTTCATAGGTAAGGTCAATGCTGGAAACGAAAATTTGGTAATTATCAGCATGTGGATGGTATATAAAACCACGAGACTTGGAGTGACTTGGGGAGTCAGCATTGATAGAAAGGGAAAAACTGATATCTAAATCTTGAGCTAGGGAGATGAGGAGGATTCAGCACAGGATGTTAAAAACGAAAAAAAAAAAAATTAACTTTTTTTCAATAATGTGTTGCAGCTTTTTGTACATATGGGATATTTTTTCTTACATTTATTTTTTGTTTTTAGATGATTGTTGTAAGTGGCATTGTGTCTCAAATTTCACTTTCTAATTATATTTAGTATATAGAATTAAAACTGATTTTTGTCTAAAAAAAAAAAAAAAAAAAAAAAAAACGGAATGACCACAGAGGTAGGAGAAGCAAGAGAGTGATGTCTTGAAAGCCTGGAAGTCTGGGAGTGTGTCAAAAAGGAGAGAGAGATCAACTGTGTCCAATTATGCTAATAAGTAAGAGGAAGAGTGAGAATTGACCATTGGCTTTAGCCACATGGGAGCCATTGGTGACCTTGACAAAAGGGTGGTAGGCAGAAAAGACGAATTGGAATGGCTTCAGTGGAAAATGGAGGGAAGAAATTGGCATACAAAATACAGACGACTTTTTCTGAGAAATTGCCCTGTAAGTGGAGAGAATAATAGGTCATCACTGGAGGGATGTATGTCAAAAGGTCACTTTTTGAAGATGGGAGATAGTCACATTTGCGTGCTGATGGGCATGACCCATTAGAGTGAGAAAAGTTGAAAATGCAGAGATGGAGAAGCAATAGCAATAGCTGGAGTAAAGACTCTGAGTATGAAGAGGGGATGGAAATAGTAATGCTTCATAGAGTTGAGGGGAGGCTATAATGAAATGCTCTGTGTAAGACCTCAGAATGATACCTGATGCATGACAGTTGGTCAGAAAATGATACCTTTTACTATTATTATATAGTAACTTGGGGCAGGTGAGAGGGTAAAAGGACTCCTCAAATTCAGAAAACTCAAAGTTGAGATTAGAAACAAGTGTAAGTGGCATGACTGGTGATAAGAAAGCACAAGTCAGAAACTAGGATCATTGAGGCAGTTCAATTTCTCCAACTGGGAGAAGCAGGGAAGCAACAGGCTACAGTGTCAAGTGCAAATAGCTTTTGCCTCGTAATATGGTCTCTCTCCGTCAGTAACTAGCTGCACAATAATAAGCAAGTCCCTGAGTCACTTTATGCCTCCATTTTCTCTCCTATAAAAGGAGTCTGGTAATACTCATTCTCTTGGTTTGAAACATGATTTCTAAGAAGCCGGCAAGGCTAAGCAGGAGAAAGTAGTTTAAAGTAGTGTTCTGCAAATGAGAGTTGTTTTCAGGAAGAGGTGTTTCAAATAGCAGAGAAGTGGGGATTCCAAAGACTCCCTAGGGTGAGGAAAAACAAATACTGTACTGTATACAATAGGTCCTTGAGTCAGAAGGGAGGGGAGGGCGAGAAGGCAGAGTGGTATTCAGGGATCAGGAGTCAAACAGCAATTAAGGGAACAAAGGTCAGCTGGATGATAATTACAGGCAGTTAGGGAGGGAATTAGAGCTAGAGAGGTACTAATTACATGGGCCATTTAGACAAGGGTGGGGCTTCGCCTAAAGGAACAAAATGAGGGCTGATTACCTGCTAAAAATAAAGGCTGCCCCTCGGAGCCAGGGCTCACACATCTGGCATAGTCCCAGGCAGCACGAGGCTGTGTTCTCTGCTTTGCAGTGCCTACTCTGCTTCTAGTGTGGGCAGAACGTGCCTCCACCCTTCCCCAAGTACTGACATAAGGTCTGGGAGCTGTCTGTGGATCACTCCCTAGCTCTGTAGGAGATGGTGGCGTAGGGGAGAAGGGCTTGGAGATAAAGCATCAAAATTGGGTACACCAGTCAATCAATATAATCAGTCTAGGGGCTGGCTGTGCCCTGCAGAAGGATGCCAACCAGGAGGGCCACAGGGAGTGAAACCCAGGCCATATTTTGTTCTTTGTGCCAGTGCCCTGAAGTGGGGCTGTACCTGCTGGAAGGAAGGGGTACCTTTCCTTTATTTTCATTAAGTTGCTATATGGACTATCTCAGTCCTGTGGCCAATGCAAGAAATTTGGCTCAGCTTTCTGAGGGGCTGGTACTGTATCCTCTATTTCTTCAGATCACTTTGTGAGGTCATTATTCTCCAGTGGGGGCTTGTGGGAGAGGCAGTGGAGGCAGAAAGCGCATGCCCAGACCATATTCTCCCAGCTCAGTCAGGCTTCTCTACCTCTGATTGAACCTGTACTCACTGTGAAGCTTCCTGGGCCACCTGTATCCAGCAGCTGACATGGATGATTTCTCTCATACTTGTGAAGATTCTCTGATGGTAAAATAGACTACCATATATTAAGACCTCTGTGTGCTTCATTTCATATTCTTACCATTTTGGGGGTGGTTGTGTTTTTTCTTTGTAATAGTTACCTATTGTTGCATGACAGATTACCCCAAGACTTAGTGGCTTAAAACAGCAATTAAAATTTATCCTATTTCAGCCAAGCGCGGTGGCTCAGGCCTGTAATCCCAGCATTTTGGGAGGCCGAGGTGGGCGGATCACGAGGTCAGATCGAGACCATCCTGGCTAACACGGTGAAACCCCGTCTCTACTAAAAATAACAAAAAATTAGCCGGGCATGGTGGCAGGCGCCTGTAGTCCCAGCTACTCGGGAGGCTGAGGTAGGAGAATGGTGTGAACCCGGGAGGTGGAGCTTGCAGTGAGCAGAGATTGCACTACTGCACTCCAGTCTGGGCGACAGAGTGAGACTCCGTCTCAAAAAAAAAAAAAAATTATCCTATTTCACAGTTTCTGTGGGTCAGGAGTTGAGGAGCAGTTTAGGTGCATGGCTCTTCCTTAGGGTCTGTCATGAGATGACACTCAAGATGTCAGCTGGGACTGCAGTTGCTCTAAGACCTGATGGAGGCCAGAGGATCTACTTCTAACGTGGCTCCTCACGTGGCTGGCAAGCTGGTGCTGGCTGTTGGTGGGAGGTCTTAGTTTCTCTTCTTCTAGGCCTCTCCACAGAGCTGAGTCTTCTCCTGACATGGTGGCTGGCTTTTCCCAGAAGAAGCAATGCAAAACCCAAGGTAGAGGTGACCATGCTTTTTTTTTTTTTTAATCTAGCCTTGGCAGTCCCACATCACACACTGTAACTTCTGCAGTATTCTGTTAATCACACAGTTCATCCCAGAGTCACAAAAGTATGAATACAAGGAGATGGAGATCACAGGGAGTCATATTAGGATACTGCAATAGCCATTCTGTTAGGCATCTTAGTCATGCCTACTACACTCTGAAATTAAAAAATATTTGATATTTACTGCATAGTTATTAGTTCTCCAGCAGGCTTTTGATCACAGTAGCCTAATCTTCAATTTGTAAGCAGGTAGATATAGATATGTATTTATAGTCACTCATTTATTCATTCATTTATATATCCAAAAGTATTTGTTGGGTACCTATTATATGCTAGACACTGTTTCTAGTCACCTGACAGATGGAGAAACTGAGGCATGGAAGTCCAGTGACTTGCCTAAGGTTTAGTGGCAGAAGATGATGAGAACTCAGGTGATATGGTTTGACTTGGTGTTCCCACCCAAACCTCTTGTTGAATTATAATTTTCAGGGTTGGAGGAGAGGCCTGGTGGGACGTGATTGGAACTTGGGGGTGGATTTCCGCCTTGCTGTTCTCATGATAGTGAGTTTTCTGTGAGATCTGGTTGATTAAAAGTAAGTAGCACAGACTGGGTGTTGGGGATCACGCCTGTAATCCCAGCACTTTGGGAGGCCAAGGCAGGCAGATCACAAGGTCAAGAGATTGAGACCACCATGGCCAACATGGTAAAACCCTGTCTCTACTAAAAATACAAAAATTAGCTGGGCGTGGTGGCACACACCTGCAGTCCTAGCTACTCGGGAGGCTGAGGCAGGAGAATTGCTTGAACCCGGGAGGCGGAGGTTGCAGGGAGCCGAGATCACGCCACTGCACTCCAGCCTGGTGACAAAGTGAGACTCCATCTCAAAAAAAAAAAAAGTGTGTAGCACTTCTGCCTTTGCTCTGTCCTGCTCTGCCATGGTAAGACATTCCTGCTTCCCCCGGATCCCTTGGGGCACTGCCTAGTAGATCTGTGAGAAGTGGGTCACCATCCTCCAGACCCCAGAATTGTAGAACCACTGACGAATTTCACTGTGTTTTTGGAAAACCTGCAGGCACTCAACACCAGCCCACGAGAGCAGCTGCAGGGGCTGTACCCTGCAGAGCCACAGGGCTAGAGCTGCCCAAGCCTCTGGGAGCCTACCCCCCGCATCAGGGCATCCTGGATGTGAGACATGGAGTCAAAGGAGATTATTTTGGAGCTTTAAGATTTAATGGCTGCCCTGCTGGGTTTTGGACTTGCATGGGGCCTGTAACCACTCTGTTTTAGACAATTTCTTTATTTTGAAATGGAAGCATTTAACCAATGCCTGCACTCCCATTGTATCTTGGAAGTAACTAACCTGGTTTTGATTTTACAGGCTCATAGGCAGCAGAGACTTGCCTTGTCTCAGATGAGACTATGGACTTGGACTTTTGGATTAATGCTGGAATGAGTTGACTTCGGAGGACTGTTGGAAGGGCATGATTGTGTTTTGAAATGTAAGAATGACATGAGATTTGGGAGGGACAGAATGACATGGTTTGGCTCTCTGTGCCCACCCAAATCTCAAGTTGAATTATGATCTTCAGTGTTGGAGGAGGGGCCTGGTGGGAGGTAACTTAATCGTTGTGATGGATTTCCCCCTTGCTGTTCTCATGATAGTGAGTTCTCACAAGATCTGGTTGTTTGAAAGTGTGTGGCATTTCTCCCTTTGCTCTTTCTGTCTCTCCTTCTCTGCCATGGTTAAGATGTGCTTGCTTCCCCTTTGCATTCCACCATGATTGTAAGTTTCCTGAGGCCTCCCAGCCACACTTCCTGTTCAGCCTGCAGAACTGTGAGTAAATTAAACCTCTTTTCTTCATAAATGTACTCAGTCTCTGGTAGTTCTTTATAGCAGTGTGAGAAGGGACTAATACGCCAGGTGTCCAACCACTGTCATTGAGCATTTGAGCAGCAGTTGAGTGCCAGGCTTTGGGGGCACAGATGTGAATGGTATTACTGCCCTGAAATAATTTATGGTCCAGTGGGGGACTTTTACTGGTAAGACACATATACACAGAGCTGGTAATTGTGATAAGTACCACAATACTATACAAAATAGCCATGGAAGCTCCAAACATAGTCACTCCCAGCTGGGATGGTCAAGGATAGAGGCCTGGGCTAAAAGACAAGTTAAGGAAAGGACTGAGAATTGACTTGACAGCATGAAAGTCTTTGCTGAGTTTGACAAGAGTAGGTCAACTAAAACTGGGGCCTCTCTGGTTCAAGTCAGATTGGGATGTGACTGGGTTCTGCTAGTGGTGGTGGGAGCAGGTTGCTGGAGCCAACTGAGTACTATCTGCTCTACACACACAGACACACACACACACCTACCTCTTAACTCAGAAGTGGCCCTCAAGGCCCCTTTCTAGTAATGTGACCAGTCCATGAATGGAGTCCTCCATAGGGCCTCTCTTGTCTCAATCACACTAGAGTTATACTGTAATATGGAAGGTGCTTCCTGAGCCCCGCATTTTTTTTTTTTTTTTTTTTTTTTTTTTTTTTGAGACGGAGTCTCGCTCTGTCGCCCAGGTGGGACTGCGGACTGCAGTGGCGCAATCTCGGCTCACTGCAAGCTCCGCTTCCCGGGTTCACGCCATTCTCCTGCCTCAGCCTCCCGAGTAGCTGGGATTACAGGCGTGAGCCACCGCGCCCGGCCGAGCCCCACATTTTTATGTTTAGGTTTCATGTGTGTGTATTCCAAGACAATTCACCCCCAGGGGTCAGAATGATGACATGCCACCCCCTTGTTCTCAGTGCACTCAATGGACTTGTTGATGAAAACAGTTAAACTCTGTAAAATATTTGAAGAGATTTATTCTGAGCCAAATATGAGTGACCAATGGCCCAAGACATAGCCCTCGAGATATCCTAAGAACATGTGTCCAAGGTGTTGAGTCACAGCCTAGTTTTATACATTTTATGGAGACAGAAGACATCAATCAAATACATGTAAGATTTACATTGATTTAATCTGGAAGGGCGAGACAAAGTGTGAGGGGACTTTCAGGTCATAGGTAGACTTAAAATTTTTCTGATTGGCAATTGGTTGAAAGTGTTATTTTCAATAAAAAGGAATGTCGGGGTTAAGATAAGGGGTTGTGAAGACCAAGGTTTTATCATGCAGATAAAGCCTCCACGTAGCAGGCTTCAGAGAGAATAGATTCTAAATGTTTCTTATCAGATTTAAGGTCTGTGTTGATGTTAATGCTGGTTGGCTTTTCCTAAATTCCAAAAGGGAGGAGGGTATAATGAGGCATGTTTGACTCCCCCTTTCCCATCATGGCCTGAACAAGTTTTGCAGGTTAACTTTGGAATGCCCTTGGCTGAGAGGAGGGGTCCATTCAGATGGTTGGGGGGTCTTAGAATTCAGAATTTTTGGTTTACAGGCTTTGATAAATGCACTTAAATTTTCCTATTATTGATATTATCTCATGTAGAGAGGCAGTGAGATGTAGTGGTAAAAGGCATAGCCTCTGGAGCCAGATTGCCTGAATTCAAATCCCAGCTCTCCCATTTACACACTTTGGTTTTTAGTTAGTTTGTTTTTGTTTTCATTTTGTTTTATTTTGTTTGAGATTCTGTCCTCCAGGCTGGAGGGCAGTGGCATGATCTTGGCTCACTGTAGCCTTGCTTCCCAAGCTCAAGTGATTCTCTTGCCTCAGCCTCCTGAGTAGCTGGTACTACAGGCATGTACCACCATGCCTGGCTAATTTTTGTTTGTTTGTTTTGTATTGTTTTTGTAGCGACAGGGTTTCACCATGTTGCGAGGGCTCTACTAACACATTTTGAATTTATGGAAGCTCCTTAATTTCTCTGAGTCTCACTTTCCTCATCCATAATATGGGGTTAATGATCTTACCGTTACAATAGGTTTTGTCTTGAGCCTTAAGTGAATTCATATGCATAACACCTTAGAACAGTTCCTGGAAGCTAGAAAACGCTCAAAATGTATTCATTATTATTTATACTTAGATTATCTACATTCAGGTAGCAGATAACTATCTCACTGGCTCCTTGAGGGCAAATGCAACTTGTTTCCAAGATGTTTTACAAATTCCAGAGATACACTGTTAATTTAAGAGTAACTTTCCAGAGAATAGAGGGGTGAGTGGCTCGAGGCTGCAGTGGAGAAAAGAAACACTGTATCAAATGTACATTGAATATAAGTTGCTTCTCCGGAAATACTAAAATGAGAAAATGTGGGTTTATAATTGAGGAAATGCAGTACATAAACATTTAAGCACCTTGTCTTCACCTTTCCCAGCTGGGGCATATCTGCAGCTGGAGGCTCGGATAGGATGTCAGAGGGCCTTCCAGAGAATAGAAACATGATCCCACTATTTGGGGAGGTGAGAGAGTAGAAAAAAATTTTTTAGACATAATTTACATACAGTCAAATGCCCAAGTCTTATGTGTACAGCGTAAGCCCATATTGAAAATCATATATGCTTCTTTTACGATATTTTAAACAAGTCTGGGTCTGAATACAGCTGTATTGAAATTTGGAGTAAATGTGTCTAGATATAACATTTATTATGGGGGAAAAAACACCTCTTACTCAATATCAAAACAGTTTTAGGGCTTAGGAGGAAAGATAGCTTATATTTAATGAACAGCTTTTATGTGCCAGGCATTTAAAAAATATATATATATATATGTGTATTTTTTGAGATGAAGTCTCACTCTGCCACCCAGGCTGGAGTGCAGTGGCATGATTTTGGTTCACTGCAACCTCTGCCTCCCAGGTTCAAGTGATTCCCTTGCCTCAACCTCCTGAGTAGCTGGGACTATAGGCGTGTGCCACCACTCCCAGCTAATTTTTGTATTTTTAGTAGAGATGAGTTTCACCATGTTGGCTAGGCTGGACTCAAACTCCTGACCTCGTGATCTGCCCGCCTCGGCCTCCCAAAGTGCTGGGATTACAGGCCACTGCACCCAGACCCATATTTTTTTTTCTTTCAAGACCTGCCACAACCCTGTGAGTTACTTATTAACACCCCCATTTTGCAGATGAGAAAATCAATTTATATAATTTGCCCCAAAATGACAGATTATTTTGTGGTTCCAAATTGAACCTACAATCATCCTTCTTCAACTAATATGTTCTTTTTCTGTACTTTAATTACAATTTACTTAAATTAAACTCATTCCTTATCCTAGAGACAGTTAATCTAATTTCTTACAATATATTAAGAATAAATTGAGAATCTCCTTTCTGCCCAGAACTATACTAGGTTATAGGGAAGAAGACAACTGAGATAAAATTTGGGTGCCATTTTTTAATTGCTCAATTTGGAATGAGTTCTAATGAGATTAGCCAGAAAGGTAAGTCATGTTTGATTTGTCTAATCATTTTTGGACTAAGCAGGAAGTATTTATAGAATAAAATGTCATTAAGAAGCATAGTAGAAACTAGCGACTGTTGATTTAGATATAGAAGGAAGGAGATAGAAAAAAGAAGAGAGAGAATATTGTTTCCCAACGCTGGCCCTACAAATTGGCAGAATCCATATCTGCCCAGATCCTACAAATTGGCAGAGTCTATGTCTGCCCAGATGGTGTGGAAAATATATTTCTCACCCCCACTTCCACTGCTACTCAGAGGAATGACAAGGAGTGATTCCTTTGCAGCTGGAAGGCTATGGGGCCTTCATTGATCTATCCTATCAAATTTTGAATACTTCCAGGAGGGATGGATAGTTTACCTATCTTATCCAATAACTGCTCGGGTATTAATTATTACATTAATTAATAGCAAAGGCATGTCAAGGCCATGGAGGAATGGGTCACAGAAGAGGGAGGGAGGCCAGTGATATTGAAGAGTGAAATATTCATAGTAGGGTCAGGAAGGAAGATGGGAATGGGGGATTTACTTAACTGTACCTTTTCAGAGCCTATGCTATAATCCCATGGGAGTCCAGGTTATCCAGCATTAGAACTTTGATCTTATCTTCTGGGAGCTGAACTTCTAGTTTGATTTTCTAGAAAACACATCTCTCCTATGGCCTCTCAGTTTTGATATTTGGGAATACACCCCTCACTCCGCATACACACACACACACGCGCACACACACACACACACACATCCACACACACTCCCCAGGTCAGCTTCCTTAATAAAATTGTTTATTTCTGTTAGATGTTTTACAGAGGCGCTTTATGTTTGACTCTTCTTTGTATCTGTATCTGGGAATCTAGGACTTCATTAATGAGGAGACTTCTTGACTTAGCCCCATTTTAATTCTTGTTTTATGGAAAGCATATTTAAAAAAAAAAAAACAGTAGAAAAATGGAGAGTTGGGTGCCTCAGTCTTATAGACAGCCAATCTCTTGGGGAGTGTTTAAAACTTGAGTATCTAGAACTTCAAGTGAGAGGAAGTGTGGACTGGGCAGACAGGACCCCATGTGAAAGCGAAGTCTCAGATACATGGCTCAATGTGCTAAAGAAGTTTCCCTTCTTTCATTCATTGGTTTTTCCATTTAACAAATATTTGTGGAGTGCCTACTTTATATCAGACCTGTGTTAGGGATACAATGGTGAACAAGACAGCCTCTGCCCCCTCAGACCTCAGTCTTGTGAAGAATACAAGTAAATTATAGGAAAAGTACAGGGAAGGGGCATCCAATCCAGGCCTGTGGTTTATTTTTAAGTTAAATTCACTTTTTCAGCTGCTCATTTCCATGATCCCCATCTAACCCCAGTGCAGACTAGGAATAATGTTAAAAAATCTGGATAAAATTCCATACCGGTCCTTTTCTCTATCTATCTTGTCCAGGAACTACTCGGACTTCCATAATGAATCAAAAAGGTGCCTGCCCCAACAGTCAAGTGCTGTAGAAATGCAGCTTTCTGAGTGTTGTTTTCAAAACTATCATTACCAAAGAATAGTTGATTACTGTCTAGGAAATAAGGGAGGTAGAGTGGGTTGGATGGTGGTCCTCAAAATATGTCCAAGTGCTAACACCTAGAACTTGTGAAGATTATCTTAGTCAGAAAAAGAATCTCGTAGATTCTTAATTTAGGGCAATTAAATTAAGAATGATCATGAGATCATCCTGGATTTAGGGTGGGCCCTAAATCCAATGACTGGTGTTCTTATACGAGAAAGGAAAGGGGCACTTGAAATGTAGTTACACAAGGGAGAAGGCCATGTGAAGACAAAGGCAAAAAGTGGAGCCATGTGCCTACAGGCCAAGAAATGCCAAGGATTGCCTGCAGTTGCCATAAGTTAGGAGAGGCATGGAATGGATTTTCCCCCAAAGCTTTCAGAAGGAAGTAACCCTGCCGACACCTTGATTTCAGACTTCTGGATTCCAGAACTAACAGAAAAGAAATTCCTGTTGTTTTAAGCCATCAAGTGTTTGTACTAGAACACTAATTAGAGGGGTTAATGAGATTTTGCTATTATTGCACTCCCTAAGTAGACAGGAGGCCAAAAACCGGGATAAAGGGATTCTAATCCCTACAGAGAGAGATAGAGGGAATTAGGATCTGTCCCAGACCCTGAAAGGGAAGTCTATGTGGCTGCTTTTGTACCACATGATCCTATCCCTCCTAGATTTCAGCTACTGGATAATATTTGGACAACAGACCCAAGGAGACCACGATGAGCTAACGAGTAGGTCAAGCATACACATAGTGCACTAGCAGAATCAAAGACAAACATACTCCCAAAAGCTTTTTGAAATATTTTGATATTTGATATTTCAAAAAAATTAAAATAGTAATCATGACAAAAATCAGAAGTTTTCTTGAATTCTTTATATTTGTCATATATGCATGAATATGAGTACCCTAATATGAAGTCATTCCCTGCTCTCCCATTGAGAAAGTCAAGAAGAAAGTTTTGTTTGCCAATGTGAGTGATAAACTTTTAGGTATGTAGATGAAATAATTAAAAGCATGCATATTGTATCTAATTCATTAAGTAGTTATATTTACATACTATAAATTATATACAAAATATATCAATTTAGAAGTATGTTCCTCTTTCTCATAGATCACATAACACTCTTGTTCAAACTCTTCAAAAGTATTTTTAACATCAGGCCCGGACCCTCGGCCGCCCGGCGTGGGCGGAGCCACCTCTCCCCCGCCCCGCCCCGCCCCGCCCCGCACGCCGCTCCGTGCCTCCCTCCTGCCTCGGATGTGGCGGGACCTGGAGTGGCGAAGGGCCTGAGACACCGCAGACCTGAGACCCATAGCAACTCGGAGGTGGTGAATAAAATAGCCTCCAATAAAACTACATGGCAAAAAATGAGAAAGAAACAGAATGGAAAGAATAAAAAGTTGAAGAGGCAGAGCCTGAATAATTTGTGGTGGAAAAAGTACTAGATCGACGTGTAGTGAATGGGAAAGTGGAATATTTTCTGAAGTGGAAGGGATTTACAGATGCTGACAATACTTGGGAATCTGAAGAAAATTTACATTGTCCAGAGTTGATTGAAGCATTTCTTAATTCTCAAAAAGCTGGCAAAGAAAAAGTTGGTACAAAAAGAAAATCTTTATCTGACAGTGAATCTGATGACAGCAAATCAAAGAAGAAAAGAGAAGCTGCTGACAAACCAAGAGGATTTGCCAGAGGTCGTGATCCTGAAAGAGTAATTGGTGCCACAGACGGCAGTGGGGAATTGATGTTTCTCATGAAATGGAAAGATTCAGATGAGGCAGACTCAGTGCTGGCCTCAAAAGAGGCGAATATGAAGTATCTTCAAATTATAATTGCTTTTTATGAAGAGAGACTAACTTGGCATGCTTGTCCGGAAGATGAAGCTCAATAATTGTTCACATTGTTTATGTATGTATATATATGTGTGTGTATGTATATTCGTATATGGATTCTCATATGTATATATATATAAAATTTGGATCTTGGTTTTTTATATACTAGTGTGACAAAATAAGTACATTCTAATGGGAATCAAATTTGATATGTTCATTTTGAAAGTAGCGTTGGAAGAGTTGTTGGGTTTTTTTTTTTTCATCCGTAGCACTGGTTACTTTGAACAAATAAATAAAAGCTTTCTGTAGTTGCTTCCTTTATCAGAAAAGAACATTTGTTACCATGGTATATCATTTCCTCTGCATTAGAGAACAGCTTTTCTAAATGTTTGGGGTTATGTCCATAGTCATTACTCAATCAGAACTTGTGTTCTCATAAGTCTAAGGACCATTCTAGGTTTTTTATTTGTTTTTTGTTTGTGTATACATAAAATGCGCACGCAAATTTTTTTAAACATTCACCAGAACAAAAAATCACAGGTAAACCCATGTTTCTGAGATGCCCTTATTCTGAGCAAAATAAGAGGTAATCACTTCAAGTTAAACTGAAAATTTTCCTGAAGCCTACATTTCAAGTGAAATAAGTGATTCTAAGTAATAGCACAATTTAAATTGGATAATTTTAAAGCATCTATATCTACAAATGCAGTGGTTTGTTTGCAAAATTCCTAAAAGCAAAAATTTTATCACTGTCATCACAGGAGGTTTCCCCATCCAGATGAGGAAACTAGACAAATCCCAGTGTGTTTTAATGAGCTAAACACAACTAAGTTAAATAAACATTTAAAAAATTTCTCTAGCGGGCCATTCCTTAACAAAATGTCGAAATCCCTGTTGCTACATTGACTAAAAGGTCATGATTCATGGAATATCTAAGATCTGGCTTATAGAAACCTAATCAGATGGTTAGAGATGTTGCTAGTTTAGGACCTTCTGCCATAAATGTGTGAGCAACCTTTTGTAATCTAACATATTGACCTTCATGAGTTTTGTTTTGTTTTGTTTTGTTTTTTGTTTTTGTTTTCGAGATGGAGTCTTGCTCTGTTGCCAGGCTGGAGTAGTGGTGCGATCTTGGCTCACTGCAACCTCTGCCTCCCAGGTTCAAGTGATTCTCCTGCCTCGGCCTCCCAAGTAGTTGAGACTACAGGTGCATGCCACCACGCCCAGCTAACTTTTGTATTTTTAGTAGAGACGGTGTTTCACCATGTTGGCCAGGATGGTCTTGATCTCTTGACCTCGTGATCCATCCGCCTTGACCTCCCAAAGTGCTGGGATTACAGGCGTGAGCCACTGCACCCAGCCAACCTGCATGTTTTTTTGTTGTTGTTGTTGATTTTTTTTTTACGCCAACTCATTCCTTACATGTAGGCTCAGTCTTTTCAGTATTTGCTTTACCGGTTCAGCAAAAGCCAGGAAAAACCACTTGGCAGTAATCAGAATGTTATCCAACTGTATATTGTTTACCTTATTGTAAATACTTGTGAACAGTGGTCAATAGTTTTATGTTCCTTTATGCAAAAAAGTATCTTTGACATCAATACTTTTGTTTTCACTAGAACTACTTTTTGAATCTCCTTTGCATTTAACTCAAAAAGTTCATTTTTAGAGAACATCATTTACATTTCTGCATGTTTTGTTAGTGATAGAGCATTTACTGAATCCTCATATAACGGGTCACTGGATATTTGATCTTAAGCATACAAGGACCTATTTTCATAATATCAAGATCTTTGAGGTTTTCATATGTGTATATTTACAATTTCTACAATGTTAGCACTTACTCTGTTGCACATTAAAATGACTTTTAAGAAGCTTGTTTACAACAATATTCAACATTTACAATTATGGACTCATATTCATAATAATTATCGGTTCATAATCATAATGAGTAGTAAACCTGTGTTGAATTTGTCTCCTTTTTTATCAATTCTGCCAGGAACCTCTGAGTTATCCCATACCAGCATTAAACTTAGGCAGTTATAGGCTAACATACCTTCCCTAAACAGTCCTCTTTTGTTCAAAATGAAATTGAGAGGCTGTTCCATAATATGAGGCATTTTGA
Organism: Homo sapiens; assembly: GCF_000001405.40. NCBI lineage: Eukaryota > Metazoa > Chordata > Mammalia > Primates > Hominidae > Homo > Homo sapiens. Next base: position 27,809,060 of record NC_000011.10, read on the forward strand.
AAGACCTTGAATATATAAAAACTCCCTCTGTCCTAAAGCAATGGTCCCTAGCCTTTTTGGTACCAGGGGCCAGTTTCACAGAAGGAAATTATTCCACAGACTGGGGTTGGGTGGAGAAGGGATGATTCAAGTACATTGCATTTATTGCGCACTTTATTTCTATTATTATTACATCGTAATACATAATGAAATAATTATACAACTCACCATAATGCAGAATCAGTGGGAGTCCTGATCTTGTTTTCCTGCAACTAGACCGCCCCATCTTGAAGTGATGGAAGACAGTGACAGATCATCAGGCATTGGTTTCTCATAAGAAGTGTGAACCTACATCCCTTGCATGCACAGTTCACACTAGGGTTTGTGCTTCCATGAAAGTCTAATGCCATCAGTGATCTGACAGGAAGTGGGGCTCAGGGGATAATGCCAGCAATGGGGAGTGGCTATAAATACAGATGAAGCTTTGGCCAGGCATAGTGGCTCACACCTGTCATCCCAGCACTTTGGGAGACTGAGGCGGGTGGATCACTTGATGTTAGGAGTTCAAGACCATCCTGGCCAACATGGCAAAACCCTGACTCTACCAAAAAATACAAAAATTAGCCAGATGTAGTGGCACATGCCTATAATCCAAGCTACTCGGGAGGCCGTGGCGGGAGAATTGCTTGAACCGGGGAGGCAGAGGTTGCAGTGAGCCAACATTGCACCACTGCACTCCAGCCTGTGTGATGAAGTAAGACCTTGTCTCAACAAAAAAAAAAAAAAAAAAAAAAAAAGAAAGAAAAGAAAAGAAAAACCACTCACTTGCCTGTCGCTCACCTTCTGCTGTATGGCCCAGTTCCTAACAGGCCACGGACCAGTATCAGTCTGTGGCCAAGACGTTGGGGACCCCTGTCCTAAAGGCTTGTGTGTGTGTGTGTGTGTGTGTGTGTGTCAAAATGTTGCCACATGTAATAGTATACAAAATAGTATTTTATGAAATAGTCTTGTCTTTATTTTCAATTATTCATGGAGGCGGGCAGTATGATCTTTTCAGTATTTTGGGCCTCAGAATATCTTACTTTAATCTTGGTCCTATTCAAAGGCTGTATTGAGCCAGCAAGGTTCTCGCCCTTGAGAGTTTGGACTAAGATGCACAGAGGTTGGTTTGTGGTGGCCCCTGGATTTGTAAGGCCATCAAGTTTTTAGGGCAGGTGGACCACGCTGGGCCATGTGCAAGATGATGAAGTAGAGGAAGATCTGAAGAAGAATGAGACCCACTGGCAGAGAGGAGCAGAGAGGAGAAAGCGTATAATGTTGCTCCCGAGAAGAGCTTGAGTACCTGATCCTTTATTTTGTAGGCTCCATGAGGCATGGCTATACTTCAGCTCCTAACCTTGTGGGGTCCACAGAATTGTCTGCTCTCTTCTCACAACATACCCCCAAATCAGTTGAATGCAAATCCAACACCTTTTATTAAAATTCTCTCCAACTAAACTTTCTTCTCTTCCTAAGCCTTGCCTTCCTTATCTGATAAATGGGAACATCGGTACTTCCTAGGTCACAGAGATTTTAAAGATCAGAAGAGGTAGGATACTTTTGAAAAGTATAGAATGCCTTATAACACATGCATAAGGCATTTAATTATTGTGGTTTCTGTAATTGTTCAAGCTGTTCCTCAAAGTAATGGCAGGTTTGGGGAAAGTTGTGAGAAGTCTCTCCCATGCCCAAAGCTCATGGGACAATACTACTGTCCTCACATGCCTTGAATTACAGGACTTATTAGTCTCAGTCATGCTTTACATATCACTTTTTCTAATGAGCTAAGGATGATTGCACCTCTGTAGAAGCCTCTGTTTGAAGTGAAATAATTTTGGCAAAGATAATACGGGCCCACCCAGAACTAATTTGAGCCCACCTAGCATAAAGCTATTCCTTTTTGCAGTGCTTCTTGGTTCCTGCTTCAGGTTTTTGGTTCTTCTTTCTTTTAGTTGGCTCACAGAATATTTTTCTGTAGATTCTTTCAGGGAAGACCTCCATATAGCAAATCTTCCCTGAAATGTTCTCTTCATCAAAATTTATCTGACCTCAAAACCGTGCTTGGTGTTGGTAATCTGAGCAATGTGACTGTACAACCACAGGTAACATGGTTGCTTTACCTTAAAAATGAACTAACTTATTTTTTCTGATTGTAAAAGAAATTAAGAAAATATAAAGAAAAAACCCCCTAAAAACATAGATAACCATTGCTAACATTTTGCTCTTAACGTCTATATTTTTATGAATAAGTATTTAAAAACATAATTTACACATACTATGTATATTCATTTAATTTATCTCTTTTTATATTATGATCACTTTTTTATGCCATGAAATGTTCTTAAGAAATACCATTTTAGCAATTCATTATTTGACTTTCTCATAATATAGGTAGCCAACTCCCTCTTGTTTAGATAATAATGCAATGATCATCTCTGTGTCTTTGAGCATAAATGTTTGTATATCTGACATTGACATATGTGTGTATGTATATGTATACATTCATACACATATAATATTATCTATGAGAGAGAATGTGAAGTTGGGAGAGAGAATAAACATTTTTGAGGTTTCTGATGCATGAGTTCATTTAGTGGTAGAATTTTGCCATTTTTTGCTGCACAGTATCTATTTTATTTTGCTTTATTTCTAGAAGTAGCATTCTGAATTTCCTCTGAGGAACAATTAGTGCCACACTCCCACTCCATGCACATTTGTGGTACTAACTCTGCCCTTTGGTATATGACCTCAGGCCTAGCCCAGTAGGGCATCTTATTTCCCCAATCACAGTGATTCATTTAGCGATGGGCGTATGACCCAAGATGAGATATTTACCTCCAATCAAGGCCAATTATGCCACTTTTGCTTGAGCACAGGGGCACAAGAGCTACACGTGGAACTGGGAGAAACAGAAAGTTGCTGCTAGAGTCCCCCAAGGAGGCTGGGTGAGAAGAAGTTAATACAGAGCAGCTAAAGGAAGAGATGTAGAAAGAAATCTGGTTCCTGAAAACATTGTTAGATCCCTTAAATCAAGCTCTGTCTGAAGCCAGCACTACCCCCAGTCTTTTCAGTGATATGAACCAATGTATTTCCATTTTGTCTCAGGGCAGTTTGATTTAGGTTTTCAATCACTTGAAAGTAAAAGAGTGCTATTTGATGAACACATTTTCAGGGATCTTTGGGTAGAATACTACTATAACCCAAGGGAATGATTTCGAAAGTGTAAATCTTTGAATCCCTGGAAAAGGGGATAGATTGGGAAGTACCCTTAAATCAGTGAGACACATTGTTGCTTTTTGATTCATTTGAAGGTCAAGACCTGGACCTAGTGAGAAACATGGGGCCCTCTCCTTGCTCTAAGAAAGGCCCCTAATAGGAAGTTGGCAACTCTCCCAGACTGAGCAGATAAAGAAGGGGCTAGTGCAGCCATGCGGAGGTGGATGGACAGATGGCATGTACTTATACTTATTAAGGTTACGACTCATGGTTAGAGAGCTCCAGCTAGCTTAGGGATGATTAGAATTCTCCTGGTGAGTTTGTATTTGTCAGCATCCCTGAAAAAGTCATGGCCCTGATTATAGAGAACATGAGCTCTCAAGAATGTGGCCAAAGTAGTATAGAAAAGGCCACATGTATCTTAGTTCCTAGGAAAGGATGCTCTGGGTCCATTGCTAGCTCCTATCAGTTGGTTGGCCCACATCTACTCTGTATATTGATCAAAGGCTTGACATGCTATGGGGACTGCAATATGATACAAATCCATCCAAATAATCACCAAGATCTCTAAATCCATTCCAAATGTCACAAGCCACTGTTCAAATTCCATGTGTGTGGGTGGAAAATGATGACTCTTAAATGACCTTATTGAAAAGACCCAGATTGATAGAGGGACAGACAATGGGTTATGCTTCATATTTTATTTCTGAGTAGAAGATGTATCTTCTTGTTATCTGGAGTTGGGAGCTCACTTATTGGAAAAACAATACCTGAGTAACTACTATGTGCCATACACTTTTTGTATTGAAAATGGAGCAATGAAAAATATAGACAGATAAGAGTCCTGCCCTCATTGACAAGATGGTAAGTACAGGCAGCACATGGGAGGCCACATAACCTATCCTTTGTGGTGATGACCAAGGAAGACTTCCCGGAAGAAATGAGCTACAGAAAAAAGAAGAGATAGTGAGGAAAAAGGCACAGCAGAGGGAACATTAAAACCCAGAAAGAACAGAGATATAGAAGATAAGTTTGAGGAACTGCAAGTATTTCACCAAGGCTAGACCAGAACCTTCAAGAGAGTGATAAAAGATGTTTGAATCAAGTTAGGAAAGCTTTTGTAAAGTGTTTACAGACTTGAACATATTTAATCAACATGTTTACATCAGAAGGCGAACCTCTCTTGCATTAGGGTTTTTATTTTCATACCAAGAAAAAAACCAGATGTCTTAAGATTTGCAGGCTTTTTTTTCTTTCATTACATGGATTAGACATCATTTATAACAGAGAGAAGGCTAAAGCAAAGAACTAGACTATGAAGCAGTAGATGTGCAGTGGTATCCCTGCCAATCTGTGTCATGGGCTTCCCATTCTTTCCATGGTGCTGCATGTTGCAGAAGTGAGCATGGTCCTTTCTTTCAGATCTCTGGGTCAGAGCTGGGAATCTGCAGTAGGCAGTGGGATCTTGAAAAATACAATGCCAACACTAGAAAAGAGTTTGGAAAGCTTTCCAGAGGTACTAAATTTGAGCTCAGCGTAAAGAATCTTCAACCTCTGATTTTCATGCATTCTTTGGAAGACCAAATCTGAAAGCACCTCTTGGGAGAGCCCATTAGCAGGTCGTACTACTTTTACCTTAATTCTCACATGGAGGAATCTACAAAGCACTTTTATTATCTCATTGAATCTTCTCCAAAGCTTATGTCGAGATCATTTTTCCCACTTGACAGATAAGGAATCTCTGGCTCCGAGTTGTTTTCCCAAAGTCCAAGACCTCATTCATGGTATCAGTTGATCCAGAATTTGATAGTAATTTCAGGCAATGATGAAAACCAGGTGATCTGAAGGAAGGTTTCAAGAACAGAGTGGGAGTGGGCTTTAGTCTAAAGAAGAGAAGTCACATTTCAAATATTAATTCACTCAATAAATTGAGTGTCCACTATGTGCTAGGTTCTCTGGCTAATGAAAGAAAACAGAAATGGCTCCTGCTAATATAGCATGTGTTAGTTGAGGGGAAGTGGGTATTTAACAAGAACAACAACAAAAGGGGGTTATTATAAAAACCCCATATTTTGTGCTTGCCCAGGATCTCTTCCTTTGAGAAATGGTCCATTACTTTTCATAAAGGAGCACATGGTTTCCTAAAGTCCTGGTCTCACAAATTTCCCTACACATCCACTGAGCCCAAAATGGCCAGGTGGTCCAGACCTGGTCCATCCGTGACCTCTGCTTTCAGTGATTGGTTTAACCACGGCCATGTGATCTAAGATATGCCATTTAGTTCATGCCCAGAAGTTCTGCATAAGTCACTGGGCAGACAATTGCACTCTTTTCTTAGGAATCATGGTCTATAAAGAGGTATAACACTGGAAGAGACAATGATCATTTTTGCCATCTCATAGGAAAAAAAGCTGCTTAAAAATAAATGATGGTAACATAGAATAAGGCAGAATTTAGGAGATGAAAAGAGAAAGAGTCCTGGTTTTGCAAGCTAACTTCTGGATCTAGAGAGGGCTTTCAGGTTAGATAGGGCAGCAGATTTCTTTCTATGGATTAAGTTAATTTGTATTGGATTTCTGTCCTGATTGACACATAAATAATTATAAATAGTGAAAAGTACAGAGAGGGAAATGAACAAAAGACTATGAAAGAGAATAACAGTGAGAACATGGCTCATATAAGGTTGTTAGAAAAGTGACATTAAAGTTAGAACATAAAAGTGGAATAGACTTTTGTGAAGCCAAAAGTGGTGACAAAGTCTCCTTGATAGAAAGAGAAACATGTGGGAAGACCCAGAGGAGGAAAGGAGCTGTTGCAAGTATTTGAGGAGCTGTTAATAGAATGGAATGCAACTTATTCGGCTCCCATCAGACTATGGGTGCCAATGGATAGAAGTTGTAGTAGGTTTGGTATTGATTAAACAAAAAGAACTTTCTAGCAGCAAGAAAACTATGATTTCCCTGTTTCTGGAGGATTCCAGAAATAGCTGCATAGTTACAAATTAAGGATGTTTTATGGAGAAATTTAGTTTCTAGATAAGTGGTGGCTGGTATTCACATATTTATTTACTCAGTCAATACTTTTTGAGCTCCTGAAATGGGCCAGGTATAATACCTGTGCATATTGGTAAACAATATGCAGTCCCAGGTCTCAAAGAACTGACAGTCTAGTGGGGATACTGCTAACTAACATGTTAATTCTATCCCAGTAATGTGAGCGGCAAAGCAGGTCTAAGTACAAGGTAAGCATATCAGAGGCCACCTAACTTAGACAGAAATGACTTCTAACATCTGCTGCAATCTTGTAAAATTATGATTCTAAACATGAAGTAAGAAAACATTTCTTGTGAAGCCTGTAACTGGGATCCAAGAGCAAGCCACTATCATGGATGGCAGAATCAGTTCCCAGGATAATGGGCTTTCCACAGGAACTAGGGTCAAACCCTGCTTTGAGGCAGAGTTTTATCTATCACAGATGGTGCACACTTATGCTTAAAAATGTAATATATCATTTTAACATGATATTCTAACAAATATTAACAATAACAATAATTGCTAACATTTATCTAGCATTTATTATGTGTCAGGCAACATGCTTAATGTGTCCCATGCTTTAGTCATTAATACTCACTACCCTGCAACTAGTTCCAGTCCTTTGCTATGTCCTTGAAGAAGAAAGACATTTTTTAACACAACCCTCTTTGCTCATGAAACAGATAAAAAGCAAACAGGGATTGGTGACATCTGGAACTGAGAGAGAGGGACCAGTGTTTCCCTCAGCATCCCTGAAGGCCCAGCTTCCGTTTCTTTCTCCCTACATCTTTCATCAATATCTCCCCAGTCATGGGTTGCTATTGCCCCTCTGAGCACTTGTGACCTGGGCTAGTTGTTCTGATGTGGTTCCAGAGCAAAACCCCACAGAGCTGGAGCCCAAGAGGATGTTTGAGAATGATGCATAGGAAATCTCCAGCAAGCCTTTTTTCTGCACATTCGGGAGATTTTCCTCAAGCTCAACCTCAATCTGGAAGTTTTGAGTCCTGTCAAGACTTAGAGATGGATAAAATCTCCATCCCACTAGAGCAGAACAGAAAAGGCTAATAGGGAGCTGACACAGCAATAATTCATTCAAAAAAACCCCAACAGTGACAGAACCAGAGGAAAGTGAGCCTCATTAACAATCAATACCCATACTTCACAGAGCTTAGACTTTTAACTGTGGCACCCAAGAAACTAAGAATGCCCTGTAATTTGTATTAAAAGCATTGAGGAAGAAAGGGAATGTCTAGTGTAGTAAATGCAAGCCAAAGAGGATCTAGAATAAAATCCCATCTCTACCACTTTCTAGCAGAACAATCTTGGGCAAGTTATTTAATTGTTTTGTGCCTCAGTTTCTTCATATTTAAAATCAAGAAAATAGCACTTATTTCACAAGGTTTAATAAATGCAAAGGGCTAAAAACAATGCTTGGTATGTAGTAAGCACTCAGCAAATATTCTTATTATTACTAGTAGTAATCTTAGTGTCATGCTGATTGGTCTGTTACAAGGAGAATACAGTATGGTACTGAGTAAAAAAGGCAATCAAGAAATAGTTATTGAACACCTTCTTGTGCTAGGCAGCCTATACTAGATGCTGGACATACATTACTGACTAGAACATAGAAGTCCTGGCCCTCAAGGAGCTTACATTTTAGTAGAAACCAGAAAAAACAAACAAAAGAAAAAACTCACATAATATCTTTAACCGATTCCTAGGAAGGAGCTATTAGAAGCTAATTCCAGAGCCCTACTGTAGTGCTTTTAGTTTTCTCTGCGTAATGTTATGCTTGTTTAGCTACTCAGCAAATCACATTTACACCTCCTTCAATAAATGTATAACATCACTTCAAGATGTTGAAATAAAAATGTTCGTGGATTGGGTAGATCTAGCTGACCACCCCCCAACAACCCAATAATAGCAAAAACTCAGTTCTATCTCTAAAACTTACCCCACATTTGTCTTCCTGTCCTCATCTCATTTCCAACCTGGTCAAAGCCACAATCACCTCTTGCCTGGACAATAGTAATAGCCTCCCACCTGGTTCTTTGCTTCCACTCTTGGTCTCTCCATCTAATATAAATTCTTCAAGCAGTAGCCAGAGTAATCTTTTAAATATATAAACTAGGCTGGGTGTGGTGTCTCACGCCTGTAATCCCAGCACTTTGGGAGGCCAAGGTGGGTAGATCACTTGAGGTCAGGAGTTTGAGAACAGCCTGGCGAACACGGCGAAACCCCGTCTCTACTAAAAATACAAAAATCAGCCAGGCATGGTGGCACACGCCTATAATCCCAGTTACTCAGGAGCTGAGGCAGGAGAATCTCTTGAACCCAGGAGGTGGAGGTTGCAGTGAGCAGAGATAGCACCACTGCACTTCAGCTTGAGTGACAGAGCGAGACTCCATCTCAAAAACAACAACAACAAAAATACAAAATAATAAATAAATAAATTAGATCATTTCATTTCTTTGCTTAAAGTTCTTCAAAGCCTTCCTATTACAACTAGCCTATGACATCTGTGGGACCGGCCCTCTGTCTTCCTTTCTGGCGTCAGTTTTTACCATTTTCCCCTTTACTCACTGTGACTCTCTCCTCATTCTCTCTTTCTCCCTGGAAACCTTTGCACTTGCTCTTCCCTCTCCCTGGTCTGCACTTTCTCTGGACTTGTGCATGGTTGTCTTTTCTGTGTCATTCAGGTTTCAGCTCACATGTTACCTTTTCAGAGAAGACTTCCCTGATCACTGCATCTAGGGAGTCTCAGCTAGAAATTCTCAAACACATTTCTCTGCTTAATTTTCTTTGTGATACTTACTACAGTTTAGTGTTTTCAAAATAAAGAATTAGTTTACTTATTTCTTTTCTGTCTTCCCTCAATAGAGTGTTAGCTACATGAGGAGAGCAATCTTTTTTTCTGTCTTGTCCAATGCTGATTCTTCTTATTCAGTCCATGAGTAAATAGCCCTCCAAAATATCTGCTAAAACAATGAATTCTAGGGCTTAGTAGGAGAATTAGCAAGCAACCTTCCTTGTAGAAGGGCACCTTAACAAATGTAATAAAATGAAAATATTATTACCTGAATAGTAAGCACAGAATTCATCTTAGGGAGGGAACTGTCTCTGAGAAAATATCTCAAAAACTTCAAGAAAGACTGTTAGGTACTGAGACCATAGGAGGGAACAGGAGGCTTTGTGATAAAATGACACAGTTAAGCTTTATTTTCAAGATTCAATAAGATAAATTATGTTTTATTTTGGGTCTGTTTCTCAAAAGTTGAGAGACAGCAGGGAGATGAGAGCCTCAGATAGAAGAGAGGAGTCAGAGAAGTGGATTGTGGAGACATCTCTCGAATTAAACAATTAGCCAAGTTGTGAATGCAAAGAAAAAGTCCTTGAAGTTAATTAAAAGTGCTACTCCAGTGAATACATGAATCATAGGAAAGTAAAACAGCCTTAATGCTGACATGGAGAAAGCTTTAGCAGTCTGGATAGAAAAACATTCTCTTAAGCCAAAGCCTAATTCAGCACAAGGCCCTAACTCTCTTCCTGTCTATGAATGGTATAAATAGTAAGAGGACAGAATGAGAAAAAGGTGAGGAAGCTGTAGAAGAAAAGTTTGAGGTTAGCAGAGCTTGGTTCATGAGGTTTAAGGAAAGAAGCTATCTTCATAACATAAAAGTGCAAAGTGAAGCAGCAAGTGCTGATGGAGAAGCTGTAGAAAGTTATCCAGAAGATCTACCTAAGACCATTGGTGAAAGTGGCTACATTAAACAACAGATTTTCAATGTTGACAAAATTGCCTTTTATTGGAGAAAGATGCCATCTGGTATTTTCATAGTTAGAGAGGAGAAGTCAATGCTTGGTTTCAAAGCTTCAAGGGATGGGCTGATTCTCTTGTTAGGGGTTAATAAAGCTGGTGAAGCCAATGCTCATTTACCATCTTAAAATCCTAGGGCCCTTAAGAATTATGCTAAATCTACTCTGTCTGTGCTCTAATAATAGAATAACAAAGCCTAAATTCCAGCATGGTTTACTAAATATTTTAAACTATTAAGAGCCACTGCTTGGGAAAAAAGATTCATTTCAAAAAATTACTGCTCATTGACAATGCGCTGGTCACCCAAGTGCTCTGACAGAGATGTACAGTTAGATGAATCTGGTTTTCATGCCTGATAACACAACATCCCTTTTGCATTCTGGATCAAGGAGCAATTTGCAGTTTCGAGTCTTATTATTTAAGAAATACATTTTGTAAGGTTATCGCTGCCATACATAGTGATTCCTCTGATGGATTTAGGCAAAGTAAACTGAAAATTTTCTGAAAAGGATTCACCATCCTAGATGATATTATGAACATTTGTGATTTGTGGGAGGAGGTTAAAGTATCAACATTAACAGGAGTTTGGAAAAAGTTGAATTCAACCCTCATGGGTGACTTTGAGGGATTCAAGACTTTAGTGGAGGAAGTAAATGCAGAGGTGGTATAAATAGTAAGAGGACAGAATGAGAAGTGGAGCCTGAAAATGCCACTGAATTGCTGCAATCTCATGATCAAACTTGAACAAATGAGGAGTTGCTTCTTATGGATGAGCAAAGAAAGTGGTTTCTTCAGATAGAATCTACTCCCGGTGAAGATGCTATTAAAATTATTGAAATTACAGCAAACAATCTAGAATATTATATAAATATAATTGATAAACCAATGGCAGGTGTTGAGAGGATTTCCTCCCATTTTGAAAGAAATTCTACTGTGAGTAAAATGCTATCAAACAGTGTGGCATTCTACAGAGAAATATTTCATTAAAGAAAAACTCAATTCGTGTGGCAAATGTCATTGTTGTCTCATTTTAAGACATTTCCACAGCCACCCCAACATTCAGCAACCATCACCCTGATTGGTCAGCAGCCATCAACACTGAGGCAAGTGCCTCCACCAGCAAAAAGATTACAATTTGCTGAAGGCTCAGATAATAGCTTTTTTTTCAATAAAGTATGTTTAAATTAAGGTATGTACATTGTCTTCTTAGACATGATGCTATTACAGACTTGATGGACTATGGTGTAGTATAAACATAACTTTTATATGCACTGGGAAGCCAACACATTCATGTGACTCACATTATTGCAATATTTGCTTTATTTCAGTGGGTTGGAACTAGACCCAGAATATTTCTGAGGTATGCCTGTGTGTTTGTTTCAGTGTAAAATTCTAGGAAGATATCTGAATTTGTCCCTGGGTCCATGTTGTAAGATACAGGCACCCTGCATGGATATAGGAGCCCAGAGGTGACAGTCATAATGTAAGCCCTCCATGTATCTGCAGAAATCTAGGGCAGGTCTTGGAATTCTATGGGGCCACGGAATGGGGAGTTTCGGACCAATATTATCTGTATCTCAAGGAACAAGAAGAATCCCCCAACTATGACCTCTGGGTTATACTTGTCTTATTCTAGACTGGGTGTGCTACATGCTTGACAGTGTGAATTATGTTGGATCATAACTGTGGGTATCCATACAGTCTTCCTCTCAGCTACCCCTACCCCAAGTGTGAGATCTTTGAAAACAAGGTCTCAGCTTCTCCAGTGCCTAGTACCTGACATATATGGAGCCAGATAAATGCTTATCTGGGGCCTGTGCCATTCCCATCTAGGCAGGAAAGATATGAATCAACCTTAAGCCACTAACACATTATAAGCTCCTAGACAAAGGGCTGCATGGGTTCTGGGAATTGTGATAATGAGGCTGCTGAGGGCCTCTGGGCTGAGCCAGCTGCTACGGACACAGGCCCTGCCTAGCGCCTACCTTGCGTGGGCTCTGACTGGAAACAGGGACGTATACGCTCATTAGGGAGGAATGGTTGTTAAAAATAGCATCATCATCTCCAATCAGGCAGTGGGCTACGGTTCAGACCCCTCTTAACAGGAATGTGGGCTGGGAGGGCAGGGCTGGGAACGCTGTGGTGGGGCTCCCGGGGGCAGCTGCAGCCAGCTGCCTTGAGCAGTTCTGGACATCCTCAGCCACCTCCATGGCCACTGTGCTTGAAGGCCTTAATTAGGCCCCCAACAGTGCCATGGGTTCCTTAGGAAACACTGCCAACCAGAATGCCACCAGCTTTACAGGAAAGAGGAGACGTGCTGAGGCCTGGGCTTTGGTAGGGAAAGACAAGACTGGCAGGGAGTAAGTAGCAGAGAACACCATCTACCCACACAAGCCTGGCCCTGCCAACAGCTCTGGGCTTGTGCTTCCGGGACTTCTGATGGGAATGCTGAGAATGGATGAGGGGAAGGCCCAGACTTCCTCCCCACACAGACACTGCTTATTGGAAGGATGCTGGCGCAAACCACACTGCTGGCTGTCCCACGCTTCCCCTCAGCTCAATTAAGGCAGTAATCGGTATTTCTTAATTGCTGCTCCTGCTCTGTCTCCTGCCCCTCCTCCTGACTTTGTCCACTGCAGTGTAGTACCAGTAGTACCGGGAGACCAGTCTGTCCTTTGGGGCTGGCCAGGGAAGAAAAGAGAATTGTCTTGAGGAGGCTTAAAGGCCTCAATGCCTGATAAAGAAAAGGCTTGCAGAAATAGTTCTGTAGCCAGAACACTACCTGACTGAGCTCAGACCCAAATTTAAGGCTCCCCTCTAGCCCCCAGGTGACACACGGTCTAGCTCGCACGTTGATCGCTACCTGGCATACCTTTTCTGTTTCTAGTTTCCCAAAGTCTGATTCTCATTTGATAGGTATATTATTTCATTATAGGTGTCACTGTCTGTGGTAAATCTTCTCAGGTCTTTGTGGAATGAGATTAGGTACAAATATGAAAAACAAAATTGCAATTCTTTGAGTTGAAATAAAAACCAAAGCTTAATGATATGATGGTGAGAAACTGGTGTGAGTGTGTGTGTGTAGCACAATTTAAAAGGGGATTTATTTGATGTTTACAGATCCCACATGGATGACCTCCTTTGAGGAAATACTAAGACTGCTTGCTGTAAGAGCAACTCCGGAAGTTTAATGGTTAATTTTAGTTGAGAAGCTCAGGGAGCCTGAAGTAGCCTGGGGGACTATCTGGAGCTCTCAGACTAATATTTTCTAACATAATGTGTTTCTTGGTTCTTCCTTCCTTCCTCTTTTTATTCCCTTTCTCCTTCCCTCTCTCCTTTCCTTTCTTTCTTCTTTCCTTCCATTCATCCCTTCCTCTTTTTCTCACTTACTTCCTTATACATTTATAGAGAATTCAAGTTTAAGGTTCTGTATTATAGATGATAACACAAAGATGAATCAGATACGAGTATGAGTCTTCACTGGAAACTTTCTCAGTGCTATGTTCTAGAGATCAGATATATTCACACATACAAATACAGAGGGCAGAGAGTGGTATGTGTCTTTAAACAGACACAGTCAAAGCCCTAGGGCAATTTTTTATTCCTTTCTCTGCCCTCATCTTGGCTATTCCCACATCTCCCACTCTGTCCAATGACCTGGCCTATATTCAGGTACTTAATACAACTTGAAGCCTGATCCTCTTGGATGGGTTGACATTAGTGGACCCAGAAACTCTTTGTCTTAAAGCAAATACCTATTTGAAGTCCCTGAGGCCAATGATCTGCTTAACTCACCTCTGTAACAGCCCTTAGAAAAGATCCAGTTGACACAGATACTCTTAATTGGTGATTAAATTGGCTGTGCTGGCCTGTCTGTGAGGTGCCGATAAAGCGTAGAGCTGTATAATATCAAGTCCAGACCAAAACAGTGGACTCTAGACCAAATCATGCTGTCTCCCAACTTGACTTTAAAATCTATCTCTATCATTAACAGCTTGTTCATTTTCTTGGGCAAATTCATTAACTCTTTCTAAACCCAGCTGAGCATTTAAGTGGCAGGAAACATGCTGGCCACATCCTGGAAATTCAGTCAGGCCACTTGCCCCTCAAAGGACCACCTGGGCAGCGTAGAAAGCACTCAGTGGCTCTATGCAGCTTCTGGATAATGAGTTAAGAGGTGGTAACAACGCTAGAAAGTGGAACAATTCTAAGCCCCATTCAACCATTTGGACCATGCTCTCCAATATAAAAATTTAATGTGACCCACAAATGCAAGCCACTATATGAGTTAAAATTATTTAGAAATGTACTTATTTTTAAAAGCAAACAGGAACAGTTTATCAAAACTAATTAGTTTGATAATTAGTATTATGAAAACTAATTTTGATAGTATATTTTATTTAATTTACTGTAACCAAATATTATCATTTGAACATGTAATCAGTGTAAAAGATTTGATGTGTGTGTGTGTGTGTGTGTGTGTGTGTGCGTGTGTGTGTATACTTAAACTAGGTCTTCAAAATTTGGCACATATTTTAATAATTTACAAACTAGCCACACTTCAAGTACTTAATAGCCACACATGCACACATGGTTAGTGGTCACCACATAAGACAGAACAGATGTGGAGAGTTGGGAGAAACTTGTTACCTCCAGAGCCTTTTGGCAAGAAATATCAGCATTAATTTTTATCCCTGGATAATACATATACGCATCATTTTGCTTTACAAAATATGGTTTATCTATGTAACAAATCAGGAAGTATGTACTTTATCCCAGTTTTATAGGTGAGAGAACCGAGGCTAGGAGAAAGGAAATATTTTGCCTTACAAATTACTATAGCAGGTAGTAATGGAGCTGAGAGTTCACTTTTTCAGTTCTGTTTGACTCCAAATCCATATTCTTCCATACTATTTCTCAAGGCCCTATAAACTCCACAATAGAAATGCTTGGGGTCAAGGATATCTGAGGCATGTTTTGTACAATGGTCCAATCTTGAAGATTCATAGCATGAATTAGCATGTTAAAGGCCTGAGAAGTCCTGTAGTTAAACATGCAACATGGGCCTATTTTTCATACAATGTCTATTAACATCCTAAGAAACAAGTGTTTCATGTAACTGGCGTTGGGAAATGCAGTGTACCAGTGGAATTCTGTTTTTTGAAACAAGGCGTCCAGCTACATAAGAGGTCATAATGCAAGTAATGACAAGATTTTTGAATGTCAGCCTCAGGCATTCAAAAGAGGGACTGTCTAGTGACTTCAGTTTAGCAATAATATTGTTCTTATTTGGCCCTTTTAGCTTCAGATTAAAATCACTGAGTGTGACCCGAAAGGTTCATCTCAGCAGCCAGAATCCACACAATACAAGAGCTCAAATAACCAACTCTTTCTCCATCTCACACAACGGTAATTTATGTTCATAATGTTAATTGGGGCTCTCTAAGACCTTAGGATGGCTTCTCAACCAAAACAGAAAGATTCAGATTCGTACAGTGTAGCTTTAGCATAAAGTAAATGTGAGATTACATTTACGTTTTTTGAAAATCACTGCTTTGTATATGAGAAAATTGGTGCTTATATTCATTGAGTATTTATACGTACAAACATGGTTCAAAAACCACAACTTCTTAGTGGAGCTAGGGGCTATTATCATTGCCATCATCATTTTAAGATGA
The DNA here is from genome assembly GCF_000001405.40 of Homo sapiens. NCBI lineage: Eukaryota > Metazoa > Chordata > Mammalia > Primates > Hominidae > Homo > Homo sapiens. The sequence continues at coordinate 27,824,821 of NC_000011.10, forward strand.
GGAAACTGAGGCACAATGAGGTTAAGTAATGTGTCAGAAGTCACTCAGCTGGAATGCAGCAAAACTGTGCTTTGAACCAGAGAGTCCAGCACCAAGCCCACATGTTTACTAACATCACCACTAATCCTGAATGGATGAATCCTCTAGAACAGTCCATTTAAATTTTTTTTATTTCAATAACTTTTGGGGTACAAGCAGTTTCTTGTTACATGGATGAATTATATAGTGGTGAATTCTGAGATTTTAGTGCATCTGTCACCCGAGCAGCGTACATTGTACTTAATGTGTAGTTTTTTATGTTTGTTTTTTATCTCTAGCCCCACTTCCACCCTGCCCTTTCTGAGTCTCTAAAGTCCATTATATCACTCTGTATGCATTTGCACACTCATAGCTTAGCTCCCACTTATAAGTGAGAACATACTGTTTTAGTTTTCCACTTCTGTGTTACTTCACATAGAATAATGGCCTCCAGTTCCATCCAAGTTGCTGTAAAAGATATTATTTTGTTACTTTTAATGGCTGAGTAATATTCCATCATATACATATACCATATTTTCTTTATCCACTTATTAGTCAGTGGGTACTTAGGTTGGTTCCACATCTTTGGTATCTCTTTGTGGTTTTAATTTGCATTTCCCTGATGATTAGTGACGTTGAGCATTTTTCTTTTTTCTTTTTTTTTTTTTTGCCTTTTGTATATCTTCTTTTGAAAATTGTCTATTTATGTCCTTTGCCCACTTTTTAATGGGATTATTTGGTTTTTTTCTTGCTGATTTGTTTGTGTTCCTTAAAGATTGTGGATACTAGTCCTTTGTCAGATGCATAGTTTGCAAATATTTTCTCCCATTCTGTGGGTTGTCTGTTTACTCTGTGGATTATTTCTTTTGCTGTGCAGAAGCTTTTTAGTTTAACTAGGTCCCATTTATTTATTTTTGTTTTTGTTGTATTTGCTTTTGGGGTCTTAGTAATGAATTCTTTGCCCAGGCTGATGTCTAGAAGAGTTTTTTCAACATTGTCTTCTAGAATTTTTATAGTTTCAGGTCTTTTATGTAAGTCTTTGATCCATCTTGAGTTGATTTTTATATAAGGTGAGAGATAGGAATCCAGTTTCATTCTTCTACGTGTGGTTTGCCAGTTTTCCCAGCACCATTTATTAAATAGGGTGTCCATTCCCCAATTTATGTTTCTGTATGCCTTGTCAAAGATCAGTTGGCTCTATGTAGTTGGCTTTATTTCTGGGTTTTCAGTTCTTAGAACAGTCCATTTTACAACCTAACTGGAAAAATGGGATGAGTGTGTGTGTGTGTGTGTGTATGTGCAGAGAGACAGAGAAAGAGCTGTAACAGAGAACAGACAGATTAGAATATATTAGAGATGGGGAGGTGGTAGTGATGGACTTTTGCATTCATATAGTACTTTATAAAGAGACTTCTTATACATTAATATCATTTGATCCTCATAATAATTTATTCAAGTTAGGTACTATTACTGCTAACCAAGTGGCCTAGTGGTAGGGGAACACTGGGCATCTCATGTCAACTTACAGCTCTTTCTACCACTGGATTGCTGCTTTAGGAAATCAGCCACACACTCCCTCCAGTCTCCTCTCCTGCCTTAAATCTTCTAGAAATTCTTTAAAATCACTACTTTGGGTCCTGTGCACCTAGTATATCGTATGGCCCCTCATTCAAGCTCGGGGTCCAGATACCACCCAGGGTTCATGCCACACATTTCTAAGCCTGCAATGAGATGGATCAACACTGCATGGCAAGGAGCCAGTGTTCTTAGTTTCTGAGGCTGGATGGCTGGGAGGCCTCCTCCAGGTGTCTCGGCCCATCTCCCGGCACACAGCTGCTGTGACAGAGCCTACACACACGTTTCAGCATTAGACTATTAGACTGGGAAACGGCATGAAGGAGAATTTGGCGAATGGAAACACTCTCCTTGTGTCAGCGCCAGGAGAGAGGGAAGCAAACCCAAGCCCACAGGGAAGCCTGGATAGGAACCTGTCTGGAGGGTGCCCTGGAGAGCCCCTGATCCAGGTAACAGCTGAAAACGCCAAACCCCTCCTGGTTTTCAGCTGCCCTCAGAGACCCTGAAGGACTGTCTGGGAATTAGTGCATAGAGTGGCATTGGGGGTGAGGTTAGGGTCCCCCAACCCAGCCTAGTCCCTCTAGGGGAGGCTCACATGGAGCTGTTCTTGGCAGGGACTTGGTGTCATCCTGGCAAACCTTGGGCCCCTCTTTGTTCCCTGCTTGTTCCCTCCAGATGTAACTAGAAGGGGCCTGTTTGATATTTTTGCTAAACAAATTAATTATAACTTTTGAGTTTCCTCCTACAGGTCAGCACATTAAAACATGCCTGAGGGCTCTGGAGAATGTCCCAGTGGTCCCAGGCCCTCTGGAAAAACACTCTCTGGAACAGTTGCAGGAGGTGAGACCAAGAACTTGCCTCTGAAGCCCCTTGGTTGGAGGAGGACACATGGCTCACAAGAATGGATCAGGGAGAGCCCACGGTGAACCCAATTCTGGATTCATTAAAAGCTAATCATGATGATGATGATGTTAACAGCTACAGTTTATTGAGTATATTATTTGCCAAGCACTTAACAGTCATTTATTCAATAAAGATCACTTCACATTGTCTTAATTCTCACAACTAGCCTTTATGATTTAAATATTATTTTGTCCAGATGATAAAACTGACGGGAGAGCACTTACAAAACTTACCCAGTTTCCCTCAGCTGGTTTTTGTAGTGTAGTTGGTACACTTGGTACACAGATTTTTTTCTAATTCTAAAGCTCATACTCTTGACCATTTATTCATTCATTCATGAAACCAATATTTATTGCTGTGTGACAAGCAGTCTTCTAGGTACAAGGAATGTAGGATTGAACAGGACAGAGCTTATGTTCTAACAGAGAGACAGACAAAACCCCGTGAACTTGTGAAACTATAGTATTCCAGATGCTGACAAGTGTAGGATAAAAACTTAAGCAAGATAGGGAGCATAGGAAATATTGGGATGGAGGGAGGATAAGTTGTCATTTTATATTGGGTTGTAAGGAAGGTTATCCCTCAGAACAGATCTAAGCAGAGACCTAAATTAAGGGAGTGAGCCATTTAGGTGAGGAGAGTTGCAGTGAGGGAGAATTAGAGGAAAGTCCCTGAGATGGGAACATGCTTGGCACTGGAGAAAAAGCAAAGAAAACAATGTGGCTAGAGTGAGGTGAAAATAGAAGAAAATGGGGTCAGAGAAGAAGAGGGGCCAAGATCAAGTAGGGATGGTCTTGTAAGCCATTGTGCAGGATGAGTGAGAAGTCAAAGGTGGATTTTTATCAGAGGAATGACTTGAGCTGACTTACATTCTAAAAGCTGCTTTGTATGTGTTAGTGTATAAACATATGATTCCCAGTTCTCTCCACTGATGGGGCTTAGGTGCAATCACACCCTCTTTCTAACAAGCATATCTAGCACCATCTTGCCTTGGATGATTTGGACTGCGGGACCGTATTTCAATTAAGAAACAAAGGCTTTTTAGAAAAGTTTTTTCCAGGGCTGGGGCAGGACAAATATAAGATGAACATACAATATCTTATGGTGCCAGAAACAAAGGAAGTGTCCCCAAATGTCCCCCAGAAAGATGGGAACATGTTGCAAAAAGATAGAAGTCAACCTGAAGATCAATCTAGGAAAATTTAAGGTGTGAAATAAATAAATTTGATTAAATCCATAGAATAAGATAAGTATAGTGATATAAATATACAATTGAATAAATAAATAAATAAATAAATAAATAGGGGAGGAAGTATAGTTCTTCCTTACAGAAGAATCTAAATTAGTAATGTAGAATGAATAAAAAAAAATCACATTTAGAACATTGCAGTAGTAATTGCTGCAGGTAAGATCCACCAATGAATACTAAATTTGGAAGGTAAAAATTTGAACAGAATAGAATATTACCTCATTTTCAAAGAAGTCCTTCCAAAACATGAACCAGTTACAAAGGAACAAAACTGTAATGTTATAGTGAAGAAACCTGGTAAGTGCCACTTTAAATCAAGTGATCAAGGCCAACATCACCAATAAGACAACATTACGTATCATGTGGATAAGGCACTGAAAGAAGCACTACCTCAGTACTTGGGAGAATCGCTTGAACCCGGGAGGCGGAGGTTGCAGTGAGCTGAGATCGTGCCATTGCACTCCAGCCTGGGCAACAAGAGCGAAACTCCATCTAAAAAAAGGATAAAAAAAAAAAAGCATAACCTCAATTTCATCATGGGAAAACAGACAAACCCAAATTGATGGCGTTCTACAAAATAACTAACCAGTAATCATCAAAAGATTATTAAAGGCAAGAAAAAAACAGAAATTTTCAAAGACTGGAGGATGAAAGAGTGACAATTTAACGCAACATAGGATCCCAGATTGCATCTAGGACCAGAAACAAACACACTCAATATGGAGGAAATTGTGAATTTTGAAATAGAACTCCAGTTAATAGTATTGTATGCATATTTGTTAGTGTCTTGGTTTTGATCATTGCACTATCATGTAATTTGTGGGAAAGCTGGGTGAAGGGTATATGTGAGCTCTCTGTAAAGTCTTTTTGGAATTTTTCTAAAAGTCAGTATTCCAAAATAAAAAGTTAAACATGTAAATGATAAAAAACTAAAAACAACTTCGACTAAAGATTGCTGTATTGGGAATAGACTGTATAGGGGCAAGGACAGAAGCCAGAAAACCAGTTAGGAGGCTATTATGGAAATAATCCAGGTGAGAACGATGGTGGTTTGGACAAGGGCATAGCAGGGGGGAGATGAGAAGTGGTTGGATTCTGGAAATTTGTTTGTGGTACAGCTGGCAATATTTGCTGATAGAATAATTTTAGGAGGGAAAAAATGGAATTAAGAGTGACTTCAAGGTGTTTGACCTAAGCAACTATATTTCCAACAGAATACATTTTCTAAAGTGCTTCATTTATATTACTTCAAGAATTCTCACAACAATATTATAAGGCATGTACCTTAATCACCTAATTTCAATAATAATAAAAACAACTAATGTTTTCTGAGTATTTATATCAGGCACTTTGCATGTACTATCTTGTTTCATCTTCACCTGTGTAGTAGGTGTTGTCATTATTCCTATTTAATTTTAATACATGAAAAAATGGAAACACAGAGAAGTTAAATAGTTTTCCCACAGTCACTCAGCTAGTAAGTAATGGAGCTAGGATTGGAAAATACAGAGTCTGATTCCAGTGCCCACATGCTTAACTGTTGCACTCTACTGCCTAGTTTTATAGTTGACAACATTGAAATTTAGGAGGTTGAATAACCTGCCATGATTCACATAGATCTAATTGGGCAAAGCCAGAATTGGACCCCATCTCTGATTCCAAAGCCCAAGCTCCTCACCTAATGCTGTGCTGTTGGATCACATATGTGTGAATATGGATGGTGTCAGATACGAACTCCCTTGACATGGCCTGCAAAGGACTGGCTGGGGGCCAGAAACCACTAAGGGTGAATCTGCTGACCACAGGCACCACTTCTAGGCCAGGGATTCAGGCGGCTTCCTTGTCCCTGTTCTCATGTTGGCCAGGTCTGTTCCATGCCCCTGAGTGATGAGGAGGAGACGTCATTCCCAGGCCCAGGGCAGCACTGCAGCTCCATATGCTGGAGCCACATGTGTCCAGGCATCCTGCTATGCTCATCAGCCTCTCTGATTGGAAGCCAGTTGGAAAGGACAGATAAATTCATGTCCTCATGTTCACAGGCCAAAAGGTCGCTGCTTTACCTTTCTACTCTACAAAAGATACTCCTTACTCACCCTTGACCCCAAAGCACAGAGAAATGTTCTCAGTCTCCGAAAAACAGAAATCAAGTCTTCTCATAAGAAAAGAATATGCCAAAATAATTAACCTTGAGGGTCCCGGGTAATAATTAACCCTAGATTTTAAGAGGATGGGTGCTTTTTTTTTCTGTTTCTTTTTTTTCTGTCTTTTCCAATTTTCATAATGATTATCTAAATTTGATAACTACTTAAATTACTGTTAATAATTATTGATAATTTGACAATCATTTAAAAGAAAAGTCTAAGTGTGGACTCTGAAGTAAGATTCCCTACATTTGAATACTACATCCACAACTTACTAGCTATGTGATTGTGAGCAAACTATTTAAGTCATGATTTCCTCATCTGTCAAAAGGAGTTAATATGAGATCCAACTTTGTCAAGTTTTTACAAGAATTAAATGAGATAATACATGCAAATAATTTAGCAGTAACTTCTGGCTATTTTATTATGATGATGATTCTTAACATTTCAATTATACTGAATTTTTTTTACTCCATACCATCCCCAGTTTCTTGCCCCCACCTGGGTGCTAAATTCACCTTGTTGGCTACAAAAGGTTTGCTGGGGGAAATGGGGAGCCCCTTCAGTAGATGGGTCTAAGTGTTGACAAAAGGGAGATTTCTCCAGAAAAATAAGTCATTTTATCATTATGGTTCTTAGCAAAGCAGTCAAACAAAGGCTGGTGTTTTTCACTGTTTCCATTCTCCAGGGAACACATCCTCAGTGTCTCCAGTAAATTGGACTTTCAAAGGTAAATGTAAATTCTAGTGTTAATTTATTTAAAGTAAATTATTCAGAGAGTCATATGTCAGCAAACCTCATTTTGTGGCACTATATTAATGTCTTCCTTAAATATGGCTCGCCTTTTCTAAAAGCTGTTTTATGGGTCCAGGAAATCTGTCTGTTGCAAAGAAGTGCTTATTGTAAAGGATGTTTTAGTCCTCAGGTTCAATTAGGGAGAGAGCCAGGGTCAATGGGAGCCCTATGTGTGAACAGCATTAATAGCTGAGATGTAGTAGGAAAATGGGATGCCCACTAAAGCACATGCATTTTTATCTGGCAGGAAGGAACATGAAGAAAGATAAATGAAGGGTTTTATTCAAATTTCACTAGCCTTTAGGGAGCCTGGTGACAGCAGCTGACCAATCCACTGTAGCAGAAAAAAGACAGGTTTGCAGGGGAAGCTCCTGGGTCCTAGCGTCTTCCCTGGAAAAATCAAACTCTGGTTTCCTTCTCTCTATCTACACCGGGGAGAAGGATGTCTTCTCTATTTCCACCACCAAATAAAATAGCTATAAAATGCTTTGAAAGATTCAAAAAACCATAGAAATAGAAAGCATTATATCATTATATTTATGATTATTAACAACTGTTATTATTTTCAGATCTCAGGTACATAGGATTGAATTTCTTTTACTTCTCCATTCTTTACATGTTATCATCACTAGACTGTGCAAGGTCCTTTCTCTTATTTAATTTACTTCTTTATTCTTTTTGGTTCCCTTTCTTTACCTCTATTCCCTGCCAACACTACCTGCTTCTATTAATCACTGTAATGTGTTTAATATATTCTTTAAAAAATATACACATGCTCACACACACAAGTGTTTTACATGCACAGAAGTGTAACTTACATATGAATAGTATTGTTTCTTTTAGCATACATCTCTATATTTTTAAGAATCATCTGTGCACTACTCATATATCTAGTTCATCTCTTAGAACTGCTGCACAGTATCTCAGGATATGAATTCGCCACCTTTACCACTTAATTCTCTGAGTGAAGGATTTGTATGCTGTCTCCAGCTCCCTGCCACTACAAATAACAGCAATGACTACTCTTAGGCACTACTCTTTATGTTCACATTTGAGAATCTATTTGGAACATATACCCAGGAATAGAATTGGGCAAAGGACATGAACAGGCAATTTCTGGAAAAGAAAACCCAAAATATCCGTATTTGAAGTTTTGCTCACATATATTAGTAATTTTAAAAAATGAATTAAAACAAATGAGTTGTCGCATCACCCATTTTATACTGGTGGTAATTAGAAAGCTGGAAAGTGCCAAGTATAAATGAAGATGAGGGATGTAGGACCATCCACTGCTGATGGGGAGTGGTGGTAGCACAGTGCTTCAGGAGAGCTATCTGACAGTATTTAGCCAAATTTTGCATGCATAGTTTTTCATATATATTATTATTAATGATTTTTCTAATTAAAAATAATTCTTAAATATCATTTCTCATTAAGAAATAATTTTTTGGCCAGGTGCAGTGGCTCATGCATGTAATTCTAGGACTTTGGGAGGTCAAGGTCGGTGGATCATGAGGTCAGGAGTTCAAGACCAGCCTGGCCAAGATGGTGAAACCCCATCTCTACTAAAAATACAAAAATTAGCCGGGCATGGTGGCATGCACCTTTAATCCTAGCTACTTGGGAGGCTGAGGCAGGAGAATTGCTTGAACCTGGGAGACGGAGGTTGCAGTGAGCCAAGATTGTGCCACTGCACTCCAGCCTGGGCAACAGAGCAAGATTCCATCTCAAACAAACAAACAAACAAACAAAAATGTATTGTACATTTCAAAGCAGCCAGAAGATAGAACTTGAAATGTTCTCATTACATAGAACTGAGAAATACTCAGGGTGATGAATACCCCAGATATCTTGACTGGATCATTACACATTCTATAGATGTAAAAAAAATCACATGCATCCCATAAATATGTAAAATATTATATATCAACAAAAAAGAGAAATAACACCTACTAACCCACCTCTGCTTATCTATACTGGGTGTTAGAGCTACAACAATGAACCATGTAGAAATGATCCTTGCTGTCACAGAACTTAAGATACAGCTGGAAATACTTGATCATCTCTGTACCTCCAGGACCTAGGGAATGGCTGGCTCACTCTAGGAGTTCAGCAAATGTCTGCTGAATAAATGAATGAGGTGTAGCAGATATTAATCACACTATTGCTTTCCACTCTTACCATAAGTGGATCAACTCTCAGCCCCTAAGAGAGTCCCTCAGACAAAGCTAGGATTTTGCATCTTAGACTCCAGGGCAAGCCTTAGATCCCCTGTAAAAGTTATGTGTAATTAACATTAATTATATTCTATGTCTAAGTTCCTATATGCTAACATGCACTCAGTAATATAGGCAGTAATATTATTCTCATTTTACAGATGGAGGAAACTGAAGCTCAGAGCAATGATGGAACTTGCCTAAGATCACGCAGCTTTTGAAATGCAGGCTAGACTCCACCACAGATTGTTTTTGCTCCACAGCCCATGTCCTCTTCACCACATCACTATGTTTGTGTGGTGAGTGGGTAGGTTGCATTTACCTTTGTGGAGGTAACTAGCACCTTGACATATGCATATTATGTTTTTGGCAAATACCTGCTGAAAAAGAGGGCATTTTTACAGCTGTGAAGTCATTTGTTTCCACTCCATGGTCTATAGAAAACAGAAAATCACTGACACCATCTCCCTGCTCTCTTTCTCCAACAGCACAGCTTTCAGTAGCAGAAAGTGCTCATTAGAATGGATACCCAAACTTTGCCTTAGTCCCTCCCAGAGCCTCAGCCAGTCCTGTTCTGTTCTGTTCAGGGTTGAAAAGATTTATAGCATCCTTTAGCTGCTGACGATGTTTCCCTATTGATCCTGCTTCCGGAGCTCTGCTCAGGGGACAGGGAGTGACCAAAATGCTAAATTTTTATCAGGTTCACTGCAAAATCAGCCAGACAGCCCAGGCCTCCTTTGGGACCCAGAGCTAAAGGTGGAGAGCCACTGAGTCACACACTTCCTCCTGATCCACAGTGGGCAAATTTTCCCCCTCTCTTTAGTCAGTGCCTCAAGAGCCAGTTTCCAAATTTAATCCAAGGTCTTTGCCTGAAGATTTTCCTCTTCCCTCCCTCCTAAGACACTCACTCCACCACAGCCACACTACACCATTCACAGACCACCACTATAGCCCATTTCACACTACTGACCTGGATTCACCAAAAACGTTTCATCTTCACTATCAGTCTTTAAACTTTTTGAGGGTAGGGACTGTATAGCTCTAGCACCTAGAACAGTGTCTGATGTTGAAAATGTTGGATGAAAGAAGAACATACATACTGGTCAGTTTTCACAGCAGGAACTAAGAATATGAGAAGACACTGTTACCATGGATAAATTATAAATGCCAAACTTCAGTTCTAAGATTCTGCAGGCAGCAACATCATTCATTTTATGTCTTGATATAAAAACCCTTATTCATGGAAAAAAACTGTGTCAGGGATGGCCAAGTAGGTATACGTAGATCACCCCTTCCTATGATCACGTCTATGACAGACATCATTATTTGCTCAAGGTGTCCTATTTCCATGAGTGTCCAGGCAGCCATTACTAATCATGAGAGATCAAACCTGTGTGCCCTCCTTCAGCTAGGAGCAACGCACCTTGGTTTTCACAGTCTAATTGAAAAGAAAACGATTTCACATTTAAAAAATGAAATAACATGAAGTAACAGTAAAATCCCTCATCATAGTTTATTTATTCATGTAACATTTAATTAATTAATTAATTTATTTATTTATTTTTTATGGAGTCTCCTCTGTCACCCAGGTTGGAATGCAATGGTGCGATCTTGGCTCACTGCAGCCTCCACCTCCCGGGTTCAGGCGATTCTCTGCCTCAGCCTCCCTAGTAGCTGGGATTACAGGGTGTGCCACAACGCCCGGCTAATTTTTGTATTTTTAGTAGAGACAGGGTTTTGTAATGTTGGCCCAGCTGGTCTCAACTCCTGGCCTCAAGTAATCCCCCGACCTCGGCCTCCCAAAGAGCTGGAATTACAGGCATGAGCCACAGCACCTGGCCTCATGTAACAAAAATTTATTGAGCATTTATTATATGTAAAGAACAATGTGAAATAAGTGCTGGGGATATATAAAGATAAATGAGGTGTAGTCTCTGCCTTCACGGAGTTTCTGGTCTAATAGAGAATGCAGAAACATGCTGTTAATATACAATGTGGTAAGTCGTAGAGTAGGGAAAATACAGGATGCTGTGGGAATTGACTGGAATACCTTGGGAATTCCAGGATGTACCTAAAAAGGTTACTGTATTAGTTTCCTGACATTGCTGTAGCAAATGACCACAAACTGGAGGCTTTAAACAACAGAAAATTATTATTTCATGGTTCTGGAGGCCAGAAATCCAAAATCCATATCACTGGATTTAAAATCAAGGTAACAGCCAGGGCCACACTCTCTCCTGAGGCTCTAAGGTGGAATCTGTACCTTGCCTCTTCCGGTTTCTGAGGACTGCCAGAAATCCTTGGCTTGTGGCTGTGTCACTTTCCAGGTTTCAAGGCCAGGATCTTCAGGTTTCTCTCTGCTCTGTCTTCTCCTTTCCTTCTCCTCCATGTGTGTCAAATCTCCCCCTCTGTCTCTCTCTTATAAGGATACGTATCATTGCATTTAAGGCCCACCTGGAGAATCTAGGCTAATCTCCCCATCTCAGCAACCTTAACTTAATCACATCTCTAGTATTTTTGCCATGTAAGGTAACATTTATAGATTCCAGGGGTTAGCACATGGATATATTTGGGGGAGCTATTTTTCAGCCTCCCACACGGACCCAGCACTAGAATCAGTGCCTGGCACATTGCAGGCACTCAATAAATGTTACAGGAATGAGTGAAGACACATCTAATCTGAGAACACATGGGTGAGTATGTAGAGAGTTGCATACTACTTGTGTGGAGAGTATGTGGGATAGGAATTGGGGTTGGGGCTGGGGAAGGAAGCAGGAAAACTAAGAGTTGGGGAAATTGATTTAGTTAGACATCAAAGTAGAACAGGCAGGATGTAGGAGGCAAGGCGAGGGACAATGGTGGACAGCAGCAAGGACACTGAGGAGGAAAGAAATTGGGGCGGGTTGATTAATCTTTGTCAAATAAGAAGCTCCCCAGCAATCCATTTCACCAAAGGTTTTGACCCCTTTTCTGGGCTAGGACAATGAGGAGGAGGGTGGTATGATGCTGAGGATGCCACTCAGCTCCACAATTCACCTGTTTCCTGTGCCTACAAGGCCTTCCCCACCCTGCCTTCTTTGCCAACTCCTATTCACCTTCCTAGTCTCAGCCTAATTGTCTCTTCCTGACTCTCACCCTCATATCACCCTGCCTTTCTCCCATAGAGTCGAAGGCAACCAGTGACAGAAGGAGTGCAGTAGTAATGAGTAAGAACGAGGATGCTGGAATGGAGCTCCACCAGAACAGGAAGCTCCATGGGCAGGGATTTTTGTGTTTTGTTCATTGCTGTGTGCCTACAGCCCAGAACAGTGCATGGCACATAGTAGACACACATTAAATATTAGTTAAAAGAATGAATAAATGGAGTCAGACTTTTGCATTCGAATCCTGGTTACACCACTTACCAGCTGTGAGTTAGTAAATTACTCAGCCTCTCTGTGCCTCGGTGTCCTTATCTATAAAGTCAGGTACTAATATGGGCCTAATGGGGTTGTTCTGGAGAGTAGAAGAGTTGATATGGGCAAAACATTTAGAATTGTGTCTTGCTTAGAGGTGTTTTTCAAATCAGTACTACAGAGGTTCCCCAAAATTTGGTATGTATTTAATTTTAAATATACTCTAAACTATATTAAAAACTGCAATTTACAAAAGGATACACACTCAAAACTGTCCCATATCAACATTAACACACAGCAAAACACCAGTGCCTCAACTTGCCTTCCTCTTGTTGACCTTAAATCTGGTAAATGATCTGATCTAAATTTTTAATATAAAGCTATACTAGCAAAATATCTCATCCCTTTGTTGGAGCTCTAAGGAGAGATTTCACTTGAAAATAGAGTATATTTTCTGGAGAAGATGACTGAGACCATGCTTATCTACTCTGATTGGTACATGATAGGATTTGATGCCATACACTTCCAAACATACGCAAAAACAGCAAAGTTTGACATATTTGAAGGAATAGCCTTGTTCCAGCTGGAAGGAAGAGAGGGCAGTCATGATTTGTTAAAATCGCCAGTGTCTTTGACCTCGTGTTCTACTGCAGTTACAAAATGTGAGGCATCAAGATGGTGTCAGTCTTCATCTCTGCCCACCCAATGGAAAGGAACTTGTTCCAGAAATGGTAAACTGATAGAATGCTCTTTCACAAGGAATACCTTGGCCGGTCCCCTTGAGCTGTTTTTATTCATTTATTCCAGAAATGAGAAGTAACAACCTACCATACTACAGGTATCATGCTGGGTGCTGAGGTTGTAGTGGTGAGGAGAACAAGGCAGACAAGTTCCCACTGTCATTGAGCATAGGGCTCTCAGGAAAGAAAGGTGTTAAACAATAAGAGGAAGTATGAAAAGTCCTATGACAAAGGAAGTAAGCACTCTACCATGAGAGCTGGAGTAACTCAGGTCTAAAGGGGACTTTCCTGGACTGTCCAGAGAAAGAAAGACTTAAGCTGACATCTCAACATAAGTTGGAGGAGTTGGTTCAGTGAAAAGAAAATGCAGAGAGGTCAGGAACAGAACAATATTCCAGCTGGGAGAAGGGCATGCATGAAGGCATAGAAACCAGAGAGCATACCACGTTTGCAGAAGTAAAAGAAACTGAGTATGGCTTAACCCTAGAGCTGGTTCTGTCACTATAACAGCCCTCATTTTTCAACATGCTTACTGGTCTATCACTCAATGTATTTCTTGGCCTTTAATTCCCTTCCTTCCTTCTTTCCATCCTCCCTCCCTTCCCTCCCTCCCTCCCCCGCTTCCTTCCTTCCTTCCTTCCTTCCTTCCATCTTTCTCTTTCTTTCCTCTCTTTCTTTCTTTTCTTTCTCTTTCTTTCTTTCTTTTCCTTCTCTTTCTTTCTTTTCCTTCCTTCCTTCCTTCTTCTTTCTTTTCTCTTTTCTTTCATTTCATTCCTTTTTAAAATTTCAACTCTCCTTTGATTGCTGCCTGTCCCATTACAATATCCACTTTTCCAGATGGTCGCTACTCTTTGCCATATGTCCAACGCACCTTCAACTTTTTGATCTTCTCCAACGTCTCTGACGTTGCTTTCCAATCTTGGTATAAATGACACCTTCTTGTCTGGTGGCTGCCCCAGAGCTTTTCTCATCTGTCTTTCAAGGGACTCAGGTTTCACACCCACAGATAGCAATCTTCAAAGAGAGATTGACCCAGCGTAATAAACTTTCCAGGCTGGCCTTTGCAAAATGAAGTAAAGTCTTTGATCCCTCTCTGGTTGCCCCTTGGAATGAAATGAACCTTTTGAAGTAAAGTTCGGCACACTAAGAAATGACAAAACAGGGCCAGGGGAGTTACAAGGTTAAGACAAGGATGATGCTGCATGTAGGTTATTTTGTTAAAGTATGGATTTGGAGAGATTATCCAAGAACCTAGTTTAGGTTTAGGCTGTCAAAATTATCATCAGAAACTAGTTAATAATTCAAGCTGAAAGATCTTCCCCCACTATCCTGGCTGTGTGCACCAGGGTGGCAATTCCAAATCATTACACATTGTCCCCGTAAGAACTTTCCAGAATGTATTCCAGATGCCATACAAATCAATACTCAGATTCATTTTGCACAGTCCACAAATATACACTATCTGCCTTCTAGAATTACACCTACAAACACATGGGTCTTGCCTGTGAAGTTTATGCAACAGTGGACAAACAACAGGGCCATCTGAACACCAGCTCTCAACAACACTGAAGCCTTATGATTCACATCAACAAGGAAGGGAATCCCAAAATGCCAAGTTCACTTTGTAATCAGGTTTACCAGGCAGGAATCGTTAAGAGTTGCTCCAAGGCCTGGAAACTAGCCTCCAAATAATTCAATCCACAGTTTTCTCACTAAATCAGCTACATGTGCTAAAGACCAGTTAAAGCATGTGTTAATTAGCTATCCCCCAGATGAAGACCACAACCAGCCTCAACCAGGAAGTGTGATTACACGGTGCTCAATTCTATCACTTCCAGTTGCCAGTAGGTGGCACAAATTCAAAAATATTTTAAATTTCAGCTTTCTTTTTAAGTAGGTCCAAATGTGTCAAACCCAATCTTTGATGCTCTTGCCACATCTGTGTGAGATTAGAAGCAGTGAGAGAAATGTTTGTGAAGGGGATGGATATAACCAACTTCAATTTACCATGTTTTTAAGTAAGTTTGGCAATTTCCCTGGAGGGTGTGAAAAAACCTTGTGGTACAAAGCATTTGATCCATTGTATTATTTTTACAACTCATCATAAGGAATTGCTCTGTTGCGTAGATTTTATTCTCTTGCCAACTCTTGGGTCCTGGGTCTTTTTATTGTCTGTCCACACTCAACACTCTTGAGTTTTGAAATATTATAGTTCAAACTTTTCCAAAGAGGATGAAGCTGGCAGCTTCTGATGGACAGTCACTCTCTTCTTAGTCTACAAGATAGACGTCTAATAGGTGTCAAGATTTTTTAACTCTCAAAAAGAAGCTTTTGTAAAATGCATTTTTATTATGCATTCAGTAGGCAGAATTATGTGGAAATGAGAACTGGGAATGTGAAGAAATCAAATTTCAATTCATGGAAAAAAATCTGAAATAAATATTTAAATTAGGATCTGCAAACTATGGTTTGTAGGCTTTCAAGCTGGGTCATTTGAAAGCAAAAGGAAACATACAGTGTAGGAGACACAGCAAAAAGTTTTCTGTCTTATAGAACCGAAGAGAAAAACCTAGTATCTGTATGTTTAAAAAAAAAATTGGAAAGATGAATCAAGCAACACTCAGAAGCCCCTTAGAGGTTTTGAAAGATTAATGGGTTCTGTCAGCAACTTTCAAATTCTTCAGGAAAGACTACCATAAAAACAAAAAGTATTTTGGTTATTAAGGGTTTCTTTCTGGTGATACCAAAGAATCAATTCACATGTACCTATATGTATACATATATATGTAGAGGTATATATTTTTCATGTATACTTTCTATGCACAGTTTTCCCAGGTTATTAGCTTTTTGCTCCCTCTTGATGTATAGAGAAGCAAGACTCAGACTGATTTCATTTCAAACAGATATTGAATTTCTACCCATCAGCTATGGTGAGATTTTCCCCAAGCCAGCTTCCTCACTTAGTGGTTCCATCCCTGGGTGATCTGCCAATTACCACACCAGGTTATTACTGTGACTGTTTAGGTTTGGAAGCAAAGAACTAGTCCCAGATTGCCCTACGTTGTTGATTACTCCTACCTAGCACAGTGTAATTCAAAATATGGTCCCTTGAGCAGTAGTAGCAGTCTTACTTAAGAACTTGTTAGAAATGCAAATTTTAATTTTAAAAAATTCCCTACTATATATTGACAAATAATTGTGTATATTTATAAGGTACAAAGTGATGTTATATGTATACAATGTGGATACATTGTATACATATAACATGTAGAAAGGAATATACCACTATTCTACTCTGCTACTGTGAGTTTGATTGTTTTAGATTTCCTCTGTAAGTGAGAACATGCATTATTTGACTTTCTGTTCCTGGTTTAGCATAGTGTTCACTTAGCATAATGTCCTTCAGATCCACCCATCTTGTTGAAAATGATAGAATTTCCTTCTTTTTTTAAGGTTGAGAAGTATATCTTTGTGTATATATGCCACATTTTCTCCATTCATTTGTTGATAAACACTTAGGTTGATTCTATAACTTGGCTATTGTGAATAATGCCTAAATTGTACATAGGAGTGCAGATATCTCTTCAATGCACTGGTTTTAAATCTTTTGAATATATATCCAGAAGTGGAATTGCTAGATCACATGGTAATCCTATTTTCAGTTTGTTGAGGAACCTCCATGCAATAAATATGGCTGAAAAAAAGGAAAAAATATAGTGATGACTCTGGGGAGCCACCACATTCTCAGCTTCTTCTAGGCAGCTAAGAATATTTTAAGGAAAATTAAAATTTTTACCTTTGTAGAAAACAAAGCACACCTTAGGGTTTCCTTTCTCTTCCTACTAATCCCCAGTTTCCTTGTCTTGATCTATGTAGCTTCCTTCTCCCTTACCAAGGATTACATTCCTTGGTAATCCCAAGCTCAAAGAGCTTCCCAGATTATGGCTGGGGAACAAATAACCACCCCACATAATAGAAGGAAGTTTATCAATGGAATCATTAGACAAAGCTGAAACCAGATACTTCAACTAGATCTTAAGAACTTAATCTTCTTGCCTCTGTTTTTCCCCAGGTAGGTTTTTATTCTCAGGCAATTTTCTTCATATTCTGGCCTCCAGATTCCCAGGTTTTTATTCTCAGGCAATTTTCTGCATATTCTGGTCCCCAGATTCCCAGGCTTGATTCCAACCACATCTAGTGATCTTTTTAAGACCAGCAGAAAGACAGCATCTTATTCTCAATGTTTCCAGTAAAGTCCCTGGTCATAGTGACCATTTCTGAATCAATCCTTGTAGCCAGAAGGTTAGAAAATTTGGACTGGAAAAGTCTAGGTTATGCAACACCCTCCTTAATAGAAGAAGAGTGAGTCTTCAACTGGAAATCAGGGTGCTATTACTAGGAGAAAGGGGTAGGGATTCCAGGAGGAGGAAAACAAGAAATGTCCTTATAAGGACTATGCCTAGTCTTTGCAGCTCTTTGGTTATTCTGCAAAACCAACTAACAAGTAGTCATTGAGGCCAAGACACATAGCTAGAAATGAAATGGGAAGACCATATACAGTAGGGTTAGACAGGTTGTTTTCCCCACTCTTAAGGGAGGCTCATTTGCCTGACAGAAAGCAACCTTCTTCTGTGTCTCATATGAAAAGTGAAAAGTGAAAGGTGAGGACCATCTGACTCTGATGCTCTCAGCTATGTGAGCTGAGAGCTTTCTGAGCTCCAATTTTCCCCTCTGCCCAATGGGAACTAGTACCCATCTCAGAGGTTCCTATGGGGATGATTTGAAATAATCCTTGTAATCCAAGCTGCTTAGCACAGTACCTGGCACTTAGTAAGTACTTAATAAATGTTAACTAATATTGTTGTTCATATTATTAATTATTCACTTTTCTGAACCTCAGATTCTTCCTCTGCAAAATGATGACAATATTTTCTACCTCACAGGATTGCTAACAGCATTAAATGAGATATCATCATAAAATGCCCAACATATAGTTGTGCGATAAGTATTTCTACCTCCTTCGTTGTCATTTCTCTTCTTTTCCCTGAGTCATATCCTCAAGAGGATCACTGAAAATGCAAAGGAGATATGTCATTGCATCTTGTCTGAAATAAGGACAACTGTAGTAGCTGTGTCCCTAACCAACTGATAATTCTACCCATGGCTTGGGATTTCCCAGCCATGATGATAAAGGTCCCTTCAGCTCTGCATAGAAATGTCAGAAACAAAGGTAAAGTATGGTAAAGTATAAGGTAGGTAAAACATCGTTCTCACTCTCTCTGCTTCTTCACATCCAGGCTTTACTTATGCATTGTCTACACATGAAATATAGCAGTCCTCTGCCCTACCACTCATTGCCCCCATTCCCACTTTTCAGAGGCAAGTCTTAAAGCTATTTCTTTGTATTCACCATCATATTTCCAAACAATACGTTCTTCACTTTATGTCCGAATTCTATTTTTCCAGTTTAGGCATTACCTGTTGACTTGCTACTATGAAAGAGGAAGATTTTCACTTTTGCCCCACCAGCCTGCCCCCACCATCTTGAGTCCCTCATTCTCATTCTCCACATATAGCTACACCACAAGTTTTGGTTACATAGATATTCAGTGGTTACCTAAATATCGATCAAAGTGAGCCATGTGCTGTGTTATGGATTATATTTCTTTTCTTGCATAACAAGTGTCAAAAAATTATGAAAAACTTTCAAATGGGAAAACAAGAATTAATGGCTCACCCATCCAGGCTGTCTTTGCCTTTTTTTTTTCTCTTTGGCCTATTTAACAATTCTGTAAGTTATAGAAAACCAGTATGAATGCAAGTTACTGTTATCGATTGAAATGCGAATTGATTGTGTATGGTGGAATGCTGGGGTAGGCAGAATTCTGAAATGACCTCCCAGTGACCCACATCTTAGAATAATCTCTTCCCCTTGAGTGTGGGCAGAACTTGTGAAGATATCATTCCTATGATTATGTTATATTATAGGGCAAAAGGGAGATTATCCCAGTGGGCCTAATCTAAGCACATAATCCCTAATCACATGAGCCCTTTAAAGTAAAGGGTTTTCTCCGGCTGGTGGCAGAAGAGGGAATCAGAGTGATTCAAAGCACCAGAAGTATTTGACAGGCAGTTGCTGGCTTTGAAGGTGAGGGGGGTGTGTGCAAGGGCCAGAGAGGGGTTTCTAGGAGTTGACAGCAATCTCAGTGAGCAACAAACAAGGAAAACGGTGTCCTTAGTCCTATACCCACATGAGAAACAATTCAACCAGCAACCTGAATGCACCTAGAAGCTGATTCTTTCCCAGAGCCTCCAGATAGAGCCCAACCAGGCTGACACCTTGATCTTGACCTCAAGAGATTCTAAACAGAGAACTCAACTGAGCTCATCTAGACTACTGACCTACAGAACTGTGAGATAATAAATGTGTGTTGTTTTAAGCTGTGAAATTTGTGGAAATTTGTTAGACAGCAACAGAAAACTAGTAGGACTCAATTGATTATTGCTTTCTGAATAGACCATTTTGCTGAATAGACCAAATTGATTCCAGAAGTCCTTGTTCCCTATCTGTGCTTCTGCTCTTTGAATTCACCCTTTGCACTGGTTGTAGAATTTTATTAGTTCCTTTCTAAAGTGATGAGTTAATAAAATCTTCGGTACATGTTCTTTTTATATTATAGTAGGCTTTATCTTTTCTTAAAGTTAGTCTTTAACACTGAAATGAACATTTTTTTTTCCATTTGTGTTATCCTCTGTGTGCCTGTTATTCATTCAGCCTCAAATTTTTTTTTCTTTCTAAAACTCCATTCAATATGTAAATCATATCAAGTAGTTTATCAACCATATTTTCCCCACAAGACATCTCTCCTAGAGCCCTCAATTCTGCTACTGCAGTTGGGAACGAATATCCTCTAAGGCTGCTACAGAGATGTCATCCTGGAACTTCTCTTATCACTACTCTGAATTTCCTTCACTTCTTTTTTTCTTATCCCATTTTTTGGATTATGTGATTATACTCTCGTTCTGCAGGACAGCCTCCTTCAGTAGCTTCCTGAAAAAGGACATATGGGAGGTTTTTTGAAATCTTGCATGTCTAAATAGATTTTTCTCCCAATTTTACTTGAGTATAATTATATGTTGTAAATAATTTTCTCTTGGAATTTTGAAGACATCGTATATTTGTATTTTAGCTTTTATTCCCCTAGAGAAGTCTTATGCTATCCTAAACCCAACTCTTTGTATGTGGCTTGTTCCCATTGTCTCACTGTCACCACTTCTGAAGATTTTAGAATCTTATTTTTAGTCTGCAATGTAATGGAATTTCATAAGGATGTGCCTTGGTGTGCGTCCTTTTAAATTCAGAGTATTGACCAACAGATGGATCCTTTCCATACATAAACTCAGGCTTTATACTTGACTCTCAGTGGCAAGCAATGTAACTGACCACTCTCTTCCTGAAACACTCCTGTATTTGACTTGGCTAATGTCTCACTCTTCTAGTTTTCCTCCCAGCTCTCTGCCGACTCCAACCTCCTTTGATACTAGTATTCTAAATGATGATTCTGGGCTCTCTGTTTTCTTTTGTCTTAGAAGAACTTTCATAAGCTTTAATTACCATCAATATCCCTTAAATGGCTTTAAATACCATCAATATAGTCTTTCCTCTCAAGGCTTTAAATACCATCTATATGCCAACTATGCTCAAACACATTTGTAGCAAATTTCTCAGCTCCAGATATTACATGCAATAACCTACTTGACACCTCACCTTTCAAACTTAACATGTCTCAAACTAAACCTTGATCTTTCATTTTAGTTCAGTGACCCCCCTTTTTAGCACCCAGTTGTAGGATCCAAAGCTAAGAATCATCTTTAGCTCCTCTCTTCCCCTTATTGTCGTATGTGAGCCCATCTAATCCTGTCACTTCTACCTGTTGTACATCTCTTGAATCCACCTTTTTCTCTCAATCTCCACAGTCACTTACCATCACTGCTTTCCTGGTATATACAACATCCTCCCAACTAATTTCTTCACATCTTTTTCTCCAACTCATCTCTTCTCAAAACAATAGTTTGAGTGATCAAGTTTTAAGATGCAAATCTAATCACTTTAGTTTTCTGGTTAAAACTCCTCAGTAGTTTCAGAATGCATCTAGAATAAAATCCGATATTCTTAAGGGACATAGAGGCCCAAATGACCTGCCTGGTACCTCCCATTCCTTTCCCCTGCACTGCTCTCCCTGTTCTCCTTTCACTCAGTCACGATGGTTTTGGTCAGTGTGTTAAATGTGCCAGCCTTTTTCCAGCTCAGATCCTTTCCCTGGAATGTTTCAATCTCTCTTTTCATATGGCTTTTACCGCTTAGGAGCTAGGATAAAGTCACCTTCCAGAAAGGATTTTTCTGATCACCACAGTATAAACAAGGGCCCTTGTTCAATCCTTCACTCTTTTTCTTTGGTAATACCTACCAGAATTTTGTAGCATTTGTGTAATGTATTTGTTTCCTATTTTTCTATTCCGCTAGACTGTAGCTTCCACAAAGGCAAGAACTGTGTCTGTTTGGTTTACCACTATCCCCAGAACCTAGCATGGAGACTTATCTACTGAAGGAATGATTATTCACTTGGAATTTTAGTAACGTGATTCCAGGTCGGGCTCCTCCACTTTACTAATTGTACAAATTTGGGCGACTTACCTTTCACATCCTTAGTTTGCCTGACTGTAAAATGAGGATGACAGCATGTATTTTACATGGCTGTTGTGAGAAATTAAAGGAGAATTTCATGAGAGGAAGTTTGCACAGTGCCTGGCATGTATTAAGTGCTCAGTGATTTTAAATAATAATAGTGATTGTGAAAGCCTATAATTTGAGATCCAAGAGTGAGAGAAGTGGGATAAAAAGTCAAATAAAGAATCTTGATAATTTCAACATCAAGTGACATAAACCTCTATTTATGTTTGTAATGACAATCTTATATACTTGGTTATCCCACCATCTGTGTTCTACAAGTGGATGAATATAGAAGATATTGTTGTCTACTCAAAAATTCATTTCTTCTCTTTTTCTCTTACTGATAGAACATCTCCTCCCTCTTTCCCCACCCAGAGATCCATTCCCTCCTCCACAACTCATATGCCTCAATGGCAGTTGCCCCCACTCCCAGCTCAACTGGATTCAGACTAGTCAAACCAGTCATGGGGTGTCCCACTTCCCCCAGCAGTGATTGATTTTGTAGTGGACACATAACTTAGTTCTTGTCAAAGAGATGAGCAGGGAGCTCTGCTGGGGGTTGGTAAGGGGCTTGGGAAAATATTTTTTATTTTAAAAAACATGAGAATAAACCATTCCTCTCCTATCTCTGGATCCTGGCCATGGCATCTGAAACTACACAAGTATCTTGTGACTAAACGAGGAATCAGCCCTAGAAAGAAGCTGTTGCAGAGCAGAGAACTGGGAGGAGGAAGGGTCTTTGATGACATCGTGGAACTGCTGTTGTACCATGCCTAAGACTCATCTCCTGCTCCTGGCTGTGGGAGGCAATTTCCTCTAATATTTAGGTCTAAGTCAGGGCATAATGTTACATGTATCCCAAAGCATCACAGTTAGGACCTGGGGAAGGGCGTTAGCTCTTTATCAAACACTGTATGGTCTGAGGGCCACAGGACCTCTGACTGCCCTTCTAACTTTGAGATAACATAATGACATCTAGTCATTTATTAGACAAAAGTTACTCAAAGGGATGAGGAGGAGGGAGTTTGAAAACACTTGCCAGTAAACAGAATTCCACATTTCAGTTTTTGTAAGTGGTTGGGGTGATGTAAACTCACCACTCCCAGCTGCAGGACTGTGCCACAATGGCTTCAGTGAATAGGCTCTTGTTTCCACAACATTATTCTTCCACAGCCTTGCCAGATGGAAAACATCATGTGTTTTTCCTCTGGAGATAGGGGATCAATTCATTTTCCAAGTGTATCAAAAGAACATTCATTGCTCTCTTGGACCCTGTTTTAGATAATTTCTTCTATTTACCCCAGAATTCAGAGACACTAAAAGGGAAGTCGTAGGTTTCTCAGGCCCCCCTGAAAAGGAAACAGGCAAAGGTCTGATTGACCCATCAGGCCAGAGGGCACTGGTATTAGGGGAGCTCTGAAGATTTTGTGGTCCAAAAGGCATGGCACTCATCATGCAGTTTCTTGCTGTATACCTGGGTCTGTATTAGACCTGGGGAATATTGGAGAAAAGTTAGTGGCATTGCATTTTATGTCAAGCTAGTTTCCAAAGTTAACACCTAAGGCAAAATTGCATGTGGTCAAAAGTGTTCTCAAAAGAATCCTTAAATAATTGATGTAAAACAATGCACATAGTTTGCTGTGGACAACCCTGTGTATGTATGTATATGTCTTTATAAATGTATAATGTATTTGGTAATGTGCAGTAGCATGTAATAAAGACAGCAGTGAATGAAAAATATATATCTTGGTTAGAATAAAAATTAGCAAGGCAAGGTGCCCACACTATGAAAGGCCAGAGGGAACTGAGACTACAAAGGGAACAGCAGTTTTATGTCTCCCAACTGGGGCTCAAAGGGCTATTCCTTTCTTAAATGAAGCCCATATAGTTAAGTTTATATTCAATTTCTTCATTGGAGGGTTATGGCTTAAAGTCTCTTTAGTTTCTTAAAGAATAGAAACTAAGAGAGAGACCAGAGGGCTGGGATGGATTTACATATCCAACACCAGGAGGCTGTGTGTGTTTGTGCTAGAGATTCACATACCTGCCCAGGTGTTCCAGTGCAAGGAAGCTGGTGATTGTATCACAGAAAAATCAATAGGTGAATTGTAAAATGATTAACTGAATAATCTGCTGCCAAATCAGATCTGAAATGTACTGGAAAATACTGAAGGCTTAAGAAAAAGTCATTCCTTCAATGCCTTCTTTCTTTCCTCTTTCACTGCCCACTTCAGAGAGTTATTATAAAAATTTGATCTTTGCAAATGTTTGTTGTGAATTTCACAGTATAGTAATTTTGTATTGTTTTAAGAGGCAGGAAGAACTGGTTCTGAGGTCATGGAATCATCTACGTAGGTGGTGAAGAGTTGTGAGGGGCTTTGCACATGGCCCCTGAAAGAGCCTGGAGATTGCCTGGGTTTCGGGTGAAGGTGGCTAAAAATCTGTTGCAGTCAGAAGCCCCAGATTTTCAGGGATCAGGGTAATGAATGCTGGAACTCTTATAAAAGGCATTATAGGTGGAGGAGAGGAGCCTAAATTTGATGGAGAGCCCAGTATTGCTAAGGAATTTACCTTGGATGGACCCAATCAAAGTGAAGAAAGGGGCCCCACCTGCTCAATGCCTCTAATTTCTGGGCTCTAACTAATGATCAAGAAAATGTATTAAGAAGTTCTAGACTAGACTCCTTCCTCTCCTTACTCCACTGAAATTCTGATAGGATTAGGAGACGGAAGAAACTTAGAGTCTATTGTCTTTCATGCATTTCTGACATTCAAACAGGGCAATAGATCATATGTCATTTAGCACCATTTTTCAGTTTTTGGACTTGTGTTTCTTTTCTGTCTCCAATTTGTTCAAGAAGAATTGGAGGGCAAAATTTATCGAATGGACTTCTCTGGGGCTTCCTCCAACATTTTGCCTCACCTGGCACTGTATGGGCGACTCATGAGCCTCCAGCGCAGGTTCCCACACATCTGCTCTTGCTTCCTGCTGTCTATTCACCAGCTGCCAGAGCCCTCTTTACAAAACATGTACCACAGCGCTGCCCAGCAGAACCATAATGCGAGGCACATGTGTAAGTTTAAGTGTTCTAACAGTTACATTAGTAAAAGTAAAAAGAAACATGGGAAATTCATTTTAATAATATCTTTTCTACAACCCATTAATATATCCACAATATTATTACTGCAATATGTAATCAATATAAAAATCAATGAGATTTTTGCATTCTGTTTTTTTATACAGTCTTTGAAATCCAGTATGTACCTACACTTACAACACACCTCAATGAGGTCTAGGCACATTTCAAGTGTTTGATAGCCACATGTGTCCAGTGGCTACCATAATGGACAGTACAGATGCAACTGACGGTCCTTGCTCAAAACCCCTTGTTTTCCATTGCAGGATTTTCCTCATCTAGTGTGTATTTTTTATGCATGTAAGTTCCATGAAGCCAGGGCTTTGGGGGTATATCTCCGGCATCTAGAATAGTACTTCACGTGTATTAGTGACACAACAAATATTTGCTGAAAGAGCTAATTATTGAATGGGTGTGCATTTTATCTAGGAATGAAAGAACGTAGAACATGGTCTAGAAAGATATACACCAAAATTACAACCATGATTACTTGGTGGAATGATGGGTTGGAGGGAGCGATCATAAGAAATTTCATTTGTATGTGTTATGTTTTCACTTTTCACATACGTTTTCATTTTTATATGTATTTCGATATTACTTGTATAATGAAAAATAAAAATATTTTAAATATAAAAAAGAAGATAGTGACTATTTATAAACAGAAAAACTGGTGGCAAAGATCAGGAAGAATTAAAATAGAAAAGAACCAGGCTATGATGTTAGTTTCCGATTGCTGCTGTAACAAATTACTATAAACTTAGTGGCTTACAAAAACAAAATTTATCTTACAGTTCTGAAGATTGGAAATCTGAAATGGGTCTCAAAGGCCTAAAACCAAGATGGCAGCAGAGCCACTGTCTTTCTGGAGGCTCTAGGTGAAAATCCAATTTATCTATTTTTTTTTTTTTTTGCCTTTTCTGGCTTCTAGAGACTGCCCACATTCCTTGGCTCATAGCTTCCATCCACCTTCAGAGCCAGCAATCACACCCTCTGACGTCTGCTTCTGTCATCATGTCTCCTTCTCTGACTCTTACCTCCCTCTTTCACATATAAGGACCCTCATGATTGCATCCAGCCTACTTGGATAATCCAAGATCGCTGCCTCATCTTAAGACCCCTAGCTTGATTACATCTACAAAGTCTCTTTGCCCTGTAAAGTCATATATTCACAAGTTCTGGAGATCAGGATGTGGACATCTTTGGGGGTCACTATTCTGCCTACGATGGTCACCTTATCATATTCAACTGACTGGCTGCCTGTGACACGGAGTTAAGTGTGTGCTTTGGAATCACCCTGTCTGTGAGTCACTAAGTGAAGCCCTTGCAGCTACTCCTGGTCATAGAACCCTGGCCCACTCTCCAAATTGATTATTTTCAGAAATCAGAAGAGACTGATCTTGGAATTCCTGCAATTTTTACCTGTTATTTATCCTCTTTTTGTGAAAAGTGGTTGTTTCCTGAACTTGTGGTGTGACCCATCTTGAAGATGGCCCCCAGTGATTCCCATCTCCTGGAATTCATGTCCTACATAATCGTCTCCCCTTGATGGGAGGATAAATTTATCCACTTCCTTCTAATGAGTAGAATATGGCAGAAGCAATGGATGTTATCCCCAATATTTGCTTATAAAAGACTGTGGCTTCGGTTTTGGGTGTCTTCTCTTTCTCTCTCTCTCTCGTGCTCTGACAGAGGTCAGCTTCTAAGTTGTGAGCTGCCCTATGGAGAGTCTCTTGAGCCAAGGAACTAATATTGCTGGTGAGTAGCTGGGGAGTACCCTAGGCCTGCCAACAGTCAGGTGAGTTAGCATAGAAGTAGATCACACCCGAGAGCAGCTGTGAGATGACTGCAGCCCTGGTTGACCCACTGACTGTAGCCTTGTGAGACCCTGAACCAGGGACACCCAGCCAAGCTGTGCAAATAGCTGCAGGATAATAGAGGCTGCAAGATAAGGGGAGAAAAAAATGTGTTTTTAAGCCCTTAGGTTTTGGGATAATTTGTTACACAGCAATAGATAACCAATACAGATTTCTTCCTTTCTTCCTACCTACCTTCTTTCCTTTTTCCTTTCTTTCTCTTCTTCTTTCTGTCCTTCCTTTTTCTTTCTTCCCTTCCTTCCTTCATTCCTTCCCTTCCTTCCTTTTCCTTCTCCTTCCTTCCTTCTTTCCTTCCTTCCTTCCTTCCTTTCCTTTCCTTCCTTCCCTCCCTCCCTCTTTCTTCCCTCCTTCCTTCTTCCTCCCTCCCTCCCTCCCCTCCCTCCTTCCTCCCTTCCTTCCCTTCCCCTCCCTTCCCCTCCCTTCCCCTCCCTTCCCCTCCCTTCCCCTCCCTTCCCCTCCCTTCCCCTCCCCTCCCCTCTCCTCTCCTCTCTTTCCTTCCTTCCTTCCTTCCTTCCTTCCTTCCTTCCTTCCTTCCTTCCTTCCTTCCTTCATCTAGCCTGATCAGATCAGAGTAGATTATCTGGCTTGAAAAAGACCAAATAATAAATATTTCAGGCTTTTCAGAACACACATAATCTCAGTCTCATACTCTTTTTTTCCCACTCCCCCTCTTCGGTCTCATATTCTTTAATATTGTTTGCCAACCCAAGGAACCCAGGTATTCTGTTTCAGAAGCAGTTTCAACAAGTCTGCCTCCTTCAGTAACTCTTCTGCTCAAACCCTTTCATGGTTTCCCAGATCTTTAGGAATAAAAGAAAAAGTGCTGATGATGGTCTGCAAAGTCCTGCACATTTACTGTGCACATCTTCCTACCACACAGCTGCTCACCGTCCTTTAGCCTCACTGGCCTTCTTGATGGACCCCATATGGGTAGCCCACTCCAGCATCAAGATATTTATTTAAGTTTAAAAAAAAAAACAGACAGGGTATTGCTCTGTTGACAAGGCTGGAGTGCAGTGCCATGATCATGGTTCACTGCAGCCTCAACCACCCAGGTTCAAGCAATTCTCAAGCCTCAGCCTCCCAAAGTGCTGAGATTACACATGTGAGCCACTATACCCTTCCAAGATGTTTATGCCTGATGTTCCCTTTGCCTGCAATGCTTTTCCTCCAGAAATCCATATGGCTTCTTTCTTCACCTCCTGTCTTTCTTGACCATCCTGTTTAAAATTGCATTCTTACTTGCCAAAAACTTCATACTGCTTCTCCTCTTTCTTTTCTCATCTTATATATTAAATATGTTTATGTTGTTTATTATCTACCTTCCACTATTAGATTTTGCACTTCATGAGGCCAGGATATTTTTGGTGATCTGTTTTTCTCACTGCTGTAGGCCCAGTACTTATAAAAGTACATAGAACTTAGTAGATAATAAGTGTTGAGTGAATGATATTTTGAAAAGAGCACTAGTCTGAGTTTGAGGAGTCCTACCTTCTTATTTGACTATGTCAAGACAACCTATGTGGCTTTAAGCAAGTATAAACTATTAAGGAGAAATGATAATAAATAGATGTTATAATTGACTGAGCACTAATTTCATGTCAGGTATTGTGCTAAGTAATTCAGAAGCATAACTCATTTAATCCTCACAGCAGGTACTATTACTGGCTTTCTTTTATGGATGAGGTTTATTGAGGCTGAATTTCATCATCTGCCAAATGAAAAGGTTGTGGCCAAATAATCCCAAGCCCTCTTTCCCCCTCATAAGTTCTAAGATAATGATGTCTTTCTATTTGAAAAGACTCATTTTTTTTTTGTTTACCCATAACTCAAAGAAAGAAAGTGAAGTCTCAAAGCTCCATCACACATTTGAATCTCAATCCTACTTTCAGATAAACTACCTTTTACTTCTTTTCATTCTCATCTCAGTGTGCCGGATCTTTGGGAGGAGTCTATGGAAATGAACGATCCTGTATTATACACCTTCCACTTGAAAATAACTTCAAACACTAATACACAAGGTATGAGGTTAAATTCTTGCATTTTAAAGGAAAATCCATGATCAATTATTTTTATGGTACCTGAAAATGTTAAATGGTCATTATTGGTTTTCTATTAGTAACGGAATTCAGAGCTGTTGTCACTGAATGTTCTTTTCCCATAGCCTAATAGTCTTTCTATAACAACTTGTCTCAGGAAAATTGGATTATGGAAAAGCTTTATGAGACTCCATACTTACATCTCAAATCACACACTTGAGGGCTGGAAAGGACCAGAGTGATAACCTGAGGCAACCCTGTGATTCTGCAGAACACGGGAACGAAGGCTCAGAGAAGGTAAGCCATTTACGGAAGCACACACAGCTAAGTGGCAGAGTTGGAAACTTGAACACCAACTTATTTAATGCCAAAACCAATGTCTTTTCCATTTTATCACAATTCTTCACTGTGACCTTGAAAGGCAGATTCCTTCTTAAGATTTTATTTGAAGCAGTTTTTTTCTCTCTCTCCTACCATAACAAATGTGGCAAAAGACACTCATATGCACAGTACATTCTCATGG
This sequence comes from Homo sapiens, assembly GCF_000001405.40. NCBI lineage: Eukaryota > Metazoa > Chordata > Mammalia > Primates > Hominidae > Homo > Homo sapiens. The sequence goes on from NC_000011.10 coordinate 27,854,157, forward strand.
TGCACTCAGATTTTGATGAAAAACAATACTTTGCATGAAAGTAAACAAATAGTAGCATAGGGCATTTGCATTACCGTAATTGGTAATTGGCATGATTATGCAAAAGAATATAAGCAACAGATTAAGTGAGTTATAAACACTTCTCTGAGTTTGAGACATAATAATGAAAATGAGCCTGAGAATAATAGCTTTGACTAAATACTTATTTTGTGGCGGCCGTTATCGTAGGTGTTTTAAGCTAAGACCCAGATGCAGGAACGTATATATAGTGGTTTCCTGGATTCAAATCCTGTCTGGCATTTGCTAGGTGTTAAACTTGGACAAATTATTTAAACCATTGTTCTCCATTTAGGCTCAACTACAAAATAAGGATAACTATAGCACCTACTTCACAAGATTATTTTAAGGATTAAGCAAGTACAACACTCATTGAGGTTTTACCACTTGCCAGGCTCTGTTCTGAGCCCTCAGCAAGCATTAGCTCTCATTATCCCATTTAATCTTTACTGAAATCTATCGGGAGACAGCTCTATGAATCCAGGGATGTTTGTTTTGTTCACTGTAACAGGCACAATTATGCAAAAAGTTATAAGCAGCAGTGACTGGCACATAGTAGAAGCTTAATAAATATTTATTCAATAAATTAATCTCATGAGTTGTATACTCTTTTTTTTTTTTTTTTATTTGAGAGGGAGTCTCACTCTGTCGCCCAGGCTGGAATGCAGTGGCGCGATCCTGGCTCACTGCAAGCTCAGCCTCCCGGGTTCACGCTATTCTCCTGCCTCAGCCTCCCGAGTAGCTGGGACTACAGGTGCCCGCCACCACGCCCGGCTAATTTTTTGTATTTTTAGTAGAGACGGGGTTTCACTGTGTTAGCCAGGATGGTCTCGATCTCCTGACCTCATGATCCGCCCGCCTCGGCCTCCCAAAGTGCTGGGATTACAGGCATGAGCCACCGCGCCCGGCCGAGTTGTGTACCCTTTTAATCTTCATTTGGCAAATGAGGAAACCGAGACTTAGTCCTTTTCCTAGGATCGCATGGCTACGACACGTGATATGATGCCATATTAAAATGTGTGATGGATATGTTTATTACCTTGATTGTGGCAATGGTATTACAGGTGTATCAGTATCTCCAAACTCAGCAAATTGTATACAGTAATCACACACAGATTTTTGGTTAAAAACAGTGTGATAAGGAATGAAATCAAAATGCAATTATGTAAGCATGAGGCAATAGGGATGACCCTAAATTTGTCTTAATTAATTTAAATAATTTAATTATTTCCAATGTGGCTACTCTTACTATTTAAAGCATAAATTACTAGAGACATATCTGATGCCTAATTGGGATTGGAATACATCAGTGTACTGGAATAAACCTGGAGGCAATGCAGAGCTACCAAGGCATTAGGTGTGGGGTGATGCATGCAAAGGCATTCAAGGAAGATGAGTATAGCATGAAAGATTGGAGGGCCAGGGTCTGGGTGCAGGGTGGGCTGTATAGCAATGGAATATGTTGGAAAAGCACAGAAACTACCTTAGAGTTGCCCCAAACCATTAGGTAATTCTGTGAGCCCCACCTCCCACCACCGGATCTCACTCACCAGGACACAATGAGTAGGAGGTAACCTAATCAGGGCTGGTAAGTTCCAAGTGGCCTTCAAGTACCCCCCAGCCCAGGTAAGAAAGGCTAGATGGAGGATCTGCCTGACCCCGGGGATACTGATAGGGTCCTTTTCAGGGGAAGAGAAAAATTTGATCTGGGATTTACCTGTGACTGTCAGAAGGGATGGTGTGCACTCATGAATAATCCAGAGGGAATTCAGAACTTCAGAGTGTCTGCTGCCCTGCAGTAGGCTGGCTTAGCTGACAGTGGAGCCAGCCTGGTGGTATGACTTGCGGGGTCAATTGACCTCAAGGCACCTTTTCCTGCTTCTCTTTCTCTGTGGTTCAGCCCCACCACAGCAAACACACTGGGAAAGACTGGAGTTGGGGTACAGGGTGGGTAAGAGGGAGTAGTTTGGGGAGAGAGAAAGAATGAAGAGGAAACCCACTGGACACAGGTATTGCTTGGCCTGAGGACAAGCTACAGGCTGGTAAGCAAGTCAGGACCAATCATATATCAGCCTCAGTCTCCACTGGGGACAGCAAAGTCAGTGTGACCTCAATGCACGCCTAGTGCTTCCACCAGTGGGAACCAAGTGCAAGTCTGGAAGAAAGGGTGTGAAGAAAGACACTCTGTGAATGAGAAGGATAAGGCTGGCACAGAGGGTAGGCATCCTTGACTATCATTGGCCACAGTGTTTACAATTGTACAGGAGAGGCTATGACTACATCTACAGATGTACTGAGGGAATAAATGAAAAAAAGGAAAAGATTCCTGAATTGGTGGTTGTGTTGGGTGTGCTCTAGCCTACGGAAGGCACTATTGTGTAACAAAAAGAGCTGACCCAGAAAGACCTGGGTTCAAATCCCATCTCAGCCAGTTTCCAGTTATGTCACCTATTTGGGCCTTAATTGCATCATCTGTCAAATAAGGATGCTAATAAAATATGATAGCTGATGTTTTGGCACACTGACATATGCCAGAAACATAATATATTAGCTAGTATTATGGATAAAAGTTGTGTGCATAGATTGTCTATGTGGATTTGAGTTCCAACTCTGTGACTAAATAGTTAAGCAAACCTGGAAAAACAAACTCTTCTGAGCTCTAGTTTTCTTGTTTGTCAAATGGAGATAGTAGCAGTATCTGACTTGGATAGTAAAGGCCCAATAAATATTTGTTGAATGAATGAGGGTGGTTGAAAGGATTCCAGATGATAATGTATACAAAAAGCTAAGCCTAATGCTTGGCACATAATAATCATTCAAAAATATTAGCTATTATTATCAGATAACAGGAGTGAGTGAATGGAATAACATGTAAATTAACAGTGCATTAGCTGTTGCTTACTCAGTGTTAGATTTCCCCCACCTTCCTTCCTTTTCCAGCTCTGAGAATGACTCTTCAAAACCGTCTTATCTAGCTTTAACCTCCATCCACAGCTTAAAATTAGTCAAAATTGTAACTCAATGTAAAATCAATCTGTCCAATGAATATGAGAAAAACGGAACTGAGATTGGCACAGTGCCCTAGATGGTAGTGGATTCTTTCCCAAATCTGCACGGCTTCCTTCCTGCAGTGCCACACTGCTCATTGCACCTGGCCATCTAATATACCAGCTATTACGGGAAATCCAGCCTCATGTCCAGGGATCCCAGCCTCCTATGAGAAGATTAAGAGCAGGTACCTGGGTAAACTGCTGAACTAATTTTGTGAAGAGATGGCTCACCCTATTCAAAGCCAGTATTTTTTTCTAGATTTTTTTTTCTATTGATTCCTATGGTTACATCCATTTGGCCAACTTATCAGAAATCCTTCTTCCTCCTTTCTGGGTACTCAGCTCCTGTCCATTCAAAGCCCCAGTGAGATCTTACATACCAATTTACTCACTGTTCAGGTGCAGCAAGCTACTCAGCAGAATACAGGAACCCTCTTAAGCCCGGGGCACAGCAGCTCAGGTTAAATCAGTAATTTGCAGTGCACAAAACACTCACATACTTGGAACTCCATTCTCTATCTCTGGCTCCTGGAAGAGGGGCTGGCATGTCATGGGCACTCCACACACACTTGCTGAGTGAATGACTGTGTCACGTGATTCCCACTGCTGCTCTGAGACTTCGGTGGAGCAGGTGTTATTCTGGTCATCAACATCTATAACAAAAAGTGAAGGAGGCTCAGAGCCATAAATATCTCGAGTCAGGGAGCTGAAAGGCAGCAAAGCTAAGAAGCAGACCTTAATCTTAGTCTCTAAATCCATCGTCTTTCTAAAAACCCCTGCTTAACTCCATGTTTATTTTCCCAACTGTGTTTGAAGCCCCTCAGTGGCAGTCTGTCTGAGAAGCCCCTGTGTGGAGACAGATGCTTTCTCCAAGTGGAGCTCACACTCTGATGTTCTTCATAGTGTCTTCTTGACTCAAGGTGTGGGTTTTGCTTATTTCAGGCTCCATCCCTGCCTCAGCTTCAGATACCAACCTGATCTTTAATTTGCCAATATGGAAGACTGCCGAGCTCTACTCCTGGCTTCCAGGTCCAGCACATTCTCTTACCCATGCCTGACTGTGCTAGGACTACCAATCCTTCGGTCAACTCCAGACCCAGTGCTATAGTGTCATTTCTTCATGAAGTCTGCTATAGTCAGCCCTTTGGAATATATATATATATAGCATAGGATTTGACAGTAGTTGTCCAAAGTTGGGGTAAGAGAGGATTTCAGTTTCTACTTTATGTGTTAGTGAAATAAAAAAATTTTTTGACAAAGGTTATTACTTTTATAATTAGCAAAAACAAAGATAATTTCATAGAGATTTTTACAAAAAGATTTTTGTCATCAGCTCAGTGAGACTTATGAAAATGCCTCAGCAGACAACTAGAATTCACAAATTGTCTTGAATTGTTTCACCCCATTCACTTGTCCACTTCTTGCTTTGCTCACTGAGCGGTTCCTTCAAGTTACCAACTCTAGTTTTGATCTCTCAGCTTGTTTATTTTTGTTCTTCTCCCTTTGCTCATACCTCCTTGAGGTCCTAGAACTCCCTTTCTGGTCAACGGGCCAATGATCTTTGAAGGTGAACTTCATCAAATGGGGAAGATCCAGGCATTTAGGTCCCAAAGGAAAGATGGTTGGTATATAAAGCTCCCTGCTCTGACTCCATAGGAATTCATATTCTTGCCACACCCTTAGGCATTAGGTTAAATACCCAACAGTTCTCTCATCGGTTCTTGGTATTTGCCTTATTTTTCCAACTGCATTTTAAATTCCTCAAAGGCAGATATCTTAAGTAATAGTTTTCTTTATCTTACCTAGAAGGAGCTAAATATGTTTTCTATGCCCTGGACCCAGATTCTCTCCCTGGTAAAGGGCGTTTCCCAACAGTATTTTGCAAAAGACATTTCCCAGAACTCTCACTTGCTGAGAATCTCTATCACAGGTTTATATGATAAGTGATTAGGCTCAAACTATTTATCATGGTTTACAAAGTCCTTCATAATTGAGTACGAAACTATGTCACCAGGTTCATCTTGCATCCTGTTTGCTTCTCCTACACACGCAGCCCAGTTTCCAGTCATAATTAATTTCTTCACCATTCCACAAATAAAGCATCACCATCACTAGTAATCATCATTATTCATTATGGTTTTATATGTTGATGACTTTGCCTGTTGTGTATAGAATGTCTTTCCTTCCCCTACCCAACCTGACAAGCTCTTCTGCTGCCTCCAAGACCCATTTCAGATGACTTCTCTTCCAGAAAAACCTTCCTTAGATCCTGAGACCGAGCTAGTCTGTCCTTTCTGTGTGCTCCCACAAAGCTTTGTTAAACACTAGTCACCTCAACTATATGATATTCTCTCTCTGACTACCTCAAGGTAAGACTTGGGTCTTATTCCTTTTGGGGCATCCCTAGCAGCACCTTTTATAATATCTGACAGAGTTGGCATTCAATAAATATGTGTTGAATTAATGCATGGGAGAAAGAAGTGTTCTCCAGGTAGTTACCATGATGGATTTGAATGCAGAGTGATGGTGAACAATGAAAGAAAGGAGGGGGAGTCATTTTACTGGAAGTCAAAGGGATTAGCTCTTGCATCATGCAGTGCAGCTGACCGCTCCCAGAAGGGAGACGTCCAAATGTAAGATGCAGTGCAGAACATTAAATATTGAAAGCAAAAGTTAAATATTAAATTTTAATATGAAACATTAATGCCAATAAACAAAACCAGCCAGAGAGGGACAAAATTAGGACCAGGCCGTGGTCAAAAAGGAAAGAGTCATGGCTCAGACTGAAAGCTGACCATGGCCTGGACTTTCCCAGCAGGGCTCATTGGTAATGGTCACACCCATCGAATTTCCCGGGAGAAGCAGTTGAAGGGGGGAGAAAACCTTTTATAACCCACAGCCGTAAAACTCAAGTCTTTCCTACAAAACAAAACACAGTAAAGTGTTTTAGGACCGCCAAGGCTTCAGAACTCATGGTACAGTGGAACAAAAATAGAGGCAGCAGAGAGGAAAATATGAGGTTGCTGAACCCTTGGGGCAGGAATCCTATCTTTGCTTGCACTGTGTGGGACTGGGCTCGTGTGCAGCCAAGTTGGGCAGAAAGAAACAACAACAAGAGTCATAAAAGGAACAAAAATAATGGGCTGCTCCTGTTGATGCCAATGGGTGTTTTGCCTGAATGGAAAACAACCCTGGGAACAGAATATTGAAACTAGTGCTCAAGATCTACACTCATTAGGGCCCAAAGCTTACTCCACCTGGAGATTCAGCAGCACTGTGTCTACTGTGACTGTTCAGGGTCAAGGGCCTTGTAGGACTCAAGCTAGGCCTGAAAGCTCATAAATTGTGTGTTTTCCATCAAAAAGCTAGTCACTTTGGTTGGTAAAACTGTTGATATGGTTTGGCTGTGTTCCCACCCAACTCTCATCTTATCATGGGAGGGACCCTGGAAGAGGTAATTGAATCATGGGGGTGGGTGTTTCCTGTGCTGTTCTCGTGATAGTGAATAAGTCATGAGATCTGACGGTTTTATAAAGGGGAGTTTACCTTGCACAAGTTCTGTCTTTTCTGTTGCCATATAAGATGTGTCTTTTGCCTTCCACCATGATTGTGAGGCCTCCCCAGCCATGTGGAACTGTGAGTACATTAAACCTCTTTTTCTTTATAAATTACTCAATCTCAGGTATGTCTTTATCAGCAATGTGAAAACTGACTAATACAACTGTCATTAGGCAAGGCGTTGGGTTAGATATCAGAAAGGTTTGGGTAACTTATTCCTGCACCTATGTTCAAATCTTGCTTGATAATCTTAGTTTATGACAAGTTCTTATTCTAAAAATGAAAGCTAGACCACAGGACCAGATCAGATTCTTTCAGGACAACTGCAGTGAGGTATTAGGAATCAAAATCCGTGACCATGGAAAGGAAATAATTTCAGGGCATTGGCCTTCAGGGTCAAGATGACACAGAAGACTATTTGTCTTGCTTTAAGCTTCAGAGAAGAGGGGAGAAGTGAAGAATTCTGAGAGTAAGATCCCCATCATAGCAAAGGTCTCACATAACCAGTCCCTAGGTTACAGGAAATTTAAGAGGTCACTGGATGCAAAGCCCCTACCCCAGGCCATGCTGTCACCTAATCTGGGAAAGACACAAAAGTGTTCAGGACATCAAGACAGAGGAAGTGCTCCAACAAACAAGTCTCCCATTCCCTGAGAACTCTTACAATTTCCAGGGGAAATATGGATGTGATGATAAAGGAATGAGGGTAATTTAGCTGGAAGGATAATCTTCACAAGAAATTAGCAAGCATAAGGGGGAAAATGAGCATGGATTGGTGGTTTAATTTTAACCATATGGAAGGATTAACTGATCGGTGCTATCAAGTAACCGTATCAAGTGAAAGTCAATCAGGAGACAGCTTGGGGGAAAATTAGGTTTTCTTGAAGGAAACAAGGTATGAAAGTGGATGCTGGAGCCAAGAATCACAGAGTCCATATTATGTGATGTTTTCTTTCTTCAAGTTCTCTTTGTTTTTTGTGATATATTTTGGTTACTTTTCCTTCTTTCAAATCTATTTGAGCATTTTTATCTGGCCTGTTGCCTCTTTCTCCCCACTTTTGTCTAGCTCAACGCAGTCACATGATGCTGACGAAGGTTAGCCTTAGAAGTTAGGGTAGCCTGCTGAGTTTCAGAAGAGAAAGAGAAATTTTAATACGGGTAAACTTTGCTATTCTTGATGTATACAACCTCACCTGTGTCTACACCTGGGTGAATATAATTGGCTCCTCTGGTAGAATATTGCCTCTTATACAAATAATGTTGAGTGCATTTTACAGGAAAAAAACAGAAGTTATAGTTTGCTGTTAGCAATACCAAATTATTCTTAATGCCTCACAAAATACAGAGAAAAGATTAATGAGCCAGACGGTCAGGAATAGAGCCCAGTTTTCACACTGACTCACTGGATGACTCTGAGCTGAGCTGAGTTACTCAACATTACTGAGCTTCAGTTTCCATGCCTGGAATATTACAGGATGAGACCAGATAAGTTGTTTTCAGACTATAACCCAAGGTTCCCTGATGGTTCAGGGAGAAGGGAGGCAGAGTCCACCACAAAAGCAAAGGCAAATTTGGACATTAGCTGCTTCAGCCAGAGTAGCTTCATTTCAATAACATTATTTATATATTGGACTTTTGCATAATGGTTTATGTTTAAAAATAGATTCATGCTTTAAAAAAATTGGAAGCTCATTGGACTATAACAGATGATCACTGATACTTAACAATGCTGCCCCTTTCTGCCTCCTTTTACATAATTCGAGAATCTACCTTTCTGAATATGAAGGAATTCTAGGGATCACTTAGGTAACTTCCTTTCCTTGACATCTGAGGAAACTGAGGACCAGAAGCAGAAGAGACCTGCCCAGGACCTCATGCCAAGGTGGTGACTGAGCAAGTTTAGTCTTTTGATTATTATGGGTCAATTGCTTCCTCTACCAAATCAGTGATGGTGAAACAGTATATTAGTTTGTTAGGGCTGCCATAACTGATACCATAGACTGGGTGGCTTAAACAACAAAAGTTTGTGTCCTTACAGTTCTGGAGGCTAGAAGTACAAGATCAAGGTGCTGGCAGGGTTGGTTTCATTCTGAGATTTCTCTCTTTGGCTTGTCATCTCCTCCTCACCACCCTTCTTTTCCCCCCATGGTCTTTCCTCTGTGAGTGTCTGTACCCTAATTGCCTCTTCTTCTAAGGACACCAGTTATATTAGATTAGGGCCCATCCATAAAAGCCCATTTAATCTTAATTACCTCTTTAGAGGCCCTATCTCCAAATACAGCCTCTTTCTGAAGTAACTGTGGGTTAGGACTTTAACACACAAATTTTGGGGGCGTGACGGGAACACACAATCACAATCCAGCCCTTAATACCTGGCGATTGTAGAGACCATCTAGAGAGTTCTTTTTTTTCTTTGTTTCAATACATTTGAAATAGTAACATATGCACTTGTTCAAAAGAAGTGCAAGCAGTTCAGAATGGTATACAGTGAATAATCACACTAGCTTTCCAGTTTCTTTTACCTGGCCTGGAACAACTACTGTTGCTATTTCTTGTGCATCTTTCCAGAAATAGTTTAAGTATATTTAAACCTATAATATATGAGTGTCTCCCTAGTAAATACTGAAGAGATTTAAAACAAAAACTTTCCTCTGGCTTAATTCCAGATTAATTAAATTAGAATCTTAGAGGTGGGGTGGCCCAAGTGTCTGCAATGATAGGGTAGATTTGGAAAACTGCTCTAGACCCTGGCTACTCAGAGACTGGGGTCTGAGACCCAGCAGCCTCTGCAGCACCTAGGAGGTTGTTAGAAATGCAGAATCTCAGCCCCCACCCCAGAACTACTGATTGGAATCTGCACTTTAATAAGATCTTCTCTTAGGTAATTTGAATGTAGACAAAGTTTGAGAAGCTAGGGAACTTACCTTTTTACTGGAATTTCCGCTGGGCCTTCTAATCAGTAGGGGATTATATTGAGCAAGCCCAGCCACAGGAGAGGAGAATGTGCCGATGCCTCTATGGGCAGAAGACAGGCTTGCATGGTAGCCTGTCTCTTGGGCCAACAAATCCTCTGATTTCATTTCCCCCACAAAGAAGGGGAAGGGACAGCCTCAAGAACTGCCTTGCCATACCTTTCTTTTGCAAATTCTCAAGCCCCAGTTTGGGATGGCAGTTCCTGAAAAGCCTATTTCAGGTGATCCCAGTTCTGCAATTAGACAATCTTTTGATGGGGAACAAATGTGTCCACCGTGAGCTGGAGAATGGCTCCGGTAAACCAAAGCAAACACACTGCAGAATTGGCAGCCCAGCTTTCCTCTGGCCTGGTGCAATAAATTGCTGAGGCCATCATCCGTGGCAAATAACCCAGCTAGGCTGCCTGGCGGGCCCGGGAGGGAGGGAACAAGGAAGGGAGGTGTCATCCAGTCAATTAGCCACAGAAAGAGCATTCCTTCCTGGAGGGTGGATTTACCTCTTTTCAGCACCACTAACTCAAATGTCAAACAAGTTGTAACTGCCATGAAGAATAGGCCTTAGCTACAGTATTTTCTTTCTGTAAGAGAGGAAACAACCTGCCCCTTTCAGCTTTCCCTTTTGGAGTTCCAGGATTTGGAATGGGGCCAGGTGGACGGCTTGTTAGCAACTTTTCTACTCCCTCCCAGCTCCTACCATCAGTACTGCTAAAGAAGACCACTCCTGAGTCTCCTAGAGCTGGTTGCAAAGCCAAAGCTAGAGGAGGGGGAGGAAACAACCGTCTGGGGTGGCTGTGGCTAGATGTCAGCCTCGGTTAAATTAGAGGATGTTTCCAGCATCTGTAAATTCACCTAAAAAAGAGTTAATGAGGCCTTGGATTCCACTCAACTCTGGAATGAACCAAGATGCCCTTCACAATCCTGTTATGCCAGGTGTTCGCCTCAAAGAGGCATTTATGGGAGACACCAGTTTTGGCAATTCCCTTTGGCAACAACAGCCAAGCTGTGAGAACTGACCACCTGGGGGAATGTTAGGTGCCAAGAGCTTCTGTGGCTTGTCCAAAACCACTTGGCATGAAGACTGCTAGGATCACAAATCCCTGAACCTGAGCCCCAGAAGGCAGGCACTGCAGTTTGTGGACTGTCTTCATGGTGTGTCTGGCTGGCTCTTTGGTGTGGAAGGCATGTAGGAAAGTCTCAATGCTAGGCAATGGGGATGATGTCTGGGAGTGTATTCCACCAAACCCTGGAGCTGCTAGGGCACATCTGGCCCAACCTAGAACTTTAAGGCTGGTGGACATCTCCATCAGGGAGGAGACAGCTTTCCAAAGTGGTTCTCATTTTTATTCATTACTTGGTAGGGGGGTGAGGGAGGTGGTAGTGAACATTTGACCTCCACTTAGGGGGACTGTGTAGACACAGACAAACTTTGATGCTCAGGGACTAAGAGGGCATGTTAATCAAGGCAGCAAGGGGCAGGAGGAAATGTTGAGTGAGCAAAAGCTGATTCCTTTGGGTGGCGCTGAATGGTAGGGGCTGAATTCTAAGAGGAGTGAGCAGGGCTGGAAACGAGAGAAAGCAAACAATCAAAAATCTGGTGGAAGATGGGCACAGTGGCTCATGCCTGTAATTCCAGCACTTTGGGAAGCCGAGGCAGGCAGATCACTTGAGGTCAGGAGTTTGAGACCATCCTGGCCAACATGGCAAAACCCTGTCCCTACTAAAAATATAAAAATTAGCCTGGTGTGGTGGCATGTGCCTGTAATCCAAGCTACTTGGGAGGCTGAGGCAGGAGAATCACTTAAGCCCAGGAGGTGGAGGTTGTAGTGATCATGCCTCTGCACTCCAGCGTGGGTGACAGAGTGAGACTCAGTCTCAAAAAAAAAAAAAAAAAAAAAAATCAGGTGGAATAGGAACAGAATGTGGAGTGAGACCAAGAGCAAAAACTGAGCCTGGGGGCTCCTAACTGGTTTTTCCTGGCTTCCTGATTAGAGCATGACACCATTAACACATCATCAGCTTAATTTAAAGAAATGAAATAGGGGGTAAACATAGACACAATACACACAAAATGCAAATACCTCGTTCCCTAAACTGTGCACATAAAGCTGTGGTTATTCAGGTCCCTCTCTGGCCATGATGCACCAATAATAGTTTCATGCTCAGGCATGTGGACGACAGTTTGTCAAACCCTAGTCTAAAACATGCTCTTGATTTCTTGGAGAGCAAAGGGGCATTCATAAACTGTGGTCTCCACTGATGGTTTGTCTCCTGTTTTTCTCACCTGGGCAATCAATAAAATTAATAGCTAATACTAATATAATGCTTACTGTGTTATGGGTACTGTTCAAAGTACCATAGAGACATTTACTCATTTAATCATTACAGCAATACTATGAGGTAGGTGCTAATATTATGCTGTTTTACAGATGAGATAACTGAGGTACAGAGAGGGTAAGGAATTTTCTCAAGGTCATATGATTAGTGAGTGGCAGAGAATGGATAGAAATCCCAATGAACTATCTCCGGAACTGTGCATTTAACCTCTACACCGAATTGTATCTTGAGCTCACTGTTCTACTCTTACAGCTTAATACAGTTATTTTCCTCTAGATTGGCCTGAAGGATTGGCAAAAACACCTACACAGTAGATTCTTTATAAAAACCCTTCATATATTTGGAGGAAGTATTTGAGCTAAGCCTAGGCCATCTCTGTCAGGGTTTCTGTGGAGCTCATGGGCAGGCTTTCAGAAGTACTTTGTCCAAGAAACTTCAAAATAGAGCTCTCCAGTAGATCCATAACCAAATGAGGGAGACAAGGTAAATGCTTCAAGGAATTTTTGCTGCTTTCAAAAAACAATAAATGGGATGCATTTCATAAATCGCACAGACTTTTAAAAATCCTTTTGTCTCTCTTCCTTAATTTATTCTTACCCCCAAACTGTTCTAGTGCCTCTCTCTTCCCCTGTTCATATTCTCCTCAAAACCCATGCCATTCTCCTCCCAGAAGTGGCATCTGGAGATAAACCTCCTACGGCTATTAAAGGATTAGGCAGCTTTGGGTCCTCTGTTCTTTGTACAAACCCTGTAGAAGACACAGTACCTTCCAGGAAGTTTAGTTCTTTTCTTGCTTTGACTATTTCTTTATGAGGAATACTCCTGGAAAATTTCTAGAAAACAAAATTCTTGCTTGTTACATTAATAAATATCATATGTCAGGATCTCCAACATGGCAGTCCCAGTGCTAAGTCCTTCAAGTTTGCTATAGTCATGTGCCATATAATAAGGTTTCAGTCAACAATGGGCTGCATACAAGGCAGTGGTTCCACAAATTCACAATACTGTATTCTTTTCTATGCTTAGATATGTTTAGATGCACAGATACCATTGTGTTACGGTTGCCTATAGTATTCAGTACAGGAAAAGCTGTACAGGTTTGTAGTCTATGAACAATAGGCTATACCATATAACCTGGGTGTGTAGTAGGCTATACCATAAGGATTGTGTGAGTACACTCTATGATGTTCACACAGCAACAAAATTACCTAATGAAAAATGACTCAGAACATATCCCCTTTGTTAAGTGATGCATGACAGTATTTAATTGTATCTTTACAATAGCCCTCCTAGAAATGTATTACTGATATACTAATTTTACAGATGAGAAATTTTAGGCTCAGAGAGATTAAATCTCAGAAAGATTATGCCTAAGATCATATGGCTAATAAGTACGAAGTCAGACCCAGGTTTCAAATGTTCGTGTTTCTTCCGGAGTGATCTGCAGAGTTCAATGATCCGAACTAATCAGGGGTGCTTGATACAATGCAAATTCATGGTCCACCCTAGACCAAGTTATTACGAGGAGTGGAGCTGAGGAATCTTAGTAAACATTAAAATGCCCAAACCTCTGTTTGTTTGTACAAACAAACTATTTTCCTCTGTACTTAGACTCAACACAGCACAGTTATGTGACCAAATGTGTAGAGTTTTTGTACCCACATCAGCAATTCTCCAATTTCTGTGGACACCAACAGGGTGTCCTGCAACTGAATTCTGACACTATGTACCTGAACACACCATCAGATTCCACAAGTTAAGGGGTCAGTCCCACAAGATTGCCCCTGCTTCAGATGCCAGTTGTAAGTCCACATTGTCACCTGTAGTTCTGACTGATGGACTATAAATTAGAGGTTCCCACGACCTCCTTCTCAGGTTTGATCATTTGCTAGAATGGTTCTCAGAACTCAGAGAAACACTTTTCTTAAGTTACTTATTTATCATAAAAGAACATAAGTCAGGAACAACCAGATGGAAGAGAGGCACAGGGAAAGATATGGGAGAAGAGACATGTAGCTTCCATGTGCCACTTCCCAGAACCTCCACCTTCTACTAACACAGAAGCTCTCTGAAACCTGTCCTTTTGTGTTTTAATGAAAGTTTCATTATGTAGGCATGATTGGTTAAATCACTGGCCATTGGTGATTAACTCAACTCCTCTCTTCTCCCTGGAGGATGAGAGGTGGGGCTGAGTTCCAAGCTTCTAATCATGGCTTGGCCTTTCTGGTGATCAGTCCTCATCCAGGAGCACTCCAAGTGTGGCCTCATTAGAGCAAAAGCTGTTCCTATCACCCAGGAAATTCCAAGGGATTTAGGAGCTCTGGGTCAGAAGCTCCTATCACTCAGGAAATTCCAAGGGATTTAGGAGCTTTGGGTCAAGAACCAAGGTCTAAGACCAAATATTAGAATAAAAGACACTCCTAGCACCCCTATTTACAAGGCTTTTAGGAGCTTTGTGCCAGGATCTGCGGATGAAGACATATATATTTCTTATTACATCAAATATCACAACCTCTTGTCATAATTTCTTACCTTATTGCTACAGCTTTTCCCTTCCCAACACCTTCCCTCCCCAGTCAGGTTTCTCCAGCCACAGGACCTGCCAAGCCTCAAACTAGCCTCTTTCCTGCAGGTGCATTCCCAGGACTTTTACTCCCCTCTCCTTCCCCACAGAATAAGGACTAGCAACAAGCCCTTGCTTCCTTCTGGGCCTGGATTGGTATTTTCCATTTGCAAAACACTTTTTCTCCTCCCTAAACCCTCTGACATCTCTGAATAGGGTGTCTATTCTATTCAAAATCAGAAAACAAACAAGGCTCCCAGCTATAAGGATCCAGGGAGGGAGGGACTCCAGCTGTCTGTGGCTGCTAGAGGGAGGGATTCAGGCCTTGACCCAGCTCTCTGGAGCAAATGACACCTGGAAAAGAGCAGGTGTCAGCATCGGAGAAAGAGTTCTGGCTGGGAATGAGAGATCCAGGTTCTACTCCTTGCTCTGCTGCTGACTTCCAGCAAGTCCCTGGCCTCTATGTGGTCCATCTGCACCATAAGGGGTTCACCAACAACAGTATGAAGCCTCCTGCCCCTCTTCAAGAGCCTGTGATCCTAGAAATGTTGGATGTTAGACCATCTGGGAGGCATCCCAGACAAGCTATGGTTGGGGCAGGAGGGTACATTTTGTCTCACACTCTAGGTCAGCCTGGACAGTTTTGTTCTCTTCTCTGACATTAAACTGCAGCACAATGGGCACTTCTACTTAAACAAGGTTGCAGCTGGATGTGGTCAATGGTAAAAAGGTCACTTAGACATTTGTTAAATGAAATTTCCTAAATGTCTCCTATTTTCCAGGTACTATGCTAGGTACCTAGCAAAGATGACGCTTGCGAAGTATTTATCACATGCCTAGCGAGTGTTTCACACGCATCACCTCATTTAATCCTTAAAACAATCCTACAAAGTAGATATAATTATTACCCCCATATTATAGGTAAAGAAATGAATGCTCAGAAAAGGTGGACTAGGGTTGCATCCAGACTGCAGAGCTCCTGCTCTTCAGCAGTACACTGCATCATCTGCTCTTGTCCAAGGCATGGGCTGCCAGCAGGGCCTTCTTTTCCAAGGTCTGGCTGGGCTCCTGGTATCCCTGCCTCACTTGCCCATATAGATTTCTACATCCACCTGCTGCCCCATTGCTGCCTTCTTCACCCTACCTCTTGGCTGACTCCTTTTCCCAGCCTCCAGACCACAGTCCAGACCCTGGCCTTCTCTCTCTGGATGAGAACCACAGCCTGCTTGCTGGCTTGCTGGGACCCAGCCTGCTCTATCCAGTGCACACTCTCTGATTCATTTCCAAGAGGTCCATGGCAAACAGGTCAACCCAGCTCAGGACCAGAGCCAGGGCCACCTCTTTGGCCCCCACAGCTCATGTTATACCAAGTGCAAGCTTGGCCTTCCAGACCCACCACAGCCTGGACCTTGAGTATCCACCTCAGCTTGGCCTTCACCTCTTAGAACACCCCTGAAGGGAGAGCAAGTCTGTGGGGCCTGACATGCCTTACACAATCTGTGTCTCACAATAATCCTTCTTTTGTCCTCATTTTACAGGCTTGGAAATGGAGGTTAGACTTTCCCCAAATCAGGCAGCTGGTAAACATTTGGAATTTGAACACAAATGATATGGCTTCCATCTCATGCCCTGCACAGGCATTTTCCTAACTCTGGTTATCTCTTTGCTATTTTCATGATTTTTTTTTTGCAATAGTCTCATTATGTTAGCCTTATAATTTAATATTTTTCTTTCAAACAACCCACTTTTAATACTTTTTACTTTAATATATCTTGCCTCATCCTGAATTACAAAATATAAGAAAATCACAGGTTTGATATACCAGTTGATTTTTCTAATATATGTTCAAATCGATTATTCATACATTTATCCAGGTGCTAGTGATGCTCTTAGCTTTTCTCATCGTTCTTCACAGATATAATTCTAATGACAGGGATGATGATAGACAGCCTGGGGTATTGGAAAGATCTGAAACCAGAGGAAGGAAAAGCTGGCTTCTTGGCCTGACTGTGTAGCTACAAAGCCATTCGACTTTGGGAGAGGAGGCTCCCAGCCACCACTGAAAAATGAGATCCCTGGACAAGCGTGGTCTCTGGAGCTTCTTTCAACTCTGCCACCCTGGATCCTCCTTCTCTCCAGATCATGTGGTCAGCAACCAGCAGCAGGAAAGTTCCCCAATTTTCCAGGGCTACTGTTGGGATTTGGCATATCATATATATAAAGTACCCAGCACAATGCCTGGCACAGCATAGGTGCTGGGGAGATACTAGTCTTCTTTTCCCACCAGAGCTGCTGCAGCTCAGATGTCCCTCTCTGAGGGATCCCAGGCTGGAGTGGTTAGAGGGCAGTAGGAAAAAGATAGTCATTTCTTTCCCCTTTCCTATCCCTCTGTGCTAAACCCCCTCCCCACCTGCCAGGAACAAGGAAGGAAAAGAAACCAGAGAGGAGAGGCTGGTGCAGCTGGAGCCGGGGAGGGCTGTAAAATAATCAGAGGGCAGCCGGCAGGTATCACTTTGCAATGATTGCTCTGGGAGGTTGTGTGGAAGTGAGGGACTGAGTCGCAATCATGAAACATTAGCACGTTGACATGCGTGGCCCCAGCAGAGCAGGGCTCTCTGGTTACAAGAGAGCTTGACCTCTGACCTGGCCCCTCAAAGCTGGGCAACTGAGGACATTCCAGCCACCAGGTCTGAGGCCAGGCTATGTGGGGAGGTCCCGTTGCCTTAGAGGAACTCTAAACCCCTTGCTCACCTATGACCCGTTATGCTGGAGAGACTTCTGGGTGGACCTCTCTGCTGGATAGACATCAGTACTCTTGTCGGATGCTGGGTAGGTGGTCTGCTGATGTTGAGGCAGCTGAAAGCCTGTTTCAGACACAGTCCCTTTTGCCTGTGGCTTGGAGCCAAGCTGCCTGGAGTTCTACCTCTGAAAGGCTGTGTGACTTTACAAAGTCACTTACTCTCTCTGAGTCTTAGTTTCTTTGTTCATAAATGGGGATACAGATATGAAGCTGTCAAGGTTAATATAAGGGTTAAATCAAGTATTGTGCATAATGAATCCAGAGCAAAATCTGTAGATAAGATCAGGGGTGAGCAAAAGACTACCAAAATACTAGGAGAAATAGAGGTTGTATTCGGTTTCTCTCTCTGCTAAGGAGAGCTGGGGCAGTATCTTAGATTCAGTGTTGATGCCTATGGGAGGGTATGGAATGAACTTCTCACTCACCCCAACAATGTCTGTGTTTGCAGAAGAAACCCCCTGCCCTCTTGGATATGTATGTAAATCAGAGGGCTGATAAACACAGTATAGGGGCTTATCTGTGATCTCCTAAGCAGACCAGTGAAAGATGGGGATTTTCAGGCTCAGAAAACGGCATGGGTAGCTTGCCCCAGTCTCATCTTTTTGGTGCCTTTAGTGCACTGATATCTGCATGTCTTCTCTCCAAGGCTTGGCCTTCAAAAAACTTCCCACAATGACCGCCAGTGATCCTCACCTCCTGGTATTCACACTTTTGTGTAGTCTTTTCCCACACTGAATCAGGGATGATATGTATGAGCAATAGATTATTACACGGGAAGAGGTCTGACTTTTAAGGCTAGGCTATAAAAGACATCATCACTTCCATCTTCATCTCTTGGATAATTTGTTGTGGGGGAAGTCACTGGCCATATTGTAAGAATACTCAAGCACACTGTTGAGAGGCCTTTGTGGAGAGAAGCTAAGAATTTCTGCCAAGAGCCAGCACTAACTTGGCAGCTATGTGAGTGAGCCATGTTGAAAGTAAATTCTCTAGCCCCAGTCAAGCCTTCAGATGATTGTAGCCCACATCTTGACTGCAACTTCATAACAGTCCTTGAGCCAGAATTGTCCACCCAAGCCACTCTCAAATTCCTAGCCCATAGAAACTATGAGAGATAATAAATGTTTATTGTAGTTTTAAACCACTAAGCCTTGGAATCATTTGTTACACAGCAATAGATAACTGATATGGAATAGCTTTAGAAAACTCCACGTATATATTCCTATGTTAGTGGAAAGCACTTGGTATTGAAGGGGTTACATTTAAAGAATCAGAAAGGCAGCCAAAAGGCGACTTTAGAAACATTTAATATGTGTTCCCAACCCCGGATCACAGATATTTATTGGAATCTCTTTGGGAACTTGTGAAATACATATTGTGGGGTCCTACCCAGGGAAATTTGGATTCATGAGGTCTGGAACCTGATAATTTACATGTTTTAAGTTCTCTAGTAGCTATTGATGAATAGATAGTTTTGAATCTAGAAAAACATTTTCATTTTACAGATCAGACAATGCTGAGAAGGGAAGTGGCCCTTTAAGGCACAAAGCAAGGTGGGGACAAAGGAAAGACACACTCAAGAGTCCTGGCACTGAGTTTTTAAGGCTCTTGTCCCGAGGTCCCAGATTTATTAGTGGAGTTCAGATGTGAAAACAGGAGGGCAGCTGGGGACAGATTTATCTCAGGTGTAGATACACGGTGCTGCCCGTTTCCTCTAAGGATGTGTTGGGCAGGCCGCAACAGGCAGGCAGACAGGCTCCACTGCCTCTGTGGATGGGCTAATCACACCATCTCTGTACAAATGCAGGTAATAGCATCCTAATGAGCCCACTGTGCTTTTAAGGTTGCACTGAACACAGTATTTGAGTGAAGATGGCTATTGGGTTTAGGATGGGCTTCCATCTGCCATACCAGGCAAATGCCTCAACAGCAACTGGGATTGCTGTGACTGTGTTTACTGATGTGTGTGCATGTGAGGGTGTGCATCTGAAATAATGAATACATGAGTGCAAGTGTCTACCTGTGGCCCCAAATGCATGGTTGTGTGCCTATGAAATACGTGAACACACACATCTGTTATATGTTCATTGCTACCATCACATCCTGTACTACAGAAAACACACAGATTTGCAGAGGCAGGAAGCATCTTTGATATTGTGCAAACTTCTTGTCCATTCTTGGTGTTACGCATGGTGATTTACAAAGCCAATATCTCATATTTGATCTGAGCGAGACCTGACATGGAGCCATCAACCTGGCGACTTGGTAAATATTTTGTGTTCCAGTCACAATGGGCATTGAGAGCTCTGTGAAGATCAAAGGCTTCCCGTCTGCCATGGTATTTGTAAGAGGAAAGGATACAGCCAAGTAGGTGTGAGGGTATTTGTAGAAACAATATCAGAGAAGGGTGTGGGGGACAGAGAATCACCAGCCAAGACTAGCCGCCTTCCCATCGCTCTCATCCCTCCAGCTTTGGGCTTTGAGTCTCTCTCTGTTGGGACTATTTCCAGCTGAAGTAGGGAGGGGTGATTTTAAAAAGCTCTGCACAGTGTTTGGTGACTTGGCTACTCATCAGTCTGACTTTAATGTCCTAGTCTAACAACTAATTGCTGGTGATTCCAGCAACTTATCGTCTCTCTCATTCTTCCTGAGGCTTTTGATATATATATATGTTTCGATGAGAGTTGTTTGTCATGTTCTCTTACAGAAATTTGTTAATGTGCCTGACTCTCCTGCCTCTTAGTCCTGGAGCTGTCTGAGGGCAATAACTCTATCTTGTTTACTGCTGTGTTCTCAGTCCCTAGCCCCGTACCTGGAATACAAGTGATGACCAGTCAGCAGGTCAAATCGGTTCTGAATTAGGGCCTTACTCCTCTAACCAAACCTTTCCTGGAAGCCTAGAGCTTTAATACTCAGATTCCTACCTTCTGGGGTAACCCTGCCCCCTTTGCTGGTGTCCCTGCTTAGTGACCTATCTGGGACCCCAGGTTTTTCTGCTGGGTGCCAGACAGTGCCCTCCCTGACTCCTACCAGTTTCAGCAGAGGGTGAGGTCCTGCCTCTGCTTCCCAGCCTATGCCATAAAGCAAACACAGAGAGCACATGTTGAGTCTGTACAGTGTGAGGGGCAAGGACACTGAACCTGCTGCCTGGTCTGAGGCCCCAGCCCTATAGATGCCTACACTAAGTCTCAATAGTCATATCGTATTGTTACCCACTAATGCTTCAGGTGTCTACGGAGCTGCACGCTCCTCTTCTATAAAGGATAATAATAACAGTTATTTGAATTGTAAAGCTATTGTGTATCTAGTGCCAAGGATTTTGCATATTTTGTTTCATTCTCACAGAGAAGGTTCCTCCATCTCCCATTTTCCAGATGAAGAAACTGAGGCTCAGAGGGGTTAAATAAAAACTTGGTCAAGGTCACATAGTTTCTGAAGTCAAGGTCAATGAAGGTAGCACAGTGGGGTGAAAAGGACATAGACTACGGGCTCAGGAGCACCTAGATTACAGCCTGGTCACTAATTTGCTGATTATTTAAACTAGGCAATGAATGTACTCTTGGAGCCTTGTCTATAGAATAAGGAAAACAATAGCTACCTCTCTCACTGTGATCACAACCCAATGAGCTGTGTCTTTAAAATGTCTAGCACAGAGTTTGACACTTAGTAGGCACTCAATAAATAGTTGCTGCTGTGTCTCCTCTTTTGGGCCCCTTCTAGTTCTATCTTGAGTTCAGGAACCCTGGCAAAGAGGAAACACGTTGATGTAATTTCTTATCAGAACTGTCAGAGCTGCTTTCCTCTTGTCACCTCTTTATTTCATTGTCTCTAATGGAATAAAATGAGAAAGCCGGTATTCACCACTCTTCTAAAAATTTTTCTCATGACAGTAAATAATATGTGCTCCTCCCCCACTTAATTAGATCACTGTGAATGTGACAAGAGAGAGCCTTATAGAGAAGCAATTATCTCGAGCAAATGAATCCCACACAGATTCAAAGGGAAAGATTACAATGAGAACAGAGATGTGCATTATTAGGAAATTGAAGTGGAAATCAAATAAGGATTAGGAACCCCGAGTCTCAAATATTTAATTGTCATAATTGCCTAATTAAAAATGGTTTTTAAAGCACTCCTCCCCCTCGACCACGAGTGCTAGAAAGGCTCCATTGCCAGGAAGACAATTGCAGCACTTATACTTATCATAACATGAAGGCTGACCCCTGGCAAACCTTTTCGCTGAAAGAAAAGTTATGTTGCCTCTTCATTCATGCCTTCATTTGGCAAATATAAAATGAGTGTCTGCTACTGTACACTATTTCCTAGGCAGCCTTGGGGGCTACACCCTGAAGGTAAATGAGTGGGTGAGGTCTCCAGAGCCCAGTTGAGCTGACTTGCATTACCCCAAAGATGGTTTATGGTTTACAAACCAACAGGGAGCCAGAGCCAGGAGCCTGTGTGTGAAGCTGGGTTGTGGGCAGGAGGTAGGTTGGATTGGAAGGACTAGGAGGGGCACAAACTGAGATGAGTCACGTAGCAGAGAAAGCTGTAAGAATAAAACAGGTAATGGGGGAGGAGAGGGGAGGCAGTTAGATATGAAAGCATAGATGCAGATGTCCCTCAGGGCATATGATATTTGTTCAGAATAATCTGTCTTTTCATGCTAGACTGAGAGCCTTTGGAGAGCAAGAATTGTGTCCATCTGATTTGCTGTTTCCTCAATGCCTAGCACATAGTAAGAGCTTTTTAAAAATGTGTTGTTTAACTGAATTAAAAGGATGACATCCTTTGAGATCGATTTTGATGTACTTTAGAAGGACAGGGGTCTTGAAAGATTTGAGACAAGAGGAACATCTACTATGGCCTGCGCATAGTAGATGCTCATTAAAAATGCATTGAGTGAATGAATGCATGAATGAATGAATGTTGAGCACTGTTCTACACATTGGGATAAAAAGATGATTAATGCATGGCTCTTGCCCTTGAATAGCTCCTAGATAAATGAGGGACACAGATTTGTGACCAGTTAATGAGAATCCAACCTAATCTGAGATGAGTCATATCATTTATCAAGCATGGGAGCTGGCATCTCATTTTCATTAATCTAGGGACTGCTGCCAGGATCATTTTTATGGGTTTAGAGACTTATTTCCTCAATTTGGATGTAAGTTTTTTGAGAACAGAGACCTGTATAGTAGCAGGCTCTCACTTTGTATTTGCTGGATGAAGGCATGAAGGAAAAGCAATGTAATGTTCCCATGGAAGAGTTTTCCTGGGGTTGCTTTCCTAATATGGTAAGTACTGTGATTGTCTTCCCAAATAAATCCCATACATTGCATTCAAGTTTGTCCCCTTGCTTAATAAGTACTTTTTTTCTGACATTCCAGACAACTGTAAAAATTCAGTTGGAATAAATCTACTGCAAATGCTATGCCAGATACGAAGGAGAGAAGGAAAGTAGCATATGACTTACTGTCTGCCCTCAACAACTTAAACTCTAGTTGAGGGAATAAGGCCTACACCCACCAAAAAGATGTCATGCAGGAAGAGAAAATGAAATGACAGGTCTCATGTTTGATAAAATCGGAATCTGCCTCCCTGCAAGAGATTTTGATTGCTTTGCCATTTCCATTCTTAAGTACTGTTGCCCTGCTAAATGAGTTGGTTGGGCTAAAAATACCGATTTATTGGGACGGACCTACATTCCCATCACTCTGGATTAAAAACAAAAAGTTTTGGGGTCTAGGGCTGTCTCAAAGAACCCCAGGCAGTAAAAGTGACAAGTCATATGAGATGTGTGTGTGACTGATGGTATATATAAGATATCAGAGGCGGGTCCAGGAATGATTCACTTGGAAGGTGGTATTTGAATTGTGTCTTGAAAAATGGATAGAATTCCATACGGAGAAAGTGTAAGCCATAGGGAAAATTGAGGAACTATGCTGATATTTGACATGAATATCTTATTTTTAGTTCATCCTCATAACAATCTAATAAGTACTGCTGCATACCCTTTTTGCATTTGAGAAAATTGAGGTTCAGTGAGGTTGAATCCTTTGCCCACAGACAGCCTGTTCCAAAGTGGTCAAGCCAGGCTAAGAAGCCCTTTGCATGACTTTGAGGTTCGCTCTCTCCCCACCTGGTTCCATGCAGAGGAGCTGAGGGTGATAAAATTGGAAAGGAAGCTTGAATTCACTGAAATCAATGAGCTAGAGCTTTCACAAAAATAGGATTGAAACTCTTTTCTAATTTACTGGCCCCTGCATTTGCTTTCATTTGACTGAGTTGTATAGTTATTTTTGCCTTCACTTTGAAAGTAAAATCTCTGCAGGTTTTGGAGGCAGTCAAATGACTGACAACTTCGGTTACAGTCAAACTCAAGGTCAACTATTTCCAATTTCTAGTTTCTGAAAGAAAACAACAAACGAACACATTTCTTTGAGGCAAGATTAAGAAAAAGTGGTAGAAATCAGGTGAACTTGGAGAAGGGAGAAAGGGATCACAGAAAAACAAACATGATAAACATTACTTTGATTTTCAATATCCATATTAATCAGTCACAGATAATTTCTGTCTACCAGACTTCTGTAAAAACTGGGAGTGGGTGGTCTCTGACATTTTCTTAAGAGGCACTCTAGTGATGCATATCACAAAGAATTACTCCAAGTGCCCCAAAAGAAAGACTCAGAGTGGAAATAGAAATAAGGCTCAAAAGAAGCAGCCATGATATTTTCCAGAGTAGATACAGAGATGCTTAATAATTTACTTCATTGCAGGATCCGATGTAACACTTGAAAGCTTCAATAAATAAGCATAATGGGCTCCCTTTAAAAATGTATTGGTTGGCAATTTATTTACTCATGTATATGCACCTTATAGTATGTGACATGCTGCCCTTCCTCTCTTCGAGGAAAAGTGCTCCATAGGAGGCTTTAATTAGTGCTGGCAGCTAAAAACCATAAACTCTTTCCTCTCCATGCTTCATTTATCTGGTCCTGCAGGTCTTCTATATCTATATATTCTTCTCCCCTTTCTTTTTTTCTCTCTGTCTCTATTTCTTTCTCTTCTTCTTTTCTTCTTTCCTTATTTCTTTCCTTCTCCTTCCTTCTTTCTTTTCTCCCTTTTCATTCATGCTTCAACAAGTGTCAACAAATCTGGCCCGGCGAGCTCCCAATTTACAAGGGTTAATACATATGTGAAAATTATGACATTGTGTTGCTGGTATTATAAATGATGTGTGTAGGAGGTACCTATATGAGGGTTAGGTAAAATTCAAGGCATACAACTGATATATAAGTGAAAATTAGTATAAACTTTTTGGAAAGCAATTTGAAAATATAACTAAAGCTTTAACAGTGTGGACCCATTGACCCAGTGATTCTACTTTGGGAAATCTAACCTAAATGATGGGGGGAAAATAAATTCCTGAATGTGGAGAAAGCTTTATGCAAAAAGATTTTATCATGACATTATTTATTACAACCCCCCCTTTCCAACTGGAAAACAACCTAAATTGCTTAAAAAATAATGGTGCCTCTACTCAATCAGGTCAATTCTATCTAAGGTAGGAGTTTGAAAAGGCTCCAGAAATACTTCCTGGAAAAGTTGCCAAGTAACCAAAGTCTTGGGCCAATAAACAAATGGTTATTCCAGAAATAGAGTTGACAAATAATTTTGATCAACTGCTAAGTGACATGCAATATACTAGGTGTTTTGACATACTTGTATTTTTACTTTCCTTTAAGGAACACCTACTATGTGGCAGTTGACTAGATTTTTAATTTGTGCTTTCACATATATAATCTTACTTAAGCCTCCTCCAAATTTCAAAATGTTGGTAAGATTAGTACTGGTATCTTTATTTTAAATGTCAAGAAAATGAAGCTCAGGCAAGAGAAGTGATTCATCTAAGATCAAACAAATAAGTCGCAATCCTGGGATTTAAGCACAGGTCTCTGTGTTCAGTGTTTAGTGCTTTCTCCATGATACCTTGGCTGGCTTGTAGGGAATTTATATGTTGATACATCAATAAAGTATGAAAAACTCATAGCCATTGATACATACGGAAATGAAGACGGTGCTTGTTCATAGGCCACCGTGTGTTTATTTCCCATTCCGGAAAAAGCTCCACATCATCAGTGAGCAGTGCTCTTCTTTGGGAAGCCCAAATTAAGATAGTAGTTACTTAAGTCATGAAATCATGACAATGATTGCTTACTGTGGTTAGTCTAAAAAACTGGTCAGGACCATAATGTACCTATAATCTTAATTGAATTAGATGTGTTGGCTGTTTACACCACAGGTAGACTCAATGTGGAGGAGTCACATTTAGTACAACATTCCAACCTCTGGATGCCACTTGGCCTAATCAGATGCTTTTATCCAAAAGAAATGACTACAATGCTATATCACATGGTCTTTTCCAAAGTATGTCTACATACATATTGATTCTTACAATAACTGCATAAAGAAGATCAAGCTGGCTTTGTTAGCCTCAACCTGGCTTTATTAGCCTCACTTGACAGAGGAGGAAATTAACGTGGTGAATGGGAATGTGATGGAAGTACTGTAAATGGGTACATCCATGCTGGAAGGTGCTATGATTTGAATCTGTCCCACCAAAGTTCATGTGTTGGAAACTTAATCTCCAATGCAACAGTGTTGGGAGTGGGACCTTTAGGAAGTGATTAGGTCATGAAGGCTCTGCCCTAATAAACGGGTTAATGCTGTTATTGAGGGAGTAGGAGGAAGTGGGTCCCTTATTGGTAAAAGGGACCAACTCCCTCCCTCTTTCCTTCTTTCTCTCATGCACACATACACATGCTGTTCTTTATAAATTACCCAGACTGATGCATTCTGTTATAGCAGCACACAATGAACTAAGACAGAAAGTAATTTGAGCACACATATATAACAACCTAAAAATATGCATACTCTTTCGCCCGAGTAATTCCACTTTGGAGAAATTGTCCTAAGGAGAGAATAAAAAAAAATATACAAATAGCTATGTGCCCACAGATATTTATAGCAATATTATTTCAAATAACAATAGCTGTAATCTACAACATGTCCATGACAAGGGCAAAGATTGAATAAATTATGGCACGCTTACTCCATACATTGTTACAGAGCAAATAAAATGGTCTTTTAGCAAAAGATTTTTAATAAGAGGGGTACGTAATCACATAAAATGTCAAATAAAAAATAAATTATGTATACATCAGTAGTGTGGTCACACCATATAAAGTTACTGAAAGGAAAGGGTCCAATGTGTTAATAGTGATTGCCTCACGGCATGTGATGTTGACTTATTATTAATAATAATGATGATAATTTTGAAAGTAGCATCTGAAATAATTACAAAATGTCAGGTACTGTTCTAAGCAGTTTGAATGTATTCATTCATCTAACATAACACCTCCATAAGACAGGGACTGCTGCTGCAGAGGATGCTAAGACACAGAGAGGTTAAGTAATTGCCCACAGTCACACAGTTAGTAAATGCCAGCCAGAGCTGGGCTGCAAACCCAGGCTTTCTGGTCTCTGACTCTACATTTGCCCACAATACCCGGCTGCCTCTTTCTGTCACGGCTAACAAGCACAGAGTGCTTACCAGGTGTTATGAAGACATATTTGTGCCCACTACACTCCTAAGTACCCCCAACAAAATTCATATGTTGAAATCCTAACCCCAAATGTGATGGGATTAGGAGGTAGGGCCCTTAAGAGGTCATTAGGTCATGAGGGTGAAGCCCTGATAATAGGATGAATACCCTACTAGAAGAGACAGGAGAGAGCTTGCTTCCTCTCTCTCCCTCTTTGCCATGTGAGATTACAAGCAGAAGATGGCTGTCTACAAACCAGGAGGCGAGCCCTCATCAGACACCAGATCTACCTGACTCCAGAACTGTGAAAAATAAATATTTGTTTTTTAAGCTACCAATCTTCTATCTTGTCATAGCAGCCTGAATTGACTAAGAGACTAGGTTTCCAGTTCTTACCTGCATCATTTCATTTTATTCTCCCATTAACTATAAGGAATATACTGTAATTATTCCTATTGTACAGAAAAAGAAGCTGGCATTTACTTGCTCAAGGTCCCACAACCCTGATCCAGGCAGGCTGCCTCCAGAGTCTTTGTATTTGACGGCTACAATAAACTGCCTATTTCTTTTTATTATTTATTTCTATTCTTTCCTGAACTTTCTGCAATGAAGATGTTTTTCAATATGATTTAAATTAGCTGTCATCTAACTATGGCCTGCCAGCTAAGTCCAACCTGTCACCTACTTCTGCAAATAAAGTTTGATTAGAACACACCAAATGCCTACTTGTTTACATGTTAATTAGCTGCTCTAGCTACAAGGGCAGATTTGAGTAGTTGAGACAAAAGTCATATGGCCCATTAACTCTAAAAGATTTACTATCTAGCCCTTTATAGAAAAAGTTTGCTGACCCTTGATTTAATTGATCACTGAACTAGTTAGGGTAATGAGGGAACTAGAATCCTGGTCTTCCTACTGTCAATTGCTTGGAGGGAATAGGTGGGAAAGGAAATGAGGAATGATGATTCTAAGTGCATTTGTATGTATGATACAGTTACACTCCAAATCTGCAGCTAGCCTTCTCTCTGACCATGTCAGAGTAGCAAAATCGAGAACAAACTGTATGACTAACACTTTGGTTTCACCTCTAAACTTCCTATCAAAGCCTGGACAATCATAAAAGTGGCAACAAATGAATCTAGGATCCTTTGTAAATTGCCAACTTTAAAAGCACTTTGAAAGATTTGGGTGTGGCCACGGGTTAAAAAATTTGAGCAAACAAGTGAGAATTAAGAATGTTTATAAGGAGCATTCCAGTCATTTCAGAAGTTTCACATCTAAACAGAAATGCAGTAAATGGACAGACACACCCTTCAGAGCTTGAAAAGTCTTTCTGCCAAAGTTCAGCCTTGGGGCCATTCCAGTTTTGGAGAGGGGAACGATAAAATTTAACATGCCCTGAAGTTGAAGCAAGGTGTCCTAAGGTCTAAAGAACAGACTAAACAGCCTCAGTACAGTACTGAAAAACTGGAACCAAGTCAGGTTTTGTGCTAGATCAGTATCTGCCTCCTCAGGCTGGAGATGTTCTTATAACCACAGAAAGAAGTTTAAGAAGATCTAGAGGAGAGAGAGAGAGAAACACATCTTTTGAATACTACCGTGTATTTTGCAGGTTACGCTATATTGTTCTCATGCATTATGTCCTCACAACATACATTGGTGCTATCTCTAATTTACAGGTGAGAAAATTGAGGCTTACAGAGACCAAAGGACTTGCTCAAGGTTACACCCCTAATAATAACAATAAGAAAGGCTTACTGAGTGCTGCACAGTGTAGTGATTTAGAATCAACTCGAACTGAGACCTCAGGGTTTATATCTCAACTCTGTCATTTACCTTGAGTAAATCACTTAACATCTCCATGGTTCATTTGATTTACCTGGAAAGTAGAGATGACAATTCCACCCGCATCATAGGGTAGACATGAGAAGTAAATGAGTTAATTTGTACAGTGCTTACAACACTGTCTGGCACATAGTGAGTACAATATCAGTGTTTAAGTCAAAACTATATGCTAGCCGGGTCCGGTAGCTCATGCTTGTAATCCCAGCACTTTGGGAGGCCAAGGCAGGTGGATCACGAGGTCAAGAGTTCGAGACCAGCCTGGCCAACATGGTGAAACCCCATCTCTACTAAGAATACAAAAATTGGCCGGGCGTGGTGTTAGACACCAGTAATCCCAGCTACTCGGGAGGCTGAGGCAGGAGAATTGCTTGAACCCAGCAGGTAGAGGTTGCAGTGAGCCGAGATCATACCACTGCACTCCAGCCTGGGCGACAGAGCAAGACTCCATCAGAGAAAAAAACGAACAAACAAAAGCTATGTGCTAGGCAGGGTCCTATATGTGCATTATTCACTTCATCCTAACAATAAACCTGTAAGATAAGTATTTCCTCCATTTTACAAATGAAAACCTTTCATTTTGTAAATGAAGGCCCCAAACAAACAAGCAATTATATTAAGTGGTAGTGCCAAGGGTCAGATGCAAATAGCTTAACTCCAAAGCTGACACTCTTAACAGCATCGCAGGTAATGCCTCTACACCTAGTGAGTAATCGAAGTCTGTCTGTTTCTAATTCTCATGATCTAGATGTTTCATGAGATTGTATTAGTCCATTCTCACGCTGTTAATAAAGACATAACCAAGACTGGGTAATTCATAAAGGAAAGAGGTTTAATTGACTCCCAGTTCAGCATGGCTGGGAGGCCTCAGGAAACTTACACTCATGGTGGAAGGGGAAGTAAACCCATGGTGGCAGGAAGGAGAATGAGAACTGAGTAAAGAGGGAAGCCTCATATAAAACCATCAGATCTCATGAGAACTCACTATCATGAGAACAGTGTGGGGGAAACCACCCTCATGATTCAATTATCTCCACCTTGTCCTGCCCTTGACACATGGCGATTATTACAATTCAAGGTGAGATCTGAGTGGGGACACAGAGCCAAACAATACTCTGAACAATAGAGTTCAGAGTATTTTCCTTATGTGATGCTTAAATCCCTATCAACTACCCCTCAAAAACAGCTCCCTGGTGGCTCAGAGGCTAGAAGTTGGCCTGACTGGGGGTACAGGGGAGTAGAGGGCTGTGAAGGAAGGACTATGGGATAAGGGTGAAACCTGCTAAGGCCTGGATCTGACTTTATTCTGGGCTTGCCTGTTTCATGTATTCAGTTTGGATCTGGACATGGGTCTCTGAGGGAGATGGGCTTGTTGTCTTTGGGAGACATGGAACTGTGCCTTGAAATAAATGGTGCTTGCAGTGTGACTCCTTTCTACTCCTGTGCTATAGCTAAATGATGAGACAGGGTTTGTTGCAAATAAATCGGTTTTTTTTGTTGTTGTCGTTGAAAAAAAATCAGAGATGGTGCCCACCTTGGTGCTATAGCTCTGCCTGAGCGCATGTTCCATCAGAAAACTCAAAATGGTCCCCAAGTCTCAGATCCAGCTCACTCTCCTATGTCCCATCTGGACTTGTCCTATGTCTGGATGCCTGGACCTGAATCAAAGGGCTCCATCTTTGTCATTACTCTGAGGCATTCATTTCTATAACAGTGAGAGAACTCACTCATGATAGTTTGCAGCTGAGCCTTTTTAATATCTTCAGCATGCCCTGAGATGAGGCTAGTCTAGGAAGAAAATCTGGGCAGAAGAGTCTGTAATAAAGGGGAGAAGACATGGCAGTTGGAATCTAAGGATGAGGTTTAATACTTGTGTATTAGTCTTCTAGGGCTGCCATAACAGGGTTCCATAGACTGGATGGCTTAAACAGCAGGAATTGACTTCCTTATAGTTCTTGACGCTAGAAGCCCAAGATCAAGATCCAGGTATTTGCAGGGTTGGTTTCTTCTGAGGACTCTTTCCTTGGCCTTTAGCTGAGTGGCTTCTCCCTCTGTCTTCATGTGGTCTTCTGCCTGTGCATGTCTATGTCTAAATTTCTTCTTGCTGTAAGAACACCAGTCATATTGGATTAGGGCCCATGATAATGACCTAATTTTACTTTAATTACTTATTTAAAGTCCCTGTATCCAAATATGCCACATTCTCTAAGGTTCTGAGGTTAGGACTTCAACATGAATTATGGCGGGGGGTTGGGGCACAATTCACCTCCTAACAACTTGGCTCCATCACTTTTTAGTTGTATGACTTTAGACAATACATATAACTGCTCCAGTATTTATTTTCCCTTGATCTGTAAAATTGAACAAGAGTAAGACCTACCTCAAAGGATTATTGGAAAAGGTAAAGGAGATGAAACTACTACACTACATTTGAACTGCAAATTTATTTTGCCTCTCAAGACTACAATAGAAACAGGGATGATGACATCCCTTAGAATCCTTGTCTCATTTTGGGCATCATACTTTAATGTTAGAACATTGACAACTTGGAGTAACCAATTTTCGGGGAAATAGAATGATGAAGGGTCTGGAGTAGAGATCATTGAAAGAACAGTAAATATCTTGAGTAAGTCAAGATACTTACCTTGAAGAAGAAAAGATGGGGAGGGAAAATTGAGAAAACTGTCTTAAAAAATTTGTTTACTATTATGATGAAAGGGGGATGGAGTTAGTCTTTTTGGTTTCAGAGAGAAGATCCAATGATACAAATTTATAGGACAGGAGATTTAGGCCCAATAACAAGGAGTTTCTAGCAGTCAAAGCATCCAAATTGGAGGTACCAAGTTTCCTATCTCAGAATGTGTAAGGCCCAGGGGCTTTTTTGAGCGTCTACTTTGCTAAACACAGTGATAAGCAATTTAACTTTGAGTCAGGTGGACAGGACAGATCCTGCCTTAAGTGGGAGGTTGGAATAGCTGGCCTCTGAAATGTCTTTTATTTTGAGAAGGTCACTCTCCTATAAATTATATTGTCTATCAGAAAAGGTTGAAACTCACACAAGCACATTTAACTAATGGAGGCATCCTACAAGAAAACAAAGATTCTTGTAAAACTTATTACAGAAAGTATAAGTGTCACATGAGGGACAGGGACTGGAGACCAAAGAGTTTTCAAGGATAGAAGTAATTTCTGTCTCTTTCTTATTGTGTACAGCTTTCAAATGGCTCCTTTAGGCTCAGAATACAATTCACCTTCTAGATCCAGCACACTCAACTCATCAATCAGAACTGACTTTCAACTCCTAAAAGACTCAGCTTCAGTTTGGTACACACCCTTAGAACAATGAGCTATGGCAAGGACAGGCTGGGATGGAGGGATTACATGGTTCAGAGAGCTGTAGCAACCCACACTTACAGGACTGAGCCAAAGCTTTTAGAGCATAAATGTGGGCTGGGTAGCTGCACTAAACGTATTTGGCATTAGGATTTCTCAGATACCTAGATAGAGATTTTTTTTTTTTTTTGCCTCTTCAGAGATTCTGATTTAGTAGGTACTGGGTAGAGTTTGGGAATCTATATCTTTGAACTGTTCTCATGGATGATCCTAGTATGAACCATCATACTATATTATGATTCTGCACTTCATGTTGCTAACTTCCCCATATCTTAGTCAAAATGTACCTTCTATTTCATAGGAATGTATTTGTACCTCTCATATGACATGTGGAAAATTATTCTTACTAAAATTTTGTCTTATATTTCCAACTTAGTTATGTAGTCCTGGAGGGCACAGATTATTTTTTCCTCATATTGCCAAGTCCTGCAGCATTTAACACAGTGCCAGCACAGTGTTGACTTCTCATAGAATCAATATGGTTCTGAGAACCTACAGAATGCTACATTAATAGGATGTTTTCCACCTTCTCAACCTAGGTGGGAAACCCACTCAGAAAATGCCTAGTTGCTCTGTGATTCAACATAGCTGGGTAGTCAGGCTGGGATGAGGGTGATTAATTACAAGCGGCATGCTGTGCTGCCCCAGAGGCTGGTAGCCTATGTTACATAGTCAATTAGCTACCAGACACAATCATCTAAGTTGTTATTTATTACTGGGTATGTCTGAGCCGTGAATCCTGTGAGGCAGAGAACAAGTGAGGGGATCTGTCACTGTGGGCCTCCAGGCAGAAAAAGCAGAGACTATGGAGGAGGACCAAGAACTCCTGAGCCAGGCAGCTGGAGAGGTTCCAAGTCCTCCCACCTACGGTTCAATACAGAAGATGAGGAGGAGCCAAACAGATTTAGTTGACCAGAATGTGCAAGGCACCAGAGAAGCCCCAGGGATAGAGAATACAGAAATGAAAAGTCTACAAGCTGACGGGTAAAAAAGAGGCATATACTTGAGAAACGGCATACACAGTAGAGGTTCAAGTAGATGTACCTGACTACAGTAGATGGGCTGTAGATGAGGAATCAAAAAACGGATCATGAGTGGTGTAGATCATCATTGTTGGAAGAGCAAAGGACATTACTTTGGACAAGTGTGACCTGGAAGGGGGTGGAATTTCAGCCAGACTGTGAGGATAAAGGGAAGGGAATTGCAGGAAAGAAGGAAAAAGAAAGCTTGAACGGCACAGGCACCTCCTCTCAGACATTGTATCAGATATTGTGAAAGACAGTGCTACGTAGTGGTAACGGTGTAGACACTGGGGCTAGATTCAACCTGACTTTGAAAATCCTGATTCTGCCACTTACCTTGGGCTAATTTCTTAGCCCATCTGGGGCTGTTTCCTAATCAGTGAAAATTGGGAAAAGATATTCATCCCAATGTGTGGTTTCAAGAATGAATTGAGATAATCATGTATGTGGAACACTTGGCAGGTAGTCAGAAAGTGGTAGCTCCTGTCAGAATTTTTGCTGTCCAAAACAGACCCACAAAACTGTCTTATCCATTCTGCAGATGAGGAAAACTGAGGCTTAAAGAAATGATATCATTTACCCAAAATGACAAGCTGGGAGCAGCACAATCAGAATTTAAACTCATGTCTGTTTGACTCCAAGGTGCATGCCTTTACCATCTTGAAAAGAATGGGGCAACACAGCAAAAATACAGACACTTTAAGGTATATATATATGAAGTGTGTGAGTCCCATATCAAATTTTTGGAGCTTTGCCAAAATGGTAGGTGAACAATGTTTTCTTCAGTGTAGCCATAATTTGTATTTTTTCTTTTTTTTTCTTTTAACTCATCTGTATTTGTTACAACTATAAGAAGAATGTGACTCGAGCACTACATTTCCATCCACAAGACCGGGTCTGAGTTATTTTTAAACAGCTTTATGATATGCTTAGGTAGGCTTATAACTTTGCTCCTCCAAACAATACTTTTCTTTGGAAAACAAGCCCTGTGGAGAGATCCTTCCATCAAGTTGCTTCAGTTTAACCTATTTCTAGAGGACTAGTACATGCAGAATTGTCAACTATAGGGGATGAAAAGTTCAAAAAGTAGATCCTACAAGATGTAACAAATACTTTTCTAAACATCAAGGTATAGCTCAGGAACACTTCGATAACAAGATTTGGTCTACTTAGGAATCCGGCTTGACAGCTAAACACTTTAGACCACAAAGTTAACATCATGTTACATACATCTTACAACGCACGTTACCCCAATCTGTGAAAATAAACCGACGTGAAACTCAAAAAGCATTACTAGCTCTGCTTTAGTGCCTAAGGTATCACAGCATCACTTAGTAGACAGAAATCTTATCTTCCCCTTAAAGTAGTTGTTGTCATGCCGTACAGACTTTTTAATATTAACAAAAATAAAGAAAAACATCCTTGAATATATATTATCGGAGGAATTGTAGAGTATTGAACAGTTAAGTCATCCCTTAGCCAGAGGTTAGTCTACTTCTTCCATGCATGATGTGTCGTCATCTCCTTCGAGGGGCGGCATTTCTTCAGTTACAGCAGCACTGGTATCATCAGCAGCAGGATCATCTTCATCAATACCCAGACCAAGTTTGATCATCCTGTAGGTCCTGTTAGCATGTGTCTGGGGATCTTCCAGACTGAAGCCAGAAGACAGGAGTGCAGTTTCGTAAAGCAAGATGAGCAGATCCTTCACAGACTTGTCATTCTTATCAGCCTCTGCCTTTTGCCTTAAGGTCTCAATAATGGAATCATCAGGATTTATCTCCAGGTGTTTCTTGGCTGCCATATAACCCATTGTTGAGTTGTCTCTTAGGGCTTGAGCTTTCATGATTCTCTCCATGTTTTCTGTCCAGCCATATGTGCTTGTGACAATACAGCATGGAGACGTCACCAATCGGTTTGACACAACCACCTTTTCAACTTTTTTCTCCAATATGTCTTTCATGGTTTTGCAGAGGTTCTCAAACATTGTTTTTTCTCTTCCTATTTCTTTTTCTTTTCTTCATCCTCTGGAAGTTCCAGGCCTTCTTTGGTGACTGGCACTAAAGTCTTCCCCTCAAATTCCTTCAGCTGTTGGACACAGTACTCATCAATGGGCTCAATCATATAGATCACTTCTAAGCCATGTTTCCCAAGACGTTCCACAAAGGCTGAGTTAGCTACCTGGTCCTTGGTCTCACCTGTGATATAATAGATATGTTTCTGTTTTTCCTTCATTCTGGTGCAGTAGTCCTTGAGAGAAACCATCTCATCACCAGAGGCAGACGTGTAGTACCTTAACAGCTCTGAAAGCTTCTTCCGATTTTGAGAGTCTTCTTGTATTCCAAGCTTTATGTTTTTAGAGAACTGCTCATAGAATTTCTTGCAGTTCTCTTTATCTTCCGCCAGTTCTGTAAAGAGTTCTAAGCATTTTTTGACCAAATTTTTCCTGATAACTTTCAAAATTTTACTTTGTTGCAACATCTCACGGGAAATGTTTAGAGGGAGATCCTCCGAGTCTACCACCCCTCTAATGAAGTTCAGATATTCAGGGATTAGCTCCTCACAGTTATCCATGATGAAATCTCTGCGTACATACAATTTGATGTTGTTCTTTTTCTTTCTGTTTTCAAACAGGTCAAAAGGAGCACGTCATGGGACAAATAGAAGGGCTCTGAATTCCAACTGTCCTTCAACTGAAAAATGCTTCACTGCCAAGTGATCTTCCCAGTCATTGGTCAAGTTCTTGCAGAATTCTCCGTACTCCTCATTAGTAATATCGTCGGGATTTCTGGTCCAGATGGGCTTTGTTTTGTTGAGTTCTTCTTGGTCGATGTACTTTTCCTTAGTCTTCTTCTTCTTCTTGTCACCATCCTTCTTTTCTTCTTCCTCATCAGAACCAACATCTTCAATTTCAGGTTTGTCTTTGGACTCTTTCTCTTCTTTTTCTTTTTCTTCTTCTTTGTCTTCCTTTTCTTCAGTCTCATCGTCGCTGACTTCTTTATCACATTCCTTCTCCACAAAAAGAGTAATGGGATATCCAATAAGCTGAGAATGTTTCTTCACAATCTCCTTTATTCTTTGTTCCTCCAAGTACTCAGTTTGGTCTTCTTTCAGGTGTAGGATAACCTTTGTTCCACGACCCATACGTTCACCTGTGTCTGTCCTCACTGTGAATGATCCCCCTGCTGAGGACTCCCAGGCGTACTGCTCATCATCATTATGTTTGGTGATCACAGTTACTTTCTCAGCAACCAAATAAGCAGAATAAAAACTAACACCGAACTGGCCAATCATAGAGATATCTGCACCAGCCTGCAAAGCTTCCATGAACGCTTTGGTCCCAGACTTGGCGATAGTACCAAGGTTATTGATCAAGTCAGCCTTGGTCATTCCAATTCCAGTATCCACAATAGTGAGAGTTTGATCTTGTTTGTTTGGTATAAGGTTAATATGCAGCTCTTTCCCAGAGTCTAATTTACTGGGATCTGTCAAGCTTTCATACCAGATTTTGTCCAATGCATCTGATGAATTTGAAATGAGCTCTCTCAGAAAGATCTCTTTGTTCGAGTAGAAAGTATTGATGATCAATGACATCAACTGGGCAATTTCTGCCTGAAAGGCGAATGTCTCAACCTCCTCCTCCTCCATCGGTTGGTCTTGGGTCTGGGTTTCCTCAGGCATCTTGGCTAAGTGACCGCACAGGACCCACGGCACAGCAACACCAGGATGCTGAAGCAACTCATAATTTGTATTTTTTCTTATTGTGAGTGAAGTTGAACATTCTTTCACATGTTTAAAGCCATTTGTATATCCTTTTTCTGTGAACTCTTTATGAGCTTTGTTCTTTTTCCATTGAGATGTTGGTTTTCTTTTTATTGATTTATAAGAACTTTTTAGGTGTTAGAGAAATTAGCCCTTGGTTATATATGTTGAAAAATATTTTTCCCAATTTGTTCTTTGCCTTTTATCTTTAATTATGGTATTTTTGCCATATAGAATTTTAAATGTAATCAAAATTAATTGTTTTAGGCTTTTAAATTTTAAAAATTATAGCTAGTAATCTTTTTCTGATCTGAAGTTATAAAATAATTCTCTCACCATTTTTTTAGTACTTTTGTTTACATTTTTTTTTGTAGACGAAGTGTCATTCTTGTGCTCCAGGTTGCAGTGCAATGGCACAATCTAGGCTCACTGCAACCTCCGCCTCCCACGTTCAAGCGATTCTCCTACCTCAGCCTCCGATGTAGCTGGGATTACAGGTGCCTGCCACCATGGCCAGCGAATTTTTGTATTTTTAGTAGAGACAGGGTTTCACTATGTTGGCCAGGCTTGTCTCGAACTCCTGACCTCAGGTGATCTGCCCGCCTTGGCCTCCCAAAGTGCTGTCTACATTTTTACATTTAAGTAGTTGGTTATTTTGAAATTTATACTAGGGCAAGGTGTGGTTTATACATCCTTTTTCCCCCCAGATAATCACTCTGTTATACTAGCAACAATTATTAGATAATTCATCTTGTTTCCAATGATTTGAGATACCGCCAATTTAATTATTTATTAAGTTCCTATGCATATTTAGGTCTATTTTAAAACTTTTAATTATCATGTGGATCATTTTCCATTCATCAGTAGCATACTGTTTTAATTATTAAAACTTTATAGTATGCTTTAGCATCTGATAGGTCTTATTCTCTTGTCATTCTTTTTCTGACTTTTCCTGGATACACATTTTTGTTTATTTTTCCAAATGAATTTTAAAACTAGCTTATCTATTTCAAAAAATATATAGTTGATATATTTATGGGATTATTTTTTATCTTATATATTACCTACTGAGAATTGACATCTTTTTGAGGTTTTAGCTTCCTTTCCCACAATA
Organism: Homo sapiens; assembly: GCF_000001405.40. NCBI lineage: Eukaryota > Metazoa > Chordata > Mammalia > Primates > Hominidae > Homo > Homo sapiens. The sequence goes on from NC_000011.10 coordinate 27,892,229, forward strand.
AAACATACTTTGTCCATTTGTTTAAATTTTTTTTGAATCCCTCAAGAGTTTTAAACTTTTTATCTTGTAGATCTCATATATTTCTTGTTAAATTTATTTCTAGATATTTCATCTTTTGTTGCTATTATAAATGGGATATTTTCTGCTACAATATAAAATGTTTTTTGAAGGAAGTCTTTTGGGACTAATGATCTGTGGGACCATTTTGGGAAATTCTACTTGACTTTGTGCATCCCCTGTACTCCAAATAATGTGTGTCCTAGGAGGGGAAATGACATTTCCACAGAGCAGTCAGAGACCCTATACAAAAGGGAGGAAGAAGGCTCCCCTTTTGCCTTTGGAAGAATTGGGTCATTTCGATCCCATTCTGCAATGTATAGAAGCACTCGTAGAATATTCAAACTGGAAGATTGCTAAAAGATCAAGCTATTGAATCCTCTGATGCAAATGATGAGAAAATAGATGACCAGAGAGAGAAAGTGACCTACCGAGGTTGGGCAGAGTATAGGTTCTGGCTTATATTGATGGATGTCCAGGGCTTCCCTCAGCAGAGCTTCCTAGGCAGCAGCAATAGGCAACACCCTCCTATTCTGTCCCAAATTCCACTTTGTCACTTGCCAGATACTATGTCACCTACAGCATATACACTGGTCCTTTTGACCCTACACATTCCCATCCTCTGACCCTACATGATCTTGGCTAACCTGCCTTCCTATACCAGCAGAACCTGTATTTCTTTTTTAGACCCTGACAAATGTTAGGTCAATTTGTCAGTGCATTTGTAGTCAAAATTTGGTTGTCTAGATGTGGATGAACCCTGGCGTAGGTGCAATAGGAACCTGAAATGAGATTATCTCCCCAAAGGGCTTTAGAAAATTTGGAGTTGCTGCTCTAGTTGAAAAGGAACAGGATCCAGATCTCCACCTTATTCTGCCTCATGTTTAATCCCCTAGCCCTTCCCATCTCACATAATAGAAGTTTAACAGTGGAATTGCTTTAAGCCTGACTTAGAACTATTGATAATTCTTCAATTCTTCTCAGATTTCCATGATGATCTCCTTCCCTCTCTACTCCCCATATCTTGGTTAATCAGTAGTTTACCACAGTTTACCATAAAGTTTATCTAGTGATAATAGTCACACCTACAACCATTTTTTCCGTATGACCTGGTGGAAGAAGCACTGATTTGGGGAGTCAAGAGGCTTGGTCTAAAGTTTTGCTCTGATGTTTACTAGTTGCATGACCTGAAGACAGTCACCTAAGCTCTCAGGGCTGTTTCCTCCTCTATAAAATGAGAATATAATATTAAGTTAGAAAATATGAAAATCCTATTTTTGCAGGTCAAAGATAACCTAATATCAGCAACTTATATGGTTCAACCTAATGGTGCCTGCCCTATTCACTACATAGAGAATTGTGAGGAGTAAAGGAAACAGTGAGCATGAGGGATGTCATTGAGATGCTTCAAATATTTTACATATGTAATGGATTATCATTTTTCTCTTTCCCAGGGTACTTGTCATTTAAAATTAGGCACTTAACAATTCAAAGAAAATGATCCATAATGGCAGAATTTCAAATAGACTTAAATATTCATATACCTTACATGGTAAACTGAATAATGGCCTCCCAAAAGCGTACATATCCTGATCCACAGAACCTGTGAATGTTACTTTATATGGCAAAAAGGACTTGTCTGTATTAGGGATAATCTTGGACTATCTGGATGGGCTTGATGTAATCACATCTGACCTTATAAGAGAGATGCAAGGGAGTCAGAGTAATAGGAGACTATGATGTGATGATGGAAGCAGGGACTAGACTGATGCACTTTGAAGATCAAGGAAGGGACCACAAGCTAACGAACACAGGCAGCCTCTAGACACCTAAAAATGCAAAGAAATGGATATTCCTCTAGAATCTCCAGAAGGAACCAGCCCTGCCAACACATTGATTTTACCCCTGTAAAATTCATTTCTGACTGCTGGCCTCCAGGATTATAAAGGAGTAAATTTTTGTTACATTAAGCCACTATGTTTGTGGTTAATCGTTACAGCAGCCATAGGAAACTAATATGCCCTATGACCTAGCCATTTAACTCCTAGGTACATAACTAAGATAAACTGTTTCAGATCCATGCCAGGAGACATAGGGTAACATTCACAGATGCACTGGCCACAATAGCAATAATGAAGAAAACTCAAAATCCATCACTGAGAGAGTGAATGAATGAACTCTAATAAAATATTACTTGGCAGTCAAAATATATGAACTATAGTAATATGAAAAAAATTGGATGAATCTTAGCAATATATTTTTATGTTTATTTTTGTTTTGTTTATTTTGAAACCATCTCAAACTTACAGAAAAGTTGCAAGTACGGTACAAATGCCATTTTTTTCTGACCCATTTGAGAATAAGTTGCCAATCTGCTGCTCCATCACCCATGAATACTTTAGGATATATTTTCTACATACAAGGGCATTCTCTTACATAACCACAATACAACCGTCAAAATCAGGAAATTGCGTTAATATTCAACCACTACGTAACTCTCAAACTTCATTTAAGTTTTGTCAGTTGTTCCAAAAATACCTTTCAGAGCATAAGAGTCTGGTTCAGAATTGCACTTTGCATTTGCTTGTCATGTCCTTTTAGTCTCCTTCATTTGGAGCAGTTCTTCAATTTTTCTTTGACTTTCATGACCTTTACATTTTTTGGAGATTACACAAGAGTTATTTCATAGACTGTCCCTCAGTGTGGGACTTTGGTCTGCTGAGTCTCATGATTAGATTGAAGTTACGTATTTTTGCCAAGGATATCCCAGAAGCAATGCTGTGTTCTTTTCATTGCATCCTATCGAGCACATGATTTTGATTTGTCCCATTACTGATGAGGTTCACTTTGCTCCCTTGATTAAAATGGTGTCTGCCAGCCTTCTCTACTGTGAAGTTACCCTTTTCCCCTTTAGCAATATGATTTTAAATAAAAGTAGGAAGCCCAGAGATTATAACCCTTTTATGAAGTTAAAAATAACTAATTTTTAAAAAATGCTTATTAGGAATAAATATACATGAGATAAAACCACATAGAAAAGCAAAGGAATGACAAACACAGAATTCACGTTGGCAAATACATCACATGGAAGGAGGTATGAAGAAGGAAGAAGGAATACATGAGTATATGCAAGTTATTCCAAAGTTCCTGGTGTCTATGTTGGGTGGTGAATTCATATATTGTTTAAAAATCGACAAGGTAAAAAAGAAAAGAAGGCCATGCTTGGACCAATGCAAGAGTGACTTGAGAACCATGGATTATGATTAATTCTATGTGCTTAGGGTCTAATAACAAAACTGAACAGATTGTTTGATAGGTTGGTAGTGTAGAGATACCAGAGAGTGAAAGAGAAGAACTTCTAAAATCACTCCAATAACCACTGTCCCCAGCCCCAACCATACTTTTCTACTTTCTGGGTCATGGCTAACTGGTATGAGCCCAGAGAATGACTGTACAGAGTCAACAAAGCTACTAAAGCTTAGAATATTTTCATAATAAAATATAGGAAAATTTATCTCCTTCCTGGAGCAATTTTGTATCCCCAGAACATTTGCATTTTTCCAACTTCATTTCCCTCTTGCAAGAACACATGTGAACTTCGCATCCCTCTACCTCTTCCAGTCCCTGGCTCTTGCTTGTATGGGTTTAGCACAGTTGACACAGACAGGTCTTTATTGGAAAAAGTCCTGGGTTCTAATCCCAGTTGCATCTATAGTTGCTGAATGACCCAAGGCAAATTATTTTCTTTCCATGGGCCTCAATTTATTCAGTTGGTATTATACACCCTCTTCTTTGCCACATACATTCTGACTTAGTAGATCTGGGTATAGCCTAGGCAGGTACATTTTTAAAAAGCTACTCAAGCAGGAATCACTGTGCTTGTTGACCTCTGTATCTCATTCACACACCAAGGTTCTTACTGTAATGCTTTAATGCTTTTGTTTTTCTGGGAGTTTCACTCTGTGGTTGATACTCATTGGGCTGGGTCTTTCTCTGGGAAATGGCCATATCCCACAGAGATAGGAAGCCAAATTTCTGCCCTGCAAATCTCACCCTTTGTTGTAGCCAATTTGTCTGGGAGTTGTCACCTGACTCAAAATAGGTCAATTATAGCCACTTTCCTAGAAATTTGGAAGTGGGATAAAGAAATTCCAGTCTCACTCTAGTCATTCCCATGAGTCTCAAGGGAGATTTCTGCATTGTAACACTGAGTAACAGAGAAAAGTTTCAGAAAAAAGTTGATGCACTGAAAGAAGAGGAGATGGGAGATGAGAAGTGCATGCTGAGTTCTCCATTGTTTTTGATTTATTGGTTCCATTCCCTATAGATGCCTGACTTTCTTCCTACCTTTGGATACATGAGATAATGAGACAATAAAGTCTTCTTTATTTTGCTTAAGTTGCCTCCTTAGAGATAATTTGCATAGTGCATGGTCTCTCCTGCTCGGCTTTCATCCTGGACAGGAAGAATTTCATTTAGCCTAATGGGCTATACAGACTTAATAGCTATAGTTAGAAAACAAACAGCTGACCTGGGGCATGAGGGCAGGGAAATCAGAGGGATGTAAAAGTGAGCTAAAATCCTTAGCTTGTCAGGGGGAGATCGAAATGTATTAATTCTACACATTAGAAACGTGTATTTGAGTAGGTACGGTAAAATGTTCAAGATAACCAGTAGAAAGATGGACATAAAATGTATACTTTTCAAATAAGTACAGTAAAACAAAAGTAAAAGAGTTTTAGACCTTTTGATAGTATATAGCTCCCCATTAGAGAAACACAAACAGAAATATGAAGACTCCTTCAATGAAAAGAGCAATGATATCAAATCAATAACAAGATTGACATGTTTGCCCTACTGAATTTACAAGCAAAAAAACAAACAAACAAAAATGTTAATGTCCAATGTTACCTAGAGTATGGAGAAATAAACTCCTGGTGTGTATATATATTGTTACAATATTTCTAGAAGGGAAATTTGACAACATTTGCCAAAAACCATGATTTACATAATGTACTTTAACTTTTAACCTCAAAATTCCACTTTTAGGAATGTTTCCTAAAGAAATAATTAAGAATATAATTTAAAGTATTTATTCTAGCATGAATAATATTAAAATAATCAAAATGTTCCAAATTATAATATTGTTACAGTAAATCATGCTACTTTCATACTTCAGAATTGTATGTAGTCATTATCCATTATAATGTAAGTTAGCATTTTATTAGCATCAAAAGCAAAGACATTCATAATGGCATAAGAAATAGCAAGATGCAAAGCAAGTGTACTGAGTTGTTATAAATTAACATATATCTCTATATACATAGAAAAAAAATGTGGGGAAGGGTTCAGACCATGGTATTAAGTGATATGTTTTTCTTTCAGTAATAAGCTTTGCATTAGTTCGTTCTCACACTGCTATGAAGAAATACCCAACATTGGGTAATTTATAAAGAAAAGAGGTTTAATTGACTCACAGTTCCACATGGCTGGGGAGGCCTCAGGAAAATTATAATCATGGCAGAAGGCACCTCTTCACAGGATGGCAGGAGAGAGAATGAGGGCCAAGTGAAGGGGGAAGCCTCTTAGAAAACCATCAGGTCTCATGAGAACTCACTCACTATCATGAGAACAACATGGGGGAAACTGTCCCCATGATTCAGTTATCTCCACCTGGTCCTGCCCTTGACATGTGGGGATTATTATAATTCAAGGTGAGATTTGGGTGGGAACATAGAGCCAAGCCATATCAAGCTTGATGTTCATTTTCTTCTTTTTGATTGTGTTTCACAGTGGCACCTTTTATGATAATAATACCTTTTTCAATAGTTTAGACTTAGAGTTGACCCAGAGCTTTCATACTCATGATGCCATTTGAGCTGTGTAACACTGCAGGGAGTTCAAGAGGGAAAATACTATCACCATCTACTCTTACTCACAAGAAAATGGACAGAGTTAGTAAGGAGCAAAACTGGCATTAATCACCAGGTCTTCTTCCTCTAGGGCCAGTACTCTCCCCACTGCCCCATGAGAGAATAGCACAATAGTATGCCTAAACTCTCAACAGTTAAGCAAATTGAAACATCAATACATATGACACATTAAATACATATAAGTCTGTGGACACAATAGGAAAGAATGCTAATTAAGAACAAAAGAAAACCACAAGGCATATACATAGGATTTGTAGCTGTATAAAAAAAGTATGGATACACACACACACACACACACACACATACGTTGGGGAGGTCACAATCGTCTTGGAAATATACTTATAGGAATACTAAGAGAGTTTGGCATTTTGTGTGTAAAATTTTGGAAATACATTACTTTCAAAGTGGGCAGTGTAGGTAGAACTAAGTTTTGCCAAACACATGGGCAAGTCAGAGGATAAGAAATCAGATAAAATTAAATACAAGGAAGGGCAAGGGATTGGAATGAAGCATGAGGGCAGGGTGGCCAATTGTTCTTGTTCTCCCTGGACAGAGCAGTTTTCTGGAACCAGGGATTTCAGTGCTAAAACTGGGAAAGCCCTGAGCAAAATGGGACAAGTTGGTCCCCCTACCATGCAGGAGAAGAGGGAAGAGGTTGAGGCAGGTTTCAAAAATTCAGAAAGCCAGCAAAAACAGAGTGAGCAGGACAGAAACCTGAAAAAAGAGCCTGTGCTCTTCTTTTAACCTTATTTGAGGAGGCAAAGATTTGCTGGCTGCTGCTAGAGGGAGAGAGCACTATTTCATAACTGGACTCCAGACTTAATTTACAGTAGAACTCAGCAGTTGAAAGCTGTTGAATTGGGCATCTGATGACCTGGATTTACAACTTGGCTCACCACTCTCTGGCTAAGTGACCTGGGGCAAGTTCCCTGACCTCTTTGCTTAAATGTCCTCATCTTTAAAGTGGAAATAATTGTAATCCCACCATATAAAGTTATAATGAGTATTGAATGAGATAATGCTTGTATGTATAATGCCTGACACCTATCAGCTCCCAAAATGTTAACTGTTGTTATTAATACAATCACTCCTAACCTGGAAGCAACAATAGGCTGAATGGGGTCTGTGGTCATTTGCATTTACTACCTAGGCACTAAAGTCATTCCGTATTAATCAATGGTCTTCTAATTTATGCAACCAACAAACATATGAAAAAAAGCTCAACATCACTGATCACTAGAGAAATGCAAATCAAAACCACAATAATGAGATAACATCTCACACCAGTCAGATGGTGATTATTGAAAAAAAAACAAGAAACAACAGATGCTGGCGAGGCTGTGGAGAAATAGAAAGACTTTTACACTGTTGGTGGAAATCTAAATTAGTTCAACCATTGTGGAAGACAGTGTGGTAATTCCTTAAAGATCTAGAACCAGAAATACCATTGACCCAGCAATCCCATTACTGGGTATATACCCAAAGGAATATAAATTATTCTATCACAAAGATAAATGCACTTGTATGTTCATTGCAGCACTATATGCAATGGCAAAGATATGGAATCAACCCAAATGCCCATCAGTGATAGACTGGATAAAGAAAATGTGGTACATATACACCATGGAATACTATATAACCATAAAAAGGAACAAGATCATGTCCTTTGCAGGGACGTGGATGGAGCTGGAACCATTATCCTCAGCAAACTAACATAAGAACAGAAAACCAAACACTGCATGTTCTCACTTATAAGTGGGAACTGAACAATGTGAACACATAAACACAAGGAGGGGAGCAATACTGACACTGGGGCCTGTCAGGAGGGTCTGGCGGGGGGGCAGCATCAGGAAAAATAGCTAATGCATGCTGTGCTTAATACCTAGGTGATGGGTTGATAGCTGCAGCAAACCACCATGGCACACATTTACCTGTGTAACAAACCTGCACATCCTGCACATGTACCCCAGAACTTAAAATAAGAGAATGAAAAAAATAAAATGAAATAAAGTTGTAAAAAATATGTGAATAAAAAAAGAGAAAAGAAAATTGTCTTCTAATTTCCAGTTCTTATCCCAACTACTTCTGATCCTGCTCACAATTTACACCCACCTGTCTATCTTGCCACCTCCTCCATGCCAGGGTCTTTCTCCACACTTCTTCCCTTAAAACAGTTTGCAAGGTTCATTCCCTTCGAAGATACTATTGTATCCCTTTCCCTTGAAAGAATCCACCATCTCCAGGGAATACATTTCTGTATTGTTAGCAAGGACCTTCTAGAGACAGAATATTTCAAATGAGAGGCACCATGGGGTTTGCAAATTATGCTTTCTAGGCCCTTCCACTCATACTCCAGACCTTTCCACTTTTACCCTGCGATGACTAGGAAGAAGGCTGGTCATGCTTACGCTGCCTGAGACTTGGTCTGCAGGGGGCCTGAGAGATGGAACGGGACCATAATTAGGTAACCAATTGGACAAGTGCTTGGCAAGTATAACTAGGAGTGGAGGGATGGGCCTAGAAGTAGGAAAAGGGAGCTAATTTCTGAGTTCATCTCTGGGAACCTCAAGCCACAGCAGTTTTTTATTTTTGGAACGTCCCAATCTCAGTTGTCAATGTTATATTACCTGTGGAAACAGATAAGCAAGCAATAAATAGCCCTGTGGATTTTGTTGTAGAAGTCAGATTGCCTTTGGGGTTACATGGGGGCATTTCCAGAGAATTTCCCATGAACATTGCTCAGGCAAATACTGACAACTGGGAAATGCTAAAGCTGGATAATGCAAGTAGAAAACAAGACAAAATCCTCCTGGTCTTACATGGTGTTGAAACAAATTCCATCAAGCATTATTATAACGGGAACTTTCCCTGCTAAGTCTCAGTCCTCGCTCTTAAAGTCAAATAGCACTATCTAAATTTCCAAAGAGCTTTCATTCAACCATTTGTTCAGACATTTATTAAGGTGTTGGGTTGGCACTGGGGTATCTAGGGATCATTGAGACACTGTCCTTTCCCTGGAGGAGCTCACAGTCTAATGTGGGAGAGAGATAAGTAAACAGGTCATTATTATTAAAACTATACACTAAAGGTCTGGTAACATTGAAGAAGGGGTGGCTGTGACAGGCCTAGGGAAATGGATTGAGGTTTTTAAGGAAAGTTTTTCAGGGAGGAGATTGTTGAACCAAACTTCAAATTGGGGTGTGTTAGTGAAGAGTAGGGGATGCTGTAAGAGGAGATGCCTTTAAGAGAGACCCAGAGCATTGTCGACAAACCATGCATAAATTATACATGGGGAAGATAAGGGTAGAGAGATTGGAGTGGAACATGTAGAGTTATGTAAGGCAAGCAAAGGACTGTGTACTTTTTTCTTTAGATCATAAATAGCCATTGAAGAGTTTTGTACAGAAAAGATTTATCTTGGGAAGCTTGCTCTGGCAACACTGTGGAAGATGAATTTTATGGAGGTAAAGCTGGAGTTAAGATCAGTTAGGAGGCTCTTGCAATAGTCAAAAATACCAAAAGCCTAAACTATGGCAATGTCAGTAGACATGAAAGAGCAGTGTCATTTGAAAATATATAATAATAATATTAATAATAATCATGAGCGCAAACAATTTCATAGTACTCACTATAAGCTAGGCACTATTCTAATGTTCACAACAAACCTTTGAGGGAGGTGCTATTATAATCATTTTACAGGTAATGAAATTAAAACCAATGAGGTTAAGAAATTTGCCCAAGGTCATTTCCTTTTGAGGTGGATTATCCCAGGTGACCTAGGGCCAGGAGGTGGGAATATGATTGTACCTGCAGTTAAAGCTTCATTATCTTGGCATGAATTAACCATGTGAAGGCCCAATACAGTTCTTTGGATAAGATGATTAGTTAAGGTGTATAAGACAGGGTTCACTCAGGGAAACACAGCTACTGTAAGTAATACAGAAATTAGAGATTCATTATAGAAACTGGTTCCTATACAAATGTGGAAGGAGCTGGGGAAGTGAAGGTCTGGAGAGAGGGAGGCTCAGAGAAACAGTCTAGTGCAGACTGTTTCTAAAGACCTGGTGCAAATGGCCACTTGGAGCTTGCAGGATAATCCTACAAGCAGGTCTGGCTGCTTAAGTGGGACCACAAAGTGGGAGCTTGCAGGGAGGTGTCTGTGGAAACTGCTGCTTCTGGGGTAGCTGTTGGCTCTGCATAGTTGCTGCCTCTGTGGGTCTGCTGGTGGACCTGGGGCAGTTGTTGGTCAGCAGGCCTAGCAGTCATGAAGATGAGCTAGACACAAAGTGGAGGCAAGCAAGAACAAGCTGGCACCCACTTAGCACTCCTGCATCTGTTCCTTTGTCACCATGTCTAACTGTGATGACCTTCTGAAAACAATGTCTTCTGTTTCATCTCCGCCCTCCAAATTTCACACCAGTTCCTCTACTGGCAAACAATGACCCAGCCATACAGGGAAGAGTGTCCTGGGAAACATGGCTTCCAGCCTTAGCCAAGTTGACCAAACACACAGCGCGTCATGGACTGGGAGGGAAAGTAGAGCTTTGCTCTAGCAGAGGCCTCTTGAGGATACTGCAATGTGCAACATTGTAGCATTGCGGTAGTGACTAAAGGAAGCATTAAGGGGCGCTACGTAAGACGTGTGGAAGGATTAGCCTATGACAGGAGAATGGATTCTGAATTCTTAGAAGAAGGGGAGGTGGCAAGGATGCATGTGACCATTGACACCTTCATAGGTGGAAGGGAGGGAGGAAGTTATACAGCCTTTTGGAGGGGAGGAGAACTAAATTAATGGGGAATGGAGCAACCAGTAAGTAAAATGAATTCCTTTAAATTATCTGTGAGGCCAGAAAAGAGAATGGTGTGGCTGTAAGAGGGATCCTGTAACTCAAAAGCGTGTGACTACAGACTGAGTAATTGAATAAAGACTGAGAGTTTGGTTGCTAAGAGCAACATGGACAAGGAAAAGCACAGTTTTTACTGATCTGGAAAAAGAGCTTTTGCAACACAAGGTGTGATTCAGTGCAGGGAAGGAATTGAATTTTTATCACTTCTGTGTCCAGCACAGTGCTCTATTTGTGTTTGATGAATGGAAGTGAAAAAGTGGCAACAAGGAACTCTGAGAAAGGGGTCCAGCGTGGAGAGCTTCTGATGGACAGCTCACTTGAATTTATAACAACAATTAGATCAATATTTAGAGCAAAGTGTCTCAACCTCAGCATGATTGACATTTTAGACTAGATAATTTTCAGTTGCGGGAAGCTGTTCTGAGCACTGCAGAATGTTTAGCGGCATCTCTAGTCTTTACCCATTAGAAGCTAGTAGCAGTCCCCTAGTTTTAACAACCAAAAATGTCTACAGACATTGCTAAATGTCCCCTGGAGAGCAAAATCACCCCTAGTCGAGAACTAGTGATTTTGAGAGAGGTAGCCAACATATTACCATTTTGTTAAACTAAACTTCCATGGTTCTAGGAGGGACTTGGGGTAAAGATTAAAGGGGTTTTTCTGAAAATAGGAAACAACCTAAATATTCAAGGGAATATTGATCAAATCAATCATGGTACATTTAAATAATAAAATATTATGTAGCCATTAAAAATTATTCTATAAAACTATATTAACATGAAAATATGCTCCAGAATAATTGAAAAAAAAGCATGTATGTGTATCTATGTGTATATATTTGGACTTGGCAAAAAAGCATGAGAGGATGTACACCAAAATGTTCGCAGTAAAAATCTTGGAGGTGAGGGGAGTGTGGGAAGAATGACAGACTTTTAGCCATCTTTCGTTTCTGTATTTTCTACAAGCATACATGATTTTTTTAAAAGGTGGATATGCGGGGAGAGGGATTTGCTACTTCTAGGTCAAAAGGATGGGGTTGGTTTATTTATGTTTGTCTGTTTTTGGTCCTGAAGTTATACGCCAAAGAGGTGCCATAATTTGACCTTTGCTGCAGCTCCTTGAGAAACTTAGTGTGTGGGTTTTTCTGGCAAAATTGAATAAAGCTTGTTTAAAGGCTGGAGAATGGGCAAATTGGGCTGTGCTTGTAAACAACTTCTTCTATCAAGGAGGAGTTGGGATAAGGAACACATCCAGAAGAAGAAGCTGGGAGAAAAGGTACTCGGGACATGGCTTGGAAGACCCCTTCCCACTGATGACCCAATAAAGAGAAATATAGCCTCAGGCTTCTCTTTTGGAACATTCACTCTTGGCGTAAATTTGCTGGAAGCCTCTTCTGAGTAACAGCATCTTATTGGGCTGCATGCATATCTTAAATTACCCACTGGCTCCAGCAAACAGCTCTTTCCCTTCCCCACGGGCCATAACTCTGAAGTGGCAAAGCCTCAGGCTTCAGTGAGTCAGCCCCAGTAGGGCCAGAGAAGAACAAAATGAGGGGAGGGAAGCTGCTCTGGGGGATACTGGGCACCCAAAGCCAGTCAGACTATGGGCAGCTAGGGAGCATGTACCTCTTTTGCAGGACCTTTTGTTTGAGGGGCTCAGGGTGGGGGCCAGAGGGAAGGTAAAGGAAATGAAGAACCCTCTCAAAAGCAACAGAAGTGATTTCTTCTTGTGTATTTATAAAGACAAGTTTTTTAAAAGTGAGATTTGTTTGACAGTGAGTCATCTCCAACATTTGATGGATATGATTCAGATGACCTTCCCTGACAGCATATTCTGAAAATACGGGCTAAAGTTTCCTGATTATTCAGAAACCCTCAAAGAGTTCTAAAAGGCAGCATCATCAACTTGATTTTTTAATCATCCATATTTTTGGTCTTGTTGTTAATAGGTTCAAAGCAAATAATAACAACCCCTGGCTCTTCTGGGAGCAATGGATGCTTACCTAGGACCAGCAATAATTAAGTTGCCATCAGCACAAAGCCTAGAACCAAAGTGAAGTTCAAGAACCCCGAGTTCTAAAACCCATCTTTCAATAATGAACAGGAGACCTGACCTTGAGCAAGGCACCTTACCAAACTGGGTTTTTGTTTGCTTAGATTCGGCATGAGGATAGAATTATGCTAGACAGTGTTAAAGTCCCAACCAGCCTTCCTTGACAGCCCAGTACTCAACAAGGCTAAGTATCTATCCTCTGTGCAACCTTAACATTTTGTGTTTATCTCTTTAATGACACTTATCACCAAATCTCATCATGGCCTCACTGGTCTATAAGCCCTTCAAATACTATAGGCAGAATCACTGCCTTATTCAGCACTGTATTCCTAGAACCTGGAACATTGTCTGCATATAGCAAGTAGTCAATAGACATTTGTTGAAAGAAAGCATGAGTTATCTTAGAGTATTACCATTCCAGTTTTCAGTCTCATTTCTCCACTATTATTTCCTCTGCTTTCTCCTTTTGTCTAGAATAAAAATTCCTACCTGAGCTTTGAGTAACCTTCAAGCCATTTTGGGGAACCAGCTACTTAGACACCTTTTGGTCTCTGAATGAGACCAAAATGAGTCTATTGTTGTGGCTATGAGAATGTGCCTCTCAAATGTCCAACTATGAGAGTATAATCAACTGAGGGCCTAAACTGCTGAGCTCTGAAGTTCATTGCCATGTTTGCTCCAAGGCACTCCTTCCAGTGACTACTTCCAGTCAGTGACTGAGTCTACCAGGGGTACTAGGGCAGACCTGTTCCTAGGAGACATGGATCATCTGATGAGAAACCTTGGCTTGAGGATTCTCTAATGGCCTTGCTGAACTCTCCTTGGAACTTAGAACTAGTCTAAGATGCATCCAACCTCCCTTCCTTCCTTCCTTCCTTCTTCCCACCCTCCTCTTTCCTTCACTTGGGGTCAGATTTACAGCCAATGTAATCCACTGGCTCCCTTTTAACATCTATTTCATAGGCATTTCCCTGAACATATTTTATCTACTTTTATCTTCTCTTCACATCTGCTTTTTGGAGGACCTGGGCTGACACAACCACTTTCTATGAGAATATCCTCTACACCCACTGAATGGGCCTCAAGTGTCTTGTTTGTCTTTCACTCTACTCTTAACAATTTGGACTAGGGTAGATTCATCACATTTTATCTCCAAGGAATTTGAAACTAGGAGTCATAGGTAATAAGTTAGTCTATGTGCATGGCTCTAACTGAGGAAAACAAATGGTAGCCATACGCAGCCATCTTCTGACCATGATGTATTTGGAGATGCAGAGAAAGCCAGTCTGGAAAGAAAGAAAGAAAGAAGGAAAGAGAGAGAGAGAGAGAAAGAAAGAAAGAAAGAAAGAAAGAAAGAAAGAAAGAAAGAAAGAAAGAAAGAAAGAAAGAAAGAAGGCAGGCAGGCAGGCAGGCAGGCAGGCAGACAGGCAGGAAAGAAAGAAAGAAAGAAAGAAAAAAGAGACATAAACTGCAGAGACCTAAAGATAGTACTCCCTGAGCACCTGATAACATTACTGTCCTTTGTTCTAGGTACCCAGATGTCTGGCTGTCCTTAGCTTCTGCAAGATACTTTAGAACCTATCCAATACATTCTATTTTGGGCTTAAGCTATTTTAAATTGAATTCTGTTGCTTGCAATCAGAAGGATCTAGACTGAGAGTCAGCTCTCAGACCTAATGAAGCTTTAGCCACAAAATAAGCCAAATGTTAACATATAACGACAAAAGATAGCTAGTAACTCTCTCCTTAAGAAGAAGCCATGTGTCCTGTCATGATAGTGATCATATAAGTTACCATATATAAATCATATAAAATTATATATGATCTAGCTTATAGATCATATATAAATTATCTAAATTGCAACATTTTTGAGAGTAAAGAGTGGTGCTATTCATAATTGTGCTAAAACTACCAGCTTGATCCAAGACTGTGCTGGATAACCCAGGGCCATTTAGAGTAACACTACCTCCATAAGAAGAGTCAGTTGGCAAAGGAATTAAGGAGGCTGGACACAGTTGTAGTGAAACCCCTTATAGTATCTTATTGAAATTCCAGTTTTCTCTCAAAATAAAAAAAAAGAAGTGTTTTTTGTGTCTTCAATGTGCAGAAGAGAAAACTGAGGTCTAGAAAGCAATGACAAGCCCGAGACCACGCCTCTGATAAGTAGAAGAGCTGGGCTCAAATCCAAGTCTCTGGTCTCCTACTCTAGTGCTCTTTCCTGCATGAAATAGCCCTCAGAAGTATGGATTCTCTTTCAGTGTGATCTCAGGGCTCTTCTGCCTGTCTGAAACACCAGGGCCACTCAGAGCAAATATTCTTAATGAGAATACAGCAGTACCCCCTTATCCATGGGGGATTCTTCCAAGACTTCCAGTGAATGCCAGAAACCACGATACTACCAAACCGTATATACTGTGTTTTCTTCCTATACATCCTACCTATGATAAAGTTTAATTTGTAAATTAGGGACACTAAAAGCTTAACAATAATTACTATTAACATACCATAATAAAAGTTACATGAATGTGGTCTCTTTTTTTTCAAATATTTTATTGCATGTAATATTTTTGGAATGTGGTTGACCACAAGTAACTGAAACCATGTAAAGCAAAACCATAGATAACGGGGACTAGTGTATATTCTGAAAACATTTGTTGGGAGTGTCCTTGTGTCACATAGATTTTATTTTTCCAGAGTTGTTTGCAGCTGTATCTTCCATTCCACATACTATTCTAAAATGCATTCTTTTCACTCTTCCGTTAAGAGGTAGAGTATACTTCCACTGAAAAAACAAAGTAAAAATCCAAGGATACTTGGCACGCCATCCTTAACTTGGCCCCCTTCTTACCTGCCTCATCCCCTAAGCTTTCTGCTGTAATGTGGCAAAACCTCATAGCTTCTGTGCCTCACTGACAGGTGGCCTGTTTTACTGCCCCATGCTATGCTCATGCTGTGGTCTCCCCCTCAATCCCATTCTTACCTATTCAATCTTACTCATCCTTGGTGTTGTTTGAAACTCGATGTTCTCCTCTTGATGAGGTCTCCCTAAATGCTTTACATTTGTCTATCTAAGCAGGTAACACATTTTATAGAAGTTTTGTGTTATTGTATCTAACTTCCCAAGGAGGATTTACGCCTCTGGGTATTAGGACAGCCTTATCTATCTATCATCTGGTTATTCATTCATTTATTTATCATCTTATTTCTTTTGGAATTCTCAGCATTAGGCCAGACACTGATCAAGAAATGTTTGATAGAGTAAAACCAAGGAGAGTCAATGAAAATAAATGGAAGGCTTTCAATCAATTTCTTCCCTTTTAACCAGCCCCTCTTGCCAACAACTACTCATCTACCAACAGTAATCAAAATGTCAACAACAACAACAAAACCAAACCTGCCTTCTAAATGTTATAAATGCATAATGCACACAATCTTCACGGCCTTATGGGGTGGATATTATCATCTTGATTTTACAGATGAGGAAACTGAGCCAAAGCAAGATGAAATAATTTATTCAAGCACCCATGGTTTGTAAGGGGCAGAGTTAGGATCTGAACCTACACATTCTGGTTCTGAAAGCTGGGCTCTGACCTCCCATTCAGCACTGCCTCCCTGAAACTCATCACCATGCCTTGAAATCCCTGGGAGGGCTCGGGGTTAACCTCTCCTGGCTCTGCTCCACCGTGCTCTGTCTGGGGCAAGTTGCTAGTAACTGCTGCATTCCCATAGGGAGACAAGGTTAAAGAAAGAGGAAGAAAGGCAGATAAATAATTTACCACCTGAGCACTGAGAGGAGATTTCTTGGATTAAGAGTCAGGAAACTCAAGACATGATTTAGACAATAAGGTAATAAATGATACAATTATTATCCAATTGGCTATAGGCTCATTCCGGTTCAGGAGTCTTTGGTTCACCTGATGTGGCTCCTGCTTCTGTCCTTCCAACACAATCTCTCTGTAAACAGAGGCAGATTTCCTCCCCTGCCCCCCACCTCTATCAAAATAAGTTTGCTTGTAAAGCCTGAACTCTATTTTTTATTAAAGGAGTGAACCTCTCAAGTTATTAAAGGCATATGTTGATATGTCTTTGTGGGATTGGGAAGGGAGTGGGGAAAAGAGAGCAATGAAGAGATGCTAGGCAGGGCACTCACCTCAGTGAGATTCCTGGGGAAATGTAGTTAAGCCAGCAACAGGTTTGTTGAGGACATCAGATAACTGGTCACTCAAATTCCAAAACAAAACAGAAACCTCATTTTTCTCACTCTCTGGAATAGGACTTATGATTTTCTCTTTGCATGGTCTGTTGGGGACATGGTATTGAGTGGGGAGTGGGAGTGTGGGCTCTGGGTCCAGATGGTCTGGCTGTACTGCTGTACTGTACAGAATTCTGGCTGTACTGCTCCCTGGCCGTGGGAGCTAGGATAGGTTTCTTAATCTCCCTGTACTTCAGTTTCCTCATCTTTAAGGCGGGGGTAATAATAGCACCTCCTTCAGGTTATTGTGATGAAAATGTTTGTAAAACACTTAGAACAGTGCCTGGCATATTGGGAGTACTTGGTAAATACTAACTGCAAAATATGAGTCTCAGCAAAATGTATGAGATCCAGAGCTCATCCCATCTCTGATGAGGACTGCAGTGCCAAGATTCTGTAGGTTATTTTTTCCTGCTATCAGAGGTTACATGGCAGAGAGAAGGGTCTCACTTGATGGGTTAGAAGTCAGGGTGAAAGCACTGTTAAACCTAAAGAGTCCTCATTTTCATCATTTGGAAATATATCTAGTCATTCCATCCATATATGTAATAGTTCATTTACTGAACACAGGTAGTTATTTACATTCTTCCTCACAGATCCTGTGCTGCTTAGCAGCTAAGTGTAGAGAAATGAGTAAGAAAGGTCCATGTTGAAATCATTACATTTTAGGGAAGAAAACAGACATGTAGAATTAACATGAATATAATGAGTTCCCAAGAATATCTGGGTTCAAACCCTGGCTCCAACTATTGAGGAGTTGAGTAACCTTAGGTTTATAACTTCTCTATATCTCAGATTTTTTTCTTTAAAATACAAATAATACCCAGATACAGTGGTTTACACCTATAATCCTAGCACTTTAGGAGGCTGAGGTGGGCACATTGCTTAAGCCCAGGAGTTCAATACCAGCCTAGGCAATATGACAAAACCCTATCTCCACAAAAATTACAAAAAAAAAAAAATTACTCAGGCATGGTGACACATGCCTGTAGTCCCAGCTACTCAAGAGGCTGAGGTAGCAGGATTGTTTGAGCCTGGGAGGCAGAGGTTGCAGTGAGTCAAGATCGCATCACCGCATTCCAGCCTCGGCAACAGAGTGAGACCCTGTCTCAAAAAAAAAAAAAACTGCAAATAATAACAACAACAACATCTACTTCATAAGGTTTTGATAAAGCATAAATGAGAAAATTCACATAAGATGCTTAATACAGAGCTTGATGCATAATATACACTCAATTATAGCTTAAAAGTGCTATGATAGATAAAAGAAAAGTGATATAAAGTGATAGAAAACATGACAGCTTTAAAAGAAACAGTGGTATGAATAAAGAGCTATGCGAGCAAAAGGGGTGGGAAGGCATCCCACTATGAGGTGGGGGAAATGAATCTGAGTAGCAAAGGCTGCAGAGAGGAAGGGATATTGGAACTGGTTTTAAAAATGATTAAGAGTCAACCAGGAGAGAAAGGAAGGGCGTTCCAAGGAGAGAAAACAGCAGAAGCAAAGGCACAGAGGAAAGAAAGGAGATGGCATGTTCAAATAAGGGAAATTCATTGAGGCAGCAAGGGAGAGAGGGAAGGGTACATCAGGCCAGGCCATAAGGGAAGCATTTCTTGACAAAATACGAGTTTAGACTTTGTCCTGCAGGACAACTTTTCCCAAGACCTGTTCTGTAAAGCATTCACCGTGGAAGATGTAAGGCGCCGCTTCATGAACAAAACCAGCACACCAGTAAATTTGGGAAGTGCTGGGTTGAGCTAAGGTGAGCTCTTTACTCGCAGACTCTTGCACACCTTTAACAGACTAAGGGGTCTCTCCCCATGAGAAGGAGAAGAGTATAGAACATTTTTTGGAAAAGTTTGTCCCACAACCTCGATGGTGAGTTCTGATAAATCCTGTCAAGCAAATGCTACTACAGGTAAGAGAGTAGAGGTTGCATGTTCAGAGCACCATTTAAGAGATTAATTAAACAATGTGAAGAATGGAGGTTTGAAGGATGGATTGCAGGTGTCAAGACTGAAGGTAGGAGACCAGAATAGCAGAATAGAGGCCAGTGCAGTGGTGCTTTTGACAGATGCTGAATGTCCAGGGCACTGCCAGTAGGAAGAGGGGAGGTGGCTTAGAGCAGCAGATAATAGCAGGGACTCTGCAGCCACACCTTCTGGGTTTGAACCCAAACCCTAGCTTTGCTCCCTACTAGTTAACGACCGTGGACAAATGGCTTCACCTCTCCATGCCTCAGTCTCCTCCTCTGTACAATGAGAGTAATGTGCTCATGGGAGACATTATTTATAAAGCGCTTAGAATAGTGCCTGGTACATATTAACACTGCAAGAGCATTTGGTTAATTAAATGGAGAGGATAGGGTAGAATTCCCAGAGGGATTTTGTTGGAGCAAGTAAGAAAGGAGACCATGTACTGTACAAAGCATGTCTCTGCTCTCTTGTGTCATGCTGGTTTCTTTGATCTTTTGTATGATTCCCTTTCCCCGTATTCCTTCCTTGTTTTGTTGACAGACCAAAGCCGTCATATTGCTTGACAAAGAAGCAAACTGGGGCTTTATATGAGCATTTAACTTGTAGGAATGCAAATAAAACAAAATAAGATAATTTAAAAATAATAAGTACGTGTTATATTAAAATTATACATTAATATAAAATATGTATCATAAAATGGCATACATATAAAAATGTAAGTAGTGTGAGCCATTAATTGTGCCCACCATTGCACTCAGGGAGCTATAATGTTGATGTTGGGGGAGGATGGGGATGGCGGTCTCCATTCCTGTATGCTGCTGAGAGAGACAGCAACTTGACAAGCTGCAAAGTTTAAAGGTAAATATTTTTCTTATGACATGTTGGTCTGGTGCTCGATTGGAGAAATAGAGATCTGGTTCTGGGAGACATTCTGGCTGTGTTAGTGGAGGCAACCTTATAAAGATTTTCAAAGGTGATTCTGATTGTGTTATTTTTGTGTAATACACTTAAGAACATCACTGCCATATAAGCTGCAACTCTCTTAGAAGGTAGGACTGAGATTATGACCTGGGTCTTCCTGACTCTAAAGTCCTTGCTTTTTCTGCCACGTAGACCCTTGTAGACAAGTGCTTGTGATTCATCGGCCCATTACTTCAACACCTCTTTATTCGATGTCTGTAATATGCCAGAAACATTGCAAGATGCTGTGGATAAAGTGGAGAACAAGTCAGGCACAGTTTCTGTTATCATGGGGCTTCCAGCCTCTGGAGAAGGTGTGGTACAGAGATGAACTGATGCAGGGCAGGATGGGGAGACAGACTTGCCCACTCATGTGGAACTTACAGCATTCTCTAATCCACTCAGTAAACCGGGACCTAAGTTAGGATCCTAGGTGTCATAGTCAAGTCAAATAAAAACCAGGGCTAACTTTTGGAATGTGGCAGCTCAGCACAGTTTAGCCCAGTTTTCCTCTACCCTGGTTGCCCATTAGTGTCATCTAGGAGTGTATATGCTCGTTCCTGATAAACGTAATTTAAAAATCTCTGTTTAAGCTAAAGACTAAGAGACTTAGAGATGAACCAAAGACTGGGAAGATGCTCTACCTCCTCACACATCTGCCCATAAACTAGAACAACAACAACAACAAAAAGCCCTATATTTTAGAGCTGGAGCTGTGTATGGAATGGGACTTTGGCATACTGGCAATGGAAGTGGACTGTCAGGGGTGGAATTCTAGCTCAGCTACTTGCCAGTTATGTGGCCTTGGATGAGTCATTTAACCCCCTAAGGCCTCGGTTTTCCGTTAAGAGGATTAAATAAGTGAATAGATTTAAACCTCTTAAAAGAGAAAATAATATATAACAAGCACTTAATACATGTTAGCTCTTATTGTTTTTCTCATTATGAGAAAATTCCTCAGATCAACACAAAGCTTTGAGGAGTGGTCCTTAAACTCTTCTTTCTCTGGGCTCATGGTGTGTTCATTCTTCTGGGTTTCAGGTCTTCTCCTATTGTTTGGGTCTCCTGTTGTTCTTGGTTTCTAAATTATCACATTCTGTATACCAATGTCTCTTTTAATTCACGCTTTACTTGTTATTTGGCTTTGGGTATTAATGTAAATGTAAAATGGCTTCAAATTCTTTTCTACTCATCTTATTGAGATGTAGAATCTGATTTCTATTCTTTTGACTCTGGGCTAAGCTTAGCCTTTTGCTAGAGCAAAAGAATATAGTAGTGTCTTACTTAGTGTCTTTGCTTAGCATCTTGCTTGAGCAAAAATATACAGTAGAAATAATGTCCTAAAATGGAGATGCGAGCTGATAAGAAGTCTTGGAGTTTCTGCCTGGGCATCGAGGATGCACTCTGGGGAAGCCAATTTCCTTGAAAGAAGTCTAACCACCCTGAGGCCATGATGCTAGAAAAAGCACATGGAGGGACCACATGGCAAGCTCTTGAGACTGCATGAGGAAAGATTGGCCTGGCAGCTCCCAAACACTCCCACTCTCGACCATTCTCTCAAACTGATACTCCAGGCATCAAGTAGAGCAGGATGAGTCATCCCTGCCCAGCCTGGCCTCAACTGCAGATTCATGAGCAAGAGAAAGTAGTAAGATTGAGGGAAGTTTATTTGGTAGCAATAGATAATGGAAGAAGAATGCATAAACTGAGTCCAGGAAAGGCTTATTGGTAGAGTAGAGTCATATGTCAAACAGCACATGTATGTCATCATGAAAAAATGGTTTATATTCCATGAAGCTGGGTAAAGCTGGCTTCAGCAATTCAGCTGTCTGCCTGTATGTTGCTGATCTAACTAGAGCTGAACCTCAATATTTCTCCCATTGCTGTAAAGATGCTTTTGTGTTTGCTAAAGCTAAAAACATATTCTGGAAGAGGGATGCTGAGTATAACTGGGAGGCAGAGCTGATTCACAAAGCTAAGGCTAAAAAAGGAAATGATTCATATGTGAAGGATGCAAAATTCCATTCAACAAAACTTTATTGAGCATCTATGATGTACAGCCTAGGTACCAGAGATGCACAGGTGAAATTCCCATGGGTGCATGGGTGGAGGGGTGGGACCAATAATTCCCTCCCATTCTGTTAAGAGCTATCCCAGAGGTTAAGTCTAGAGTTCAGTGGAGTGCAAGAGAGCATATATTCAACTCTACCTCAAGAGCTCAGGAACAAATTCATGGGGGAGGTGGTGCTAATGTTAAGTATTGAAGAATGAATAGGAGTTTACCAGGAAGCCATAGGAGAGGCAGCTACAGCACAGTAATTAAATACATGCAATCTGGGAGTACCCAATTTCTGGCTCTATCACCATTGACTTTATAGACTAGGATAAGTTACTTAACCTCTTTGAGCCTCAGTTTCATTTTTTATAATAATATTAACAATTGTAACTTATAAGAGTTGTTCTGAGGGTCAAACACATTAAAATATGTAAAGCAATAAAAATAGAGTCCAGTACATTGCAAACATGCAGTCAATGTTGGCTCTTACAGAGAAAATAACATGTGCAAAGGTATAAGGGCAAGAAACAGCATGGTGAATGACTAGCAGTTCACAGTGACTAGCACAAGGAGTTGATGGGGACACAGGGATGGAGTAAGCTGGCAAGGAGTTAGAGTGGTCAACAGGGACCAGATTATGAAAAACCTTATATGCAATGTGTGGATTCTACCTTCCAGGGCAGTTATACTTCACCACGATGAATTCCTAGGAGGAAATAGCAGAGTCACTGCTTGGGCAGTGTATTAGTCTGTTTTCACATGGCTATAAAGAAATTCCTGAGACTGGGAAATTTATGAAGAAAAGGGGTTTATTTGATTCCCAGTTCTGCAGGCTGTACAGGAAGCATGACTAGGATGCCTCAGGAAACTTACAATCATGGCTGAAGGACTAAGGGGAACCAAGCACCTTCACATAGCAGAGCGGGAGAGAGAGAGCCAAGTGGGAGGTGCTACACATGTTTTGTTTGTTTGTTTGTTTGAGAGGGAGTCTCGCTCTGTCGCCCAGGCTGGAGTGCAATGGCACAATCTCAGCTCACTAAAACCTCTAACTCCCAAGTTCAAGCAATTCTCCTGCCTCAGCCTCCCTCGTAGCTGGGATTACAGGCACCTGCCACCACACCTGGCTAATTTTTTTGTATTTTTAGTAGAGATGGGGTTTCACCATGTTGGGCAGGCTGGTCTTGAAATCCTGACCCTAGGTGATCTGCCCACCTCAGCCTCCCAAAGTGCTGGGATTACAGGCATGACCCACCATGCCCAGCCAGGTGCTACACACTTTCAAACAACCAGATCTTATGAGAATTCTATCATGAGACAGCACTAGGTGGATGGTGCTGGTGCTAAACCATTAGAAACTGCCCCCATGATCTAATCACCTCTCACCAGCACCCGCTCCAACACTCGGGATCATCATTCAACATGAGATTTCTGTGGGGACACAGCGCCAAATCATATCAGGCAGTATATTTTTTTCAAAGCACTTTTGATATCGTAAATTCCCATTGTTTTGATAATGCACACTAGCTAACATAAAGACAAGCAAATTCTTCTTGATGCTTGTTCTCTGTCTTCAGGGAACTGACGATCTGCCATTTCAGAAAAAGGAGAGAGGAGACCGCCCTAT
Organism: Homo sapiens; assembly: GCF_000001405.40. NCBI lineage: Eukaryota > Metazoa > Chordata > Mammalia > Primates > Hominidae > Homo > Homo sapiens. Next base: position 27,915,984 of record NC_000011.10, read on the forward strand.
GGAGCATATTCAAACTGTGGCAGGCTTGAGATTTTAAAAAGCAGGTCATATGAGGAGCTGGGTATTACGATAAAAGACTAAGAACCCTGTAATGGGAAATAGGAAGTCACTGAAGGGTTGCAATCAGATGAGAATAAGGATTAGCCTTGCATTTCAGAAGCATCACTTTTGTGGCAGTTTGAAGGGAGCATAGGAATGGCAGAAGACGCTGGTCAGTGCTGGAAGAAAATAGATGAATAGACGAATGCTGCAATGACCCAGGCAAGGGATTATTTGGGCCTTATTTAAGGAAGTGGTAATGGAGATGGAAAGGAGGGGGCACAGCCTTTATGGCAGAATAGGTGGATAAAGTAGGTAATAAAAGCTTCCAAGTAGCTGAATACTCTTGGATTCTTCAGTCCCTGGCAGGGCCCTTTGTTCCTCACTGCAAGTGTCTCCCTGTCTTGTCTCTCAGACCAGACTGAACAGATTCATTCTTTGAACTCAGATTTCTTGAGTAAGTACCTACAATGTGGCAGGCCCTGTGTGAGGCAAGAAAAGTGAAGATTGTGATTATTCTCTCCTAGAATCATCTTATTGTATATAGTCAAAAGACTACACATAATCTTGACCCATTAACTTGTGGGATTTTTCAGCTGAGAGCCAAAACCACAAGAAGGTCATTTCTTAAAACCCATAATCAGGCGGATTTCCCCTAGCTGGTTTTGCAACCAGGTGCACACCTCATTTCCGAATCCTGCCTAACTTGAGAACACTGCCTTTTCTGTAAAGCAGAGATGTGATTGGGGAGGAGGATGGCCAAAACCATTCTCTCTTCATACGCAGATCCCCGGGGATTAGACCCATCATCATATTATGACTTGGAGGCTTCTGACAGGAAAAGCCAAGACATAAATCCCCTCCATTGTAAAACCATGAGAGAAGTAAGCCAGCCTACGTTTGGAGCCTCATTCACAAAATCTCTCTGATCTCCAGGAGCTTCACTCAGCATCTTGATGCCTGTGGTTCCCCACCTATAAAACCATGGGTACAGCCTCCTGGCTGTGGCTTCTATTCCCAGGGGAGGAGAAAGATGCCGCCACCATCTCTAGCACTGAGCTCATTAGGAGAGGGTGCTTCTTGGATATATGTCTTCTGGTGAAATACTTGTTTCAAAATTTTTACTTTTACAAAGATGAAGATGATGATATAATTAAACATCATGTCTTTTGTCTACACAGGCCAAGGGTAACAAGGAGGTTGGGCAGAAAGTGCAAAAGGAAAACACAGTAATGACATTGAGTGTCTCTTCATGAAAAGAAGAGGCTTGGGGTCTGAGTTCCTGGCAGGGCCTGGGAATCTGAGCTAGGCAAGGATTTGGGATGGGAAAAGTGAATCCAGGGGAAACATCATTTGCTTTTTGCCTCTTCCACTTCATGGAACTGAATGGCTATCTAAGGAGAGACGTCTTATGGACAAACCAAAATCAATATACTACCAGACTGTCCTTACCATGGGTCATTTGGGTAGGAATATAATGAGTGGGAGATTCTACATGCTGACCACGGGAGGCAGAGTAGGAGAATGGTTAGGAATACCAGAATTTGAAGAGAGAATGGGAAGCTCAGATACACTTTCTGACCTAAAGAACATGGTGACAAAGGCTTTGATCATGTCTAGTAAAGCAGATATAGAAGTACTGACTTGATTTGCAAAGATGCCAGGATTTAATTCTAGATGCCCCACCTGGCTGGGTAATCAAGGAACTGGAGATCAGGATTTATCTTCCCATTTCACAGATCACAAAACTGAGGCTCAGGAAGCTTAAATAAATCACCCAAGTTCATACATCTAGTGAATAACAGAGCCAGGATTAAATTCAGGACATGTGACTCTAAATATAACATCCTTTCCATTACACCAAATGTTTTACAAATGTCTGAAGAGAAAGGAGAATGGTGAGCTCCCAGATTAAAAGACAAATATGAACCAACTGAACAAACCAGAGTGACAGTAAATGTAAAGGGGCTAGAGCCAGGCAGGCAGTAAAGATGTAGAGGAGGATTACAGAAATGCATACAGATGTAGGAGTTTGGGTAAGGGGTCTGGATTCAGACGCAGGATCCACCTCAGAGAGAAGTCCCAGGACCAACAGGTGAGCGAGCACTTGCCTGTCAGCCAGGGAATTCAGGTTGTTCTCTGAAAGGCACTTACCACCTTGGCTTCTTCAGGGAAATATGCAGGAATGGCTATGTAATTTGAGGATCCCAGTGCAAAATGAAAGGGCCTCTTGTCCAAGAAGCAGGAAAAAAAGCATTGTTAAATATATTAAACTGGCTAGGTATAGTTGTTCACACTTGTAATCCCAGCATTTTGGGAGGCCAAGGCAGGCTGATTGCTTGAGCCCAGGAGTGTGAGACCAGCCTGGGCAACAAGGCAAACCACATCTCTACAAAAAAAAATACAAAAATAGCTGGGTGTGGTGGCATGTGCCTCTAGTCCCAGCTACTCGGGAGGCTGAGGCAGGAGGATCACTTGAGCCCTGGAGGCAGAGGTTGCAGTGAGCCGAGATTGAACCACTGCACTTCAGCCTGCATGAGAAAGAGAGACCCCATCCAAAAAAAAAAAAAAAAAAAAAAAAAAGCATCACAAAATGTACTAAACTGTAACTCTTTTTTCTTTTTTCTGTCTTATGTTCTCCCTCTCAATCTGTCATGGTACTTTTTGTTTGCTATTTAATGTTGTGCTCCTCTAAGCATGGAAATTCCCACCAAGTGGGTGCAGATACTCACAGGCATCTCACTGTACACCCTGTTTTTTTCTCTGTCAGGAAGCCTAGCAGGTCATTTATTCAAGTATGCTTCCTAGCAAGCTGCACTGGGACTCTAGGATTTGTGGTGGGAATGAGGGTGAAGGTGTCTTCTGTATTCTTGCTGTGTCTCAGAATGGACTGATTTTTCTCTACTTTCCAACAGCTATTGGGAAGCATCGAACATCCCCACATACACATGCATGTTTGCTAATGCTCTTTCAAAGTTACTAGAGGATTAATATCACTGGCTGAGAAATCTTAATTGGTCTTAAATAGCATACTTCAGGGTTCAGAGAGGATTTTGTTAATGATTTCATTCTAAAGGTAGAGTTCACCATTGCTTAACCTTGCTGTAAAGGTAATTGCTCAGCCCAAACTATTCTTCTAAGAGGGTGAATTTATCTGTACCCATTTCTGAAGAGACTATCAATAAAAGAGAGATTTCCTTTATACTGCTATGCCCCATTTTTTTTCCTCAGATGCATTCCCTCTTCCCTCCATGGGAATGTTGTCACAGGAAATCAACTCATTGGGTTTCTCATTTGACATCTGAGATGATTTTTATCTTTATATTATTTCTCTTGAAGAAGAAACACCTTTTTGAAAGGTTCTATTTATGCCATGAAATATAAGTGTAACCTTTTTAGTTCCTTTTCGGAAAAAAACCGTTCAAGCAGGTGTAACTTCAGCAGTGTCAGCCTTAAACATTTGAGAAAGCTGCAGTTCAGAAAGGTGTGTTCTCCAAATCTTCTTACAACAGGGTAATCATAGAAAGACTACTCTTAAACTCTCAAAATCTAAATAATACAGTACCCAAATTCTTGACACAAATAAACAAGTAAAGATTTTTTTATCACTTGATAGTTTTTTTGAAAGTTTGCCATTCAAGCAACTATCTTCTCACCCATCTCTCCCCCAAACCCAGCCTCCCCATTCTATCTGCTCAATTTTTTAAATTTAAGCTATGATCCACAGCATGGAGGCAAGGTTTTTTTTGCTTGTTTATTTGAGACAGGGTCTCCTTCTGTCTCCCAGGCTGGAATGGAGTGGCATAATCATGGTCTCTCCAGCCTCAACCTCCTGGGATCAAGTGAGCCTCCTGCCTCAGCCTCCCAAGTTACTAGGACGATAGGTGCATGCCACCATACCTAGCTAATTTTTTAAATTTTTTGTAGAGAAGGAGTCTCCCTATGTTTCCCAGGCTGGTCCCAACTTCCTGAGCTCAAGTGATCCTCCCGCCTTGGCTTCCCAAATTGCTGGGATTACAGGTGTGAGCCACCATGACTGGTCTGAAACAGTTTTTTGGCCAATAATTCTTTGAGACTCCTGTGACATCCCAGTCAGGCCTCACCAATATTATAGCCTCTATAAATTCATTACATACAAATAAATTTGGGGTTGTATAAGTGTTATGAACTGAATTGTGTCCCCTCAAAATCGATGTTGAAGTCCTTACCCTAGTACCTCAAAATGTGACTATATTTGGAGATAGGGGCTTTATAGGTATAATTAGGATAAAATGAGGTCATTAGGGTGGGCCCTAATTCAATATGTCTATTGTCCTTATAATAAGAGGCGATTAGGACACAGATACACAGGGAAGAATATAAAACAATTCTTGCAACCCAAAAAGTTCTTTCATGTCCCTTTGCAGTCAGTCTCTACTCCCTATTTACAAGCAAAAACTGATTTGCTTTCTGTTACAAGAGATTAATTTTGCTAGTTCTAAAGTTGCATGTGAGTAGCATCATACAATATGCACTCCTTTGTGCCAAATTTCTGTTGTTCAACATAATTTTTTTATTTTCTATCTTCTGTAGAGATGGGGTTTCACCATGTTGCCCAGGCTGGTCTTGAACCCTGGGCTCAAGTGATCCACCTGCCTTGGCTTCCCAAAGTGCTGGGATTACAGGTGTGAGACGCTGTGCCTGGCCAGCGTAATGTTTTTGAGAGTAATCCATGTTATGCATATACGGTTTGTTCCTTTTTATCACTAAATTGCATTCCATTATTTAAATAACCACAATTTGTTTATTCATTTGCCTGTTGATGGACATTTAGTTTATTTCCAGTTTTTGTCTGTAAGTAAAGCTGTTATGATCATTAGTGTAAAAGTCTTTGTATGGATATCTGTTTTTATTTCTCTTGGATAAATACCTAGGAGTAGAATTGCTGGGTTGTATGGTAAGCGTATTCTTAATTTGTTAAAAAAAAAGAAAGAAAAAAACCTAGCAAACTTTTTTTCAAGCATTTTACTTATGCACGAATTTTTATGTTCTTAAATCATGGACTTACCATTTTACTTTTCCACCAATAATGAATGAGAGTTCAAGTCATTCTATATCCTTGCTAACCCTAATATTATGGGTTTTTAGATATTTTAGCCATTCAGATGGGTATATAGTAGTCTCTCACTGTGGTTTGAATTTCACTGTTCCCTGATGGACTAATGATGTTAAGCATCTTCTCATGTGCTTACTGAATATTTGTGTGTATTCCTTGGAGAAATGTCTGGTCAAATATTTTGCCCATTTTTAATTGGGTTATTTATCATTGAGTTATCAATATTCTTTATATATTCTGAATATAAGTCTCTTGTCTGATACATGTATTAACTTTTTTTTCTCGTCCATGGCTTCTCTTTTCCTCTTGCTGATTTTGGATTTTTGGATGAGCAGAAGATTTTACTTTTAATGATGTCCATATTTATTAATTTTTCCATTCTAAGAAATTTCAAAGTTGAAAACATTTCCTCCTATGTTTTATTCAAAAAGTTTCACAGTTTTAGTTTTTACATTTAAGTCTATGATTAATTTGAAGTTATTTTCTGTGTATGGTGTGAGGTAAGAGTCCTCACACCATTGGGTTTGCTTTGCATGTGCATGTGGCTATTCAATTGTTTCACCATCATTAGTCATAAAAGCTTTTCCCACTGAAAAGTCCCTTGGCACTTTGTCAACAATTTATTGACCATATTTGTGTTGTTCTATTTCTGAATTTCTGTTGTTCCATTTTTCTATATGTCTATTCTTATGTCAATACCACACTGTCCTGATTACTGTTGCTTTACAGTAATTAAGTAAGACTTCAGGTCCAATTTTGTTCTTCTATTTCAAAATTGCTTTTGCTATCCTAGGTCCTTTACATTTTCATATACATTTTAAAATCAGCATATCCATTTCCCAAAACCTTGCTAGTATTTTGGTTAAATTTGTGTTAAATCTATGATTCAATTTGGAGAGAATGAGCATTTTAATAATAATGAATTATTCCAACACATAAACACATGTTTTTTCTCCAATTATTTTGGTCTTTAATTTCTCAGCAATGTATTTCTGTTTTCATTGTACATGTCTTCTACATATTTTGTTAAATTTATCTAGAAGCATTTAATATTTGTTGATACTACTGTACATACCATCTAAAATTTTTATTGCCTAATATTTTTTGTTAGTATATAGAATTATAGTTGAATTTTATATATTGATATTATTTCCTAAGACCTCATTAAAACCCTCATTAGTCCTAGCAGCTCTGTTGTAGATTTTTAGGATTTTCTATGCACACAATCATGTTGTCTGTGAATAAAGGCAGTTTTGTTTTACTACTTTTTCCCCCAAGCTGTAAACTCTTTATTTCTTTTTCTTTTCTTATTGCACATGCTAAGACTTCCAGTACACTGTTGAATAGAAATGGTGAGAACATCCTTGCTTTATTCCTGCTCTGAATGTGAAATAATTTACTGTTTCAATATTAATTTTGATGTTAGCCTAATATTTTTATATATTCAAATAGGTGTTGGATTTTGTTGAATGCTTTTTTGTCTATTGAGATAATCAAATGGCTTCTTCTCTTTAGTTCACTAATGTGATGAATAAATTTGATTGATTTTCAAATGTAAAACCAAATTTGAATTTTTAAGATAAACCCAGCTTCTGTTGGTAGTTCCAGACTAGCCTTGTGCTGCCCCGACAGAGGTACCAGCAACAGCTAAGTGGAGCCTCTTCCTCAGAAGTCTGAGCACCAGCTCTACAGGGCCTTTCCTCTGAGACCCTGTTGTCTACAGCTCAGAAGGTCTGAGGATCAACTACTCATTGTCAATTTTCTGAGCAACTAGTTTCTGCTAATTTCACCTCCTTGTTTTCTCTTCCTAGCCCTAGGGCCCATCACGCTTTCATAAAATCATGGCTTCTCATAGACGGAGATACTTTAGAGATTATTTAGGGTAACCTTCCTGCCAATGCATGAATCCTTGCTACGATATCTCTGTTAAATTGTCATCCATCCTTAGCTTGAGACCCCTTGAAACAAGAAACCCAGTACATCCTGCTTTCTCAAACAAAAGAAGTTAAGAAAATAAAGCAGATTAAGTGGAGGTGCTGTTACAGTTGGAGATGTAGTTTTCCTGAGCAGTGCTGAAGGTCATTATTTATAGGTCAATCTCTTTCAATGGTTTTCCTCTTTTTTTTTTAACCTTATAAACTCCTATGGATATATTCTCAGGATTCCATGGGTTCTATAGGGAAATTAGAAAAAAATGTTTATTTCCATAGCGTTCTTAAGTAAAAGCAATATGACATATTCTAGATGATTTCCGTGGTCACGGAGTACTTACAACAGAATACTACCACGTATTTTCAACCATGTATTTTAAATGTCCATGTTCACTTTATGTCTATGTTATAGTGTATTCAAAAGAATAGTGTATGTTAAGAATAAGAATACTGGATTCATGTCATCTGGTTTGGAATCCCAAGTCAGCAATTTACTGTATGTGTGACTTTGGGCAAATTACTTTGTCTTTCTATGCCTCCATTTCCTCATCTGTAAAATGAAGAAATTAAAATATCTTATTTATAGGAATGTTAGGAGGATTAAATAAATTAATATATTGAAACAATGCTTAGTTCATAATAAGTAAATATATAAATGTTTGGTAGTGTCATTAAATAGTACTAATTTAATTATAGCCAGCTATTAACAAAGGCTTGCAGACTTAATATGTACATTAATCATTATGTACCATGTGAAGGGTAAACACCACCACAGCACATCATACAAAGGATTAGTAGTACTTGTAATAGCAAAAAGTGGTGAGAGAATGAAGTAATTATATGGCACATAAAATTAGCATACACCACATAAGCATACACCACAACATAAAGAGTGGCCGTTTAGTTTCAGCAAAATAACTTAATTTGTCATATTAATGTTAGTGTTGACTTACATTTTACTACGTTTATAGTTTGCTTATATTTAAACAAATTGTGCTTCTATTTATACATCATTGAGAAGTAGAAGCATGTGGAGTTTATGTTTAGTTTCATATTGTACATATTTAAATAACGTGCTACCAAAAGTAATTTGTCAACATTGGAAGTTCATGAGATCATTTTTCCCTTTAAAGTCGGTCCATACATTTTTCAAATTTGAGCTATATGATATAGTGAGGCCACTTCTTTTCCTAATGAAGCACTATCTCTAGTGGTAATTCTAAATGGGCAAAGCACAAAAGAGGCCATTTATACCAAAGACCAGTGTATTAGTCTGCTTTCGCACTGCTATAAAGAAATACCTGAGACTGGGTAATTTATAAAGAAAAAAGGTTTAATTGACTCACAGTTCCACAGGCTGTACAGGAAATGTGATGGTGGCATCTGCTTGGCATCTGGGGATGTCTCAGGAAACTTACAATCATGGTGGAAGGCAAAGGGAAGCCAGCACTTCACATGGCTGGAGGAGGAGGAAGAGAGAGAGGGAGGAGTTGCCACACACTTTTAAACAACCAGATTTCACTCATTATTGCAATGACAGCACCAAGGGGAAATGGTGTTAAACCACAAGAAACCACCCCATTGATCCAATCACCCCGCATCAGGGCCCATCTCCAGCTTGGGAATTACATTTCAACATGAGATGTGGGTCCAAACACAGATCCAAACCATCAGGGAGGCTCAGCCACCATATTTAAAATCCAAAGTATGAAATTGGGAGAAGGTACATTTTGAAGAGTCTAAGTACCTATGATAAAAGAAAAGTGAGGGCTGGGCGTGGTGGCTCATGCTTGTAATCCCAGCACTTTAGGAGGCCGAGGCAGGAGGATCATGAGGTCAGGAGATCGAGACTATCCTGGCCAACATGATGAAACCCTGTCTCTACTAAAAATATAAAAAATAGTCGGGCATGGTGGCATGTGTCTGTAGTCCCAGCTACTCAGGAGGCTGAGGCAGGAGAATCGCTTGAACCCAGGAGGCGGAGGTTGCAGTGAGCCGAGATCGTGCCACTGCATTCCAGACTGGGCAACAGAGCGAGACTCCATCCAAAAAAAAAAACTGAGGAGGGAGATGTAGATGAGGTAATGCAGAACTAACAAATGTTTGAATGCTTTCAAGTGCCAGGCACCACCTTCTGCATAAGAGTTCTGCAACTTTCAGATGAGGAAAATGTGGTTCAAGGAAGTTAATAACTTGCTTAAGGTTGTACAGCTAGAAAGTAGCAGAGGCGGGGCCCCCACCGGGTTGCCTGGCTCCAGAGCTGATCATTTTGTACTACAGCTTCATTTCTGAAAGCCACAGGTGATTTCTGAGATGAAGATCTATGATTGGAACTCCTGCCCAGACATTCCAGAATGGAAGTCTTTTTGGACTAAGAAGACCAGAAAGGCCCTTCTGAGCATTCCTCGGCTTCCAATGCAAAGAGGGAAGAAGCCTGCCAGCTGGATTACTATTATGGTTAATTTGATGTCAACTAGACTGGGCCATTGGTTCCCCAGATAGCTAGTTAAACATTATCGTGGGTGCATCTGTGAAGGTGTTTCCAGAAGAGATTAATATTTGAAGAGGTGCACTGAGTAGGTCAGATTGCCCTCCCCAGTGTGAATGGCCATCAGGCATCCAATCCACTGAGGGACTGAATAGGATAAAAAGATGGAGGAAGGCTGAATTAACTTTGACTGCTTGAGCTAGGACATCGATCTTCTCCCACCCTCTATACTCCTGGTTCTTAGGCCTTCAGATTCAGTCTGGAATCTATACCATTGATTCTGTGGCTCTCAGGCATATGAACTACATCACTGGCTGCCCTGGGTTTCCAGCTTGCACACAACAGATCATGAAACTTCTGTCTCCTTTATTATATGAGCCAATACCTTATAATAGATAAATACACAAATCTCTCTCTTTAGAGATATATATATATATATCTCTTTATATATTACATGTATATATATGTGTGTGTGTGTGTGTGTGTGTGTGTGTGTATATATATATATATATATATATATATATAATTGGTACTGTGTCTCTGGAGAACCCTGACTAATACAGTTACCTTCTGGCAAAAGCAGCTAGAGAGGGCTGGCTTTCAGTATCCTAACAGCTCCAGATGTAGTTTTAAGCTGGAAGAGCAATTCTACCAGAAGCTTCTTTCTTTTCTTAACCCAATTATGTTAAGGAAGAACCACTGGCCATTTATTTTCATAAGTGGGTTCATGACCTCAAATAATTATAGATCCAAATATGCCTGGGAAACATAGGCTTTCCCTTCTTCGGTTTACATATAATTTTCTGCTAAAGAAGTAGAGGTGACCACGTCTTAGTGCTGAGAGAATCATTTTCTCCCAGAATACAGAAGATGTTACAAAGAAAGCACAGTGCCTCCTTCTCCCTCCACCCAATGTTTCACATTTTTTCTTGTTCTTCTCTACTAGAAAGCTACACACTAAACTTTTCATCCTCAAATGTTCACATGGTAAGTTAGAGTCAAGACACTCCCAGGCCCTCACTTTTCAAAAAGCCCAGTTCCCAAATACAGAGTCCACTTTTGCAAAAATGCTGTCTAGTCTCTTCTCCTTTGCTGCTGCGGCATTCCCTAGGGGCTGTCAGACACTTGAGAGCCTGGTTCCTCCAAGTCTAGGCTCTTCCAGCCTTCCCCTTCTATGCAGGGTAAGGGGCACTAACGTCTCTACCAGTGGCTTCACCCCATTGTTAAGGTTGGATGTGGTTTTTGTGGAGCACAGTTAATATAAACATCTCAAAAATATTGATAGTTTAGGCAAGTTTCCTTCAGTTTTGCAACTCATTTTAGCTTTCATCATGTAAATTTTTAGAATTGTCAAATTTAGAAAAAATTTTATCAAGTTGTTAAATTTGGAAGGTTTTTCCACAGACCAGCTCCTGGCTCTATACATTCCAAACCTTGTTTCTCCACCACTCCCCACATACTGCTGATGCTGAGTGCCACAGGAAACATTTATGTCACGATATGGCCTCAGGCCTTATGCCTTCATTTTACCACACCAGATGAGTCAGCACAGAAGGCAATAGGGTTATTCCTGGAAGCTATCTCTAGACCAGGATAGCTAACTGTAACTCAACCATATAGGGAAGTGACTGTAAACCACATGAAGATCCACCATCAATCTCAAGTTTATTGTGCCCCCAGTTCAACTTGCCCTTAAGGTCCCTAGAATGCCTGTGGCTTTACCAGTTACCAATAATACCAGACATGCAGCGGAGTACGGGAACAGGAACTTTGGAGGGGGACAGAGTGGTCTTGACTGAGTGCAGTTGAGTGTAAAGTATTGCAGATTAACAAGACATATGACCACATAAACACATTCCTAGAGCTCTCCCCAGAGACTTGGAAGGGACTAATGCAAACGAGCCCTGAAGCTTAAGCTCCATTAGTTTCACCCATCTGTCTCTGCCTTGCATTTAGTGTGTATGAACTTCTTACTCTACATGGTCCATTTTTTTGTCAGTGTTCTTTGTGCCTTTAAAGTTGCCAAAATATGTTTTTTATTTTATTTTTTAATTCCTAGGTTTGTGAAATAGATCATTAGTGATTTAATTTTCATTTAAGTAATTAATTCCTGCTATTTAACTTAATACTTATTACAGAGAATTGCCTGTGGGAGAAGTAGCCATTGGAAGGGTCTTGTGCTTCTGACTTTCAATCTGGGACTTAAATTTGAAACTAAGGTTTGTTACCTCTGACCATGACATCTTAATATCCATGGTACATCTTTTATGGTCGGTCAATAATTTAGGCTCATGCACCTCTGTTTTAGCTCCTCAGGAGGATAACTGTCCATCTCTTTGAAGTACTCCTTATGATCCTCTGAAGTAAATTCCATGTAAAACAAGCATAATGCTTCTATTTGAGATCTAGTGATCACAAATGGATTCTCCAAATTTGGTGAAAATTTGGTCACCTGTTTTCATGTGATGTAATTACAAATAGACCAAAAATGCATTTTTTTTTTTTTGAGAGTCTCACTCTGTCACCAGGCTAGAGTGCAGTGGCACAATCTCTGCTCACTGCAACCTCCGCCTCCCAGGTTCAAGTGATTCTCCTGCCTCAGCCTCCCGAGTACCTGGGACTACAGGTGCATGCCACCAAGCCCAGCTAATTTTTTTTGTATTTTTAGTAGAAACGGGGTTCCACCATGTTGGCCAAGATGGTCTTGATCTCTTGACCTCATGATCCGCTGGCCTCAGCCTCCCAAACTGCTGGGATTACAGGCGTGAGCCACCGCCCAAAAATGCACTTTTATTTGTACAATTTTATGCCTTGTATCTTTCCCTAAAGGATTTGAGGTAGTTTATGATTATACATATTTTTTATGTTTTTCTTTTACAAATAAAAAAGTAAAACAGACAATGGAAACTACAACTCAGAGAAAAACAAAAGTTGATGTAGAATGGTTGAAAGAGAAAATTCATACATAAAAATGCAAGCATGATTTTTACCAGACCCCCAAGAGAGGGTTCTTAGATTTCACGCAAGGAAGAATTCAGTGTGAATCTATAAAGTGGAGGCAAGTTTATTAGGAAAGTCAAAAAATAAAAAAATGGCTACTCCATAGGCAGAGCAGCCCTGAGGGCTGCTGGTTGCCCATTTCTATGGTTATTTCTTGATTGCATGCTAAACAAGGGGTGGATTATTCATGCCTCCCTTTTTTAGACCATACAGGGTAGCTTCCTGATGTTGCCATGGCATTTGTAAACTGTCATGGCGCTGGTGGGAGTGTAGCAGTGAGGACAACCAGAGGTCACTCTCAATGCCATTTTGCTTTTGGTGGGTTTTAGCAAGCTTCTTTATTGAAACCTGTTTTATCAGCAAGGTTTTTATAACCTGTATTTTGTGCCAAACTCCTATCTCATCCTGTGACTTAGAATGCCTAACTATCTGGGAATGCAGCCCAGTAGATCTTAGCCTTACTTTATTCAGCTCCTATTCAAGATGGAGTTGCTCTGGTTTAAATGCCTCTGATTATTACCCCCCTCCCTTTTATAGGAGAACGCTTAATCCTAAGGGCTGCAGAGGGACACAGATCCATCTTCTATAACTTCTTCATGCTGAATAGGGGTAATGATATTCCTGCCTAACTATTAGAGTCTCTTGTATTCAGGGAAGAGAGCAGCTCAGTCAGAAAGCATCAGTATGGTGAGGGCCATTCATAACTCTTAAGTTCCAACAAAAGGTAATATCTGGAAGAATAATAAGTATTTAAGAAAACATTTAGTAAGCGTATGCTGCATTCCTACACAAAATGTACAACCACAATACATTCCACAACAGTAAAGCAAAATAAGTAAAATTATCCCAAGTAAATGAAATTAAAAAGCTTTCCGTGAACTGGGCAACTGTTGGAACCAAGCTGATATGGAGTCACTAGCTGATTCCAAAATGAGCCCAGAATTAGAATATTGGTTTAGATTTTTACATTACCCAACCCTCTTGTTACCTCTGAGCAGCAGCCAGAGATTACTGGTTGTTTCACAGAAATAAGCAGGGTTAGTCTAAACTGCAGACAAAAACTAAAAAACAACTGAGACTAGAATCTAATAACAGGTGTAACATAGTTTTTGAAACATAATTTTTCTCTCCCCAGTCTCCCATGTTTACTAAAGACAAATAATGGTAAGACCAATTTGTTTTATTATACTTGGCCTGATTATTTGTATGAAGTGCAGCAAGAATAATTATTTGCCACACAGGCTTCTTTTAATTGGCTTTGATTGAACTTTTGTTCCATAAGGAACCTCAGATAAGACTGTTTTTAAAGCCAGGCCCAGCCATGGGTTTCTACCCTCAAATACCTATATGAGTTGGGTAAATTCCTCTCCTCTTGGGTAAATTAAAGGTAACTTGGGCTCCTGGACCTGTTAGAAAGTGACATTCTTGACTTACCAGATCGGGAACCCTGCACAGGGATTGTGTCGACAAGGTATGAGGTCAGTTTTCCCAAGGGGCTTCTATTGGCTCTACAAGTCAAGTTTGATTCCTTAAAGGGAAGCATACCATTCCAGTCAAGGCCTTGGTAAAATAATCAGTTTCTCCAATTGTGTCCTGTGACAAATGAAAACAGACCCTTATTACACTTATGCAAATAATTATATTGCCATAAGCTAAGAATACTCACAACTAGTTACCAAATTCTGGAGAAATCAGGTGGAGAGAAATACAAATGCTCCAAATTTTGTTTATAGGAGTATATTTTACTCAATTGCTACAAGCTGTAAATAACTAAAAATAAAAGTTTTCTTGACTCTGAAAAACAAAGGATCTGCAACATTTTAAGCAAAAAAACCAAAAAGATTTTATGTAACAATTGTAACTATTAAAAACACATATTAGAAATATAGGAGTTTCTCATAATTTTGGAACACATTTATACAAATAAACCCCAAAGAAAGCCAAGCACCATTTTATATTTGACTATACTTCCTGTATGACTTTTATACCAAATAAGCCAAATGTTATTTTTAGATTAGTATACTATTAATGTTAAATCTTATCCTTAATAAAACTTTGTAGACATATCTACCCAATTTTAATGTTCTTCTTCATAAGCCTTTTATAATCCTTTACAAGTTTTTGTTAAAGAGATCAGTGCTAAGAAAAACCTGTTGTACTTTTATTCCAATTTTCAATTAATGGAAAAAAACTGAATAATACCCCTTTAATTTTAGCCAATATGTCCACACGCAGAATTGCTTTTACAATTAATTTTTCACAAACCTTCCACAACTTGCTTAAACCTTCAGCTTTGTCTTTTTTAACTTAAAGCAATCCTCTTTAAACTAGGCAAAAAAGTCCACATTCCCATGACTTCTTATAATCTTTTACCAAAAACACATTTCATTGTCCTTACACTCCTTGCATATAAAATTGCTTTTCTTTCCCAAAGATTATTTAAGTCACATGGACTAAAAAGCATAACAATTTTTACTTTTCTGACAAAATATGTGATTTAAGCACTTATTATTTTTAAGCCAATCAAATCTCTTTCATATATAAACAATACAAAGACAGAAGGAGATCTAGTACTCGTAAGATATTTCATTTGCCAGTTTCTTAATTGGATTACTGGTTTCAGGGTGGAGCCCTAGGAGGAACAGAGCCAGGAAAGCATGCAGTTTCTACAGCAAGCAGGCCCAGCTGAAAGGCAAAACAGATCCCCCCAATGAAGGGTTCCATATTTATATCAAATCTTGGATCCCAGAAAGAGGGAATCAGCCCATCCCATGGAAGACTTATCTCTCAGTGAGGGGTGGGGACATCTCCATATTTCTAGGTGGCCAAGAACATGCTTCTCTGATCCAAACGTGTGAAAAGTTGAGTATCCCCCATAACTGCTGTTAGCTGTCCCCAAAAGCATATTTCCTACCTAGTTATTACACACCAAAGCTCTCTCACAATGCGAAGTAATTTCTGACACCCCCAAAACTCAAAAACATCAGATAACACAATGCAAAACAGAAGAAAGCCTTAGGATTTTGAAAGGGATCTATCCACTTCTGATTTCTGTGGTTTCATGAGGAAAACAGAGGTTTTTCCCAAAACGGGGTCTGTAGCACCTCCTGTTTTTCCCAGGGTGTCCCACGCTGTTAGAACTTGAATATCCACTTTTCATTAAGCTGACTTTTAACCATAGCACTCTTTTTAAAAAGTCCTTTTAAATTTCTTATTACCCAACTTTAGCCAGGCCAAACAGCCAATATTTCTGTGCTCAGAGAAAGAAAAATTCAAGATGGTTCATGGAGGGGAAGAGAATCATCAAATGGTAAGGGTCAAACAGATATCAAATAGGAAAGGAGTTATTCTCTAAGCCAGGAATTGAACCCAGGCTGCCACTATAAAATGGTGAAGTCTTAACCACTGAGCCACAGCACTGGGCAGTTTCCATTGCCCTTCCCAGGAGCCTACAGCAGCTAATTTTGAGCTTTCAAAGGCCTTTAACTGCTCAAGATAATTTTTAGGGTTACTCACATGAACCCCAAAATTCCTGTCCTCCAGATGGCAGAAATCAAGAGAAAGCACCACCACATGGTTACGAGGTCAAGCTCCCAAGGACATAACTGGCTAGTTAAATGAAGTCTCCAGAAAATGACAGTGAAACGGAGACAGCAACCAAGAAATTGATTCATGTAGCAAAAAGGACAAGGCAGGTTAATACAAAGAGCATAGCAGTTAACATCCCCTGGTGCCAAACCCATTCTTAGCTAAAAGGGACCTTACTGAATGGGGCATCTAACCCCTTAAATCTTAGCAAGGACTCTAACCTTTCTAAGTTGGGCTTCCAACCCAGGTTTGGTCAGGCATCATTGTCTTTTATTAAGAGGGGCCTCTAATCCTGTCTGTTTTAGGAGGGACTCTAACTCCTCTAAGTTGGGCCTCTAACCCAACCCCTTTTACCCCAGTAAATGCACCCCACTTACCCAAAGTCAGCCAATCTGTGTGTGCAGATGATTTTCCTTTGGATCGGGGGTTTCTTCAGTTTTATCTCTTTGGGGTTCATGAGAAAGATGATACAGAAAGGGGTCCCAATCCAGATCCCAAGGGAGGGTTCTTGGCTTTCATACAAGAAAGTATTTGAGGTGAATCCATAAAGTGAAGCCAAGTTTATTAGGAAAGTAGGGGGATAAAAGAATAGGCAGAGCAGCCCTGAGGGCTGTTGGTTGCCCATTTCTATGGTTATTTCTTGATAATATGCTAAACAAGTGGTGGATTATTCATGTCTCCCTTTTTTAGACAATATAGGTTAACTTCCTGATGTTGCCATGGCATTTGTAAACTGTGGGAGCGCTGGTGGGAGTGTAGCAGTGAGGATGACCAGAGGTCACTCTCATTACCATTTTGCTTTTGGTGGGTTTTAGATGGCTTCTTTACTGCAACTTCTTTTGTCAGCAAGGTCTTTATGATCTGTATCTTGTGTCAACTTCCTATCTCATCCTGTGACTTAGAATGCCTAACCATTTGGGAATTCAGTCCTGTAGGTCTTTGCCTTGCTTTACTCAGCTTCTATTCAAGATGGAGTTGCTCTGGTTTAAACACCTCTGACAGTCCTATGTGATATTGGGTTGAGACTCCTCAAACCAGCTGTTCTATATAATTGTTTGTTGGGGGTTGGGGATATTTAGAAAATACTGATTCCTGAGACTTACAGCTGGATAATCCAATTTAGTAGTCATTAGGTGGAACCCAGAATGGATCTCATTCATTGTCTAAATCCCAGAATATCACCTGGTACTTAGTATAACATGCATTAAGTATTTGTTGAAAAAATTAATAAATGAATAAATAAAATGAATGCTTCCTTTCTCTAATAAGTTGGAAATTATTTAAAGACCCGTTCAGTGCCCTGTCCATTTTTATAGTCACTAAAATACTTTCTATAGTTCATTCATTTAAAAAAAATGTATTGAAGGTCTATTATGTGCCAGCCATCTAAGTTCTATAGTAGCAAACAAATCTAATATGGTATTAAACAAAAAATTCTAATGAGGAAATAAGCAATAACTAATTTTTACATATATGTATTTATATTAATACATGACGTTACACAGCAATAGCTCCTTCAATATTGTGAGCACATGTGTGGCTTTTGTATGAATTACAAGAGGAGCCCCATCTCCCAGAAGGATCGTCTCCCTGAAGGATCTTCTACCTAAATTTGTAATTGTGGTGTAACAACAAGTTCTGTGGAATGGCTTCACTGGAGGCCTTAGAACGGTCCCTGAATTTTGTGCCCTTCAATAGTGACTAAAATGCCTTTATAAAACTTTAAATCAGAAGACCATGATGGCAAGCCTTAGAATCCAGAAGCTGTCTTGGAAAATACTCTGTATCTCAAATTAAGCAGTAAGAGCCTTTACTGAGGCCGTCTTTAGAAACAGGATCTCCTCAGGCCCATTTATAGCTCTGAGCCATTCTGCTTCCTACTAAGGGAACTTCTAGGGACAAGGCCACCACTTTCAGCCAAACACTCATGGTCAAAGCACGGTCATTGGCTCCCCAGGAATGTTTCCCTCTCCCCTTCTTTGGCTCTGCTTTAGCATACAAATACTGCTCCAGCATCTCTGTTTTCTGTGGCGCCAGGAAGACTGAGTCCCGTGACTGCAGGGGCTGGTAGGATGAGCACTGCAGGCTGCACGAGGTCGGCCAGGGCCCATTAACCTCCTATTCAAGCTCATTGTTTTACAAGTGATCATCGCCACTTCGCTGCCCAGTCAGAAGCAAGTAGCAGCTTTACGGCCTACTTAAAGAAAATGGCTCAGCACTTAGGCATTTTCTGGTGCCACAGGGTTCAAAGTGAAATTAATTTCCATTACCGCCTATAATAAATCACCTCACCCAACACATGTATGAAATTCCATTCAGTAGACTCAAGTCATTCTGGGGCCACACAGAAGAGCATGCACACTTCAGCTTGCGCGTAATTTCTCTGCTTGGATAGAGCTGATGGGGCCCTGCAAACGATTAGGTTCCAAGAGAGCTGATGGGATGTGAAGCAGTCCTAAAACACACAGATAGGAACCCTGCCTGAGGATACTGGGTTTAGTTAGAGGAGAAGGGGGAGTTCTTTCTTTCTTGGAACACTTTTTGGTGGCCCTTTCCCTCTCTCTCTCTCTGTCCTCTCTGGGGCCTTATCACAGTCATAGATACACAGACGCTTGTGGTAGGGACAGTAGAAGCCCCTCTGATGTCAGAATCTGGATCTGGTTGGAAACTCTTGGAGGTCTTTTGTGGGGAATGTGTGTGGCTAGTCATTCTGAGTCTCAATCATTTTATGAAAGAAACTGCGGAATGATTGTAAGTCCCTCATACAGCCAGAGAATGAAGAAAGTAAATAGCAAGGTACGGCATCACTGAGACAAATCCACAGAAGCCGGAAGGATGGTGAATATGACTCACATTCAGCGAATCATGCCTCAGGAATTTAAGCTACAGAGGCCCAGAATCTTCGAGCTGGAAGAGATCTTACAGCGTGTTGAGTCCAATCCCCATGGGCTAGAGATAGGAAATGAGGAAAACAGAGACATGAGATTATAATAGTAATCGCTACTGTTTATTAGGCCCCCATTCTGTGCCTTCAAGGTACTAATTTGTAACATTTGTATTGATTAAGCCCCATGGCAATTCTAGGAAATTGTCTTTTTTATGTTTTTAAACAGATTTATATTTACAGAGAAATGGAGAAGATAGTGCAGAAAGTTTCCATATACTCCATAACCAGTTTATCTTATTATTAATAGTTCACATTGGTGTAGTACTTTTATTATAATATATGAACCACTATTGTTACCTTATTATTAACTAAAGTTCATGCTTCATTCCAATGATTTCCTTAGCTTTTACCTAATGTCCTTTTTCTATGTCAGGAGCTCATCCAGGTTACCACATTACATTTAGTTGTCATGTTTACCTAAGCTCTTCTGTGACAGTTTCTCAGACTTTCCTTGTTTTTGATAACCTTGACAGTTTTGAAGAGCTCCAATTAGGTATTTTTTTAGAATGCCACTTTATTGGAATTTGTCTGATCTTCTTCTCCATGATTGGACTGGGGTTACAGGCTTTTGGAAGGTGAGGTAGGTATTTTTATCCTCCTTTGCAAATGAGAAAACAAACACTTAGTGAAATAAGGAGAATTAAGTCATGTCACTAATATAAGTAATGAAGTCAGGTTTGGAACCCAAGTCTTTCTGAATCTAGAGATCAAGTTCTTAACCATCACATTGCTTTCCTGTAGCCCTATTAGTTGAAAGCCCAACGAGGACTTAAATCTGAAATCCAATTTGGTGTTCTTTCACAGAGACGGATGGTTGCAGCAATAGGTAGGTAGGTAAGTAGGTAGATAGGTAAGTAGATGGATAGATTGATGATAGACTCTTTATAAATGTCTCACGATGACATGTGTAACACAGTCTTACCATAAACACTCAAGCACCATAGACATATATGAGATGATAGTGCCTTGTAAGCACTCTACAATAATTGTTACTGTTAGGTGTAGAGCCGTCCAATTTTTCTATGCTTATGCCATGCATAATTTTTGTTGGCATGCATAATTATGCCAACATAATTTTTAATGGAAGTGTATTATACATACTGTTCTGCAAGGTTTTTTCTTAATAATATATCACACAATTTTATGAACTATACATTTGAGTTTGACTTCGAACTTTCTGTGTACTCTTAGTTAACTGATTCCTTATAAATGGACATCAGGTATCTCAATTTACTGCTGGTGCTCTTTCCCTTAACATGGTGGACCTAAAAATTCAGCAATCATGAGTATCATTTGGGGAGTGCATTAAACTACTGGCTAGGTGCAGTGGCTCACGCCTGTAATCCCAACACTTTGAGAGGCTGAGCCAGGGGGATCACCTGAGGTCAGAAGTTAGAAACAAGCCTGACCAACATGACAAAACCCCTTCTCTATTAAACACACACACACACACACACACAAAAATTAGCCGGGCATGGTAGCAGGGGCCTGTAATCCCAGCTATTTGGGAGGCTGAGGCACGAGAATCACTTGAACCCAGGAGGCAGAGGTTGCAGTGAGCCGAGATCGCGCCACTGCAATCCAGCCTGGGTGACAGAGCAAGACTCTGTCTCAAAAGCAAACAAACAAACAACAACAACAACAAAACCCAAAACATATTCTTAGCTACCAAGGATTTTAGAATTTGTCTGATCTATAGATTCTTATTGAAAAGGTTTGTCAGAATTTAGATTTTTTTTTTTTATGAACACATATTTTTTTTCTCTAGGGGAGTAGAGATGGTAGTGATTTTGGGACCATACTAATTTGGAAACAAAGTCTAGTCTTCCTCTTTGTATCTTGCCAGTATAAGTCCTTCCTTCATTTGGATAGAAGTAATCCATTCTGACATACAAACTTCAGAAACTCCAACTGGCTCCAGTGAAACACATCTGCATATGTGATTTTGACAAATAAATGCTCGGAATGGACTTGCTTTACTGGCAAAACAGGTATTACAGTATATGCTGGGGGCAAATTAGGATGGGTCTCATTTGTACCCTCCAACAGTCTGAGGGATAAGCAGATCAGGTATCTTGTACCATTTTATTAATGAACAAAGTGCTTGAGTCTTAGAGGGGCTTGTGAAGATCACACTAGCTTGAGTGATCAACTCACAGCAACCAGGCCAGTGCTGCCAAGACTTTCACTTATTGCAGAAGGCATTTTCCCCATGGTGGGAAGTCCATCCGTTGGTAACTTCAACCTTCCATCTTGAAGTATTGTGGCTTAGGTGGAGGGATTTTCTTCTACCCAATTTTAGTATAAAAAACATCCCAGGGAATGGATTCTGATTGGTCCACAGTTGAAACATGCCAAAAATCTAGACCTACCTCTATAGCCAAAGGGGTTGAAACTGCAACTGGTCAGACTAGGGTCATGTGCCTAACCATGAAGTCCCATCAGAATTACAGGTAGAAAAGAGGAAGATGCAGCTCCCTAAAGCAAAAAGATGGGGACTGGACACAGTTACCAGAAGAAAAGGAAGAGCACTGGCCAGACAAAAACAGCCCATGTTCACCACAGGCTCTCTGTATATAACACTTTGCATTTGTAGAACTGTATCATTGTGAAAACACTGTTACACATAATTTCCTCAATATAAAGATCCATTGGTAATTAGCAATACCTGTTAACTTTAAAACAAAAATGTGTTAAAGTCCTTTAGGAAGTTTGCTTTTTAAAGAATATGCCATAATTCCAAATATTCCTTGGTCAAATGAACATACCATGCTGATTGTCCACTTGGAGACATATACTGCAGATCAGTGTATTCATATTAAAGGCTACGAGAAGTTCCTGAAGCAAAGAACCCTGTTTAGCTTATTTTTCCAACCATTTCCCAAAGTAATTTTACTATGAAATTGTCTTATATTCTCCTTGGCTATAACTATCCATTCACTTGGAACTAGAGTCCTACAAAACTCGTCGGAGGAAATGCTATACCATTCAATTCATCAGCAAATTATTTTTTATTAGCAATTAGTAGTAAACTTCAGCCAAATCAAACGATTTCAACTTTTAGCAGGCACAGTCTCAATTAGTAGTGTTTTGTACAGAAAATAGGAGTCCACAACTAGCTCCACTACGTCAGAGCATTCCAAGCATATCAGACAGAGTGATTCTTTTCTATAAACAACATTTCATAACATTTCCTTTATCATCCTAAAATGAAGGTCATAGATAATGTAGGCTACCTACCCATAAAATTTCAAAAAAGATTCATATTATACCTTAACTATAACAGAAATAAAATAAAAGTAAAATAATTTAAAATAAATTAACATCTATCTCAATATGTAAACGCTTAGCTACCACTACACCAGAACATCTACTGAAGTAATCACACACTTGCACTTATAACTTATACATTAAATATCTAGGAATGTGACAGCAACAAATGCAGACCGATAAGAAGGTGTGGTATTGATAACTCAAATTCCCTAAGGTGTGTTGCTATCAATGATGTGATTTTTCTCAAAGGGTGAACTACTCTTGGTAAAGTTCTACACAGGATACAGAAGTCTTTTTTATTCACATGGTAGTTGCCTTGCTGGAAAATTCGGTGTACACCCTATGTTAATATGTAAAATTCAGCTCAATTTTAAACTCAATTAACTCTAAGTAGACTGTTTGATTGATTTACCTATATGATGGCTTAGTGGGACATTCAAAAGTCCTACAAGACAGAGAACAATTCTTCCTAAGTGGCCCACATATTAAAATTCACTTTGAATCCCTGGTCCCAGCCCACACTAAATGCCAGTAGTGCCTCTTGCAGTAATTTGACAACCAAAACATCCCGACAAATTTCCAAAATGCCCCCATGGTACAAAATTGCCTCCTTTGAGAACCACTATGATATAAATTATGTTTTGTCTTGCAGTTAAATTTTGTATTGTAATGAAAGTCCTTAGATATGAACAAGAAAACTGGAAATAGAAAATTCATTGTCGCGGATTCGAGCCAAGATGGCCAATTAGGAACAGCTCCCATCTGCAGCTCCCAGCGTAAGCAATGCAGAAGATGGGTGATTTCTGCATTTCCATCTGAGGTACCAGGTTCATCTCACTAGGGAGTGCAAGACAGTGGGTGCAGGACAGTGGGTGCAGCGCACCATGCACGAGCTGAAGCAGGGCGAGGCATTGCCTCACTCGGGAAGCACAAGGGGTCAGGGAGTTCCCTTTCCTAGTCAAAGAAAGGGGTGACAGATGGCACCTGGAAAAATCGGGTCACTCCCAGCCCAATACTGCGCTTTTCTGACGGGTTTAAAAATGGCACACCAGGAGATTATATCCCGCACTTGGCTCGGAGGGTCCTATGCCCACGGAGTCTCGCTAATTGTTAGCACAGCAGTCTGAGATCAAACTGCAAGGCGGCAGCCAGGCTGGGGGAGGGGTGCCCGCCATTGCCCAGGCTTGCTTAGGTAAACAAAGCAGCCAGGAAGCTCGAACTGGGTGGAGCCCACCACAGCTCAAGGAGGCCTGCCTGCCTCTGTAGGCTCCACCTCTGGGGGCAGGGCACAGACAAACAAAAAGACAGCAGTAACCTCTGCAGACTTAAATGTCCCTGTCTGACAGCTTTGA
Source organism: Homo sapiens (assembly GCF_000001405.40). Classification (NCBI taxonomy): domain Eukaryota; kingdom Metazoa; phylum Chordata; class Mammalia; order Primates; family Hominidae; genus Homo; species Homo sapiens. Next base: position 27,939,697 of record NC_000011.10, read on the forward strand.
AGAGAGCAGCAGTTCTCCCAGCATGCAGCTGGAGATCTGAGAACGGGCAGACTGCCTCCTCAAGTGGGTCCCTGACCCCTGATCCCCGAGTAGCCTAACTAGGAAGCACCCCCCAGTAGGGGCAGACTGACACCTCACACAGCCAGGTACTCCTCTGAGACAAAACTTCCAGAGGAACGATCAGACAGCAGCATTCGTGGATCACGAAAATCCGCGGTTCTGCAGCCACCGCTGCTGATACCCAGGCAAACAGGGTCTGGAGTGGATCTCTAGCAAACTCCAACAGACCTGCAGCTGAGGGTCCTGTCTGTTAGAAGGAAAACTAACAAACAGAAAGGACATCCACACCAAAAACCCATCTGTACGTCACGATCATCAAAGACCAAAAGTAGATAAAACCACAAAGATGGGGAAAAAACAGAGCAGAAAAACTGGAAACTCTAAAAAGCAGAGCACCTCTCCTCCTCCAAAGGAATGCAGCTCCTCACCAGCGATGGAACAAAGCTGGATGGAGAATGACTTTGACGAGTTGAGAGAAGAAGTCTTCAGATGATCAAACCACTCCGAGCTACAGGAGGAAATTCAAACCAAAGACAAAGAAGTTAAAAACTTTGAAAAAAATTTAGACAAATGTATAACTAGAATAACCAATACAGAGAAGTGCTTAAAGGAGCTGATGGAGCTGAAAGCCAAGGCTTGAGAACTACATGAAGAATGCAGAAGCCTCAGGAGCCGATGCGATCAACTGGAAGAAAGGGTATCAGTGATGGAAGATGAAATGAATGAAATGAAGCGAGAAGGGAAGTTTAGAGAAAAAAGAATAAAAAGAAACGAACAAAGCCTCCAAGAAATATGGGACTATGTGAAAAGACCAAATCTACTTCTGATTGGTGTACCTGAAAGTGATGGGGAGAATGGAACGAAGTTGGAAAACACTCTGCAGGATATTATCCAGGAGAACTTCCCCAATCTAGCAAGGCAGGCCAACATTCAGATTCAGGAAATACAGAGAACGCCACAAAGATACTCCCCGAGAAGAGCAACTCCAAGACACATAATTGTCAGATTCATCAAAGTTGAAAGGAAGGAAAAAATGTTAAGGGCAACAAGAGAGAAAGGTGGGGTTACCCACAAAGGGAAGCCCATCAGACTAACAGCAGATCTCTCAGCAGAAACTCTACAAGCCAGAAGAGAGGGGGGGCCAATATTCAACATTCTTAAAGAAAAGAATTTTCAACCCAGAATTTCATATCCAGCCAAACTAAGCTTCGTAAGTGAAGGAGAAATAAAATACTTTACAGACAAGCAAATGCTGAGAGATTCTGTCAACACCAGGCCTGCCCTAAAAGAGCTCCTGAAGGAAGCACTAAACATGGAAAGGCACAACCGGTACCAGCTGCTGCAAAAACATGCCAAAATGTAAAGACCATCGAGACTACGAAGAAACTGCATCAACTAATGAGCAAAATAACCAGCTAACCTCATAATGACAGGATCAAATTCACACATAACAATATTAACTTTAAATGTAAATGGACTAAATGATCCAATTAAAAGACACAGACTGGCAAATTGGATAAAGAGTCAAGATCCATCAGTGTGCTGTATTCAGGAAACCCATCTCACATGCAGAGACACACATAGGCTCAAAATAAAGGGATGGAGGAAGATCTACCAAGCAAATGGAAAACAAAAAAAGGCAGGGGTTGCAATTCTCATCTCTGATAAAAGAGACTTTAAACCAACAAAGATCAAAAGAGACAAAGAAGGCCATTACATAATGGTAAAGGGATCAATTCAACAAGAAGAGCTAACTATCCTAAATATATATGGACCCAATACAGGAGCACCCAGATTCATAAAGCAAGTCCTGAGTGACCTACAAAGAGACTTAGACTCCCACACATTAATAATGGGAGACTTTAACACCCCACTGTCAACATTAGACAGATCAACGAGACAGAAAGTTAACAAGGATATCCAGCAATTGAACTCAGCTCTGCACCAAGCAGACCTAATAGACATCTACAGAACTCTCCACCCCAAATCAACAGAATATACATTTTTATCAGCACCACACCACACCTATTCCAAAATTGAACACATAGTTGGAAGTAAAGCATTCCTCAGCAAATGTAAAAGAACAGAAATTATAACAAACTGTCTCTCAGACCACAGTGTAATCAAACTAGAACTCGGGATTAAGAAACTCACTCAAAACCACTCAACTACATGGAAACTGAACAACCTGCTCCTGAATGACTACTGGGTACATAATGAAATGAAGGCAGAAATAAAGATGTTCTTTGAAACCAACAAGAACAAAGACACAACATACCAGAATCTCTGGGACACATTCAAAGCAGTGTGTAGAGGGAAATTTTAGCACTAAATGCCCACAAGAGAAAGCAGGAAAGATCCAAAATTGACACACTAACATCACAATTAAAAGAACTAGAAAAGCAAGAGCAAACACATTCAAAAGCTAGCAGAAGGCAAGAAATAACTAAAATCAGAGCAGAACTGAAGGAAATAGAGACACAAAAAACCCTTCCAAAAATTAATGAAACCAGGAGCTGGTTTTTTGAAAGGATCAACAAAATTGATAGACTGCTAGCAAGACTAATAAAGAAGAAAAGAGAGAAGAATCAAATAGATGCAATAAAAAATGATAAAGGGTATATCACCACAGATCCCACAGAAATACAAACTACCATCAGAGAATACTACAAACACCTCTACGCAAATAAACTAGAAAATCTAGAAGAAATGGATAAATTCCTGGACACATACACCCTCCCAAGACTAAACCAGGAAGAAGTTGAATCTCTGAATAGACCAATAACAGGCTCTGAAATTGTGGCAATAATCAATAGCTTACCAACCAGAAAGAGTACAGGACCAGATGGATTCATAGCCGAATTCTACCAGAGGTACAAGGAGGAACTGGTACCACTCCTTCTGAAGCTATTCCAATCAATAGAAAAAGAGGGAATCCTCCCTAACTCATTTTATGAGGCCAGCATCATCCTGATACCAAAGCCGGGCAGAGACACAACCAAAAAAGAGAATTTTAGACCAATATCCTTGATGAACATTGATGCAAAAATCCTCAATAAAATACTGGCAAACCGAATCCAGCAACACATCAAAAAGCTTATCCACCATGATCAAGTGGGCTTCATCCCTGGGATGCAAGGCTGCTTCAATATACGCAAATCAATAAATGTAATCCAGCATATAAACAGAACCAAAGACAAAAACCACATGATTATCTCAATAGATGCAGAAAAGGCCTTTGACAAAATTCAATAGCCCTTCATGCTAAAGACTCTCAATAAATTAGGTATTGATGGGACGTATCTCAAAATAATAAGAGCTATCTGTGACAAACCCACAGCCAATTTCATACTGAATGTGCAAAAACTGGAAGCATTCCCTTTGAAAACTGGCACAAGACAGGGATGCCCTCTCTCACCACTCCTATTCAACATAGTGTTGGAAGTTCTGGCCAGGGCAATCAGTCAGGAGAAGGAAATAAAGGGTATTCAGTTAGGAAATGAGGAAGTCAAATTGTCCCTGTTTGCAGATGACATGATTGTATATCTAGAAAATCCCATTGTCTCAGCCCAAAATCTCCTTAAGCTGATAAGCAACTTCAGCAAAGTCTCAGGATACAAAATCAATGTACAAAACTCACAAGCATTCTTATACACCAATAACAGACAAACAGCGAGCCAAATCATGAGTGAACTCCCATTCACAATTGCTTCAAAGAGAATAAAATACCTAGGAATCCAACTTACAAGGGACGTGAAGGACCTCTTCAAGGAGAACTACAAACCACTGCTCAATGAAATAAAAGAAGATACAAAGAAATAGAAGAACATTCCATGCTCATGGGTAGGAAGAATTAATATCGTGAAAATGGCCATACCACCCAAGGTAATTTATAGATTCAATGCCAACCCCATCAAGCTACCAATGACTTTCTTCACAGAATTGGAAAAAACTACTTTAAAGTTCATATGGAACCAAAAAAGAGCCCGCATCGCCAAGTCAATCCTAAGCCAAAAGAACAAAGCTGGAGGCATCACGCTACCTGACTTCAAACCATACTACAAGGCTACAGTAACCAAAACAGCATGGTACTGGTACCAAAACAGAGATATAGATCAACGGAACAGAACAGAGCCCTCAGAAATCACGCCACATATCTACAACCATCTGATCTTTGACAAACCTGAGAAAAACAAGCAATGGGGAAAGGATTCCCTATCTAATAAATGGTGCTGGGAAAACTGGCTAGCCACATGTAGAAAGCTGAAACTGGATCCCTTCCTTACACCTTATACAAAAATTAATTCAAGATGGATTAAAGACTTAAACGTTAGACCTAAAACCATAAAAACCCTAGAAGAAAACCTAGGCATTACCATTCAGGACATAGGCATGGGCAAGGACTTCATGTCTGAAACACCAAAAGCAATGGCAACAAAAGCCAAAATTGACAAATGAGATCTAATTAAACTAAAGAGCTTCTGCACAGCAAAAGAAACTACCATCAGAGTGAACAGGCAACCTACAAAATGGGAGAAAATTTTCACAACCTACTCATCTGACAAAGGGCTAATATCCAGAATCTACAATGAACTCAAACAAATTTACAAGAAAAAAACAAACAACCCCATCAAAAAGTGGGTGAAGGACATGAACAGACACTTCTCAAAAGAAGACATTTATGCAGCCAAAAAACACATGAAAAAATGCTCACCATCACTGGCCATCAGAGAAATGCAAATCAAAATCACAATGAGATACCATCTCACACCAGTTAGAATGGCAATCATTAAAAAGTCAGGAAACAACAGGTGCTGGAGAGGATGTAGAGAAATAGGAACACTTTTACACTGTTGGTGGGACTGTAAACTAGTTCAACCATTGTGGAAGTCAGTGTGGCGATTCCTCAGGGATCTAGAACTAGAAATACCATTTGACCCAGCCATCCCATTACTGGGTATATACCCAAAGGACTATAAATCATGCTGCTATAAAGACACATGCACACGTATGTTTATTGCGGCACTATTCACAATAGCAAAGACTTGGAACCAACCCAAATGTCCATCAATGATAGACTGGATTAAGAAAATGTGGCACATATACACCATGAAATACTATGCAGCCATAAAAAATGATGAGTTCATGTCCTTTGTAGGGACATGGATGAAACTGGAAATCATCATTCTCAGTAAACTATTGCAAGAACAAACAACCAAACACCGCATATTCTCACTCATAGGTGGGAATTGAACAATGAGAACACATGGACACAGGAAGGGGAACATCACACTCTGGGGACTGTTGTGTGGTTGGGGGAGAGGGGAGGGATAGCATTAGGAGATATACCTAATGCTAAATGACGAGTTAATGGGTGCAGCACACCAGCATGGCACATGTATACATATGTAACTAACCTGCACATTGTGCACATGTACCCTAAAACTTAAAGTATAATAATAATAATAATAATAATAATAAAAAGAAAATTCATTGTCCCAACAATAATGTTTCCAAATATTTCCTGAGAAGGAAAATAAATGGGGGAGTGTTTAGGCCATTTTTTTTCTACTTGGAAAACAAGTTGGTATATGGTTGAATTTTGTGCCCCATGGAAAAGGTTAGCTCTTTGTTTTTCCATAGAAAATCCTGGTCCCAACAGTGAGAGAAGCATGCAAAGAACAGGGAAGGAGTCACTGGATATTGCTTGGTTCCAGCTCACCAGGCCCTATGTGAAGCACATTGTACTTCTTATCTCTATAAAAGGACTTTGTTAGGAAGGCATAATTTCCTCTTTTATGGTGAGGTTAAAGAGGTTACTAGGTCTGATAAGGCTTCCTGATGCCAGTCCCTGTGCTATTTTTCTTTCTCAAAGTATGGTCAGGGGAGATGGGAGGGCAATTGAAAGCAGTATAACACCAAGGTTATGCCCAGAGTTCAAATTGTGATTCTATCTTAGCACTGTGTGACATCTAACAAGTTACTTAATCGCTCTGTGCCTCAGTTTACTCATCTGTAAAATGAAGGTAATAGTATCCATTCTCAGAGTATTATTATGGGCATTAAATAGGTTAAAACACTTAAAAGTATGCCTACTATATAGTAAGGCCTCGTGATTATTAGCTGTAATGATAATTAGCATTTCTTTTTCAGCTGCCTTAGGCAGATTTGAAATTTCTTCACCTGGATCCAAGTTCATCTGTCAAGGTCCACCTCTCCTGCTTTGTTTGGGATACTGTCCATTACCACACCTCATAACATAGCATGACCGGGGCATTTCACAGTTTTGATGCACGCTCCGTCTCACCCATCCCCCAACCCTACACCATTTCTTCATTTTTAAAATGGGTGCTGGGTGTGGTGGCTCATGCCTGTAATCCCAGCACTTTGGGAGGCCAAGGTGGGAGGATCACTTGAGGTCAGGAGTTCGAGACCAGCCTGGCCAACATGGTGAAACCCTGTCTCTACTAAAAATATAAAAATTAGCTGGGCATGGTGGTGGGTGCCTGTGATCCAAGCTACTTGGGAGGCTGAGGCACAAGAATCGCTTGAACCTGGGAGGCAGAGCTTGCAGTGAGCCGAGATTGCACCACTGCACTCCTGCCTGGGAGACAGAGTGAAACTCTGTCTCAAAAAAAATAAAAAAAAAAAAAGAAAAAATAATAAAATAGATGCTGGTTCTAGGGGAGAACACAGTGCAGACAAAAAATTCCTGGCTCTGCCTCTAACTTGCTTGTGGCCTTGAGCAAGTCACTTCAATTCTCCAGGCCTCTGCTAGTGCTTTGGTAAAGCCCTGTGACTTCTAAGATCCCTTTGGGCATCATTCTTTTCTCTATCCCATCCCCACCTCCACCAGGGAAAATTCAGGAACTAAAGGAAGGAGACTTGCCTTGTTAGAAGCCTTTCTGGGTGCTCTTTCATGCAGCCTCAAGTATTATGGCCTCAGCTACTCTCAGAAGTCAGTGTTTGTCATCGTATTAATTTGTCCTCCAGCCAGGAAAATGAGTACTGCAAATACAGAGATGCACCTGCTCAAAGTAAAAACAGTCAAGCTGAACTGTTTGAAGCATTCAACGATTATCTTTTTTATTTGTGTAGTACTCTGCTTTTTACATTCATATAGGTAACCTGTCAATCATTACAGCCATCTTATGAAGAACAAATATTGGAGATCATCATATTGATTTTGCAAATGAGAAAACTGAGGTACAGGGATATTATGTGGCATGCACGTAATCCCCAAGTGAGAGGCTCTGTTGAGACCCAGATCTGCCAACTCCTGGCCAGATGCTCTTTGTACCAGTGATAGGAAGCACATAGAAAGTACCACATGCAAATATATTTCATTCATACCATAGCATTCAATCTTCCCAATGGCCTTAGGAAGTAGGCATTATCACCCCATTTTATAAACAAACTCAGAGCCCTAGTAGACTTAAAATCCCCTCAGGGTAGGGACCCATTACATTTGCCAGTGAACTCTCCCAAAGTTACCTAGATTAAAAGTGGAAGAGTTGGGTCCAAAGCCAGATCATTTCTCTGTTCAACACGTACTTACAGAAACCCCTGAGCTGAGACTTGAAGGTTCTACCTATTTATGCAAAGCAACTACCTGTGCATTGGGCTCTGAGAAGAGGACAGCCTGCAGAAGAAAAGGAAGAACTGGTTTCACTGATCACCTCCTATGTTCTGGGGCATTACTTCCATTATTGCATAAACTCTGTCAGAATTGATCCCCCGAAGCTACTTCAGTAATGGATTCATTTAATTTTCATCCTTTAATTTATGCATTTAATGAGAGGATTAATACTCTTCCTTCTTGTCAAGATGTGGGGTTAGGAAAACAAATAAGGAACTTTTGGGAAAATCAACATTAACATCTCACAGCTGAATTTTAAGGTCCAGGCTGCACTGAAAAAAGTTCCTAAAGATGCTCCTCAGTTCAGACTGAATGCCACTAAATTCAACAAACCTTTACACAATGCTATCTCTTAGTCAAGTACTGCGTTAAACACTGACAGCACAAAAATGAATTAAGACCATGCCCACCCTCAGTCTAATAGGGAAAATGGGCATGAAGAAATGCAAGTGCTAGAGGCTCTGGAGTCAGACAGCCTGAATGGAATCTGCTCTGACCTTTGCTGTATGACCTTGGGCAAATGTCTTATCCTCTCTGTGCCTTAGTTGCTTAATCTATAAAGTGGAAGAGATAATATTAGTTTTGACCTTATGTGTTATTGTTGCAAGGATTAAATAATAAATGCAAAGCATCTAGAACAATCTCTAACATATGGTAAGAACAATCTCTAACACATGGTAAGAGCTACCATGAAACCATTACATGGCAGGGTGAGAAGTACAGTAATAGACAAATCCAAGGCTTGGAGGAGGGAATGGTGAATTCTTTCCAGGGCAATGAAGGTAAGGGAAGGCTTCTTGGGTTTAGCAGTATGACTAGGATTTTCCCCGGGAGGTGGCAGAATGAGAGCAGATGTTACTATTGTTACAACTACAAAAAAACCCACTACCATCTATTGGGCACCTACTGTTTGCAGGCCCTGTGCTTGTGCTCAATGTGGACTATCTCAGTCTTTATTTATTTATACTTTTATGGTAGAGATGGGGTCTTGCTATGTTTCCCAGGCTGGTCCCAAGCTCTTGGGCTCAAGTGATCCTCGGGCATCAGCCTCCCAAATTGCTGGGATTACAGGTATGAGCCACCTTGCCTGGCCTGTGGGCTGTCTCATTTAATTCTCTCAATAGTAATTCCATTAAGTTGGCACTGTTACTATTAGTCCCATTGGACATATAAGAAATAGAAACCCAGAGAAGTTAAATAACTCACCTAAAGCCATACAGCCGTAGAAGCCTACAGAAGTGGGACTTGAATGCATGATGTTTGATGTCAGATAAATATTTTAAATCATCAAGCTGTATGTGACTGTTTCTCTGACCCACCCATATTGAAGGCATCTTTTCTCACTTTAGAGTTTGGCCCTCTTGAACCTGACACCTACCCATATACAGAGCCTGTCCATCAGCCTGTCTCTACTTGTTGAGCTTGTCTCATTGGCTGACAACTACTGTGCTGGGCAGTAGCGGGGCTAGTGGGGACATCTATTGAAAGGGGCAGGTTTCAGAGGACAAGAAAGGAAAACTGCAAGAGGGCTGACTAGGGAGCCTTCCAACTTGTCTCCCATCCCTGCTACTGGCACCATCCTCCCTCCATCCTTTCTCGCAGCGACCCTGTGATGCCTGATGAAATTAAACCTGCCCCAACAGGAGCAAACTATGGATGTCTGGTTCCCTGGCACTTTTAGTCTAATTGCTGCCCAATGAATATAATAGCTTCCTGACTATCTTTTCAGCAACATGGGCTTCTGAAGCCATTCAGAAAGGGCTGAACTCCAATAACACTCACCCTACTGTCTGCAGGCTGAAATCTAATATCGGCCGGATGGTCCTAGTTTACAACTTTGTTTTCATCTCCACAGGGTCCCTTAGTCTCAGGTTTACTGACCAGTTGCTAGACAGGAGCAATCTGTGACATCCCCCTAACCCCTCTTCTGTTTCTCACATCCCACTCAGGATAGGATCACAGGATTACTTTTCAGGCTGAGAACAGAAGCTGCAAACTTCAGCTGAAACACATTTTGTTAAGCCATCACCTACTGAACGTGGAGAGGCAACTGGCTCAATTTGTTCTGTGTTTGAGTTTGCAGACCATGTGGAGACTTTGGCTAATTAATCATGCCTGCTAATACAGTTGGCCAGCGTGGATCCAATGTGGAAAGTGCCCCCATAAAACAGGCCTTAGCCGTAGGTCAGGCAAAGAGTCAAGAGAAAACCAGTTCCTGATAATTAAATATTAGGTACCTCAGCCTTTTGCTTATCTATTGCAGGGAACCAAAACAGACCACCCCAACACTTAATGATATAAAACAACAACTATTTTATTATCTCTCACACTTGTATGTCTACTAGGTTCAGCAAGGCAGTTCATCTGCTGTCTTGTTTGGGGCTGCTCATGCTGTTGAAATCAAAAGGTGGCATGGACTGAAATCATCTGGAATATCCAAGATAACTGATTTCCATGCTGGGACATGGAAATGTCCAGCTTGGCAGGGACAGCTGGAAGACTGAGCTTAGCTGGGACTCTAAATCAGGTAGCCCTCTCCCTTCCCACATGGAGTCTCTATGTGATCTCCTCAATAGGGTAGCTGTACTTCTTATGTGGTGGTCCAGGGCTCCTGAAAGTAGAAGCTATCAGTTCTTAAGGTGTTGGTTCAGAATTGGCACAGTGTCATTTCTGCATTCTACTGATTAAAGTCATAGGGCTAACCCATATTCAGGGAGAGGACTACACAGAATGTGAATCCTACACAAGGGTGTGGATTGGGTTATGCGTCCCCACTATAAACAAGCAAATGACCACATTCCCTTATGTAAGTATACTTTCATCTTACATAGCTACCATTTGTTGAGTGCTTGCCACAGGCAAGGCACTATGCTAAGTGGGTTATATCATTGTCTCTTTTCTCCCTACAAAAACTGAGAGAGCTGGGCATTCACACCCCCATGTTACAAATGAACAAACTAAGGCTCAGAGAGTATGAGTAAATTCTCCTAAGTTATTGAGCAAGTAAGTAGTGGAGCTAGGATTAAATCCAAGATTAGTGTTCCTGCAAAAATTTGTTTGCTTTTTATATACATAGATACAAATCACAGCATCATCCCTTCTTGCCATTCTAGTACAGTAAGAAGCCAGCCACAGTTGGCCCAGCTGAGGCTGTTGGTGTTTTGCCTAAGAATCCAAAGGTGTTGAGAGTAAATGTGTCTGCATACTCAGAAGTTCTTTGCTCCAGGCTTGTCAGGCATCACACTCCAGGGGTCCTGCCAGCTTCAGCTTGTGTGCTTTAGATGAACTCAGGCCCTACACAGAAGGCTTTTGGTTCTAGCCAGCTCATTTTTGCTACTGGGTACCTGGACCTATGAATTCAGCTTTCTGATGAGGTCTGGACCATTCATTGTTTAGCATTCAGTCTCAGTTTTTGATCTCTCTCATCTTTGCCTGGATCCCTAATCCCTACTATTGCCCTCCCAGAATCTGATAATCTTTGCCATGCCTGGGCTACTGCCCACCCTTCTCTGCTTTACCTGACCTTGATTAACTTGATCCATGTCCATCTAACCAGACTCCTGTTTCTGTTCTAGCTTGAGCTGATCATTCATTTCTTCAGTCAGTCACAGTACCTATTTACTGAGGGCTTTTCAGCTATCAAGGTCTATTCCAGGCACCAGGCCTGTGAGAGTGACCAAAATTGGCATGTTTCCTGCCCTCAGGACCTTAAACTCAAGACTAGGGAACAATTAATAAACAAATGATAAAATTTAGATTGCTTGTGATAAATAAATAATCAGGGATGTGCAAGGAGAGAACACCAAGTACAAAGGAAAAGAGCTTGACATGTGAACAGCCAGGTCATGGGGCTGTAGAGGTGTGAAGATCATGATGAAAATGGTTCCCTACACAGAACACTCAGGGAAAGCCAAGACCCACTAGGCAGAGTTGGGGACCCTTCCTGTGTGGCTTCATTTTCTGTAGATTCCTCTTAATTGCTCTTATCAAATCTGATGTGACGCTTCCTGTTTGTCTCCCTTATTAAACTGTGGATTATTTCCTCTCTATATACAAAGTGTCCATCACAGTGTCTGTTTAGTACGTATTTGTCGACTTAATGAAGAAAGGAAGGAAAGAGAAGAAAGGAAAGGACACATTTCAGCTAATTAACCTGTCCCAATCCTTCCATTTGTCATCTCTGGTTTTATAAACCAAGCTTTATCAAATGAGCCATTTCATTTGTGCATCTCCTTGAGGTTATTAACGATGCTGTCCCTCAGATGAGCTGGCAGCTAATTTCTCCACTTTGTTTTTGCTCCTTTTGCTTCTTGAGAAGATGCTGAGATTTTGCCAGATGATACAGGCTAGGTGTAATATTTATTCTTCCTAAATCTTCAAATGAGGAGGACTTTCCTGCAAAGTCCATGCTCTGCCTATTACTTCTGCAGGCTGTCTATGGTCATTCAACTCTTTCTAAACAGTAGTAGATATCAATCTTCCCCTCTAGGTCTTTCCTTCAGTACTGGGATTGCCGTTTTTTTCCCCTAAAGCTAGAGGTGGCTTGGAGAGGAGAGAAGAAGAATCTGATTCTGGTCGATTTGGTTTTGGTTAATAGGATGTGTGAAGAATGAGTTCAAGTAAAGGATCAAAGTGAAGTTTTGCATTATCTATGAATTTTAAAGCATTGCGACTCCTTTATAAGCTCAAACCTCAGAGCTGTTTAGGGAAAACTATAAAAGTCAACTTGACAAATACTTATTAAGCACATTTTGTCCCAACTACTGAGAATATGATGGTGAATATGACAGACATAACACATACCTGGTCAGTAAATAGGTTGTAAATATAAAGAACTGGAAAAGTCCACAATGCTGTGGAGGGACATAGGATGAGCACATAGTCCTGTGACTCAGTCAGAGTAGGCCAGACTATGCTATGTTAAAAAATGATCCCCAAACATCACTGGCTTACAATAACATAGGCTTGTTTCTCCCCATGCTAGAGGCCCACTGCAGGTTGTCAGGGAACCCACACTAATGGAGTAACCAGCAATTATAGAGGTAATATAGCTTAGGGGGGTCTAAAATTACCAGTGAAATGCCATAGCCTGGAAGTGACACATGTCACTTCTGGTCACAACTCATTGGCTAAATTGGTTCCAGCCCCACCTCACCAGGAGAGGATCAGGATGGTCAGTCCTCCTAAGGACCCAGGAAATGATGTCTAAGCTGAGACCTGATATAGGAAGGCTCAGCTCCTATAAGTAGAAGTGAGATAGAAAGGAAATTATGAGTGTCAGTCAGGTTAAAGAGCAGAAACATATGCTGGGAGGGTAAAAGAGAATATTCTTTTGGAGGATGAATGGTTGAGTGGGGAAGAAAACGAGGATCTTTTGTCATCACTGAGGGATTTAAAACATCATAGACATTCCTCATTTGAAAGAAACAGTCATTCAACAAACCAGTTGATAGTAAGTTGTGCATTGATTCATTCACTCATTCATGTCATATATATGCCCTTTCTAGTTATATTGTAACTCAAGGACTTTTAGTTGCCTTTCCAACGTTCCTTCAGTCATTTAATCATTGTCACTGTATGGATAGATGGCTATGAATATGCTTTCTTAGCAATTTCTCCAATTCTCACTTGGTGACTTGATTAAGAGCTCCAGGAAGTAGTTTTTTAACAGAAGAATTTTAGTGTATCCAATCATTCTTTTTTCTCCTAAAATCTTTACTGAGCACTCACTGTATACAACAGCTAGTGAACAAAACAAAGTTCTTGCCCACACGGAGCTGACAATCTAATGAAGGAGACAGATTGAATCGAGTAGTGTTAAGTGCCAGGGATAAAAATAAAGTAGGATATGCAGCATATGGACTGTAAGAATGGCTAGAGAAGGCCTCTATCATAATAAGTCTTTTTAAAAATGAAGGAATATATCTGGAATAAGAAAGGCCAAAGGAAAAAGCAAGAGTAGAAAGTCTTGAGACAGAGTCTTCCTTGGAATGTTCACAGAACTGCAGGGAGGAAAACATAGCAAGAGAGGTATAATTAATGAAGAAGGAAGAAGGAGATGTCTAATAGCCCATTTATGCCTAGTGTCCCATTATTGGACCATGAAGCATGTGGGAGTTACTTATATACTACTGCTCAAGGTCATTGTCAAGGTCTCATTGCAAAAATTCAAAAAACTGCAACCTCAGGCATAAATGAACTAAGAGATGAGAGAAGGAGACAGATGATGCCTCCTTCCCCTCTAAGGATTTTCCTTTAAATCAAAGGGAAGTGGAAAGCTGGTAGAGGATTTTGAGGGAAGAGTTGCTGATCTGATTTAGATTTTTGAAGGATGACTCTGGTCATTCTGTTGAGAATAGAGTCAGGGGTACTCAAGAATGAAAACAAAGAGTTACCTTTGGAGGCCATCCTAGGTGAGAAGTAATCACATTTGGCCTAGTATAGTAGCAGTGGTAGTGATGAGTGGGCAGATTCTGGTTACATTCTGAAGCAAAAGCTGAGAGAATTTGCTATGGAATTGAATATGGGTGTGAGGGGAAGAATAGAGTCAAATATGACTCCAAGTTTTCCAACATGAACAAATGGAAGAGCGGAGTTGTCATTTATTGAAATGGGAAAAGTGGAGTCCAATTATTGACATGTTGAGTTCAAAATACCTGTTACATATTTAAGTCAAAATATTAGGTCAGCTGTTGGATATACGAGTATAGATTTCAGGGAAGGGAACAGGCTGGAAATTTGTATGCAGTTAAAGGGAATTATCTAACCCGCAAGGTGAACTAGCATCACACTTAGGTGTTTATAATAATGTTCACCAAAAACTATAAAAAGAGTTTATGGGAAAGAAATAGAATGCTGTATGAAAAGAATTTTCTTTAGTAGACCCTCATTAAATATGCTTCCAATGCTGTTTATCTGGGAAGCAACTAGTTAGAAAATACATTTGCTATGGAATGCTAGCCCCCTGAAGAAATGAGATAGTGCCTATTTAAACATCCTTAGGGTATCAGATGCTAAGGTGTAGTAACTTGCAATCAATACCTGTAATTTGATGAGTAGGTAACCAAATCCATCTAGCTGAATCCAATCACTGTTTTCATCATAGACTAGACTAAAAACAGCAGTAAGTTTTTAATTTATCAATAAATTCAGGTGAAACACAGAATTTAATCTTTGGTAACCCTTAAAACATAACAACATAAAGGAGAGAGTTTGAGAGCCCAGAAATAAGAGTGACCCAACCATAAAGCTAGACACATCCCCAGGGCTAGAGCCAACAGAGACACTGGCATTCTTACACATTGCACAGAGCTCAGCTCTCCTCTCCTGGGGAGCCATGGCTCCTAGATCTAAGGCCTAAGTCTCTGCCTCCTGGATGGTACATACATAAGCACCTCTTGTAGGGAGGAAGAGCCACATTCCCCAGAAAACCCTGGAGGGCCTTCTACCTAAGGCTTCACAGTTGTGTTGTAACAAGGAGGTCTGTGGAAGGCTTCACTGGAGGCCTTGGAATGATCCCTGAATTTTGTGCCCTTCAATAGCGATAAGAGTCAAAGCTTTGGAGACAATTTCAGAAAAACCCAATATCTTTGAACACTATTCTCTAGCTCCTTGAACTCTCCAAAAGAGGACAAAAAATTAACATGTATTTCTGGGAAATTGCGGTGGTTCACAGAGATGTCTTGATTTCTCAATATATTTTTAATAGTTTTTTATTCATCCACCATAAAGCAATCCATACAGAGTGTCAATTTTGAGCTAGAAGCTGGAGATAGGGTAGAACACAAGACAAAGTCCATGCCCTTGGGAAGCTTACATCCTATTGGGGAAAATATAGATTCACTCTATTTTTCCCTCAGCTCTTGGCTAGAAAAAAAATTGAGGTGAACATCCAAAGTAAATATTCTATTGGCTCTAAAGAATAATAATAAAACAATATAGAATGAGCCTAAATGAATTTCCAGACTCTAGAACCTAGAAAGATTTTTACCCCAGAAGTATCAGTCAATTACACCAACCCACTGTGTCTATGGGAGAAGTCATTCAAATACTAAAATCTTAGCCTCCTTCTGAAAAACTAATCTTGTCTGAACTCAAGGAAGTTTTGGATCTATTATTTTCTCTCTCTAGCATTTGATCCAGGCACTGGGCTGAATGCTTTCCAGCATACTATTTGGTTCAATCCTTTTAACAATCCTGTTGGGTAGATATTTGTATCCTATTACATAGAAGACAAGCAGAAGGGCTAATGACTTCTTCAAGATGGGAAAATCATAATTGGAGAATTAAAAACTCTAACACTAAGAGATGGGTTCTACCTAACAATTTCATACCTGAGAAAATTGTCCATGGCTAATAGATAATGAATGTCAAAACTGAGAAATGCATGGTGGATAATTCGAAACCCAAGATTATTACCACATCAACTACCTCCTCAGCACATCTGGTATCAACAACTTATGGGCCCTCTACACCAGGTATTCCACATTTGTCCTTCCAGAGCCACTCTCTACCCTTCTCCACCCTTCTTGTGCTCAGAGATGCTGACGTTCATGAACTGTATCATCAGGCTGCCCTGTACACTGACTTCCAGTTGGATTTGGCCAATAGAAATACCCACAGGAGACTAGGCGAGGTAGGATGGAAGAGAGCAGAGTGAGGTCAGAGTAATCATTTCCCCGGTTCATATCCTATCAGATCATGGCTTAGCAGTGGCCATGTTTCTTTACCAAAGCCATGGATGGCTCTTATCAGATGGCTCTCTCCTGGAGTTACTGCTTTTTCTGGGTTCCATTAATTACCCCATTCCTGCTCCTTTGGACCTGCAGGTGGTAACGACTCTAAATCCTCAGGCTGTTAATAGAAGCAAGGTGCTTCCTCATCTCTTGTTGGTTTTCCTTCATCTTGCCCACACCTTTGTAATAATCCTTTCACTAAGCCCTCCTGAAATACCCTCATTTGAGTGGCCATCTGTTTTGTATTGGGAAACTGATTGCTACAGCTTGGGAAATGGAACCTAAGAACTTGGTAGGCAAAGTTATTTCCTTCTTTTGTTAATTTAAAACAAAATTAACGTATGTGGCACAGACCAATCCTAAATGGATCCCTTCAGATGCTCAGTGCAAAATATCTCTTTAACTGTGTTCTTTTTTATCTCTCTGTGAAGATTCTCTTCCAGCATTGTCAGGAGGACAAAGTTATTTTATTCATTCAAGGTACTTTCACTTAAGTTTGATATTTCTTTATCTAAAACTTCATCTAAAAGTTTGAAAAGTTCAATAAACTCTGAGACCAGACATTAACATCTTAATATTAAACTTTAATATAATCCTTTTTGATATTACTAATGATGCCTGATTGCTCTAAGTTTTAGAATACAATAAGCATCATTTTGACTTTATTTTAGAATGAGAGAACACGTTGAAATCACATATTATTATTTCAAAAAAGGCTACCAGAAAAAGAGACACAGATACAAGTTAGTAAGATGGAATCTATTATCACTCGTCTCCCTAGTCAATCCTCTAAAAATTTGTCTGCTCAGAAAGCCAATTAAAGCCTCCTACAGTCTCCTTCATTGGCCAGAATAATAATGGTTTAAAAAAGCAGTTCAGTTGGGAAAAGGAAATGCATCCTCCAGAAGTAATACACCAACATTTCTCTGTGTTACAAGGGTACAAGCCAAATCCAGCATCAGTCTCTAAGATGTCTATAGGGTCTTTCCTGACTACACTCTTCTCACTTCCCCTAGTTCAACTGCTTCTTAATGGGTTACTGCACCTCTAATATTACTCTTCTCCCATCCAGTCTCCATGCTTCAGCCAGAAAGTTCTCCCTGTAAAATGAGTTCGATTATGTTTCCTCCCTATGTCAAACCTTTGGATGGCATCCTATGGTCTACAGAATAAAGCAAACTCCTGAGAAAAGCAAACCAAGCTTGCCTACCTTTATAGCTGTCCCTACTCTCTTCCATCACCCCAGGATGTATGCTTTTAACACCTTGAGTGTCCCACCCCACCCTTTCCTGGATGCAGCCTACTCTATCTCTCTTCCAGCACCTTGCCCATGCTGTCCCACTTGGATAATGTATTAGTCTGTTCTTGCATTGCTACGAAGAAATATGGGGCACTGGGTAATTTATAAAGAGGCTTAACTGGCTCACAGTTCTGCAGGCTACACAGGAAACATAGCAGTTTCTGCTTCTGGGGAAGCCTCAGGAAACTTACAATCATGATGGAAGGGGAAAGGAAAGCAGGCACGTCTTACATGGCTAGAACAGGAGCAAGAGAGAGAGAGTGGGGAGGTGCCACACACTTTTAAACAATGAGAACTCTATCATGAGAACAGCACCAAAGGGGGAAATCTGCCCCCATGATCCAATCACCTCCCATCACGCCCCACCTCCAACATTGAGGATTACAATTCAACATGAGATTTGAATGGGGACACAAATCCAAACCATATCAGCAGGTTCATTCCCATAGCCCATGGTAAGCCTGAGTACCTTCTCATGCTCAAGAGACCAAGTTAACTTGCTAAATCTCTTTTTCTCCTTTGTTCACTATCCTATCCTCTCAGAAACAGGAGGAAAATACTAATTACTAGTTCTCTTTTGTAATGTCATGCCTTCTGAGTCAATGACTTCTAATTATATATTTAGAAAGAAAATGACACTTATTGAGCACCTACTATTGTACTATGTGCATTATTCACATGCATAGTTTCCTCTAATCCTCACAATAATATTATATAGAAAAGCAGTATTATCTCATTTTGTTGATAAGGAAATTGTGCCTGAAAACAAAGAACTGTTGCTCAAGGTTGTACAGCTAGTTGGTGGGAAGTCCAAAACTTGACTTTATGTTCTCTGACTCAAAATCTGTGCTTTTTTTGTTATAATCACCATTTTCTCATATTAAAAATAGATTCATCAGATTTTTAAGACTCCTTATTTGTATAGCATGTTACAGATTATAAAGTACTCTTACAGCATTATCTTACTTGATCACCAATAAACCTGTGAGGTAGTTAATGCAGGGAGAGGGTCCTCACTTTATAGACTGGAGGGTCAAACAGAGAAATGATTCTCCCAAGGTTACTGATATTGTTAGGCTTTGTGTCCCCACCAAAATCTCATCTTGAATTATAATCCCCATAATCCCCATAGGTAAAGAGAGAGACCAGGTGGAGGTAATTGGATTATTACCTCCAATAATGTGGAGGTAAACAACATGGTTTCCCCTATGCTGTTTTCATGATAATGAGTGAGTTCTCATGAGATCTGATGGTTTTATAGGTGGCTCTTCCCCCTTTGCTCAGCGCTCCTCCTTCCTGCTGCCTTGTGAAGAAGGTGCCTTGCTTCCTCTTCACCTTCTGCCATGATTGTAAGTTTCCTGAGGTCTCCCCAGCCTGTGAACTGTGAGCCAATTAAACCTCTTTCCCTTATACATTACCCAGTCTCAGGCAATTCTTTATAGCAGTATGAAAATGGACTAATACGGTCACTAAGCCAAAAACAAGGCACCAGGAATGGAACACCTGTCTCCCAAGCCAGTGCTCTTTCTTTATAACACCACTGACTATCACCTAGATATTGCATTTTCTTCCTGGTGGGAAAGAGGAATTGGATCTTCAAAACAATTTGACTCTCTACAGAGACTCCAAACGAACCTGACACATGCCTTGCTCTTTGGCCCTACCTTAGCTACTGAGGACTCAGTCTCTGATCTGATTGGTCATCTCAGCTAAGTTCCAAAACTGAGGTTACATGGAGGCAGGCCAGCAGTCAACTCTGACCTCAGATGTGGAATTTTGTTTGTGGGTTTTGCCCTACACTGCATTTTAAATAAATATATTTAATTTCTAATTTTTAAAAATTAGGTGTCTAGCATGTCTTAAAAAAAAATAGAGCCAATAGTGCTACAGTCCCTGGATATGATGATGAGATGAGACACTCTCCATTTCCTTCTTTTATGTTCCTGCTGGTTCTGTAGGCTTCTGAGTTTCCAGCCTGGGTGTCACCATTGAAGACTTCCCAATGACTGTGATATGGTTAAGAGAGCTTGCAGGAGCACTGTCCACAAACTTGCCTCTTCCCTGCTTTTCTTTTTCAAAGTTTAGCTCAAGGCTTTCCCTTCCTGGTATGAATCCTTTCCCTCAAGTATTGAAGAGCATCCTCTACAAAGACCAAGTCTTTCCTCCTTCTGATAATGGGCATTATTTACTCCTGCTTGTGTCCCTTTATGAAACTTCATTCTATCTGTGCCCTAAGTGCTCCAAGAAAAAGAGCATTTGTGAGTGGGAAAGAATTGCTCATTACAAGGGCCAAGAACTTGCTTTTGTCTACTAGTCTTCTGCTATTCCCTGGTTTCCAAATAACACTGATGAGACAGTAGTATAATGCAAGTGACACTAATATTGCATTAATCTCTCTGGGCCTCAGTTTCTTATCTTTAATATGAGGGTGGTAGCTCCTTTGCTATCTAACGGCCCTTCCAGATCTAACATTCTCTGATGCTGTGGGGGAATCATCTTTAAATGTAAGTTTTGGCATAACAATGTTTTACTTCTCAAGTTATATTTTAAAATGTGTCCTAATTTTCAGGTAGGAGAACAATCCACTGCACTTTCACCGTGTTTTGGCTGCCCACAAAGCCAGGGTAATTTCTGCGTATATATGAGGCCCTGTGGATGGGTAGAAGTAGCCCTAGCCAGGAGACCTGGCTGTGCCACTTACCTGCTGTATAATCCTGGCCAGATCCCTTTTTCTCTCTGGGCCTTAGTTTCTTTATTATAAATTGAAGACAATGGCTCAAAGTCAATAACTCTGTAATTATGGATGCAAGAAGAACACATTTGATAAGCTTTTGTAGCAGCAGTAATGGAAAAAATACTGGACAGAAAGTTGGAAGACCCAGGTGCTATTAACAGTTCTGCTACCCATCAGCTTTGTGACTTTGGGAAGTCACAAACACATTCTCCATGCCATTGTCCCTATTAGCATTTGTCACTTCTGTGCTGTTCGTTTTCATGTTTGTTTTTAATCTGGCCAGCATCATTCATTTTCATAAGCACTAGGATTCTGTAGGCATGTGGGTTTGTTATCCGTCACCCAAGATTTTCATTCATTCAACTTATATCTTCTGAGCATCTGTGGGGGTACCAGGAATTTTCTAAGAGTTGGTGGTATGGACAGAGAACAGTGCTGGCTCAGGGAAGCTAACTTTCTGCTGAAATCTATGATTCTGTCTATAGCATATATAACACTAAGTCTGGGTGCTGACACACCTGATTTTCTTCATCCCTCATTACCTTCCCCTTCAACACTTTATCGTCATCCTTTCCTCTGGCTTCCCCCCACTGTCCCCAGCACTGGTATGTCCTTTTAGCTGTGCCCCATGCCCCAACTCACACCAGTAGGCGTGAGTTTCCACTTAGTTTCCACCCTACCCCTGCAGGCAGCCAATGAAAGAAAACAGGATAGTAAATTTTTTTTTTTTTTTTGGAAACAGTCTCACTCTATCTCTCAGGCTGGAGTACAGTGGTGTGATCTCGGTTCACTTAAACCTCCACCACCCGGGTTCAAGTGATTCTCATGCCTCAGCCTCCCTCAAGCAGCTGGGACTACAGGCACCTGCCACCAGCGCCGGATAATTTTTGTTTTTTCAGTAGAGATGGGGTTTTGCCATGTTGGCCAGGCTGGTCTCAAACTGCTGACCTCAGGTGATCCGCCCACCTCAGTCTCCCAAATTGCTCGGATTACAGGCGTGAGTCAGTGTGCCCAGCTGATAGTAAATATTAAAGTAAATATGCACTAATGCGTAATCCTTCATCCCAAAGGAATTGTGTGAGCAAGGGCTCTGGGCTCAAGAGAAGTGGATTCAAAGTGCTGTGGAGCTACTCATTGGCTTCAGGATTTTGGTCTACCTGCTTAAACTTTGGAAGCCTCAGCATTCTCATCTATAAAATGGGGATAAATGTAGTACCCACTCAACAAGGGTGGTATAAGATAGAGGGTTCTGGCCAGGCGCAGTGGCTCACATCTGTAATTCCAACACGTTGGGAGCCTGTGGCAGGAGGATCACTTGAGGCCAGGAGTTTGAGACAAGCCTGGATAACACAGCAAGACTCTGTCTCTACAAAAAATTTTAATATCAAAAAGTAAATTTCAAAAAAGATAGAGGGTTCAATGAGATAATTTATGTCAACGGTCAGCACAGTGACTGGCCTGGTAGATTTTAAATAGTCAACACGTGTTTGCTATTTTGACCAGTATGAAGCCCAGAATATGCTATTTGTAGTCAGGCTGAGACCAGAGATGTTCTGGGAGAGGAAGGACCATCCCACATCCAAATCCACGCTAATGAGCTTATATAAATACCAGCATATTCAAGGCCTGGGTTCAAAGCCACCCTCAGTGAGATTGCTCAGGGTTAGAGAATCTGCTGCAAGATTGGAATTCCACCCCCTTGTTGCTCAGTGTAAGAAATAAAACCTTCGCCAGTTCCAGCAACAACACAGCATTCCCTCTGCACATGGTTTTGACTTCCAGTGCCAAAACACAAGACTCTTTACAAAGCCCTTGTTTTTCTGCAAACGTGTTTGTCAGGAGCCTTGTTTTGCAGATAATGGATTTACAAAGAGGTTTGTTCTTCTTTTCTGGCACCTTGAAAGAATAAAAATTCCTGAATGGGAAGAAGGATCAAGTGGCTGCTTGCATGTACGGTGTCTCTTTGACTACATACTGTGCCACAGTGTTGGAGGCTAGGTTTCATAATTACACAGTGCGACACACAATTACCCACAATTAGGTTAATTATATAAATACACTATGATTATCCAAAAGATAACGTTAAGTAACACACAAAGAGGATGGGACAGCCCTGAGGTAAACCTGAGGGAGTGGAGGAGGGGAATGGGAGGGAGATCAAGGCAGTTTTGTGGGATCGCAGCACCACCCTAAGAGGAAAGGCACCATCTTCCCCACCTGGCTCCCCTCCTTCCTGAACAGGAGCAAGTCCTCTTCACAGCCTCAGTGGGCCAGTCTTTCTTCAGGTGGCCCCCAAATATTCCCTTTACCAACTCTGCCTGTTAACACAACAAATTATAAAGGGCAGTTGGGTTGGATCCCATGTCAGGCCAACACTGCAGCCACACCACTGACATTTAAGGCAAGCTGCATTCTATATTTCCACACATTACTGATGGGCTTGTCATTCTAAGATGGTCAGGCCAGAGCAATTAAGCAAAGGTTTACACTGGCATAAAAATTATGGCTGACTGATGGAAGGCCAACTCCAGAACCTCTGGCCTGCTCAGAATATTGGCTGCCAACCTCATGCTTTGATAAACGCATGTTGAGCTCTGGAGGAGAAGTGGCAATTTCACAAATATACACAAATAACATTTGGGGATAGTGTTCCTGCTATATGTTTCCTGGACTTTCCTGGACCAGGGTTCTCAATAAAAAAACAAACTATCAACAGTACTTTCCTTTAGAAAGTGGTTTGGGAAAAGGGGCAGGGGCTGTGGGAGAACAAAAAGGGACAAGTTGCTTTTTATTCTATATTCTTTGATCTTCTTTAAATTTCAACCACATGCATTATTACCTTTGTAATTTGAAAAGAAATGTATGTTTAAAAAAGATGTATTTTAAAAATCCAAATTGGGGAGAAGAGATGACAAACATTCATTAAACGCTTATTATATTCTAGGCACTGTGTTATTACTTTATAAACATTATCTCATTTAATTCTTACAAAACCCCTAAGAGGTAGGTCATACTGCCCTTGTCTTAAAGATGAGAAAACTGGGCTCAGAAAGCTGTGATAACCTGCCCAAAGCCAAACAGCTAGTACATACAGTTGGAAGGGAACATTTGAATTCAAGTCTGTCAACCTCAACATGAATATTCTTTCTTTATATTATATTGTTACCTGCTGCCACAGATAAACAAACACTCAGGGTCTCACTTCCCTCATCTGCAAAAAGAGAGGTTTAGTCTGCATCATCTCTAATGTTCTTGATAACCTAGGATTCCATGAGTGAAAATTCACACCATGGAATAAAGATTCTTTACTTTCGGAGGAATACAATCAAATTTCCTTTAAGTATAGTGCTCTCCTAGCTCACATAAGTGCTTATTATTTCCAGATCATTAACTGTTTGACATAGAGATTTGGCTGAGAAACTTGAAGCTCAAGTGTTGGAGGCCTCTGCCAATTGAAAATCAGTCAAATGTGGATAATGGCTTCTGTTACTATAATGCAAGTCTACAGGAAAATGTGATTCGATTTATAAAAATTCTATCAAATGCAGCTTTTCAGGAATTCATCTGTTGAGTACAACAAGGTACATCTGTGCTGTATTATCCAAATAAGTTCCACCTGGCAGGTAGACGACTGTAAGACTTTAAAAGGAAAAAAATGACAGGAGTTTTTACAAAGTCCTACCATCTCTGCTCACTCAATTTTAACTTTATTTAATCTGTTACACCCTCATTTGTGGATAAAGCAGAGTCATTAAATTTGCCCAAGCAACAGATATGCACTTTCATTAACAGACAGAAGTAGTCACACGAGAAAAGCTTTTCAATTGTTATTCTACAGTATGGAAAATTGGCAAGGGGTGGGGATGAGGGTGAATAGGAAAAAAGCAAGCACCCAACTGGCTTTCCTTATGAAGAAATGCATAAAATGGTGATGGAGCTGTGTAATATGAACCCTCAGAGGCTTGCTCTAGCTTCTGCAAAAATCGAGGGTTCTAAGAATACCAAAAGAAAACGAGCTGTTGAGAAAACTTGCAATTATTTTGGGACATTAAGAAGATCAAGGCAGGTTATTTAGATGTCTGGGAAAGTTGGATTTAAAGAATAAACTTTCTAGGTTGGTATGATTTTAACACACAGGATTCTTATTATAGTCAGTATTCTGCCTTAGGTGACAACATTTTAACTTTCAACAGGAGATCTCCTTCCCCTCTCCACATGCCCTGCTCATTTTTCCTCTTAGTCTCTGTGGCTTCACCCAAGACAATGTTATCCATTCTTATTTGGGCCTTTGTAAACCACAATAACTCCAGACTAAGAAGTTAGTTTCAAGAGCCAGACATCTATTTCATTATGAGTATCTGTCTAGACATTAAAGGGGTCACTCAACACTGCCTCCCATGATCCTGTGAGTTCCATGACAATAGCAGACCAACACAAGACAGAATACATATACCCCATACAACTCCCCCTGCCCTGACTAATCGTAAAAGATTTTATTTCCCAAAGAAGCAACTAGGAAATAGGGAAGCTTCTCAGTTGGTAGAAGAAACCAGTGCTGCGCGTAAAGACTGGTTTTATTTACTGAGTTTGTGGCTGTCCCTTCTCAAAGCAAGGGTGCTTTCCTGCTTTTTAGGGAAGTCCAGCATGTTCAGCTTAATTAGCACTTGGATTCATTATCAAACCAAAAGGATCAAGAGAAAGATGTCCGTTGATTGATTGTTTTTGTCCACCATTGGAAATCTTGTGCAGAATCGTTATCTATAATCAACAGGTGAAGTGTGAAAATACAACTTTCTAGCAATCATGTTAACTCATAATAGCTCCCCCTAGACATCCCTTCTGCAAAATGGTGATATTGAATGTAGAGTTTTAGTGTTGATAAGCCCATAATGAGTTGGGGCAGGGGATCAAGGACTTTGCCGCAAGTCAGAGGCTTTTGCAAGAAAATTCTCCATTCAACATTGCCATCCGAAATCCCCAGCACAACGTCTTAATTTACACATTCTCAGAAACAGTCTCCTTAAAGCACATTCTTCCCATTCCCCGCTCCACCTCCGCGAAGACTGAGGTCCCAACACTAGCACTCAGACTAAATTTTCCATGTGATATTAACGAAATACGAATTGGAAAAATATATAAAATATTCAAATTAACATTTTTCCCTTCAAAATTAGATTGGGAAGCCACGTGCTGTTTCTACTGAGGTTTCCTTTGTTCTTAGCCTTCTCCTACCTTCTTGGGAAAAGCTTTCATAGTCACTGGAATCACACAGAAAAATCATTCCAAACACCTCAGAATTCTTTTTTTTTTTTAACCCAAAAAATGGCATTTCCTTAGGTTGTACTCTTTAGATGAGATTTGGTACCTGAACATTTTTTAAATTTACAAATGTCAAATTTATTACTGAAGGATTATTCCCAGCTATTAGGCCATTCCAAAGAATATAACATAGACATTGAGGTAATTCCAAAGTTTTGAACAAGAAGATATTTTTGGATTAAGGATGCTGTCTACAGAGGTGGCTACTCCGCTCATTGGTATGCATACATTCAGGTCACATTGCACAACTACAAAGTCCTGGTCTCATTGTATTCTATGTAAATAGCTCCTCCTGGAATTTTGTAATGCTGAGCCTCTTTGTATAGCCTACTCTGTTTGGGGCAAAGTAGTCCTATCACTGAAGAGTCATTCTTCAAGTCTTAAGCAAGCATCGTTTTCACCCGTCCAAGTCAGAATATCAGACCCTTTAGGCTTACAATTTTTTTTCTCTTTAAGTACATTTTCTTCCTATGGAATCACTAACTGATGGCCTTGTTTTATTGCTAATTATTCTTTGTCATACTTACGAGTCTTTCAAGGAAATAAGAACTACCTTTTGGAGATGGTTAGGTTTTGTATATTTTTATATCACATTGTAATTTTTATAGGACAAAAAAGGCAAGGTTAGAAACATTTTTATCTGGAAGTTAGTGAAATGGTCTAGGTTAATGTTAGTCAAAAGTCTTGGAATTTAATCCTCAGATGTAGCTGAGAACTTTACTGCTGGTATAATTTTCCTTTAATCTTTTCATAAACTAAAAAAGACACATGAATAGAGATACTGGAAAAAAAATAATAAAAATTTCTTAAAAATTCAGGAATAGAAATTGTTCATTAGCTTTTCTTAAGTGGTTAGGTTTACAGGTCACATTAATCAATATTTGGTTTCATAGCAGATGTGGAGGAAGTGAAAAGTCTGGATTCCAAAAGAACCCAAGAATATGAAAAAGTATCACATTTCACCTGCATGGAAAAGAATGGAGCAGGAAAAAGGTTTATGTATATCTCAAAGCAATAATGTTGAAAAAACACAACTGAAGTCATCAAAATCACTGTTGAGAAACCAGATTTGAATAATGCTTCAAGTTTTCTTAATTAAGTTTCAACATCACAAAGTTAGGAGTAATGAATACACATCTTAGTATGTAAGTGTGATCTAGCATCCCACTTGGTGGGGGAGCACCTTTAAAATCACATAGGTAAGTGCATATCTGTACATATCTGTGCACAAAGGCATGCCTTTCATCTCTCCCCTCCACCCTGCATCTCTTTCTTTTTCTCGTACAAAGTACAAAGCTTAGCTTTTTATATATTTTGCAGAAAACCTTTTGTACCTTTTGTTCATTCAACAGATATTTACTGAACTCTCTCTGAGGGCTGACCTCTCTGCTAGGTACAGTGAGAAATATAAAGAAGAGTTTGGCAATGGGAGTAAAGAAACCCAAAATGAGGAAAACTACTAAAAATGTAAGAATGGTCTTGAAAAAATAATTTAGGGAGGGAAAACACTTGCTCCTCTGGCATCTGTTCAACCCAGGTATACTTATTAATGCCTATTGTGGACGAGATGTGTGCCAGGCAAGACAGAGCCTTCTGTTTTTACCAAACTTGAATACGTCTTTTTTTATGATAATGGGGACAGAAAGTCACAGGTAGATCTGAGAGGCATTTGGAAGAAAGAAGTAAGTCACAACCCCTGATGATGGCTCAGTAGTGTCACAGATATAAAAAAAAGTTTGGGGGGTGGTGGTGGTCTTAGTCTTTGGAGTTAAACTGCCTGGGTAAGCACTAATATTGATCAATTTAACAGAATTAACCTCATTTGTTGCTGTTACCTGAGGGGAGGAGAGTGACAAGACAAAGAGAAGAAGGAGAAGTCTCTTTTTCTGGCATCAGTTTCCAAAAGCCTAAATTCTTAAAAAAAAAAAAAAAAATTGAGATGTAATTCACATACCCTAAAATTCATTTTTTAAAAAAGTACATGATTCAGTAGTTTTTAGTGTATTTACAAGCTTGTGCAACCAACATCATTATTTATTTATTTATTCATTCATTTTTTTTGAGGAGAAGAAGAAAAGAGGAAAAAAGGTTTTGACTGAATACATCTTTCAAGGTTTTATGACAACCTTCTTTCCAAGCCCTCCTAAACTATTCTTCACTTGCATTCACAAAATCGCACAGCTGCATGCTTGGAGCCATGTCTGCCTATTTCCAATGGGGTTGACTGTGTAACACAATTACAGATATCCTACTAATAATTTGAATCAGTTGTTTACCAGTGCAGTTATTTTAAGGCTGGCTTGTGACTGCTGCTGGCAGGTTGGTGAGCAGAGGAAAACAGGAAATGAACTAAATCATTTATTAACATTGAAAATAACATATTGAAAGGTGTTGGGTCCTGGGGTAAATAGCACTTGGCTCCTGCAAATGAGGGAATGGGGATTTTCCAAATAAAGGGCTTACCTGAAAGAATTTTCCAAATTTTGATGTCATGGAAAAACACTAATTCCAAACTAATTTTAACAATTGTCGAACGTGTCCTCTAGAAGACATGTAATTACTAAGAACTATGACATGAACACCTTCATTCAAAATTACTGCAGTACTCATGCCTTGAGTATATCCTGAAAATAAAAGAGAAAGAAAATAAAAAATATTTATTCTCTTTCATGCACTAACCATATGCCTCCATATTGTGCATCTACCATATGCCAACCCCAGTCATAGATATTTTTACAAACACCATGTTATCTACATGTCACAACAAACCTCTGAGTTAGAATCACCACTACACAAATGGGGAAAAATAGAGGCTTGGAGAAGCCAAGTAACTTGACTGAGGTCTCACAGCTTACAGATAACGGAGCTTGTGCCTGACACCAGGGTCCATGTCTTTCCATCAAATTGCATGGTTGCCCTCACTCAAAGTACTCATTCCAATAAGGGGGTTTATGTTAGCAAGTAGAGCATTTTGGGATTAAAATTTGTTTTTCTAATTAAATAACAAATCATTTTAATTCAGTCTGATAAGTTATGCATTAATCAATCGTATTTTTCTTGGAATATATATTGGTATAGAGCATTGTTGGAGACAGAAAAATATATTGCTTGGGCATGACTTGCTGCCCTGCCATTTCCTTTATGCTGGGACTGTACCCTGCTGTGGGAATAAGCACTGAGTGACTCAGGAAGTCAGTTGGTAGAAAGCAAGATGAGTCTGGGAAGTTGTGATTAAAAGGGCCACGTGTTTTATTATACAGAAATAATCACACAATGATGAAAAAATTATGAGTAAGAATGTCCAGAGAAGTATAATTTATAGTGACAAAAATTTGGCAATATTTAAATGTCCAATGCAGGTGACTGGATAAATAAAGCTTGTTTGTACAATGCCAACAGTTTCAGTGCTTAGAAATAGTGATGAGTTGAAGGGCGAGGGATACCTGGGGGTTCATCATAGTATCCTGTTTTGCATTTGTATCCTGTATTTGGAATTTCCCTTTATTAAGGGAAATTAATAAGATGTTTTAATTTCATTTAATTTAAAGGCTGTTTTAAATGATGATATATGTATATTGATGATCTTAGAAATATTTTTTGTAATATCTTATTATGTGGAAAAAGCAGATTATTAAATGTCGTAGGATTTTCTATTGTCTGCATCCTGTTTTCCACCCCTTTGAAGTACATGGGAGGATTATACTTCCCTGCCACCTTCAAGTTGGTCAGGGCCATATGACCTCTTCTGGTTAATGGGTGTAGGCAGAAGTGATGTGTGTCATTTTCGGGCTGGAGCACTTAATTGCCAGCATGAGACTCTCCAGCCCTCTCTATCCTCTACCTCTGTAACCTATGACATTCCAAGCAGTAGAGCTTTTGTCCCTGAGTGAGGAAAATATCAGACAGAGCTCCCTGATGAAGTAGAATGGACATATAATTTGAACAAGAAATAAACCTTTGATATTTAGAGCCATAAGATGCTTGTAGCACATCTTGACTGGTAAACAAAATATGTAATTTCCAAGAACTCTCAGCTTGCCTCCTCTTCGTTGTCAGGTCATCATGCAAATCTCGCTTTATGAGTAAAGGCTTCTCTGACGGCTCCCAGTTGAAATTGCAATCCCCTAGCACTCTCTGTCCTCCTTCCCTAGTTTATTCTCTATAGCACCTACCTCCATTTCTCATACCATACACATTTAAGAAATAAATTCTACATAATATGAATAAACATAAAACATATAAATATGTGACATAGATATTGATATAAATATGGGTATTCTGTTTATTGTTTGGATCCTTCATTAGACTAGAAGCATCAAGAAGGAACTACCAATGCAAAGGCCCAGGAGCTAGTGTGCTGAATGTACAAGGAACAGCAATAGAGGACCAATAGAGGTGGTGAGAAGTGCATAGGTTTTGGATTGATTTCTGGGTAGAGTCAATGGGGTTTGCTGGATCAGACACCTTTCTTCAAGAGAATAAAGAAGGAAGGGTAACTCCTCAGGTTTTTAAGCCTAAGGAACTGGAAGGAAAAGACTGCTAAGACACCAAGATAGAAAAGACTGCAGGTGGAATGGATGGTTCCATCAAACCCTAGGAAATTGCCCTCATCCTCATGGCCAAATATAATTTGCCACACCTTCTAATTCTGCGTTCCTGCATGTAGGAAGAGCAGGGAGGGAAAGGAGGTGAAAGACATTCCTTTGCATTTTAAGGGCACACTTCCAATGTTGCTCATGTCTTCCTTTCACTTTTTTTTTGGCTAAAACTTCGATACCTGTTTTCAAGGGTGATTAAGCAATGTAGTCTTCATCTGGATAGTCATGAACCCAGCTAAAACTTGAGTGTCCTATTACCAAGAGAGAAAGGAAGAACACATACTAGGGGACTACTTACACTCTCTGCCCCATCCACTGGGTATGTTGCTTCCCCAGCCAGCATCCAAACACGAGTCTTCTGAATCTTACTCCAATGTTCTTTCTCTCACAAAGATCTTCTTCCAAATGGTCTCCAATTGTTTAATCAGTGAAGAATTTATCACAAATCCTATCTCACTAACGCCAGATGGAAAACTAGCTCAAGTAAGAGACCTAAGTCAGCTTCCCATTCTCTTATCCAACAAACATTACCTGAATATCTATCATGATCAAGACCATATAATAGGAACTATGGGAAAAACAAAAATTAGCAAGATGTAATCCATGTCATCAGAGCTCCCATAAAATAAAGTTGCAGAGGAAGAGAGAACAGACATTTATACCATGAACTCTAATCAAAGACAGAATTAAATTAGAGCAATAATAAGATATAAGCAATATGTTATAAGGGTTAGGGGTACTAGGTAGACTGTGGACATCAGAGGAGTTATTACAATGGGCTAAAGAATGAGAAAGATTTCAGTAGACCCACAAAGGCTAGGAAGGGCATTGCAGTCAAAAACACAGATGTAAGGGAGAAAATGCATGTTGAATTTAAGGAATAATGAGATGTCCAGTGGACTGAGACATCACCCAGTATACATAGAGGGATGTAACATGATATGAGGTTGGAATGATGGGTTGGAGTCAGATGGTGACAGCCTGAAATCCCTCATGAAGGTGTTTATACTTCATTTTGCAGGTGTTGAGGGGCCATTTAGGGTTTGTGAATTAGGGAATGACTAGATCTGACTTTGGTTTTTTGGGCAGGAAAAACAAAACAAAACAAAACTACTCTTGCTGTGTGGTGGATTAGGTGAGGAGAGACTGCTTAGAGAAAAATTATTCCCCTACCCACCTTTGGGAATGTCTGCCCCGGAGCCTGTCAACTCCTCACTTTTCAAATAAATGGGTCCTCTCCTGAGCTTCCCAAAATGTCCTGGACTTCCTGGAATTTGATGACCTTCACTGTGCCAATATGAATCATTCTCCACATTTATACTGAGCTGAGAACGTGGAGACAGCAAAAGAATCCCATTCAATGCCTGGGGAATTATGGGATCTAAAGGTATGTGTCATAATGCTTGGGCGAAGTTGTGGTCCTGGGCAGCTTTTCTACTGAAACTCACTTAAAAAGTCAGAGCCTGTGGGATTTGACAGATCATCTAGTCCAGTTATAAATACTGGGTCCCACAGAGGTGAAATTATTGCCCAAGACACAAAAATTCAGGGCCAGTGCCTAATATCATGGACTGCATCGTCCAGTGTTTATTCACTAATCCAAATCACAGAAGATCCTCCTCACTCAGTAGAGTCTCATATCCACACTAGTTTGGGCCCAGCTCTTGGACTAGAGTGGGCCATGAAAAAATGAACAAGTATTGTTTTTAATAGCTACACCCAAATTCAATCAAAGCTTGCATTTTTCAGGCCTAATGACATTTGATAATCATTAGCACATTTCCTGTCAAATTACAGAATCATAGTCTCATAAAGACTTTACAGGTCATCTAGTCCAATTATACAGTGTTCAGAATTCTATAACTTGACTTTGTGAAAGGTATAAGCATTTGAGTTAATTGTTGCCTTGGGCCAAAGAATAATACAATGTATTAGTTACATAATTTATTCACTCATAAAAGGTGGAGGGAGAGGTATCAAAATAGACCCAATCCTCAAGATGCTTGCAGTCTAGTAAAATACCTGTATATTTCCTTAATTCTTTCCTCTATTGCCCTCAACATCCTTGTTATTGATTTAGCCTGCTTGGCAATTTTAGCACTTTGTCCTGAATTTGTTCAACAGCCTGAATTTGACTGTAGGAGGAAGTAAAAAGAACGCTATATGCGGTATGGAAATACCTCTCAGCTGCGTTTTCTCCACCCCACAGCATGCAGCCCACCTAGTGCAAGCATCTGCTGAAGCCCAAATTGTCATTCTGCTGGCTGTGTTTGCTGGAGAAACTTCCCCCAGCCAGGACCAGTAATCATTGACAGGCAATATGGAGACCCTTGACAGGGGCTGGAAATAAATTGCCTTGGTGAAAAACAAACCAAACCTTAGCCATAAATTACTCTGACAATAGCAAGTGGAGAAAACCTGGTTCACATAAAGATCTGTTTGCCCCATGTTAGAGTGTCCCATCTTCCTGGGGCTAAACCCCTGGAGTGAGTCAACCACTCTTACCACGGGCAGACTTTCTGCTCTTTGAGTGCCTTTTCACTCTTCAAGTACATACTGGCTGAGACAGTGTGTACGCTCCAAAGATAGAGCAAGCACTTTAATAATAGTAATAAGCTTGAGCAAAACACTTTTCTGTTTACAAAGTTCTTTCTCATTTATCATGTTCTCACTGTGGGGAGTAGGAAATAACTTGCAGTTGAGGACAGGATGTGATCAAGGTGTCTCTGCTTCTCATCCACCATGTGATACCAAATTCCACTTTCACAAAGTTTTAGATCATTAGTCACTTGCTGCACAAAACAGTTGTGCAAAGCTAGTCAACTTAGAGAAACCCAAGCATCTTACGATCTGTAACTCCAGGGCCGTGCTATCCAGTGCAATAGCCACTAGCCATCTGTGCCTGCTGAGCACTTGAAATGGGGCCAGGGTGAATTGAGAGGTGCTTGGACGTATAAAATGCATACCAGATTTTGAAGATTTAGCATGAAAAAAATTTAAATAATATATCCTTAATAGTTTTATATTGATTATTTTTCATATTGAAAAAATAGTTTAGACATATTGAATTGAATAAAATATATTATTAAAATTAACCAAGTGTGGTGGTTCATGCCTGTAATCCCAATGCTTTGGGAGGCTGAGGTGGGAAGATTGCTTGAGGCTAGGTGGACAAGACCAGCATGGGTAACATAGTTAGACCCTGTCTCTACAAACAGCTAAAAAATTAGTTGAGTGTGATGATGTGCATCTATGGTCCTAGCTACTTAGGAGGCTGAGGCAGGAGGATAGCTTGAGCCCAGGAGTTCAAGGCTGCAGTGAGCTATCATCACGCCAATGCATTCTAGCCTGGGTCACAGAGTGAGACCCTGTTTCAAAATAAATAAATAAGGCTAATTTTACTGTTTCTTTTTACATTTTGAAATGTGACAACCAGACAACTTAAAGTTACATATGTGGCTTGCATATATAATATTGCTATTGAGCGGCACTTCTCTAAAGAACTGTCTGGAAGTGAGCTAGTTCTAGCCTCCTTAACTCCTCTTTAATTGTTAAAAAGACATGATTCTCCCCAGCACGATGGTGTTAGAATCACTTTAAAAGGATCTAGGAAATAGACGGGCCTTGTCCAAATGAAGTCTTGACTGTTCTTGTTCCCTAGATTGGGAATGAACTCCAAGGCTCCGAGGGAGAAAGGAATAGACCCTTTTCCAGGGAAAGAGTCCTCTGTGAATGTCACTGCCTTGAAAAAAAAAAAAAGCCATACATGAGCTATTAAAGGCTCTTCATATCATCAAAGAAAAAGAAAATATGGCAGCCACATATGACTACAAGACTAAAATCTGAGTGAGCGAGGAAGTCAGCCAGCTCTGTGATCACCAGGACATCCAGGAATTGATCTCTGGTCCAAGTTACCCAGCCTAAGAAACATGCAACTGGGAAAACTAGGAAAGAGCCTTCCTCTGGACATCTTTATGTTACGACAAGTCTCTTGGGCCAGCTCAGATGAAGTCATTCATAAGCAGTCCTTGGCACTAGACCTTGTTTAATTCCATGGCTCTGTAGGTCTTCCTTCATAAACTGCTCTTTCTGTGTCTACCCATTCCCCAGTCAGAAGCCTTTAACACCTAACCCAGATCAAGTCCTCTACTCAGACCCTTCCTGCGGCTACCTGTTAGCCTCAGAGTAAAGGCCAAAGCTCCTACACCAGCCCACAGACCCCACGTCACCTCCCTGACCTTTTGTCCTACTCCTCTCCTGTGGCTCTTAACTCCTGGCTGCACCTCAGCCCTGGCTTTTCCCTCTGATGAGAACCTTCTCTCATATATCTACATGGCTAACTGCTTCATTTCCTTTAAACTTTGTTTAAATTTCACTTTCTTAGCAAGGCCTCCCTGAACACCTATTTAAAATTGCAACCTGACCCCACTGCACTTCCAATCTCCTTTACCTTCCTCTGTTTTTTCATTTTTTTTTTCTTTTTCCATAGCACTCGTCACCTATAAGTGATACACTATAAAACTTACTTATTCATCTAATTGTTTGCTATTTCCCTTCACTAGAATATAAGTGTCACAAGGGCAGTCTGTTATTATGCATTTTGTTTATTGACATATTCTAAGAATCCAGAGCAGTGGGAGGTTCTCAACAAATTTTTTTTTTTTTTTTTTTTTTTTTTTGAGATGGAGTCTCACTCTTGTTGTCCAGGCTGGAGTGCAATGGTGAAATCTTGGCTCACTGCAACCTCTGCCTCCGGGATTCAAGTGATTCTCCTGCCTCAGCCTGCCAAGTAGCTGGGATTACAGGCATGTGCCACCATGCCTGGCTAATTTTTGTATTTTTAGTAGAGACGAGGTTTCACCATGTTAGTCAGGCTGGTCTTGAACTCCTGACCTCAAGTGATCCTCCCATCTCAGCCTCCCAAATTGCTGGGATTACAGGTGTGAGCCACGATGCCTGGCCTATTTTTGAATAAATGAAAGAAGTTCTGTAATGTCTATCATCATTTTTAGTCCTGTCATTACTTTCCCAGGCAAACATGTATCACCTGGTACTAGGAACACCCCAGTAGCATCACACATTATCTCTACGGCATGCACACCTTTCTCAGTCTCATTCAACCAAGCCTCTTTCTATGCCTCCTTTCACAAATCCTCTAGATACTTGCTGCTATGGTTTGAATGTTTTTGTCTCTTCAAAATTCATGCTGAAACTGAGTTTCCAGTGCAATGGGAATAAGAGGTGGGGCCTTTAGGAGATGATTAAGTCATGAGAGTTCTGCCCTCATGAATGGGATTAGTGCCTTACAAAAGGCATGAAAGTGGCTTTTTTGCCACTTCTGCCATGTGAGGACACAACATTCATCCTCTCTGCAGGACACAAAAACAAGACGCTATCTTGGAAGCAGAGAGCAAGCAAGTCTAGCAGTGCCTTGATCTTAGACTTCTCAGCCTCCAGAACTGAGAGATATAAATTTGTATTATATATAAATGACCCAGTCTAAGATATTTTGTTGTAGCAGCAGAAATGGATGAAGATGCTTGCCAACCAAAGTTAGTAATATGTAAACCTATGGCTAATGCTACAAATAGTTTATGAGGGAATGCTCTACAAGTCTCAGAAGTACAGCTCTTTTACTATGGAATATTTAGTTATAAGCCTGCAGGTAATGGAGAATCATTGTAAGCTCTTTAGTAAGAGAGAGGTGTGATAAAAAGTGATGCTTTAACTATTTATTCTTTTCAATTCTTCAGGGCAATTTTCTCAGAATCAATTTAGGTAGTCATAAAACAAACCAGTTGGTTTACATTATCTCAGATGTTGCAGGAATGACTTCAATGAATTACAGTTTGATTGTAAACATGAAGCATTTTTGCAAAGACCTTTATAAGGATCATCTATCTGATGTCTTTCACGACATTTAAAACTTTGTGTCTTTCACAACATTTAAAACTTCTTTGTCTGGTCACCAATGAATTATAAAATAGCCTACATGATTTTTCCTACCTTAAAAAAATAGTATTTTTTTTCTTCTGCAAAGGAACAATTTAGCATTTTTTTTAAATCAGGGGATGGCAACAATACAATCTATTTATTTTATGCTTTAAGTGTCAGAAACACTTAATTCAGTGCCCTATGATGGTATTGAACTTACTACCTATATCTTGTAACATTCATTCTTCTGCTTCATTTGTGGGTTCTGTCTCCTTTTTGTTATTAATTTACTGGCCTCACAAACTTTTAAAAGTGCATGGGGTTTAGATAATATTTTTTGGCAAAATTCTCAATCTTAATCGCAGGATGTTTTGCAATCTGCCCCCAGAGCGTCTTTTGGGGTTTAGGTTGGCTAAATCCTTATTCATACTTGGTTCCAGGGCTGCTTTTAAACCAGCTAAATGAACTCATTCTTGAAACTCGTCTCACACTTTTCAGCCTCTGTGCCTTTATGCACGCTCTTCCCCCAACTGGAAACATTCTTTAACTCCTCTGCACTCATTAATATATCAAGCACCATTTTTTTGAAAAAAAAAAAAAGAAAAAAAAAGAGCTAAGCTTCTTATTGTAAAATAATTTTAGATTTATAGAACATTTACAAAGATTATTCTTATATATCCTGTGCTCAGCTTCCCTCTAATATTAATATCTTACATAACATCTTACATTAATCAAAACTAAGAAAATAGAATAGAGAACCCAAAATTAGATCCCTAGTTATAGGGAAATTTGTTATGCCCTATGTCAGTAATTCTAAGAAGCACCTTTGTTTTATCTTTGAAATACAAATCCATCTATAATTTTTTTAAAAAAGTTAGAAAATAACAACAGATCAATACCAACAACTAAACCACTTTCTTAATATTTCTCCAGTTTTTCTACTAATGTCCTGTTCCAGAATATTAGATTGTATCAATCACCATGTGTCCCCAGTCTCCCCAGTCTGGACAGTGTCTTGGTCTTTTCTTGTCTCTCATAACTTTGACCCTTTTGAAAAGTAGTGGTCAGGTATTTTGTACAACCTACTTCAATCTAGAAGTACCATGACTGATGGTCTCATGTTTAGAATGAAGTTATGGATTGAGGGGAAGGAATGCCACCTAGGCAAATGCCTTTCTCATAGCGTCATTCAGCATGATACCAATATGACTCCTTGCTGGTGACGTTAACCTTGATCTCTTGGTTAAGACGGTGTCTGTCAGTTTGTTACTGTGTTTTTTCTTCCCAATACTGTGTTCAGAGAAGCATGACACTAAGTCTAGCTTATACTCAAGGGATGGAACATTAATTTCTACCACCTGGAGGGAGGAGTATCAAAGGATTTGTGGACATATGTTAAAACAACACAGTAATTAATAAATATTGGGGAGGAGATCCTTTGAGGCTACCAAGCATTATTTTAACTCTAAATCAAGTCCTTCTTCCTCCAGGCAGATATTCTAACAATAAAGATTTCCATCCTCTGATTTTCTCACACACAGTTTGTGTAATATATCCACAAATCTCTATCTTTGTTCATTCATCATGATCTACCTGGCAATCCATTCCCTTTTACGTCATACTTGAATGACTACACCCAGAATTTTTAGGTAAATTCTTCCCCTCACTAATCAGGACACATCAAACCTGACTGTTAACCTCTCATTTCACAATTAATCATGTATATCCTGTGTGTGCATGTGTGCATGTGTGCATGCACGTGCTTGTGTGTGTGTATAGTTATTCAAATCTTGCATTCTATTTAGGTGTAAGAGTTGTCATGGATGTCAGAGTCATCTAGACTTGCATTTGAAACTCAGATCTGCTAAATATAGCTATGAGATATATTGAACAAGTCATTTTTGTATTTTCAAACCTAGATTTATTATACCTACAGATCGAGACTGTTGTGAGGATTAAGTTAATTGATAGAGGCAAAGCTCCAGGATGAGCATCCAGCACGCAGAGGGAGCGTATTAACTGTGGTTTCTTTACCATGACCAACCACACTTATATTCACAAACCTTGACCTGTCAATGTTTTCATTTATCTCCTGTAGCTATTGGTTTCCACTCTATAGTTTGTGGGGGCCTTAAGTGGTACTTGAGGAAAACAGATGGATGGGTCCCCAGGCCCATCTATCTTTGCATCTTTCATAATAGTCTGCTTTGATCTATTCTATATATTATTTTTAGCATGAGATTTTAGTTTGAAAAATGAGTTCTAAAACTTAATTTTTAACAAACCTACACTATACATTTCTTCAGGTGAGAGATAATTTCTTATACTTTTTTGTCATTCCCCAGTGCAGACCATGAGATTGTATATGAAATTGATGTCCAATAAATGTCCAACTAGTGATGGAACGAAAAGCTCCTTGTGGCTCTTAGTCTTGCAGCAGAATCTGAGGCATTTTTTCCACCTATTGTGGTTATTCCAAATGACACATGACTTGCCCCCAAATGGCCATCTACTCTTCTTATAAAAAAACCAACGCTATAAATTGCTTTCTCATAGACCCAATAAATATGGGGCTCTTGGAATGGATTAAAATATGTTATTGACTTTCTGAGTATATTCTAATGACAGAGAAGTTGCTTTTGAAATCTTTTGGGAGTTTATTAAGGTTCATAACAATTCTTGTATTTCTCTGCAGAGTTGGAGATTATATTTACACACACATGCAAGTGCAGTGACAAACATTCAAAAGTTTAAATACCAAATTTTAGTAGTATTTTTCAGTGGTAGAATTATGCATGCTTCTTATGTTTTCCTTTTTGTATATCTGCATTTCATAAGCTTGTTTGTTATAAAATTTAATCAAATGTATTTTACTGAGAAACTGTATGCAAAAAAAAGGAGAGCGAGAAAAACAAGGTGGGAGAGAGAAAAAGAGCAAGTGAGCGAGAGAGAGAGGAAGAGAATGAAAAGGAGTAAATATTGAAATCTGCATTTGAATTTCTTAATAGATTTTCTCTGCAGTCATTCTTGAATTGCTGTTACCCAAAGCGCTTTGTGCTTCCATTTTCTGGTGACAATGCCATCTGTGG
The DNA here is from genome assembly GCF_000001405.40 of Homo sapiens. Taxonomy (NCBI): domain Eukaryota; kingdom Metazoa; phylum Chordata; class Mammalia; order Primates; family Hominidae; genus Homo; species Homo sapiens. Next base: position 27,979,105 of record NC_000011.10, read on the forward strand.
CTTCTCTGTATCTGTAGTAGAAAGGCATGGTAAGTCAATGTCCATAGCGTGCCTCAAGGATTACAAAAGCCATCATCGAAAAGCAGTTATGTTCTTAATGAACATTCCCCTGAAAAGGAGCAAACCTGAAGCCTGAGGCTATTGCATATTCTGACTTTTTAGATATTGTCATTTTTAAGACAATAGAGTCAAATAACTCTAGCACAGGGATGCAGAAAAGATAATATCTGTTCTACTCTACACCTCTTAAGACACCTGAAGTTCAGAGAGGGGATGTGATTTACCCAAAATGATCCACCTCTTCCTATGAGAGCTCCTTCTCCACCTTTTCCTGGCTTCCTTGCTCAATGGCAACAACTCTGTATTCTCAGTTTTCTCGTTAGTCAGTTTTCAGAAGCTGTGTTTGTACTACATTATCCAGATAAATAGGACCAAAAGCAAAAATACCTTGGAAACAAAGCTGCATCTCATTTCTACTGCCATAGCTACCTTGCTTAATGACCTAAATACACCATCACTTAGGTCAGGATATTGTTTATTCAGGGAAGAGAGTGTTATTGAAAAGAAGTGAGCACCATCCATGCAGGGAAACACTGCTCTTAACACACTACCAGCGGAGATGTCAGGGGATGGGGAGAAAGGGAGTAGTAGAGTGTCGGATAGCAAGTTAGGAGAACTCAAGAGACTTTTCATATTTAAGACACAGAAAGAAAAATTTGCAGTCTCCAATCTGCTCAGTTCACCCAGGCTATCAAGAGCAGGCCAAAGCCAAGGGGTCGCCCATTGGGCTTTGTCCTTTTGAAATAAATCCCAGCTGCATTGTTTTAACAGTCCAGGCCTGGGCTGCCAGACTTACACTGATTTTTATTAACTGAAGCTTGTTGGTTTCCTACAGTTGCTATAACAAATTACCATGAACTGGATGGCTTAAGACAATGGAAATTTATTCTCTCACAGTTTTGATGGTTAGGAGTCCAAAATCCAGGTTTGAGGAGGGTTGATTTCTTTTGAGGGCACTGAGAAAGAACCTGTTCCATGCCCCTCTCCCAGCTTCTGGCTGTTGCCAGCAATCCTTGGTATTCTTTGGCTTGTAGATGGATCATGCCAACCTCTGTCTCTGTCATCACATGGTTCTCCTCACATCTGTCTGTCTGTCTCTCCTCTTCTTTTTGTTTTGTTTTGTTTTGAGACAAAGTCTCACTCTGTCGCCCAGGCTGGAGTGCAGTAGCACCATCTCTGCTCACCGCAACCTCCGCCTCCTGGTTCAAGCAATTCTCCTACCTCAGCCCCCCGAGTAGCTGGGATTACAGGCACACACCACTGCACCCGGCTAATTTTTTGTATTTTTAGTAGAGACAGTGTTTCACCATGTTGGCTAGGCTTGTCTTGAACTCCTGACCTCAGGTAATCTGCCTGCCTTGGCCTCCCAAAGTGCTAGGATTACAGGCATGAGCCGCCGCACCCAGCCCTCTTCTTGTTATAAGGACATCATTCATATTGGATTAAGGTCCCACCCTACCCCAGTATCACCTCATATTAATACTTATATTTGCAATTACCCTATTTCCCAACAAGGTCACCTCCTGAGGTCCTGAAGGTTAGGACTTCAACACATTTTCTTGGGGGACAAAATTCAGCCCATAACAGGGAGCAATGGGCTTAAGTGAGCAATGGGCTTGCTTCCTTAATTGAGAAGAGGGTTGTGTCCAGTTGGAATGATCAAATGTGGCACTTTTGACATTGATTTGTGAGTCAGTGCTCCATGAGATATAAGGAAAGGGCAGTAAAGGGAATGCTCAGGGCATTTAAGAGAAGGTAAGGATAAATCCATAGTGGCTGAGCTGTGAGTCTGGGCAAAGCTAATGGTTGGAGCAGGTGAGCCACCCCAGCAGTAGTTCCTGAGGCTCAGACACACCTCAAGAGGAGAGTTGGTTGCTGGAAGACCAAGTAGGCCCATGGAATGGAGGAACTTAAGTTCATCTGTGGAAATATTTAAATGGTTGGGATCAGCTGCCCTCAAGATTGATAACTCTAGCCTATGCCTGCCTGTTTGCCATTATCTTTTGAGAATTCCTGCAAATATATATGAAGGTCGCCATGCTACCCTTCTTCCATGACTCATTAGAGCAAGGGTTGCAAATGAAAAGACCTACAGGAGCCAGGAAATAAGAGAAATGAGTGAAGTGGGCTGGGTATAGAATTCTGAAAGTCCATAGATTTTTAGTAATTAATTGGTACTGGGCCTCACTCCTAGAGAGGATTAAGGGAGTGTTAGAGATTGTATCAAACTAAAGAGTATATGCACCATCTGCAGAAAGAGCCACTTGGCTAGAACTGCCATGGGTAACGGTGCATGATTGCAATTACCCTATTTCCCAAGCAACTGTGCACAAGGGCTTTGGCTATGGAATCAAAAAAGCAAGTGAAATTCAGCTTGCTCTCTTCTCACCAAGCTGTGACCCCACTGGCCTCCCTCAGCCCAGTGGGGCACCTTTTTTATAATTTGTGCAAAAGTGCAATGTAGGCAGAGGGCAGCCCTGGCTCCAGTTCATTGTTCGCAGTCTAGAGTGTAGGCTATGTATTTCTAGATGTTTGGATTTTTGAAAAGAAACTGGAAATATGCATCTTCATGTGTGATCTCCTAATTTTTAAATGTTGGCTCAAATGTTGAAACCCCCTGCACGGGCCAGTGAATCCATGCCATCAGCTCTGTACTGACACTATGTGAGTCTTTTGTGGTAGGAAAAGTGGGGGCGGGGGTGGCATAACACCAACATACAAGCTTGTTGTTAGAGGGCTACAGGTGAGGGTATTGATAACCCTTGCCTCCTAGAGAATTTCAGGATTAGTTACAGTAGCCCAGGGCCCAGTCAGCCCTAGCCTGACCTATCAAAGCAACCCCTTTTGAACATCTTCTGAGTGTGAATTTCTAGTGTGAATGTTTGTGAATTACTAGCTATATCACCTTGGGCAAGTCATTTGACTTTTCTAAATATTTGTTTTATTTCAGCATCAAAGAAAACTCTTTTGGAAGCTTCTTACCATGATTAAATAAGATAAATCTATGAATCACCTGGCATGGCTGTTATCCAATACAGCATTCGCTATTATTTTCAAGACTTGGCTTTGAGAGCGCACTGGTACCTTCTTCACAAGGATGGGCTGCAGCTGCACTCTTATTCTTTTCCCAATCAGATTATCCTCTTGAGAAACAAAGCCTAACAGTCCTACCAATGATCATTGCAGCATTCACCTGTGGGGAACAGTAACCTTCATCATCACCTACTATTTACAAGCATGACATAAATAGTTATATTAAATATCATGAAGGGAACTTGAAGATGATCTGCATCAATTTCCTCATTTGCCAGATGAGAAAACAAAGCCTCACAGAGAAAAAATACTCATCCATTGCCACACAGCTAAATATTAACAGAACATGAAATGCAGTTTATATTTGTGTTTTTAACTTTGAGCTTAAAAGAAGTTTATGCTTTTAAATGAAACTTTAAACATTGTAGATATTATTTCAAGCAACACTAAGTAATAAATGTGTTCTTACTTGATTTGACAGTGAAATACAAATTTTCCAATCTGAAATAAAATGTAAACATAAAAATATGTGGCCCAAACCCCACCCCTCATTCTCCACCCCACCTTTGAAGGAAATAGATTGTATTGGAAACATCTTGCATTGGGATGTAATAAAAGTTTATATTTAGCTTTCTTAAGTGGAGGGTTTGCTTTGATCTCTTTTGGGGGGGAACCTGGGAACAATGTGCTTGTACCTTCCATATGGACATGTTGTGAGGATTAAATGATCAGTGCCTGGTACTCCATTAGTCCTCATTCCATGGTAGCTTTGATTCTCTTTCTTATTTCTGCACACTGTGCTCTATGCCCCATTCCTGGCCAGAAAAGGTATTACGGATGCTATACTTACATACTATGCTATGAGCCTTTTGGGGCCAAATCAGTGTGTTTTATTTTGTTTAGATCTGGAAGCTAGTACAAGACATCATCATGAACACACTAAGTAAAAGTTTATTAAATTTAATTGATTTATTATGCTGCATTCCACTGTAAGAATTCAGATTGTACTCAGAGCACAAATTCATTTACGCATTTGTTTGTTGGTATGTTTATATCCCTACCACATGCTACAAAGGATTAAGACTACTCACACCAAAAATATAAATATTATTCTCAAGAAACTCAAGTTGTTGTTGCTTAAATAAAAGACCAGAATAAAACACTAGCATGTAATTTATGAAATAACTGCCTCCTTGCACTCTGAGGACTGGTATACTTACTGGGCTTCTCTCAGATGACAGCTCACACACTATATGATGGTTTAAAAGAAGGACTCATGGCCTGGAATCAGGGGACCCAGATCAGGAACTTTGAGCAAGTCAAAGTTCTTCAGGTCTACTTTGACACAACTAGGGTGATTCTTCACCAAATCTTCTCTAAGGTGCTTGGAGGAGCAAATATTTCAGTGGTGGCTTGTTTTAAATGTTGCTCCGGTTCTCTTCTAGATAAAATAAATCTTATGACCAGCCCCTATTTGACCAGCCAGTGGGGAATGCTCCCATGCAGGCTCCATCATCCAGAGCAATGAGGATTCTTGTTAGCAGGTCTTTTCTCGTAAAGACATTTCAGACGGGAACCACTGCAGTGAAGCCAGGTAGAGGCATGAAGATGGGTGGCAAATGGCTCTGTAGGTGCCATAAGGGAGAGGTGATGGCTGAGGACCAGGAACCACCTCTGATGCTAATACCCTATAAGCTCCTTCAGAAACACAGACACAACCACTGAACTGGCTGATTTACCCTAAATTGATCAAAATTAAGTTTCCTGTCACAAAGGGGAATGAAGAGCCCTACATACACATTAAGTTCAGCTATAGTGAAGGTGAGCTTTTGTGTTCCTGAGCCTGTGGACTGAAATTTATACAAAGTACATACAATTAGGTAGGTTTAAATTTTTTTTTCTGATTTGTATAGAGACATATGTTCATTATAAAAATTTTGTCCATCTTAATTGTAACACCTGTTTAGTGAAAAAAAAATCCTTACATTTACGTAGAACTGTATCATTTCAATTGTGTGTGTGTGTGTTTACTGTCTCATTTAGTCCTAATGATAACTTAGTATGATAGGAATCTAGCCTTATATTATAGATGAGAAAACTGAGGCTTATACAGCGTATAAAAATTATCTGGGATCACCAGCTACAAATGGGTGGAGCCAGAATTAGAACTCCTGTCTTCCAACTCTAGGGCTGCTGCCTTTGCTTTTTCTTTTCTCCAGCTCAGTTATCTTCCTTATTATAGCTCTTTGTAAAATCACCTCTTCTCTCTTTCACAGGGCAGATCATTTCTGTCTTAGTACAAATAAGAAAATAGATAGGAAAGGGCCTTGGGACCAGTGAAGGGAATCCCAAACATTACCATCTCTTTTGCACTGATACTCCCCACATTTGAAGCTATGATGTTTTTCTTCTCTTAAGCAACTGACACCTGCCAGTTCTTTAGGATTTAGTCCCATAATATTATCCCACTCCACTTTTTACTCATTTACTCCAGGCTCTTTGCCCATTTCTCCCTCCTCAAGAGCCCATTGACTAAAGGATATCAGGTAACAAGATTGATGAGAAGTCCAGAGGCCACATCTGGGTCAATGAGCAGAGATCAGCAGATACCATTACCCCTATAAAGGAATTTTAAACACATTCAAGTCTCCAGTCTAAGTGGAAGAAACCTCGTGTTTATCACTGGGACTCAGACTTCATTCATTCATTTATTCATCATGCAGTTATCATGTATTGAATGTCTACTTAGTGCTAGAAACCATTTTGGCACAGGGCATTTAAAAAGGAATAGGGCTTTAATCCTGTATTAACTGAGTTCTCTTTTAGTGGGAAAAAGTAAATCAAAAGATATTTGCACCTATAGATGCAATAATAGAACCTGACCATCTGTGCCAAGGTCTGCAATTTATGTCAACTATTGCCATTATTATTGTAATCATAAGCATCATCAGTTGCATGGGTAGAGAGTTAGTATTGGCCTGAACAGATGGAAACGTCTTCAGCAGAAACACACGTTTGAACTGGGCCTTGAGTTTTGTCAGGTAGTTGACAGCATATTGTATGATTTGCTTTTCTTGGTGGCAAATGACAAGTTGGGGGTCAAGTGTTGCTTTCTCCAGATTTTTTTTTTAATATGGTTAGTTAGAACCCAGTCTCCTGCTTTTGGAAGCAATGGCTGTTAAATATGGAAGCAATGATCAAAACACCTGCAAAGAAATTTCCACTGATCATTTAAAGATTTATATAATAAAATCATAAATGCCAAACATATTTTAACGTCAGGACCTTAATTTTAATGGCATAGACTAAGTAAAGCTGCTCAAAAGTCTAGCGCAGAACAACTAATCCTATTTAAGAACAATCAATCTTATTTGAGTGAGGTTAAATGAAAGATCAGATATTTTAAGTCAGGGAACAACAGGAAGCTATAGCCAGGCAAAATAAGTAAAATGAACTTCTATAGAGATCATCCTTACATTATCACAATTTCAGAGGGTACCATATTCTGTCTTTTGAATACATACCAAGAGTCAAGTGCACACATAAACCCTGATCTATCTGTTATCATCACCTACAAGCTTATCTCACAGGCTTTACTACCTCCACACACCTGAAGACTGTGTACAGTCCCTCATAATCCTGTAATCCTGTAAGACTAACTCCTGACATTTGGCAACTGTTTACACAGATTCAATGTTTCTCCAATTCTCTGGCATGCATAAGGTATGGCAGTGGAATGGCCCAACACCTGAGGTCACTAGCTAGGCATTTTAATTTTTATAAGAGACCCTGGCCTTTATCATTCTCACAGATAGAACTAAAAATGGATGAGCCTTCAAACAGTCAGCCAAAATTCCAGGTCCCAGGCACATACCAGAGTTTAACATTAAATTGACTGCAATCTAGTCCCCGCCAAAAACTTAGCTGAGAAAAATGGTATTCATGCAAGAAGTATAAGGGACATAGTCTCCATTTATCCCTCTAGGATCCATATATAAAATGACAAAAATAGTATTCATAAATGTGCCTATAAATGTCTTTGACAACTCAGCTTCATTTTCCTTCCTCGAGTCTATCCCATTTAATGAAGAGGTTGCAAGACTGAAAACTACATTTGTCAGAAAACTTGCTAGCAGAGGACTTGCTAGCAGATTATACCAAAGCACTAGTTTGCAAAGTTAAAAGGAGGGGAAAATAGTGGAAGGTATATTATTGTTTAGCTGGCACTGGCAGATAGTAGAGTCAGTGGGTTTTAAGACTCATGAAATGTTGTGTGGCTTCCAGGCATTTTGCTGTAAGTGTTCACCTTGGTGTTGAAAACGCTGTCAGAAATTTCCTATGATCCTTGCATTATCCTGGGACCCTGAACACTAGAGGCAACACAGGGGTTAAAGGCATGTGTTGTTCCTTCTTCTGGGAATGTTCTGCATTCAGACACACACATGGTTCACAGATTCCTTTCATTCATGCTTCTGCTCAAATATCACTTTCTGATCACTCTTTATAAAAGTGCACTCTTTCATTTCACTTGATCCCCCACACCCTTTCCTATTCTTCATTGTACATATTCACTTTTTATTTTTTCATATGTGGTTTATTTACTCATTGATCTTCTATTGGAATATCAGCTCCAAAAAGCATGAACTTTGTTTTGTTCACTGTGGTATTCTTGGAAGAGTGCCTACAACATTAAGGGTACACAGTAAATGCTGGTTGAATGAATGAATGTTGAATACATGCACATATAATGAAGTATAGTTATGTGTTACTTAACAATGGAGATACATGCTGAAAAATGCTTCATTAGGCAATTTTGTCATTGTGCGAACATCATAGCGTGTACTTACACAAACCTAATTGGTACAGCCTACTACACACCTAGGCTATACGATATAGCTTACTGCTCCTAGGCTACAAATCTCAACAGCATGTTACTGTACTGAATACTATGGACAGTTGCAACATATTGGTGAGTATTTGTGTACCTAAACATAGCAAACATAGAAAAGGGACAGTAAAATTACAGTTTTATAATCTTATGAGACTACTGTCCTATATGCGGTCTGTTGTTGACCAAAAAGTTGTTATGCAGCACATAACTATAGTTAATAATAATAATAGTAATAGGTAACCTCTATGAGCCGTCCTGTATGCTAGCACTATACTAAGTACTGACATACATCATCCCATCCAATTATCCCAATAACTCTGCAGTAAAGGAGGCAATGAGGATTATCTCTCAGCATTTCATTCTCCTTGAGGCAGTGTTTCTATATTGGTTCAGGGGTAGAAGTGACAGCATCAAAGGGAAGCCCAGAATCTTTGTTTGATGGCTGGAGGAGAGACTTCTCTCTTCTGGATAAGAAGCAGAAAGCATGTGATACAGGATACTCCAGCAGCCATTTCACTACCACAAGCTGGATCAACGTAAGGGTGAAATTAACAAGATTTCAAAGAAGGCAAAAGACAGAGAAATAACTTGGGCCTATGGTTACATCACTGAGCTGCTGCACCAAGCCTTGCCTGAAGCTCGTCCTACTTCTTTCACTTATAAAAACCAATAAATTCCCTTGATTATTTAATCCAGCTTGAAGGATTTTGTTGTTGTTACTTGCAACTGAAAGCATCTTAACCAACCAGGTAGATACTATTTAGTAACTGTGTGATCTAAAGCAAGTCATTGAACCTCTCTCTACTTCTGTTCCCTCATTTGTAGAGTGAGGATAATAATACAACTTAGCTCTGGATTTGTTGTGGAGATTAAAAAATAATGTAGGTAAAAGCACCAAGCATAGTACCCAACACATAGGAAGACATTAGTACATATGGTCTAATACTACATTAAGAAACTTTACAATGAAAGGAAGAATGGAGGACCGTAATTGCTTTAGGTGAGACATCTGACCATATTTACTCCCATGGCAACTTTTAGATGCCTCTGTTACCATGCATATGTATTTTGATATTTTGTTTAGCTGTCAACCTCCTGTGAGCTTCTAGAATCTAGAAGGTAAGACCATGTCTTAATGTTCTTTGCATTTGTCCCAGTGTCCAGCATTGTGTAAAGCATATGGCAGGTATTTCATTGAAGTTTCTTGAACTAAAGAATTAACTTGTGAGAAAAGAGCCTGAGAAGGAGAAGAATAAAGAGTTAAGTGCTGGAAAAAGCATAACTAATGGACTAAGTTTCAGGGGCAGGCAGAAGGAGAGGTGACCAGAGGCCAGGTGGAGAGATTAGCCTCAGAAAGGAGGAAGGTTAATAATAAGTGGGATCCAATCTCTGCCCCCAAATGACCATCATCACATTTGTTTTAGAGCTATGCACACAGCCAGGCACTAAATATTTCCCAGTGACTATGACTACAGCAAGGCTTGCTAAAAACATTTGTAACAGAAAAAATATCACAGTGAACTTTCCTTCTCAGGGGCTGGGGCCAGTGAATTCATGTTAATATTACAGACTAAACTGAAAATGACTTTTTAAAGAGATAATCGTGATATGTCTTTAATATTAATCTTCACTACATCATACAGTATTGTGAGAGTGGAATAGCTTCAACAGAGAAGCGACAGAAGTTTCATAAGCTCCCAAGTTACATGAATAAAAATTGTAATAAATATCTTGACACTGTCTAGTAATGTTTTTAGAAATATTTCATTTTTTTCTTTACCATTAGGTGTGTTGGGGGGAACAAAGCATGTATTGTTACTCTTCTGTAAACATGGATTAATCATGAATCAAATCATTTGTAGTAAACCAAGTTCAGCAATACCATTGTTTCTGAATTAAGCAGCAGCAATAATGTTCCTGACACAGGGTTGTCCCTGGGGATACAGAGATAATTGAGGCATGACTCTACCCTCATAAAAATTACACTTTTTCTTAACTCACATCCAGCTATTCTATAGCTGTTTCCAGCTATATCAGGTTTAAGGAGGAAGGAGTCAAATAAAAGATGGTAAGGTAAACTTGAGGATTCTGCTTTGTGTTTTTTTTTTTTTTTTTTTTTTTTTTTTTTTTTTACAGTAGCAAGGCATCTCCTGGGGCTAATCAAGATTGAGCCCAATCTTTCATATACCTAGCTAACATTTTCCACTTTTGTGATTATCCAGTGCTCCCATGTAACCTTCCCAGGCTGCACTGGTGGGCATATGCTCCCCTTCATGGAGATTTAAAATGTTATATAAGTAAAAAGCACAATAGAAACACCTGTAAACCACTTCTGAGCAAGTCTAAGGGGGCCAGGTGTGCAGACTGGTCCACAAGTTTTCTCAGCACCTTTATTTTTGTGCATTGGAAGATCTGTTTCTAATTTGGACTCTGTGCAGGAAGTGGTTTGTATTGCCACAGGTAATTTAGATGTTCTTTTCAACTTTTCCCACAACTGCACCCTTCTTCCTTTCTTCTCTCCTACCCCACAATTGCCAAAGCTCATGAAGACAAGAATGCTTTCATGAGAGAGAAAACAGCAGCATGATGCATGGCCAGCACTTTGCAGAGCAACATAGAAGAAATCAAGGTTTTGTAGGCTATACATCAGTGGATAAAGCCCTAGAAATTAAGGATGTACCATATGTACAAACTTTTGGGCAAACGCATCAGCAAAGCTTTAGACTCAGTAGAAAGGTCCTAAAAGAAACAGCAGACACTCCAGAATCCGTGCCACACATGTGACTAGAGTAAGACATTCTTAAGGAAGACACAGACTGTCTCAGATAAGGGGTTGGTTATCATCACTTCCCTAATGATAATAGAGTACATTTATTCAATGTTGACTATATATCAGGCGCTATGTTAGTGCATTATGTACTCAATCCATACTTACTCTAACTTGATCCAAGAAAACACTTTAAAATCACTACAGTTACTATCTTAATTATATGAATAAAGACAATGAAACTCCCTATAGCGAAGATATAGAAACAACCTGTGTCCATCAGTGGATGACTGGATAAAGAAATTGTGAGATATGTATACACACACACACACACACACACACACACACACACACACACAATTCAGTCTTTAAAAAGAATAAAATCATGTCTTTTGCAGCCACATGGATGAAACTGGAGATCACTATCTTAAATGAAATAAGCCAGATAGAGAAAAGTCAAATATCACACGTTCTCACTCATAATTGAGTGCTAAAAATGTGTACACATGGACATAGAGAATGGAATTATCAACAGCAGAGACTCAGAAGAGGGCAGGGAAAGGCAGTGGATAATGAGAAAACACAGGGTAGAGGAAGGTAGTGGATGATGAGAAATTGCTTGATGGGTACAAGGTATGTTACTCAGATGATGGATACCCAAGAAACCCTGACTTGACCACTATGCAATCTGTACATGTAACACAATTGCACTTGTACCCTGTAAATTTATTCAAATTAAAAACAAATAGACTAAAAAAAAAAACCAAAAACAAATAGACTCAAAAAAGTAACTGCCCAAGATTATCTGGCTAGAATTCAAAGGTAATTCTCTAACTGAGTTTGCTTGTGACCTCTATATTCAACTACTGTTTTATCAGGGAGGAACTGGAAACTAATAGAAAAATTCATCATTGACGCTTTATGATCTGTGGTGTGTACACAGCTTGTAGTTGCAAGTTGCATATAATGTTTTTATTCCCTAGCATGCATTTATTCATTTATTTAATTTTTTTTCTTTCATAAAATATAACTGTAAAATAATACCTGAAATACTCCTGGAGATAAAAGACAAACATAAAAATTTCAAGAAGTACCTGGAATACATACAAATTGGAACATTGCTTATGTGTGAAAGAATCAACTAGATATTCTAGAACTGAAAATGCAATAATAGAAAGTAAGGACTTATATGATGAATTTCGCAGCAGTAAAATGATAAAAAAAAATTTGGGGAGAAAGACACTTAAATATATAGAAGATTTAGCATGCATTTAATTGGAGTCCCAGAAGGAGAAAAGGGAAAGGGCAGAGGTTATAAATTCTTTAATTGATGTTGAGTTGCATATTTATTTTTCATACTTTACCTTTTCTAAATAAAGATGTATCTTACAGTTGATAGCATATCACTTTTACTGAAGCTGGGCATCAGTTATCAATGATCATTCTTGTGCATGTTTGAATATCAAAAGGATAACCATGAAAACTTCCAGAATGGGAGGTCAGTTATTTGGAATAAAATCTCAAGGACAATAATGGAGCACTCTCTTCACTTTCCTAGGAAACAAATGTTTGTGGGGAGGGAATGAAGGAGCTCAATCAGAACTGTTTAACAATGTTCTCAAGGAGGTCAGTAGTAGGCTAGCTTTACATAATTTCAAAGCCAGATTGAGAGCCTATCACTATGGCTTTTTGTTCCTTTATGGAATCTTTGAGAAAATGCTATACACGGACAGTAGTCAAAATGTGATTAGGAAAATTTGGATTCTTAGTGGGAAAAAGTTTTAGGAATATCTATGTTGGTAATTGTTTTGCATATATTTTCCTTGATGGGTATTGTGATGATGAATTTTATGTATCAACCTGGCTGGGCCCCAGTGCCCACATATCAGGTCAAGCATTATTCTGTATGTTTCCATGGGTGTATTTTTGGATGAGTCTTACATTTATTTATATCAGTAGACTCTGAGTAAAGCAAGTGTGCTTCATAATGTGGGTGGGCCTCATCCAATCCATTGAAGGCCTGAATGGAACAAAAGGCTGACCTCATCTAAGCTGGTGGGAATTATCCAGCAGACTGACTTTAGACTTCATGTGCAATATTGGTTCTTCTTGATTTCCCAATAGACTGCCTTTGGACTCGAACTAAAACTCTTTCCAGAGTGTCCAGCCTGCTAGCCTCTCCTATCAGATTTTGGACTGACTAAGCTTTCACAATCACATGAGTCAATTCCTCAAAATAAATATATTTATTTCTGTATACACATCCATATTGGCTCTGTTTCTCTGCAGAACCCCAATGTATATAGATCTAAACAATGACATATAACACAATTTTATCTTAGAAAAAGAGCTTCTGCAAGAAGAATAAGATCCAAATTCTTAAGCGACAGTGGTGTATGTTAGAGTTTATTTAATCAGCCATGAGTCTCTTCTTTTTTTTTCTTGGATATGTGAATTAATCATGCAAGTTATAATCGACAGTATTATGAACATGATGAAATAAGGTATTTAAAGAGATAATGATTGAAAAGTTCCCTGATAAAAGATCTCAATCTACAGATTTCAGATGTTCATTGAGTTTCAAGCATGATTTAAAAAGAAAGGGGAAAGAAAAGAAAGAAATCCACATCCAAATATAGTGAAAGTGTAGAAATAGAAAGCCAAAAACAAAGGGAAAAAATATTAAAGACATTGTCTTTAAAGGAGTAACAGTAATACTGACCCTGACTCCTCCTAATTAAAATCGGTGGAATGGATGTCATTAAGGCACTAAAAGAAAACACCTGCCAACCTAGAATTTTATAGCCAATCAAATATTCATCAAGTATAAATATGGTGCCAGCACGGTGGCTCAGGCATATAATCCCAACATTTTGGGAGGCCAAGGTGGGAGATTCACCTGAGCCTAGGAGTTTGAGACCAGCCCGGACAACATAGTGAGTGAGCCCTCATCTCTACAAAAAATTTTTTAAAAATTAGGTGGATGTGGGTAGTCCCAGCTACTAGGGAGGCTGAAGGGGAAGGATTGCTTGAGCCCAAGAGGTCAAGGCTGCAGTGAGCCGTGATTGTGCCACTGCACCCCAGCCTGGGCTACAGAGTGAGACCCTGTCTCAAAAAAATAAAATAATAAAATAATAAAATAAATAAAATAAAATAAAGCTGGGATAAGATAGTCTCCAGTAAATAAGTACTCATAAAATCCACAAGACAAACTGCTCTAAAGGGGATTTTTCAGGCCAAAAGAAAAGAGTACTTAGTGGCATCCAGAAGACACAGGAGGAATGGAAAGCAACCAAAATGCAAAGTGATGGGAATAAAGCTAAATCAACATTGTATAAAGATAGCAACTTTTTTAATGTTAAAATGTACAGCAAACTTATATATACACAAAAACATGTAAGTCAAGAGAAGGTAAATGAAGTGAAAGTGTGTAAAGGTCTTTGTATTGTCTGGGAGGAGGTAACATTGCCAAGTACCATTAGATTTTGGTAAGTCAATGGCGCATGTTATAATTTCTAGTGTAATTACTCACAGTAAAAGAAAGTATGCATTCAAACTAATAAAGAAAAATGTAACCAAAAAATTCAAAAGAATTTGATCAAGGGAGGAAAGGAAATATAATAATATAAATATAATAAAAAGACAAATAGCAAATATTAGATTAAACTACCTGAACTTGTTGCTTTATAAGAAAAAAATGGTCACACATTGCCAGTTTTATCTAACTCAACCTGTAGTAAGTAGATATATCCCTAAATCTATGAGGAATAATAATACAGGTATCAGACTTCACATAGGCAACACTGCATGAGCCAGTGAAGCAATATCTTCAGAGTTCTGGGTGGAAAGAATGCTAAATTTGGAATTATTTAATCACCCAAGCTACTAAGAGCCAAGTTGAGATATTTTTGGACAAAGAAGAACTTAATTGTCCAAAATTGTCTTATTTTTGGACAAATAAGAACTTAAGAAGTCTATGTCTACACACCCTCTATTGAAAAATTACCCAAGGAGATATAGTACCAAATAAAAAGCAAATCCAGGTATAGACTTGCTTTATGACACTTTGCTTTATTGAGCTTCACAGATTGTGTGTTTTTTACAAATTGAAGACCTGTGGCAAGCCTACGTTGAGCAAGTCCATTTTTCCAACAGCATGTGCCCACTTCGCATCTCTGTGTCACATGTTGGTAATTCTCACAATATTTTAAAATTTTTCATCATTATTATATTTGTTATAATGATCTGTGATCAGTGATCTTTCATGTTACTATTGGAATTGTTTTGGGGCACAATGAACCTCACCCATATAAGATGGGGAACTTAATTCATAAATGTTTGTGTCCTAACTGCTCTACTGACCAGTTGTTTCCTGATCTCTCTCCTTCTCCTCAGGCCTCTCTATTCCCTGAGACACAACAATATTGAAATTAGGTCAATTAATAACCCTCCAATTGCCTAATTTTTAAGTGTTCAAGTGAAAGGAAGAGTTGCACATCTCTCACTTAAAATCAAAACCTAGAAATGATGAAGTTTACCAAGGAAGACATGTTGAAAGCTGAGATAGGCTTCATGTGCCAAGTAGTTAGCCATGTTGTGAATGCAAAGAAAAGTTATTGAAGAAAATTAAAAATGCTACTGCAGTGAACACATGAATCATAAAAAAAGCAAAACAGCCTTACTGCTGACATAGAGAAAGTTTTAGTGGTTTGGATAGAAGATCAAACCAGCTACAACATTCCCTTAAGCAAAAGCCTAATCCAGAGCAAGTCCCTAGATTTCTTCAATTCTGTGAAGGCTGGGAGATAAGTGAGCAAGCTGCAGAAGAAAAGTTTGAAGGTAGCAGAGATTGATTCACAAGGTTTAACAGAAGACTTCTCCAGAACATGTAAGTGCCAGGTGAAGCAGCAAGTGCTGATGGAGAAGCTACAGCAAGTTATGCAGAAGATACAGTTAAGATCATTAATAAAAGAGGCTATACCAAACAACAGATTTTCAGTGGTGACAAAACAGCCTTCTACTGGAAGAAGATGCCAGCTTTCACAGCTAGAGAGAAATCAATGCCTGGTTCCAAAGTTTCAAAGGACAGGCTGACTCTCCCCTCAGGGGCTAATGCAGCTGGTGAGTTTTAAGTTGAAGCTAATGCTCATTCACCATTCCAAAAATCTGTGGGCTCTTAAGAATTACGCTAAGTCTACTCTGCCTGTGCTCTATAGACGAAATAACAAAGCCTAGATGAGAGTGTACCTGTTTATAGCATAGTTTACTGAGCATTTTAAGCCCACTGTTGTGACCTACTGCTCAGAAAGATTTCTTTCAAAATACTACTGCTCATTGACAATGCACCTCATCACCCAAGATTGCTAATGGAGATGTACAAAGGGATTAATGTTGTTTTCACGTCTGTTTACACAACATTCAGTCTGCAGGCCATGAATCACGGAGTAATTTCAACTATGAAGTCTTCTTATGCAAGAAATACATTTTGTAAGGCTATTGCTGCCATAAATGGTGATTCATCTGATGGATCTGGGCAAAGTAAATTGAAAAAACTTTTGGAAAGGATTTACCGTTCTAGATGCCACTGAGAACACTGGTAATTTTGGAGAGGAGGTAAAAATATCAACATTAATAGGAGTTTGAAGGAAGTTGCTTCCAACCTTCATGGGTGACCATGAAGGGTTCAAGACTTCAGTGAAGAAAGTAACTGCAGATATGGTGGACATGCAAGAGAATTAAAATTAGAAATGAAGCCTGAAGACGTGACGAATTGTTGCAATCTCATGATTAAACTTGGACAAATTAAGGGTTGCTTCTTATGGATGAACAAAAAAAGTGGTTTCTTGAGAAAGTTCACCATCTATTCCTTGTAAAGATGTTGTTAACATTGTTGAAATGATAACAAGGAATTTAGAATATGATATAAACATAGCTGATAGAGCAGCAGCAGAGTTTGAGATGATTGCCTCAAATTTTGAAACATCTACAGTAGGTAAAATGCAATCAAATAGCATCACATGCTGCAGAGAAATCTTCCATGAAAGGAAGAGTCAACTGATGTGACAAATTTCATTGCTGTCTTATTTTAAGAAATTGCCACAGCCACTCCAGCCTTCAGCAACTACCACCCTAATCAGTCAGCAGCCATCAATATTGAGGCAAGACCCTTCACCAGCAAAAAGACTATAACTCGCTGAAGTTTCAGATAATTGTTAGCATTTTTAGCAATAGGGCATTTTAAAATTAAGGCATGCCCACTGATTTGTAGATATAATGCTACTGCACACTTAATAGACTAATAGGATAGTATAAACACAACTTTTATATGCACTGGGAAACAAAAAAGTCCATATGATGGCTTTAATGCGATATTTGCTTTATTGCAGTGGTCTGGAACCGAACCCAAAATATCTTGGACATATGCCTGTAATAGAATAACATAACATACAGTAAACAGTGGCAGCTGGTTATAAACTGAAGAGTTAAAAAAAGATATAAAAAGAAATTTAGAAACATGGCTTGGAAGATTCCTATCAAATGGCAAAGTTTTAATGTAGAGCATTGTTTCTCAATCAGGGACTATATTGTTTCCTGGAAAAATTTGATAATGTCTGATAATACCTTTGGTTTTTACAACTGGAGTGGAGATTGCTACTGACATATAGTGAGTAGAGGCCTGGAATGCTGCTAAACGTCCTACAGTGCATAGGACAGCCCTCCATAGCAAAGAACAGTGGGGCCCAAAATGTTAATAGTGTCAAGGTCGTGAAACTCTGATGTAAAGTACACATGTCCTTCATCTCAGACCAAACCATATTACTTAGTTCTATATCAATGACTTGTACAAAATATAATAATAATATTGGGAGTCTTCAGTACAATTATGTAAAAGAATAGAACACTTATTACATAATAATGTAATTAAGAGAAATGGATGGTGAAGTGAGGAAAAAAATGAAAGGATGTGCACATTCTAAGTCACCTGGGAATCTTGCTAACATACAGATTTGATTCAGGAGATCTGGAATGAAGTCTGAGATTTTTGGATATCTCACAAGCTTTCAGGTTTTTTTCCTTCCTTAAAACTTTTGTTATTTTACTTTTAGTCTTGGTGTTTTGAGATTTTACCAGGGAAGACTCCACAACACCAACTTATTGATCACTTATTTTATGTTTTCTATTATTATTTTATTTGAAAATAATAATCATTAAACATGTGCCACTGGAGCTCCCTTTGTCAATTTTAAATTACTAGCAAGCAAGAAATAACACTTAAATAAGTCTACTTTGCTTCCTTATGATTGTTTTCCTTTCCCTTTAAAGAAAAGTGAGAGCTTTTTGATTGCTTTGTATTTTAATTTTATGTTTATCTCTCCTCTAGTCAGAATACCTTTAAGGCCAGAGTTTTACTCATATGGTTGTGTTGATATAAGACATTCATTCATTTATTAATTTTATAACATTTAGTGCTCACATAATAGGTGCCATATTCTATTAAGGGCTGGAAACCTAATGGTAAATAAGTCATGCAGTCTGGTTGCAGGACTTTTGGGAAAGCATTTGCTTTCATGAGAAAATAAAAGATATAGCACTTCCTTTTTCTTCCTGCCTTAGACAAAGGAAATGACCATAAAGACCTAGAGAACTGCAGAGAAAATATCCCTGAGCATCCCTGAACTGTTGCGCAAACGTTAGCAATTGCCTATCTCTAGATTTCTAGTTATGTGAGCATGTCTTCACTTCTTAAGCTATTATATTTGAGTATGCTTTTCCTTGCAGCTGAAGGCATTTCTGACCAATACAAGAAATGCAAACATTAGGGAACTGGGTCATTCCCAATGACATTATCAAGCCCTTGTAAGAAAGTGTCAAAAGACAAAATTACAACAAATTTAATTTAAATACTTCTATTGGCTTTATTTGTGATTCTAGAATTGGATAACATTTCAGTTCATAAAATAGAATAAGTGTTCCAACGGGCTGAGCAGAGGAGTTTAGCATTATAGACAGAGAAGGGCTGAAGTAAGCAGAAACAAAGAACAAAGAGTATATTAGTTACTTTTAGACAGAAGAATAGAAAAATAACTCATTAAATAACATCAGGTTACTTTACACTACCTTTTTTGTGAATAAGGATTAAAGCAGAGGAAACTTCATTATTATGCTGATTAAAGATTTTAAACTGGTCTGTTTGGGAAATTGTTATTTCTCTCTTCTAATTACTAAGTCACATATCAAGTTAGTTCAGGTTTGGTGAAATGGTACTTCAGCATAGCTGAGTCCATTTTTATTTTTAATCTGGTTTTTTGGGGCCTAGTACAGGAGCCGAGTCCAAAACAATGACCTCCTGTAATTTTTATATAACAAATCATTGATAGTACTTCATGGCAGATTTTATGTTAGGTATAAGTGTTAAATTGGGGGCAAGATATGTAATTTTTATTGCTTTCAAGAATAAAACTATAAACAACGGACCAAAGTCTCAGTGAGCCAGATTTGGATTTAATAGAAATCAGAACTCTCTAACAATGATAATATTTCAGTAATGGAGTGTGTTACCTTCCAAAGACATTAGTTTCCTATCCATTAAAATTTTCAGAAAGAGGTAGGAATACCATAGAAGAGATTCCAGCACTGCACGGAAGGTTAAGTGGGATGGAAAGAAACTCATAGTGTTTCTTTAACTGTAAGGTTCTAATATCAATTTTCAACAATTAGGGTCTGTGATACTGTGATAAGAAATATATATTTGGTGTCTGTACCTATTTTTGTCACAGAGCTCCTAAAGCCCTTGGAATTTCCTAAGTGATAACAGAAGGGTGAATGGAGCATCATTTGTTATTCATAACAAGCTATTTTCAACCACACCTGGGTTATGTTAGTGAGGTAATTCTGGAAAGCCCCTAGATAATCATAGGATGAAGGCTGGTTGCCAAGAGACCCAACCATGTAATTGAAGGGAAGGTAGAGAGCCTAGAGATTGACTTAAGCACCAATGGCCAATGATTTAATTAATCATGCCTACATAATGAAGCTTCCATAAAAACTCAAGAGAAAGAAGTTTGGAGAGCTTCCATGTTGGTGAACAGGTTGGTTGTGCTGGGAGAGTGGTATACCTGAAGAGTACCTCGGAGCTCCACTTGCCTTCCCCATACCTCCTCTTGTTTGGGTGTTTCTGAGTTGTATTCTTTAAGACAAACACATTGTGAAACTTATCAGATTCAAAATGGATTCATGTTTATTAAAAAAAAAATCTGAAAATTAGAGCCAGGGAAGGCTATGAAAAGAGGGTTCGTATACATAAATGCCTGATGATAAAAACTATCACAAATGATTGCAAAAACCACAACCTTGCATAAAGGCCATCACAACCTTACACAAAAACTACTTCTGCAAGGACATGTTTCTTGCAACTGGCTGTCTAACTTCAGACTGGTATTACTCTTTTTATTGATCTTTAGAGCCAAGGATAATTATCTTAATTACCTCAAAACCACTGTGTAATCTTGCTCATTTTTTCTTTAAAATCCGTTGTCTTTTTTACCTCCCTGAATATGCACATGGTTTACTATGGCACATGTATTCTCATCACAATGCCGTATTCCCAAATAAATATCATTTTCTTTTAGAGAGCCCCTCTCTGGTTTTTTAGGTTGACGTAAATGGTGTCAGAAGTGGGATCTGAAGAAAGACTATTATCAAAAGGAATTGTTAATATTTGGAACTGGTATGCAGTACTCTTCTGAGCCCTTTCAGCTCCCTGCTTCCACAACTCACCTATTCTGCCATTGTGAGTCTTCTGTCAGGCCAAGCTTCCCTCTTTTTGTTAGAAGTGCCTGACTTTTTTTTTTTGTTGTTGTTATTGTTGTTATAAGCCAACTGAAATGAAGAACCTTGCATTCTTTCTGGGATAATAAAATACTTTTTATCTTTCTTGGCAAGTCCTTTAGGGTATAAGGACAAGCGTTATTCTGGTTTGAGCACTCTGGATTCACAAAATTTACATTCTATCTTTGAGGAGTGTCTTTCCTAGTGAATTTACTTTTAGTTCTTTCTGTGTGCCTAATTTAGTATTTTGCTTTTATTTTGGGTTGGTTATGTGTATCTGTAAATAATTTGGTTTTTTCCCTTACTTATTTCAAAATTTCTGAAAGCAAAAATAAATATTTTAAATGATGGGTTCAGGATGGCTAATTAAAAGTCACTGCCACAGCCACTACCATCTAAAACACTGGTCCAAAAGGATTTATAAAATTAGCTTTGCTTTCAAGAGATTAATGAGAAATAGAATGGAATTCTCAAACATTAAGGCATGCCAAGGGTTTGTGGGACTCTAGCTGACTACGTATTATGGCCTGTTCTCATGCACATTTTTAAACTGATGGGCAAATTACATTAAGAAAGACTCAAGGCTTGATTGATCATTATTCAGACTCTCTAAAAATCCCCTGTAATTACAGAATTAATGTGTAGAGCCTTCCTAGCTCTCTCTATCCCTCTATTTCATTTCTCTGCCTAATTTTCTAACTTTTCTACTGGTGTTGAAATAAAACTCTCTGCTTATGGCTTTTCAGTCAAGACTTTTAAACAGTCTTAAAGGGCTTTCAAATTAATGTCTTACAAATTAAAACAGCTCTATTATAAACAACAATCTAGACACCTTTTTAAAATGTAAATTTAAGTAAACCTGTTAGTCAGGTTTGCCTAACAATTGCTTAGGATGACAGAACAGCTAATTGAAGGATTGATACTATAAAAGAAAATAACTAGATAAGTGCTTATAGAAGTTAAGATCACAGATGATCAAACAGGTCAAAACCTTGAGCTCACAGCAATAATATAAGTTATCTCTATCTATCATAAAAATTGCTTTGTCTGCCACACAGGAGCCCAAAAGAAAACCAACCAAACAAAAAAACGACCCTGCTAAAATACTTCTCCATCTGCACTGATTAGTCAATCAAATCCAACTAGCCAACAAAAAATAGATTTGTTACTAAAAGTTACGGCTCTTTAGAGATTTTATTTTCCTTATACAATTCAGCCAGTTCTAGCTAAAATGTAAAGATTGAAAACTGAATCTTCCACTCATTTGAAACTGAAAAAAAAAGGTCTTTCAAAACCAAACCACAATGGAAACTGCTTTACCCAATTTTGGTCCATATCCTTCATTAGATTACCTATTGGGGTAAATAAAGGTTAGCCATGTGATATGGTTTTGCTGTGTCCCCACCCAAATCTCATCTTGAATTGTAGCTCCCACAATTCCCACATGTGGGAGGGACCTGGTGGGAGATAATTGAATCTTGGGAGTGGGTCTTTACTGTGAGTGCTGTTCTCGTGATAGTGAATAACTCTCACAAGATTTGATGGTTTTATAAGGGGGAATTTCCCTACACAAGCTCTCCCTTTGCCTGCCGCCATCCATGTAAGACATGACTTGCTCCTCCTTGCCTTCTGCCATGATTGTGAGGTCTCCCTGGCCATTGGAACTGTAAGTCCATTAAACTTCTCTTTTTCTTCCCAGTCTTGGGTATGTCCTTATCAGCAATGTGAAAATAGACTAATGCAGTCAATTGGTACCTAGGGTATGGTGCTGCTATAGATACCCGAAAATGTGGAAGCAACTTTGGAGCTGGGTAACACGCAGGGGTTGGAACAGTTTGGAGGGCTCAGAAGAAGATAAGAAAATGTGGGAAAGTTTGGAACTTCCTAGAGACTTGTTGAATGGTTTTGACCAAAATGCTAATAATAAGGACAATGAAATCCAGGCTGAGGTGGCCTCAAATGGAGATGAGGAACTTGTTGGGAACTGGAGTAAAGGTGACTCTTGCTATGTTTAGCAAAGAGACTGGTGGGATTTTGCCCCAGCCCTAGAGATTTGTGGAACTTTGAACTGGAGGGAGATGATTTAGGGTATCTGGTGGAAGAAATTTCTAAGCAGCAAGACATTCAAAATGTGACTTGGGTGCTGTTAAAAGCATGCAGTTTTAAAAGGGAAACAGCATAAAATTTCAGAAAATTTGCAACCTGACAATGAGACAGAAAAGAAAAACCCATCTTCTGAGGAGAAATTCAACCCGGCTGCAGAAATCTGCATAAATAACAAAGAGTCAAGTGTTAATCACCAAGACAATGGGGAAAATGTCTCCAGGGCATGTCGGAGAAATTTGCAACAGCCCCTCCCATCATAGTCCCAGAGGCCTAAAAGAAAAAAATGGTTTCGCGGGCCAGGCCCAGTACCCCTCTGCTCTGTGCAGCCTAGGGACTGGGTGCCCTGCATCCCAGCTGCTCCAGCCATGGCTAAAAGGGGCCAAGAAACAGCTTGGATTGTTGCTTCAGAGGGTGCATGCCCCAAGCCTGGGTAGCTTCCACGTGGTATTGAGCCTGTGGGTGCATGGAAGTCAAGAATTCAGTTTGGGAACCTCCACCTAGATTTCAGAGGATATATGGAAAAGCCTGGATGCCCAGGCAGAAGTTCTCTGCAGGGGTGGGGCCCTCATGGAGAACCTCTGCTAGGGCAGTACAAAAGGGAATTGTGGAGTTGGAGCCCCCACACAGAGTCCTTACCGGGAGCTGTGAGAAGAGGGCCACTGTCCCCAAGACCCCAGAATGGTAGATCCACCGACAGCTTGCACTGTTCACCTGGAAAAGCAACAGACATTCAATGCCAGCTCATGAAAGCAGCCAGGTGGGGAGGCTGTACCCTGAAAAGCCACAAGGGCAGAGCCGCCTGAGACCATTGGAACCAACTGCTTGCATCAGTGTGACCTGGATGTGAGACATGCAGTCAAAGGAGATCACTTTGGAGCTTTAAGATTTGACTATCCTGCTTCATTTTGGACTTGCATGGGGCCTGCAGCCCCTTTCTTGGGCCAATTTCTCCATTTGGAATGGCTGTATTTACCCAATGCCTATACCCCATTGTATCTAGGAAGCAACTAACTTGCTTTTAATTTTATAGGCTCATAGGCAGAAGGAACTTGCCTTGTCTCAGATGAGACATTGTACTGTGGACTTTTGAGTTAATGCTTAAATGAGTTAAGACTTTGGGGGACTGTTGGGAAGGCGTGATTGGTTTTGAAATATAAGGACATGAGATTTGGGAGGTGCCGGGGTGGAATGATATGGTTTGGCTGTGTCCCCACCCAAATCTCATCTTGAATTGTAGCTCTCATAATTCCCACATGTTGTGGGAAGGACCTGGTGTAAGGTAATTGAATCTTGGGGGTGTGTCCTTTCCATGCTGTTCTCATGATAGTGAATAAGTCTCATGAGATCTGATGGTTATATAGGGGGAGTTTTCCTGCACAAGCTCTCCTTTTGCCTGCCACCATCCATGTAAGACATGACTTGCTCCTCCTTGCCTTCCTTTTCAGCCAAGTGGAACTGAGAGTCCATTAAACCTCTTTTTCTTCCCAGTCTTGTGTATGTCTTTATCAGCAGCTTGAAAATTGAATGTTAACAGAAATATAATTTGTATCTAAATGTCTTTTACAAACAGGTGAGTTAGTATGTTTTACTGTGTCAAGACTAATATTCTAAATAAAAGCAATACTATTTTTGGGTGTGTACATGTGTTTAGGTATATTTATGCACATGTACATGTATTAAGCTGTATGTCATGACTGCATGGTGAAAACTGTTATAGTCAACCAGAAATCCCTTAAGAAATTCTATTCAGATTGGCTTACATGCATTAGTGCTTATATAAACTATACAGTCATCAACCCAAATGGCTTTTTGTTCACATGACTTGAGTAAATCTTTAAAAAGCTGGTTTTTATATTGTTGGTAAAATAAAAATAAATGTCTTCAAAATAGCATACATTTTTGCCTGGGTTTACTCATCAGACAATTATATATTTGTCTCTTTTTAGGTGTCAAGGTTTGATACAAAGGTTATAAAACTATAAATTTAGTCTAACACTAAATGATCTTTGATTGTATAATTATTTGATGACTAAGGCTAATGTAATATTGTTGGTTTTTAACAAGAACAGGTATATCTTCTGAGTTACCAGAAAATATCCATATATTTTTTACTTAGGTGAACACCTGATATTCACAGGGTATAAAAATGGTTAAGAGGAAAATAACTTGAAATGTTGACTTTGTCTAATATCTTAGGTTTCATAAGTAATCTAGTTATAATACTTAAAAATAAAGTAGGTAAATGTAAATGCAGTAAATATTTATAAATAAACTTTTCATGTAGTTTAAAATCTTAAATTATGTTATGTTTTATTAAGTGATAGATTAAATATCTGGGTAATTTCCAAATAAGATAAAAACTAAAATATATTACTGATAATAACATGTTTGTTCTTTACTTCTTAAAATTTTATAAAAAAACTAAATATATCATATTATTTGGTGTATTTATACATATAACAATTATGTTATGAGGAAACAGATTTCTAAAACGTGTAAAATGGTTTTCATCTATCAGATACTGATATGTGACAGTTCAAAATTGCTTGCTAAAAATTAAGGTTACTGAGAGTTATAACTAATTATTATATATATAATTCTGTATATAAAGAGCACCAAAAATGAGATATTTTTACTGACAGAAAAATTATAAGAAAGGCATAAAAATGTAGTCTTCATTGAGAAAAAATAATTTCATCTAATTCAGAGGTTATCTAAAGGTTGTTTAAAAATATAGATTTATGAAGGAAATAAATAAAGGTTGAAAGGAAAAAATAGGAGAAAAATATGTGAAGAAAGTTATAGGCATGAAAATGTATTTTTGGTAAGGAAGGTTAAAAAAAGAAATAATTTTGAATGAGAAAGAATCTTGTGTGATAAATTTTTGTCCTTAAGTAAATGACTGATTATTTAAGAAAGAGGAAGACAGGACAAACAGAGTCTAAACATGTTGTCAAAGGTTTGAGCAAGTCATAATAAGGTTCATGAAGGATACTGTGGATAAAATGGATTTTGTGTGGGACCAAGTTGACTATAATTAGCACTCGTAACCTTGGACACACTCTTCCTGTGTCTGATTAAATTCAAGTATCTTTTTCATCAGTTTTGACTTCTGGTTTATCTAAATAGGCTTCCCAAAAGAAGGAGCAATCACATAAAAGTTTTTTTTTTCTTTTTAACTTTTCTTGGTAACTGGACTAAAAAATAACTTACGTTTTATCAGGATAATTTCCTGAGTTATATCTATTAGGTTTTTGATTACTTAGAAATAGTGAACTTTGAAAGGCTCAAGGTTTCTACATCCATGTACCTTTCTGTACTGCTTTTGAAGTCTTTCAATTATTATTCTGGTTAAATTAATGACTATTATTTCATAGTGACATGTACTCTCACTTTAGTCAAACATTTTGAATGTTTTGATGTCTTTGACAGCCTTCCCCAGGATAAACATTCTAAATTAAGTATTTTTGACCAAGGATTAACTTTGAGATTATCCACTTGGGCTCCTGTAGAGCATCAAATAATATATCTCTCATCTTGTAGACATATTAAATTATTAGGCTTATTTGGTAAATTGTATGGGAAGCATTGTCAAATGGTAAGTGATGCTGAATCTTTTTTCAGTTACATTTATGGGTATGTCCTAAAATTATATAAAACTTTCAGTAATCAACTATGTCATCAGTCTTATTCTGGATATGATGTTTTATGCCACAAAAAAATAATTTTTTTGGTCAATTACTGATTATAATGAATTTACATCAGATTTTCAACCATGGCTATCCTAAATTTTTGTCATCTATAGTTATTGCTTTAAATTCTTCTCTAAAGGCATTCACAATCAAATTCCCGGAAGAGACTCTGAAAAGTATTCTAAAATACAGTTTTCTACTAACTTTAAGATCAGTGGACTAAATTAAGTTTTTTCAAAACTCTAATGAAGAAACTGATGGGTTCATAAAACTTCTAATCATGCTCAAGCAGAATAAAAAATAATTACATGAGAGTGAATAACTGATAATGTTTTATGTCATTTAATTGAAACATTATTGGTCTTTACTTAAACACTTTGTTTCTCATATTATGAAAAGTATACTTTTTAAAATAAAGATAGAAACATTTGATTTATATGCCTACTTGATTACTCTAAAATTTGAAAACTACTCCTGTGTATTCCTAGGTCAATATGGTTATTTGTATGTCTAATAATAATCTGCTCTCTCTTTATGGTAGGATACAACTGGTTATATTACCAAGGCTTTGCATAAAATATTATATTTGAGTATGTGTATAGAATACCTGGCTTCAAGGGTTCCCAGCCTTACAGTGAGTAAAAAAAAATTGTCACTTCTGTGTAGGCTCAGGAACTTTAAGAATGTAGCTAAAATTTAAAATCTGCCTTAGTTTGGCTTCCTAACCTCAAAAAGTTTTAAAATCTGAGATTCCTATGTGATCTATATATAGAGAAAAAGTTATGTTTTTAAAGAAAAGCTATAATACACCTGTTATTAGACTGCAACTCTATATATTGTTTTCAAGTGTTTTTATCTGCATATAAACGAGACTAGATCCTTAATCCTTCTATATTCCTCCAATAACACTTTTTTCATGAAGTTACTCAAAATGGAAACTGCTCTGTTCGTAAAGCCCTGCAAGCTAATACTAGATGAATTTTAAGGAACAAGTGTTGTGTCTGATGTATGGGCCACATAAAAAGTTCACCAAACTGTCTGATGTCATACCATAGATATTTAAACTACAAGTCAGGATGAGAAATTGATGTTTTCATGCTGTAGACAACTTTTTCCAAGACACTAAAACAAGACTATATATTGTAATAAAACTCTTACCCTTCTCAATGTCTACCTTTTCTACTTGGCAGGGTAACAGGCGTTTGATTTGTTCAATTGGTTGCCTTTAAGCAGAGGTTTTTGGCTCAAAAACATTATGCAAACTGAGATTGACATATTACTGTTAATTTTACTTTGTATTTTCCCTTTTTAGACTTTATATTTGTTACTAGTTAAATTTCTGCAGAAGTACAACCCTTAACAAAATAATGCTGGGCCAGCACTTTGAAATTGATAGCAAAAGACAATGAAACAGATAAAATTGAACTTATTAATGGACTCTAGGTAGACTTAGCCTCAGGACTACTCCCTTCAAAACTTTCATATTGCTCAAATGTGGCTAAAAGGGTTTTGAAACTAAATCCAAGCTATCAATCACTCCCTCCGATGTGGGACTAGACTAACAAACTGCGATAGGTCCATCCTGGCCCCAGGGGACAATAAAAACCTAACTACAGATGATTGATCAGTGATGCTTTTGAAGAACGATACTGATCAAAAGACGGAAATGTGAACATTGTCAGATCAAAATGGAATCACTTGTGTTAAAAAAAAAATCCTGACAAATAGAGCCAGGAAGGTTATAAAGTAAGGGTTTTTATGCATAAATGCTTGATAACCAAACTATCACCAAATACTGCCAAAACTGCAAACTTGCACAAAGGCCATCAAAATCTATTTTTTAATACTTCAGTGAGGACATTTGCCCAACAACTGCATATCTAATTTCTGACTAGCATCACCCTTCTTATTGCTCCTTGTAGTCAAGGATAATTATCTCAAAACAATCATACAATTCTCTTCAATTGTTTTTAAACTTTGTCTTCATCTACCTCCTTGAATATATACATAGTTTATTATAGCACACATACTCCCATTGCAATGCTGTTTCTGAATGTGTATAATTTTCCTTTAGAGATCTTTTGTTAGTTATTTAGATTGAAGATGTAAACATAATTAAAGTGTTTCTCTGAGTCCTATAAGTCTTGATAGCAAAGTACCAAACCCAAAGAGGGGTCTTGGGAACCTCAATTTGTAGCCACGTTGGACAGATGTATGGGTAACCTGGGGACCTTTACTTGCAATTGGTATATGAAGTGGGAAGTAGTCTTGTGGGACTAAGCCCTTAACCCGTGGGATGTGCACTAACCTCAGGTAGTCAATGTGATAACTGAATTGCAGGATACTCAGTTGGTGCCCAGAGAGTTGGAGAATTGGTTAGTAAGAGCAAAACATCCACACATATGGTGTCAGAGTGAAGTTTTGAGAATGTAGTGAAGTGTTGAGTATTTAGAATAGAGATAAACAAGGAGTTCTCCTTGGAGAGGAGAAAATAGAGTTTCCTTTAAAGGGCCAAAATCAAAAAGGCTTTAAATAAAAAAACTTCTTTAAAACTGTTAAATCCCAATTAAAATGACCAGAACACCCAATTCCTCTATTCTAATTGAGATTATTCAGGCCAATTAGAGCTAATAGTAATTCCATGCAATTCTCATTCATAAAAATATTAATAAAACCTTTAATTTACATATAAAGTATGATTATTTTTTCTTTCTTTTATGGGCTTACTACAAAACCTAAACTTTTAAATATATTGACAGGGTAAATTTACACAGGACTAATAAAAGCTGTCTACTGGATGTGTTACGTGAGTTTTAATTTAGCAAAGGAAAGAAATTCTTTACTTTTAGCTAAAAATACTATCTAAACAATTACAGTTATAACTCCAGGTGATTATTTCATAATGTTGACATTACATTAAAGTCCAATATGTTAAGATGTGATTTTTAAAAATTTTGACAAAAGTTATAATTTAAAACAAAACAAAACAACTCAATGTTTAGGCCTACAATGACAGCCTTGCCAAGAATGGTAGAAACGCATATCCCTCTACCCACACGAAGGGGAAATAGCATATACCTCTCAAATTATATGACTCACTCCCTACCTGAGAGATATAGAACATATGACCTAGGCCAATCTGGAGGAGTTAGAACATATTTTAAAAGATAATTATAAGAAATAAGTCACTTTTAAAATTACTGTGGAAACAAGATAAATTCACCATGCTATTTGTACAGCATTCGAGTTGTTTTCCCCTAGATTAAGCAATTTGCTTCTCTCTGGCAAATGCCATGTGAACCATATTAGGGTCTCCCATTGCATTTCTTGAACACAGGCAAATATAGGACCAGGTACTGTGTTAGGTGCTGGCGTATAAGGGTAAACAAATGCAACGTGATCCTGGATTTCATAGACCCTATTAGTCTTGTTGCCATGAACATCACACAACAAAAATGCAATGGAATATGACATTGCTTGTTTATTCTTTATAAGGGAAATACTTTCTTTATGGTTTTTCACATCCTAAGTAGAGATAGGTTCACTCTCAAGAAATGCAAGCTTACCTATAAATAAGTCAATGGTTTCTGCCCAACATTTATGGTTATATAAACCTATTGGACTATTGGTTCTGATTTTAGTTAAGTAAAATAAACATAGATGACATTTCCAAACTCTTTGTATGTGAGTTAATTTTATAATACAAAATATAAGTTTTCAAAGTCTGTGATTGTCTCATGAATATTTACAATGGGTGTTTTCCTACTCAGCTTTTTGTTTTCTTCTAAGGTACAGGTAGTTTCATCTTTGCATCAATGATTTCATTTGAAATTTTTACCATTATGAATATTTCTTAATGTACAACTGTGGAGAGGCTAATTGACCCTTTCAAAAATAGACATGTTTTCATATAAAAGGTCCATTTTGCTACAGATGGGTAACTAAAGCAGCAACTGGCTTCAGCATTGTAATAGTCTGAAGACTTAATTATTCAGGAACAGGTTTTCTCTCTTTCCCCAACCTAACACTTTTCTTTCTAATGCCACTTACAATTGAAAAATATTTTAAATCCAAGCCACTAACATTGCTGAGTCATGCTAAGTTGTGCAATATTATGTTACATTCCATCTGGCATTAGTTAATATGATAGGATGTAGAATATTTAATTTTCATTTAAATATGTGTTTTAGGTGTAGATATGTTTCAAGATGCTTCCTATAATTCAGAATTTATCTTGCAAATGTCTTTTACAGATAGCCCTTATTATGGCCACTAAGACTAAACATAAATAACATTCATTGTATTAAATGTGCTTTTCCTATCCGAATGTTACAAATTATTGGCATTCAATTGAAGAACTTGTTAAGTATATAAAATTTTGTACCCGCTAGTATCTGGAATATGCCATGAAGCAAGTTCTGTTTACAGACAAAGTCTGTAAGATATCCAAATACCACTGTGATATGTTTACAGTTTATAAAAGAATTAAATATCAAGTCCTTTTGGGTGTGCAAAAAATGAGCATTAAATGAATTGAAGGAAGAAACTAGAAAATTTTAATATCTGGCACATGTGAAATGAATGAATAAATGCATTCATCTCTTCCTCACAGCTTATTTTTGGTTGCTAAGGGACCCTCTAATGGTCATTAAGGTCATGACAGGGGATTAGTTTACTTTTATAAATGGATTTCATCTGGAAATGTCATTTCTTTGCAATCGACTATATCATCTTGGGTCTATGAGCAATGATGCTAAATTACAGACAGATGGAGAATTTTGAAAAGAGTTCCAACTAATTCTGACAGCCATCACTTCCCACCCTCCTTGGTTAAAAATTAACTTCCAATAGTGGGAAAAAGATGATGAAACCTACCCAATATCTACAAAAGATGTTAAATATCATGAATTTTTATCCACAATTTCTTTTTTTTGGGAGGCAGAATGAGTCGATCTGAAGGGAGATATGAAGATTACTAAATAAAATCAAATTTCTTTATATAATATTGCCTGCCAAATTAAACTTATAAGCATGAGGAAGCAGCCTCTACAGAAAAATAATTATTATAGGAGTCAAAACGTATTGTGTTAGTTACCAAGAAGTGCTAAAGTTCACCTGTACAGTTTATTTAGTTCAATTAGTTCTCAAGGCTTGTCCTTTAAATCTTCACATGAAAGGAAAGACAGCAATGGAACATTTCTTCAAGATCATCAAAGTACTTGAAGCATTTAAGGGAGTATGTTTGGCTGGCTGGGTACTACAAAGAGCCAATTAGGATTGTTCACTGCTTTAAAACAGACAAGATAACCAAAAGGGAAGACTCTCTCATTATAGGCTTTGAAAGCAATATTTAGGATCATGGACTTTTAGCCTTTAGCAGTGTAAGCACCAAATTGCTTGAATGATTTATTCTCCAGAGGGCAAGTATAAGGGGGCCTTTATCAAATTAATGGCCAATACATGTATTTAGTGGAGTTAAACACTGATATTTAAAAAGTCCATGTGAAGGATGGCCAAGATACATAGGCTTGTGTTGCTGTAATTACCAATAGATGGCCTATCTTTTCCTACCATGTATATCTCTTTTTGATACCTTCCCTTTCCTCCTGGCTTTGCTGCTCATGTGCCAATGATGGCCAGGCAGGGAAATGCAAGCCTTACTGATACCAATTTTTGGCTTTTTTTTCAATTAAATAAAAAAAAAGCTTATTAGGAAAGGAGGGAAGATTGGTTATAAGGGAAAATTGGTAGATTTTTATAAGATACATGAGTAAAAAACAGTAATGTAAAAAATGTATGTTATAGTAGTGTAAAAATGTAAAAATATGGTAGCATTAATTGCTATAATAAAGATAGTTTGGGCTAGGATGAAAACTTGAGGACAGGTACTTAGTTGAAGGAGTCAGTGGAATTGAATAATGTAGTTATGGATCATCTGTGCATAGGAAATAATTTAATTGAGAAACTCAGAAAATAATGTTCTAATTTTGAGATATACCTATCTATATCTATATCTATCAAGGAGGAGGGGCAGGCGAGGGAGTGAATATGAACAGATTAGACTTCAAGCCATCATCACCCTGATATATAATATATAAATAATGTGATATATGTATATCACATTTATATATATATATTTACTTTTTGTACTCTATTGTGTATACATATATATTGTAAGTCCTTGTCCTTTACACATTCCATAAACAATGAAATACAAAAAGCCATAAAATAATAAAATTCTTACAAAAGCCATAAAAAATAATGAAATTATGTCTTTTGTAGCAACATGGATAAAACTGTAGGCCATTATCTTAAGTGAAACAACTCAGAAACAGGAAGTCAAATACTGCAAGTTCTTCCTTATAAGTGGGAGCTAAATAACGTGTACACATGGGTATAGAGTGAGAAAGGATAAATAATGAAGACTCAGAGGGTGGAATGGGGGAGAGGAATGAGGGGTGAAAAATTACTTAATGGGCACAGTGTACATTATTTGGGTGATGGTTACGCTAAAAGCCCAGACATTACTATTGCACAATATGTTTATGTAACAAAACTATAGTTGTGCCCCTTAAATTTATACAAATAAAAAAATTTAAATGTGGCATATCTTTGAAAGGTCATATAGTATATATAAGCGTTTTATGTTGGGAGTTTTGGGAAAAACGAATCTCTCACATCTCTTTTCTGGATTCAAAACCAACTGAGAAATAGACATAAATAAGATCTGGGATGGGCGTACTAACAAAATAAAGGGTTTTCTGCTACTTCTTCCCCAAGTTTAGATCTTGGTTCTTATCAAGCCAGCCCCATGAAGAAACATGACCTAACCAATGTGCTTTGAACACAAATGAGCAAAAATGGAAATGCTAAGAGAAGGACAGTGGGGCTCTTGGCTTGTGTACCTACCGTGGCTATTTACTGTATGGAAGTAAAAACTGGGAGAACAAAGGCCACGAGAAGGCAAAAAGAGATTTGAGAAAATGGAGCAAGAGGGTTGGCTACACATGAAATAGAGTAGTAATGCTCTATACTTTAACTCAACCCAATAGAGGAATGTGGAACGATGGATGATGGTATTTTACAATCCCAGATTATACAAATCATTTCTTTTTGGGAAGAGTGAATAAGAAAGTAAAGAAAGAAGATTCTCTATTTCTTCTCAGAGAAAGAGAGGAAATGTTACTTTCTATTTCATGGGTAAATGAAAGAATATATAAAGATGAAGAAAATTTTTATTCCTTACACTGCTTTGTCATTTTTCTGCTTGAATTATTTAAAACTTTTGGTTGCAATGGACAGAAAATAAAAGTGGCTCAAAACACAAGACTTGTACATGAATGTTTATAGCAATTTAATTTGTAATAGCCCCAAAATGGAAACAATCAAAATGTCCTAGAGTAGGTAAATGGTTAAGCAAATTGTGGTACATTCGCACCATAGAATATTGTTAAGCAATAAAATGGAATGAACTACTGATATATGCATCAACTTGGATGAATCTAAAGGACATTAAGGTGATTGAAAAATAAAGCCAATCTCAAAGGGTCATATACTATATTATTCCATTTATATAACATTCTCAAAATGACAACATTATAGAGATGGAGAACAGATTAGTGATTGCCAAAGGCAAGAATGGATAGGAAGGAGAAGTTTGTGGTGATGGAATAATTCTGCGTCTCACTTTTGGTGGTGGTTACATGAATATACACACATAATGAAATGGCATAGAATGATTCACACGTATTGCACTAATGTCAATTTCCTGGATTTGATATTATACTACAGTTACTTAAGAACAATTGGGAAAAACTAGGTAAAGCGTGCACAGGACATCTCTGTACTATTTTTGCAACTTTGTTTGAATCTATAATTATCTTAGCATAGAGTTAAAAATTTGGCTCAAGTGAAAAAGGGAATTACTTGGTTTATGGAATTTGGCAGTGCAGGGGTTGAATCTAGGTAGCCTCACGCAAACCTGGATTCAGGAGCTCACACAATGTCATCTGGAGCTTTTTCTCTTTTTCCTTTTCTAGGTTCTGCTCACTTTTCTGTGTTGACTTAATTCTGTAGACAGCTTTCTCCATGAAGCTGCGGAAGACGCCAGAGATTAAGGCTTACATGATTCTTATACCTTGTAACCTGGGACAAAAAGTCTCTTACAATCTTAGTGGATCAGTCCTCTTGGAACCAATCACTGTTGTCAGGAAGACCTTTGATGATTATTACACTGATGGGCCTTAATGTGCTGGGGAAAAACAGGTGTGTTTACATGTGCGTGAGTGGAGTGTGTGTCTACATGTGTGTGCGCACACAGAGATAGCTCCACTGGGACCTCACTGAGGAAAGGAGTGGTTTCCCAAAGAAGTGAGATGTTTTAATCAAATTCAGGTTAAGTGGACCTGGCAAAATAGCAGATGTCTACTATACCACTCAAATATCAAAGTGTAGATATGAACAAATACTTGATACTTTAACTTGTAAAACATTTAAATATTACTATAACAAATAATGTTTACAGGTTTAAATGTTACTTACTTTTGGAAAGAAAAGGCTAGAAAGACTGAACAAAATTTAGTAATTAACCAAAAGCCTAAAAGAAACATAGTTCCAGGATGAGTGGCAAAATGAATCTCAACATTGCATTGTAAGTGAAGATGTTAACAAAAAATCAGAAATTCACCATACTCTTTAAATTATATAGAAAACTAAGGTTTTATATGTAAAATAATTAGTAGTTGAAACAGGTTAAAGTTTTAGAAAAAAAGTACAGGCTCTCTAACATTGATCTAATAATTAAAAATACCCACGTATGCATTCAAACTTAGAAAATACCTTTATATAGGCCCAAAGCCCACTGTGGTGATTATTAAGCTCAGTGGTAGATGGGGACATTTTACTGAGTTGGGGTCATTTTAGGTAATACTCTGTAGCACAAGATGGTAAAGAGGTTGTTGGTTGCCAGGGATGTACATTGAGTGAGAAGATTCTCTTCAAAGTGTAGGAGCAGAGCTAACTGAAGACTAATAAAATAGTTTGATCTTTCAGACTTAATTTGGGTAGATTAATATTTTTAACTTGATATGAAGAATTCAGGGGAACAGAGCACTTGGGAAAAAACATTTTGAAGTAGCATTTTGTATTGATTAAGAACTGTGGTAGAAGTTAAGAATCTACATTAACAATTGTTATTGGGAAGAACAGGAGGGGTTAAAAATTTTTAAAAAGACTTACAATGATTCTGAAATAACCACACTGAAGGAGATAATGGGAAAGGGATGTGTGCCAAGGGTGTTGATATTAGAAAGGATTTTCAGCATTTCATATTTGAGAAGTGGCTTGCAGAGGGGAAGATTATTCTGCAGGGATGAGAAATAAGGCTGAAGACACAGTATTTGTGTCCAAGGTCCTGATCATAGAACTATTTTCCTCTCATGTCTCTACTCTTCTTAATTATACAGGTACCTTTCACCTTCCATCTAGTTAAAAGTATAAGAATGCATATATATATATTTAAATTATGACTTCTGAAAAAAATTGTCTTATATCTCACTTGGGCACACACATACAGATATTCCTCTACTTTTAATGGGGTTATGTCCTGATAAACCCATCGTAAATTCAAAGTCTCATTAAGTTGAACTGTGTGGCTGACTGGGAGCTACGGCTTGCTGCTGCTGCCCAGCATTGTGAGAGAAACCGTACAACTATTCTGTTTTTCACTTTTAGTACAGTGTTAAATACATTACATGAGATATTCAGTACTTTCTTATAAAATAGCCTTTGTGTCAGATGATTTTGCTCAACTGTAGGCTAATATAAGTATTCTGAGCATATTTAAGGTAGGCTGGGTTAAGCTATGTTTGGTAAGTTAGATACATTAAATGCATTTTTGACTCACAAGATTTTCAGCTTATTATGTGTTTATCAGGACATAACCTGAGGAGCATCTGTATGTACATATAAATGACAGAAATACTTCAGAACTAAACTTCCCCAAAAGGTCTTAACTTGAGGGACTAATCCCCATAGTGGCTGTTATGTAGAATTTGCCATTTGCAAGGATTGAGTGATTTGTCAAGATGATGTTCATTCAGATAAGTATGGACTATCTATCAATTACTACTCTTTGGGGGAAGTCATAGGAGGCGACAAGCTTAGTGCTCTGCATATACATTTCAAAAACAATTGCCCTGTACTAATTCCTGAAACGTATGTTTATATTTTGTCTTAATGTCCCAGTTGTGCCTTTAGACTTTGAATATGGAGTCTTAACACAAAAAAATTGAGGATGTAAACGAGTGATTTTGTAACATATCTTACCTTGAGTGGTTAACAACTTATGAGTAAGTTGTGAATACGCAAAAAGCAATATATGTGTGAAATTTTGATTGTAAAGAAACAACATCCTTGAAAAATCAGTCCATAGGATTTGTGAATGCCTTCAGTGATACTAATGACTTTTCCACATGTACAAATCACAATACTTTATTTTTGTTTAATTTTTTTTTATTTTCTGAGATGGAATCTCGCTCTGTTGCCCAGGCTGGAGTACAGTGGCTCAATCTCCGCTCACTGCAACCTCCGCCTCCTAGGTACAAGCGATTCTCCTGCCTTAGCCTCCCAAGTAGCTGGGATTACAGGTGCCTGCCACCATGCCTGGCTAATTTTTATATTTTTAGTAGAGACGAGGTTTCACCATGTTGGCCAGGCTGGTCTTGAACTCCTGACCTAAAGTGATCCATCTGCTTTGGCCTCCCAAAGTGCTGGGATTACAGGTGTGAGCCATTGTGCCCAGCCCATTTTTGTTTTTAATATAAACAAGGTGAGTTAGATATAATTTGTTTATAATTATAAAATGCACTGAATCAATCCCAAATCTGGATATAATTTACTGAACTTCACCCACAAATTAAAGCTAATTACCAGTCACAAGTGAACAGGTGACTCAAATTTGT
This sequence comes from Homo sapiens, assembly GCF_000001405.40. Taxonomy (NCBI): domain Eukaryota; kingdom Metazoa; phylum Chordata; class Mammalia; order Primates; family Hominidae; genus Homo; species Homo sapiens. The sequence continues at coordinate 28,016,443 of NC_000011.10, forward strand.
TTTGTGTAGGAGAGATGCTTTTTGTATAGCCATCCATATGCAGTGTTAGCCACACTGTAGATAGAGGTATTTTATATCAACTTTAGTTCAAAAATCCCAATTCTGCTACTGTACAGCTGTGGAATTTTTGGCAAATTACTTAATTTTCCAAGCATCTTCTCCTTTTTCAATTAGAAAACTAAATATGTTATCTAGACATCATCATCTGAAATCCTCATGGGTAGTTGTTTTATAATTCAGTATTTTCTTTTTGTTTTAGAAATGCAATACAGTGCATATACTGTATTTATACATAACACCCTCACCCTGGTGGGGTCTGGGCTAATACTCTATAACTGAATGTTAACATTTCTGCAGCAAAGCCTCTGAATGTTTATACTAAGTAGGGTAAATACAATTAATAGACTCATATTAGCAGAAGTCAGGTTTTACAGACAAAAATTATACAAAACCTGATTTTCAAAATCTGTGGAGTTTTGGAATTGAATAAGAAGTTGTAGATCTGTAACATTTACTTTTTTAAAAAATGTACTTAATTGATAAATAAAACTTATACATATTTATCATGTTCAACATGAAATGTAACATCTACTTTAAAAGCTTGTTTGAGGAATAAGTGAAAAATGCATTTAAAACATTTATCATATGATAAGAGCTCAAAAAAGTATGACTATTATTACGTGTTCATTAACAAATGTGGACTGAGGGCCCCTTTACAAATAAAGGGACACTTTATAAGGCTTGTGGTTGGAAGTTGTTCTCAGAGTAAGGTCAGATTATCCTATCTGATTCCAGAATTTGCAACTTCATTAACATCAAAGCTCTTGTTGAGCAGTTACTGTAGATATTTCCAAGTTATTTAAATATGAGTCAAAGCATAATATAAAACAAAATGCAGTTGTTATAAATATGAATCCCTCTTCGGTTTAACAATTATATATACATATGCACGTGTATATATGTATAGTCAGTTCTGCTATATATATATATACAGCATGTATATGTATATAGCATGTTTTCTGTAGTAGATGCTTGTATATGTATACACGTATACATATAAATGTAGTTTTGTATATGTATACATGTACACATATAAATGTACAGTTTTGCTGTATATATGTGTGTGTATAAATATATATACTATATATATATATATATAGTCAGTTCTGCTGTAACTATTTTGAAAGTACAGATTTGCTCCTATGGCATTGGTACATTAGGGAACCATTTGGGCCTAATGTGAGTTTTGTACCTGGATACACAAGCTTTCATCTGGATGAAACATTAGGTGAACAGAAAGCTCCACTCAGTGGTATCAAGCTACATCAGAATATTCAAAATGAATATACCTCATGACAGTGGGCCACAGCCATCCACATCTGGCATTATAAATTCCTGTCTGAATTCAGATCACCCTCCTTCCATCATTTCCTAGTAACTCACAAGCTACAATCCTTCCACATCAACTTCCAAGCAAACTTTCCTTCTCAAGGCAAAGTGCCATATTTGTCATAGTACTCATACATTTCTTAACCAGTTAACGTGTAAAATTAGGCCACTGTTTTTATTAGGTTCCTATCTTTCTTTTAATGTGTCAGTGACTAACCTTTTGAGTGTTGTGCTACTAACCCCATTTTTCCCATAAACCTTGTGGTTTCATTGCACAACTTTGCACAGCATTTTGTGTTTTATGAACACATATGCCATGTTATAGCAGTGCTGTCGTTTATGACACTTGGTGTGTTCTGTGGAACATGCTTAACACATCATAATGTAGAAATAACAGTGACTACTCCAAAGTATTCTCAGAAATGCTGAACAGTGTAGCTCAAAAGAGACCATTATCTACGTTTCTCTCGATATATTTACTATATAAAAATTATCATAGCAGTATTATGAAATTCACACTTAAAAATTTTACAAATATGTCCATGATGGTTTTAAATGTGAATAAAAATGAAAAGTGCAAAACAATATAACAAGTATGATCCTATTTTCATAAAAAAATCCAAGAATATAGGTATATTGAAATATATATAATAAATATATTGTTTTATATATAAATATATATATTTGTTATATATAAATATATATATTATTTGTTTTATATAAATATATAATAAATATATTATTTGTTTTATATAAATATATATAATAAGTATATTATTTGTTTTATATATATATATAAAAAACAAAAGTAAATGTCTAGTCATGGTACCTAAACTATTAGGTTGGTGCAAAAGCAATTGCGGTTTTTGCCATTGAAAGTAATGGCAAAAACCGCAATTACTTTTGCACCAACCTAATATTAACAGTGGTTACACGTGGGAATGATATTAGTAGGCAGTGAGGAGGAAGCACATTTACTTCGTACTGTTCTGTATCATTTTTTAGAACAACACTTTTTTTAAAAATAAAAATTAGTTATTTTAGTTAAAATAGATCTATGATGTTACCAACACAAAGATAAAGGTTTGAGGTGATGGATATGCTAAAATCCTGACTTGATCATTACACATTGTATACATATATCAACATATCACATTGTACCCCATATATGTACAATTATTATGTGCCAATTAAAAGTACATATATTAATTTTTTAAGAAAGAATTAAAAATTAAACTGTGGTGTTAGAAGTTAGGATAGCTGTTACCACTGAGGGAGGTGATGACTGGGAGAAGGTGTAAGAGAGTCTTCCGAGGTACAGATAATTTTCTATTTCATCATTTGAGTGCTGGTTATGTGGGCATGTTCACTTTGAAAATTCACTGTTACATATTCACTTATGAGTGATCTACTTTTTACATAAGGCTCACTTAAAAATGTTTTCACAGTGACTTATCAAATAGCATTCTTGTTTTAGTTTAAATTCACATAGTTAATAGCTGTCTTTTCCCATTCATTATGGTTTATTACCCCAACTTCCCCTTAATATAGTTATATGACAAAAGTCCCTTTTATTAATTTTTATAGAAGTCCAAATCTCTACCTGATAAAAATGGTATATAAGAAAATCGTGCTCATACCTTTTAGTATGAGGAGGACCATGAGGTCTAGTCACTTATTAATCATGGTAGCCACTCGTCACTATCTGGTAAAAAGGTTTCTTTTACCTAAAATTGAAAGGAATAGAGAGGTGAAAGTGATTGTTAAACAGGCAACACAACCAAAAACCAAATGTCGAAGGGACCAAAAAAAAATGTGTTTATGGTGGTTTTCTGTATGACACATCCTGAATATGCTCTATAAATATGGAATCACCAGTGTCAGAGCTGAAAGGGACCTCAAAGATTATTCTCACACTCTCCCAGCCAGATTTTAAGTGGATAAACTTGATTAGCTGAAAGGCTTAAAATATTTCAGCTTGCTTGCTTTGGTGTGAAGGGTCCTGTGCTGCATAAAATTAAAAGTGCATTTGGCCAAATATGTTACATTCAGCAAACAAACAGGACAGGCAAGGCAAGTAAACAGTGTATAATTAAGTTGCAGCTCCATGTACTTCCTATAGCAGCAAGAATGATTGAAACATCTTTTCCCATTATCATTACGAGGCCTGTGGATTATTTTCAGACTTGGCTCTGGCGCCACATATCTTGATCTTACCTGAAATACAAATCTACAAAATTCACATTTTCTATAAAATAATAGTTTAGAACAGGGGTTCCCAACCGTGGTCTGTTAGGAACCAGGCTGCAGAGCAGGAAGCGAGTGGTAGGTGGCCGCTCCCATTGCTGGCATTACCACCTGAGCTCTGCCACGTATCAGATCAGCAGTGGCATTAGATTCTCATAGGAGTGTGACCCCTATTGTGAACTGTGCATGTGAGGGATCTAAGTTGTACACTCCCTATGAGAACGTAATGCCTGATGATCTGTGACTGTCTCCTATTACCCCAAGATGGGACCGTCTAGCTGCAAGAAAACAAGCTCAGGGCTCCCAATGATTCTACATTATGGTGAGTTATATAATTATTTAATTATATATGTAATATATAATGTAATAATAATAGAAATAAAATGCACAATAAATGTAATGTGTTTGAATCATCCTGAAACCACCCCCTACTCTCAGTCTGAGGTTTTGTCTTTCACAAAACCAGTCCCTGGTGCCAAAAAGGTTGGGGACCACTGGTTTAGAGTATGAAAGGGGTAGTAATGAGACAAGAAAATGAAACACTTTAAAATCTACATCTTTAATATATCAAGTAGCAAGGGACAATATTTTATTTGTGATGACTAAATAATATTTACAATGATTTTATGGGCACATATATTTACACTTGTACATTAAAGTATTTTTGAAAAGGAAAGTCATATATATGATTAAAATAATGTATCAAAACATAATAGAGAACCAAATACATCTTGGGCCATAATTTTACCACTTCTAAATTCTTATTTTTAAAAAATAATAAAGATAATTTAACTCACTACCATTTACTAAAATGTCCTAGTCAACTTGTTGTGGCATAGTAAAACTAAGCTGCCACCATGGTAACTTACACTCAGGGATTTTAAAAGGCAACAAATATTTAAAAAACTTAAAAGACAACCTTTTCTTTTGAAATTTTATTTTTTTAGAACACAAAAGAAGAAAACAAAGAGTTTCATTTTTCTGCTTGCTGAAAGTACTTGGGTAAACTTAGCTTTAAGATGGGTCTTCTTTCAAAGATTTTAAATATATTTTTGAAAGGGTATTGATAAACTTTGAAAAGCAGATTTGATCAACTTCATTTTGCTTGGTTTTGAAGTGATTTATCTTAGATTTCCTTTTGAAATATTTCTTCCAAATTTTCTAACCATGCTTGGATTTATTTTACAGATGTTTCTTTTATGTTCTAGAGAAGAAATAAAAAGATGCATAAATATGGCATAAATATCATTCAAAAAGTTTTCATCGTTCAACTTATAAAAATTATGACCATAGAAAGAAAAATTTACTCTTGAAATTCATAGTTGTTAGTTAACATAATTTAAAATATAACAACAACAAAGAGACATTAATACCTTTGGTTTAAAAGCTGTTCAAATTCATATTGCAAACTAAAGTTTCAGTGAGTGCGTGCACATACACAGACATCGGGTGAAGTCGCTGAATTAAATACTATGTTCATTTTCTTTCTTTCTGACTAATAAAAGACCATTTCTACAAGCATTTCTTCATTTTCTTTGTTGTATCACCATTTTTTCTCATTCCTTGGATTATATTTCCCCAGGGATTTAAACTTCCATATTTTTCCAATTTTAAAATTATCATTTGCATCTAGTACTTCCTAAAGGGCTGATCTTAATCCTATAGCTCTTTTTTCTTTTACTGCCACCTCTCAAGTATGTTCTATTTATGCCCATTCTTCTGGTTCTTCATTAGCTTTCACCGTCATTTTCTACTCAACAAAGTGTTGTTACAACAGGGTGCCATTGACTTTTTTCAGGATTAGTTTAATTGCTTATCCACTTTGTTGGCCATATTAGGTTTTAGTTTTAGAGGGACATATTCCCTTAACACTCTCTGTTATTTCTCTAACTGCTAAGTTAACAGGAGTTGCCTTTTTCCCTACTGATGGTCCTATGTTTCTTTATTTGTACATTGTTAGTTAGAAAACTGGTTTAATACATTTTTCACTTGAACATTATAATGTATATAAAATATCTTTCCTTACAAACTAATACCTCTTTGGCAAGCATTGTGGTTTATTATCATCTCCCACTTTTTTTTCCCCATAGTAGATATTTTTACTCACATCTCTTTATACATGAAATATTTGATGAATTTGTATCTTCAGATAATAAGCATATTAGAAAAAGCCAAGTTCTATGATTTGAGTTTTTTTTTTTTTTGAGACGGAGTTTTGCTCAGTCGCCCAGGCTGGAGTGCAGTGGTGCGATCTCGGCTCACTGCAAGCTCCGCCTCCCAGGTTCACGCCATTCTCCTGCCTCAGCTTCCCGAGTAGCTGGGACTACAGCCGCCTGCCACCATGCCCGGCTAATTTTTTAAAATTTTTTTGGTAGAGACGGGGTTTCACCATGTTAGCCAGGATGGTCTCGATCTCCTGACCTCGTGATCCACCCGCCTCAGCCTCCCAAAGTGCTGGGATTACAGGCGTGAGCCACGGCGCCCGGCCAATTTGAGAGTTTTTATAAATTTATTATTTGGCTGTAGAATTATGATTCTTGAAGAACTTTTTAAGAAGATCAGTGGGGCAGTACACACCTAAACTAACTACAGATACACATTTTTAAGCATTATTAAATACAACATGTCAAACCAAATGATCAAGGTAAATTTTGTACTTTACTACCTTACTGTCTGATGTTTCAATTTGCTGTCTGATGCTTCAATTTCCATTGAACTTAAGGTAAACACTGGCTACTACAGGAAGCAGGCATTTACCAATATAGTTTGACAAAGTTACTGAGGAATTTTATATTACTCTAATCAAAGGGCATCGACAGAAAAAAACTAACAATAGCTTTCATGTTATCCTTAGAAAAATTATATCATGAGACACCTTTAAATTGCATTTGCTATAATTATCAGTTCCTATAGAGAACAATCAAACTGTGTCTTACTGCTCTCTGTATTCATCACAGGACATGGTAAATGCCTAGTGAATAAATAGTTTCTGAATGAAGTCTTAGGAACTGTAGTATCAGAGACAGAGGTCTAGATGTTGGGGCCTGAAAACTGGCTGGCATGATACACCACTAGTTTAACTGAAGTGGTTTTGTTACCATAAACTCATGTCACTCCCATATGCGGTTGATGGAATGTAGTATCTTTCATACTGATGGGAAAGATCCATCAGTATCTTTTCCAACTTGCCAATGGGAGTTACAATATGATTGTAACTAGATACAGACTGGAATCTGTGTAGTAGTTACACATTGAGTTAGAGGCCAAATTATTCAAAATATTACGCTAAGAGAAAAATTTAAAGTGGGTATAGTTTATCTGCAAAATACACTTAATTAGTAACATTAAGTAATACATTTAGCCAATTATTTCAATTATTATGAGACAGTAGGGATAACTAAAAGGGTGTAGAAAGTAGAGTTTTAAGATCTGGTTCTTGAGTTTTGGCTCTACCAATATAATATCTGTGTGATCTTGGGTAAATGCTTTTGTGTTTTAAAGTTTCCTTATCTATAATATGTGGATAATCATACTTGTTCTACCACATAGTAAAGGTGATGAATAAAGGGAGATTCTTATGAAAACACAATAAAAAACGTAAAGTACTATATGTGTGTTACAGAGTCATACCATTAAATATCAAATTAAAAGCTGAGACATACCCATTGTTGGTTTGTTTTCTTGTAAGTGCTTCTCACTTGAATTATCTTGTCGAACACGTTTGGCAAATCCAGAATTTACGTCTGCAGTTAACGAACTGTTTGATGTAGAACTTGAGAGGAAAAGTTTTTAATTTAGTTAAGCATTTTTTTTATACCTCAAAGTTCTAATACATATTGTACATGCGACAATGATTAAAGAAATAAAACACAAAAATATTAAGTTGTGAAATCTCACAGAAGTGGAGGTACTAAATACATTTTTGGCCCACAGAGAAATTTAGCTGTGTGTGATTTTAAATTGGATATTTTATATTTTTATTCAAATTGAATGTTATGATTGTAGGTGTATGTTACAATTCTGTAGCAGAATATTCCAGGGTGCTTTGCTGGCAGATAAGTAAGCACTATTATTCAAAATGTAGAGATCAGTAGCACATAGTCACAAGAGGTTAAAAAAAAAAAAAAAAAAAACTAAGCTCATGTTACAAATTTGGACCAAGAATCCTAATGTGAAAGGTATAAACAAGTGAGATTGTTTGAAAAACCTTGTTTTAAAATGAAAGCAGGGTAACAATAAAAATCTCTAATTATTACAATCACAGAAACTGAAATAAAAAGAATGACCTGTTTTCATTTGCTCTAGCTTCAAAAATTTAATCAGTCTTACACTGCTGATGGTTCAACTTTCTTACTCAATTTGAGTTGCCATATTAGTAAACACCTATTATGGCCTTGTGTTACATGATATACAAGTAAACAAGGCACAAAAATCCCTGTCCTAAAAACTTATAGAATAGACATACAGTGGAGATGAGAAAAAAATAAGATAAATACATGAAATAATATAAGGTAAAGTAAAAATATAGTGCCAAGGTTTCCATAATACAAGGAGCTATAGATTCTTGAGTGTAGAGTAAGAAAGAATAATGGAAATTTTGTGGATGCAATGAATTTGATCTGGGTCCTGAAAAACAGCAATCCTTCCTAGTCCTAAAGAGGATCAATTTTTAACAGGTAGGATTGGGGGGGGTTGGGTGGAAAAAGAACATCCTTCCACGCTGATTCAAACAACCTAAGCTTAGGGAAATTCTGGCTAATAAAGATACTATATAGTAATCCCCCTTATCGACGGGGGGGATATCTTCTAAGATCGCCAGTGGATGCCTGCAACCGAGGATAGTATCAAACCGGATATATACTATGTATTCTCCTACACATATCTATGATAAAGTTTAAATTATAAATTAGGCACAGTAAGAGATTAACAATAATAATAAAATAGAGCAATTATAATTATAATTATTATAAGGTTATGTGAATGTGGTCTCGCTCTCTATTAAAATATCTTATTGTTCTACAATCGCCTGTTTTTGAACTGCGGTTGACCATGGGTAACTGAAACCACAGAAAGCAAAACTTGAATAAGGGGTGACTACTCAGTGGAAGTAATGAAAATGACACAGTTTAAGAAGATAAAATCACAAATTTGTATGCACAAATATTATATCAACTACAGTAGTCCCCACTTCTTAAATGGTGATAAATTACTATGATTCTGTTTTGCATATTAAACACACTTTTGTATATATCAGCTGTCCAAGGCAGAAATTCTTTTTTGATCATTTGGTGATTTTATTTTTTCAAATATAAAGATCAATATTATTAGTTACTTTTGATAAAACATTGTTTTTTCTTAAATTTATCCCAAAGTTGTCTTTATTATTTCATAGTACGATTATGCATTATGGCTAGTTCCAGGACCCTACTTTTTACTCATAGCATGTTCTTTCTTGAAAATTAGGCTTTTGAATAAAGCCATTTGATTAGAACTCATATTTCTAGAAATCAAATCCAACCCTAATAAATTGCGTATTTATATAAAAGTAAAATATACCCAAACATGTTTACGATTTAGTTAAATAGTCCACTGATGAAATGTTTAACATTTATGTTGTAGGTCATAAACTACAAAGACTTAAAACTGATGAGCGCAAGTTCAAATTATGTTAAAGGCTATACTGAAAAATCCAAAGACACTTCCAGTTGTGCACAAAACATATTCCCATAACTATAAATAAAGTTAAGAATTAACCTTTTGCTCCCTTATATAGGTAGAATGTTTCTACTCAACATAATACCTCTTCTACTATTTTATCTGAAATAATTTCTAGTTGAAATAATTAGACATCTTTCAAAACAAAATAAAAGTGTATGGCAAATATGAAACTGCTTTGGGGTGCTCAGAAGATTGTGGACAAACAAAAAACCAATCAACCAAACAAATACAAAACAAACAATCCAAAACTCTGATTAATATAATTGAGAAGTAAAAGCTAACATTATGTATGCATTATATTTAAATATTTGATAGGCTAATCAATTTAGTAAAATAGTGTGCTAGAGAAATATTAAATAAATTGTTAAGATTAAAAATCTAATATACTCAATTATTTAAACAAATCTGTTGGGTAGGTTTTGGAATATCCAGTGCTTTCAAACTCTAATGCCATTTTATGCAAAATAAATGAAATACATATATAGAGAGCTTCCCCTTCTTTATTTTAAAAACTATATTAGAATATATACACAACTAAATATGTATATAAAGCTGCTAAATGGAAAATACCACAGTTTATTACTCTGAAGCGCATGTAACTTTAATTGGGGAAAAAGAAGATTAAAAAAAGTAATCATGTACATTTCTAGCATTAATCTCTTTTAACCTTAGTTAATGGCAGGATCTAATTACTGGTACCAGAGGGAATGTAATAGAACAATTAATAGGCTATAAGAAATCAAGTTACTTTCTTTACATGTCCTTTAATATTATTTCACAATATTAGTTGTTCATGTGGAAGCCCTTTAACTTATCTAAAATCACTCCAAATACACAATTCACATACCTGGACATTTCCTGAAAAACTATTTGATTTTATAATAGCTAAGTTCATATTTAAAAATTATTCTTATCTATAAACATTTGTGACATCTTAGTAAACACAACATACTACCAGTGAAGGACAAGAAAACTCACTAAAATTAATTAATGGAACAAATGACAAAACTGACACTATGCAAATTAGTGATAAAAGTAGACGAAACAGATGATTGTGGTTAGCTAGGCTCACTCATAAAGTGACAGACTTCTGTATATAAACCAGAATAATTGTACAAATCAAATTTGTACCTTAGCAAATATAAAATTTTAAATGTCATAGATGAGACATTTAGGAAAAATCCATAAATTTTAAATTTACACATTCCAAGTCTCTGTTATACTTTGTTTAGGAGGGACAAGGACAGATATTAAATTCACTTATGAGAAGATACTCTATGTAGCACAAATAAGTAGGCTACTTGTAAATTCGCTTCCTGTTACTTAAATGATAACAGGCTCCTGGTGGAAAATACATTTAAAAAGAGTCATTTTAAGGTCTTCTATAAACTTTTCTCCCCATAATCACATAGCAAAGAAAAAGAGGTAGAGGAAGTCAGATCCATTTTATATTTATTGAGTATATTTGTCATTGCATTCAATTTATAGGATATAAAGAATGCATCATGAACTTCTAGTCATATAACTCAATATATTTAAGATTTTTCCTTATCTTTAGTTTTTAGTTGTTTTACTACTATATACCTAGGTATGTTTCTCTTTATATTAACCCGGCTTTTGGTTTGCAGTGCTACTCAAATCCATGGTTTAATGTCTTTTGTTAGTTTTGAATAAGTATTAGCCATCATCTCAAATATTACTTTTCCCTATTCTTTCTCTCACTCCCTTCTGAGACACAAAATACATATTTTCTAGACTTTTAAAAATTGTGTCCCATGTCTCTTTCACTTCTTCCCATATTTTTATCATACTGCACATCAGTTTGGATATTTTCCTACCAGTCTATCTTTCAGAAAAAATTCCAAAACCTGAACAAATGAATAATAAGTAACAAAATCAAAGTCATAATAAAGTCTCCCAGCAAAGAAAAGCTTGGAATTTGATGGCTTCACTGCTGATTTTTACCAAACATTTAAAAAAGAACCAATACCAATCTTACTCAAACTATTCTGAAAAACAGAGGCGGAAGGAATACTTCCAAAATCATTATATGAGGCCAGTATTACTCTGATACCAAAACCAGACAAGGACACATCAAAACAAGAAAACTCCAGGCCAATATCCCTGATGAACACATGCACAAATCCTTAACAAAATACTAGCAAACTGAATCCAATAACAAACCTGAAAGATCATTCATCATGGCCAAGTGGGATTTATCCCAGGGATGCAAGATGGTTCAACATATGCAAATTAACCAATGTGATACATTGTATCAATAGAATGAAGAACAAAAACCATATGATCATTTCAATAGATGCTGAAAAAGTATTTGATAAAATTCAACATCCCTTTATGATAAAAACTCTCACCAAGCGGACTTAATAGACGTCTACAGAACTCTCCACCCACAATCAACAGAATATACATTCTTTTCAGCACCACACTGCACTTATTCCAAAATTGACCACATAGTTGGAAGTAAAGCACTCCTCAGCAAATATAAAAGAACAGAAATTAGAACAATCTGTCTCTCAGAATACAGTGCAATCAAACTAGAACTCAGGATTAAGACACTCACTCAAAACCACTCAACTACATGGAAACTGAACAACCTGCTCCTGAATGACTACTGGGTACATAACGAAATGAAGGCAGAAATAAAGACGTTCTTTGAAACCAACGAGAACAAAGACATGACATACCAGAATCTCTGGGACACATTTAAAGCAGTGTGTAGAGGGAAATTTATAGCAGTAAATGCCCACAAGAGAAAGCAGGAAAGATCTAAAATTGACACCCTAACATCACAATTAAAAGAACTAGAGAAGCAAGAGCAAACACATTAAAAAGCCAGCAGAAGGCAAGAAATAACTAAGATCAGAGCAGAACTGAAGGAGATAGAGACGCAAAAAACCCTTCAAAAAATCAATGAATCCAGGAGCTGGTTTTTTGAAAAGATCAACAAAATTGATAGACTGCTAGCAAGACTAAGAAAGAGGAAAAGAGAGAAGAATCAAATAGACACAATAAAAAAAGATAAAGGGGATATCACCACCGATCCCACAGAAATACAAACTACCATCAGAGAATACTACAAACACCTCTATGCAAATAAACTAGAAAATCTAGAAGAAATGGATAAATTCCTGGACACATACACCCTCCCAAGACTAAACCAGGACGAAGTTGAATCTCTGAATAGACCAATAATAGGCTCTGAAATTGAGGCAATAATTAATAGCATACCAACCGAAAAAAGTCCAGGACCGGGCGGATTCACAGCTGAATTCTACCAGAGGTACAAAGAGGAGCTGGTACCATTCCTTCTGAAACTATTTCAATCTATAGAAAAAGAGGGAATCCTCCCTAACTCATTTTATGAGACCAGCATCATCCTGATACCAAAGCCTGGCAGAGACACAACAAAAAAAGAGAATTTTAGACCAATATCCCTGAAGAACATTGATGCAAAAATCCTCAATAAACTACTGGCAAGCCCAATCCAGCAGCACATCAAAAAGCTTATCCACCATGAGCAAGTGGGCTTCATCCCTGGGATGCAAGGCTGGTTCAATATACGCAAATCAATAAATGTAATCCAGCATATACACAGAACCAAAGACAAAAACCACATGATTATCTCAATAGATGCAGAAAAGGCCTTTGACAAAATTCAACAGCCCTTCATGCTAAAAACTCTCAATAAATTAGGTATTGATGGGACGTATCTCAAAATAATAAGAGCTATCTATGACAAACCCACAGCCAATATCATACTGAATGTGCAAAAACTGGAAGCATTCCCTTTGAAAACTGGCACAAGACAGGGATGCCCTCTCTCACCACTCCTACTCAATATAGTGTGGGAAGTTCTGGCCAGGGCAATGAGGCAAGAGAAGGAAATAAAAGGTATTCAATTAGGAAAAGAAGAAGTCAAATTGTCCCTGTTTGCAGATGACATGATTGTATATCTAGAAAACCCCATCGTCTCAGCCCAAAATCTCCTTAAGCTGATAAGCAACTTCAGCAAAGTCTCAGGATACAAAATCAATATACAAAAATCACAAGCATTCTTATACACCAATAACAGACAAACAGAGAGACAAATCATGAGTGAACTCCCATTCACAACTGCTTCAAAGAGAATAAAATACCTAGGAATCCAACTTACAAGGGATGTGAAGGACCTCTTCAAGGAGAACTACAAACCACTGCTCAATGAAATAAAAGAGGACACAAACAAATGGAAGAACATTCCATGCTCATGGATAGGAAGAATCAATATCATGAAAATGTCCATACTGCCCAAGGTAATTTATAGATTCAGTGCCATCCCCATCAAGCTACCAATGACTTTCTTCACAGAATTGGAAAAGACTACTTTAAAGTTCATATGGAACCAGAAAACAGCCCGCATTGCCAAGACAATCCTAAGGCAAAAGAACAAAACTGGAGGCATCACGCTACCTGACTTCAAACTATACTACAAGGCTACAGTAACCAAAACAGCCTGGTACTGGTACCAAAACAGAGATATAGACCAATGGAACAGAACAGAGCCCTCAGAAATAATACCATACATCTACAACCATCTGATCTTTGACAAATCTGACAAAAACAAGAAATGGGGAAAGGATTCCCCATTTAATAAATGGTGCTGGGAAAACTGGCTAGCCATATGTAGAAAGCTGAAACTGGATCCCTTCCTTACACCTTATACAAAAATTAATTCAAGATGGATTAAAGACTTAAATGTTAGAGCTAAAACCATAAAAACCCCAGAAGAAAACCTAGGCAATACCATTCAGGACATAGGCATGGGTAAGGACTTCATGTCTAAAACACCAAAAGCAATGGCAACAAAAGCCAAAATTGACAAATGGGATCTAATTAAACTAAAGAGCTTCTGCACAGCAAAAGAAACTACCATCAGAGTGAACAGGCAACCTACAGAATGGGAGAAAATTTTCGCAACCTACTCATCTGACAAAGGGCTAATATCCAGAATCTACAATGAACTCAAACAAATTTACAAGAAAAAAACAAACAACCCCATCAAAAAGTGGGCGAAGGACATGAACAGACACTTCTCAAAAGAAGACATTTATGCAGCCAAAAAACACATGAAAAAATGCTCATGATCACTGGCCATCAGAGAAATGCAAATCAAAACCACAATGAGATACCATCTCACACCAGTTAGAATGGCAATCATTAAAAAGTCAGGAAACAACAGGTGCTGGAGAGGATGTGGAGAAATAGGAACACTTTTACACTGTTGGTGGGACTGTAAACTAGTTCAACCATTGTGGAAGACAGTGTGGCGATTTCTCAAGGATCTAGAACTAGAAATACCATTTGACCCAGCCATGTCGTTACTGGGTATATACCCAAAGGATTATAAATCATGCTGCTATAAAGACACATGCACACGTATGTTTATTGCGGCACTATTCACAATAGCAAAGACTTGTACCCAATCCAAATGTCCATCAATGATAGACTGGATTAAGAAGATGTGGCACATATACACCATGGAAGACTATGCAGCCATAAAAAAGGATGAGTTCATGTCCTTTGTAGGGACAGGATGAAGCTGAAAACCATCATTCTCAGCAAACTATCGCAAGGACAAAAAACCAAACACCGCATGTTCTCACTCATAGGTGGGAACTGAACAATGAGAACACATGGACACAGGAAGGTGAACATCACACACCGGGGCCTGTTGTGGGGTAGGGGGAGCGCAGAGGGAAAGCATTAGGAGATATACCAAATGTAAATAACGAGTTAATGGGTGCAGCACACCAACATGGCACATGTATACATATGTAACAAACCTGCACGTTATGCACATGTACCGTGGAACTTAAAGCATAAAAAAAAAAAACAACTCTCAAAAAACTGGGTATAGAAGGAACATATCTCAACACGATAAAAGCCATACACGACAGACCCACAGCTGGTACTATCCTGAATGCAGAAAATCTGAAATTCTTTTCTCTAAGTTGTGGAACATGACAAGGATGCCCACTTTCACCAGTATTTATTATTTAACATATTACTGGAAGTCCTAAGTAGAGCAATCAGACAAGAGAAAGAAAAGAAAGAAAGAACATCCAAATTGGAAAGGAAGAAGTGAAATTATCCTTGTTTGCAGATGACATGATCTTATCATATATTTGGAAAAACGTAGAGTCCACAAAAAACTATGAGAACCTAGAAACAAATTCAGTAGAGTTCCAGAATACAAAATCAATATACAAAAATCAGTAGCATATCTATATACAAACACTGAAATAATTTGAAAAAAAAAGTAATCCCCTTTACAAAAGCTAAAAATAAAATAAGTAGGAGTTAACCAAAGAAGTAAAAGAGCTCCATAATGAAAACTATAAAACACTGATGTAAGAAAAGCAGATACAAAAAAATAGAAAGATATTCCATGTTCATGGATTGGAAGAATCAATATTGTTAAAATGTCCACACTACTCACAGTGGTCTACAGAATCAATGCAATCCCTATCAAAATACCAATGACACTCTTCATAGAAATAGAAAAAACAATCCTAAAATTTATATGGAATCACAAAAGACCCAGAATAGCCAAAGCTATCCTGAGCAAAAAGATCAAAACTGGAGGAATCACATTACCTGACTTCAAATTACACTACAGAGCTATAGTAACCAAAAAAGCACGGGACTGGCATAAAACCAGACACACAAACCAGTGGAACAGAATAGAGAGCCCCAAAATAAATCTACATATTTACAATAAACTTATTTTTGACAAAGCTGCCAAGAACATACATTGGGAAAAAAGATAGTCTCTTCAATAAACAGTGCTGGAAAACTGTTTATCCATATGCAGAAGAATGAAGCTAGATCCCTATCTCTTGCAATATACAGAAATGAAATCAAAATGGATAAAAATTTAAATTTAAGACCTCAAACTATGAAACTGCTAAAAGAAAACATTGGGGAAACTCTCCAGGACACTGGACTGGACAAAGATTTCTTGAGTAATACCCTACACAGGGAACCAAAGCAAAAATGGATAAATGGGATCACATCAAGTTAAAAAGCTTCTGTAAAGCAAAGGAAACAATCAATAAAGTGAAGAGACAACCCACAGAATTACAGAAAATACCTGCAAACTATCTATCTGACAAGGGATTAATAACCATAATACATAAGGAGCTCAAACAACTCTAGGAAAAAAATCTAATGATCTGATTTTTAAAATGGGCAAAAGAATAGACATTTCTCAAAAGAAGACATAAATGGCAAAGAAGCTTATGAAAAGGTACTCAACATCACTGATTATCAGAAAAATGTAAATCAAAACTACAATGAGATATCATCTCACCCCAGTTAAAATGGCTTTTTTTCCAAAAGACAGTCAACAACAAACACTGGCAAGGATATGGAGAAAAGGGAACACTTGTATACTGTTCATGGGGATGTAAATTAGTACAACCACTATAAAGAAAAGTTTGAAGAGTCCTCAAAAAACTAAAAATAGTGCTACCATACGATCCAGCAATGCCCCTACTAGATACATGCCAAAATGAAAGGAAATCAGTATACTGAAGAGATATCTGCACTACCATGTTTATTGCAACACTACTCACAATAGCCAAGATTTGGAAGCAACCTAAGTGCCAATCAACAGATGAATAGAAAAAGAAAATATAGTACCTATACACAATAGAGTACCATTCAGCCATGAAACAAGAATGAGACCCTGTCATTTGCAACAGCATGGATGGAACTGATGGTAATTATGTTAAGTGAAATAAGCCAGGTACAGAAAGATAAGCTTGGCATGTTCTCACTTATTTTGGGGAGCTAAAAAATAAATTGAACTCATGGAGATAGAGAGTAGAATGATGGTTACCAGAGGCTGGGAAGGGTTTTTCGGGAGATTGGGGAGGATGGTTAATGGGGGGATGCTTAATCTAAATATAACGAATAAGATCTAGTATTTGATAGCACAACAGGGTAACTACAGTCAACAATAATGTATTGTACATTTAAAAAATAACTAAGAGTATAATTAGATTGTTTATAACACAAAGGATAAATGGATGAATACTCCATTTACACTGATGTGATTATTACACATTGTATGCTTGTATCAAAATATCCCATGCACCCCCTAATATATACACCTACTACGTACCCACAAAAATAAAAAGTAAAAAACAAATCCATCTTTCAGTTCACTAATACTCTCTTCTGCTGTATGTAATCTGCTGAATTGATTTATTGAGTTCTTCATCTCAGTAAATTCTATATTTTCAGTTCTAGAATATCCACTTGATTAATTTTAATAGAATCTGGTTCTTTGGGGAAGTATCTATTTGTTGAAATTATTACAGTTAAAATTTTTAAATTCCTATCTGATAATTCCAATATCTGCCTCACGTATGAATCACTGCTCCCATGATGTTTTTTTCTCTTAATTTTTAGTCATTTGGTCCTGTCTCCTGGCATACTTTGTAATTTTTGTTTAAGTGCCAAACATTGATGCAGAGCAAAGATAAATCACCTTGATCCAATCAAGAATTAAGTTGGTCTAAGGTCTGTTTCAGACTTTCAAGAACTGGCCTATTTCTAGGTTGCCCTACTCCTAGTGAAACACCCTTCAGGGATCTCAAATAAAATCCTAATGTGTTTAACAGGGTCTTTTCTTCATGGTGGTCCCTGAACTCCAATTTTTCTGTGAAAGCCTCATAAGAACATCAAAACTCTGCTTAATACTTTAGCCTCTTAGCAGCTACTTTCAGCTAGGCATCTTAGCCTCTCATTCCACAAAGCTGAGAACTTGGCGAATACCTTGAGGACAAAACCTGTACAGAATAATTTTGTTTCCCTAGCTCAGAGTAAGACAGCTGATAGCTCTAAGTTTCCATTTTCTGTTCGGCCTCTATGCCTTATGCCATAAATTGGCAAATGCTAAATAAAAAACAGAGGCAGAGAAAGTCTAGCTGTCTATAGCATGTTTCTCTTTTCTCTGGGATCTCAGGCTCTCCATCCTGGCTATCATGGTTGTTCTCCATTGCCTTCAAGCAGCTGTTGGTTCTATTTTATGCACTTTTTACAACTGTTCTTGATAGGTAGCTTGGTCTGATACAAGCTACACTGTCTTAGGCAGAAATAAAAGTCTCTTCACTCATTATATTTTAGTCATATATCTTAATCCATTAAAATAACATAATTCTATGATGGAAGAAATTTGGTAATGTTTAAAAAGGATAATGAAGTAAGTAGAAATAACGAAATAAGTAAAAATTGTCACCCCAGAAAAGTTAAAATTAAGTAGTTTTTGACAGAAAACTTTTCAATTTATTTTTAAGTCTGTAATATGAAATATTTTATAAAATATCAAGTGAAATACTTGAGTTTTTCAAGATCTCCCTTTGATAATATAAATCCAGTACCCCATTCAGAGAAATTTATCCTAAGTATGCTTAAACATGAATTGAGAGTCTAATTATAAAAAATAAAAAAGCAATAGCATATAATATATAAAGATTATCTTATATAACTACAGAACCAAACCAGTTTATGTTTAATCATACCTTGTTAATTTCCGTTTCCTTTTGGCAGCAGTAGTCATTGCCATGTAGGATGGCACCATGCTTGGTACAGGCATAGAATGCTTAGTTGAGAATGAAGAAGGATCAAGCCTGTATATTAATAGTGACAAATAAAAAATAATAATTTTGATTTGAACTATGAAGAGAAAAGGAAGCAAATGTGTCCATAATTAGAAAACCATTTGGTATTAATATATAAAGAAAAACATTCTGCTATACTGTAAAGATTCCCTTGCTTGTCCTGGGGTATTCTTTTCTCTTTATAACACAGGTAAAGTTGCTATCAAGAGATTTCTGCATTCCCAGTGGCATAGAATAGTGAAGGTATTTTTCTTTCCATATTTAGATTGGGTATGATTATGCAGATAAAGTGAGAAGGATATGTTTGCTTGGATGACACACATTCAACCATACTTTAGGGGTATGACCATTTCAGAGTAAGTTGAGGTTTGCTAAACATCAATAGAAAGTGTGAAATTTCCTTCAGTGAAAATATTAATGAATAATAAACATGATAATCCTCCAACAATAGCTTGTATAATCCACCTTCAGAGTAAGAAGAACAAACTAAACATATCTTAAGGTCTCTCCTAGACTAACGACGGTCAACTGACTTAAGATATCAAATTTAAGACTTTAAAATATTTTGTTAGTGAATTAATATTCAGAGAGAAAGATAATTAAAATTTAATGAAAATAAAACAGACTGTTTTATAATCAAAATGGCACACTTGGTTTATGAAATAAACCTCAACTAATAGTTGAAAGTCTATGTTAAAAAAAAAGAATTGGCAAATATTATTTTTTTGTACCGTTGTAAAATGTCTTTGTTATCATTTGGTAGTGATTCTTGTTCGGGTAATTTACACTTCGAGCTCTTGATGTCTTCACATATAGTAAATGTAGAGTCCAAGTCCTCCTGTCCACATTCTTTTCTTCTATTATGAGGGATAGCTACTTCACACAACATTTTCAGACAATTATCACTGTTTATGTTTGAGCTGATAGCCTGAAAACTTGTAGTAAATGATGATGGTTTCATTAAGGTTACTGTAGACGGATTTTGAAAAGCTTTTCTACAGTCTTCTGGTGTATATACAATAGGCTGAAGTTCTTTGCTAAGAGAATCATTGAGCTGCACACTTTGAGATGGTGGAGACTTTAGAGTATGCTGTCCTTTCAAGGGAGATGGCATTAGTTTTCTCCGAGTTCTTTTTTCTGTAGGAATCTTAACCAGATTAGTTCCACCTGAAGATGAGCCTATTCAAAAAAATAAAAAAAGACACTCGATAATGTTTCCTAGTTTTTTAAATAACCCCCATTACTTTTAAAACTAAGAAACCCTAATAATAAGGTATTTTTATGCCAATTGATAAAAATCTGAAAAATATAAGTTGGAAAGGAAAATATCACGGTTTACTGCTAAAAACTTTAAATAAAGATAAACTCATTATAAAGAAATTCTATAACAAAAGAATATATTGCTAATATCAATATTAATTTATAGGTATAGCTTTCTTGAGATATTGGGTAATTAGGAAACAAATTATCAATCAATTCCAATAAAATTCACAATTTCTAGCTTTCATGTTTGATTTGGGTTTAAGATGAAAACAGTATTAAACTTTTATAGGCACAGAGGTTAACACTTGTTCCATTGTAAAATATTACCAGTTTATTACTTTTGTTTTGCCTTGTTTTTTAGATTTGCGGGTACACGTACAGGTTTGTTATATGAGTATACTGGGTGATGCTAGGGTTTGGGTGTCAGTGACCAGTTTATTACTAATTGAGTGGAAGTCTAGTCTAAATGAACAAGAATGGCAATAACCAGTAAAATTCTGGGTGAATGAAAGCATTGTTTCTGTTACAGTGTCAGGTATACAGAGTTGACCCTCAGTAGCTGCAGATTCTGCATCTGTGGATTCAACCAACCAGAGACTGAAAATATTCACAAAACAAACAAACAAATAAACCAAAACAATTAAAAAAATATACAATATAACAACCACTTAATGGCATTTGTATTGTATTAGGTATTATAAGTAATCTAGAGATGATTTAAAGTACACAGAAGGATACATGTAGGCTATATACTATGCCATTTTATGTAAGGGACTTGAGTATCCATGGATTTTGGTATCTGGGAGGGTTCCTGGAATCAACTTGCCTGTCCCCAGGATATTGAGAGAAAACTGTAGTCAATTAAGCATTCTAGTTAACTGATTTGTCTCCTGTATCATACATAACTCATAGGTTTGTAAAAACAAGATTTAATACTAAAGATAAATGAAATAATTCAGAGAGTTCAGAGTACTTTCACCCTCATCACTCTGGAGAAGTCAGTCTCCCAAATGTCAAGAGGTCACTAAGTCTGATGATCTTTCTCAGCCTTATCTGATAATTCCTGTAGCTTTTCAAAATTATATCTGTACTATTCTAACATCTGTGTTATTCTCTTCTTCCATCTAGTAAATGTACACATTTCCCTAAGGAGCTGTACTTGACCCTCTAGTTGCCTTGTTCTACACAGTTTCTCATATTTCTAATTATCCTCTTACCATTACCTTCTCTGTCACCTGGGTTCCAAATTACTAGATTTTTTTTTCTACCTTTTCCCTTGCATTTTCCAATGTATACCAATTCTGTCTTTTTTATGCTTATAGTTAAAACATAATTCTGTTCATGTCATCCTTCTGATTAAAGACTTTTTAGTAATCTTTAAATAGAAACAAAATATGCTGATATTTTTAGTTGGGTAATTCTTGGTCCTTGGTCCAAAATTAAGAAACAAATTGTTTCATTAGAATTTATTACCACAATACTAGATTTAGTATTTAATGTTTAACATTTAAAAACACAAACATCTGGTAAACACCTTTTATTAATGCCCCAAATAATGACATATGTAACAATACACTTGATCAACTTCAGTGTGATTATCTTATATTTTTCAATTAACTTTTTTCTACTCTACCTACTTCATTCTGGTGAACTTCATGGTGTCTGACATGAAATACCTTTGCTTGGAGTGTACGGTCAATGGAAGAAACTATTACGTGTATTTCCATTCACGTTGTCTAATCATGAAGTAAAATTCCCAGTTGATATTTACTTTACTGTATAATACTAACTTAAAGAACATTGAAAGCAGAATAAGATAAGTGTTATGCATTTCAATAAAGCAATTCAAACTTTCAACCAAGTTAGAAAATACACTTAAACAATCAGCAACAGTACAAGCACTATTCTTATTATATTAGTTGACAATATGCTCTGCTTTGGCTAGGTTGACAATTACCCTCTAGGAAATAAAATTCAAAAACAGAAGAAAAATATGATCCCTGTTCTACTGAGGAATTTTACTTTTCTGAGAACTAGATAAATGAGATCCAGATCTTAAAATAATTTTCCACTCCCTTTAACATGACATTTGTCAAATTTTCCATTACCAGATATTTTTATACTAATGCTGCAGAGTAAAGACAGTTACTTTTCTCCACTGTGCTGCTACCACCAATTTGGTGGCTATTAATAGCTGGCAGATTAACTTCTTTTCCCATGAGAGGCAGCAGGGGTATAGGGGATAGAAAACTACATGGAGGGTAGAGGACTGAATTGGGAGTCAGGAGACTTGGATTCTATTTCTGGCTCCACCAACAGCTCACCAAGTGACCTTGGGCAACTCACTTAAGCAGTGTGGGCATTAATATCCCCTAGAAAAAAGCGGATATTACCTTTTTATATATGAATAGGATTATATGATAAGGGTTCAAAGAAAGGCTCTAGAAATGCAAATATGTTTCAACTGTTAATATTACAACTTTTACAAGGAGAGTTGTAATTTACTTTCCAATCATCAAAAACTTACTGTTATCTCTAAAACAATATATTTCAAACAGTGCTTCACTTTCAGTTTATCAGATATCCAGTTTATCAAGGCTGATGATTAATATAAACCACAGGTATTATTGAAACAGGTATATATGTTCTTTGCAAATGCAGACCTTATAATAACATTTTAAACTTTAAAATACAATGGAACATGAAATCTCAAGGGACAAGAATTATAGAGTCATTATTTTTTAAAATACATACTTAGCAGGTATAATCTCTGGGAGTGGCAACTGGGCAAATTCCCATCATGGTGGACCACATTTTCCCTACTGCTAGTAAAGAGTGATAAAAATCACAGTCTTCTGGTAGAACACTGAAGAAATATCCACGTGTCCTCTGGGATAATCTAAGCATACACCCGACATCAAATTTAGTATGATCAGACTGACTAACAATTTGTCAGTAAAAGGAATAGTGGTGTTACAGTGATATATCTTTAGCTATAATCCTGCTCTCCTGGCAGAGTATAAGCTGAAGGAATAGCATGGAGATGTGGTAGTTAATGTGGATTTACATACAATTGTTTTACTGGGCCTAGAAGAAGAGATGCTACAGACACACAACATGTATATGATATAAATCTAAAGAGTTCTTTTCATTCTCTCAATTATTAAGTTCAGATAAAATAAAAGGGCAGAAGGCAGATGGTCAATTCAGAACTACTTAGGCTGATTAGTTGCTTAGAAAGCTTCAGGAGCTAACCAGAGCAAAAACAAAATTTAAAGGTTTAAATAAAAATTTAAGTCAATCTTCTGTAACTATAAACATAAAAGGAAAATGACCCAACTTAATGAAAACTAAAAGCATAAACAACTAAATTTTACTCTGAATACAATTTTTATAATATATAAATACAATTACATAACAAATAATTATTATCCTTTAGCTAAGTTAGGTAATAAAGAACTTTATGTGGGTATGGCAAGTGGAGAGTGTTGAGTTGGGGGATCAGAAAGTTCAATAGGCTATAAGAACTGTTGGATATGTTAGGTCTATGTCTATAAAAGAGATCTGCTGTACTTTTCCATTAGAGGAAAAGGGTGTACAGTAAATTTCCAGAAGAGCAGGCATGGGACAGTTGTAGTTTCCCCTGATTCAGCTTGGGAAAACACTATCTAACAATATTCCATAATTCTTGTGCTTATAGAGTAGAAGTGATAAGAAGGAACTTGGAGGCAGATTATAATTCCTTCAGAAAGGCCCCATAAAATGAGAAAATGAATCACAAAGTTGCAGGCTGTGCCTTGCAGAACAAGAGACCATATAGATGATGATAGCCCATAAAATACCCTAGCAACGTGGGTGCTACACAGAAGGGAACAGGAAATTAAAAATGCATTGTTATAAGGCACGCTCTTGCAAACTGGAATAGGGAAGACTGGCAGTCACTTGGGAAGACATATCTCTAGGGTCTATCTAAGGAACTAGTCCAGTGTATCATATACTTAAATATAAGAGGTAGTGGGTAGCAATGTATGTTATGGTTTCTGAGTAATTTTGCTATTTCCACAACATCTCTTGAGACTTTAACTCCTCAACATATTGTAAGTGTGCTCCATTTCTATTACCTTGAATGATTATGACCCATGGGATGTAAGTGAATAGGACTTTTTGAAATTTATGCCCAAATAATAACAGGAAGCATAATGTCAAAAAATTTAAAAGAAAAAAATCACTACTACTATTTTGAATCCAGGATCAACATATGTTTTATTTATGAAAAAAAGTTGTAGTCAGCTATGGTACAAAAGCAACAATCTAAAAGGAGTACACCTGCATAAAAAGAATTCACTGTTCATCCCACCCAATATTTATTAAGTACCTACCATACCATGCTAGGTACAGTGGTAAACAAGACAGTTAAGAATTTACATTTTTGAGGGGAGAAGGCAGATGACAATAAACAAATAAAATAAATTAGGATGATAAATTAATTGTAAAGACAATAAAACAGAGAAATGGAATAGACAGTGATGGGAGATAGGATGTTTTAACTATGATGGCTAGAATAACAATTCTAAGGATGGAATATGTGATCTGAGACTTGAATGGCTAAGGAGGCAGTTCTATGAAGATCTGGGGGAAAAGGCAGAAAAAATAGCATGTGCAGAGATCCAACGGCAACAATGAATTTGTTGAGCTCGAGGAAAAGAGGCTAGTTTGATTGAAGTGCTGTGAGTTAGAGGGACAGGCAGAATAAGAGGCTAGAGAGATCAAAAGGGGCAACTTATGTTAGGATTTATGGACAAGACAAGGGTTTTTATTTATTCCAAGTGTAAAGGGAGATCTGTGGAGGGTTTCAAATATGGATATAATGTGATCTGATTGATGTTTAGGAAAAAGAGTGATTTGCTTGCTGTGTCAAGAATGGTCAAGAGAGAAAACAGAAAAATCGGTAACAAGGCTATTGCTATAGCTTAAGCAAGAAATGACAGCTTGGGTAAGAGTGGTAGGAGCAGTGATGGAGAGATGTGAGAAGGGTATTATAATATCTATATATGTAATTAGCTGCCTTATAATAAAGAGTTCACAGAAAGTAGTATATATTAATTCTACATAAGTAAATTAAGAGAAATTGACAATGCTCCATAAAACCATGAACCATTTATGCATGTCATTCCCTCAACTTTGGCATTCTTTTTTTTTTGACATCCCCTTCCCTCTACTCCCACTCATCAAGCTTGGGATCCTGTCCTCTATTCAGGAGTTCTGATCCATGTAACTGTAGGAGTCCTGGAATCTGCATTTTTCCCTTTCTAGTTTGGACACTCATAGAGACTTGAGGCAGTAGAAACTCTTTGGGGTTTGAGGCTGTGATTTCTTATTCAGAGACGATGAGTGTTATTATTATGCTGAGGTAGGGGAAAGGAAAGAAAAGGAGTAAGGATAAGTAGGAAACAGTCCTAGAACAAAAGTAGCAGATAGAGACAGTATTGAAAATGAAGTTCACCTCCTAGGAAGTTGTACCAAAGGCAATTAATGGGTAAGATTTAAGTTGGTAGAATGATGTTAAAAACAGCATCTCTTTTTAGGTTAGGCACCCTACTGTCTCTGCATATTCATCTCTGGACACTCCCAAACAATTAAAACAGGTTTATAGACAGTTCCAGGCATAGACATACTATGTTTTCAGATACAAGGTCTAATTGCTCCTCTTATAATATTTTGTTAGTATAGCATTCAGTTCTTTAAAAAGGAGCCAATGCATTTTGATCCATGTTTAAGGAAGCTTGAAAATGCAAAATGCAAACTTGTAATGAATGAGTTTTGATAAAAGAATATACATATTAGAATCTTTTCTTTTTGATAGGGAAGGAATTTAGAAAGACACTGGCTGCTTGAAGAATTTCTCACTAGAAACAGTACTTGGTTGGCACACTTGAGAAATACCCATAGTACAAGGAGGCATTTGAAGGTTAACTGCAAAAGACAATTTTAACCAAAGTGATAACCTGAATAGAGGCATCTAGCGCCCACTCAGATTCCCTTTAAAATGATCACATCATTAAAAAAAGGGTAAACTTGACCTAATGTTGGTAATGGGAAAACATTATCATCTGAGTGCCAGAACATTAGAGGACTTTCTAAAGAGTATTGTATAGCTCAGACTCTTAAGGGAAGGCATGGAGGAGAATGACTTATAGTACTCCCTATCCTTTACCCTTCAGTGCTATCCCAAGGAGTTAAGTAAAAGACACTGGCAGATATCAGTAAAGGGCCTTAAATTAGAACCAGGGATGATGGGGTAAGGTGGGAGTTGGGGAGAATGAGTGAGACACAGCTATGCAATATAGTAAAATGGCAACATCTGAACACTAAAAGTAGCGCTAAGAGGCTCTAAAATTCAGTCCTGGCTCAGTTGTTTCAGTGCAGAAAAAAAATATTAAAAAGTACCCGATATTATCAGGCTTGTTCCCATCACTGTTGGCTATATCACACATGGATGAGATACTCTTGGGCAAAGGGGCAGATTTCTAGCTGAGACTACCTGTGGCTCTGGTTCCTTCCCTACATTCCCTGGGCTGTTGGATCAGTGGACAGGAATATATTTTTTCCCCTTAATTTTACAGGAAAAAACATAATTATAATAAGCAAACAGAAAACTCACTGGACCTATAAAAAGAAAATGTAAAGAAATGACAGAACTGGCATACAAACTCAGACCTTTTGCTAATCCAGATGCCAAGTTCTTCACCACCACACAATGCTGAGCCCCTACCACAGAAGTTAATTAAATCACTTAGGCAATGACTAAATAACTAAATGAACATGAACATCCACAATTACACTGATATTTAAAACTATATTTTATAGATTATTTGATGATATAAAAAAATGTTCATTAATGAGGTAGTATACAGTATGATCCCAATTTTGACAAAACAAAAACAAAAACAAAAACAAAAACCAAATCAAAGCGCACAAACCTCCTGAGCAAAAATGGGGGGAAAAGTAATAGAAAACAGAGAAGGAAATATAATCCAATTCATCAAAATGTTAACACAGGTTTATAGCTCACTGGGAAAATAATGAATTATTTTATTTTCCTTTTTATACATTTGATTATTTTATATAATAAATATAATCCTGCTCTGTAAAATAATAAATGACCAAAAAAAAAAAGGGGGAATAATGTTTGGGGTGGTGGGTAGGAAGCCAATAAAAAATCAGCTCTTTCAAACCTCTGAAGATCTCAGGAACTGAAGGCATGAGGTTGTCTCTGAAAGCACAGGGTGGAGTTAAAACAGGAGAATTCTTGGAAGTCTGTATAAGGAAGTTGGATTCCCAGATCTCCCTTACCCCATTACCATCACCTACATTGCTAGGTAACTGCTCCTTTGTTACCCTATTAAAAGACATGAAGTTTTACTCTCTGGATAGGCTGTAGACTGGGGCCAACATGCACAGCTGACACTAGGTGCATTAAATAATTTCTTAATAATAAATATATGCTGATTTTTCTCCCACTTCTCTGTAATACTGGTAGCCAGGCCCATATACCCCCTAAATGGAAAATCAAAAAGTTCTTTGTAAATGAAACATAAAAATAAAAAAGATGGACATCTGTAGGTTCCCCCAGATTGACTAGTTTTCTGGAGATAACTATAAATCAGAGCTTTGTTTAATAAGTCCAACCCTAGTTTTGTAATAGTTACTCATTAATAGTTTAGCAAACATTTTTAAAATATTTATATGATGCTTTAAGGCATCCTATAAAAAACTGAAAGTATGCGTTTCAGGATAAAGTGGCGAGTGTTCTATTCATCTGTTCCTGCATTATGGCTAGAGATTCCCGCTTCAAAAAGTTTGTTTACTGTAAGTCCAAAGACAGACTTAAAAAGGAAGTTAGACAAAAACATTTTGTTGAGACTGCCAAGTTTTAGAAGCCTCTCAAAAGACTTTTAAGTATTAAAACCACTTTTAAAATTAACTGTAAATGCATGCACTGAAATCATGGATTAGATGGAGAAGAAATACAAATATTTTCATCAATAACCCAGGTTCTAAAACAATGTAACATGGATTACAACAGAAGTATATTAACATTAGTATTATAGAGTATTAAATTTGCTATTAATAAAACCACAGCTAAAAATAAAAACAAAAACAGTGAAATCATAATGAAAACATAATTAATTTGCATGACAAACTACATTTGCTAAGTGGTTATAAAAATTATAAATAAATATTTGGTGAGTGGTTAAGTGGTTAAAAAAGTAAACAAAGTTTGGATATTCATCTGCCATTCACTATCTCTCAAATGTGTAGGATTTTAAGACATATAATTGATGAATGGTAGTGTAATAAAAGCAATAAATTGGGCATTTTGATTTTGACAATAAAACATAGGATAATCTGATGAAGTACATAAAAAAGACTTGAAAAAAGTTTGATAAATTGACTGCCTATACCTCAAGAGAAACATCTACAAATGTATTTATTGGTGGTATTGCTCTTTAAGCTACTTAAGTCTACCTATAAGGACAATCAATCTACTTCAGTATTTGCATCTTTCAAATATTTCAATTCTCCAGGAAGTCTATCTCACAGATTTGGCTGAGGACTGTGAAACGTTTCCAGTAAAAAGCAGAAAAAAAGGAAAAAAAAAAAGAGATGCTTCATGTCTGTTTCCCTAAAATTAGTTTTAAGAAATGTCAGTATATTCTTACTTCTAATAAATGTTTTAAATAATATTTTATTTAATTATAAAATATTTCCTTAAGTAGGCTCTAAATGTTACACATATTAACATATGTATAAATATAATGTGAAATTGCATACTTTATGTATATATTATATAACATACACATGTCACTTCTTACCTGATCCTGCTAAAATACATTAGCAAAACCAGAGAAGAAATAAGGTGGCGGTGTTGTAAGTGAGCTAATTCTTCATCTCTCATGATTAGAAGTTATAACATCTAAACACTAATGAATCAAGAAACAGCAGTATAGCATACTGTTTAGAAATATTGTAGGTTGCAACCTACTCATCTGACAAAGGGCTAATATCCAGAATCTACAATGAACTCAAACAAATTTACAAGAAAAAAACAACCCCATCAAAAAGTGGGTGAAGGACATGAACAGACACTTCTCAAAAGAAGACATTTATGCAGCCAAAAAACACATGAAAAAATGCTCATCATCACTGGCCATCAGAGAAATGCAAATCAAAACCACAATGAGATACCATCTCACACCAGTTAGAATGGCAATCATTAAAAAGTCAGGAAACAACAGGTGCTGGAGAGGATGTAGAGAAATAGGAACACTTTTACACTGTTGGTGGGACTGTCAACTAGTTCAACCATTGTGGAAGTCAGTGTGGCGATTCCTCAGGGATCTAGAACTAGAAGTACCATTTGACCCAGCCATCCCATTACTGGGTATATATACCCAAAGGACTATAAATCATGCTGCTATAAAGACACATGCACACGTATGTTTATTGCGGCACTATTCACAATAGCAAAGACTTGGAACCAACCCAAATGTCCAACAATGATAGACTGGATTAAGAAAATGTGGCACATATACACCATGGAAGACTATGCAGCCATAAAAAATGATGAGTTCATGTCCTTTGTAGGGACATGGATGAAATTGGAAATCATCATTCTCAGTAAACTATTGCAAGAACAAAAAACCAAACACCGCATATTCTCACTCATAGGTGGGAATTGAACAATGAGATCACATGGACACAGGAAGGGGAACATCACACTCTGGGGACTGTTGTGGGGTAGGGGGAGGGGGGAGGGATAGCATTGGGAGATATACCTAATGCTAGATGACGAGTTAGTGGGTGCAGCGCACCAGCATGGCACATGTATACATATGTAACTAACCTGCACAATGTGCACATGTACCCTAAAACTTAAAGTATAATAATAAAAGAAAAAAAAAAAGAAAAAAAATATTGAAATTAAATGAAAAAAAAAAAAAGAAATATTGTAAATACTGTCTGGCTGTGGTGGCTCATGCCTGTAATCCCAGCACTTTGGGAGGCTGAGATAGGTGGATCACCGGAGGTCAGGAGTTTAAGACCAGCCTGGTAAATGTGGTGAAACCCCTTCTCTACTAAAAATACAAAAAAATTAGCCGGGCCTGGTGGTGGGCGCCTGTAATCCCAGCTATTTGGGAGGCTGAGGGAGGAGAATCGCTTGAACCTGGGATGCAGAGGTTGCAGTGAGCCTAGGTCATGCCATTGCAGTCCAGCCTGGGCAACAAGAGCAACACTTCGTCTCAGAAAAAAAAAAAAAAAAAAAAAAGAGAAAGAAATATTGTAAATATTGTAAGTTTGTTATATATAATCATCCAGCATATATTCCAATAGAAAACAGAAAAATCCCCAGTAATTTTATATCTTCCTAAGGATAGTTTTAAGAAATGTTGGAAATGTCCTTAAAACAGTTGTCAATGACAAGTCAAATCCAAATAATTTGAAACCAAATGCTTGGTTTTAGTCCATCGCTACAAGAAAAAAGGAATAAACTTACACACAAATGTTTCCTAATAGCAAAAACTGAAAGGCTCAAGCAAGATAAGGCCTTACGTACTTTAACTATGACATTTCTATGTCATGGGAATTATATAGTTTAGCAATCTATATCTATTTTTCACTGAATCTCTACTTTAAAAGAGTGGTCCTAACTACTGGCCACCAGGAAAGTTACAATGGGGATCATCTTATACAAACAACCAGAATTTAGTACTAGATGGTTTTAGTGTTTATTTAAACTTCATTATTTTATAATTTGTTGCTCACAGCAAGAAAATG
Source organism: Homo sapiens (assembly GCF_000001405.40). Classification (NCBI taxonomy): domain Eukaryota; kingdom Metazoa; phylum Chordata; class Mammalia; order Primates; family Hominidae; genus Homo; species Homo sapiens. Next base: position 28,047,588 of record NC_000011.10, read on the forward strand.
ACATTCTCAAAGTCATGATAGCAATTATATTTGTTGTTGCCAGAGTTGGAGTCATGTTTCTTATTTTCCAGGTAGAAGTCAGGTAAAAAGTAATGCAAGTAATACAGAGTAATAACATATATAATAAACATAATGGAGACTTAAAAAAATAAAACTTTCTTCACAGACTCAAAAATATGAATAGGAGGCAACATACTACTTCATTGCTCCCAAAATGAAATGCTATTTCCTATTATTACTGAAAAGAGAAAGTAGGCAAATAAAATATGAATATCTTCATAACTTAAAATTGGGTTACATAAAAATCAAAACCAACCATGAATAAGAGAGAAAAAAATACATGTAACACATTTGGCAAAGGATTTAGAGCTCGTGTATGTGTATGTATGTATGTCTATGTATACATGTGTATATAGGTTGGCTGGTCTGTCTCTGAGAGAAATAATTCTTACAAAACAAAATGGATAAGAGCAAAATAAGGCAAAGGAAGAGGCAGTTAATTCAGAACAAACTATAACTAGACAAAAAGCACATGAAAAAATGTTCACCTTCACCTTCATTACCCACTTACAATGGTAGACTACACTTATAATAGTTCTGGGGGTGGGGAATCTGACAATGCATATCTAATGCCTTTAAAGTATACATACTGTTTGATTAAGCTATTCTTCTTCTAAGGGCTTAGCCTAAGGAAATAATTAGGCAAGTTGCAAAATAAATACACATGCACAGACATTTAATGGGGTGTCGCTTGTAATAATAAAGTGAAAACAAACTAAATGTTAATTAGCAGGAGATTAGGCAAATATAATATGCAGCTATTAAAAATGACTTAAATTCATATTCGTTGATAGCAAAATGTGTCTACAGCAAGTAGTTCAGTGAAAAAGAGGCTGGTTATCAACTATATATATATAATAGATTCCACTGTTCTTGTTTTAAAAAAGCAAACCACAAATGTATGCTTAGAAAAAAAGTTCAGTAGGCTATTAAAACTAAATACTAATATAAGTTAATAAAGTATATCTTGTTTCTTTTGGCTTCACTTTTTTCCAAATTAAAATAAACAAATATTTATTGCTAAGACAGTAACAAGGTTAAAACACTAGTGAAAGGAATAAAAAACTTAAAAGCCATGGGAATACAGATGAATATATGCAGGCAAAGGAAAGATGATCCATTAAAAGGAAGATTTAATAAAGAAGGAAGTATCTGAATTGGACTCTCATTGTGGAGAAAGATTTAGGCCAAGAAGTGGGATGGATGTAGAGAAAACAAGCATTTGAAATTGATGGAAAAGCTTGGAAATTGCAGAGGCCAGAAACAGAAATCATGATAACAGAAGGTTGGGATACAAGGTGCTGGACAAAAGTATGCCTATAGCTTGACACTGGACTTGGAAAGCCTTTGAAGACTCTTCTGAGAGGTCTACACTTTATTAGGAAGATCACTTTGTTGGCAGTGTGAAGTGTAGACTGCAGTGGAAAGAGACAAGAGAAATTAAAACTAGTTTAGATGTCACTATATTATTCATTTCTTATGCCAAATTTTCTAAAAATATTTTAAAATAAATTAAGAAACATCTTTTTCTCTCTTTGTTTTAAATAAATCTCTAAAACATAATTGCTAAATGGCAATTCATGTGGTTTCTTAAGTAGAGGGGGCTTTATATTTATTTTTCAGCTTTTGGAAATATTTCACAGATGGTTCCTTTACATAAAATAAAGAGACTAGATAATTTATCACTAATGGGTTTAAAATCCCTCTCTTAAAAATGGGCAGGGCTTTTGGGGTCATCTTTTGATGTGCCATATCATGTGTTCTGAATGATTTTACCCAGAGGAAGTAATTTATCAAAAGTTTAAGACTGTAAACGTTAAGAGATTTATAGAGCTGTATGTTATTGTAAAGGAAGAATGCGGTATTTAGCAAACATGAGTCATAGGCTGCAAAGTAGGGTTCATGACAGGGAGACATTGATGAATGGGATTAGATCTAATTGAGGTTTGGTACAAAACGATGGCAAGGATTCTTCCTTTGCAAGCAAGCACTCCTGTTAATATGTACGTGAGGAGAAATTCTGGGAAACTGTGCTAAATCAAAATTAGTTGGCAAAGTTCTAAAGTGAAATCAAATATTAATGTATACATTTCAATAAAAACTTCTAGGCTACAAATGATTGATACAATTAGTGTACTCATCATAAATCTGGATTCTTTTTAACAGCCTTATGACTCATGGAATTCATAGTTGCAAATGATACAGGTAAATGAATTTTAACTATTTATAAGATACGTAAACTTATCTTATAAGATAAAGTACCATTAAATTAACCAAATATAAGATAAGGTACCACTAAATTAACCAAACTAATAAACATTTTATAATACACTTATGAGACACTCTCATGGTTAGGGATGTATAATAGTTCCCTAATACATAGGGAACTATTGTCCTAATACATAGGGAACTATTATAGTCCTTTAAATTAATCCAGCACTTTGAATAATAAATCAACCCATAACCTTTTGATATTTTTTCTGTGGGAAATAGCAGATATCATGTTTCTCTCTCAGTTTCATTTTCTCAGTATTTACACTTACCAAAGATGGAAAAGAAGGGACAATACAAAGAACCTTTTAATTCACAGTAATATTTGCAGCTATAGATGAATAACTAAATACTGTCTTATGTACATGGGGATGATAAGTCAAACAAAATGTATTTAGGGATACAAGCATGATTTCCATTGTTTCATGATTAAATTTTGTTGCCAAATGGAAAAAATATGGAAGATTTGGTTTATTAACATTTTCCTGCTTTATATTTGTTATATGAGAAATTAGTATAGAGATTTCCTATCTTTCAAATGAAATTTCCTTGTATTCAAGTAATTTTAGGGGAAACTTAAACTTATGTGTGAACTCTATATTCAATCAGAATATTGGTACTATGTTAAGAGACTGGTTCTCCTAGTATCTTTTATTGTACTTTAAGATAAAATCACTGACATTGGGTGCAAAATTTTAAAAAAGGAAAGGTTACAGACAGAAGTATTACCAAATGTGAGTTTCCAGATGGATAATGAGGAAATCTTGACTTTTCATTTAATGTCAGAAATTTTATCAGTTCCATAAATAAATTTTGCTGTCAGCACCCCCGTCTTGCACTACACTTAGTGAGTGTGCTATCTATTTTCCAGACCCCAAAATAGGTACATATTTTACTCTTAGTCAATACACTTGTAGTTTGAAGGTAAAGATTTCACGTCAAATAAATATCTATTCAAAAATCAAGTCTATTTATTAGAAAATAATTAAAATTCATAAAATTTACAAAATTAGTTTCTTCCAAAATAAGAATTTAGGCTTATTAATTTAAGAAAAGTAAAAAGTAGTCTATGTCACAAAAATACAAAATATTGTATCTAGGGATCTATTCAGTCAAATTTATAAAACACTTACGAAGAAAACTCTGAAACTTTGCTGAGGAACATACAAAAAGATATGCATACAGGGAGACAAACTATTCTAGAGTACGAAGATTTGATATTGGAAATATGTGAAGTCAATTTATGAATTAAAAAAATTTCATTTCCTTGAAACTGGAAATTATTCTGATATTCATTTCCTAGACAAAGCAAAGAATATTTTTCAGACAAAGAATAATGAAGAAGGGCTAGCATACTATATAAAAAAAACTATAAAGTATCACATATTAAAATAATAGCTACTGGCCCTAAGACAGACAAACAGGTGAAACAATAGAGTAGAAATTGAGTAAACAGAATTATATATGACTACTTACTGTACAAAAAACACAGTGGCTGTTAAGGATGCATTGCCAATATATCTATATAAGAATGCTAGTCTCCTTGGAAAAAATAAATTTAGATTCTTGCCTATCATTTAACACCAACATAAATTAGGAGAAAGTGGAAACAAAAATTTAAAAGCTTATGAATGGAAAGGCCTTTTGAGGAAAGATCCCGAAGGCAGTAAGAGAGAGAAAAAAGCTATTTTACTACATAAATGTTTTAACTTTCAGCATTAAAAAGGAAACCTCAAACAAAAGCAAGAATAAGTGGCAAATCTTGAAGGGTATAGTTATACTATGTATATTACAGGAAAAAGTTAATATCCCTTAGTGATTTCATCCTGTCCTATGGCTTTAAATATCATCTAAATGTTAACAACTCTCGAATTTATGTTTTAGCTTAGACTTCTCTCCTGAACTTCAGATTCTTAACTGCCTACATGATGTCTCCACTTGGATGTATCTTAGACAAATTTAACATGCCTAGAACTGAACTCCTAATTTTCTACAACCTCCACCCTGTATACCTGCTCCATCTGAAGTCTTCCTTATCTCTCTGAAGGTGACTCAATTCTTTTAGATGCTAAGTTCCAAAATTTTAGATTCAGTCTTAAGCATTTCTTTCTCTCCTATTCCAAATCTAATTTTCTTGGAAATCTTGCTGGCTCTACCTTCAAAACATTTTAGAATCTGACCACTTCTCACCAGCTCCAATGCTATTATCCTGGTCTGAATAACCTCCATCTTTTGCCTGGGTTATTCTAGTGCCTCCTCATGTTTCAGCCCTTGCCATAGTATAATCTATTCTCACCACAGCAGTCAGAGAGATCTTTTAAGAGCACAATTGAGGTATGTTACATTTCTGCTCAGACCATGTCATGGCTCCTTGTTTTATTCAGAGTAAAAGACTAATTAAGTCCTGATAGTAACCTACAAGGCCCTATGTGATCTGCCTTCCTTCCCTTTATCTCTCTGATCTCCTCACTACTTTCATTCTCTTTTTCTTTGTACCAGTTATATATCCTCACCAGCCTTTGAATATGTCAGGCAAATTCCTATGTTAGAGATTTTGCACTGTGATTGTGTCCCTCTACCTAAAAAAGTTTCTTCTCCCAGATATTCATATAGCTAGTCCTGTGAAGTCCTTCAAGTTTTATCAGTGAGATCCTCCCTGACCATGCTACTGAAAATAGCAATCTCTCTCCTCCCTGGCCACACTCCTGAACTCCCTTTATTTCTTTCTTATAGCATGTAGTACCTCCTAGCATTCTGTTTAATTTATTTACTATATTATTGTCTTTCTCTACTAGAAGTGAGCTCCTTGAGGGTGGTGGAGTTTGTTTCATACTTTGATCCCTATCATCAGACAAGTGCCTGAAATACTGCTGTAAGTTAAACACTGTTGAATGAATGAAAAAAAACCTACACTTAAGATCTTGTAAAAAAGTAACGATTGTTACTAAAGATGACTATATCAGAAAAATGTCAAAGGATGGCTGGGCAATTCACAGAAAAAAGACTCTTCAATTAAAAAAAACACACTCAACTATATTAGTAATGAATATGGAAAAAAGATAGTATTTATGACTATTGGCAAAGTATCAACAAGCATTGCCATTACTTTCAATGATGAAAACCACAATTACTTCTGCACTAACCTAAAAATTAGCAAAGACAAAAGTGGGAGAGAGTGTCCAAGATTAAAAAAGACTGCATAGGCATGAACCTTGTTTGTATCTTAATTCAAACAAATCATAGAAACAAATAATTTATGAGACAATGGGGGAAATTTGCACACATTAGATATTTGATGACATTTTTCTTTTATACACACTTGATGTAAATGGAAGAAATGATGTGCTGTCTGAGATCTACTTTTTTTTGTTTTGTTTTTTGAAATAAAACTTTATTTATTAACACTGAAATTTGAATGTTTTATAATTATCAGGTGTCACAAAATATTTTTCTAATTTTTTCCAGTCATATACAAATGTGAAAAAAAAAATCTTGGCACATGGGACATAAAAAACAGATAGTGAATCAGCTTTGGCCTGCAAGCTACAACTAAATGAATCCTAATCTTTTTTTAATTTTATTATTTATTTATTTTTTAATTATACTTTAAGTTTTAGGGTACATGTGCACAACGTGCAGGTTAGTTACATATGTATACATGTGCCATGTTGGTGTGCTGCACCCATTAACTTGTCATTTAACATTAGGTATACCTCCTAATGCTATCCCTCCCCCCTTTCCCCCACCCCATAACAGGCCCCAGTGTATGATGTTCCCCTTCCTGTGTCCATGTGTTCTCCGAGATCTACTTTAAAATAATCTAGTGTAAGAGCTGGGGTGGAGGAAAGCAGATGGGTTTTCAAGACTAGACATGAGCTGATAAGTTTTAAAGTTAGGTGTTGGGCACATGGTACTCATAGTATTCTTTGTGCTTATATACATGTTTGTAATTGATTTACTAAAGGTAGAAATTAAAAATATTTTAACATCAAAAGCTGGTGAGGCTAAAAAAAAAAAAAAAGCTCCTTCATTTATACTGCTTGATGGGGGTTAAATCACTTGAAGGAGGAGAGTTATTTGGCAATATATATTTCAAATTTTGCATAATGGGCATTTATCTTGAGCCAGAAATTTTACTTCTAAGAATTTATTGTAGGGATAGTCAGATATGAGCACAAAGATAAATATACATATTTGCTTACTAAAACATTATTGGCAATAATAGTGAAAATTTATTAAACAACCCAAATGCCCAACAATATAGACTATATTCATTATAGTTAATCTCATCAGATTTTTTTTTTTTTTTTGAGACAGAGTCTTGCTTTGTTGCCTAGGCTGAAGTGCAATGGTGCAATCTCGGCTCACTGCAGCCTCAACTTCCCAAGCTGAAGTGTTCCTCCCAGTTCAGCCTCCCAAGTAGCTAGGATTACAGGCATGGGCCACAATGCCTTGCCAAGTTTTGTATTTTTTGTAGAGACAGGGTTTCGCCCTGTTGCTCAGGCTGGTCTTGAACTCCTGACTCAAGCGATCGGCCTGCGTCAGTCTCCCAAAATACTGGGATTGCAGGCGTAAGCCACTGTCCCTGGCCCAGATTCTTAAAAGCACTGCATGTGTGTGTATTTAAGTAAAAAGAATATAGTTAATCTAGTAAATACTTTTAAAGGTCCCTAAGGCACTTGAACTCACTTATAAACACCGTTCCTATTATTCCTCCTTGACACTATTAGTCATGTATACAACATACATAATTCATGAAATGGAAAATACATAATAAATAAATAGTTGATCTCTAAAATCATTTGAATGAAATAGTAAAGTAACGAACCAAGAACAAAACATTATAAAAACAAAACTCACCTTCTAATATGTGTTCAAGAGAAAACACGTTAATTATAAAATGTAACATGGCTTCAAGTCTTTCCTTCAAAAATATCATGAGAAGGAATTAAGAGTCAAGTAAATTCTTTTGTTTTATTGTTGACAAGTATAGTCTGTGCAATTATACTGTATGTGAAATATAGATTTTTAAATAAGGAATAATGAGCATCATATAGCAGGTGGTCAGTATTTCTCAATCTTGGTGTTAAAATCCTATTTCCTTTCTAACATCTTGAGTACATTATAAAAAATGAATCATGCCCGAAAGGTATGAGAGAATCTGAAAAAAACTTAAGTTTTGCTTTCCAGAGATCACAACTAGGTCAGGTCTAATGCTTTATTAAAAGAAAAAGAATACATATGTGTATATACAATATATATGTTTTAAGATAATCTATCCAACTTCCGTATTTTCTTAATGTAAAGGTATAATATAGGGAACTTCTGCTAATAATAAAGATGGAGATAACTCAGACCAACCTTTCTTCTGAAGGCAACTAAAAGTCTGGACAAAATATAAAAAACATCTGTTTGAAGGCACTGGATTATTAATAAGATGGTGAAAAATTACAGGTGAGTATCAGGAGGAAGCTGGAGGCTCAGGAAAGTAATTTCTGCAATTTCAGCTAATTTCCCCTTGAGGTTGTTTGCTTATGCTGGAAGAGCTGGCAGAAAAGCATAGCAACAGTGCTAAGAGCTTTGGGGGAATAGGGTGCTGGAACTGGAATTTAGGATCTTTGTAAATCTTCCTTGCTTTGAGTTGGGACTCTGAACAGCTATACTGTAGAGGGCAAATCAGAAATAGGCAGGACCTCAGGAAACTACAGTTTAGTATCAAATTACCTCAGTCTCTGAAATAGGACTGAGGTGATTCTGAATTGCTAATGCTACCTAGAATATGAAAGAAGGAACTGTAAATATTCTCTGAGATATTTAATATCATGATCAGATGCATCAAAATATTCTGCAAATAATTTTGCAAATACCTGACTGGCACACAAAAAATTTGCATGCATATGAGGAATTAAGACCACATGCAAGAAAATCAGTCTAAACAGATCCAGTGGTTACAGACTTTGGAATTCTCAGACACAGACTTTAAATTATAGTTGTCTCTCAGTATCTGTGAGGGATAGGTTGCATGACCATACTAAAATTCATGGATGCTCATATCCTTTATATATAAAATAATACAGCATTTGCACACAACCTATACAATCCTCCCATATGCTTTAATAATCTCTAGATTACTTACAATACCTAATACTATATATATATACTATGTAAATAGTTATGATGCATTGTTCAGGGAATAATGACCAAAAAAAGTCTATATGTTCAGTACAGATGAAACCATCCATGTTTTTTTTTTTTTTGATTAGTTGGTTGAATCCATGGATGCAGAACCCATGGAATATGGATGGCTGACTATAATTATACCCTTTGTGCTTAATAACAATTTTTGCAAAGATATGAAACTATAAAAAAGAATAAAATGGAAATTCCAGAATTGGAAATATAGCGACTGAAATTAAAAATTTTATGGATTTAAGGATCATTTGATAAAGCTGAAAAAAGAAAGTAAACTGAAGAATGTGAGAAACAAAATTATCCAGGAAGAGAAAAAAACATTAAAAGCAAAAGAGTAAAGGGCATAGACAATACAATGGGAAAGTGCCATGCAATATAATTGGAGTCCCAGAAGTAGAGGAGAGAGCAAAAGTGACAAAAGCAATAGGTGAGGAGATAATGGTTAAGAATTTTCCAAAACAAACAAAAGATAATGCAGAAACAAATTCAGAAAGTCAGGAACCCACTTAAGAGAAGTAAAAATAAAGTCAACTAGGCATAACATAATAAAACTATTACAAGCCAAAGACTGAGGAAATATTTCAATAAGCCAGAAGACAGATTGTATTCAGAGGGGCAACACTTAACATAAAATCTGACTTCAACAGACTATTATTCTCTGTGAATAAGGTCTTACATATTAGCCCTTCACTCCCAACTATTTGTCTATTTGTCTTAGGTGAGCTAAATGTGTGCTGGGACACATTTGAGCCAAATGTCCCAGCACACATTTAGCTCACATAAGAAAAATGGACTCTAGTTGGGAGTGAGGGGCTAATAAACACCAGATCCCAAGAAAATTCCCCATAATGGAAAATATAGGCAGATTTGACTATATAAAAGTTAAAAGTCCAATAAATTGATCAATTATTGCTCAACATATATATAAAAAAAAGCAGCACCAAATGAACAAAGAGTTATTAGATACGAAGTGCCAAGTAAAAAACCAAGCAAACAAAAAGCCCCTCAAACCCATAACAAATAAACAAAAATTTCCACTAGTGTGAATGAGCAAAGGATACCTGACAGGGGATGAATTGGCCTCATCGATAATCTGAGAGTTACACATTTTAAAAGACTATGCAGCTGGGCGCGGTGGCTCACGCCTGTAATCCCAGCACTTTGGGAGGCCGAGGTGGATGGATCACGAGGTCAGGAGATTGAGACCATCCTGGCTAACATGGTGAAACTCTGTCTCTACTAAAAATGCAAAAAATTAGCCAGGCATGATGGCGGGCACCTGTAGTCCCAGCTTCTTTGGAGGCTGAGGCAGGAGAATGGTGTGAACCCAGGAGACGGAGCTTGCAGTGAGCAGAGATCGCGCCACTGCACTCCAGCCTGGGTGACAGAGCGAGACTCGGTCTCAAAACAAAACAAAACAAAAAAAACAAAACAAAAAAGACTATGCATTATTATTGCTGTTGTTACTATTTTTGGTTTAGGTAAAGATGAAACAGTTACTCTCATGGGTACTAAGTACAGAAAAAAATTATGAAAAGCAGTTTAACATGATGCATTAAAAAAAAAATGATATGTCCTTTAACCTGGCAAATCAGCTTCTAGGATTCTGCTATGCACGCACAAATGTGAATACACAGATGTGTTCTCTGATGTACTGTTCACTAATAGAAAAAAGGTTAATTAAATTATGGTACATCTATTCTCTGGATTCTCAAAAACAATAAAAAAATGAGGTAGATTCTTCATGTATGCACCCTAAAAATGTTCATAATAAACAAATAAAACCAATAAACATAATAAACTAAACAAAAAAGTTGCAGGTCACTATGTGTAATGTGCTAGCATTCACGTGAAACCTAACAAAAAGCTTTATGTAATACATGTGTATTACACACATACTGCAAAGATAAATATTTAACAGCATTTAATCTCTGAGATAGGGCATAAAATTGAGGTTCTGAGAAGAGTTGAAGGTGGCAGTCTACTTCTTTTCTTCTACATTGTCTGAATTTTTTTCTTAACTAAGATTATATGTTAGCTTTGCAATTAAAATGTCTCACACATACTTTTATGAGAGAAAGAGAAATATCAAGTGATTTGTCAATAGAAAAATAGTAAACTCTACACTGTTAGTTGATCTTAAGAACAGATTATTATCATAAAATATGATATGATTAATTATAATTTCCTGCCCTTAATAGAGGTTACATTTTAAAGAAGGATGGGAAGCAAAATTGTTCCATCAAAAATAGATAAAATGGGTTAGGCACAGCAGCTCATGCCTATAATCTCAGCAATTTGGGAGGCCAGGGGAGACAACTGCTTGAGCCCAGGAGTTTGAGGTCAGCCTGGGTAACAGTGATACTTTGTTTCTACAGGAAAAAAAAAAAAAAAAAAAAAAAAAGCCAGGAGTGGTGGTGCATGCCTGTAATTCCTAGCTACTTGTGGGGCTGAAGTGGAAGGATTGCTAGAGCCCAGGAGGTGGAGGCTGCAGCAAGCTTTGATTGCACCACTGGACTCCAGGCTGGGCAACAGGGTGAGACCCTGTCACCAAAAAAAAAAAAAAAAAAAAAAAAAAAAAAAAGAAAAGAGTTGTAAAATGAATTTTACTGCTAGAGTTATATAGAACATCAATGCATACTTGTTCTAGATCTTTGGAAGATACTGGTTAATTGAAATGACTATAAAGCTAATTTTCCCATTAATTTTCATAAAATAGACAAACCTATTAAAATTAACTGTTCTATAGATTGATATACAAAGGTTCTCTTTAGAAATAATGTTACTATTTACTTAAAACGAAAGTTATACTTACAACAAGGAATAGGCTGAACTGGTCCAAGTTGTGGAAAGGTCATAAGAACAGAAATCCCTGGTAGATCGTTTTGCTTTGGTTGTTCGGCAGTTTGGTCAGCCCAAACTACCACTTTTTTCCTCTCTACCAAATGTTCGATCTCTTTGAAGTCAGATTCAAAAGCAGCATTTGACAGGCCGGCTTCTTTTAATGTGCAATATTGTTTTCTTAGGGTTGGAAGTAAAGCATTCAATACTCTATATACAGAAGATGAGAAGAAAGGAGAGATAAATATGACATTTTAAACACATTATTTTAGTTCTTTTATGTAACACCCAAAGCATTAGCATATCATTAAAATAATTTCCCATGTATGAACTGAGTTCTAGTCTCAGATTGTCTTCACTTGCTTCCATATGACCTTGGACAAGGCAAAAACTGAAGTTTTTCCTCTGTAATGTGAGGGACAGATAAATAGCCACTACTTATAATAGGAGATTGCTTTGAGGGCTAAATGAGTTAAGTATATTTGTTTATTTATTTTTTAGAGACAGGGTCTCACTCTGTGGCCCAGGCTGGAGTGTAGTGGCATGATCATCTCATTGCAGCCTCGAACTCCTGGCCTCACTTGATCCTCCCACCTTAGGCTCCCAAGTTGCTGGGACCACAGATGTGTGCCACTACACTGACTAATTTTTTTATTTTTTGGTAGAGATGGGGTCTTGCTATGTTGTCCAGGTTGGTCTCAAACACTTAGCCTCAAGAGATCTTCTTGCCTCCACCTCCCAAAGTGCTGGGATTACAGGGATGAGCCACTGTCCCTAGCTAAATGAATTAAATGTACATAAAAGCTTTTTGCAAAACATAATGTGATTTCCAAACTACAGATGTTGTTACTGCTACTAATTATCATAAAATTGAAATGAAAAATTAATATACTATGTGAAATGATGAGACATATTTTAGGTATACAACATTAAAACACACACACACACACAAACACATAACAAAATAACAAAACCTACCTCTCCTTTAAGTTAAATGACCTAAAGAAATGGCTTTTGGAATGGCACTTAAAGGGATTTTAAGGAGAAAAGTTGTGGATAAGGATGGGGAGTATAAATAATCGTTAGGGCACTGGATTCACGGCTTTAACTCAAAATCTCCCTTATTAGCAACAATTACAGCAGCACCGAATGTAATTTTTTGTGTATCAGACCTCTGTGTAAGTGTTCATTGAAGAAATGTCACAGCTAAACAGTTATAAATTTATACACTCAATCAGTGGTTCCCAAATTTTCTATAAAGAAATATGTCTAACAACATGAATGATCTTGAAATGATTCAGTCCTGGAATCCTGAGTCCATCAATAGATGATGTTCCAGTTGACTCATAACATCGAGGAGAAGAGAACCATTAGAAGTATGGATAGGGTAGTGGGAAAAGACTAATCGGGCATTCACTTTCATACACAAAGAAATACCACCTTTTAACCTACAAGTCTTAAATATTTCAATAGCAGCACAAGAAATTGTGACCTTTTTCCTTTTGGTGGGGGTGGCTGGAGGGTGCTGCATTTAAGTCAAGTAGGTAACAAGTACAAGAAAAAGTTATTAATCAAAGTCATTTAAACAATTACTTATTTAGCATCTACACTAATCAGGTACTGTGCAGGAAAGTTATCATAGTAGGTCTGACACTGCTAAGAAAGGCTTGGTTATAAGGTTGATACCTGGCTGGTATTTTAAAATATGGATTTTAGGAGGGTTCCCAGCATTTCCAGAACTCATATGACAAGAGTGGCTCACTGTGCTTAAACTGTTTGCACAAACAATGTGGTTTATGCTAAAACACCTTCTCTCCTTTTGAAAAGTCTGGAATTTTGATACATCCTGGCAGAAAGTGCCTATGCAACCAGCTCCCAATAAAAACCTGGGACATGGAACTCAAAAGAGCTTCCAAAGCAGAGAACATTTCACATGTGCTGCCACAACTTTTTGCTGGAGGAATTGTGCACATTCTGTGTGATTCCACTGGAGGAAGACTCTTGAAACTCTGTGTCAGGGTTCCTGCAGACTTTGCGCCCTGTACCTTTTCCCTTTGCCGAATGTGCTTTGTAGCCTCTTGCTGAAATAAAGCACAGCTAAGAATACAACTATCTGATGAGTCCTGTGAGTCCTCCTAATGAATCACTGAACCTGAAAGTAGTCCTAGGCACCTATAACACAGGAATTATATCATGTTATTTATTTTTATGTTTAATCTTTTCAAAAACTTTATATGAAATGTATTATAATCTATTCATAACCTTTATATGAACTGTATTATAATCTATTTTTATATAAGAAAACTATAGCTTAGCAAAGCTAAATAATCAGCGTAAGGTTATATTGCTCATATAAGCTAGAATTCAAGATTGATTCCAAAACTCATCCTCTTTCTTCTATGCTACATTTCCTCTGTGATCCTCTGGTTCACCAGTTTTCTAAATTGTTGAGTTAGTCTTTTTCCCCCCATTTTAAGGTAAATGTTTATCTTAAGATAGTATATTCATCTGGGGTCTGATATAGCAAATGTAATATGGTTAAAAGAAATTATTGTTTCTTGATGACTTCAGCTCTTGTAAGTGGTTTGAGTGTTAGTAAATGAATATTCAATATCTGCTCTAGGAATAGACACAGAAAGTATAAAGAGATTAGTCTGAACTTCCATCCACATAAGAGTAACTCCCTGAAGTTTTTCATTTTTCTTTTTTAAAAAAAGCTATACTAATATGATTTCCTCTAAATCAAGATAATTATCAGTTATTTGAGCATACCAGTAGAACATGAATAGATTCTTAGAGTAGCAGAAAGCACTTAGAGAAATAAATATCCCATTTGCATGGAACATCAAAGTGATGCCTAAGGAGTTGACTGACGTATCCAATGTGACAAAAAAAAGATTAAGCCATACTTTTTATTATTATGTTTTAAAAACTAAATGACTAATGTTACTACTGAGCTAGAAGAGAGAACATAAAAGGTCTGTTATAGCATCACATAAAAATCAGGACACCTGATATTTAGCAACTTCACTGTAATGACAGCAAAAAATTCTGGAATTATGAATAATTAACAATTGCCTACTTAAAAATTCAAGTGATGTTAACAGCAATTGCTTCTAAGTGGAGAAATGGATGGCTAGAAGATAGAGGTAGAAGGCAGATTTCTTTTCAATGTGTGTAGGTACTTATGAAATTTTGTATTACATAGCATATATTAAGTAAAAGTAACATACTTTTAAAGAAAAACACTTTCAAATTTATAAACCAATGTAAAAACTTTGTTGGAAGGAAATAACTCTCTTAATGTTTTCTGGTTCAGACAGACACTTAAAAATAATGTATCCTGTAACACATAAAACTCAACTTTCTGGCAGTGGAAAATTGAACTTCTGTGCTTCAGATATAGTGTTAAAATTGGAAAATAGGTAAATGTATGTACTCACGCTTCAGTCTGCCTGTGTTGCTGTTCCTGAAGACAAGCTAGATCCATCATATGTCTAATTTGTGCTTTCAAATCTTTGTTCTGGAGGTGCAAATGGTGACAATGAAGATCTTTCTTGAGTTCCTAGGGCAAACAATACAAAATGTACTTCAGATCACTCTAAGAATATTGAAATTAAATCAGTTTAATAATTTTATATTGTTGCCAATAGTTTTAATTCTTTTTAGATATTAAATAATATGTTTAGAAACAATTTGAAAAATAAGAGTTCTGGAAAAGGTGGTCTATAATTTACAAGCAAGATAAGTTTTCATGTTTCCTCAGAAACTGAATGTTAGGAATTCAGAAGAAATTTTACTATGATGACAGCTTCTTGGTCTATCCAACTTGTTCACAATGTTGTAAAAATACATAAATATGACCAGTTTTTGCTTAAATGTCACTTCCTCAGAAAGGCTTTCCTTGAGCATTGTATTTGGATAGACACTCTCCACCCCTCAATATTGTCATAGCATTTACTCTATTGATGAGTAACAATTTCATTGATGTATTCATTTATTTATAATTTCTCTGTTCACACCAGAACATATAGTTTACCACCAGGACAGGCACCGAGTCAGGTTAGTTCAGTGTTAAAGCCCCAGTGTACAAAGTCTTGAGTTGTGTGCAATAAAAATTTCTGTTTTTGCATGAAACAAAAGATCATATGGTTGATATCACCTTTGGTTGGATGACATGGTTAGAGCACTGGCCTATGAGTCATGTGATTTTAGAGATGGGCTTATAAGGCCTTGAAACAAATGCTACCTTAAGTTGAATATACAGCCTTTATGGAGATCAGTTTACTGGACTAAAATTTAAGAGCTGGATCAGATGATCTCTTCAGTCCTTTCCAGTTAGAAAATTAAATGATCCTAATAGTGTGAACATGTTTGCCAAATATTACGTCTGTTCTCCTTTAAAAGAAAAATATCCTTTATATACATCCTCTCATAATCTCCTTTATCTTCTTGAATCTTTCTTCTTTTAAAGAGACAAGACTTGAGACCCACTCTTGATATTAGCTCCATCCTAGGCAAAAGTGTGAAAATGTTTTTTTGCAGGCTCCATTTTCCTAAGCCTCATCTGTCTAGGGCCAGGTGTCCTGTAATCTACCACCTAAAGTTACTTGTCTTTCCTTAAACCTACTAAACCTTATCTACAGAATATATCAGCGAAGGGATTACACCAAAGTATAAATGGTGATAATCTAGTAACATTCTCAGAAATTTTATTGGAAAAATTTCAAACAATACAATGAAAAAAATTTAAATTCTTTGGACATTTTGAATGGCTAAGACAGGAACCCCATATGCAGGGGAGCTATGCCTGGAAACTGGAAACTTCCTCCTAGGGACAATTCTCATAATCCATCTTAGCTTTAGCGAGTGGAAACAATGCAAAGTATTCTTCAGATTCTTTTAAAGAATATTAAGATTAAATCAATTTTAATAAAATAATTTTAATAAATCAAATTTAATAAAACTCCTTTCCAATCTGCAGTTGACCAATAATTTTCTAAAATGTCAAAGTTATTTTTCTCCTTTTTAGAAAGTACTTCCAATGCCAGTTATTGAGACTATGACAGAGAACAATGTCACTCATCCTATTTATATATTAAAGTTAGGAGTTATTTATATATATTAAAGTTAGGATATATTAAATTTAGGAGTTATTTATATAATTCATTATACTTCAAGAAATATAGTATATTTATATATTAAAGTTAGGAGTTATTTATATAATTCATTATACTTCAAGAAATATAGCAAATGTTTTAGAAAAAAATTTATCTTTATGGAGGCAGGACGATACGGCTAGAGTCATGTGATTTTAGAGACGGGCTTAGCCTTGAAACAAATGTCACCTTAAGCCAAATATATGCCCTTTATGGAGATCAGTTTACTTGACTAAAATTTAAGAGCTGGATCAGATGATCTCTTCAGTTCTTTCTATTACTAGTTAGAAAATTGGATGATCATAATAGTGTGAACATGTTTGCCACATATTGCATCTTTTTTCCTTTAAAAAAATCTCTCCTTATAGCATTAGGAGAAATACCTAATGTAAATGATGAATTGATGGGTGCAGCAAACCAATATGGTACATGTATACCTATGTAACAAACCTACATGTTGTGCTCATGTACCCTAAAACTTAAAGTATAAAGAAAAAACAATCCCTCCTTTATATACATCCTCTGATAATCTTATTCCTTTATCTTCTTGAGTCATTCTTTTAAAGAGACAAGACTTGATTGTATAATTGTATTAGTAATAATGGGTCTTTGGCTAGCCTGTTAACTTTGGAAAATCAAGTTTACAATTTAAGTCTTTCTTGACATACTAATGACTAAATCTGATTGGAAGAACATGGCTTATTTTGAGAACTATAAGTAGGCCAGTAATGGCTAAAGTATAGAGTATAATGAAAGGTGATATACAAGCCTTGAGAAGTATTCAGGTGCCAGACCATGCTAGGCTTGGTAAATCACAATGGAGAATTTATTCTAGGGAGAAGGCAGTGAAGAACAACAAGATCAGTTTTGCGTTTTAAAAACTTGCTTTGGTTGCAGTGGAGAGAATGAATTGCAGTAGAACATGAACGAAAGCAGAAGGACCAAACGTAGCAGTCCAATAATGGGGCATAGGAGTCTGCATTAGGATAGCAGCAGAGGGGCATAAAGAGAAGTGGATAGATTCAGAATATTGAAGAGTAAATAATGCAGGAGAGTACAGAGAAAACAGCACCAATTTGAAAGTCAGAAGTTCTGGGTATCTGTCCAGAGTTGTGTGACCTTGGATAAGTCCCTTTATCGTAAAGTTATGTCTCAATTTGCTTATGTAAAAAATAATGGCTTATAACTAGATAATTTTCTCAGCTATTTTTTCAGCTATAAATATCTGCACAAAAAAGAATTGAGGGTTAGATTTGGGTGATGGCAATGAAAATGGTTTTAATTTTATTTGCTCAAGTTATTTGTGATAAAATGCATAAAAATCAAAGATACAAAAATCAATTCCAGGTTCACATTCAGGTGTACAAAAGTTCTTCGTAAGAGAAATCTAGAAGACAGATTGCTAGAAAAATTAGATTTGACCATATTGAAAAAGTTTTAATTTATTAAAAATCCAGACAATATTGATTAACTTCATAAACACTACTAAGTAGACAAAAAAGCAAACACAAAATAGCGATAATAATGATATCAGAAACAATACCATACCATTTTTAAAATTGGAAGCTTACGGTAATGTGGGATAGAAAAGGCAAACTAGTAAATTTCTACAATCGACTTTTTTGCCTGCTTAATACTTCATAAGTTCTTAGTACTTCTGTAGTTGGAATGCTGATTACATGGACAAACATATAATACAAGCATAATGTAAATTAAGTTAGGATCTTGAGAGGTGAAAATACTCTAGCAATATCATTTAAAACTTATATACACAAACATATTTAAAATTTTTAATGAATATACTTAATGCCACTGAACTGTATATGTACACATGGTTAAGATGGTAAATTTTATTTTATATTTTACTACACACAAAAAATTGTTTCAAGACTCTTCTTGAGAAAATTTTTGCCAACTATAAGGGGTAAATAATCTATGAGAATATCACAGCCATAAGTAAACAAACAAATTAAGGAAGCTTCAGTAGTTAATTTTAAATGAGGTCAAAGTTTAATACTAACCAAAAGACTTAGTTTTATGTAGTTTAGAAAATGATAATCTTGAGAATATGACTGCTTTAGATATACAGTCTCCAAATAAACTATTAAATAATAAGTGAAATAAACTGAAAAGTACTGTCAACATTCCACACCTGCTACCAATCCAAGAGAATCAACTCTTGTGTATTAAATGAGAAACACTCATTTGGCCAGGGTTATCCAGCTGTTTTCTTTGAAGTGATTTTATCAACAACATAACCATATTTCAGTATTCCTACAGGCACTGTGATAGAGCCTGTTGCATTCTATGATGAGCCTCTATGGCTTTATATGGAATTTCAGAAGTTATATCCTCTGATCCTAGCTAACTTATATTATAGTTTATTAATGAATCTTGTCTTTTTTTGCTTACTCCTTTTGAGTCATTATATCATCTTAAGATGGACACAACGTTTAAAAAAAACGTGCTATAGTTTCCTTCTGAAGTAGATATTCTTAATCTTGTGTCAATGGAAGGGCTTTAGGAAACCCAATGACTTAGGAAATATGCAAAATTGTATAAATTTGACCTCCCCAATCTCCCAGCTGGAAGAAAATCTACACAGCTTTGAACAGATTCTCAAAGGCATCTATGACCCCCAAAAAGGTCAGAATCATTGTTCTGGAAGAGAAATTATATTATATTATATTATATTATATTATATTATATTATATTATATTATATGATGCAGTTAACTCTGTTGTTAACTATGTACACTTTTCTTTGTACAACTTGCTTGGATATTGATGTCTATGCTATTGTTGCTTAGAATAGTATTAAACTATTATTTATCATCCATTATTATTTGTTAAGTGTTGCTAGGTTTTGAATGTAGCACTCCACTTAAGCTCATAATATCTTAAATACATTTACAGATGACAAATTAAGACATCAATGTTAAACACACTGTCCAAAGTCATATAATTATTGTTAGAGTTGTTATTCAAAACAACTACTATATGCCAGAATTACCAAACACTCCAACTCCAAAGTCTATCCTTTTCCCAATGTTTACATTATTTTTGTGGGGAATATTTTAAAGTGCCTTACAAACTAAGTTATATTATTGCAAAATATTACTAGAATGTGCTGTATTCTATGTTTAATGTCCTAATCTACTTAACTAACTGACTGGTATGCTTTTATCAAGATATTTTGAGGTGCAGATTAAATTGTTGGCTCAATAAATATCCACAATAAGGAAATACTGTCTTTGGTTTCCTTCTTAGGAAACAGGATATCTGCTGCTTGCTCCTTTCACTACTTTGAACTGTCATCATTAACTACTACTGCTAGTCTTTTCTCTCCAGTCATGTCTGAGCTTCCATATTAACAGAATAATCATTTACAGCCATTGCTAGCCCATCAGAGAATCCATTCCCCAGTCATAATGCATTGACTAGTATCTTTGAATTATAAAAAAATTAGTACTTTTGAACATTTAAAGATCTCTGGCATTTGTTGGTAAATATTTCATATTTTCCTTCACCTGTATTTTCTGTCTGGTGCCTTTCTAGGAATTCAAAGATTTTAGAAGTTTCCATATCAATTAGCTGATACAGAGTTATAGAATTTCAGAAGAGCATCACCAAAGTAGAGACTGTAGATATTTTTTCTTTTAGAAAAAGACTGAAAAGAAGTTGTTCTTTTAAACTATTAAGTATTTGGGTGAAAATTAGTTATTTCATAGCAGTTGCTCCTAGTTGCTTAGCCCACATTTACTTTCTTCTTCTTTCTTATTAAGAGATCTCCAATCCCATTACTGGGTATATACTCAAAGGATTATAAATTATTCTACTATAAAGACACATGCACACATATGTTTATTGCAGTGCTATTTACAATAGCAAAGACTTGAAACCAACCCAAATGCCCATCAATGATAGGCTGGATAAAGAAAAGGTATATTGCACATATATACCATGCAATACTATGCAGCCATAAAAAAGAATGAGTTCACGTCCTTTGCAGGGACATGGATGAAGCTGGAAGCCATCATTCTCAGCAAACTAACACAGGAACAGAAAACTAAACACTGCACGTTCTCACTCACAAGTGGGAGTTGAACAATGAGAACACATGGACACAGGGAGGGGAACATCACATGCCAGAGGCTGTCAGGGGTAGGGGGCAAGGGGAGGGAGAGCATTAGGACAAATACCTAATGCATGCCGGGCTTAAAACATAGATGACGAGTTGATAGGTGCAGCAAACCACCACAGCACATCTATACCTATGTAACAAACCTGCACATTCTGCATATGTATCCCAGAACTTAAAGTTAAAAAAAAAAAAAAGGGAGCTCCAATACTGTTCAGAGTAATTATGCAAAAAAAAAAAAAGACAATCTTTTCAGAGTGTCTTCTATCTACAGATAGCCATGTGACATATTTCTAGCCAATACATTAGTCTGTTAGGAATTTTTGGAAACATCTTTGCTCTCCTGATATAGACATCCCTCCTCCTTTCTTTCCTCTTCTTCTGGCTTAGGTGTGTAAACTTGAGACTAGATATGAAACAGTAATATTACAATCATGAAACGACAAGCACGATAATGACATTTTAAAGGTACTGCATTAGAAATGAACTGCATACTTCCAAGACTTATTGTTAAGAGAACAAAAGACAGCCCACACTAGTTAAGGCACTAAAGTTAGACTACTGCAACCTTGTAGCAGAACATAATTCTAATATGATACTGTCATTACCCATCACTACACTTCAAAAATAAAACCTTTTGCCATTCTAAGGTGGAATATCTTCAGTTACACACACACACCCCCTTTCAAATCAACTTTCTTTAACCATAACACATTTAATGTTGACCTCATTTAAACTATTTTTGCATAAAATATCAAGATTTCAAACAAATTACCTACATAATGAATCCTCAAGTGCAGGTTGAAATAGAATTGTTTATTTTAACCTAAAAGCTACCTTATAAAAGGATGCAATCACTTAGAAATAACATTTAAAAGTAAATTAAATCTCAGAGTTATGAGGCAATAATAGTTGTCTTATGAAAGACATTTACTCAATAAGAAAAAGAACACATTTTAGGAGCTCAGTTCCTACAAATTAAATCTGAACATACAGAGATATTTGTACCTTTGGAATATGACCGTTTTGACTTAAGAGTCCCATTTCTTTTTCGACACGATGGAGCCAATTAGTATTCTCATCAAATTGCTTCAATTCCTCCTCCCTCCTTTTCTCCAGGTAGGAGCGACGAGTTTTCAACATTGCAAGTCTATGATCTCGTTTTCCAGTGGCCTGAAACACGATTCATTTAACAGTAAATCTAATTTTTATGATATTTGATGTACATGATATTAGTAAACTAGTATATTTTCTTATGTGTACTATTGTAGTAAATTAAGTTAGGCTACATTTTTGTATTTAAAGCTATTTCCCCCTTGAAATCTCAGAATACTACTGCTTGCAAGAAAATAGGAAATTGAGCTGTGAGTCATTTTTATAAAATTACAGGTTGAGAGTTTATGGCTTTAAGAAATACAACGACCAAATCAAAGACTATAACTTTTTTTTTTTTTGGCGTTAAAGTACAGTCCCTTCAGTATGTTTCATTTGAAAAGTTCATACAAGGTCAGATACATTCCATGATCTCCTTACTCAAAATCAAAGCAGATGCATATATTGCTCTTGTCTTTGATGTGAAGAAATAATGTGTTCTATTGTTCTGTGTTTGCCTATAAGGCCTCAAATTGGCTGATATAAATCACAGAAAAAAGAGCTTATATCAGAGTGCTTATCAGTATCTGATCTTGCCTGTAGCTTGGTTCAGGAGCCATAATGAGTATTCAAAATATTTTTGGTGTTTTACCTAGGCACAAATTGAAATTAAAATTAGTCTTTGATTTCTTACCCTAAGGGTCTTGCACACTATCATGAAAACAATGGGCCAGAACATCTTGACGTCTCTGGGGTATTTGCCCACAGACACTAAAGTCAATAATTATCAGATAGGATGGGTAGACCTGAAACAGTGGATCCCCAAAGGTTAAAATAAGCATTTGCAGCTGGTTCTGGAAGCAGGAAATCAAAAAAAAGAAGAGCAGAAACTAGATTTGAATTTGGTCGAAGAACTCCCCCTCTTTGGGAGATAAATATCTCTTAATTTTGACAAAAGATGTACTATTGAGACTTGGGCATATAATAGAAAAATATGGTTATCTTCATCTGGATAGAGGATATGAGCTTATAAATGATTTAAGGTCAGGCAAAGGTGGCTATCATGAAGTCATAACCAAATCTTAGATATTCATAAAATTTTACTTACCTTCCCCTCAAGGGAAATACAAGAGTCAGAGAGAAGCAGATTCCATTTCAGGCTAGAGTCATAGATAAGGGAAAAATAGTTGATAGCCACCGTCATTCTCACTAAGGTTCCTGACTCTTTTTTATGGCTTCTCTGGTTAATTATAATATCCTAGTCTCTGTCTGTCACAGTAAGACAGTAACAAAAACAAAACAAATGTCTCAAAGAAACAAAAACCTGGATAGTCAAGAAGAGAAAACAAAACAAAATGTAACCCATCAAACTGACCACAGCGCTAGGATGAGAATTGTGACAGAATGCTACAATGCAGGCTGGGATGGTGGCTCATGCCAGTAATTCTAGCACTTTGGGAGGCTGAGGCAGGAGGACTGCTTGAGGCCAGAAGTGCAAGACCATCCTGGACAACATAGAGAGACCGTGTCTCCACACAAAAATTAAAAAATAAATTTAGGCTGGTTTCGTGGCATGTGCCTGTAGTTCCAGCTACTTGGTGGGGTGGAGGGGCTGATGTGGGAGCATCACTTGAGTCCGGGAGGTTGAGGCTGCAGTGCAGTGAGCCATGACTGCATGATTGTGCCACTGCACTCTAGCCTAGGCAACAAAGTGAGACCCTGACAGCAAAAACTAAAAAAAGAATGCTATCATGCAAAGGTTACCCAAGCATGGTACAGGGACCCCTAAGGATTCCTGAGATCCTTTCAGAGAGTTCACAAGGTTAAAACTATCAAAACCATTTTTATAATATCAGGAAAATGTTATTAGTCTTTTAAAATTCTTGTTTGCTCATACAGTTAGTTGCACAGTAGTTTTCTAGAGGCTAAATGATGTGTAACATCACAACAGAATAACAATTCAGCAGTTATGAGAATAGAGCTGATATGAAAAGCCAGGCATTAAAGAAATTTGCAAACATGTAAAACAACGCCACTCTTCTATTTTCACTATTTTTGAGAAAATAAAATTATTTATGTAACCACACATAATTTTTATTTTAATTATTATTTAACATTTAATTATTTATAATTTATTGCTATTTATTATATTTTATTAATATAATTTTTATTATTTACAATTAAGCTATTATTTAATATTATTTATTTTAAAATGAATCAATGCATAAATATATTTTTATAAATCTGTTTTAATTTCTAATATAGAAATATTGGTAGAGGGAATACATATAAACAAAAGCTCTTTGAAGTCCTAAATAATTTTTAAAAGCAGAAAGGGGTCCTGAAACTTGAAGTTTAGAGCCACTGCTATAACAGAAGGTGGGAGGTGTGACCTATTGACTTTTCTCTGCTATTCAGCAGATGTAAAAATTTAGGCAAACAGATTTTAGTGGGTCTTCAGTTACTTCGTCTGAAAAATGAAGATGAAAATATTGTACCTAACTGAAGGCAGGCAGCTAATTAAATCATCTTTATTTTGCTTTAGCATTTACAGTCGTAGGGACTCTTAGAAACCAGGGCATGTGGGTCTGGTGGCAGCAATATTTAATATCAGAAAATCCTAAATGAAACCTCAAAAAGTCCATTTATGACTTTTTACTTCTAATGTCCATCAAATGTATCCTCTGTGATGGTTCTCAGAGGACATTTTCCATCAGAATACTACCACCACCCATTGCTCTAAAATGGCAAGTAAGTGTTTGGGAATACATTCTAAAATATGCATGTTAAACCCTGACATTAGAGTGAAATGTTTCCCATTAAGTTTTAAAAAAGCTTTACATATTTCATTAACAAAATCCCCTGCACACCACAAAAGTCTTGCGAGAGAACAAACATAATTCTACAATTTTAGTTGTTACTACTGCTTTGTGTAAAATAATTGCTAATATGGTAAATTCATATTTTTACATTAAAAACAATCTTACAGATTATTTTTATGGGGTCATGAAATTACCCAGGAGCTTCCCTTTAATAGTAATTTCAAAATCCATACTCCAGAACTATTTATAGCTGAATCGATGTTATGAGATTCTTTCAGCACTTCTGATAACAAACCTCTATTGGAGAGAATCCAAAACATAAAATTCCTTGCCTTAGAAAAGCAGTTTACTCATACTACAGTTTGACACTTCTGTGTAAAAACAAAACGAATCAACCTCTAGATGTCTTCCTATGTTTTTCAGTGGGTTAACTACACCCAATAACTCAAGAGTTTTTATCTCCACTGCTTACCTAGTCTCATAAGAATAGCTATGATAATTGGGAACCTGAGGATTGAAATGACCAAAAGTAAGAGATCAGAAAAGGCAATTGGGTTGAAAAAAGTCTAAGCTACTGTGCAGAAAAATAAGGATGAAAACAGAAAAAAAAAAAACAAAACCATAAAACCAGTCAAACCCATTCTATTACTCTATGTCTTAATCTTTCTAGATAACCACATTCAAAATTCAATGGAGGAATTAAGACAGTAAAATAACAATTATCTAAATTACTTTGGGATTACATAGTCCAAGCTCATTAATTATACTAAATAATAATATTCAAGTGTTTAAAAAATGGAACTCAAAGTTTTGATAATGCTACTCCCTTGCTTGAAAGACTGCATTTTGGCTACAAAAATAGATTTTAGACTCCTAGCAACCAACAATTTCACAATCTATACCAATATCCTACCTTCCCAATCTATTGTTAATAATTCCTAACATGGCAAATATGTTTAACATCATGTGCCAACTCCAGTCCATTCATTGTGGTTCTGGCTACTTTCAAATTCTGAGAGAAGGTATGGCCACAGATCAGTGAAATTTGCTGTGGGTAAGGGAGTGGGAATTGGCACGAAGTTTTGAGTATAGTTATGCATTTCTACACGTATTGTCCAACAAATGTGACCTGCTCTGGTCAAACTCAGCAGAGCAAGTCACATTTGTTGGACAATATGTATAGAAATGCAAGGCCCAGTACAAATCTCATCTTTCCACCAGGAAGCCTTCTTACTAAAAATAGGAAGTCACTGCTTACTTTTCTGAATAGCTATAGCATTCACGGTACTTAGAATATAGCAGAGTGATTAAGAGTGCAGGCTCTGAAGCCAGACAGCTGGGGTTTAATATTGGTTCAGCCACATTAATTAGGTAAGTAACTCCAGACAACCTACTTGAGTTCTCAGTGCCTCTGTTCCTCACAAATGGTGATAATATTAGATCTATCTCATAGGCTTGTTATAAATACTAAATTAATTAATCCATGCAAAAAACTTTGAAAAATGTCTGGCAAATAGCGTTCAATATCAGCTGTTTTTATTATTACTATTTATATGACAAGCATATAGTGCCTTATCATTTTTATTATTTTTATTGCTCCAACTAGTATGTAAATAATTGAAGGACAAACACTTCTCTTTCTTTACCTCCATTGTGTCAAGCACAAGGGTTTTACATGTAAACAAGTGTTCAATAAGAGTTTCGTTAAAGTTGAGATGTTAAGTCAATATCAGCTTCCTATGGCTGCATTTCTTGCCTTTTGTCAAAAAGTAAATCTTAGATAACTGCACATTCAAATAATTGACACTTATATAATCTACACAAAACTGAGAAGAATTATTACCCACTGAAGATTACTATGTAATATAAGTGCTAATAATTGAAATAAACCAGGCATGGTGGTGGACACCTGTAGTCTCAGCTACTTGGGAGTCTGAGCTACTTGGGAGGTTTGTGTGAGTTGTGGAGTGAGACCTTATCTCCAAAAATAAAATAAAATAAACATAAAAAATAAAGAAAAGAAGAAAAACATCTTAAAAATTTGAAATAAAATATATAATTCTTATATAATATGGTACTATTCCAGAATTCTGTTCAGCAACCATATGAAAGAAGTTCACAACAACAAATTGATAAATTAATCCAATGAGATAGTTATTTGGAAGTCATTACATTTATCAAAGAATATTGGCAACAATTTGAAGTTCATGAAAGTGAAAGTACAAATATAGCAGCAAGATATAAATTCGAAGAAATAAATTGTTTCCTTTCTGCCTTAAAAGAATGCAAGGAACATCTTAAATGCATCTCAAAACACAAAATTGAAAAGAAAATTTCATTAAGGCATAAAAAGCACACACTCAATAAATATATTACTAATTTTGATAATATAGTTTAATAGCTACTGACAAACTGGTATCAATGATACATTACTGAATGCTTTATGATTAATTTCCGGTACAGCGTATCTTTCCCATTTCATAGGCTAACAAAAATCTAAAATGTTAGCTTTGAAAAGCACTCTTTAAAATCTGACAGCTTCTGGACATTAAGAAATGCAAAATTTTTCTATATAATTATTACTTCTGTGAAAGTAGGAAAAGAAGAAAACATGTTTGGGGTGGTAGTTTGAGAGGAATGGGTTGTTACTTATAAGATAAAGCTTTTTAATAAGTAGTATTTGAACATCATATGTCTATGTAATTAAATTACATAAAATACATAAAAATACAAATAAACTCATCACCAATGAATATCGAAACTGGGGAGAATTGTCAGTATTTTCAAAATATTTATTTTTCTGATCTTTGGTGCTCCGTAGTTTCACACGTTTAGGTATATATTTATCTTATACTGCTTAGAACTCATGCTTCTTGAATTTACATCTTATTAGTCCTAGATAATTCTCAACCACAAATTTTTGCATATTGCTCTTTTTCACTAAATATCTCCTTCTGAAATGCCTATTAGATGCATGTATGACTTTTCTTCTTGTTACATGAAGTCTATCCTTTATACAACATCTTGTCCACATGTGTTATCTTTATCCTGCATTTGGTGTAATTTTCTCAAATCTGTCTCCCAGCTCATGTAAAAAAGCATAAACATAAGAGCACAGGCTCTAGATCTGGCATGCTGCAGATCAAATCAGAACTCAGCACCTAGGAGCTGTGTCACCTTGGACAAAATGACTTGTATTTTGGTTTCCTCATTGATTATTAGGATAATATTACTAAATATTTCATGGGGTTTTCTGAGAATTAAAAAGAGTCAATATATGTAAAGTGCTTTAACATTTTCTGATATTGTATCAATAAGGTGAGTTTTTAATTTTAATGAATAAATTTTTAATTTCTGGAAGTTTCATGTGTTTTTTACCTCATATTTGAAAGTTCTTTTTTTGTGGTGTCTTTATCTTTGATTCCTTTATCTTTGTTCATTCTTATATTTTCTATTAGATTGCTCTAGTATCTAAAGATTTGGGAGTTCTGTCATATTTGCTAAGAGTACTGAATCTTGTCTAGAGTGAATTATTTCTCCATCTGTTTTGTAATTTTGAAAGTTGAATTTATTAGTGGCTAGAGTTGAGAATCTGTTTCTCTTAAGAGGCTGATTTTTGCATTGCTTCTGCCAGGTTTTCTAGTGGTATCATTGGTTTGATAATGTGCATTGTAATTGACCAACTTTAGGGGTTTTCTATACAAAATACATGGGTTGTAACAATTTAAACCTCAATCATTGTGAAAAGCAAGCCTATAATGGTAGTGTTCAAATGACTTTTTTTTCTTACCCCAGGCATGGTTACTTGGGGTAAGAAAAGCAACCATCCTTGCCAACAGTGATGGTTGGCAAGAATTTTTTTTTTCCTGGTATACCCCTAGTATAAAGGATATAGGCCACTGAAATTTCAGGCTTTAGATAGGAGCTCTCATTTCTAACTCACCGTCTCCTTTGGGTCTCTTATCTAAGTAGTGATGTAATCAAAGTTAGAAGAGTGGGAGTGGTCTGTGTTTGGAAGGGAGAGGGCAGTATATTATTGTATTAAAAAAAATAGTAAAACTGATTAAATGTTTGGTCTGCTTTTCATTAGGCCCCTGCCCTGGCACATCTAACAATTTCAGTGATAAAATTCTTCTCTGACAACAAAAATCTCCTGTTGGTCTAAGTTGTAAGCTACTGCCTGCATCCAGGATAGACTGCTTCTATTGCTCTACCTTTAGTAACTGGCTAACCTGAGTGGGTAAACTTCGTGTTAAAAGTTCCATAAAATGCCCAGAAAAACAACAGTTGTAACTGAGATTCTGTTGTTTTTGTTTATTTCCTTTTTGTTACTGACATCCAGGAATTAAAATTTCTTTCTTGTGCACTTAACTATGTATTTTAAAAAATGTTTGCTACATTTTCTCCAACATTTCCAGATGTCTGTAAAGAATGGGTGAGTAAGTAGCCTTGACTATAAAATTTCCAGAGTTAGAACCACCGCCACCAGGCCGGGCACAGTGGCTCAGCCTGTAATCCCAGCACTTTGGGAGGCTGAGGCGGATGGATCACCTGAAGTCAGGAGTTCAAGACTAGCATGGCCAACATTGTGAAACATCATCTCTACTAAAAATACAAAAATTAGCTGGGCGTAGTGGTGCACGCTTGTAATACCAGCTAGCTGGGAGGCTGAGGCAGGAGAATTGCTTGAATCCGGAAGGCAGAGGTTGCAGTGAGCTGAGGTTGTGCCACTGCACTCCAGCTTGGGCAACAGAAGAAGAGACTCCTTCTGAAAAAAAAAAAAAAAAAAAAGCCCCCATGTTTTTATACTTTCTAAAATTTAATTATAAAATTGTTAATTACCTTTTCTACTTTGTCTTCAGAACACATCATTTCTATTTGTTTATGGCACTGTTGTTGGTAGAATGATTTAAGTTCATTTTCTTTAAGTAACATTTCCAACTTCAGATATTCTTGTCTAATTTCTTCTCGATTCTGGAACAAGCAGTTCAGGATTTCTTGAAACCTACCAAAATTAAAACACATTACAGAATCTCACTAATTTTGTAGCAAATCATACAAAGTTTACTTAAGAGAAATGCATAAACAAAGGAATATATGTAATTCACAGAACTACACTCAATGATAAACAGCAAATAGGTAAAAATGACTATTTCCTATTATAAAAAATGTTTAGAAAAAGTTATTAACTTTACTTATACTACATTAGGTTTCTTTCTCACCCAAGGAAGATCATGTTGCTGAAAGATATGGGCATCATAAGGTGTCTGGTATTGCTAACATACTGCATTTTGTCTATGCTTACATCTATATGTAATCCTATTGCTTAGCAAAAATAAAATAATTTTTGTTTGTTGGAAAAGGATGATAACCTGGGCATGCACTATCCAAATTCACAAGGCCCTATTAGCAACACAGCATTATGTGTTGTTACGGTGTTGGCTCACCGTGAAGGAATAAGCAGTAGGAGGCATAATCATATGGTGCCTCCATGGCCCCCTAGGGAAAGTGACAGAGCCAGTTTTTAGCTTCAGAATTTGTTATAGTGAAAACAGACCATACGGTTAGGTACCCCCTACAGCCTGGCTAAGAATCAACTGACACTTCCAGGACTTAAAACATCCAAGTTTATAATGTGGTAAACCTAGAAAAGCTGCTGCAGTGTGCTTCCTCCTAAGGGCAATGTAGGTCTAGAATATCAAAGATGAGGAGTTTGATTCATATTTCCAAATGGCCACAGACTTCAAGCTGATTAAATTTTATGAAAACTCTGGATGGAACCTGCAATCCTGTATCCTTCTGGGTCAGTAGAACACTGGTCACAGTAATATTTTAATTTTTTAAAATATATTCATGGTTTTAAGTCATAGATCAGCTCTGAGCTACAGTAACAGTATAAACATTCATAACAGTGAAGACTTTAAAATAAAGTAAAATCAAGTACATGCATTTAAAAAAAATGTTCTAAACTGGCCAGAATTTTAGATATACTCATAAGGATCAGCGGTAAAAACACTGCCAATTTACGTCAGTAGCTCTTAATGAAACTCTATTGGGAATGAATATAAGCCACAAAACACTGACTTTACTGCAGTTTTGTCAAACTGATAAATATTTCATAGGAAATATGTACAGACACTGTGATTTCATTGCATTATATTACACCAACGGTAATGCCAGTAAATGAATTGATAAGTTATCTTTAGGTTATACTTAAAGAGATAATTTCTTAGTTTTTCTATAACTTTTTATTCAAGGACAAAGTTAATATTTGTCAATTTTGTGATCTAGACTTATTTTAGGTGGTGGTGTTCACTGATTAGGATGAAAGGAAGGGAATTGGTATCAAAGGTTTCTAGAGAGCTCCTTAACAACACCAAAAAAAGCTATCGTTTTAAAACTGAAAGAGTTCTAAGCAAACATTCAAGTTAAAAGTATCTGCACCAATATTTTTAGGTAATACATGAGTATTAAACTCCACAATTTTCTTGGTATAGTCATAAGTGAAGTTTTATAATTACTCTTTATAAAAGAACAATTGTGTTTTCTTTTTATGATTTCCTTTTGAGAATTACCTTTCCAAATAGCTCTGATAGACAGAAAATACTGCAGATTCTTCCTTTTATCTGTTTAAACTTCATAAAAATGTTATTTAAGTTTTATAACAAAAGACACTTTGAAAATTCATGGCATTAAAAAAGTCCCATGTAACAGTATGATGGATAAAATAAAAGATATTTCATACATTTATTTCAAAAGGCAGTAATTTTTAGGGGAAATAACAAAAGTTATTTGGTACATAATTTTTATCATTAACTTCTTCATAAATACAAGTAAGTTACTTAACATATTGCCAGAATTAAAATCAAAGCTTTTATTGTTGGTCAAAAGTCAGGTTGAAATATGAAAAACATCCAAATAAATACTTATTTCATAGCTCAGGCCCTTCCCTCCTGAGAGGAGGGCCTTACCAGAAAGAAAGGTTCAATTATTTAAAGCCATCAACTCCAGAAAAGTTTACTAATCTGTAAGGTTTTAATTGGTATAGTAGACTTGGTTAAGCAGTGCTGAGCAATTTTATGGAATCAGTTACTCTAAATTTGAGAAGCTGGAGAATTCTAATAGATATCCAATTACATGAGGACCGCTCCCACATTTAACTAACAAAATGAAATAACAACAACTAATAATACTATATCAGAGTTAAAAGTTTTCTTTGATGAGATGAAAAACCAGAAATCATTTTTACTTATTTCTTAAGAAATACTGTAAAATATTTTATGTAAAACTTCAACACACAAATGCAATTTTAAAAAATTATAGCTGAATCAGGTCTGAAAGCCACTTTTGACTATAATCTTGTTTTCCTTATAGATACTGAGACACTTTCTACTAATTCTAGAGCTCCAAAACAGTATGAATAACCATTGGTTTAAGTTGTAGTTGGTTTCTCATACTAATAACAGATAACTGGCTCTGCAGAATGTCAAATAAGTTTACCTTTACTCAATTTTAATGAAAGTTGAACAGATTCCTTTACTACAGGTTTTCCCTTTAATAAGCTGATGTACTTTGGAAGTTTCCTAGATTCCTTATGGAGTAATTTCCAAACTTGTTTATACAGGAATTCCTTATTGTCCTCCTAGAAGTACTCAAGATTAACATCTTGATCCAGTGTCTCAATGGGTCAATTTGGAAAACTGTCTTAGCTGCTTGAGGAAAAAGTACTTTTGCATACTGTATTACTAACTGCTTTCTTTTTAAAAATTTACCTGCTAAGAAGCTTAGTAGAAACCTCTCAAAATTCTGTATTGGTTTATATCACTGACAGATGTTCATTCAAATAATTACCCATTCAGGCTCAATAAGTAGATTAGTTAAGCTATAGAGAGTTAATAAAATGAAGAATAGAGTAGATTTACATGAAATATACAAATAATGATTATGTCAGAAAAGAACAATATGAGCGCCACTAAAATTAAACTAAGTCTACAGGGTGACATAACTGGCTTTGTCTCCACTATCTTATACCTAAGTTCTGGTTCTCTTCAATATATGTAAAATAAAAACTAAAATTACTTGATCTACAAAGTGTGAAATATAAAGAGAAATCACTGACTTCTTGAATTCAGTTGAGAATATATATACAGGCATACCTTGTTTTATTGTGCTTTGCAGACACTGTTTTTTTTTTTTTTTTTTAAACAAACTGAAGGTTTGTGGCAATCTTGCTGTGAGCAAGTCTATAAGCATCATTTTTCCTACAGCATGAGCATTCAGTGTCACATTTTGGCAATTCTTGAAATATTGTAAACTTTTTCATTATTACATATCTGTCATGGTGATTTGTGACCAATGATCTTTGATGTTACCATTGTAATTGCTTTAGAGTGTCACAAATTGTGCCCATATAAGACAGTAAACTTAATCAAGTGTTGTGTGTGCTCTGACGGCTCCACTGACTGGCTGTTTCCCTACCTCTCCTCAGCCCTCCCTATTCCTTGAAACACGTTGAAATCGGGCAAATTAATAACCCTAAAATGGCCTCCAAGTGTTCAAGTGAAAGAGTTAGTTGCATGTCTATCATTTTAAATCAAAAGCTGGAAATTACTAAGCTTCTAAGGAAGGCTTGTAGAAAGCCAAGATAGGCGAAAAGCTAGGTCTCTTGCACAAAACATTTAGCCAAGTTGTGAATGCAAAGGAAAAATTCTTGAAGGAAATTAAAAGTGCTACTCCAGTGAACACACACACTAAGAAAGTGAAACAGCCTTATTGCTGATATGGAAAAAGTTTCAATGGTCTGGATAGATTAAACTAGCTATCACATTTCTTTAAGTCAAAGCCTTATCCAGAGCAAGCCTTCTAAATCTGTTCAATTCTACAAAGGCTGAGAGAGGTGAGGAAGTTGCAGAGGAAAATTCTGAAACTAGCAGGTGTTGGTTCATAAAGTTTAAAAGTGTAAGAAAAAAAGCCTTCTCTAGAACATAAAAGTCTAGGTGAAGCAGCAAGTGCTGATGTAGAAGCTGCAGCAAGTTATCGAGAAAATTTAGGTAAGATCACTGATGAAGGTGGCTACACTAAACAACAGATTTTCAAGATAGACAAATCAGCTTTTAATTGGAACAATATGCCATCTAGGACCTTCATATCTAGAGAGAAGTAAATACCTACTTTCAAAGCTTTAAAGAACAGGCTGACTCTCTTGTCAGGGGCTTTTGCAGCTGGTGACTTTAAGTTGAAGTCGATGTTCATTTACCATTTACAAACATCCTAGGGCCCTTATGAAATATGCTAAATTTAACTCTGCTTGTGCTCTACAAATAGAACAACAAAGTCTAGAGGACAGCACATCCGTTTACTTAATAATTTTAAGCCCACTGTTAAGACCTATTGCTCAGAAAAAAAGATTCCTTTCAAAATACTAATGCTCACTGACAATACACCTGGTCACTCAGGAGTTCTCATGGAGATGGACGAGAAGATTAATGTTGTTTTCATGTCTGCTAACTCAACACCCAGTCTGCAGCTCATGGATCATGCAATTTTGACTTTTGTGTCTTCTTATTTAGGAAATACATTTTGTAGGGCTATAGCTGCTATAGATACTTTCTTTCATGGATCATGCTTCTCTGACGGATCTAGGCAAAATAAATTGAAAAGCATCTGAAAAGAATTTGCCATTGTAGATGCCATTAAGAACATTTGTGATATGTGTAAGGAGGTCAAAATATCAACATTAATAGGAATTTGGAGGAAGTAGATTCCAATCCTCATGGATAACTATGAGGGGTTCAAGATTTCAGTGAAGAAACTAACTGCAGATGTGGTGGACATGAAAGAGAACTAGAATTAGAAGTGGAGCCTGAAGACAGGACTGAATTGCTGCAATCTCATGATTAAACTTGAAGAAATGAAGAGCTGCTTCTATGGATAACCAAAGAAAATGGTTTCTTGAGAAAGTTTACCACCTACTCCCTATAAAGATGCTATCTACGTTGAAATAACAAAGGATTTAGAATATGACATAAATATAGCTGATAGAGCAGTGGCAAGGTTTGAAAAGATTGTCTCAAATTTTTAAAGAAGTTCTACCGTGGGTAAAATGCTATCAAAGAGCATCACACACTACAGATAAATCTTTCATGAAAGGACGAGTCAATCTATGCAGTAAACTTCATTGTTGCCTTATTTTCAGAAATTGTCACAGCCACTCCAACTTGCAGCAACCATTACTCTTACTAGTCAGATGCCATAAACATTGAGGGAAGACCTCCACCAGCAAAAAGATTATGACTTGCTGAAGGTTCAGATTATCATTAGCATGTTTTAGCAATAAAGTATGTCTAAAATTAAAGCAAGGCATTATCTTTTCAGATATAATGCTATTGCACACTTAATAGACTATAGTGTAGTGTAAACATAATTTTTATATGCACCGGAAAACCAAAACATTTGTGTGACTCATTTTATTATGATATTTCATTTATTGCAGTGGTCTGGAGAACTAAATCTGCAATATCTCTGAGTCAAGCCTGTTATGTATGTATGTATGTATGTGTGTATATATAAAATTATAAACATACATATCTATGTACATATAAAAGACATAACAAATGATAATTAACATAAAATACTTAACAAAATTTTAAAACAATAAATTCCTCAAAATTAGATCTTAATGTAATGTTTACCTTTCGATTTCTTTTTCCTGAGGGTTTGAAATCATTAACTTTGCTTGGTCATTTTCATTAGTGAAGGCTTTCTGTTCTTCATAGGCTTTTAGTTTTTCTTTTAACAATAAAATCTAGTAGAGAGAAATCACTAGTTAAAATACAAAAGAAGTCATTTACATGGCCACAGCCAAATTTAGCTGTAAAAAATAACTGAATTAACCAGATTTTAATTTTAATAGAAAAATATGTTAAATTTTTGGACAATTAAGATTATAAAATTCTATAAATGAAGAACTGCGCAAGACTAGCATAAAAATATAAACAGACATACCTCTGCCTTCTGCTCATTACAGATCTTTACATATTGAGTTATATGATTATTGACATTAAGAACATTGCTCTTCAACTGTTGAAAGATAGAAATTATGATTGTTTATAGAGAGATAATAATCACAGAGATAAATACATGAATAACATGACATTGCATTTTCATTGAGTTCCATGAATTCAGAATTTGTGATAATTATGCTCACATTTAAAATCTATGACAAGAGGATCTGCTGAGCACATTAATAATGTAAATGAAATTATAAAGAAATTACTTTATTGAGAAAAGGTATTTATAAGCATGTAATTGCAATATAATAAAATTCCCTACTTTCTTACTCCTTTGACTTCTAAGTAATGCAGAGATAGTTTTTCATGCTACCCTTTCAGGAATTCAGTTGGTTTTCACTGAGTTCTTACTATATTTTAACATTTTTATCATAGTATGGGCCCCTTGACATTTATGGTATAGTAGAGAGGATATTAAACATATAAATCCAAATACTTGATATTGAGACCTTGCCTACTTCTCACTTAACCTGACTTAGAATTCGAACTGTTTGATGTTTGGGTTACTCATCTGTAAAGTGGAGCTAAGAATTCATTCCTCAAGGGGCTAGTGTAAGGGCTACATGAAAATCATGTGTTACAAACCTTTCTGTACACCCATATAGTATGACCTTTTACAATTAATTATATAATGAGCCTGGGAACATTTTTCTTAAGATGACAATAACATGCTCATCTTCAGACACTTAAGGAGAGTGGCAGAGGGGAAAGGGAGAAGAGGAGGAGTCATCACAACAGCTTAACTCTAGGTTTTTTCAACCCCGATATATTATAATTTAAACATACATATTTTGATATACATGTTTTTAAGTACAACACATCTTTGGCAAAAATACTAATGTAACCAATTATTATTATTATATTTCTGGAGAAATACAGAGATTGGTACATCAACATCATGAATGTGGACTATAAATTATGTAGAAAAGACTTTTTAAAAAATAAGCTTTATACCTATTTTACAGATGAAATAATAGGCTTGGAAAGCTTAACTAACATATCCAAGATTTTCAGGTGAAAGTTTTGGTTCTCAGCTAAAGCAGAGCATCATCCTGGGCTGCAACAAATGTGTTCAAGTTTTGAGTGATTACTCCAAGATGCCATCCAAATACAATACGCCATGACATCAAAGAGGTTAGGGAGAAAGCCACTCAAGTACCATAGTACCCAAAAGATCGAATAATAGTATCTATTATATATATATATATATAATCAAGATGCTTTATGGTTTAACCGTCTAAATTAATGTTCGACTAAGCAGGTTAGCAAAGACCCTTCTAACCCTCAGCTGCCTAACTCATTATGTAGAAACATAACCTGAATTAATACTTTCATTACAATTATAAAAATCATATGCAGACAATACCTTCACAACAAAGGCAGAGTAAACAGACTTACAGAAGATTTAATGTCCTTTGCCCGGTTAGCATACTTAAGAGTGTTATATGTGTCATCGTAGAATACAGAGGAAGGACTAACAGCAGCTATCATTATAGTTTGACAGTTTCCTCCAAGAGAATCCTTTAACAAGCGAGTAAGCTTACTATTTCTGTAAGGGATATGCTGATTCTTTCTCTGAAAGCACAAAAAAGAGATCTTATGTCATTTTCCACATTTAAATGCAAACCTGCTACCACTTTAGCACTTCACTGTGGGGGGAGGATTACCTAGGTGCCGAGGCAAGAGACTGAAGGTATAAACTGTTTCAGTATAATGAAAAAAATAGCTAGAATAAGAATAGTCATAATACAACTTAGATATAGAGATGATCATGGACAATTATCAATCACTATTATAAACATTATTAATCATTAGCTTTTAATATTACTCTTTGTTGCATTACGAATATAACCTAGGAATAACCGGCGGGTATGGGGTCAGCTGCTGAAGGGACATTGTGAGAAGTGATCTAGAAGGCAAGAGGTGAGCCTTCTGTTATGCCGGCACAAACGCCGCTTGAGGGCTCCTTGGTCAAGTGGTAATGCCAGTGTCTGGGAAGACACCCATTACTTAGAAGACCGCGAAAGGGAGTCTCCTTTCCTTGGAGGAGTCAGGGAACACTCTGCTCCACCAGCTTCCTGTGGAAGGCTGGATATTATCCAGGCCTGCCCGCAGTCATCCGGAGGCCTAAACCCCTCCCTGTGGTGCTGTGCTTCAATGGTCATGCTCCTTGTCCACTTTCATGTTCCTCCTGTACTCCTGGTTCCTCTTTGAAGTTCACAGTAGACAGCAACAGAAGAAATAGTGAAAGTCTTAAAGTCTTTGATCTTTCTTATAAGTGCACAGAAGAAAACACGGATGTATGCGCCATCTCTCTCTCTGTTATCGGCTACCTAAGAGGGAAGGGTCCCCTGTCCTATGATCACGTGACTTGCCTCACCTTGTCAATCACTTAGAAGATTCACCCTCCTTACCCTGCCCCCTTGTCTTGTATGCAATAAATATCAGCGCGCCCAGCTGTTCGGGGCCACTACCGGTCTCCGTGTCTTGATGGTAGTGGTCCCCTGGGGCCCAGCTGTTTTCTCTTTATCTCTTTGTCTTGTGTCTTTATTTATTACAATCTCTCGTCTCCGCACACGGGGAGGACACCTGCCAAGTCCCGTAGGGCTTGACCCTACACTTCACTATAAGAACTTAAGCGCTACCCAATTTTATCCAGACTTATAATTGGTGATTGAGGTGATGACAAAGAATCTTACAGGATTATTCAGTGAATATATGAAACAAATATCATATTTAAAAATATCTGCATCTGAGTAAGTATGAACTTTAGTTCAAAATAAAATAATACATTAATATTGGTTCATTAGTTGTGATATATGTACCATATTAATATAAAAAATTAACAATAGGGAAAACCAGGTGTGGAGCATATTTAACAAAATCTGTATCATCTTAGTAACTTTTCTGTAAATCTAAAACTATTTGAAAATGTCTATTTAAAAATATTTCCAATCATTGAAAAAAATTAAAACACAAAAGTAAACAGATGTCCTATACAAATATACTAGAGGAATAATAACTGCATGGCTTAGAGCTACTTTTCTCCTTAAATAACCATCTAATATCGATATGAAATAAATTATAATTACAATGTTACAGACATTTCTCCTGAAATCACTATAGTGTTCTAAAAGAACCTAATACTTCAAGATTTTCTTTTACCTAAAAAGAAAAAAGTAAAAGTAACAAATAAATTTTGTTAAGTTTTGTTTCTGATTTTGAAGTAACAAATAAATTTTCCAGAAAGTAGAATGTTTATATAAGAACAGATTCTTTACAATGTTAAGCTAAAAGCAACCTAATGTTATCCAATGTATACCTTTCATATTGCAAAACAGGAAATTGAAGCTAAGCATAAAGTGAAATGATTTGACTAGGGTCACAAAGCTAGTAGTTCAAAGAGCCAGAAATAGGTCCTAGTTCCCCCAATTCTCAGTAGCAATGTGCTTCCACCATAGCAGTCTTTCCCAAACAGTGTGAAATATGCACTGCTGGTGCTATTTTAAGTGATTTTACATGTACAAGACATATATTAAACATTGACTCACAAATGACTCAATAGGAGTCATTATTAAAAAATTATAGATTAGTTCATATGGCAAAAATCTTATGAATGGCTTAAGTTTACAAAATCCGTCTCTGTGTCATGCTGTCTGCTTACAAGTTTGAGATTTTAACTCAGAATATAAAAGACATCTTGCTTTTGCAATCTTCATGTGATTTCAGTAATTTGCCTTTTTTTAAAAAAAAAACCTGCTCCAATTATTTTAATATACTTATTCTAAATCAAAGGTAACATTTTGAACAGTTTAACAAGCCAAAGCTTTTTTAAAAAAATTAAATTTAATTTTTTAATTATATTTTAAGTTCTGGGATACATGTGCAGAACGTGCAGGTTTCTTACATAGGTATACATGTGCCATGGTGGTTTGCTGCACCCATCAACCTGTAATCTACATTAGGTATTTCTCCTAATGCTATCCCTCCCCTAGCCCCCACACCCCCTGACAGGCCCTGCCTGGCGTGTAATGTTCCCCTCCCTGTGTCCATGTGTTCTCATTGTTCAACTCCCACTTATGAGTGAGAACCTGCTATGCAGTGTTTGGTTTTCTGTTCCTGTGTTAGTTTGCTGAAAATGATGGTTTCTAGCTTAATCCATGTGCCTGTAAAGGACATGAACTCATCCTTTTTCATGGCTGCATAGTATTGCATGGTGTATATGTGCCACATTTTCTTTATCTAGTCTATCATTGATGGGCATTTGGGTTGGTTTCAAGTCTTTGCTACTGTGAATAGTGCTGCAATAAACATAGGTGTGCATGTGTCTTTCTAGTAATGATTTATAATTCTTTGGGCGTATATACCCAGTAATGGGATGGCTGGGTCAAATGGTATTTCTGGTTCTAGATCCTTGAGGAATCGCCACACTGTCTTCCACAATGGTTCAACTAATTTACACTCCCACCAACAGTGTAAAAGTGTTCCTATTTCTCCACATCCTCTCCAGCATCTGTTGTTTCCTGACTTTTTAATGATCGCCATTCTAACTGGCATGAGATGGTATCTCATTGTGGTTTTGATTTGCATTTTTCTAATGACTAATGATGAGCTTTTCGAACAGTTTAACAAGCTAAAGCTTTCGAGTATGGTTTAACTTAAATTGCCATATTATAATTTTTTTGAAAGGATGTCATTTTTACAAATATCTATGTTGTGAAATACACTGTGTTCTAGGTAAGCACTTCTGGCATATGGTATATGTAAACTATATTTAAATATGCCCAGAAGCATCTAGTAAACATTACCTTATTAGGTGATTTCATGACATTTTATAACTTAAACCCCCCTTAAAAAAAAATCAACACTCTTTAATACTTAACCCTATTTTATAATATATAAAATACTAAACAACAGAATTTAGTTTTTAAAAATATGGTTAGTTTGTCTTCATGCCAATTTAATTAACATGTTTGCTGTGTAGTGATCACTTTAAAAACCAAGTTCAAAATAAGTGATGAGAATGTACCATAAAATATTAACTATCAATCTGGTATTCATTACTTTCTATTTAACCAATTCTCATTATAAAACTGGAAATTAAAAAAGAAATAAAAATCAGTTTAATACACTAGGTTTTCTGAGGTCTTTGATCTATATATTAACATTACTGATATACCCTTGAAATGTGATATATATCAGACCTTTAAAACAAAATCATATTAAATAGTATCTTTCTTATCTATTTCAATATTTCAAACTATTTAACAAATAAACATATAATGCCTACCTTTGAATCTGCTAAGGCATTGATGACATTCCCAAGAGCTAAAAGTGATCTATTAATATTTGTGCCTTCTACAAATCGGGTCCCCTTAGCACCGGAAGTACTTGCTCGCTCAGATCCTGCCAGGTCAATGAGTGACATCTTGGCAATACGGACATTTTGATTGATACTTGCTGTTTTGTCTTGTTGTCGCAAGTAAATCTTTTTGAAATTACAAAATAGAAAAAAATGAGGATAAGATTTAACAAAATTAAAAGGGAAATATATACTTTAATAGAGCACAAAATCAAAATTATTTTCATTTTAAAAAACAACTGAACAAGGTATAATCTAATTGATATTTAAGAGCACTATAAGTAATCACTATAGCTGAGAAAAATATAAAAATGAAAAGACTTTCTATATGTGTACCAGAGGAAAAATAACTCTTGACTTGATAGAAGATCAAAACTTCCATTTCTATTCTGGTACCCCTTGAACCAGGACATGGAATTATCAGAGGTGATGGTTAGAAACACAGGTCCTATAGAAATAACGTTCCTAAGAAAAAACCAAAGCTACTCGTTAGAATGCCTTGTATGTATCTAGAGATTGCCCCTCAAGGGAAGCTGAATTCGAATCTTGATCCAAACTGAAGAGTAAATTTATTCTAATCCCCCAAACCTGTATATGTCCTCATAATTAAAATATCATATATAAAAAAGATAGTACAGTCTTGCATCACTTAACAACACAGCTACTTTCTGAGAAATGCACTGTTAGGTGATTTCCTCATTGTGAAAATATCATAAATCAAACATGAGAGAAAATGATAAAATCCACAGACTTGGTAAACAGAATGTAGCAGACTGCTTTTGGGGTAATAAGTAGGAGCATACTCTAAAATAACAATAAAAAGTAAATACATAAACCAGTAACACAGTCATTTATTACCAAGTCTCATGTACTGTACATAATTGTATGTACTATATTTTCATATGACTGGCAGTGCAGGTTCGTTTACACCAACAACACCACAAACATTTGAGTAATGTGTTACGCCACGACATTATGATGAGTATGACATCACTAGATGAATAGGAACTTTTCAGCTCTGTTGTAATCTTATGGGACCACTGTTGTATATGTGGACTGTTGTTGACTGAAATGTCGTTATGCGGCACATGACTATACAGTAAAGTCTACTTGTCATTTTCAACTGCCTAGTAAAGCATAATTTATTCAAATATTTTAAGCTACTCTGTAAGGATTATCTGAACTACATTAGGTGGCAAACAAAAGATGAGGAAAGTAAGATATTACTTAATTATAAACCCATTTATTAAATTGTTTTATAAAGCAGGATCTAAGATATTTCAGAGACATCTCAGTTTCACAGAGAAACATTTCTCTCAAGACTATTAATAACCGAAGAGTTAGTGGTAAGAACAAAAAAGATTAATGAAATTTTTGTTGACCAGGGACTATATGAATGGTTTGATTGCCTTCAATATCAATTCTTTCAACTATAACAATTTCTTTCTTATAAGATGTATCTCAGATGGCATAATACTAAAAGAAGCTTTATATTATCATTTGGGTATTAAAAGGACTAGAAACTATAAGAAATAATAGCTATTAACCTATGCTTTAGCTCTTTCTGGAATTGTATTCCTAAGACTTACTGTGCCAACTGAATCATACTTCCTTAAGGAATGCGACTATTTACATGGTCCTTATGGTGAAATCTTTTAAAGATGAATCAGTATGTTCCCAAATTATTAGTTCTACAAGTCTAGATTTATAGAGATAAGTTTTACTGTGAATATAAGATTATTTATTGGAAAGATTAAATATTTTCAGCAAAAACAAAACTTTTATTACTACAACTTTATCCTCCTGTATGTTTACAAAGGTAGAAATTTTGTATTTTTGTTTTAAGCATCTCAATTAT
This sequence comes from Homo sapiens, assembly GCF_000001405.40. Classification (NCBI taxonomy): domain Eukaryota; kingdom Metazoa; phylum Chordata; class Mammalia; order Primates; family Hominidae; genus Homo; species Homo sapiens. The sequence continues at coordinate 28,090,454 of NC_000011.10, forward strand.
AAATACTCTTGGTGACAGAAACTTTTCAAAGCTATAAAGGAAAGTACTGACAAGTGAAGTCTACAGACAGATTTTTTTCACATGTATGAAAATGATGATTCATGAATTTAGCTTCATTTATTTTAAATCCAATTTTAAGAGTGATAGTCTAGTGGCCTCTTACTTGGAAAACAGCATGAGAACGAGAAGATGTGGCATTCATATCAGTGGGATGTTGTGTCCTGTTTTTGTTTCCATTATCCAATAAATGTAAAATTTCTTCTGAGGATTTGGGCTGGAGAAGTTTAAGTAGAAGCAAAATTTAAAAATCAGCAATATATCTTTAAATTTTTCAATAAATGTTCAAAAAACAAAAAGATTTAAAGGTAAAAGAAAATGTTTTCTATAAATTCAATCCTATTAAATACTAACTTTGTCTCATCTGCTTAGTATTGTGTGTGTTTATATGAAGAATAAAAGATAAAATCTAGTTTCTCAGGAGTGGAGTCTATTGAGTAGAATAATATGACATTAAATGTTCAAGCAGATTTTTGAAAGAAAAGCTCACTCATTGGGAGGCTGAGGCAGGCAGATCTTGAGCCCCAGAGTTTGAGACCAGCCTGAATAACATGGTGAACTCCCGCTTTCTACCAAAAATACAAAAATTAGCCAGTCTCATAGCCCGGTCACAAAATAAATAAATAAATAAATAAATAAATACATACATACATACATACATACATACATACATACGTAGATTAAAATTTAAAAATAAAATTTAAAAAATGTTTTTAAAAAGTTCACTCTATTTTAAAAGAAAACAAAATAAGACTAAAAATATACCCTAATCATTTAAATTCTGTACCTCATTAGTTTTTTTTCTCAAACAGGATGGAAAGTAAGTGCATGGCTGGTGAAAATAGCTTAATAGTCACATTTGCTATTCTAACAGGGAAAAAGATGTTTATATACATACCTGGTGTAAAGTAAGTCCATGAACGACCACCCCTTTTTGGGTATCTTCCCGGACAGCAAGTGGCCCTGAATTTACTAAGAGATCACGAATCTGTTCATTATATACCTTAAAATAAAAAGAACTGCTTTAGCATTGATGTAAAAAAAAAAAATGGTGATTACATCACACATACACTGCTAATTTAAAGTTATTAGAATTTTATCCTAAAGACAAGCAGCACCTCACTTTTATTCACCTCATACCTTCGATCTCATGTTGCCATTAATTTTCTATCATTCCAGAAAATTGAAGAGTTTGATTACCTAGGTTTGAAATTGAAACTTAAAGTTGGAGTCATCCCCTCACTCATAATTCCTGCCTTGATGACTATGGTGAAACAGAGATAAGTAAGATAGCTGAAGTGCATTTTCTTCTTTTCTTTTTTTTTGAGACGGAGTCTCGCTGTCTCCCAGGCTGGAGTACAGTGGCGCAATCTCGGCTCACTGCAAGCTCCGCCTCCCGGGTTCTCACCATTCTGCTGCCTCAGCCTCCCCAGTAGCTGGGACTACTGGCGCCTGCCACCACGCCTGGCTAATTTTTTGTATTTTTAGTGGAGACAGGGTTTCACCATGTTAGCCAGGATGGTCTTGATCTTCTGACCTCGTGATCCGCCCACCTCGGCCTCCCAAAGTGCTGGGATTACAGGCGTGAGCCACCGCGCCCGGCCCATTTTCTTATTTTCAGGAAATGTATGGAACACACGGTACTGGGAAACTCTGGGAAATGCAGGTTGTATGGAGATGGCATGGTTCTTACTGTGGAAGATATCTATTATTTCACAATGTCCAAGTAGTCCAAACTTTTGAAATTTTAGAGCTTAAATGTTACAGAAAACCCATACCAAGGACAGGTGGTATTTGTTTCGGTTATCCTTCAATTACATTAATTTTGACATATAATTACTAATAATAAATTTCAAAAGGAGACCCATTTGAATGATGAGGGAACTAAGACTCTGAGAGGTTAAATGATTTGTCCATGGTCATAAAGGTATTAGCAGAGTAGGAACTGGAGCCTAGACAGCTTCACTCTACTGCATCATACTGAATACATATCTGTAGTTTATATCTCTGGCCATTTTTTAAAAAGTAATTTTTATAAGTAACACACATTTCTATGTAGTACTAGTGACCCGATTTTATGAATTTATTAAAGGTATAAAGTTTATTACTTGCTAACCAAATGACAATTACAACTATTACTGACAAGATTTAAGAAAAAAAATAACAAAATTTAGTCTCTAAAAAATTATTTTGTGTTATTTCCTTCTGTGTTCTAATAAGTAGCTCATAGTGATAATTCATTGCTGGTACAATTCTCTACAATGAATGATAGGCATTAGAATGTAATAAACCCTTAAAAGTAGTAAAATGATAATATGAAGAAATATTTTTAAATCATATCTTTTTGATGAGCAGCAGTCACTTTACTATTGCTTCCCCTTACCCACTTCAATCATAACAAATCAAAAATTAGAATAATTGTTCTCAAGCTGGTCTATGTATGACACTCACCAAGGAGCATTTAAAAAACACAGATGCCTCAGCCACACCCCAGACCTACTAAATTAAAATATCCCAAGTGTGAGGCCTAGGCCTATTTTTAAAAAGTTCTATAGGCAATTCTGGTGCACAGCTTGAGTAGAAAACCATATTATACACTGCCTTATCATTAATAATATGAAAGTAGATTAAAAGAAAAAATAAAAATTGTGAAAATAACCAAACTTCAAAATTCTCCCAGTTATAAAAAGGATCTAAGGAAAAAATAATGAATGCTGGCACCCTCTTTTCCCAATTGAGTTCAGAACAATTCTTTTCATAGTTAACCAACCAAAGAAAATGAGTTTTACTTCTTTTTTATCTATAAGTTCTAATGAAGAAATTTTTAGCAACATATATGATTTTAATCAATCTTTGGAAGAAATTCTCAGTAGGGACCAAACTACAAGATGTTAATAAGAGAGAAATTTTATGGCACCAGAAATAAATAGGCAATGAAATCAGGGTTTTTATGTTTCTGCACTGGTTTCTGAAACACTATTTGAATGCAAAGTTAGAGTGTCTGCCACTTAGTTACCATTTGTTGACTATTAAGAGGGTAGAAGGCCTCAAAGAATGATGGGGTATTTCAAAAGGACACAAGAGACAACATGAAGAAGTCTCAACTAGCCAAATCTTACACAATTTGAACATACAAAAAATGATTACAGAAAGGGATTATAATCTATTCAATAAAGTAAAAATGCAGGAGGCTGATATAATAAGGGGAAAACTCTTCCTTATAGTAGAAAGTCAATAAAGAAATGTACAAGAAATGATGGAATTTAAAAATCACCATCATCTACCATCATAATAGTAATTGATTCAGTCACCAATCATCAGTGGATACTAATAACAATAGATAAAAGTTTGAGGAGTAAGGAATATTTACATTGTCTACATACATAGTACTTACTAATTATAAATGGTAAAACGTATCTTCAAAGTGGAGAAACTCTACAGACCACAGCATAATAAAACTGATCAAAGTTAACATTCCCAGTATGGGGACTAATCAACGGCTTAAGCCTTTTTTGATGCAGTAAGAAGTGAACATCACTTTGCTTGTGTTACTGTCAGTGCATAATCTGAATCTAATCATGATAAATCCAAACTAAGGATTTTTATGGCAGTGTTATAAAAGACAAAAAATTACAGATTAAGGAGACTAAGATATAACAACTGAATACAATTTTCTTTTACAATAAAGGGTATTAATGAAATAACTAGCAAAATCTCACTAAGATCTACAGATAATTATATTGTATCATTGCTAATTTCCTGATTTTGGTACCTATTTAGCAGTTATTTTTAAAAAGTCCTGTTTTTACAAGTCTGCAACCTAGCTCAGAAAGAAAGAAATGTATACACACACATAGAAAGCAAATGCAGTAAAATGCTAACATATGGGGGATCTGTATGAAGGGTATCTGGAAGTTCTTTGTACTATTGTTGCAACTTCTCTATAAGTCTGAAATTTTGCCAAAGTAAAAAAAAAAAAAATTAACAGAAAAAGATGCATAACAAATATTCAAGACAAGGAATTTTAATGATTTTATATATTCACCGGAAAACTCTTATATAATAAAATCATTTGTATGAATCATGTCAATGATTTCCCAAAACTATTGATTAATCTAAATTCCCAACTTACCTCCAGATATGAAACTGCAGTACTACATATTTTCTCTTCTTTAATCTCATCCATGCATTTGTAAAGGTGTAACATTGTTAGATACATCACTCCAGGTTCATCAGCTGATCCTAGCATAGTGTGGGTCTTCCCAGCACCAGTGGCACCATAGGCAAGTACTGAGTTTTTAAGAAAGGGATCAAAACTCTTTGTTATGAAATATAACTCTATTATATCTACTATCTAGTGGATAGTTCCATCTGGATATCCTGAACAGTATCTTTAAACCCTACAAATCCAAAATTATAGTCTTATCCTTAAAACCTGGGAATGTTACCACAAATCTACTCTTACTCCTATGTTCTTTACTCTGATAAATGGTATCACTACCCCCGGCCCCCCACTCTAACAACTACTCTTTCAAAGCAATCTTAAAATCTCCCTACAGATTAGTCTTCATCTTCCATCTTCTTTATCCTTTGCAATTTGTAGTCATCTTTATGAAAAAGAAATTGGAATACGTTAAACCTTCTTAATTGTTCCAGGTTTACATAAGTTCAAATTCCTCACTTTGGAATATTATAAAGCACTCAGAGGGTGCCTGCTTATTTTGCCAGCCTACTGCTTCCTTGCTGTGATCTAGGGATACTTAATTATTCAATACTCTCAGCATTTGCTGCTCCTTTCTACTCTGCTGTCTTTGTTCTGAGGAGTCCCTCTACTTGATCCAGCTGGAAAACTTCCACCTGCTTCTAAATGCTCAGCACAAATATCATTTTTCTCTGCCTTCCCTCATTGTCCTAGGCAGACACATCCACTCTTTCACTTCAGCCCTTAGTATATGCTGCATATCCACATCCCTCTCTTCTGGCATGTATCACACTGTATTTCCAATTGAGTGCTCCACCAAGGCAGAGGCCATGTATCCTTATCACCTAACAAATCACTTGCCACAAAGCAGGTACTTGAATAAATACCAGATAGATGCCATTTATAAGATTCCTTTTTAAGTTTTTGTTTTAGGTGAATTACTTTGTTTCCTAGATTCTATTCAGTACAAGAAAGTCATGTGAATTTCTTCCAATGTATAAAAAATCCACTCTGTGGGCCAGGCTCGGTGGCTCATCCCTACAATCCCAGTACTTTGGACAGCTAAGGTGGGAGGACTGCTTGAGCCCAGGAGTTTGAGACCAGCCTGGGCAACACAGTGAGACCCTGTATCCACAAAAATTTTCAAAAAATTAGCTGAGGGCAGTGGCTCATTCCTGTAGTCCAGCTATTCAGGAGGCTAAGATGGGAGGATTGCTTAAGCCCAGCAGGTTGAGGCTGCAGTGAGCTGTGATTGTACCAGCGCACTCCAGCCTGGGCAACACAGCAAGACTTCATCAAAAAAAAAAAAAAGACAAAGAAAAAGAAAAAAATCCACTCTGTGAATTACATATGGTAAATACCCAATACAATAATCAGTTAAGGCAATAACTTCTCATATCATTGCAGTGAGCTGTGATTGCACCAGCGCACTCCAGCCTGGGCAACACAGCAAGACTTCATCAAAAAAAAAAAAAAAAAAAAAAAGACAAAGAGAAAGAAAAAAATCCACTCTGTGAATTACATATGGTAAACACCCAATACAATAATCAGTTAAGGCAATAACTTCTCATATCATTATTGGTTGAAAATATTTTTATAAATTCAATCTGTCTGCTAAACCAAATGTTAACAAACCACAAAAATACTTTTCAGTAGGATGAATTAAGATGGTGTATATTTTACTTTGTTCTATTTTATGTAAGCTGGTATATAAGGAAGGTTTAAAATGGCTTATTCTTAAGCTTATTCTTAAGCTGTCTTAAAGACAGGGTAAGAATATAAAGAAAGCCAAAAAGAAACCAAAAATTCAATAGTAGTTTGATAGAGAGTCTACTTTTTTTCTTAGAGTTAAGAAGATTTCAAAATCTCTAGAGACATATGAAGTTTCATGAAAGAGGAAAAGAATATCTTCTTAAAAATGGGAATCACAGTAGTACCAATCAATAAACCACACTCCATCCTTACTTGATCAAGAGGGTATGTCTTCCATGATAAAACTGAAATGAATCAGGAAAAGACAGTGAAACATGTTATAGTTGTGAGCTGTCTTGGGGAAAATATCATAAATACTAATAATTACAAAAATAAGATATTAATAATGGTGTTTAGTGCCTGGTAGGCACTGAAAAACTGGCCATTTTGCATCTTGGGTATCTCTCTCTCTCTCTCTCTTTTTTTTTTTTTAAAAAGGAAATCAACATGGCTTTCTTGAAAGGCCAAAAAAAGCACTAAAGATGCTTCTTGGGCTAACAATGAGCTAAAGGGCATGAGATAATTAACATGGGATCTTAACACTTTTACCCCCTTTCCAATTTTTATTTTAGGTTTGGGGGTACAGTGCAGGTTTGTTACATGGGTAAATTGCATGCTGCGGGGTTTAGTGTACAGATTTTTTCATCACTCAGGTAAGGAGTGTAGTACCCCATAGGTAGTTTTTTGATCCTCAGTCTCCTCCTATCCTTCGCCAACTTAAACATTTTTATTTCAATGTGCCATGAAGAAAAACTGCTGAAAAGAAACTGTCAAATGTTCAGAAATGTCTGACTACTCTCCAGGAATAGATAATTACATAGGTAAGCTGTAGGAAAAGTTATAAATACAGGTTATGAGAAAACTGATGTTAATTGCAATAAGCATGTGGTTTAATAACATAGGCAACTGAAAGGACAGATGTCTATAGGGGCCACAGTAAGGCCCTGGAAGAGAAAGGTTTACAAATGATGTATAAGTTATATATGATAACTAAAATTTCAAAGTCTATATTTACAGTTCAAGTCTATTGAATTTCTTAAGAATTTTTAGCATACAAGCTCCTTAAATTTGATTATATTTAGAAGGGTCAAGTAGATGTCCGTCCTAATGCAAAAGTGAAATCGGATAGAGAAATTAAATCCCAAATTGAAACAAATACCTGTGCAATTATATCCATTCAAAAAACTACGAAGAATTGGCTTAGTAGTGTGTTCAAAAACTTCTGACTGAGTTGACGTTTCATCAAAAACAGCATCAAATACAAATTTAAGATCCTTATTTTGTTTCTTTATAACATTTTGATTTGTAGTTTTCTTTCCATGGAAAAAACTGACTTCTTCTTGTTTGGGATCAAAAACTAGGATATGTTTATCCACAACATGAACCACTTTATGAAATCCAGCTGCTTTTTCTTTAGTGTTTTCCGGACGTACACGAACTACTACTTTCATATGGTGGCACAGGTCTTCCTCAGTGACAGACATTGTTGATTATCTTGATTCCTATCTGTATAAATACTTGAATACTTCTCTGAAATTAAAAAAGAAAATAAAGTTTTAATATCAGTTTTTACTTTCATGCAAAACAACTGGCATGTAGTATTCATTCAAAAAAGATGTTAATAATTCTGTTTCACTCACTAGGTAAACACTGGGGGAAAAATACATACATACGTAGGCACACACAACACACACACACAAATATATGCACACATACACACATATGCACTTAAGTACCCTAAAACAAACAATTAAATGGCACATACGTACACACAACTACGATAAAAATCTCTTTACCTGAAATATTAGTAGGATATTTGGCTTAAACTCAAATACTATAGCTGAACCATATATAATCACAGATATGCTATCCTAAAACCCAGATTTGATTTTCACAAGCCCTCCAGCACTATTTCAGCTTAGGTCATGGGAATGAATAGAAAAGGATCTCCCAGAACCATATCAAGGTATGATTGGAGAGCCTTAGCTTGTGAACTATTTTTAGTAAAAGTGATCTTGGCTGCAAGCCCCTTGGCCGTGGAAAGTGATACACCCAGGCTGGTCTCTACCTGTATCTCAGAAGCCCATAGGGTTAAAAATAGTTCCAAGGATGCATTCAACTAGATAGCTCAGGTCTGAAGGTGATAGAGATGGCATAGACTCCTTGGTGTATTCAGAGACCTAGTCTCTGAATATTGATCCTACTCTCTGCTTTCTAATTGTGTGCAAGTTTAAGGAATCAATGATAGCAGGTTTAAAAATTATGGTCTGATTTTATGACTGGTTCACATGCAAAGAAGAAAAGTAAAGTAACAAAGATCAATAATTTGGAAGTCTCAACTATCCAGAAAATACTCTAGAATCTGCAGACCCAAAAACCAAAACAAAAAAACAAACAACAACAACAACAAAAAGACAAAAAAAAACCAAACCACAAAACAAAATAAAACACCCCAAAACAACAAGATCTGAGTAAGGACCAAAAGGTGAGACTTAGGACGATCCTGCAATCCCACTTCTGAGTATATATCCAAAGGAATTAAAATCAGTATGTTGAAGAGATATTTGCCCTGCCATGTTCGCTACAACATTATTCACAATAACTAAGATATATAAACAATCTAAGTGCCTATCAACAGATAAATAGATCGAAAAAATGTGGTATATGCACTCAATGAAATACTATTCAGCCTTAAAAAAGACTAAAATTCTGTCATTTATGACGACATGAATGAATCTAGGGGGCATTATGCTAAGTAAAATAAGCCAGGTACAAAAAGACAAATATCACATGATCTCACTTTTATGCAGAATCTAAAAATATGAACACAGAGAAGTAGAGTAATGGTTACCAGAGGCTGAGGAGGGTGGGGTGGGTGGTAAAAGGGGAAATGTTGGTCAAAGGGTACAAAGTTTCAGTTATACAAGAGGAATAGTTTTGGTGATCTATTGCACAGCAAGGTGACCATGGTTAATTGCTAAGAGTACATTTTAAATGTTCTCACAACAAAAAAATGGTATGTGAGGTGATGGATATGTTAATTAATTAGCCTGATATGCTCATTCCACTGTGTACACATGTATCAAAACATTACATTGTATCCTATAAACTTACACATTTTTTTTGTCATTTGTAAGTTAAAATAAAAGAGACAAAAATAATAAATTCACCCAAAACAACATTTAAGTAAGGACTTGAAGGAGGTGAGGGAGTTAGTCATACAGGTATTGTAGGAAGCTTTTCCCCATAGAGAGAAGGACCCAGGGTGCTACTTTATGTTGGCCAGAATGGAGTGAGCAAAGGGGAGTGTAGTAAGACATGAGAGGAGAAATGGAGGCCATTAAAAGAACTTTGGCTTGTACTCTGAGTAAGACAAAGAACAACTGGAAGTCGTTTTGAGCACAGGAGTGACATAATCTATCACTCTCACTGCTATGTGGATAATATAATAGACTAGTCTATTGAAGTAATGTAGACAAGAGACAACTCTGTCAGCTCAGAATAGGGTAGTGGCAGCAGAGGTGGTAAGTGGTCAGATTATGGGTGTATTCTGAGGGTAAAGGTGACAGAATTTACTGACAGGTAGATGTAGAGTGAAAGAGAGAGACAGGATTGAAGAATAACTCCAAGGTTTTTGGCTTGAGAATTAGAAGGATAAAGTAGTCACCAACTGAGATGGAAATAAGAAGCAGGGCTTTTTTCAGCAGGGCGGGAAGTGGTGGGAGGCAGGGTCAGATCAGTTCAGTTTTGGATAGCTTAAGTCTCAGAGTTTTGACAGACATCCAGGTGGAAATGTCAGGGCAGGTGGAAGTTAAGAAAATAAGAAAATAAAGGCTGTCCTCAGTCTTAATGCAGTATTAAGCTTTAAAAACTTTCGGGAAATCCTAAATGAAGGAGGAAACAGCGATCTATTGTGTTAAATACTGCTAATAGGTCAAGTACTTACTGAGAATTAACCATGGGATTTACTAACACAGAGGCCATCGAGAAAAGCAATTTTGGGGCAGTAGTGGGGAAAAAACCCGAAAGGAGAAGATCCATAGACAAGGTATATGGAAAGGACTGTTTCAAAGGGAGGAGAAAAATGGTGTGAGTGAAGGGGGGGGGTGGTGTCAAGATGTTTTGTTTGTATTTTTTTTTAAATGGGAGAAATAGCAATATTCAAGCTGAAATATGTCACAAAACCACTTAGCCATATACTTTCGGACAGAATTCAAATAAGGACAGAATTCAAAGGAATCTAAAAGCAGTAGATGCTAGACATATCTTTGCCTTTTTAGGACTCTGTCTTTGGCCAAAAATAGAATACTGAAAAGGAAGGGATGGTCATTTGGATTCTAAGTCAGGTCCCAGGTGAATTACTACTTTGTTTTTCATCCCTGAGCTTCCGTCTAGCCAAGTGTCACAAAGCACCTACACCTCACTTTTATGACCTTGGACAAGTTACTTAACCCCATGAGTCTCAGGTTTCTATTTGTATAAAAGAGATAATAATACCTCAATGTTTGTTGCAAAGGCTAAAAGGGGTAAGTATTAAGGTATTCAGTAAATACCAATTCTCTTCCTATCTGCCCCACTCCTGCTTCTTCTTGCCAAAGAGACTGAGTTCATCTTTTGAGTTTTTCTCAATGGGCTTATGACTAGCACTTTGGGTAGGCCAATTCTTCCTTGCTTAGAACTGCCCTGTTATAGGGCATTTAGAACTGCCCTATTAGAGGATGTTTGGCATTTCTCTCCCCTGTCTATTAAAGGCCAGCAGTGTCCCATATTCCTTGTGATAACAAAAACTATCTCCTATACACATTTCTAAAAGCTTTTAGAAATATTCAACAATATTTTAACAGATATACTATTTTTAAATGATAGATTAAATATACATAAATGAAATTGTTAACAAAGTAAACATAAAATACTAAGTGATTATTTCAAAATAAACCTTAGAATCTCAAGGCTGGAGGATATCCCTCCCTAATTAATTAGTTAATTAATTCATGACAACTATTACATGTTGGAGCCAGGCAGCCTAGGTTAAAATCTCAGCTCTATGACGTACTGACTGTGATAGTGGATAAGTTACTTAACCTCCTTGTGGCTCAGCTTCCCCATCTGTAAAGTAAGACTAACAACAGTACCTATCTCATAAAGTTGTAAAGATTACACACTTAGAACAATACTTTGTACAGAGTATGAACTACAAGTGTTTGCTATTATTATTTACAGTGTAGTGAGGGAAACAGATATTAATAAAATATTGACACAAACATGTAAAGGTATAACTGTGACAAGTGCCATTATAGGGAAAAGGTTAACAGTGCTTTATAAGACTATAATGAGGGGATTATTTAAGTAACATTCCAGGGAGAAATTTGGACAATTACCTAAAGGAATGAGGACTAAACTCTGATTTTTTATTTTGCCCAAATTCCTATCTAAGGGGTCTGGGGAGTCACGCCCTATAAATCATGGATTTTCATTAGATGCGTTTTATTTGACCCCGTATATTGTGACTTGCTTTTCAATTGACTCTGGCATAACATTATGAGACAAAGAAAAAATATTTAACACCCAAAATAGATTTACTTGCCAAGCCTTGAAATTGCCCTGCAAAGTTTCTTGTTGGAAAAGTCCACGTTCTATAGAGAATCCCCTTCCCTCTTTGTTTTCCTCTTTTCTTTGCAGATCCAGTAGATAATCAACTAAAAGCCAGGCACCCTTTTAGCTCTGCGGAGAAACATTTTACAACCTGCTCTCTCTCTCTGAAATTTGCTGAGAGCTTCCTCTGCAAAATAAAACTTGGTCTCCACAATTATTTTTAACCTGAACATTCCTTTCTATCAATCCCAGGTCTTTAGACAAACTCAACCAATTGTCAACCAGAAAATGTTTAAATTTACCTATAGCTTGGAAGCCCCCGCTTTGAGTTGTCCCGCCTTTCTGAACCAAACCAACGTATTTCTTAAATGTATTTGATTGATGTCTCATGCCTCTCTAAAATATAAAAAACCACGCTGTACACTGACCACTTTGGGCACATGCTCTCAGGACCTCCTGAGGGCTGAGTCATGGGCCATGGTCACTCATATTTGGCTCAGAATAAATCTCTTCAAATATTTTACAGAGTTTGACTCTTTCAGTCAATAGAATTTAAGTATAATGTCAAATATAACTTTGTTTCACAACTAGTTGCATATTTTAACAAAGACATGGATGTTAATTTTTAAAGTATCATGTATTTCCCTATCTTTTAAAAACAAATATGTGGATAGAATTTTCTTAATAAAAATGCCTAAGGTCAACAGAATCATCAAATGTAAAAATTAATCTATGTTCAAATATACTTACATCTGCAGGAATTAATGAGATCGTTCCTACATTATTATGTGGTGCCTTCTTTGTTTTCTAGGATGGCTGACTAAAAGAAATGAGCATTTAGTTGATTCTGAATAAGGCACAGAGAGAGTAAATTCTTCAACCATGTTTAATATGAAGCAGCAAAAGAAAAGCCTAAATATCGTTATCTGCGCAAGAATGTGTGGATTCACAAATTCTTTTCAGACAGCTGTTCAGAAGATAGTATTATAGCCTCTGATCAATTTTGTCCTATCTACCCCTAAGTGGTATTTACTGAACAGAATCAAAAGAGCAAACTGGTAGGATTTCATTGGTGGAACTAAAACATGAAAGACAAATACTTCCAACGTGATTATTCATTATAATCAGGTTGAGCATTCCAAATTTGAAAATCTAAAATCTAAAACTTTGTGAGCACCAACATGACACTCAAAGGAAATGCTCATTAGAGTATTTTGGATTTTCAGATTAGAGATCCTCAACCAGTAAGCACAATGCAAAAATTAAAAAAAAAAAAAAATTCCAAAATTCAAAAAAACTTCTGGTACCAAGCATTTTATATAATAGATACTAAACCTGAAGAAGAATATTTGTCTAGTCTAGAGAGAGTAGGGTATCAAAAAAGAAGAATGAAGGGGCTAAGGAAAGGGGCTTTACTTGCTAATGTATAAAACAAAAGGGTTAGATTATATGATACGGAAAGTCTTTTTCTAGCTCCAAAATTTTATGATTATTATGCATGATTAGAAAAGGGTACAAGAGAATAAGAAATGACAGTTAATAGACTTTTACTTTATATCCCTATTCTCTCATAGAGAGTCTAGTATATAGTAAATTTTCAAATATACCAATGAATGAATTAATAAACTATAAAAAATGCTCACAGACCCCAAAAAGCAATTTACTCACTTAGAGTAGAAGGAAAAAGAAAATGTATATCTCCAAGAGAAACAACATATTAGAGTACAATAGTTGACAACAACAGGCAATCACAATGAGAACCCTGAGGCATCAAAAAGAAAAAAATAAGAAAGAAATAATGTTCCCAATTTCTTGTTTAGAAAATTAAAGAAATGGCAAGATCATGTTTTATTTTCATCATTAAGTGTGGTTAAAATACTTTATTACTTAGCAAAGCTAATATTCAATTTTCTGGAAGATTCATTTATGTAGAACAGCTCATGCCTCTGCAATGTTTAATGAGGTATTAAAATCTATTTATCCTGAATACTTGCATGGTAATAAGCCAAGTTGAACAGGTCAATTTTTAACTTATAACATATGTAGCTAGTGCTCATCCCAGATTAAAGATTCACCCCTAATTATATGCAAGTACAATAAATTTTATTTAATTCATTGATTGTATGCACTGATACTTTCTTCAAAAGCATTCAGATCATGATATGTATTGCATGTCATTTACCTGCTCCAAACTATCCAATGACTTCTCATCATAAGAATAAAATACAAACTCCTTACCATGGCCTATAAATTCCACATATGGCCCTGCCTACCTCTCTGACAATGACTTCTACTGCTGTCTCCCCATTTCATTATTCTGCTTCAGCTGCAATGACTTTCTTAGCATTCCTAAAACACTTCAGTCTTGTTTTGGCCTCCTGGCTTTTTTATTTTTGCTTACTGGCAGGCATTACCTCCAGATATTTGCAAATTGTAATCCCTCACTTCATTATTCAGGTCTCTTCAAATGCCACTTTACAGAGGCTTTCCCTAAAGAATCTATCTAAGATAGTGTCACCCTGCCTTTGCTTCTCCAATCCCTTACTAGGTTTATTTTTCTTTCTTGAGTTTAGCACTAATTGGAAAGTATATGTTATCTGGTTACATATTTATTGCTTGTTTTCCCTCTAGAATGTAAGCACTGTGAGAGCACGGAGTTCATCTGCACACCAGCACCTAGGACACTGCTTGTCAAATATTTAGGACCCAATAAATACTTGTTGAATAAATGAATGAATAAACCAGTACAGTTTTAATAGACTTATAGCATGTTACCATTTGTATTTTTAAAAGATATATATGTATATGCATGGTCATTCCCAGAAGGGTACACAAGAAATTGATAATACCACTTTCCCTATAGAAGGGAAATATGAAGGTCTGAGTGAGAGACAGGTTTATTTTCCATTTCATATTCTTTTGTAATATTTAAATTTTAAACAAGGTCTAGGTATTTTTATTTCAAAACAGACAAACAACAACAACAAAACCACTATTAAAATTTACCTTAATCGCAACATTTAATTTAGTAACAATAAGTTATATTTTCTATTGAGCTCATATCCCACAAATAGAAATGTACTAACAATTGACATACTCTTACTAAATCGTCATAACAACCTATGACATAAACCCTGTACTGTCATTCCTATTTTATTAAGGCAGAAAGTGTAATACAGAGAAATTAACTGGCTAAAGTCACACAACTGAGGAAGCACATGCCATGGGATTTGAACTCAGACTGACTGAATCTAAAGGCCAAATACTTAATCACTACTCTCCCTGATGTAAATATATAACCCTCAGAAATTTTCTTATAGAAGTTAAAAATATATATATTGCTTACTTTTTTAGAAATTTTAAAACATTTAATTGGCAAAGATTGTATAAAACGAAGATGTACAATGTGATGGTCTCATATTCTTATACACAATGGAATGATTACCACAATTAAATTAATACGTCTATCACCATTGATGCTGTACATTAAATGCCATGAACTTATTTATCTTATAACTTAAAGTGTACCCTTTGACCAAAATCTCCCTATTTCCCCCAAAACTCAGCTTCTGGTACCACTCTCTTATATTTCCTTACTTTTGATAGAAACCTCAGGGCCTGGCACAGGAGCTCTTGAATGTGAAAATAAAACTGATTATGATTTCTCTGTACTTGTCAGATATCACAGAGTGGCCATTCTCAATAAGTATGCTTTAACAATGCTTAGATTAGGTTGATATGGTGATAATTATTAATAATGAACAACAATGCTTTTCATTTGAGTATGTACACTCTGTCTCATGCATTATAGTAAACACTTGACATTCGTCATTGCATTCAATCCTTATAATAATCACGTAAGGTAGGTTGTAGTAGTATTTCCATTTTACAAAAACAAAGACTTAGCCTTAGGATAAGTAACTTTTCCAAGATGACGTAACAAGTGGGCAACCAAATGTCAAATATAAGTCAATTCAGTCAAAGATTCACCCCTAATTTTATGAAAGTACTATAATAAATTTAATTCATTGATTGTATTCACTGATACGTTCATCAAAAGCATTCAGATCATGTGATGCATCACATGGCATTCACCTGCTCTAAAGTCTCCAATGACTTCTCACCAGAAGAATAAAACACAAACTCCTTAACGGGTACAAATCTAAAGTCCATGTTATTAACAGCTAGGTTCTACTGGAATCAGAAGAGAATGCTTCCAAACAATGATACAGAAGTAGAGTGACAGTTATGATATATTAAATACAAACTCAAACCTGAATTAGATTCAGATTCAACAAACACTGTATAGGACTGAAAACGATACTCAACACTATCATCTACAGTCCATCTTAAAGCTCTTTTTGGAATATCAGTCTTGGGGGCACTACTCCCACCAACTTACAACCATCAGGGAAGAATAAAAGGTTCAACTGGAGGGAAGGCCGGCACTGACAGCTGAGCTATTTTTTTTCCTCTTAGTTTTCACAGTTGTCAGCAAAAAAAAAAAAAAAAAAAAAATCATTTTTATCGTGTCTCTTAATTGATTTGGGGTATTTCTATGATGGGACAAGATGCACTTTCAATATAAAAATATTATGTATTTGTAAATACTTTTCAATAGTAGAAGAGGAAGGGCTGGGTGCCCTGCCTCACACCTGTAATTCCTGCACTTTAGGAGGCCGAGGCGGGCAGATGGCTTGAGGTCAGGAGTTCGAGACCAGCCTGGCCAACACAGTGAATCCCCGTCTCTACCAAAGATACAAAAATTAGCCGAGTGTGGTGGCAAACGCCTGTAATCCCAGCTACTCGGGAGGCTGAGGCACGAGAATTGCTTGAACCTGGGAGGTGGAGGTTGCAGTGAGCAGCGATCACGTCACTGCACTCCAGCTTGGACCACAGAGCGAGACTCTGTCTCAAATAAATGAATAAATAATAGAAAAGGAGATTAATTACTACTATTAAAGGCAGATAATCTTTTAAGTTTTTTTCTTTGTGATTGTGCTTTGTAGATAATCTTTGTTTATTGAAATAGTTCTTACAAACTATGAACTTAATAAGAAGCACTATCTAGTCATTGGATATCACATTCTCTAGCATCAAAGTTTATAAAAACCTTACAAAAACGAAACAGGAGGCTAGACGTGGTGGAATGACACTAAAAATTAAAATCTGTAGAGTGCCTAAATTTCTACCTAATTATCCATAATCTAAACTATATATTATACCACAAAATCAGTTCATTCTGGTCAAATACTCTCTTCTCATATAATAAACAGCAGTCAGTCTTGGCTTCTCTGTAACTGAGTGACTAATGAGCTCCTAAAAAAAAAAAAAAGTCCTGCGGAAACCAAGAACAGACTATAGGACTGATTCTAAATGTTTACAGTTTAATTTCATCTGCAGAGCATTTGCCAAACAGTATCTCTTCCGTACCTCATCTGATCCTCGGCAATCCCGTTAGGCAGTCAGAGCGGCTTTTATCTCGATGCTACCTACAACTGGGGCTCAGGAGGGGTTCCCGATTGACCAGTGCAAGACTAACAGTTAAAGCTCTTCAGACAAAAATTTTATGCAGTGATGAACAAAAGCTCCTCGTTTGATAGGTAAGCCCCTGGGTACGCTTATATGTGAGTCTGAAACAAAACACTCCCAATTTGGAGTCCGGAAAAAAGCTGACACTACAAGGTGCTGGGCAGTTAAAGTTCTCTGCCAGTCTGGGAAAGGGGCCAAGATGCCCTTTAAAACTTAAGACTTCCTCTCAGGACTTAAGGAGATCCCTGCCCTTCCAGCTGAGCAGTCGAGGATTACGGTCAAGCAGAGCTGTGCTCTTAGCAGGTTCTCGAATCCCTTTTTCCTTTCACTTTCTCCCCAGGTACCCTGATCCCCCACCCCTCAACGCTTCTGTGTTTGTCAAGAAGCCCACCTGGTCTTCTAGACCTGAAGCGGCAGGACCCTCCGTTCCCAATAATACAAGTCACCAAAAGGAGCGTCCCAGAGTCCAGTTTTACCTTCATGTGCCTCTCACTCACTTCAGGCCCAGGCCAGGTTACCGCAACCACTTCACTTTAATGTCCGCCTCCCAGCGCTTCAGACTCAACCACAATATTCAAACCCAAGCCACTTTCCTCAGCGCTTCGTTTCATTGGCTGCCGCTCGCGTGATGTCATCACGTCGGACGCTGTCACGGCTCGCGGCAGCTTGGCGCCAAGAAGCTCAGCCTGGCTGCGCAGGGGAAGCTCTTTGCTTGCTCGTCACCGTGGCAACGCGCGCGGCCGTTTCCGGAGGCGGTGGCCAAAGTGGGCGGGGCTAGGCCGGAGCTGCTGGTGGGAGGCAGCCACTTGAGATCACCAGGCCTCCTGTAGACCGGCGGGTGCAGGGCCCGGTCCCAGAGTTAAGGGTGTGAGTGAGACTGCTGCGGGCAGGGGTTGGCCTATGCCCTCTGCTAGGGGGAGAGGTGGAGTTTGGGTGTGGATTAATGGGTTCTGGGTGTTTATTTTCTTTTCTCTGAGTAGTGAGGCCTCCAAGAAGTTGTAGGGACCTGTTTCTTCCAGACACATTAATATGGGCCAAAATGTGGGGTCTCTTCACCTGAATTAATTGGAGATCTTTTGGGTTGAGGCCTCAGGCTTCATTTCTCAGGACTTCCAGGCCTACTCCCATTAGTACTGACCGTGAAACTATTTTCTGTTTGGTTACTTTTTACATTCTCTGTCTAATGATGGCATAACAAAATAAATTTAAAGATTTTGGCTTGGTTTATTATTAGGTGAAGTGATTTTTTTTAAGTCCCAGGTTATAGATATTATTTCAGCATAGACACTTTAAAAAGAGAGAAAATACCTGGAACAAATCGGAAATACGTTTGCTAAAATAACTTTATTTGGCAGGGTGTTTTTAATAACAGTATCTGAATTTCATTGTTCTATATATTACTGTTATTGTATCCATTTAGCAATTATTTAGATTTTAGACACAATAGTATGCAATGGAATCAAACTCTTCCCTCTTGGAGCTTATATTTTGTGGATTCAATATCACTTTATAAATAGGATGACTCATACCCATGCAGAGTATTATAAATGCAACAATATATGGAAACCTCTGTATTATGGACATTTATTTCCTGTTGAGGAAAATCGGGAGTATTGTGTACTGTATGTGATGCATGTTATATTATTGTTTCTGATCACTAGACAGAGGATCAATAAAGCTACTACTTATTTTTGGCTGTATTACGTGTATCTTAGCTAATGAAATGGTTATTTGTGTGCTGCTGGTCTTGGTAATAAAATCGAGATGTCTTTATTTCCAGTAAGAACTCATTGTATAGTACTTTACGTTTTGACTTCCCAGGTATTTTATTAGTCCCTTTACATATGGTCTCTCAGTTAATTCTCAAAACAGCCCATGAGACGTAGGTAATATTATTTTCATTTTTCTGAGAGAAAACTGAAGTTTTCAGAAAATTCCTAACACAAAATTTTGTCTTGAACTATACAGGCAAGGCAATTCAGAATTGAGTCATTTGTCTCTGAAATACTTTCTGGATTAAGTGACATTAAGAGAATATCTTAATCCAGTCTGAAAATATGCATATTTTGCCAGTTGCTTGTAAAATTGCATGGATCATTGGTGAAGAATAGAAGTGTTTTAAAGTTTGTCTTTTTTGACACCCACATTGTATAAGGTTTATCAGTGCCACAGATGTTTTCACACCTAATCCAAGTACTTTAGATTTCAAATTCAGTGTTACACTTGCCATTTAACAGTGTTCAGATGATGAGGTCCATATTTTAAAGGAATTGTACATTTGGTTAAAGCAGAGAGATTTTGACATTACAATCAATCCCACTACTGTGCCACCTTGCTCCTTGTAGTTTCTAAACATAGAGCTAATGAGACAGAAATTCCCACTTTTAGTTAAAAATTGGAGTATAACTGCTGTGTTATCAGAATACAAGTTTAATATACTTTCATTGTAAACCAAAGAGCAGAGATAAGGATAAATGAAAAGTTAGATTTAAAGTTGTTTCAGACCAAAAAATAAAAATGGAAAAAGTAAAAGTGAATTTAAACATGGCAATAGTGAGGTCTTATTTATTTCCCCCAGGAAAGTCGTTTGGAAACCCCAGGCCAACAGGACCCTTTGGCAGCTGAGGCTGGAAACAGCGGAACCAAAGGCAGACGGTCCTCAGTTGCTTGGGCGGACGTGGACCCAATCTGTCCGTCCTTACAAGTTTCCCCCAGGGGCAGGACCTAGACGCGCGGCGCATTCAGGTTCTCCTGGACCGTAGTGGTAGTCGCTGGCCCGAGTTAGAGGCCAGCTGAGAAGTCTTCGTGCTTCAGGTGAGGAGAAGGGGACCGAGTCCCGGGAACTCGTTTTGGAAACCACCAAACCTTTGGGGGTACTCCACAGGGGTCGCTGGATTCGTCCGGAGCAAAAGAAAAATACGCCCCTGACCCTCTCCCTCTCTTCAACACGCCTTCAACCTGGGTTTGGAAGTTTCCGAATAGTTTTTCCTCGTCAGAGCGTAATTCTTAGGCAAAAGGGTGTATTTTTCTCTTTCCTTAGAACCTCTTTCACTTTCTCAGCGTTCGTGTGCCAGCCGCCACGTCGCGTTTTTGTCCTTAAAAATTACATTTTCAAACAGGATTTCCCTGCCAGACAAAATTGACTGCAATGATTATAATTGTTAGAGCCCTTGAGGGAGTATCCTTCATGGGCATCACTCACCTGTGTGTTTTCACAATTAAAAGAGTAATCTGGCAATTTTATGCTCTCAACAGCCAAAAGTGAACTTTGCTTGTAGAGAAAAGTTAAATGACTTAACTAGGAGATCACAGAGGCAGTTTTCCTGACTCCCTGCTTCCTTATGACCAGAGGGAACTTAATCTTAAATCATTTAGGGTAGCTGGCCACTAGCAGACTGCAGGAGAGCTCCAAGTTGTCTGGTAGGAAACTGGGCTCCAAAAGAGAAGAATATAATTTTCTTTAGAGCATGCCACACCCCCAGCTTCCATTTTTTTAGGGAGGTATTGCAGGAAACAAGAGGCAAATGAACTATTTGTCACCCTTTCTCCAGGTTGACTCAAGTTGGCAGGCAATTAGTTCATAATAAAATATTCAGGCTTTGTGCCTTGACCATAGTTGAATAAACACATAGAGACTGAATGCAATAGAAAAAAATTAAATGCAAGTGATAGCGTTTTTTGTTTGTTTTTCCCCCGCTACTCTGCGTTTTCCTGTATAGTTCTTATTCCTATGTTAGAATTGATGATACTACTTTTCTTTTTAGTTATCAAAATCTGGACATATAGGGTAGGTTGTTCCAGAGTTCACTTTTTAGGCGTATACATTGTACGTTCATTACTGGGAACCCCGCAGCATACTGTTATTTTTAAGTGGAACAGAGCCAAGCCATTGGATGTCGGTTCCTTAATAAAATGAATCTATGAGATATTACAGATATATAGTCAATTTAATTGAAGTACTATTAAATTACATAAGTGGATTAAATAGTTCCAGTGGGCAATGTTTATAGCATGGAGATTGAGTTCAGGCTCTGGGGGTAGACTGTGTTACAATTTTAGCTTTACGGCTCTCTAGCTATGTGGCCTTTGGCAAATTACTTCTCTGTTTTCCCTGTCTATAAAATGGGAATAATATTTCAAGAGTCGTGGTAAGGATTGAATGAGGTAGCGCATGTAGTGTGGTTATAATAGTAAGTGGTGCTTAGTAAGTGCTAAATAAATGTTAGCTATTATTTTGTAAACTGTTAGAAACACTAAGTCAGAGGGTAGTTGAGCTTACTTTTGTACGCTTTCCAGAAACCTTAGGCATAATTAATAATTTGGCTATTTCATTGCTGCCAAGCAACCAAAAATCTACTTAGATCACTCATTCCCCCCCCCACCGACATTTTTTCAATGTCACATTTGCCACACAATTCTGCAGATTATAGCTTTGGTGAAGTTAACATATTATCCTCAAGGTAACATCTTGTTGATGTTACATCATATTTGTATTTCTTTGTGTTTTATTACGTGTGATCAGCTTTTCAACGTTTTTAATTTTTTTTATTGCAAAAGGAAAGACAGACATATTTAAGTGGGATTTATGCTTCTTGTAGTATTTTGAGAACATATGGTTTTTGGTGGGGTCAGTCATGCAGGGGAAATTTCCCAAAGTGAGGATTGATAACAATGCTAATTCTGTGGAGTCTGGAATTAATCCATTCATTCATTTTCTTCAGAAAACATTTATTAAGCACTGATGTGCATCTTATTTTGTGTATACGAAGGTGTGGGTCATATTCTTAAATAACTAATAACCTGTAAGGAAAGAATAGTGTTAACTGGGTAGTATCAAGCGGTGTTTACTGTGGTAGTATCAAAAACTTTGCTTGAAACCAGCTGGGTATAAAATGCATGGTGTTTTCAAAAGGTCTCCTGTTAATATATGTACATAAATCCTTTTTTTCTTCTGCATTTTAAAGAGTTATGGATTGCTGAAGAAAATGGAGCACCTATGGTAAATCCAAGGAATATATCAATTATTTGTTTTTTGGGTGCCGGGGACAGATAATTAAAGGTAGACATGAAATACCGAAGTGTGCTCAGTTGAGTGTTTATACAGTCATAGTTTAAACTGATATACACTCCACTGATACAGGGTACAGGGAGATGATCTCGTCAGAGAATCGGACTGATAGACTGATTATCTTTTTTATTTTTTGGATGTGCATGCGTAGTCTTTTCCCAGGGATAGTCTCTGAAGATGAGAATTTAGCATTGTGAGAAAAACAAATACAAGAGCTTGAAATAGAAGACCATCTGAATCTAAAATGTAATACTTTTAATCCGTTCAGTCATCCTGATTACTTTTCAAATAAACAGTTTTAATTCATTGAATCTACTTTTTAGCCTTAATTAAAATTCAAAAAAGTATGTTTCATAAAAATGTTGACCTAATAATCAATTTTCATATCCCTAATGGTTAAAATGTTAATGATATTAGAATGTATTAGGCTACATTAAAAATTGTATTTAAATTATGTTTAAATTACGTCTCTGGGTCCTCTTAGGTTCCTTGCTTTGTATATATAAGAAGGGTTTGTCACCTTTACTTGTTTAAGATGTTAGGATCATGAGTCTTAACTTTTTTTTGATGTGCTAAATATTGCATATTAATTTGATTTTCCCCAAGTATTAGAACATTCTTTTAAAAAAATCCAACAATCATATTTTAATTTTTTTTTCTAGATTTGTTTACCTACAAAATGCTTCGGTATCCATATTTTTGTAGAATGTATAAAGAATGCCTTTCATGTTGGTTGGAATCTGGCATACCTAATTTAGGTGTCTGGCCAAACAGAATACATACTACAGCAGAAAAATATAGAGAATATGAAGCCCGGGAGCAAACAGATCAAACTCAAGCCCAGGAGTTACACAGATCTCAAGATAGAGATTTTGAAACTATGGCTAAATTACATATTCCAGTAATGGTGGATGAAGTTGTTCATTGTTTGTCACCACAAAAAGGACAGGTGAGTTGAATTTTTATTTTTTAGCAAGTTTTTGTTGAGATAAAATTCACTTATTGTAATATTCATTATTTTAAGGTATACAATTCAGTGGCCTTTAGTATACAGATGAATCCCAACTTTTGATGGTTGATGCGAAAGTGATACACATTCAGTAGAAATTGTACTTTTCAGTGCCATACAACCATGCTTTTTTTAACTTTCAGGACAATATTCATATAAGTTACATGAGATAGTCAATAACTTGATTATAAAATAGGCTCTGTGTTAGCTGATTTTGCCTAACTGTAGGGTAACGTAAGTGTTCTGAGCATGTTTAAGGTAGGTTAGACTAAGCTATGATGTTCGGTAGGTTAAGTACTTAAATGCATTTTTGACACATGGTGTTTTCAACTAATGAAGGGTTTGTCAGGACATAACCCCCTTGTAAGTTGAGGAGAATTTGTATTGATAAGCTTATGACCACTGTTTAATTGAGGAATGTGTTTGTCATCCCAGTATGAAACCCCATTCCCATTAGTATTCACTCGCCATTGACATCCTTCCCCCAGCCCCTGACAACCACTAAGCTATTTTTTTTGTCTCTATGAATTTGCTTATTCCAGACATTTCATTTAAATGGATTCATAGATATGTGGCATTTTTTATCTGCCTTCTTTTACTCAGCATGTTTTCAGGGTTCTTCCATGGTGTTGCATGTATCTGTACTTGGTTCTTTTTTATTGCTGAATCATTGCATTGTATGGATATGCCACATTTTGTTTATCCGTTAACCAAATGATGAGCATTTATATTGTTTCTGCTTTGTGGCTATTGTGAATAATGCTACTACGAACATTCGTGTACAAGTTTTCTTTTCTTTTTTTTGAAACAGAGTCTTGCTCTGTCACCTAAGCTGGAGTGCAGTGGTGTGATCTCGGCTCACTGCAACCCCCGCCTCCTGGGTTCAAGCGATTCTCTTGCCTGAGCCTCCCAAGTAGCTGAGACTATAGGTGAACACTACCGTGGCCGGCTAATTTTTGTATTTTTAGTAGAGATGGGGTTTCACCATGTTGGCCAGGCTGGTCATGAACTCCTGACCTCAGGTGATCCTCCTGCCTTGGCCTCCGAAAGTGTTGGGATTACAGGCTTGAGCCACCATGCCCGGCCTTGTACAAGTTTTGGTATGTACATATGTTTTCAGTTCTCTTGGGTATATATATCTAGGAGTGGAATTCCTCTAGGCTTAACTTTTTGAGGCTGTGACAAACTGTTTCTCAGAGTTGATTGGTTTTGTCAAATTACAGTCTTAAAAGAAAAAGAACATTACACTGGCTGAGTGGTTAGGGTATGAAAACTGAATCCAGTAGAGCTTCTTGAGAATTTTATTTCATAATCCTTTCAGGAATGGCTGGAGACAAAGATATGAATCTGAATTCCTTTTCCTGTTTTCTAAGCCTTGGTTTTCAACTACCCTGAAGTATTAGAGTTCCCCAGAGAATCAAAACCAACAGACAGTTGACCCTTGAACAATGTGGGAATTTGGGGTGTTGACCCCTACAGAGTTGAAAATCCATGTATAACTTTTGATTCTCCAAAAAATTACTAATAACCTACTATTGACCAGAAACCTTGCTGAAAACATAAACACATATTTCTTTTTTTCTTTTTCTTTCTCGTTTTCTTTTTTTTTTTGAGATGGAGTTTTGCTCTTGTTGCCCAGGCTGGAGTGCAATGGCATGATCTTGGCCCACCGCAACCTCTGCTTCCCGGGTTCAATTGATTCTCCTGCCTCAGCCTCCCGAGTAGCTGGGATTACAGGCATGTACCACCACGCCCGGCTAATTTCGTATTTTTAGTAGAGATGGGGTTTCTCCATGTTGGTCAGGCTGGTCTCGAACTCCTGACCTCAGGTGATCCACCCACCTTGGCCTCCCAAAGTGCTGGGATTACAGGTGTGAGCCAACACACCCTTCCATAAACACATATTTCATATGTTATGTGTATTATATACTGTATTCTTACAATAAAGTAAGCTAGAGCAAAAATATTAAGAGAATCATAAGGAAGATAAAATATATTTACTATTTATTAAGTGGAAGTAGGTCATCATAAAAGTCTTCATCCTTGTCTTCTTGTTAAGTAGACTGAGGAAGAGGAGGAGGGGTTGATCTTGCTGTTGCAAGGGTGGCAGAGGCTGAAGAAAATCCACAAATAAGTGGACTTTCGCAGTTCAAACCTGTGTTGTTCAAGGATAAATCGTGTGTGTGTGTGTATACCCATACACATATATATGTGTGTATATATATACACATACATATATGCATGTATACACAGACACACACACATACACATACACACACACACACACACACACACACACACAACCCTACCGATTTTGGATTTACCAGTGCACCACAATCTCCTAAGCCAATTCCTTAACATAAGTCTCTCTCTTTATAGAAAGAGAGGATTAAAGGATTACATAAGATCTTTCATTATGACCTTATATCATAATCTAGATATTTAATTTAGATTAAATTAAATAAGGTCTTAGATTATTATTTAAAGTCATAATCTAAGACCTTCTTTAATCCTGCCATGAATACTGTAAGGTAGGTATGATCTCTTTAAAGCAATGTAAAAAATGTTGGTTGATATAATATTGAAAACGAAAAAGCTAGAAACTTTCTGATATGTATATTCATTCACAAGAGAAAAAAGTATTGTAGATTGTCTTCAATTTTTAAAGATAATTTAATGCTTATATTTCTTAGTGTACTGACTTCAGAAATGTGATCCCTTATTCTAGAAGCTACTGTTTTTATCTAAATCAGTTATTTTTATATCTTTCTTCTTTTTCCAACATACTGCTTAGTGGTTAAGAGCAAAGATTCTGGAACTGGACTGCCTAGGTTCTAAGCTCTTGTCTAGGAAACATGTGCATGTGTGCACACACCCAGCTTTTCTTTTTTCTGAAACTTTTTCATGTTGGATCAGGCAGTTTTCATGAACTAAATTTAAGCTATATGTATAAGGTGTACTACAATGGCTAGATGTTGCTCATACAAAAGCCATCAGTGATACGATGTGGGTTCTTCATAAAAATATTATTTACCTTCTCCTCAGGCAGTATACACAGGCAAGTTTACACACAAAATAAATCCAGCATTCTTTAAAAAATTTTTTTTTAAATTTTAATTGTTCTAGAGAGAGTCTGTCTCTGTTGTTGAGGCTGAAGTATGGTGATGTGATCATAACTCACTGTAGTCTGGAACTCCTGGGCTCAGGTGATCCTTCCTGTCTCAGCTTCCTGAGTAGCTGGTCCTATGGGTGTGAGCTGCTGCACCCAGATAAACCCAGTATTCTTAAATGAATTTACGTGTATAAAGTATTTAGCTCAATGCTGTCATGTAGTGGGACTCCAAATATACATGAAAATGTAAATTAAAATATTAAATTGGATAAAACTTCTTGTTGAATGTGAGTGACTTCATCAAAATGAAATTCTCTTCGTGCTTTAAAAAGATCCATAATGCAGGGGTAACAATTAAAATCCATACATAAGTGTGAGTTTTAAAAAATGTATATTGAAATATATGTGATATTTGTTAGTGTGTGTATATATACATACATATATACACCTATATATGTATGTGTGTGTGTGTGTGTGTGTGTGTATATATATATATATATATATATATATATATATATATATATGAAAGGATAGGGGCAGTTAGTAAAAATTGGAACCAAATTCAGTGGCTTGAACTTGACTTCTGAAACTAAAAACCGAAGCACATTGTATTAGTTTATTAAACCCTAGTAACAAAGCCAAATGCTTATGTTGCACTAAGCCATGGAGTAGAAAAACAAACAAAAACAAATTGCACTACATCTTCTAGCAAATCAGTATTGTATCCAACTATTTTCTAAAACCAAGTGGAATAAAATTAGATAATTCTACAACTTGACCTACACTGCTGTTTCATTCTGTTCAAGTACCTACAAATGTAATGTTGGTTTATTTTGGCATTTTCCTTTTTCTGATTTGAGTTGGGTTTTCCAGTAACTTTTTATAAGAAGTTTAATGTTTCCAATGTTACTTCTAAAAACTTTCTTGTGAGGTACACTTAGAGACAATGTTATTTCTTACCTTTTCTGCTGTCTGGCAGACAGCTTTATTCACTATTCCCTTAATCTTCAAGTAATAAAGAACTGGTGACAGTCCTTGGACAGGAAAGGTCTTCATTTTGTCCATAATCCATTATTTGCTTCTCTTCTTCCTGAGCCTTTTCCCCAAAATCATTTTCCTTTTCAAACTATGAGTCATACACTCACTTGCATCAGTCACTTACTTACTTACTATTACCTTTTTCTGCATCACCTTCAATGATGAATTTACAGATGAAACTTTTTTTTGTTTTTTTGTTTTTTTTTGAGACGGAGTTTCGCTCTGTCGTCCAGGCTGGAGTACAGTGGCACAATCTCAGCTTACTGCAAGCTCCACCTCGCAGGTTCACTCCATTCTCCAGATGAAACTTTTGATGTAACAGGAACTTTAAAAAATATCTGAATGTATTTGAAGTGAGGTGCAAGGCATTTTATAGTTCTTTTTTCTTTAATACTTGAAAGGTGCTCACCTAAAGAAAATAGTGATTTTGGGAATTTCTTTAGCATCATAGCTAGTTTACTACCTATGTAGTTTACTACAGATTTGTTTTTCAAATACACTTAAAATATTTACTAGTTTTAATTATGAGAAAAATATCCTCTTTCTCTTGGAAGGTATTTAAAATTTTAATTGTTAAGGAGAAATTAAAGAAATTATAATTATTTCTCCCTGCTTAGTTTGCATCATTTCATATTCTAGGTGAATAACTTTTTGTGAAAATGTATTATCCTAAGAACTTTTTTTTTTCTCCTGGAGATATTTTAGTCTGGGCTAATAGATTAACTTTTTATTCTTGATTTCTGAAAACTGGAGAAAAAAAAGTTTGGTTATTTTCTAAATAGCTAAATTCTGCTTAGTTTAAGATGGTAGCAGTTTGGAGAGTATAGGAAACCTGATACTCTTGCCCCAGTAGTAGTGCTAATTTAGCTTGGTGCCTTGGGGCTTCTTTGAGTGTTATTATAAGGGTACAAGTACCCCACTAGTACAAGTAGCTGTGCAGTTTGGTCAATTAACTTTCCATGGTTGTGCCTCAGATTCCTTATCTGTAAAATAAGGAAAGAGAACCTATCTCACTCCTGGTTACTGTAAGGATTAGATGAGTTAATATACATAAATTGTTTAGAATTGTATCTTCCAAGTAGTTGAGCCCAATAAACATTAGCTGTTACTATGGGAATAGAAAGAGTCAAAGTTGTTAGCTAGATTAAAAAAGAAATTCAGGAGAAAAATGCAAGGGGAGAGCAAAGGTGGAACCAACCTGTCTGGAACTGAAAAAGTACTGTTTCCTCTTTCTGGAACTCTCCTCATCTTCATCCTTCAGGCCTGGAGTCAGGTTTTACCTTTTTATGGGAACTTTTCATGAGCCTCCACAGAAGACAGGTATCCCAATTATATATCATGTACTTTTCTTCATAGCAACTTAATAAGTCATAATTATAATTATGATGAGATTATTTGTTCAATATACACCTCTCTTAGTAGATTGCCCTCCATGAAGCCATGGACATATTTGTCTTGCTTACCATTATATCTCTAGTGCTTAGCACAAGGCCTGCCACATGGTAGTTTTGTAATGATGTTTTAAGTGAATGAATAAAAGTCAAAGTAAACTAGAAGACAGATGTGAGGCACCAATAAGAGGAATGTCCCTTGGGTACTGAGGTAGCTTCTCTGGCTCAAGACTTTTATATAATTTCAGCGTCAGTATGGCAGGCCAGGTCTGATCAAGTAACTGATCTGAAAAAACAGATACAAAGGCTGAGAAAATAAGCTGGCACCTAAACGGAAGCAAAATAGATTATGATGACAAATAGTTTAAATTTGCTAGGTTCGGTTATAAATATTTCAAAGTAAGTTTTTACCTATTTTAAGTTATAATGTTTAGTATTACTTTTTATAATTATTAGATTTTCTATAGTTATGGTACTAGCTTTGATAATTTTCTTTATTAAATGCATTATGCTCTGTACAATGGAATTTTCTTAAGATCAGTAGCAGTATTTTACTTGTTTTATTTAAAAATCTTTGCAATCTTTAATGGAGAGTAGACATCAAAGAGAAAAATACTAAAACTGTATGTTTGCTCTCTTTAAATATTGGAGGCTGATGACGGGAGTTTATTTTGTTTGACTCCAAATTGTTAAAGAGAAACTTTTCTAAGGAATAGGACCAATGGCATAGCACCTAGAGGGAGATATCTTTTTAAATTTTTTTTGAGACGGAGTCTCACTCTGTCGCCCAGGCTGGAGTGCAGTGGGGCGATCTTGGCTCACTGCAAGCTCTGCCTCTTGAGTTCACACCATTCTCCTGCCTCAGCCTCCTGAGTAGCTGGAACTACAGGCGCCTGCCACCACATCCAGCTAATTTTTTTGTATTTTTAGTAGAGACAGGGTTTCACCGTGTTAGCCAGGATGGTCTCCATCTCCTGACCTCGTGATCTGCCCGCCTCAGCCTCCCAAAGTGCTGGGATTACAGGTGTAAGCCACTGTGCCCAGCCTTTTTTTTTTTTTTTCTTCTTAAGAAAAAACTTAAAATTTCATATGAGATGGACTGTTGATGTTGTGTTTTCCCTCTGTTATTTTTTAAAATACAGGTTTCTTTGAAGCAAATTTTATTTTACATTGCATTCTTCCTTTGTTTGGAGAATGTTCTAAAAAATGTAGCACATTAAGTGGCCTTTGTATTAAAATATCTTCTGAAATGTGACACTGCCAGTGCTGTTCTGGTAAAGGTTTAACACCTGGCTCTCTGGGGGTAAGGGGTGGTATGTGAATTAAAAAAAAACAAAAAAAAATCCTGATTTTAGTATTTGCAAATTTCCATGGGGTACGTTCCTGATGTCATGGAATGTAGATTTAGTCTCTGCCTATTTCTTCAACTTCTGTTTCCCTCTTCTTGAATTTTGTATCAATCACGATGCAGTTTTCCATACACTTTGTAGTATTTGATGCTTCTGTGCCCTTATACTTGCCCTTTTCCCTGTGACTTGTTGGTCTGAGAACATCTTGTTCATATTTCAGTATCTGGGTTTGTCAACTTATCCTTCTTAAAGTTTCTCTGCAAAGTTATTCACTCTTTCTTCTCTTGACTGCTTCAGAACCTTGTCCTTTTTTTCTCCTTTTTTCTTTTTTTAAATTTTAATGAGTACATAGCAGGTGTATGTATTTATAGGGCACATGAGCTGTCTCAACACAGGCATTCAATGTGTGACAGTCACGTCAGGGTAAATGGGTCATCTGTCATCTCAAGCATTTATCATTTCTTTGTGCTCTGAACATTCCAATTATATTATTTTAGTTATTTTAAAATGTACAATAAATTATTGTTGACTGTTACCCTGTTGTGCTTTTAAATAATCTTATTCATTCTACCTAACTATATTGAACCTTGTCCTTTTTAAAATTATGGAGTGTATTACATTGTATTATAATTATTTCTTCATTGTTATTGATTGGAAACTTATTAAGAATAAAGACAATGTCTTTTTCTTCTTTGCTTCCCCAGCACCAGTATAGTGCTTGACTCTTAGTGGGAGGGCAATAAATATTTATTTTAACTGTAGTTGAACTGATGATTTATTAGTGTTATCAGTTGATTTAACTTAATTGGCTTTTTAATTTATGCACTGGGACCTGAGGAGAGTGCTGTCTTTGGGCCCTGTGCTATACAAAAATTTGTTGCTTCATTTGTGTAATAGATTTAGAAAGAAGAAATTTTGACACTTCTAATAAACCTTAAAAGGGTTTCAAAATATTCTTAACCTGAACTTTCCAACATAGCTATTAATGGTTTATAACAGAACTTGAGAATGACAACATGTTATTAATATTATAGTACACATTTTAGAAGCGAATTATCTTTTTGAAGAAAACAATTTATTTTTCATATTTATGGTTTTTAGAAATAGACAATTGTTTTATGATGATATCTTAAGCAAAATGAATATTGTTGCTTTATTTTACTGTTGAAGGTTCTATATTGAAGATTTTTTCTATGAAAACTTTTAAAGCATATCTTTGATATGTGTTTAAAAGTCTCATTAGTATTGGATTTTATGATAAGCTTTATGTTTATTATATGCAATATTTTAAGAGTGGCATGTTTATCTGTTATTTGGGATAAATGTAGCATTTATAGGTAACTCGCACTGCCTGGCAATGTGATGAATATTTTGCATGCTGTTGTTAAGGTATTTAAAATCTTTAGGGAGTCAAAGTAAATGCAGAACTACTAGACAACAATTAAATGTTGAATTCTTATATTTGATCATTTAATAAATTGTATATGATATTTTTAGTTAATAAAAGTTATAGTTTATTAAAACTGTAATGTGTATTAACTCCATCTTACTCACTCAAAGTATCAAGTTTAGAAATTCCTCTTACAGAGTCTTGGTGTGAGGAGTGTGGGAATATGAATCCTACAGGTAAATTTAACATTTTTTTAAAATGAGAATGTTTATGGATTATATTTTTTATAAAATGCTTTGTTCATATCATGTTATAAAATGTGAAAAACTGATGCAGAAATTAGTTTTCTTGGTTATCTCTTCAAATCCTAGTATATAGATGTGTGTATATGTGTGTGTGTGTGTGTGTGTGTGTGTGTGTGTGTGTGTATATATATATATATATAGTCTTTTAGGTAAATGAGGTAGTTATGCCTAAAGTGTTACTTAATCTCTTTAACAGTTTTTTAGAGTTTTAGAAGTAAACATTATTTATAACTAAAATGAAAATAACATATTTTTTCATGCTTATTTTTTCCATAATGACGGGTTAACATTTAAAATATTGTTTTTATATATATATGTATATAGGTGTGTATATATACATTTATGTATACATATAAGTAACTATATAATTAGGTTTTCATATTCAAATCTAATAATTACAGTGTATATTGAATGTATAACTTTTTTTTAAAATTTGGCATTCATGAAAATATGCTTGTTTTTCTACCACTGAATTAATGCATTTTCATCATATATAATTCTCTTTATTTGAATTGTGAAGCAAATTATTACTAGGACATCAAATAATTAAGACCAACAACTTATTCAATTATTTTTCCTATCCAGTGGCTTTAAATTATCTTTTTTCTAGTTGTTCTTTCTCATGGTCCCAAACTAATTCTTTGCTACTAAAATATAAGAATTAAGATAAAAAAATCAAGCTTCCAAGGTAATTAGAAATTAGTTTTTAAAATTAACCAAAAAATTATGGTTTCATAGTTGATAAAAATGTTACACTCTCATGTTTAAAAATCAGACGTATGTACTGAATCCAAATTTTAAATTTGCTTAAGAGCCATTCTTCTGGTTCAGGAAATAGACATGACCCAGGCAGAAAACAGGTTCATTGTATATGAGAAGCTCATAGAAAGAAAAGGGAGAAACGAGTGAGGTTTTTCTGTTCCTAAAGCACATACACACGAGTCATCCTCAGTACTTGTTACTCTCTAGGTCAGCATTAGTCCCTGATCAATAGTCTAATCATAGTTACTGCAAGAGTCTAGGCTTAGTGGCTCTGTCTTTTCCCATTGTTCCCCTAAGTTGCATGTTGTTTTATGAAGAGTGGTAGGAAGTGTACCTTGACCTTGTGATTCTCATAACATTTTATTTTACTCTTCTTCCACTGCCTTCTCCTCATGTAACAAACTACTGAGCTGAGGTGTAAGTAGCATACGTAAAATGTTATTTTACAATAAACCAAGTTGCAAGGCCTTATGGTGACTCATCTTATAATGTTCTGTAAACTCTCTTTTTTCCTTTGTGGTCAGTTGCTAGTAGTTGTCCCCTTTGGGTGAAACAAATACCAGGAGGTAATATGCATTTAAATGTTTTATTTTTCTTGGTGAATATTGCTTTAGAAAGTATGTGCATTTTTTATAGCTACTTATTTTCTCTCTGTTGGTCTGTATAAACTATTTCCTTTGTTCTTCAATGTTTGAGATGTCATTTTATCAAATTACATGCTAATTTAGGCATATATTTTTTATCTTTGTCCTATTTGGCCTGTGTCATCTGTAATAGGTTTCTATATAATTAAATTTCAAGATAAAACTGAAATCTTTCTTTTGTTACATGTATTTTTCTTTCTGGCAAGCAAAAGAAGTAAACTGTGGATATTTAATATATTCATAAAGATGGAGAATTTCCCACTTGAGGCGAGTATACACTGGGAAGAAGATTATTAATAATAACAACATAGAGTTGTATAAGATTTTACTGTTTATGAAGCACTTTTATATATTATTGACTGTGCTTTTCATTAATACTAATTTCAGTAGTGTTTTGTGCAAAGTATCATGTCAGATATGGAAAGAAGGACAGGAAATGTCTCTAATGCATATGTTTTACTGGAACCATATAGTAATAAATGACATTTTTTGGACTTGAATGCTTCTAGCTAATAATCAGGTTATACAGTATGCTTTTTCCCCTCAAACCTAAGTGTTCTTATGTTCTAGAGGACACCCTAGAAGATCTTCAGAGCTTGTTATCAGGCCCCTTAATCCCTTAGGACAGCTATTTGGCCTAACGTTACTAGAGAATAGATCACTAGCCCCCTGAGCACTTGTGACTATGCCCAAGCTCAGTCATTTGGAGCACGTTATGCTGTTCTTGTCTTCATAACCCTCTGCAGAGGAGTGCAGACACATCTAATTGGCTAGCTCACTGAATTTTTCAGAGCTTGATCTCAGATTGATCTCTCACTCGTGCAAGGAAACCTTATATTTATAATGACAGTATCAGAAGATAAATTGCTCAAAGAAAGATATGGGATAAGCCAACTAGAGCCATTAAGTGACTGAGGCTTAGAAATGAGGGTGGAGAGAAACTGTGGTGTTGAGGGAAATAAAAAACTGTAAGAGGATGACTTGAAGAAATGGAGTGTTAATACTAAAAAGGAAAGCAAAAACTCCATGAATTTCTGTCCTTTCTGTACGTTTTCCCTGCTTTCTCTAGCACCGAGGTACCATTAGTCTCTTGTCTATGGCTTTAATATTACTCTTAACTTTGTAGCAGAAATATGAAAGAATTAAAATTGACCTCAGTTTTATACCCCCTTATTTTAAATGACCTATATAATGGTTATATGAATACTTTAATTTTTCTACCGGTATAGAATATCATCGCCAAGACAGTTTCTTCTTTGAGCAATACATATGAAACCAACATTTTTTAGTAGAAAAACTTGATTTTTCTCCAATTTAAAATTACCGAAATAGTGAACTACTTTTATGAATGAAAATGTAAGTAACTTCTCTTGCTAGGGCCTGTTTTAGAAGTTAAATACAGACAGGTTTTTCAGAAAATTGAGATAACTGTGAGAGAGGAATGTTGTAGAATGTTTTCTTGTTTTTGTACTTATTTTTGTAATATCATGTTAGTAATAGAAACCATCCAGATTTTTCTAAAGTTATTAAGCTTTCCCCTGAGGAGTTTAAAGGCATGATTGATAGCATATAAAATAAATACTTTTATTTCAAGATTTCTTCAGAGTAGGTATTAAAATTTCTTTGAGCAATTTATATCAGGGATATATCAGTTTTGTTTAAGGTAAGTATGCCTTCTGAAAGCCAGGAGTAAGTTGTGTAGGGTCAAATTCTCCATTTCCTGTGAAATCTGTGTATAGATTGACACTATTCTGGTTTGATTGTGCTGATGATATTATATCTGAGTTCTATGCAGTTGGATAAACGAGTATCCATCCAAAACTCTGAAATTTTGTTTCATTTTTTTTATTTCAGTGTATTCTATTCTGAATTTTGGAACCAAGCTAGCTGATTTTACACGTTTGATTTTATGATTACATATGGAAAAAAATCAAAACCGCAATGTTACAGGTCTCTCACACCTTTCACTGTACTTCTGTAATAAAGGGAATTAGAATAATTTATTGGTTAAATAAGGTAACTATAAACCAATTTTTAACAAATTTGATTTTGAGTTACGATGATTGCGTATTCCAGGTACAACTTAAATTGCTGTAACTGTTTTGTTAAGTTCTTTTTTGGATAAAAAATCTTCTAAAATCTTATTTTTCTGAAATGTAAACTTACCTTATAGTATATGCATCTTAATTAAACTGTTCTTGATCGACTTAAGGTAGTAATTTTGAATATTTTTTGTTTCCGTATTCTACGCATCAGTGGAATTCTAAGTGACTTAATTCCTTATTTCTCCAAATCCACACATGGCTATGTATTTTTGGGTGCCTTTATTTCTTTTCAGCTAGTGCTTATATCTTAGTATGCTCACTCCAGCAATTGAATCTTCTTGACGAAATTTTCCAGTACATTTAATCTAAGCAAATTGGTGGGATTT
This sequence comes from Homo sapiens, assembly GCF_000001405.40. NCBI lineage: Eukaryota > Metazoa > Chordata > Mammalia > Primates > Hominidae > Homo > Homo sapiens. Next base: position 28,126,087 of record NC_000011.10, read on the forward strand.
TCTTGGTGAAAGTAGGTAGCACATTAAATCAGAAAACCTAGAGTACACATCCCACAGATATACACATGGCTGACTCTCTCACTCTGGTTGTTATTCAGATGTTACCTTTTCAGGGATGCCTTCCCTGGCCACCCTGTCTGAAATTTCAACTACCATCTTCAAATGTTTGGTATCCTCCTTCCTTGCTTGTTTGTTTGTTTTTTCCTTAGCACTTAACAGTGATATGCTGTATATACCATTCTCTTTTTCTTCTTAACTGTCTGCCCCTTCCTCCCCCAACTCCCTTCTCTACCGCCTTCCTCCATAGCACACTAGCTTGAAAGGTGGGATTTTTGTCTGACTTTTACCACTGTATCCTCAGTGCTAAGAGCATTTGATATGTAGAAGATACCCCATAAATATTTGTTGAAATAATTATTGAATGGAGGAATGAAAAGAAAGGTCCTACAGAAAGAGACATTGAGGAGATAGATGTGGCAATGATTGGGTGAAGAGAGGCAAGGATAGGGAGAAATTAAAAAATGGCAGTGAGGTGTTATATCTGAGTTTTAGTGTGAAAATTAAACCATTCTCTTATTTATTCAGAAGATGTCTATTAAGTTTCTACTGTATATCAGGTACAATGCACTTAGTACTGGATATGCAATATAGAACAAAATTAGACATGGTCTTAGCCCTTAAGGAGCTTACAATTTAGTGGTTGAAATGGGCATTTATCAAGTAATTATTCAAGTGAATATGAAATTTCCACTGCCATGAAAGAGTATATAGTGCTCTTAGATCTCCGAACAGGAGGATTTAAAGTGGTAAGATTTTCTTGAGTGGGAAGTAATCATAAGGACAAAGAATCTAGACAATTAAATAGGTTAAGAGGAGGGTAAAGAACATTTCAAAGAGGAAAGGGAACATGTACAAAAGTTCTGTGCTGGGAAGGAGCTTGGTAAGAATGAAAGATTGTAAGCAAGCCACTGAGTGAGTGTGCTGAAAATGCAAAGAGGGAGATGGTGCAAGATGAGGCTGGAGAGGCAGGTGGAGGTGAGAGATGATTAAGTCTGCTTTTTAAAAAGATAATTCTCTCTACACTGTGGAGGATGGATTGGTCCAGATTACTTATGAGGCTTTTGTCCAGACAAAAGATAATGAGTGGTAATAGTTGAGACATTGGAGAAGAATGGGCAGATTTGAGGGAGATTTAAGAGGTAAAAAGCATAGGACAAAGCTGACATTTATTAAATACTGTGTGAGTTCAGGCTGCTAGAACGACTAGGTTGCTTAAAAAAAAATGGACATTTATTTCTCACAATTCTGGAGAAGGGAAGTCTGAGATCAAGGTGCCCACAGATCCAGTATCTGTTGAGGACCTAGGACTTGAAGAAAAAGATTGTTTTCTGGCGCCATGAAGCTGGAGTGAAAGGTAAATTGTTTATGATACTTTCAATACTTGGGCTATTTTCTTAATATTTATTCTTAACTTTTTCCTTGCTATTGTTAATCATATTTAAGTTCCAAAACACCCACATGCTGATCCACTGTATACACATTATTTTATTTCATTTAGAAACTTGTATCTGTAAAGTGACTTTAATTTATTTGAAAGAAGCATTTTATTGCTATTTTATGTAGAATAAGCATTACCACATAGAACCAATTAATACTGTTATAACTATTAATCTATATAAAATTATATAAATTTTTCTGTGTAAAAATTTTATGTAAACTTTTATTTACATGAAAGTATACCAAAGAAATCACCCCGACAGTTAAAAGTTTGCCAGCTTAGTAACCATGACATTATTCATCTTTGGTACATTATTTGAAATTTGCTGTTTCTTTTCATGTGTTTATAGCTACATTGCCTTGGACTAATATTCAACCTATTAGTTGACTTACCACCATTCAGAGACTGGTAAATTAAGTGTCAGGCAACACCCACTTGAGTCTGAATGTGATTTCTTACTTGTATCTTTTCATAGCTATTTTATGAATTATAATGCCTAATAGAAAAGAAGGAAGGATTTTCTTGCATGTAAATTTCCATTGAATGCTCTGTGGGCATTTTCATATGGCAACCGTTTTAGCCAAGATAGAAACTTTGTTTCCCTATTTATGTATTAATGGTGTTTTATAGGTTGGGTAAAAAATAAATTAAGGATAGAAAAAAAATTAACCAGAAATAACAGTATAATCTCTAGATTAATGCATGTTGCTGTTAGGTACTATATACTACATTCATATTCTATAAGAATGTTTAAAATAATCATATAAATAATAATTTAGCTTTAATCAATATAATGCTAGAAATTGAAAATAGTTTGTATGAGAAAGACATTCGGGGAGTACAGTTTTGTAAATGTGTTGTTTGCTGAAAATCAACATTATGTATGTATGTTATATACATTTATTTTCAAGCTTCTTAAAAATTGGACATGTTGTAGTTTCTATAGTTTTTCCTCAAAATAATTTTAATGCTAGTGATAGAAACTTAAATTTTTTACAATGGACATTTTATATGAATCTTTCGCTGTGGTTTTATTTTGCAATGTTTTGCGTAAAAGTTGAAAAGTGAGCGGAAACTATGCAATCACTCTTTTTCCCTTTGTAGAATTCAGGGATATGGGATTTGCTGTAAAAGTGTGAGTAGGGAAACTAAATTCTATAAAATGAATTTTATGATCATTCAGATTTAGTACTTAAGACTTTATTATTTAATTAGTCTTAGGTGATTTGGGATATTCTGACCATCAACTAAATTTTTTAGTCTAATCTAAAGTGGTACTAATGGTGTTTTAGGAGAGTACAAATACATTAAATTCACTATACTGTATAAATTAGCCTTTGATGGTTTTCCTCTTTGTTAGGTTAATTTATTCTAATGACTCAGACTGGGGGATCCTTTTATTTTTTATTTTTTTAATTTCTAACTTTTTTGTTTACATGGTCCTTTTGTTGCTGGATTTCTCAACTTGTCCTCATAGGACATGATGGAGAAAGTCCTCATAGGACATGATGGAGAAAGAAACATGTTCTAATAACATATTCTCAAGGTTAGCTTACAAAGGTATTCCTCTGTCAAACACTTGAGGAATCTTTTAGATGCTATTCATTTACACAGCAACTCAGTAGACTAGGTCAACATGTCTATGAATAAGTGGTTATCTTGAATATTTGAAATTGTTTAGATTTCCCCCAATTTTCTTAACATTTTATATAGTGATTTTGTGACATTGCAGAAGAAAAACACAGTCATACTTTGACATTGGTGTTTGTACTTTTTCTTAAATATAAAACTTGGGAAAAAATCTTCAAATCATATAAAATTACTTTTTTTTTTTTTTTCTTTTGAGACGGAGTCTTGCTCTCTTGCCTAGGCTGGAGTGCAGTGGCACGATCTTGGCTCACTGCAACCTCCTCCTCCCAGGTTCAAGAGATTCTCCCTCCTTAGTCTCCTGAGTAGCTGGGACTACAGGTGTGCAGCTCTACGCCTGGCTGATTTTTATATTTTTAGTAGAGATGGGATTTCACCGTGTTGGCCAGGCTGATCTTGAACTCCTGACCTCAAGTGGTCTGTCTGTCTGTGCCTTCCAAAGTGCTGGGATTACAGGTGTGAGTCACTGCGCTCAGCCCCTTATAATTAGTTTTTAAATATGCTATAAAAGAACTTTAAAAAGTTGAATTCAATAAACATGTATTAATTTTTTTATGTATTTTGCATTGTGTTGGGGGATCTGGGGATTGCTAAAATAGTGAGTGAATAAGTGTGGAGGGGATAAACTATGCCCAGAAGATTTATCTTATAATTAAAGGCTTATTTTGTGGAATACCAGTATTAAGAAGACACTGAATACAATTTGATCACCTAAATCTATAATTGATGGAGAAAAAGCTAGGGTACACAATTCATGGGGAAAAGAGAAGAGGGCTTTCATTTAAAGAGCATACCAGGCTTGGCATGGTGGCTCACGCATATAATCCCAGCCCTTTGAGAGGCTGTAATTGGAGGATCGCTTGAGCTCAGGAGTTCGCGATTAGCCTGGGCAAGGTGGTGAGACCCCCATCTCTACAAAACAAAAAAAATAATGCTGTATATGGTGGTGTACACTTGCAGTCCCAGTTATTCGAGAGGCTGAGGTTGGAGGATCACACGAGCCCTGGAGGTCAAGGCTGCAGTAAGCCGTGATCACACCACTGCACTCCAGCCTGGGTGACAGAGTGAGACCTGGTCTCAAAAAACCAACAAAAACCAACACACCTTCTTGGCAGCCTTGCGTAGGGTGATATGTGTGAGGATGGATTTAAATATCAGGGTTTATAATCCAATAGGTAGGATAGTTTGTATGCACATAACCATAATAGTCATACTATTTGAAAAAATAAGTGTTATAAGAAAGGCATGCTGTTCAAATTAGAGAAGGGAAAACACAAGCAGATGTATACATGTGAGTACTGGATCTTTAAAGAACAGAATATTTCAAATTTCAGTTAGAATACGTTGAGCTGATGGAAAGGTCTAGCAACTGACTGAGAGAGATGAAGGTCACTGGATTTGAGGTGTACATATTGTCAAAGTATGAGACATTGTGTCAGTCTACATGCGCAGATGTTGCATTCATGGTTATTCTGTTTATAAGTACAAACACTTAAACTTGACCACTTAAATATGACATATGGCATTGCTAAATATGACTTGATTTTCTGAAGTAGAGAGCTATTCTTGGTTAAGTTTCTTTTGATTTATGCAATAGTTACATTTCTAGAAAATTCAGTGTATATTAATTAAATCCTTATAAAAAGTACTGTGTGATATGAAAAATGACATTTTGTTTTAGGCTTGGATAATTGTTGCTGCCCCCTCTCCTTCATGAATAGACACTGTAAGTCATGGAGACCTTGGATCAGTTTATTTTGTAGCATGTGCTGTGCATTTGTGCATTGCAGGATATCCACCATTCCTGTAGCTCACCCATTAAGTGCTAGTGGCATCCTCCCATTTTTTTTTTTTAAATTACAGTCTAAACACATTTTCAGAATGCCCCCATTGAGCATTTCTAGGTTAGAGGAAAGAAGGCACAGAGCAATATGTCGATTAGACCCAAGGAGAAAGCTTCTATTTTGCACAGTGACCAATACGATAGAGATGTGAAGCAGAGAATCACCTGGCAACAGAGTTTCAAGTACGTTCCTGAAATAAAATTGCCATGAGGCAAGGTGGTAAAGTTTTCTTACCATCTCAACCTCCTGTCCACATTTAGCTTCTTTCCTCGCACCATCTCTAGCCCAGGTTTACCTGGTAGCCTGGTTATGTTAACACCGGTGGCCCCAGTGAGAATTCTTGACTGGTTTTGGTAAAGTGTGTAATTTCAGCATACTTTCTAACTAAATTAGCATTTTTCTTCCTTTCTACTATACTTCCAAGCATTTTTTTTTTTTTTTTTTTTGCCATTTGAAGGCAGTCACAAAAGATGCCTGATATTTCTCAGGTAAATGTTTATTTCTCTTATTTTTTTCTTGCTGTTAGGTAAATGTGTTGCATAAAATGTAATCTTTGTATTTCTGTTTGATTGTGAACATATCCAAATGCACTAAAATGCATTGGAATCAGTGAAGATGATCATTGCAGTTTTATCTTTTGTTCAAATTGATAAAGTTTTAATAGAGCCACCTTTGGCCAACTTTAACAGTTTTTGTTGTCTTGGAAGAATCGTCTCATATGCAGCAGATTACTTCTAATGATCCTGATAAATCGGAAGTATTACTTTCAAAAGATTAATGTTATAAAGTCTAGCCTTGTTGAGCTATTTAGTTGTTGTACTTGTTCTAAATTTGGTGACCTTTGTAATGTGGAACAGTATTCTTCATTTTAAATAAAATTTAGAGTGATTAAAAAAATGATTATTTACCTGGGGCATTAAACCAAGTCTGATGAGGTTTTTAGCTTCATTTGTGATGTAAAACCCATAGTGAAGATTAGAAGTAGTTCCTGAAGTATGCATACCTTGTGAAATATATTTCTAGTTTCAATATCTTTCCTAGGGGAAATGCCCATGCTATGGAAATCACTATGATTAGCATTAATTGTTATGCTTCTTGGGTCTCCTTGCAAAGAAGCCAGACTTGTAAAAACGAACCTCTTTTTTTGCCCTGTAAAGGTCATAGCAACAGACATTGTCTTAAAATGGAATAGTATAATGGTCTCTTGACTGATTTAAATGGTAATATGTAATAATATACAATTATATTGTATGGGTGATATGGGTGGTATCTTTCATTAAGTTACATTTCTTTCATATTAAAATATATATAATTTTATGTGAGAAAAATTGAATATTTCATAAAATCCAATTTGTTCTTGTCCCTTAACCTTACCTTTAATATATTACTTATTCTGTGTTTTAAACTGGTTGAAAATAATTTCTTCTCTCTCTCTGTTTTTATCATAATCTTGAAAATGAATCAGTTAAATCAATTAATTAATTTCAGCTGCTTTTAAGTTTGTCTTGCGGAGGGTTTCTTCCATGAGATTTTCATAAACTATAACTGAGTTTATATTTACCCTACAGTGAATTTTTAAATTATCCTTTGAAAATTCACATTGGGGTAGCTTATGGTATTACTACATTTCAGGAGAATTATTTCATCATCTTTGATATATGATACAGTTGCTTGTGTTTTGTTTTCATTACCACAGATTCCTGAAAAGTTTGTGAACACTGAATTTCAAAATCTTCTATTTTCCCCACTGCATTATATTATAATCTTAGTATGTTTTATTTGAACTTAGAGTACTGAATTAATACTTACTTACAAAATTGGTGTTTGTATTTTTAACAAGAAGATACATTTTTTTGAGTTTTAATTTTTATCTCCTTAGAAGGCAGTCCAAAAACATATTAGAATTATGATGCATAAGGAATTTAATTACAGTTTCTAAGTCTTACAAAGTAAAAAGTATTAATTGGTGTTATTTGTTGAAATATGTCATAAAGAACAATATCCTAACTGGGGGTATGGCTTAAGAGCAATCTGATTTAAGAAAAAGACGAAAAGTAAGATCTTAGGGTATCGTAATTTTGTAAATTTTTGTTTCTTGGAATATTTAGAAAAATTGATTTTAAAATGTCTCTTGGAATAGCTGGGCTAGAAATGGTGGTTCAAGGGTGCAAGGAGATTGTAGAATCCTCTAAAGGGAGCGTTTTTTACTACAATGGCAGGGAATAGATGCCTTATAGATGGGAGCTATGACTCGTGTTAAAAACCTTCAAGACAATTTCAGGCTTACTGTGGTCACTTTAGGTCTTGGCATTTGATCAATTGAGGAAGATTTTGAAAAAAATATATTTCTCTTAACACACTATGGTAGCCAGTCTACAAGATGGGTTCCATTGATTATCACTGCCTAATAATCATGCTCAAATGTAGTTCCCTGCTGCATTGAATTAGGTTGACCAGTGTAATCCATAAGATACTGCAAAAATGATAGTGTGCAACTTCAAAGGGGAAGTCATAAAATAAATTTTGGCTTCTTCCATGCTGTCTTTTGGATTGCTTGCTCAAGGTGGGACAGCTACCATATCATTGTATGCTTAAGCAGCCCATGGAGAGGCCTATGTAGAGTGGAATTGAGGCTCCTACCAACAATCAGCACCCAGTGGTTGAGCAGTCTTGGGAATATATCCTCTAGTCTTAACCAAGCCCGCAACCTTGTGAAAGAGACCCCAAGTTAGAATCACCTGGTTAAGCTGCTACTGAATTCCTGATCCATAGAAACCATGAGATAATGAATATATATTTGGTTTAAGCCACTAAATTTTAGGGTAATTTTTTATGCAGGATACAGAAGTAATATACACAGAAATAAAGGCAAAGTTTCAACTATGTTGACTGCTCTAAAGGAAAGGTATGCATTACTATACGAGTGACCAACAGACTTCTTTTTTAATATGGAGGTTTGGGAAAAGCTTGTGAGCTCAGATTCAAAGAACAGGAAAGATATTCCTAACGGAACAACATGTGAACTGGCCCTGTTGTTGATTCAAGATTTTTTTGCTGCTTAGCTCAGCAAGGTCCATGTTCTTGTCTCATGACCAGGAAGAAATAGCCACGTGGACATTGAAGAGCGAGTAGGTGTAGTGGATTTTGTTAGGTGAAAAGGAAAGCTCTCAGCAAAAAGAGGGGTCCTGAAAGCAGGTTGCCGGTTGCCCACTTCACAGTTGAATAAAAGGGCTTTTTACATATATACCAATGGTCTGGGTTCCCTATTTGTATAAAGCGCAAATTCCTGGTAGCTCCACCCCATTCCCCCGTGCGTATGTGGGCTCTTAGTTGGCGGTGGACATATTTAGGCAAGGCCCCTGTGCAAGTTCCCTTATCTGCACAAAACATGGGTTGGAGGTTCTCCAGGGATCCTTCTGGTACTGTCTGTCAAAAGCAAGCTGGCTAACCCCTTTCATTCCCTCCTTCAGCAACTGCTGTTGCGAAAAAGTGGACGAAGACCTCTCTTAACTGCTTCCTGCTGACAGGAGGCGCTGTTTTGGAAAAGCGGCAGTTAGGACTCCTCCTGAGGTCAGTTTAAGGGTCCTGGGAAGAATGGCATGTCCATGCATGGTTTCATTTGCATCACCATTTGAAGTTTAATGGCCTCCAAGCAAAAAGGAACAATTCGGGTTATTAGAAGACATATATCAAAACGAAACAAGGGGTTAAGGACTGCTCAAAAATCCCAAGGCTGCCAATGTGCTCAGATAGCTGGTAGCTAGCTATAGTTACTATACCTGCTAAGATTTGGGTGCATGGGGCTTGGCTTTGGTAGCTCTCTTGATTTTTCCAAACAAAGAAACCTTGAGTTATGGGCTCTGTGTTTACTCTTATCATATGGTAGGATTTGCAGGATAATTTTCCAGGACTAGAATATTGATCCAGATTTTTATCACCCATCCCTTTTGTTTCTTCTGAGCTACAGCCAGTTATTGCTGGTTGGTTCACAGGAATAAGCAGGGTTAGTTTAAAATGTAGGCAAAAACTTAAAAACAACTGATGAGATTAGAATTTAATAACAGGTATATGATAAGTTTTGAAGCATAATTTTTCTTTCTTCAGTCCTCATTTTTGTGAAAAACAAATCATGATAGGACTGAGTTGTTGGCAAAATAAACTTTAGTCCTATACTTGACCAGATTATTGGTGCAGCAAGAATAATTATTTTTCACATAGGCTTCTAAGTTGGCTTTAATGGAACTCTGTTCCACAAGGAATCTCAGATAAGACCTTTAAAAGCTGAGCCCAGTCATGGGTTTGTACCCTCAAATACCTATGAGTTGGGTAAATTCCTCCCTTTTTGAGGTCACAAGAACCTGGGGCTCCTGGGCCTGTGAGAAAGTGATATTCTTTACTCACCACAGGTTAGTAACCCTTTATGGGGACTGTGTAGACAAGGTATGAGGCCAGATTTCCCAAGGGGCTTTTATTGGCTCTGCAAGCCATGCTTGATTCCTTAAAGGGAAGCAAACCCTTCCAGTCAAAACCTTGGTGAAACAACCAGTTTCTCCAATTGTGTCCTGTTGCAAAGGAAAATGAATTATTATTGCATAGATGCAAATAACTATATTGCCGTAAGTTAAAGAATACTCACAAATAGTTTCCAAATTCTGGAGATGCCAGGCGGGGAGAAATAAATATCCTCCAAATTTTGTTCACAGGAGTATACCTTACTCAATTATTAAAGGCTGTAATTAGCTCAAAATAAATTTCCTTGACTCTAAAAACAAAACAAGGATGAGCAACATTTTAAGCACAAAAGGTTAAAAAGATTACTTCAGTTTTCTGTTAGTTCAGTCCATTCTGTTAACTCTTGTTCTACTTGATATTCATGAACCTTTCAGCTCTTCATGAGTCCTGTATGTTTCTCTCTATTCCAGTGTCCCAATCTCCAAAGATATCAGAAACCTGCCTTTAAGAGCACCTGTCAAAGTACTATATCTGATTATAAGCCATCTTTTGAAAAGGATCAAAGCTAGACAACAATTGTCTGTGAATAGCAAAATGTCCAGGGTAGTTACCTCAAAAACACTATGGACAAAGAAATTTGTTTATTTCTGTAGCAATATGGTTTGGCTGTGTCCCCACCCAAATTTTACCTTGAATTGTAATAATCCCCCTTGTGTCGAGGGTGGGCCAGGTGGAGATAATTGAATCATGGGGGCAATTTTCCCTATACTGTTCTCATAGTAGTAAGTCTCACGAGATCTGATGGTTTTATAAATGGGAGTTCTGCTGCACAAGCTCTCTTGCTTGCTGCCATGTAAGATGTGCCTTTGCTTCTCCTTTGCCTTCTGCCATGATTGTGTGGGCTCCCCATCCGTGTGGAACTGTGAGTCCATTAAACCTCTTTCCTTTATAAATTACCCGGTCTTGGGTATATCTTTATTAGCAGAATGAGAACAGACTAATACATGTGGTTTACAATAACATAATAACCTTAATTATGATTGATAGCATATACTCAGACATTAGAATGGTAGACATCCTATATGATTTTAAAACACATATTAATATTATTCATTAAAATATAACCTATGGAAGATTAAACATCACTTTGGCAATCCTCTGTAACTAAACATGTCAAATAATCCTGTTTACCTCTCTCTTGGATGCTCTAGGGGTCCTCTAGCATCCAAAAGCTAGGGGTCAGGAAAGACAATTTTTGAAGCTGAAGTTTGATTTTGGGAAATATGTTAAATATATATGTTAGAGGTTCAAAAGCATGTGATATTATGGAATAGAATTCCAGATTACCGTAAGTTCTTTTGCCAAAATGATGACTTAAAAAAAAAAAAGGTAAAACCTTTCATTATCTTTTACTGTTACATGAAAATCCTGTTTAAGAGAGAAAAAGCCAGATTTCACCCTTACGTTAGTCTGCTATTAATGTCAACCCCAATTTTTTGTTTTAGTGGAACTTTATAGATAATTTTTATCCAATCTTAGCCAGTTTGACCATGAGGTGAGATTTTGGTAAACCTTTTATCACACTTTACAAATTTCTGTTAAGTAGCAGATCAGTGTGTTAATAAAACCTTGTTGTACTTCTATTTCAATGCGCAATTTATGGAAAGACCGTATAATACCTTTTTGAAGTTAATCAATATGTTCTCATATAGAATTTCTTTTGGAAGATTAATTTTTATAAACCTTCCACTCTTTGTTTAAACCTTCAGCTTTATCTTATAAACAATCCTTTAACCCTAGTCTGAAATTTACACTCCCATGCCTTCTGATAATCTTTTACTAAAAACACATTTTACTTTCTTTATGCACCTTGCGGGTGAATCTGTTGTCAATAATCTCAATTATATGTTATAACAGTAACTGTTAGCAATTTTTAATTTTAGTGTAAAGGCTGGCAAGTTGTTTTAATTATGTGCTAGGTGCAGATAAAGTCTGACTCTTTCCAACATAGTTAAGGGCGTGGTTAATTCCATATGTCCTCAAGCCTTATCAAATTGTAAAGCAGGCAAGTCAAACAGTTCTCAAAAGCCAAAGAAGCAGTTTGTAACCTTCGAACATGTAGCAAACCTAGTATCTGACCAGCATAATTCAGATCACATATTTACATTTTGAAGACATTTGTATTTTACCATTTGTCTTCAAAAATATTTCTATTTCTCAAAGATTAAAGTCACTTGAACTAACAGGCATTACAGCTTTTATTTTTTTTTTTTCAAAAAATATTGGATCTAAGCACTTATTTTTCTTTAGGCCAATCAATTAGAGCTATTTTTTATAAAACCATCACACACATAACACATGTATGATTATACAGACACAGACAGAAGAAGATCCAGTAATTGTAAGATTCTTCATTTTCTAATCTCCTAGTCAGATCATTGGCCTCAGGGTGGTACCCTTCAAGAGCAGGGCTAGGAAAGCATGCAGTTTCTAGGGACCAGTAAACAGGTATAGCTGGAAGACAAAAACAGATTTTGAGAGGAATCTATCCAATTTTAATTGCTGGAGTTCCATGTGGAAAACAAGGGATTTTTTTTTTTTCCAAAATGGGGTTTGTGGCACCTTCTCTGTTTCTCGCCAGGTGTCCTAGGCTATCAGAAGTTATCTTAGGGCCTCTCATGTGTGCATTAAGAGTAGCAAAATGAAATGGAGAAAAATAATTCATTTGACTGAGAGAAAGTCCTTTTTCCAGAAAAACAAGATCCATGAAGTGTAAAACATAAAGGCCTTTTAAATATACCTCTAGCTTGGATATCCACTTTAAATTAAGCTGAGTGCTTTTTAAGAAAATCCTTTTAAATCCCTCATTACCCTACTTTAGCCATGCCAAGTGGCCAATATTTCTAACTTTTGAACATTACCAAAAGTAACCTCACAGGTGAAACCAACAAGCCTCAATCAAGGTTATGGCTTAACTGTGAGTGTACAAGGTATTTTCAAAGAAGTGGTAAGCACTTCCTACAAAATCTAGAATCTTTAAAGGTGGCTCAGAGAAAGAAAGATTTAAGAAAGAAAGCTAGAATTTGTTCACAGACGGGAAGAGAATCAGCAAATTCTAAAAGTCACACAGATACTAACCGGAAAGTACTCATTCCCTATGCCAAAATTGAACCCGGGCCACCATTTTAAAATGGCAGAGGCCAAAAGAAGGTACTGCCACGTGGTTACAAGGTCAAGCTCCCAAGGACGTAAAACAAAATGGAAACCTGCAGCAATGTTTGTTACTGCCCAGTTTGCTGGTTGGCTTGAACAACAGGCTTATGGGGTCCTAGGCTTGCATTCTATCCTAAGGTATTCCTCCTTATCATGGAACCATACAGGAAGACACAAAAAGCACACCAGATTGGCTACAGCCTAAGACTAGCCTCACAAATCCTTTTTTCCATTAATCCAGACTTCACAGAGGACACAAACAGTAATTTTATCATTTATTCAACCGGTCTGCACAGGGAGAGGGAGGCCCGAAGTCCAGCTGTTAAGAACTTTTACTCTTTTACCAGCATGTCAGACTTCTGGGTTTCCTTCCCCTGAGCTCACTTTTAAGCCAAGCAGTTTAAGGTTTGGGGAAACTAACTTTTCCTACTTTGGGGGATATATCTGAGGGGAGTGTCCTGTGGTATGGGGACACAATTACCCATCTGTGAAGAGAGGACAGAGTAAGGATTTTTTTTTCCCTCAAAGGAATCCCAGTGATTCAGGAGGCATTTGAGAGAAATACAGACTGAAGATGATTGGTTACTCAACTAGAAAGAGGGGAACAAGTCATCCCTAGTTCCTTTTTTCTCCCAGGGAATAACCGGGTTATGTGAGGGAGAGAGAGAAGAGCTGTCCTCACATCCCTGAGTCCCTGTAACCTTGGGATGGTGCAGACCATGGGTGCCAATGTGGCTTTTCACCCTTGTTAACAGGGGGCCTAGGAGGTGGGAATTATCCGCATTTACCCACATGCTGCCTTTCCTCTGCTGTCAGTAACCTTTGAGTTCCCTAGACCTTGTCTGTGCCATGGATGCTAGCATGACCTCTATCCATGAAATGGGAGGGGTCCTAACTGGCAGGAATTAGTCATGCTAAGGTAAATCTGTGGTGCTGAGTCCTCCTCAAACAAGGGAGAGTAAAGGGTGTCTTGTGAGTTGGGGTCCTGGCTTAATAAGATGTTTTCCAAAAGGAAAAAAAAAAAACAAAACTCTTGCATAGAAAAGCTCCCTGTTTTCACAGGGCCATGTTAGAAAAGAAAAGAAAAAAACAGCTTAAATGCAGGATGGAGAAAATGCCTGAGGGAAAATCCTCTAGCTCTATGCAAATGGGTTCCTCCAACAGGGAGAGAAACTCTTAATCATTGTTCCCTCCTTTTGCCTAGGCCAGGGGTGGAAAGACTCTGTGGAGACCCATGGCGGGAGTTGGTGGCTGCAGCTCATTCCTGCCCCATGTGGCTGTTGGATGGAGCATGTGCATGTGCAGACATGTCCATACACCCTAGCTGGGAGGGAAGCAGGGAGGATGGGTGCCTCCGCTTGCCTTTCTGTTCCGAGCGTGTGCCTGTGGCCCTTGGGGTGGGGGTGTGAGATGTGCCTCTAAGAACAGATGGAAATCGCATTGTTCTGAATGGCATTTCTGATGGCTGGGCTAAATGCTCACTCTACCTAGTAGTATCTGCAGTTTGCAGCAACATCTTTAACATTATAAAAGAAGAGCTAAGTGCCAGGATAATCCTGGAACAAAAGAAGGAAAATACTGTAGAAAAGACTGGTTTGGAATAAGGCTGACATTCCCAACCCTTGAGAGTGATAGGGGTTTTTGGGGGTACTCTCCAGCATCCTGTCCTCTGTAGCTGTGCCATTCATTCTTATCTGGCTCACCAGAGGTTTGGTGCTGCATCTGCCTTCAGAAAAAGTCTGAGGAGGAGAAGACTCAGAAATGAAAGCAAAAGGTTTCAGATCTGCAGTTTACTCACCTGCCAGGTATTCTGGACAAGCCCCCAAAATGATGAAGGGTTTTTTGCTCCTTAGCTCAGCTAGGTCTAGGTTCTTGTCTCATGACCAGGAAGAAATAGCCATGTGGACATCAAAGAGTGAGTGGAGTAGAATTTATTAGGTGAAAAGGAAAGCTCTCAGCAAAAAGAGGGGTCCTGAAAGCAGGCTGCTGGTTGCCCCCTTCACAGTTGAATACAAGGGCATTTTACATACATGCTGATGGGGCTGTGTTCCCTACTTGTATAAGGTGTGAATTCCTTGTCGATTCACCCCATTTCCCCTGTGGGCGTGTGGGCACTTAGTCCGCTGCGGGCATGTTTAGGCAAAGCTCCTGTTCAAGTTCCCTTATCTGGACCAAACAAAGGTGGGAGGTTCTCCAGGGATCCTTGCCTTACTGTATGCCTGAAGCTGGCTAACTCCTTTCATTATTATAGCCAAATAGGTTCTTCTTGCCCGATGCCCAGAAAGTTAATATGCTGAGAACAGCAGTAGTTGCAGCAGAGATAGTGTTTAGTCATAGCACTTTAATTGGGAGGAGGATGGGAGATATTTCTCAAATCTGCCTCTCTAAGAGTTTGGAGGCTAGGGTTTTTAGCGGTAATTTGGTGGGCAGAGCACTAGGGAATAGGTATTGCTGATTGACTGGGCATGAAATCATGGTATTGTCCAAACTGTCTTCATGTGCTGAGTCAGTATCTGGGTGCAGGTGTTACAGGACTGGTTGAGTCAGTTCCTTGATATGAATCACGGTCCTGTTGGTATCAGGTGGTATGGCCGAATGCACGAGTCTGAAAAATATCTGAAAGATCAATCTTAGTTTTTGATAATAGTGCTGTTATCTAAAGGAGCAACTGGGGAAGACTTTGACTTTGGGAGACAGAGACAAAATCAGAGGCAGGAGGATTGCTTAAGCCCAGAAGTTGGAGACCAGCCTTGGCAACATAGTGAAACCCCATCTCTACAAAAAAATTAAAAAAAAAAATTATTCTGGCGTGGTGGCATACACCTGTAGTCTCAGCTACTTGGGAGGCTGAGTTGGGAGGATCGCTTGATCTGGGATGTCAAGGCTGCAGTGAACTGAGATCCCACCACTGCACTCCAGCCTGGTTAACACACTGAAACCCTGTATCAAAACAAAGCAAAACAAAATAAAATAAGATAAAATAAAATAAAATCTTGTGACTCCTGAGTAGTAAGCAAGCTAGGGAACAATGGCTGGTTATTGCTTAATGATGCTTACAGCTTAACAGAATTTAGGTCCTTACCATAATTCTAACCTTGTGGCCTTTCATTATTTTCACAAAGGCAGTTTCCATCCTGAACAAAGAGGAGGTTAGTTTTAAGCAGGGACTATTATCATCCTTGCTTCAAACTGTAAACTAAATTCCTCCTATGGTTAGCTTGGCCTACACGGAGGAATGAACGTACAGACAACTTATGAGGTTAGAAGTGAGATGAAGTCAGCTATGTTAGATTTCTCTCAGTCGTATTATTTGCAAAGGCAGTTTTACTGTTATGGGAAAAAGCAGGACACTTTTGAGAAACCAAATGTCAAAAAACAAAATGAAAACAAATTTAGTTTAAAGATGTTAATTGACTTTGTTTATGATTCTAGAATTGTACAACACTTCATTCCATAAAATAGAATGAGTGTTACAGTGAGTGGACTAGAGGAGATTGGTTTTATAGATAGAAAAGGGCCAAAGAAAAGAGAAACAAAGAACAAGAAGTGGATTGGTCACTTCAAAGTTACTTTTCTAGTAAGGCAAGAACAGGGAAACAGCACAATAAAAAAATAACTATTAATATCAGGTTACTTAAGTTTACTTATTTTTGGGTAAGTGTTAAAGGAAGAAGGAACTTGATTGTCTTGCTGCCTGGCCTATTTTGGAAATTTGGCTATTATTTTTCTCTCCTGATTTATTGGAAAGTCAGATAACTTTTTGATTTGGTGATAGGGAACTTTAATGCTTTGATTTTGATTTTTAGTCTAGTGTGTTGGGGCCTAGTGCAGGAGCTTAGCCCAAAACAGTAGATTTCTATAATTTTTATTTAACGTGAAAGCCCATTGTGGCTAAGTGTAGACAGCAAGGATGTATGGAAAAAGATGAAGTTAAGGAGAACAGAAAATGCTAGGCCTTAGACCATGTTAAGAATATTTGGTCTTTAAAAGCTGTGGGAATTCATTGAAAATTCATTAAATTCATTTTGAGCAGAGGATGTGGGCTAACTAGATTAGATAGATATTTTGTAAAGAACATTCAGATTGCCTAGTGGAAAATAGATTAGAAGTGGTAGGCTGGGAGTGGGTTGTGCAACAGTAGATGAAAGGAGACCAGTTAGAAAGCAATTGTATTTATTGAAAGAGATGGTGGTAGTTTAGATAGAGTGGTAACAGTTTAAATGGAGAGAGGTGGGCAGATAGGAGGGGTTTTGAATATAAAATAAACAGAATCTGGTTAAGAGCTAGATATGGTAAGTGAAGAGAGGGAACTGTAAAGGTAGGTGTGTGGCCTTGTCGTAGGATGAACAAGGACCCTATTTTTTTTTTCCTTAATAGAAGATCACATTTTTTTGGACATGTTTTTAGATACTTTTCAGACAGCCAGAATAGGGTTTCAAGAGTCTGTTTTGGAGCTCAGAGGTAATGTCTGAGCATGAGACAAAGATTTACCAGATTTAATTCTTATTAAGTCATAACCCATGTGATACAGTCCTTGAGGAGTCTTATAGTCAAAAGAACACAGTACATTAAAACAACAATTATTTAAAAACGAAGCAAGTTCTTTATGCATTTCTCAAAACCATGAAGGGACTCTTAATTCCCAGCAGTACTCTCTAGTATTGCTCTTGTTCCCTTTCTCATCTTTTGTTTTCATCAAATGTAGCTGGTGTTCCATTCTTTTTTCAAAAACTACTGAAGAAGCTACCCCTCTACTCTCATCCAGGCTAGTTTTATTCTAATTCATCCTTCTTCTTTTGTACTTTGCTCTGTACTATTTACGTTGATGTAACGGTTCCTATTTTGACAACATAGGACCTTCCTTGCAGTGGATGATAGGGAAAGAAGCTGGTAGCATAAAGCCAGATGTTCCTTTGATGCCTTAGGAAGGGGAAAGTCAGAGAACAGTTATGGGAACAAAGACGCATTAATGATTTTTGTCATGTAACTGAATGATCAGCATGTAAGTAAAAACTAAAACCATGAGTCTAGATGAATTTTGCCTTGAGAAAAGATATCTTGATCGTTGAGTAGTTCCATCATTTAATGACTCGGTTTAGGAAGATGAGCATAGAGGAGACTGATTAGGATCTCTTTTGACATCTGACTGGAACTTCTGAGCTAACTCTTGCTTTAGGCTGCAGCCTAGGCATTTGTTTCTTTGAAAAGCCTTTTTTGACATTTCATTTCCAGGTTAGGTTCTGCTCCAGCAGGCACTGATTGCCTATTATGGTCCTTATCATTGCTATAATTATTTATTTAATTGCATGTGGTCCCCAATAGACTCTAACCTCTGGGAGGATGAGAGACAAGTTCATCATTTTAACCCCAGTAAGTGTAATCTTTTATGTAGTGGATTGCAATAAGCATTTGTTTAATTAATTCAGGCAGGTATTCTCGTTTGGCTCATTAGGTTTCATATGTGTATGTCAATATTTTCTACTTAGCTTACTGCCAAAATATATAGATCTGTTCTTTAGAAAACAACATAAAATAGCTGTACTCCAGGTTCTTATATCAGATTATGACTTTGACCTCTCTGTCACCTAATACCTATAAAAAGTTTGGGGGAAATAAAATTTATGAAGGACTGCAGTGTACTTGGACCATATAATATTCGCAGTCTTAGAATTACTCATACTCATGTTTCACTGTTATTCCATAGCTTATATAGAGAAATATTAAAAGTAATGCAACTTTGAAACTCATTATTGTGTTTACTCCAGAGATGGAGGAGGAAGTGGTAATTTACTGTCTTATCAGTTTATGAGGACTAATAGGATTTTTTTTTCAAAGTGCAGTAGCAGGAAGGCTTATTTTGAATGACCAGGGTTTAGATATATATATGTGCGTGTGTGTAATTTTTGGTGGATATAGTGAATAATGCAACCATTTATGTTTCTCTCTTGTAGTGGTTTTTAGGAAACTCATTGGTAAATTTTGTGGTCTGCTTATATTAAAGGATGTAAACATTTTATGTCCTTTCTTTTGAGTAACAGTCATACCACTGATTATACTTTTTATTGACACACTTTATTCAGATAGCAGTCTGATCACACATGATCCAAGAACACTGAAATAGTAAGTCAAATATAATCAGATGTTAAAGACTTGTCATACATTATAGGCAATGGTGCAATGCTTACTTATGATTGCTCCAATATAAAACCACATTTACACCTCAGTGGCCACTGAACCATTCAGCACAGCTTCCTTAACTGTCAGCTGTTAGAAGCTAGCAGTGTAAGCACTGTTGACTATTTTTTTCAGGCTCTGAATAGCTGTCAGGATCTCAGTAGGAGTTGGAGGAGTTAGCTCAACTTTGGCTTAATATCTAAATGTGGCCAATCTAGGCTTCAAATACGTCACAGCAGTGTTCACCAGCGCTGGAGCCTCCTCCTCCAGGTTCCAGACAAATCAGACCATGGTTTTAGGATGAAAAATCCATGGCCCCAAATGGCTAGCTAATTATACTTTTAAAATTCCTCCTATCTTTATTGCTACCTTCATCTCTTTCATATTTCCATTTCTTTACTGTTATACTTTCTGTACTAATTTACCTTTGTAAGTCATCTCAGAATTTTTTAAATTTAATTTTTTTAAAATTTTTCATATGGCATGAAAAAATTACTTGTAGACATCTATAACATAATGGATCTCTTATTGGTAATTTGTTTGGGAACTGACTTGGTACTAACTTTGATTTCTCTCACTGGATTCCTAGACTCTCCAGGATGTTAGAACTGGCTTTGGCCTGTGGAACACCTCGTCTTGTGCATTCTATTTCCTGAATAAAGGGTCTTCTTTGTTTTCCCTGCAACGAGTGGTCTTTTGCTCCTCATTTCTGTGGTCCTTTACCCATTCTCCCAACCCAATGGCATTTCAAAACTATTTAAAATTTAAAAAAATTATTAATATAATTGCTTACATTATTACTCTGTGATTTAATAAACTGAGTTAGATAAACTGTATAATAAAAGTTATTGTGTTCTTTTTCATATTAATGTTTTGTAATTTTTTTGAAGAATCATTTAAAGCTTTAGATTTATTCTAGAAAAGTCTGTAATTGAATTATACCATGATAAGCTAAATCTGAAAATGTAAGCAAGTTTCTATGGGGTAGATGTATGATGATTTTAGGCTTTTCTTCGCATCTGAATTTTGTTTCCACTGCTATTTTAATGAGTTAGGAAATATGAGATATTTAAATATGGCTTGGTGAAGTTCATTGAACACTTTAATGTTGGTTATATTATTTATATCCTCTATATAGTTTAAAAAACAGCTAGCATATTTTATAGATATATTTGCAAGACTGATTTTAAAATAATATATTTTCATTGTTTTGTTAACAAATCAAACTTTTCAAGCTATTTCTGACTGTTAAAACTTTCTGGAAAGTTGTTCCATATCCTTCCGGTCATCTAAATTTATCACAAGGTTTTAACTAAGAAGGTTGGTGAACCCTCTTTCCTTTTGATCTTGCATCCTGGCGAGTGCTTGGATATTTCTTGTGTAAGAAAAGTTTTGGTAGATGAGTCAGTGTACTGAGTCATAGGCAGCATGAAGCCTCTAGTGTTCTATACTAACTAATTGGAAACAGTTTCAAGATTAATTAAGGCACAGTTGTCAGCTCAGTGTTACTGATTGACATCCTACCAAAGTATTTTGTCTTTTGGCAACTTGCTTAATTGTTCTTTGGTATTTAGATTTTTGTTCTGCTTCATAGATTTTTAAAAATCTGTTGAATAGACCTGTAGTTACCATGTTGATTTTTATTTTTTAGAATCCTGTAATGAACCCTGTGTCATTGTGATTAATTTCTTCCTTGTTTGATGCCTTTTTTCTCTTAAAAATATTCAATACAATATCTTTTCTTTTTATCTTGCTAATTTATCAATCTATGAGAAAGTGTGTTATGCCTCACACAAACTAGTTCATAAGTAATAGCATATTGATTTGTTCAATAATAGCCCACTATCCAATTAGATGTTACGTTTTACTTAATAAAAAACAAATTAAGTGGCTTGCTTACATTCCTTTACATTGCATTAATTTGACTTTAATAAATTCATTAAAAATGACGTTTTTAAAAGTCTTTTCCTTCATTAGGTTCATATTTGTTTAAAATAAAGTATTTGAAAGAAAATATTTCATTTATATAAAGAATTTTGCAAAGAGGGATTGATTAGGTGTTCTTCATGTTTATAGAAGAATAAACAAAAGTAAATCAAGACCAGGAAGGTATTTTGGCTTAAGAGAGCAAGTATGTTCTGGCAAAATGATAAAATGCTAGAAAGGATTACTGAATAAAAGAGGAAGAGAAGGGAAGTCACATATTAAATACCTGATAGGTTTCAGGCACTTTATATATATTATTTTTCTAAATCCTTCCAGCATCTCTGAGATGGGAATTATTTACCTATAATCAAATGTGAATCTTGAAGCCTCAACAATATCTGTATAATAAACACCTAATGCAATCTACAACAGCATTTTAGTGTGCTGTCTAGTGCCAGATTCAGGCGTTATGCTAAAGGAAAATTCAGGAGAAGCATTTGATCTAGTTACAGAGTAGACAATCTTTAGGGCAATAAGTGGATTACATATCTTTCAGTCATTCCTCTGAAATGTTTCTTTTGAAGTTATTGATTGAAATTGAGACACATTTTATAATTGATGACATGTTATAATTTAATTGGCAGTACCTTTTCTTTATAGTATGTAAAATTAATGCTGCATCTCATAATCAGTATCATCTTAGATTTGATAGAGTACAGTAGATGGTCAGTCTTTGATGGGATACAGTATATGATCTTAATCATTCCTTAGGAAATTTTAAGAACAACAGTAACCTATTGGGTTTTTGTTCATTATCCCTAAGTTCTGATGAGATGATCTTTGAAAAATTCTGTGGTCAAATATGTTTTAAAAACACAGCATAATCTATCCTTCTCTTGGAGATTTTCAGTGCCTACTAGCATATAAAAATTCTAGCAAAAAAACAACATTTTTACCTTTGTTTAACCCATTGTACAAACTTATTTGATCATATATTTCCTCCACCCTGACAAACTCTTTTTTACTTACCTAGTTTTCAAAGGACATTATGAATGTGCCTGAGGAGTTTAATGCTCTATCTAACTTTGGGAAATGCTGGGTTACTTGGTTTTTTACCTACAATTGAGTATTACCAGTTAGAGTCTAAATCTTTCTGAGGGTCCACACAGTTTTCTCTTCAGTCTTCTTATCCAACCTCATTTTATTCATGTATATTTTGCTCATAGATTGGCCAGAACCACATTACCAATTTCTTATTCTTTTGTTTCAACTTTTACTTCTTGAGTCATATCTTGGGAATATAGTTTTTCATTTGCTAGCAAATTGTGATATTTGAAATTTATTAACTGGATGTTTAGAGTTTCATTAAAGATTCTAAACAGAGAATTAATGTTCATGTATAAATTGGAAAGGAAAGAAATCAATTTTTCTTGCATTTTATGATACCTAAAAGTCAGTAGGTTATGGTAGCCTTATTTCCATGTTACGCTGATTGCTTCAAAGGTACAACATTTTTCATGAACAGAGACTCTCTGAAGAGTAAATCTCTATTCCCTGCTATTTTTCTTGTTTCTTTCTTCACTCCCTGGCCTTCACATCTTCTTTCTTCACCACTTCCCTCTACCTTCTCTCAAAAATCTGGACTCAACTTATTTACTGATTCTATGTTCTATCAGCATTATTTAATTCTGTAATATTGGGTCATGCTTATTTCCAATTGTATTTTCCATTTTTATAATTTTGCTTCTCTAGTCCTACTTTTAGCACTTTACAAGAGAACTTGTCTAAGTCTTTGGCTTTTTATACCTAAGCTAAATGAGCTTCTATTTACCAATTTCCCCGATTGTCACAGTAGTTTATCACATGTAAGTCACCAAGGGATTGAGATAAACTGATTTTATTTCAACTTTTTCAAAATTCTTCCTTACCTATTGTATTTGTAGTCATGGTCTATGCTTGTGGTGGTCAGTCCTGTCAAGTAGTATTCTTAAGTTTGTTTTCTTCCTATCACTGTGCTAACCATCTTAGACTTTATATATTCTGTGTTTTTAAACACTCTGATCTCAGTGAGGAAAAACCCATTAATTTATAACTTACTGCATTCATAGCATAATAATACTGCGTTAAAAGGATGGGAAATGAGAATAGAAATGTGGATTGGTACCACATTGTTTAGCAGTTTGACGGCCAGACTAAGACACTGCTAGGCTAAGGCAGCTTTTGAGAAAGGCAATAATACACTTTATTTTTTCTATTCTGCCATATAGTTAGCTTAAACACTTGAATTATTTCAAGTAGGAGCTTGGTACTTTATCATCACATCTTCTGGACTTCAATTCATTTTCTGATTTTTTTTTTTTTTTTAGCCATTTCTACTTTGAGGAACCTATGTAATAGGATTTTTCTGATAATTAGAGGTTGTTCATAAAGTGTTTAACTGACAGTACTTGGCACAGACAGAGATGATAATATAATGACAAAAATACTGGATTATGGATGTAGCTGAAGTGTGTGTGTGTTTGTGTGGCAGGGGTGAGTGGTGGGTGTTGAACTACCAAATGTGCTCTAATCTAGCCAAACTAGCCATGTATCAGATGTACCACACCAGGGCCATTCTTGCAGTTTGCATTTTTTAGACTGGAAATCAAGAGACCTGGGTTCTTATCCCAACTCTGTGTTACTTTGCAGGTTACCTTTCCTTCTAGGCCGTGGTGCCTTCATAGATAAAATAATGAATTTGGATTAGGTAATTATTAGATTTAAAATATATGATTCTTTAGGGATAGGCAAGGAGTGGCTGAGGATCCATTAAGGAGAACATGTAAGTAGGATCATCTCTTTTATCTCATTGCACTGTTTCTGATGGATTACCCAAAACCGAACTGGTATATGACTTTGGAATTTATCTGCTTCCCATAGAAATTTATTTTCGATACAAAAAGGCCTATATAAAAAAGCACTATAACAAAACAGTACTTAAATTTTATTTAAAATATATTTGCATTTCTCAAATTGAGAGTCAATAAAGAAAATTCTGAGGCAAGAAAACATCTCTGAGATGCCTTGCAATTGGAAACACTCATTGAGACAACTGAGGAATTTAGAAAAATAAATTGAATAATATTTGATAAATTTACACTCTCAGCAAACCCAGGGCCCAATGTCGCTTCTTTGAATTTCAAATATAGGAAACTATAGGCCTGCCATTTCTCAGGGTACATCTCTTGGGCAGGCAGTCCTAAACTCCTGCTCAGATTAGGTTTGAAAGGTTTAATCAGTTCTTATCCACTGCACCCCAGCCCTCCAATCTCCTACAGTGCTCTTTTGTGTCTTATTGTCAACAGAGTGGGGCTAAAAGATTTCCAAGATAACTTTCAATTTATTAGTTATACTACACTAGTATAGTATTGATCTTTTTTCATTTGGCTTTTGTGTTTCATTGGTTCTTTTGTTTTCTCTTTTCTGTTGCCTATTTTCTATATTCTTTCTTCTTGTTACTGTCTACTTAGGCCATGAAATTGAGGTGGATTTTTGTGAGAGATATTGAGGGAAAAAAGGAATTGGACTGATAAAGCTTCACTAACACCTCTTCCTCAAACAAACACACAAACTAACATTTATTATTTTGAATATGAAGAGGGAGGAGACACTGAGAAGAAAATTAAAAGGAGAAAAGGTGAGGATATTGAATTGGAAAAAGTATTCTAAAAATATCTGTACTAACTTTAAAATGGGGGTGATTTTAAAAAATGAAAAATCCCTCTCCTTTATACACATATCGCCTGTGTGATAGAAAAAAAACCCCTAAAATTTATATAATTTCATTCTAAAGGAAAGAGCTTTGTTGCTCTCGCCTTCTAGTTATCAGTTTAGAAATCCTGCTCATTAGGGTTGGAATGTTAAAACCAAGAAAATCATTGCTGCCTTTTCAAGAGTTGAGACTTTAGCTTTACTTTTCTATGAGTCTTTATTTATCAAAGGTATTCTCAGGAGGTAATGATGAACCTGAAACTGTTCCAGCCTGTGCTGAAATACTCCCACACCATGTTGTTGGAATAGATGTAAGCACTCTTTGTAAATCCATGCCAGAAAGTTCTTCCCATTTGAAGTTTTTGCCATCAGATTAAGAGGAGGAAATTCCCATCTGTTCAGAGGCAACAGTGACCAAAAAAAAAAAAAAAAAAAGAAAAGGAAAAAAAGGTAATAAGGAAAGTTTTCCGTGCTTTTTGTGATGAAAGGTTTTCATTGGGACGAATTGTTTTCACATGATAAATATTTGGATCTGATGTTCAAAAGATGTATTTGGACCTGAATTAAAAACAAAGTTATAACTCTAAATATTATACTATATATAATTTACTTGTTTTGGTTGGTATTTGGATTTAAAACTATTAGCATACTTGACTGCTTATTATTCACCCCTCTCCCTTCTTTAAAACATCATGTGCCCACCTTCTCATCTCTTACCGTGCTGACTGCAAGAACCTGTTAATTGGCCACTTACTTTCAATATATCTTTTAATTTACTGTTATATGGATCTAACTTTAGATCTCATCACATCATTTTCTAGGGTAATGGTTTGCAAATTACTGGCAAAATATACAAAGTTCCTTTACCACCAGGCCCATTTTACCTCTTCAACCTCCCCTTCTGCCAACATGCGTTACTTCCTACTTGATAACCATATGAGGCACATAATTTTCTTTTCAGGTCTCTGACTTTGCACTTGCTTCTGTCCATTCTTTCTTCCATGATGACATTTATTGCACTGTTCACTACCCTGTTTGCTCTTTCTTCCAGGATGGAGTTATTACACTTTTTGTAATTGTCTCTTAACTTGCCTGTTTCCTCTTTAAAACTATGGAGGGTTCATACCTACTTTATATATTTCTAGCATTTAGCACAGTACCTCATTCAATAACAGTTTATTGCATTACTGTCCCTCCTTCTGTATCTTGTAAATTTCTGAGTGTCTCAGCCCAACAAAGTTTAGAATCTTAAGTAGGCTTATAGCTGTTCTTCAAGACCTGTCAATTTCCTGAGTGTTCCCCTCAATAATTCTTTAATTTTTATACCCACTGTTATTGGTCCCACCCTCTTCCTTCAGATTTCAATAATCAAATATAGTTATTTGCTTCTGAAATAAAGAAGGTCAATTCCCAGCGTGAGTGCCTGGTTTATTTATACTATATAACACTAGTTAGTGGATCTTGTATTTCTACTTTTATTTCCCAAGACTTTTAGATTTTCCCTTCTGTCTCCTGGACCACACCTGCTACTTTATATACATTTTAGACAGGTGAACTGAGATTTGGAGGAGTGAAATGAGTTGCCCAAGATCATGGAGCTAGGAAATGATATAATTAGTTTTATATGTCCTCAAAGCCTATGTGTGCTTTTTTTTTTTTAATTAACTGCAGCACACTGCTAACCTCATAAGCACTAGGCCTAAGCTGCTGTCTTAAATTATGTACTAATGTCCCTTATGTTGAATTCATTTCTCATTTCCAAATGGATGGTGAGGAGGAAGTAGGCTTTAGGATATAAATTTTTTCTTTTTAGTCAATTTTGTTGAAAGGAATTTGTTTATGTATTTAGTGATAGCCATATGATGGTCACTAAATTTTGTTTTTTAAATATAGTTTGACAGAGAAAAAGGGAAAAAATGTTAGGAAACGTTTCTTTTTTTTAACTCACAGTCTTTGAGGGCCTTTTTTTTTGTACATTGGAAAATAATTTTGAAAAAGTAAAATACAGCCATCTCTTAGTGTCCATGAGGGATTGGTTCCAGGATCCCCTTGGATACCAAAATCCGAAGATACTCAAGTTCCTTATATAAAATGATGTCATATTTGTATATAACTGTTACAGGAAAGGGGTCCGTATCCAGAACTCAAGAGAGGGTTCTTAGATCTAGTGCAAGAAAGAATTAGAAAGGAATAAAAGAGTGGCCACTCTATAGGCAGAGCAGCCCTAAGGGCTGCAGTTTGGCTATTTTTATTGTTATTTCTAGATTATATCCTAAACAGGGGTAGATTATTCATGAGTTTTCTGGGAAAGGGGTGGGCAGTTCTCAGAACCAAGGGTTCCTCCCCTTTTTAGACCATATAGGGTAACTTCATGACGTTGCCATGGCATTTGCAAACTGTCACGGTGCTGGTGGGAGTGTCTTTTAGCATGCAAATGTATTATAATTAGCATATAATGTGCAGTGAGGGGGACCAGATGTCACTTTCATGGCCATCTTGGTTTTGGTGGGTTTGGGCCAGCTTCTTTACAGCACCTTGTTTTATCAGCATGGTCTTTGTGACTATATCTTGTGCTGACCTCCTATTTCTTCCTGTGACTTACAATGTCTAACCTCCTGTGTCTCAGCCTTATTTTACCCAGCTCCTATTCAAGATGGTTTCACTCTGGTTCGAATACCTCTGACATAACTACGCACATCCTCCCTTTAAATCATCTCTAGATTACTTATAATATCTAATATAATGCCTCTCCATCCCTTTACTCCAATGGGATTCAACAGTACTCTCCATGCTGGCAAATTCAAGTTTTGGTTTTTGGAACTTTCTGGAATGTTTCTTTCTGAATATTTTTGATCCTTGGTTAGTTGAATCCATGGATGGGGAACCCATTAATATGGAGGGCTGACTATATTCTAATGTGTGATTTACACAGTTGGGATTGGATAAATGGAGAGAGAGTGAATAGATAAAAGAAAAATTTGAGATACATAGGTAGATGAGCCCATGAAAATATTAGTCTGTTGGTTGCTTGTAAGAAAATAAAGAATTAGAAAACTTCATTTTACTGTTGTACTTAAGTTTTGTTTGAGTGACCCAGTCTACTGAGTGGGCAAAGAATGTGCTTAGAACATGATGGAATTGGCATTTAGAAAATCCAACAGATAAAATATTATACTCACTGACTCATGAAACAGAAACAATTAAGGTCCCAATTTAGCATTCTAAATTGTCCAGATTCTGGACAGAGGATCTAATCGTTAGGCTCATTTTACAAATATCCATGTGGTAGAGTTGGAAGGATGAGCTAAGCGCAGAAATTGGTAGTGCTGGGAAAAGTTCTGGTTTAAAATTTGAGCCTCTGTTAATCTCTATAAATTGACTCATTTACATTTTAATGTAAATTTCTAAATATCAATTGAAATAATGGAGCTGTTTGAATTTTCAAAGTGGGTTCTTACCTGATTTTTCTGTTATTGATTCTTTCATGTGTAACTCATAAGTGCAAAGTTTATCTTAATTTCAGAGGAGCTGGAAGGAAATTAGGAGGTACAACTCGTAATTGAAGGGGAGATTCTAGCATAGTGGTTAACAACACAGGCTGTGGAGCCAGACTGCTTGAGGACAAATCTATGTTCTTTCTCTTTCTTGTTACTTGCTTTATGATCTTGGACAAGCCACTTGATTTCCCATTTTTTTTGTTTTCTCACTTGTACGATGTGGATAGTATAATACCTACCTTATAGGGTAGTAAATTCTTGGTAAATCTTAACAATTTGTAGTTTCTTCCTTGCCATGAACGTGTTCTGTAATCTTTGGCAAGTCACTTTATATCTTTGGGCTTTGTTTATTAATTTTGTATGAGGGTATAGATAAGCTCTAGTTTACCTTCTAGTTCTAGAACTGATTTTAGTAGAATAAAATGGCATATCACAGCTTATGGAATAAGTGTATGAAAAATATATAAATTTTGTTATTAGATAAGTACTTGAATAAATAAAGTTGTAATGTCAGAGGTCTGTGACTTGGTACTGTGTCACTTTGGGCAAGTCTGTTGGCTTCTTTAAGCTTTATTAGTTTTACCTATAAAATAGAATAATAAGAACTCTCTCATACAAGGATTGTGCTGATTTTAAGAAATGACACCTGCAAAATGTCAATTATAATGCCTGATTATATAGTATGTAGTTAATAATGCTACTGCACTTAAATCCCTCTTACACAGGGTCTCTGTTTTTCTCAGTTCTCTCTCACAAAGGAGTATCTCTCTAATTTATGCATTTGAATTTGTGCCATTCTCAGTATAAGATGATTTTAGCGTATGACTTAAGTGAATTTGTGAGACAAAACTGGGCAAGTTTTATCCAGTTCTTTGTGGAAGGAAGAGCCATTAAGAAACTACAAAAGATAGAAGTTTCTCCTAATGGGATTTATTTTGGCAGGATCAGGATTGAGAATACAAGGAAAAGAGAATTAAGAAAGCAGGTTAAAGGTAAGGTGTTCTCTAGATGTCTGCAGCATTAAGGTAGCATTTTATGGGAAACTGGTCCCAGCTTCTTTCTATCTCATTCCTTTATTTTGTTAAGGTTTCTCTCTGGTTTAGGATTGTATTAGATCCAATACATCCCCATTCATAATGATTTTTAGAATGTAATGCTCTCCAATAGGAATATGGCATTGGTTCTTTAACTAGTTTTGTTAGGCATTGAAGAAAAAACAACTAACTTTTCTAAGTTTCAGCATCTTCTTTTACAAGGGGTGGAGGAGAGAACGAGATTAAACTAGATGATTTAAATGTTTGCCTTTAGAGCCAATTCTTGATCTGTCCAGGAACATGGACCTTATTACTTTACAGCCTCAATAATGCATCCTTTCTCTCTTTACTTTTAACTTTGTTAGAATTCACTGTCTTTTCCTTCCCACCTCTGCCAGGTTTCTGGAGTGCTCTGTCTGAATTAATGGCTTATGGACCCTCTTAACAGAGATGAGAGGGAGAGGATAGGGAGACCATATTGCATATAGGATCTGTAGGTTTGTGTGAAGGCCAAGGAAGAATGGGCAATGCAGGGAAGAGGACAAGAGGTTAGATCTTGGATAAAGACTGTGTGAGTTCAAATTCTGGCTTTTTTGTGTGCCTCAATTTCTTTGAGTATAATGAGGATAATAACTCCCATAGGACTGTATTAATGAGATTATGTATTTGGTAATGATCTTAAGACAGTGCTTCATTCTTAGTAAGCATTAAATAAATGGTAGCTAGTATTACAATTTTTTAAAAGGTTTTTTACTAAGAATCTTATAAGGATTACATCAGGAAGCAGGCTGTCTCTGTAAGGTCACTTATATGCCACTTGAGAGTAAGTATAGTAATTAATAGCGCGATCTTCATTTTGTGTGGTAAACGTGACTTAGCAGAAACTAATACGACTGAAGTTGAAGACTGAATAAATGTAAATTTCTTCTTTAAGATTAATATTTTGCTTGGAAAGTTTTGTATGTTCCCATGTGTGTCTAATGTGTTATTATTCTTTATACTTTAGAGCCTAAAATATACCCCAGGATGGGAAATAAGATTTGGAAGTCACCTCATAAAAAAATATCATTCATCCCTTGGTCTTTACAGAAGACATGATCCTGAAAGGTACCCAGTTGAGGAAGAAGTAGGAGTTGAGGACCTGAAATCCCTATTAAGTCATATACAATTTGAGACATTTTCTATTTTTAAAACAAGTAAAATGGTTAGAAATTTATCTTTCTATTCATGTCATAAATGCATTTCATGTTTTTGAGACTTCAACATAAATAGATTTCAGTGTGTTAAGAAAGTGTATATTTAGTTCAAAATGCCATAATTGTTCCTGACGGTAGATATTCAGTACAACAGAATCTCAGAAGCCTTTAAAAATGACCTTTTCAAATAGATAAATATATTTGCCCATAAACATTTATGTCATTACTTTGTAGATGTTTTAAGTCACTTTTGTTTTTCTTCTGAAGTGTTAAAAATTACCAGTGGCTTTATTCCCAGGGAGAAGGGAAAGGGAATGAGATAACCAAACATGTGTACAAGGTTAATTTTTTAAATGATACAAACTCCAAAAATTATTATTTTTATGAGCTTTCAGATTTGCCTGTAGACAAATTTGTTTCATTTCTGTGTTATAAGATTATATATATTAACTGAAAAACTTATAAATGATAATATAGACAATTATTTTATACTTTGGTAGCTTTACCAACAAATCCATTGGATCCACCCAGGAGATAATGGCCTTGAAACACAAATAAAGGCACAGAAAAATATCTTTG
The DNA here is from genome assembly GCF_000001405.40 of Homo sapiens. Lineage (NCBI taxonomy): Eukaryota > Metazoa > Chordata > Mammalia > Primates > Hominidae > Homo > Homo sapiens. The sequence continues at coordinate 28,156,897 of NC_000011.10, forward strand.
ACAGCAAAAGATTGCAAAAACAGACACTTTAAATTGTTTCTGAAAACATGTTTGTTTAATCTGTGATAGATATAAGATAAATGGTATTTAACCCTTATTCCTGAAATCGTAAACTCTTTATTTTTTTATTTGCAAAAGGTCTTATGATTCTTACTTGCAGGCCCTGTGATGGCTAATACTGAGTGTCAACTTGATTGGATTGAAGGATACAAAGTACTGATCCTGGGAGAGGTATTCCTTCTAAAGTGAAGGATAAGTTGCTGCATTTGGCCTCTCCTACATCCAACAAAGAGGCACAATGCTTTGTAGACCTATTTGCATTTTGGAGGCAACACATTCCTCATTTGGGTGTGTTACTCCAGCCAATTTATTGAGTGACCTGAAAGGCTGCCAGTTTTGAGTGGGGACCAGAACAACAGAAGGTTCTGCAACAGGTCCAGGCTGCTGTGCATGCTGCTCTGCCACTTGGGCAATATGACCCAGCAGATCCAGTGGTGCTTAAGGTGTCAGTGGCAGATAGGGATGCTCTTTGGAGCCTTTGGCAGGCCCCCCATAGGTGAGTCACAGAGGATGCCGCTAGGATTTTGGAGCAAGGCCCTGACATCTTCTGCAGATAACTACTCCCCTTTTGAGAGACAGCTCTTGGCCTGTTACTGGGCATTGGTGGAAACTGAACATTTGACTATATGTCATCACCATGTGACCTGAACTGCCTGTCATGAACTGGGTACTTTCTGGCCCATCTAGGTATTAATTGGGTCATGCACAGGAGCATTCCATCATCAAATGGAAGTGGTATCTACGTGATCGGGCTCGAGCAGGTCCTGAAGGCACAAGTAATTTACATGAGGAAGTGGCGCAAATGCCCACGGTCCCCACTCCTGCCACCCAGCCTTCTCTCCCCAAGCCTGCACCAATGGCCTCCTGGGGAGTTACCTATGATCAGTTGACAGCGGAAGAGAAGACTAGAGCCTGGTTCACAGATAGTTCTGCACAATACCGAGGCACCACCTGAAAGTAGACAGCTGCAGCACTACAGCCCTTTTCTAGGACACCCCTGAAGGACGGCGGTGAAGGGAAATCTTCCCAGTGGGCAGAACTTCAAGCAGTGTACCTGGTTGTGCACTTTGAGTGGAAGGAGAAATGACCAGATGTGTGATTGTATTCAGATTCACGGGCTGTAGCCAGTGGCTTGGCTGGATGGTCCGGGACTTGGAAGAAGCATGATTGGAAAATTGGTGATGAAGAAATTTGGGGAACAGGTATGTGGATGGACCTCTTTAAGTGGTCAAAAACTGTGAAGATATTTGCATCTCACGTGAGTGCTCACCAACGGGTGATCCCAGCAGAGGAGGATTTTAATAATCAAGTGGATAGGATGACCCGTTCTGTGGACACCTTCAGCCTCTTTCCCCAGCCACTTCTGTCATCATGCAATGCGCCTGTGAACAAAATGGCCATAGTGGCAGGGATGGAGTTTATGCATGGGCTCAGCAACATGGACTTCCACTCACCAAGGCTGACCTGGCTACGGCCACTGCTGAGTGCCCAGTTTGTCAGCAGCAGAGACTAACACCAAGCCCTCGATATGGCACCATTCCTTGGTGTGATCAGCCAGCTACCTGGTGGCAGGTTGATTATATTGGACTTCTTCCATCATGGAATGGGCAGAGGTTTGTCCTCACTGGAATAGACACTTATTCCAGGTATGGGTTTGACTATCCTGCACACAATGCTTCTGCCAAGACTACCATCCATGGACTTACAGAATGCCATATCCAACGTCATGGTATTCCACACGGCATTGCTTCTGTCCAAGGCACTCACTTTATGGCTTAAGAAGTGCAGCAGTGGGCTCATGCTCATGGAATTTACTGGTCTTACCATCTTCCCCATCATCTTGAAGCAGCTGGATTGGTAGAATGGTGGAATGGCCTTTTGAAGTCACAATTACAATGCCAACTAGGTGACAATCCTTTGCAGGGCTGGGGCAAAGTTCTCCAGAAGGCTGTGTGTGCTCTGAATCAGCGTCCAATATATGGTACTGTTTCTCCCATAGCCGGGATTCACGGGTCCAGGAATCAAGGGGTGGAAGTGGAAGTGGCACCACTTACCATCAACCCTAGTGATACACTAGCAAAATTTTTGCTTCCTGTTCCCGCGACATTACTTTCTGCTGGCACAGAGGTCTTAGTTCTAGAGGGAGGAATGCTGCCACCAGGAGACACAAAAATTCCATTAAACTGAAACTTAAGATTGCTACCTGGACACTTTGGGTTCCTCCTACCTTTAAGTGAAGAGGCTAAGAAGGGAGATACAGTGTTGGCTGGGGTGATTGACCTGGACTATGAAGATGAAATCAGTCTACTACGCCGCAACGGAGGTAAGGAAGAGGAAGAGTTGCATGGAATACAGGAGATCCATTAGGGCATCTCTTAGTATTACCATGCCCTGTGATTAAGGTCAATGGGAAATTATAGCAGCCCAATCCAGGCAGGACTACAAGTGATCCAGACCCTTCATGAATGAAGGTTTGAATCACTCCACCAGGAAAAAAAAAAAAACACAACCTGCTGAGGTGCTTGCTGAAGGGAAAGGGAATACAGAATGGGTAGTAGAAGTAGGTAGTCATCAATACCAGCTATGACCACGTGACCAGCTGCAGAAATGAAGACTGTAATTATCATGAGTCTTTCCCCCTTCTTTTGTTAAAAACATGTTTGTGCATGTATACACTTGTACTAAGAAAATATCGTCATTTTATTTCCTTTCTCCTTTATCATGTGACATAAGATTTATTGACTTCACATCAGAATTTAAGTATCGTTAACTTTATGTAATAGTATTTGGGTTAGGGATTGCTGCATTTCCAGTTGTACGAAGAATAGTTGTATTATGTTAGGCATAATTATGACCTTATTGTCTTTTTTTGAAGATTATGTGTGATTTCAGGAGATGTGTATGAGTTCAAGTTGACAAGGGGTGGACTTACTTTGGTTAATACTGAGTGTCAACTTGATTGGATTGAAGGATACAAAGTATTTATCCTAGTTATGTCTATGAGAGTATTGCCAAAGGAGATTAGCATTTGAGTCGGTGAGCTAGGGGAAGGCAGACCCACCCTTAATCTGGGTGGGCATAATCTCATCAGCTGCCAGCATGGCTAGAATAAAAGAGCAGGCAGAAAAATGTGAAGAGACTGGCCTAGCCTCCCAGCCTACATCTTTCTCCCATGCTGGATGCTTCCTGACCTTGGACTTCGGACTCCGTGTTCTTCAGTTTTGGCACTCGAACTGAGTTCCATGCAATATAATGGAATATATATATATATTCCATTAGTTATTGGATATTATTCCATTCGTTATTGGAATATATATATTCCATTATATATATATTCCGTTAGTTCTGTTCCTTTAGAGAACCCTGACTAATACAAGCCTATTGTTGGGAAGTGATCAAGGAGGAAATGATGACACAATCCTTCTCTTAAGGGTATTATACTATTTTCAGAATTATTTATGTAAAACAATAGGATTCTACAACTAAAGACCTGGCTTAAGTTTCAGGATTAAGATTTTGGTAGAGCTTAATTTCTTCAAGAATGATTTCCTTGATATTCTTTATAAATACAAGTTCATGGTTAAATATCGATCTGCTGAGTTTATTTTTTGTGTGACCCTGGCTTCTTAAAGGCAATCCTGATTACTCTTTAAAAACATTGTAATACATTGGAGTTGGTATACTTAAATTTGCCAAAGAACTTGTGCCTATGATATCAATATGTGAGTGAGATTTTGCAATAATAACATATTATAGTTATTTGAAAATCTTAACAATAATGGTAACAATTACCATTGCTCCATTTCTTGTATATAAATGTACTATATAACCATAATAATAAAATAAACAAACCAAGAGTAAAATTTTCATCCCTTTAATAAGCCTAGCAAGACAATATAACTTATTTAGGTAGCTCTTCATTTAGTACATTGATTCTCAATCATATTAGACCCAACATCCTTTTTTTATAATAAATATTTTGTAGGCACCCTCTTACTGGAAAATACAGTCAGAAATACACACTAAAATATCAATATAATATACTAGCTGTAATTGAAAGAAATAAAAGCAAAGTAAATCACATTAAGTATTAAGTATTACAGTATACAAATGAAAGATGACAGTGATATAGTCAGATGTTTGCACCTTCCTTTTTTTTTTTTTTTTTTTGTTTTTTGTTTTTTGAGACTGTGTCTTGCTGTCTTGCCCAGTCTGGAGTGCAGGGTTACAATCTCAGCTCACTGCCACTGCTGCCTCCCAGGTTCAGGTGATTCTCCTTACTCAGCCTCCCAAGTAGCTGGGATTACAGATGCAGGCCACCACCCCAGCTAATTTTTGTTTTTTAGTAGAGATTAGGTTTCATCATGTTGGCTAGGCTGGCTCCAACTCCTGGCCTCAAGTGATCCACCTGCCTTGGCCTGCTTGCACCTATGAATGTTTGGAATTAAGAAAAGTAGGAAGATCATAAATCATTTCTTACATAAAGGGTACTAATTTGAAAGAATTGATGTACAAATGGACACTAGAATAAAAAGTGATGTTAGAATAAGTAATAGCAGGTCACATTTATTAGTTTTTGATTTAAGCAAAAGGGAAATAATTTTAGCCAAAGAAGGAAAACTATGAGAAGACAAATTATATCCTGTCAAATTGAAGAAAATGAGTTGGGCCTTATTTTAATTGTAATATTATACTAATTGTCTAGGTTGTCGTAAAGGGTGATATAATGAAAATTGAATAGAAAATATGACTTGTATTTTGAAACTTTACATCTTGAAAAAAAGGAACATAGGATGAGTGATAATTTTGGGATGGTGAGTTCAGCCTGGGATCTTTTGAATATGTGCTGTTGGCAAGGCACTGTTGATGGAAATACTAAGCAGGTGGTTGAAAATGAAAATTACAATTTCAGATAAGGTTATGTCAACAAGATTTAGTTTTGAGGGTCACTTACAGAGCAGGAATTATTGAAGCCATTAGATTAGATGATACTGCAAATAGGATAATAGTAATCATAAAATTTAACATAAAAACTGCTAACATTTGTTGATGTTTATTATATACCGGGCACTGTTCCTCTTTTTGACTTATTTTTTCACATATTTCTCTCAAATCCTCTGTAAAATAAGTACCATTATTACCAACATATCCTTCTTGCAGATGAAACTGCTGACACACCAAGACGTTGCCATAGTTCAGACAACTTAGCTAGTAGTAGAGTTTGGATAGAGGTTCAGGCAGCCAGGCTCTAGAGCCTTCTTCCAAAGGAAGGATTTTTGAGGAGCTCATTAATTTTGGAGGCAACTGTAACAAGAAACAAACACCTGTTAGGTAAAAGAATAAATTAGAGTGTACATTGTCTTGGAAGGCTAAGAAACAGAGTATGGTAGGTAGTATCACAGGTTTCAGAGCAGTTTAGAAAAGGCCACTAGATTTGATGATTAGTAACTTTTTGGTAAATGGTTATTCAATAATGTTGCAAAGCCCAAGAAAATGATCTAAGCATGTGTTTTCATGAGACTTTCTAGAAATTTTCAATATGCTTTTTATTTGTCCATTAGCTATTCTGGACTTTAAGATACAAATGCTCCTTGACTGATGATGAGGTTACATCCTTATAAAATCATCATAAGTTGAAGATGTCATAAGTCAAAAATGTATTGAATATACTTAACCTACTGAACATCATTGCTTAACCTAGCCTACCTTATACGTGCTCTGGACTCTTCTATTAGCCTATAGTTGGGCAAAATCATCAAACAAAGCCTATTTTGTAGTAGACAAATAGGTAAAATAAATTATTTTGTAATAATATAATAAGTACTGATTATCATGTAATTTATTGAATGTGATGTGGGAGTGAAAAACAGAACGTTTGTCTGGGTATTCAAGGTATGGTTTTGACTGAATGCATATAACTTTCACACCATAGTAAAGTTAAAAAATTGTAAGTCAAACCATCATAAATTGGGGACTATCTGTATTCTATCAGATAGGTAGTATTTTGAGCTTAAGCAAACATGGTGTAGATTGTTTTAAGAAATTCTGTGTTATTCTCAAGGGAAATCTATCAGAAATAAGCAATCTAATTTTGGATTTGTTTGGGGCAATAGAATTTGTTGAAAATACCAAATGCAATGATTAAATTAGTTCTAGATGAAAAGGCAGATATTGCTGAAAAGTTTAATGTGAAAAGTGAAAAAAGTGTGATTTGTAATACGTAGTCAAGAAGAAGCAACTCATTCTTGGGTGTGATAATGAGTGGAGAAATATTCATGTGGGTGTTTTGATGATTAATTTGTTGATTTGTGTAAAATGCTTGAAGAAAAAAAAGTATGGCATAAATTCTAAATATTATTATTTTATTCACAGAATTCTGTCAGGCTTCATGGTCTTTTTCCCATGTGCTCATCTTTCTGCACCTGTTACCAGAACTTCATTCTACAGCAGCCCTGCTTTTGCTGTCATTTGAAATCGGTTCCAAATTTTTCCTCTTGTAACTCTCTCCCCATGCTGTTACTCGGTTATCTAATTTTGCATAGATCTTTCTAATAAGATGCTTCTTCTTACTGATCTCTCTCTCTCTCTCTCTCTCTGTGTGTGTGTGTGTGTTTGTCTGGAGAATACACAATCAAATGTATTTCCTCACCTTCAATGACTTAGGTAAAATAATGTTATCTATTTAATTTTCCCCCAGAATCAATTGCCCCAAAATGGCTTATACCCTGAGAACTTAATATACTTTTTTTTAAATATCTTTAACTAAAATTTAGTGAGCTATTTTTATTGTTGTTAATTTTTTAAGTCCTTTTTTTCTGTAGCCTGGAAGCTTTTTCTTTGATCATTAAAGTAGGAACCTCAATTTGAAAACTTGCCACAACTGAACATATGTCCCCTCTTGTATTAGAAAGAGTTATAATTTTAATACATTTTTCAAATTATGATTTATGTCTCTTTAGGAGAGATTCTGTTTGTTTTTTAAAGAGCCAAGCCAAAATTTTTTCTTACTTTATAATTAATGGGATTACATTTATGTTTTAACTTAAATCTGAATTTTAGAGGTAATTGTAATTCAGAAGAAAATGCAAACATCAAAATATCACATGTATAGCTCTTTAAATATGAACATTAATTATCTTTGGAGATTGATTATTGCCAAAATAAAATCACTATATCTCTTTGGGTACTTTATGTTAATATTTCACTTATTACATACACAAACACAACATATGCAGAAGCTCACACACGTAACGGCTTATTTGTGAACAAAATGATTACTTAAAAACACACATTAGGAAGTGATGTTATCATAATGTGATCATTCTCCTGGGATGTCATAAAACAAGAAATACTGAACCATTGCCTTCAGTTTCAGGGTTTATAAGTACCTTATGACCACTGTTTTAATTCACTATTGATACTGTAGAACGTATTTATTTAAAAGGAATATGTATGTTTCTGCTTGAAAGTGGGTGAAACTGACATTGCCATAATTTATAGGTTTTTCCCCCATATTTAGCCATACATGATTTTCTTTCACTTTGGAAAATTAGTTTATAATTATCTCAATTTTTTAAAAAAGTGTTATTTCTAATTGACCAATTATAATAATATATATTTATGGAGTACAGTGTAATGTTTTGCTGCATATGTACAATACGGAATGATTAAATCAAGCCAATTAACATGTCACTTATTTTTTATGGTAAGACATTTGAAATTAACTCTTTTAGCTATTCTGAAATATACATTATTATACTTTAAGTTCTAGGGTACATGTGTACAACGTGCAGGTTTGTTACATATAACTTAGTCATCCTGCTTTGCAGTAGTTCTCAGAGACTTATTCCTCCTGTCTTACTGAAACTTTGTACCCTTGGAGCAACATCTCCCATTTCTTCCCTCCTCCCCAGGCCTCTGGTAACCACTGTTCTACTCTCTAACTCTATGAGTTACACTTTTTTAGATTCTACATATAAGTGGAATAATGCAGTATCTGGCTAATTTCACTTAGCATAATATCCTCCCAGGTTCATCCCATGTTGTAACAAATGACAAAATTTTCTTCTTTTTAAAAGGCTGAATATTTTTCCATTATGTGTATGTACTACATTTTCTTTATGCATTTGTCCACTGGTAGATGTTTAGGTTGATTCCGTATCTTGGCTATTGTGGATAAAGCTGCAATGAACATGGGAGTGCAGATATCTCTTTGATATATTGATTTCAGTTATCTTGTATCATCTAGAATTTGATTGCTAGGCCATATAGTAGTTTATTTTTAGTTTTTTGAGGTATCCATATGGTTTTTCATAATGGTTGTATTAATTTATCTTCCCACCAACAAAGGGCAAGGATTATTATTTCCACATCCTCGAAAACACTTGTGTTATTTTTCATCTTCTTGTTAATAGCCATTCTACAGTTATAAGGTGATATCTCACTGTAATTTGCATTTCCCTGATGATTAATGATATAGAGCTTTTTTCATGAACCTGTTAGCCATTTATATGTTTTCTTTTGAGAAATATCTGTTCATGTTCTTTGACCATTTTTTAATTGGTTTACTTGTTTTCTTGCTATTTAGTTTTTTGAGTTTGTTAACTCCTTATTAGATGTATGGTTTGCAGATATTTTCTCTCATCCTGGGTTATTTCTTTACAACTAATTATTTCCTTTGCTGTGTAAAAACATTTTAGTTTGATACAATTCCATTTGTCTATTTTTGCTTTTGTTGCCTATGCTTCAGGGTTGTATAAAAAAAAAATTGCTTGGATCAATGTCGTGGAGCTTTTCCCATATGTTTTCTTCTAGTAGTTTTCGTATTTTCTGATAATGTATTTAAGTCTTCAGCTTGTGACTTGATTTTTGCATATAGTCTCAGATAAAGATCCACTTTTATTCTTCTGTATGAAGATATCCAGTTTTTCCAACACCATTTGTTGAAGAGACTGTCTTTTCCCCATTTTGTGGCCTTGGCACCTTTGTCTAAAGTGTGTGGGTTTATTTCTGGGCTTTCTATTCTTTTCCATTGGTTGATGTGTCTGTTTTTATTGCCAGTACCATACTGTTCTGATTATAATGGCTTTCAAATATATTTTGAAATCTGGGAATGTGATTCTTCCAACTTTGTTATTTTTGCTGAAGATTGCTTTGGCTTTTCAGGGTCTTTTGTGGTTACATATGAATTTAAGGATTGCATTTTTCATTTCTGGGAAAAAATGACACTGGAATTTTGATAGAGATTGTATTGTAAACTCAATGTTTTCTGAGTCTGGTGGTATACTTAACTAATCTGCATTTTCTCTTTTCCCTCCTTGTGCAAACACTAATCTTTATGCTGATTATCTAATTCTCTGCTATTAGTGCCTGGATATGATGTAGGATTAGTTTCTGTGTTTTCAAAGATAATGTGAATTTATGGTTTCATTTGGTTAGTCTGGAAAGCAATGTAGGTACACAAGAAATGTCATGGTAAAAGTAGAGTGAGGTACAGAATACAAATTTCCTAGCCTGTTTTATGTCTTTGTAGCTTTCTTCTTGGTTATCATCCTCATTTTTGATATTATGAGCCATAATGTGTAGTTTAAATTCTGAATTCTAGAGAACTTACGTTCTGGTTCAGGATTCATTTGTGATGTTTTATTAAATTACTTTTAAGTGGTTCTGGAATCTTAGGCTGGGACTTCACAATGAAAAAATGCTGAAACTGGCCAGGCATAGTGGCTCATGCCTGTAACCTCAGCACTTTGGGAGGCCAAGGTGGGCAGATCACCTGAGGTCAGGAGTTCAAGACCAGCCCGGCCAACATGGTGAAAACTGTCTCTACCAAAAAGGCAAAAATTAGCCAGGCATGGTAGTGAATGCCTGTAGTCCCAGCTACTCCGGAGCCTGTGGCAGGAGAATCACTTGAACCTGGGAGGTGGAAGCTGCATTGAGTCAAGATCGTGCCAGTGCACTCCAGCCTGTGTGACAGAGTGAGACTCCATCTCAAAAAAATAAATAAAAATACTGAAAATGAAAATGCATATTTCATCTATTCTTTCTATATCCGGCACTTCTGACCTAACCTTTTGATTGTATTTGTTATTCTTTTGTTCTTTTGTTTGTCCTTCTGAATTAGGAAGTTTGGTATTGATAGACACAGTCATTAAATAATGGAGCTTTCAGGAACTTTGAGTGATCTTTGCTTATTTAAACAAATGAATGTGGCTAATTATTACAGCGGGAGTTAGGATGGGTATATTTTGGGTGACTATGAGTTGGAAGTCTTGTCTGTAACCAAGAAACTGACTCTGGCTGTCTTATGCAGAAAAGGAATTTATTGAAGTAGGTTGGGCAGCTCTCAGAATCAGCAAGAACATGGGAGAACCAGATCTGAAAATGAGCAGAAATCAAGGAAAGCTCAGCAGTGGCAAACACAACCAGGGTCGTGCCACCAAATAGTCCACCTTGCGAATCTGTCACTGGTTCAGCTCTGCTGGATTCTCAATCTTGTTGCTGCTGAATTCTCAACACTGTTACCACCGTAGTACTTTTTTCTCTATGCAGATAATTTTTTAACTGTCCCTGAGTCTTAGCAGCCCTCCAGGATTCAGTATTCCAGTTGGGAACATCTAATTATGTAAGTATAAGTCATTTGATGCTAAGGAATGAGAGCCTAATGGATCATCTAGTCACTGGGGCTTACATAAGATGAGATGGAGTAGCATTTCCTATCACAGAATCCCACAGTACGAGATTCACCTGTATATACTAGATTCATATCTAGTATCAATATACTAGATACGAAAAAATATATAAATTTATACTGTAATGACAAAATCCTATAATCTTTCTCAGATGTTATTTCAACACCTTATCAACTTTATCATCTGCTTAGATTTTCTTTTATCCAACATAAGTTAACTTTTTTATTGAGGTTCTTTCCTTGGTTTAATATTTAGCCTTTGAAGTGGTGGACAAAAATTGCATTGATTTTATAAAACCTTTTTATATTCTAAAAGACAGGAATGCACCAGTCCATTTTTTTTAGAATTAAAATTAGAAGATCGAAATGAAGATTATTTAAAACCTGTAATTCATTATTTTTATATACATTTAGGGAAAGATTCCTATACTGACATCAGTTTTTTACTTTCTTTTTCTTTCTCTTCCTCTGGTTTTCTTCCCTCCCATCCTGTATTAAGCCCTCTTTGTCTTTGCCCATATTTATTGAACACTTCTATATTCAGGCATGGATGTTTTTCTTTTAGAAAAAATAAGACAATGTCACCCTCATCCTCATCCTTGAGGAAACTCACAGTCCAGTGTAGAATGATAGACAAGCATATGTAAACTAATTTCATTAGCAAGTAAGCAATTACTGCTGTAATTGAGAAATAAAAAAAAAAACCTATAAAGATCAGAAATCTTTCTTAAATAGATCATATTGAGTAGGGTAAGTAATGAACATAATCTTGCATTCATTCTTGTTCTTTTAGAGCAAACAATCAGTAGTTTAAATGATGCTTTTTTTTTTTAATTATACTTTAAGTTTTAGGGTACATGTGCACAACATGCAGGTTAGTGACATATGTATACATGTGCCACGTTGGTGTGCTGCACCCATTAACTCATCATTTAACATTAGATATATCTCCTAATGCTATCCCTCCCCCTCCCCCCATGCCACAACAAGCCCTGTGATGCTTTTTGTTAAGGAGAAATTTTAAAATACAGAAAAACACAAACTGTAGTACAAATATTACCCATATTCTCATGTACCTGAATTATATAATATAGAACATATTTGTGGAATGTTAGTGCATTCCACACCAAAAAATGGTATTTATCACACCATTTAAAAATTTACATGGAGAAGACATTGCAACAGATGAAACAGCCGGTGGGAAAATGCTGACACTGAAAACAGAGGGCAATTCAGGGAAGCCAGAGCGTAAGACAGAAGATGGAAGCAAGTGACTGGAGGCAGGTCAGGACCAGATTAGAATGACCTTTGGGCCACAGTAGGAATTTGGACTTTAACCTGTAGGCAACAGGGAATCACTAAAGGTTTTGAAATAGAAGAGAGACATGCCCATAAGATGCTAAGATGAAGTTTCACAAGGTAAAGTGGAGGTTAGACCAAAATGGAGAGAGACTGGTAGAGAAAACTGATTAAAATGTATGTTTAATAATGTAGGCAAATGGTGGTGAGAGTTTAAATAAAGCAATCATCATTACTATTGTGAGAGGGGAATAGATTTGACAGAGAAATATGAATTCTGTATTCAAAAAACTAGATAGGGTTATTAGTGGACAAACAAATTCAGGAGCCGTGGCTGTTATAAGTACTTTGACAACTTCACATAGTAAAGATTCTCCAGATATTTTTTATCTTGGTTGTTCAAATATTTGAAAGCTTTAGATTTAAAACTGATATTATGATTTGAAGATTTTTACTGCTTTCATATTTCTATAATATTTTTAAAATTATATTAGAAATTAAAAGCAAGTTGATATAGAAGAAAACAAGCATTAAAATGTTGATCTGGATCTATAGATCTGAAAGATGATGTACCAGAATTACTGGCTGTGGAATCACAGGAGGTGATTTCTGTTTTGTTTTTGAAATTCCTTAGTCATTTTTTTGAATGATGAACACTATTTTTTAACATTAAAACTTGTTTTTAACATAAGAAACACATAGTAAACACTCCCGTTTCTTGAGCTATTTACCAGAGTTGTGAAACCTTATTTAGATAACTACGTTAATCATAAATCTATGGCTATGTGAATAATATAAATAATTCAAAGTTAATATAAGCCTTTCTTTCACAAAACACTTGGTTTTCAAAACCTAATGCAAACTCCTACTAGATAAGAATAATTCTATTCTCTTACTTTTGCAGCAGAGTGTTGTTATTTTAAATAAAGTGATTTTGAAAATTTTTCCTAAAGCCTGAACACAAGCAAAATTTGTATTTGCTTATTTACTAATGATTTTCTTCTACTCTGATAACCCTGGTTGAGTGGGTGGTTGAGTAAGTATGCTCTGGTGTGGGGGGTAGGATGTGGTTCCTGTTGGGCTTCTGTACTGAGTGACTAGGCTGACAGCTGGTTGCTTTGTTTGGGAGATTCTAAATTTTAGTGACTGTAGGTCTTTTCTCTTCTGCTGATCAGATTTTCCAGAGAATTCTCTAATCTCTCACCAGAAGATAGCAATAGGTTGCTCAGAACCAAGTCACGGAGCTGTGATCCCAGAGCACAGGATGGGGACTTGGACTTAATTGCTTTCATTTCATTTTCTCTGACCTCTGCTGTGCCTGGTAACCTAGCACCTAGGTTTTCCTGGTTGGTTTCTCCAGATAATGAATTTCTTGTCTCTTAGGAAGCATGAGGAGAGGAAGGGGTTGTGGGTGAAGCTGTTAGCGGAAAGGGATCTCAATCCAGACCCCAAGAGAGGGTTCTTGGACCTTGTGTAAAAACAATTTGGGGTGAGTCCATAAAGTGAAAGCAAGTTTATTAAGAAAGTAAAGGAATAAAAGAATGGCTACTCCATAGGCAGAGCAACAGCTTGGGCTGCTTGATTGATAATACTTATAATTATTTCTTGAGTATACGCTAAACTAGGGGTGTATTATGCATGAGTTTTCTGGGAAAGAGGTGGGCAATTCCCAGAGCTGAGGGTTCATCTCCTTTTTAAACCATATAGGGTAACTTCCTGACATTGCCATGGCATTTGTAAACTGTCATGGCCCTAGTGAGAGTGTCTTTTAGCATTCAAATGCATTATAAATTGTGTATAATGAGCAGTGAGGAGGACCAGAGGTCATTTTCATCGCTATCTTGGTTTTGGTCGGTTTTGGCCAGCTTCTTTATTGCAACCTGTTTTATCAGCAATGTCTTTGTGACCTGTATCTTGTGCTGACCTCCTGTCTCATCCTGTGACTTACAATGCCTAACCTCCTGTGTTTCAGCCTTATTGTACCCAGCCCCTATTCAAGATGGAGTCGCTGTGGTTCGAACACCTCTGAGAAAACTAATCCTTATGCAGAATTCCAACCATTACTGCTTTTTCTATCCCATCTCTTCTGTCTTCTGGAGAAGCTGGCCACTACTTCAGCTCCCTTGGACTATTAGGTTTCCACTTATGTTCTGTTCCATCTTTGAGCACTTGTTGACATCTCTCATCTTTGTTCTTGGGAATTTATACCTTTTTATATTTCTTTAAGCTTAAGTGGAGTTTTGGGAGTGAATATTAATTTTAAAATGAGAGAAAGATAAATAATGCATGGTAGTTGAAGTGTCATGCGGAGAACACTAAACTTGAGATCAAGTGACCTCAGATCAGTCTTAACTCTTTGTGACTTGTAGTGCAGCACTAGGTAAGTGGCCTGGCTTTTTAAAGCCTTTGTTTCTTATTTCCATGATAGAGGCAATATTACCCATCATATTAGGTTGTATTGAGGCTCATAAGAGAGGATGTATATGAAAAGGTTTGCCAAATGTTCTTAATGTAATTTTTTAAAAACGTAACTGGAAAGTGAGATAAAACAATTTGTCTTAATTGTAGGTAATTCTGACTTTATTTTAATCTCAGTTTTCAGTAATGAGAATGAACAGTTTTCTAAACATTTTAGGTGACATTTCGTTTTAACACATTTTTATCATTAGCAAACTAGCATCATTTGAGCAATGCTAAATATAGTGATGTTATTGGGTTCCTAACAGAAAACCTCATATTCTTGAATGTTTACTTCTTTGATACTTTCATAATTTGAGTATTTATATATTTTTAAAAATTTTCAAATCTTTGTTTCCCCTGCCCGCCGCCTCTCTCTCTCTCTCTCTTTTTTTTTTCTTTTTTTAGGGACAGGGTATTCCTCTATCACCCAGACTGGAGTACAGTGACAAAACTGTAGCTCACCACAACCTCAATCTCCTGGGCTCAGGTGATCCTCCTGCTTCAGCCTCTTCAGTAGCTGGGACTACAGGCACATGCCACCATGCCCAGCTAAATGTCTTGAAAAATTTTTTTTTTGAAGAGATGGGGTTCTACTATGTTGCCTAGGCTGGCCTCAAACTTTTGGGCTCAAGCAGTTCTCCTGTCTCAGCCTTCCGAAGTGTTGGGATTACAGGTGTTAGCCACTTTACCTGGCCATGTTTTCTTAATTTTACTTCTACCATAATCAGACAAATTAATATTTCTGATTCAGGAATATGTGATTTTTTTTTCTTTCAAAACAAGACAAAATATGGCTTCACAAATTTTAGCACAATTTTAGCATAAAGTCCATTTAAATGAACTGGAGCTGATCTATAAAGACAGGATAAATAGATCAGTTCCCTTTTTCCTATTTTCTGGTAGCTTGTATTATTCTAGGGTTGATTAGTTTACTGAATGAAATTTCATTAATAGAGTCAATATGTTTTTATTTAAAATACGGCAACTTAGCTTCAAAAGCATCACAGCAGCTATAGCTCAGGTTACTAATTTGATAATTAAAGCTCAGTATTACTAACTTTTTACTTTTTTATTGCTTTAGAGATTGCTAATTTTCTTTACTTCATTCCTGTATTCTACCTTGTTATTGTTCCTAATAGCTTCCATTTATTATACCGTTTTAGCACTCTACTAACTGCCTTACATTCTGTTTTACATTGTGTCCTCACAGTCACCCAATACATATTAAATCCTCATTTTTGAGATAAAGAGACTGATGCAAAGAAAGACTGAATCAGTTTATTCATTGTCTCAGACATTGCGTTAGGTACTAGTAGCCTGTGAGGGAGCTGAGAACAGTTTTTGTATTCTGATTTTCTAATATCAGTCCTATGTGTATTTCTCAAAAATGAATAGACAGAAAATAGCATACAGAGCTATGAGCAAACTATTCAAGGAAAGAAGAGCAAAGTATGGAGAGCTTAGAAGAATATCTCTCCTTTTGTTGGCTACTTTTTTTTGTTTTCCTTTCTTCTTTCACATTTCACTTTGGTATTTCAGGAGACTAGAAATTAATGAGTGATTGGGACAACTGATTTCAATATGAAGAATCTTAAAGACTTAACGAAACTCTTATAAAGAGGTTTGATAGTAACTGATGAAAAGTCTCTAGCATATTTTAACTTTTTTGATATTTATTTTTTAAAAAAAGAGACAAAATTTTTAATATAGATTTTGTTTTTTTGAACAGTTCAAGAATTAAAAAAAACTTGTAAAGATACTACAGAGTTCCCTAAGCTATAGTCTGAATATTTGTGTTCCCCACAAATTCATATGTTGCAATTCTTACCTCCAGTGTGATGGTATTAAGAGGTGGGACCTTTGGGAGGTGATTAGGGCATGAGGGTGAAGCAATCATGAAGGGGAAGAGTACCCTCTAAGAATTCCTAGAGAGCTTATTTGTCTCTTATACCAAGTGAAGATGCAGCAAGAAGGCACCATCTGTGAACCGGGAAAAAATCCTTCACCAGACATCAAATCTGCTGGAGCCTTGATCTTAGATTTCACAGCCTCCAGAACTGCAAGAAATAAATTTCTGTTGCTTATAAGCCACCTGGTTTATGGTAGTTTGTTATAGCAACCCAAGAGTACTAAGACATGATATAACCTATACTCATTTTCTGCTGTTATTTAACATCTTACATTAGTATGGTGTATTTGTTATAATTATTGAACTAATACTGATACACAATCATTAACTAAAGTCTGTTCTTTACTCATATTTCCTTAGCTTTTACCTAATGTTCTTTTCCTGTTCCAGGATCACATCCAGGATATCACACTACATTTAGTTGTCATGTCCCTTTAGCTTCCTCTTGGCTATGACAGTTTCTCAGACTTTGTTTTTGAAGACCTTCGTGGTTTTGAGATGTATACAATCAGGTATTTTGTAGAATGCCTCTCTATTGAGTTAGCTTGATGTTTTTCTCATGGTTAACTTAAGTTATGGGTTTCGGGGAGGAAGACTACAGAGGTAAAGTGCCATTTTCATTATGTCATGTCAAGGGTATGTACTATCAATATGATTTTTCATTGTTGATGTTGACCTCCATTACCTGGCTGTGTTTACAGATTTCTCCATTGTAAAGTTACTCATTTTTTCCTTTTGCCATGCTGTACTCTTTGGGAGGAAGTCACTAAGCACAGTGCATACTTAAGGAGTAGGGAGTTACACTGCCTTCATTGGGGGTGGAATATCTACATAATTAATTTGGAATTTTTCTACACAGGCAATTCGTCTCTTCTCCATTTATTTGTTTGTCCAATCTTTTATTTATATCAGTATGGACTCATGGATATTTATTTATACTTAAGAACGATTGTTTTTGTTTTACTGCTTCTTGATTTTGAATCATAGTTAGTGAGATTTTCCCACTACATTTTATTATAACCAAGGTTTTCCCACTGCATTTTATTATAACCAAGGTTTATCTAATACCGCATTGTTTTATTTTTACCTTTAAATACCAACCCTATTTGGAATTTACTGTAATATGCAGCATTATTTCAAATTTATTATAATATCTACAGCATAAAGTAGGGACTCAAATATTAATTCCAGACATATTTTTTTAAGATCTCTATTTTGGGTCAGGCACAGTGACTCACGTCTGTAATCTCAGCACTTTGGGAGGCTGAGGCGGGCATATCACGAGGTCAGGAGATTGAGACCATCCTGGCGAACACGGTGAAACCCCGTCTCTACTAAAAATACAAAAAAAATTGCTGGGCGTGGTGGCAGGCGCCTGTAGTCCCAGCTACTCAGGAGGCTGAGGCGGGAGAATGGTATGAAGCCGGGGGGCGGAGCTTGCAGTGAGAAGAGATTGCGCCACTGCACTCCAGCCTGGGTGACAGAGCGAGATTCTGTCTCAAAAAAAAAAAAAAAACATAAAAAAGCAAAAAAAGCAAATCTCTATTTTGAACTGTAAAACCATACATCTTTCTATGTATTGAAGATTTTCTTTGGAATTCTTTTTTTTTAAATTTACTTTATTTTTATTTTATTATTATTTTTTATTATACTTTAAGTTTTAGGGTACATGTGCACAACGTGCAGGTTAGTTACATATGTATACATGTGCCATGTTGGTGTGCTGCACCCAGTAACTCATCATTTAACATTAGGTAAATCTCCAAATGCTATCCCTCCCCCCTACCCCCACCCCACAACAGGCCCCGATGTGTGATGTTCCCCTTCCTGTGTCCATGTATTCTCATTGTTCAGTTCCCACTTATGAGTGAGAACATGCGGTGTTTGGTTTTTTGTCCTTGCGATAGTTTGCTGAGAATGATGGTTTCCAGCTTCATCCATGTCCCTACAAAGGACATGAACTCATCTTTTTTTATGGCTGCATAGTATTCCATGGTGTATATGTGCCACATTTTCTTAATCCAGTCTATCATTGTTGGACATTTGGGTTGGTTCCAAGTCTTTGCTATTGTGAATAGTGCTGTAATAAACATACGTATGCATGTGTCTTTATAGCAGCATGATTTATAATCCTTAGGGTATATACCCAGTAATGGGATTGCTGGGTCAAATGGTATTTCTAGTTCTAGATCCCTGAGGAATCGCCACACTGACTTCCACAATGGTTGAACTAGTTTACATGAATTCTTACAGGCATCAGTTAAAAATTGCCCAAATGACTTATTAACTTTCTTAAACCTGCATCTCCTCATATCTCAGTAAATGGTATGAGCACATAATTTGCCAGAGTCAAAAATCTGAGTATCACCTTCAAACTTCTTACTCTTCCCCTATTAAATCACCAATCCCTGTTGAACTTATATCCAGAATTGTCTAAAATATATTTAGCTCTTTTTTGCTGCCATTGCCCTAATCTTGGCCACTACTATCATTTTCTTTGATCACTGTAATTCTGCTCTGCTCTTCATGCACAAGACAAATTCGTGCCCTCAAGAATCTCATATATTGGTGTAAGAGATAGAAAATAAATGTGCAAATATATATATATATATGTATAGGCATATAATTTTTTAGATGATGAGATGATACTATAATCAAAGTTGTAAATTTTGCTGTAGGGAGGTCAATTTAATATTACTAAGGAGTTTAGAAAGAGGAAAGAAGACTGAACGTAAGATCAGTTAATGAATAAAAAGTAATGAAGGCTGGAATAATGGCAGTGGTGGAAGGAAATCATAGATTTTTAAAAATAAATTAAAAATTTGTATTTTTGTATTTCAAAAGAAATATATTTAGAAAATTTAAAAAATATAGATAGACTTGAGGAAGACAAAAAAATTTCTCCTGTAATCCTGCTGTTAAACTGTTAATCTCTTGGCTTGTATCTTTCCAAGGTGTTGCTTGTGTTTATACAGTTTTTCTTTTCTTACAGAATTACAATCATACTATTTGTATTTTGTCATATTTAGCAAAAGTTTTAAATGTCTTTTTCTCTAATGCAGTCATTAAAAGCCTGACTCTGGAACCACAGTGTCTGAGTCAGAATCCTTGCCTTACGATTTTTACTAGCTATGCCCTTGGGCATGTTACTCTACTCCTCTGTGTACCAGTTTCCTCATCTATAAAATTAGTACAGGAGTATAATAAGGGTTAAATCAGTTAATATTAGGAAATGTTTAGAATAGCATGTGGTACCTAATAAGTATTTCTTATCATTACCATTCACTCCTTTACACTATTAATTTTTATTGATTGTATAGTATTGCATCATATGGTATGCAGTCTCAGGAGACAGTATTATGTGTGGTCTTTGTGGCCAAGTGGACTTGGCTAACCTGTCAGTTATTATCTATCTGACCTTTAGCAGTTGACCTTAGCTCTGTGAGATTCAGTTGCCTTACATGTAAAATGGAATTATGATATTACTGTGTATGGTTTTTGTAAAAAAGGAAACATCCATATGAAATAACAACTTAGAAAACTGCCTGGCAAGAAATACACACTTGATAAATACTACCTGTTATTCTTGTCAAAGTGGAATAGCTGGATAATGGACATCAAAAGTCTAAACTTTTCAATAATATTTTCAAAATTGAGAAGGCATAAGTTGATAAACTTTTTGCCTTTCTTTTATAAATATAATAATTCTTAGATGGATACACTAGAAGGACAGTTCTGTATGAATAAAAGCTGAATTCCCATTGTAGTAATTTCTTGGTCTTCCACATTGTTAATTTAAGATATTTGGTAAGTCCTTTTATAAATAAACACTGACAGTGTGTGAAAGAATATATATATTTGAAGTTTGAAAATACATAAACTTTGTGTTAAAATAGTAAAATGCAATATATGTTTTGTAAAGAAGGAATTAGCATCTGACATTTTATTATGAATACAGATTTCCATCAGTGAATAAGGCTTCCAATTGAAAAGATTTAGTAGAGTTAGATTTTTAAAAAAAGTACTTGGCCTGAAATCAAGAAAAATGCTGGTTTCTTCAAAGATGATTGAAACAAATGTCTTCAAATTTGAAACATTTGCTGGCAAAGCAGATGTTTCATTCGAGACAAGTGTTTTAGGTTGTGTGAAGACTCCAAGTAAAATGTTTTCTATGCATGTAAAAAGCTGTATTTAATATGAAATATGGCAATGTAGGCCCAACATTTAAGTTGTATGGATTAGGTAAGAAAAAGTGATTTTTTGGGAAAATCAGAATATAGAACTCTGGGGATTTGAAAGTTATATTACTTACATGATGAAACGAATTAGGAAAGTATTTGATGTTGAATGTTTTCTACATTTAATTTATTAATTTTCATGATTCTTTTGGCGTTGGTTTCCTCATCTGATATAATGAAAGCGTTGGAGTCTATTGGAAATTAGATCTGCTAGAGTTTTTTTGGGTCCTTAGCAGGAGCATTTAATGTGAAATCCTGAAGAGAGGTCAATAGTTCTAGTTACTTCAGATAACTGAGTGGATGGATAGATAGATGGATTAAAAACAAAAGTTTAATAACCCTTCATGAATTTATTGTAAGGCTATGGGACAAAATTGAAGACATAAGCATAATCGAAGACAGTTACTCTTATTATATTATTACATTGCTGATTTGGTTGGGACTTAAACACTTTTGATCTCAGGAAAAGAAAGAATATTTAACCCAAGTTACCTTCTTTTTACTTTCCATAGAGGTTAGAAGTGATTTGATGAGTGGCTGCCCAATTTGCATGAGTTATCATTTGCCTGCCCAGACATTCTACTGAGAAGTTTACAGGCAGCGTGGTTGTCTATTCAGGAATATGCCATTATGAATACCCATACACATACACACATTCACTCCTCATAAACCAGCATTCTTTTAGGTGGCAATATATCATTAACATTTTTATATTAGTAAACATAAGTAAACAAAACCTGTTTACTGGAGAATACTCTGCCATAAAAATGTATCAGTTATTTTAACAATTCGCTGCTATTAGAAATTTACTTTGTCTCCATTTTGGGTATTATCTGTAGTGTTGCAATCAAAATTATTAACTCATGTAATTATTTCACTGGGATTAATTATTTGAGGTGCACCAAAGGTAACGTACATTTTATTGTGTTTGATATATGTTGCTAAATTGCCCTCCAGAAAATATCTACCAGTTGACATTCTATTAGCAGTATTATCATTACTCTTTCCCTACAAGGCCAGATATTAATAGTCTGGTTTTTTTTGGTCAAGAACACTATTTTTACATTTTAATGTGCTTTCCCTTAGTGTATGTGAAGTGTAACATTTAATCATTTGTCTGTATGTGTTACTTTTTAATAGTCCCATTTTTCAAAATTTAAGTGTTAATCTTTTTATTGTTTTGAATAAAAACATTATTTACATTAATACTTTCAAATCTTATTCATTGCGAATATTTTACCCAGTTTAAAAAGATTTATGTGTAAATATTCCTTATAGGTTTCGTATATGTGTATGTTTCAGAAATTCTCATTTTTATGAACCAATTTGGTGATTTTTTTGACATCATCAAGAAAACAAGAAGTACAAATTGTTTTCAGACTAGGGTAGACTTTCTGTACTCCAGAACTATAATGATTGATACTCACTTGTATTTTCTTCTTGCACTTTGTTTTTATACTATTTGTAATCTGTTATTTTTACCCAATTTATGATAAAAGAAAACATTTCCCCTCTCTGATTTAAATAGAGAGAGAAAATGCACACACCTGTGTGCACACATGGGTTTGTGTGTGTATTTTGAATCTAATCTGGAAATGTTTTAATTAGAGTTTTTAGTTCAGTTGCGTTTAATATCGTCACTGATCAATGTGGGTTGAAGTCTATAATCTTATGTTTTTCCCCCTATTTGTATGGCTTAAATACATATTATATTTACCCTCTGTTAATTTTTCATTATGCGTTATTTTTTCTGTAACAGTTTTTTATTAAGTGAAGTCTAGAATGCATGTATAAAAATACAGACGTTTTAAGTGTACCATTCTATGATTTTTTAAATGAATACCCTCTTGTAATTACTACTCAAATGAAGATATGTAACATCTCTCACTCAGAAAGCCTGTCTCAAACATAACTACTTTTCTTACTCTGTCACTTTCTTTTCCTTGTTTTTGAATTTCATTCACATGAAATCATAAACTAATTTATGGCTGGCTTTCTGCATTCAACATGTTTGTGATAGTCATCTATATTGTTGATGGGATTAGTAGTTCATTCTTTTTTAAAATTGCAGTAATCTATTATATGGCTATACAGCAATTTATTTGTCCATTCTCCTGTTGATGGGCTTGTGGATATTTTCTAGTTTTGTTTATTATGAATAAAGCTCATATGAACATCCTCATATGTATTTTTTGGGTGGTCATAGGCACTCGTTTTCCAGGAGCATATAGCTAATAGTAGAATTATTGATTCACTTTAGGAAATAGAGCCAAGCAGTGTTATGAAGTGGTTGAATCTCTTTACATTTGTATCAGCAGCGTATGAGAGTTCCAGTTGTTTCACATATGCAATGCGACTTAGCATTGACAATATTTTTTAATGTTATCCTTTCTGGTGTATGGTATGTCATTGGTATTAATTTGTATTTACTTGATGAATGATGATATTAAGTACCCCTGAGAAACTCAAATGGTCTAAAGTTGGGATCTTTATTATCTCCTCACCCATACCTTCCACTTTTCAGTTAACAAAGCTATAATCCTACTCAGTTGTTAAACCAGGAATCTATATTGTCTTGTCTGAGTACTATGGTAGACCATAATGTTCTGTAAGAGTACAAATTATGTTTTGTTGTTGAGTGAATGAATGAGCAAATGAACCCTTGACTCCTATGCATCCTTTTCAAATTGATGTGTTTTTATAATTTTATATAACAGACATTTTAAAATGTTTTCTCTCTGATATCACTGCTATCACCTTAATCTTTGAACAATCCTGGATTCAGCAGAAGCGAATTAAAAATAATCTGGCCAATTTTGTTGTGAAACTAGAGCTGTCTAAAATATAGTCTGTTTTTATTTATTACTTTTGAAAAAGTAATCTAAAACTGTAATTAGTTGTCTGCTTTTCCTTCCCTTTTGACTTGTTTGGTCTAGTCAATGAGAACTATTTTTAAATAAGGACTAGAACTAAGAAGGGCCTGAAACCTCTGTCGTTTAAGGATGCTAGTGTTTATCAGAAACATATTTAACAAACTATGGCAACCTTTTCTTTGTACTTCTCTTCAACCTTTCTTTGTACTACTTCCCTCTTAAGAATTAGTATGCAATTTCTTAGTAGTCTTGTTTTCTGAGATGACAAAAAGTGAGGTAGGAACAAGGTGATTTTGATAAGAAATACAAATGAAAAGAATAGTATATTTGAAATACCAATTTCCCCAGTCCTGTGGTACTGGTATTTTAATTTTTTTAGGTTTTCGACTGGTAGACTCTAGGACTTAAATAAGAAAAATGAACTCTGACAACTGCCATTAAGTGTTTGTTATCAGTTTATTTTCAGTTATTGTTGGTAAAGAGAGTAAAAACATGAATAAATGAAATGTACATGCACGTTAAATCTTTCAGATTTTTTGCTAGGTTTCGTTTTCTACTTCTCAACTCTGACAGTAGCCACTGGGAGGTAATAATATTGACTGATGCCAATTTGTTTTCTCTCCTTTCCTCTTTGTCCTGTGGAGCTAGAAAATAATGAAAAGTCAAGATAAATAATAAAGAAAAATATGTATGCCCAGAGGAATGAGTAGTCGATTATAAAACATATGGTCTGTATACATATGTACACAGGGATATCAATGAGTCACAATAAATTTTAAGTAATTTTTTGCTAATACTAAAGATAACACGTTTATTTATTTATTTAATTTTTAATTTTTTTTTTTTTTGTATTTTAAGTTCTGGGGTATACATGCAGAACGTGCAGGTTTGTTACATAGGTATATACGTGCCATGGTGGTTTGCCATACTCATCAACCCGTCATCTACAATAGGTATTTCTCCTAATGCTATCCCTCCCCTAGTACCTCACCCCCTGACAGAACCCTGTGTGTGATGTTCCCCTCCCTGTGTCCATGTGTTCTCATTGTTCAACTCCCACTTATGAGTGAGAACATGTGGTGTTTGGTTTTCTGTTCCTGTGTTAGTTTGCTGAGAATGATGGTTTCCAGCTTCATCCATGTCTCTGCAAAGGACATAAACTCATCATTTTTTAAGGCTGCATAGTATTCCATGGTGTATATGTACCACATTTTCTTTATCCAGTCTATCATTGATGGACATTTGGGTGGGTTCCAGCCTTTGCTAATGTGAATAGTGCTGCAATAAACATACGTGTGTGCATGTGTCTTTATAGTAGAATGATTTATAATTCTTTGGTATATACCCAGTAATGGGATTACTGGGTCAAATGATATTTCTAGTTCTAGATCCTTGAGGAATCATCATACTGTCTTCCACAATGGTTGAACTCATTTACACTCCCACCAGCAGTGTAAAAGTATTCCTATTTCTCCACATCCTCTCCAGCATCTGTTGTTTCCTGACTTTTTACTGATTGCCATTCTAACTGGTGTGAGATGATATCTTGTTGTGGTTTTGATTTGCATTACTCTAATGACCAGTGTTGATGAGCATGTTTTCGTATGTTTGTTGGCTGCATAAATGTCTTCTCTTGAGAAGTGTCTGTTTATATCCTTTGCCCACTTTTTGATGGGGTTGTTTGTTTTTTTCTTGTAAATTTGTTGAAGTTCTTTGTAGATTCTGGATATTAGTCATTTGTCAGATGGATAGATTGTAAAAATTTTCTCCCATTCTGTAGGCTGCCTGTTCACTCTGATAGTTTCTTTTGCTGTGCAGAAGCTCTTTATTATAATTTGACCCCATTTGCCAATTTTGGCTTTTGTTGCCATTGCTTTTGGTATTTTAGTCATGAAGTCTTTGCCCTTGCCTATGTCCTGAATGGTATTGCCCAGGTTTTCTTCTAAGATTTTTATGGTTTTAGGTCTTATGTTTAAATCTTTAATCCATCTTGAGTTGATTTTTGTATAAGGTGTAAGGAAGGGGTCCAGTTTCAGTTTTCTGCCTAGGGCTAGCCTGTTTTCCCTACACCATATATTAAATAGGGAATCTTTTCTCCATTTCTTGTTTTTGTCAGGTTTGTCAAAGATCAGATGGTTGTAGATGTGTGGTGTTATTTCTGAGGGCTCTGTTCTGTTTCATTGGTCTATATATCTGTTTTGGTAACAGTTCCATGCTGTTTTGGTTACTGTAGCCTTGTGGTATAGTTTGAAGTCAGGTGGGGTGATGCCTCCAGCTTTGTTCTTTTTGCTTAGGATTGTCTTGGCTATGCGGGGTCTTATTTAGTTCCATATGACGTTTAAACTAGTTTTTTCCAATTCCGTGAAGAAAGTCAGTGGTAGCTTGATGGGGATAGCATTGAATCTATAAATTACTTTGGGGAGTATGGCCATTTTTACGATATTGATTCTTCCTATTCATGAGCATGGAATGTTTTTCTATTTGTTTGTGTCCTCTCTTGTTTCCTTGAGCAGTGGTTTGTATTTCTCCTTGGAAGAGGTGCTTCACTTCCCTTCTAAGTTGTATTCCTAGGTATTTTATTCTCTTAGTAGCAATTGTGAATGGGAGTTCACTCAATATTTGGCTCTCTGTTTGTCTGTTATTGGTGTATAGAAGTGCTTGTGATTTTTGCACATTGATTTTGTATCCTGAGACTTTGCTGAAGTTGCTTATCAGTTTAAGGAGATTTTGGGCTGAGATGATGGGATTTTCTAAATATACGCTCATGTCATCTGCAAACAGAGACAACATGACTTCCTCTCTTTCTGTTTGAATACCCTTTGTTTCTTTCTCCTGCCTGATTACCCTGGCCAGAACTTCCAATACTGTGTTGAATAGGAGTGGTGACAGAGGGCATCCTTGTCTTGTGCTGGTTTTCAAAGGGAATGCTTACAGTTTTTGCCCATTCCATATGATACTGGCTGTGGGTTTGTTGTAAATAGCTTGTATTATTTTGAGGTACGTCCCTTAGATACCTAGTTTATTGAGAGTTTTTAGCATGAAAGGCTGTTGAATTTTGTTGAAGGCCTTTTCTGCATCTATTGAGATAATCGTTTGGTTTTTGTCATTGGTTCTGTTTATGTGATGGATTATGTTTATTATTTTACATATGTTGAACTAGTCTTGCTTCCCAGGGATGAAGCCGACTTGATCGTGGTGGATAAGCTTTTCGATGTGCTGCTGGACTTGGTTTGCCATTTTTTTATTGAGGATTTTCGCATTGAAGTTCATCAGGGATATTGGCCTGAAATTTTCTTTTTTTGTTGTGTCTCTGCCAGGTTTTGGTATCAGGATGATGCTGGCCTCATAAAATGAGTTAGGGAGGATTCCCTCTTTTTCTTTTGTTTGGAATAGTTTCAGAAGGAATGGTACCAGCTTCTCTTTGTACCTCTGGTAGAATTCAGCTGTGAATTCGTCTGGTTCTGGACTTTTTTGGTTGGTAGGCTGTTAATTACTGCCTCAATTTCAGAACTTGTTATTGGTCTATTCAGGGATTCAACTTCTTCGTGTTTTACTCTTGGGAGGGTGTGTGTGTCCAGGAATTTATCCATTTCTTCCAGATTTTCTAGTTTATTTGTGTAGGGGTATTTATGGTATTCTCTGATGGTAGTTTGTATTTCTGTGGAATCAGTGGTGATATCCCTCATATTATTTTTTATTGTGTCTATTTGATTCTTCTCTCTTTTCTTCTTTACTCGTCTTGCCTAGCGGTCTATCTGTTTTGTTGATCTTTTCGAAAAACCAGCTTCTGGATTCGTTGATTTTTTTGAAGGGTTTTTTGTGTCTCTATCTCCTTCAGTTCTGCTCTGATCTTAGTTATTTCTTGTTTTCTGCTAGCTTTTGAAACTGCTTGCTATTGCTTCTCTAGTTCTTTTAATTGTGATGTTAGAGTGTCAATTTTAGATCATTCCTGCTTTCTCTTGTGGGCATTTAATGCTATAAATTTCCCTCTACACACTGTTTTAAATGTGTCCCAGAGATTCTGGTACGTTGTGTTTTCGTTCTCATTGGTTTCAAAGAACATCTTTATTTCTGCCTTCATTTCATTATTTACCCAGTAGTCATTCATGAGTGGGTTGTTCAGTTTCCATGTAGTTGTGCAGTTTTGAGTGAGTTTCTTATTTCTGAAGGATAACACGTTTAAATACTTAGTACAGTACTTAGCTTACAATTATCAACAAGCATTATGTATTACTATATATTGAAACATTTTAAAATTTCAAAAATTATGATTGATTAAAGTTAATGCTATGTTAATATATCACTTAATAACTTGCAGATATGTCCATATCTGTTCTTATGCGAAAGGAAAATGTTAAATAATAAGGACTAGTTAAAAATGAAAAATAAAGGATATTTTATATTCTCTACAGAGTAGGCCTCTAGGAGTATATGTGTGTTGCATGAAAGCTATTTGCTATTGCATGTATCCAAGGAAAATACCAGATCATTGAGAATGGTCTGATAGACAGTTCCTGAGTAAAGGAAATATATTGAAAGTTTATTTTTAATTATGAGTCCCACCTAATCCACATTTTACATAATGTGTTGAATGTTAACATATATAAGAAAATGGATATTGCATTTTTAAAAATTATAAGGTTACTGTTTTATATAGAGTCTTTAACTGTTTTCTAATTTTGAAGTCAATCTACAGTGGTCCCTTAAATTATATATAAACTCTGTAGAACCAGGGATCATATCTTTTCTATATTTGTTTAATATAATGTATGGTAAATAGCTGTTCACTGATTGTTTTCTGGATTAAATTGAATCCCATTTTAAATAACGAAACACTAGAATTAAAAAGAAAGGCAGCTAGAGTACAGATTTTTTTTTAAACAATATTTAATTTTTCATTAGACTGTTTTGGGTTCAAATCCCAGCCCTGCTTCCTTAAAAGCTTGGGCAAATTGCTTGGTCTTGAGCCTTGGTTTCTGTGCCTGTGCTTATAAGTTATTGTTAATATTTGGATAGATAATAAAAGTTATCTTTTAGAATAGACTAAATATATACAAATCATCTTCAAAAGTTACTAGTATATTATAACTGTCAACCAATTAGTAGCTGTTGCCATCAATTTTATTAGTGATAGTTCAGGATCAACTTCAGTTTGCGGTGAAACAAAAGAAATATGTTGATTGTTCTTTAATCCACTTAGAAGTAAAATAATGGATTGATTATTTCCCTTTGATGCTTTTAGGTTTTAAATTGTTTTATCTTGTATTCTAAAGTCCCAGGCCAAAGCAAAGTGAATTATTCTAATTCTGTATGTTATTTATTTATTCACTTAATAAATATTTTTAGAGCTTTAATCATGTTTCAGGTCTTGTTCGCAGCCTTGAAGATATAACAGTTAACATGAAAATATCTATGTTTTCATGGAGTTTCTGATGTATTTGGGGAGATATAATTAATATATAAATAAATATATAAATATACACACGTATCTAATATATATACATATATTTTTAAAATATATGTGTGCATTCATTTTTATAAATATGTAGTGGAATTATGAGTCCTGTTTAGCAATGTTAAGTTTTAGATGCATAGTAGAAATCCAAATAGAGAAATGTTAAACATGGTATCTTTGGGTTTGGGGTTCTAATGAACAAATGAAAGGTTAGGCCATAGAAACTGTTTAAAGCTATGGCCAGGAAAGACAGTAATTCAGGGAACAAATCATCCACTATAATAAATGCCATGGTCAAGTAAGATAAGAACTGTATTTTGCTTAAATAGAAGTCATTGCTGATTTTGTAAGATGTTTCAGGGAAATGATTGAGTTTGAAAAGCTGATTGGAATGAGAGAATATTATAAGAACAGCAAGTATAGCCAACCTATATAATGGGATTTTGTGTATTATCAATATTTGCAAAATATTTTAGTCAACAAAAAATGATTTTATGTCTTCAGAATTTTTTTGTATATATCTTAATAATCTTTCTTTACAGCATTATTTATGATTTGTTTGGAGAGTTAATTTTATGACTTAGAATTTTATAGTTACAATAAAAGTTATTTTACTGGTTAACCCCTTGGGATAAAAATAGTGTATTTCACAAAGCTTACTTGACTTAATTATAGATAACTATAAATGCCTAGTTTTTCATCATATACAAAAATATATAGTACTGTGTTATAGGTGAAAATAGTGAAGGTTAAAGTGAGAAGGAAGTTTTAAAAACTTGATCATATTTAGTTTGATAATAATGCTGTTAATTTTTATTAAAAAACAATATATTTGTTTCTTTAATAATTACCTTTTAATTTTACCAGCCACTATTGTAATATAACATTTTTTTTTAAAAAAGAGGATGCTGTGATTAAGTAAGTTTAATATATGTTCATAATGTATCTGTTAATAGCAAGAGGATTCTTTGGTAGCTTAGGGTAGTGGAACCTGTGAAGATATGCACGAATGAGTTAATCTCTATTTTTATACTAAATCACTGTCAAACACATACCTTCATTTCCTTAATCACATAATATAAAATAACTACAGTGTTAATATACTTATAAAGAAACTTCTTAAAAATATAAAAGCAATGTTTTTCTTCATGAGCTTGATTAAACTGGAATAACCTTAAACAAATCTTTCCTGGAAACTTCTTAGAAGTAAATAATAGAAAGCTTCAAATTTCTGTGAGATATGATAGCTATTTAAAATTAAAAATTAGTAAATATAAAATTAACTAAATTTATCCAGTAATCCAGAAGTTGTTCTGAACAAAAGTAGGTGAGTTTGATAATTATCCCAGTGCTATGGCCTTCTCTGACCAAATAAATAAATCACAGCTGAGCTTTGAGTATCTTTGTTGTTAAGTTGCTAGAGATTTTTAGAATGTTTGAAAATTCATCACTTATGAAGTGCTTAAATTCAATAGTAAGATTGTACATTGGTATACCATATAACTTTTAAAATGGATGAGGTAGATCTCGTAGGGGAGGTATGTGATATTAATAATGTATAACTCAGGGTCATTAAGAAGGACTGAAAAGGGGAAAGCGTATTGGACAGTACCTGGTACATAAGAACACAATAAATGTTTGTGCTTTTTTTTTTTTTTTTAACACGGACCGATGTCCATCTTATATTAAAATAATAGAAACATAGTCACCACATACTTGCAACACTAGACATATAGTATAATTTTATTTTGTTATCTTTATAGGGAAAAATATATGTATGCATAAATGAATATGTTTATGTTTGCTCCTGTATAGAACAAGGTATGAAAAAGAAGCACTTCTAAGTTTATATTGGGCAGGCTGGATGGAGGAGATGAAAATTACAATGAACTTTTCATTGTTATTTATTATTTGAAATGTTGCAAATGGTAACAACAAAAAGTATTCTGTAATTTCAAAAGAAAATACATTTTATTTTTAAGAAAATAAAAATTTTCTAATAAATTTCCTAAAAAATAAATTTTTAAAATGTATCTTCTGATATGAAAAGGTCTTTGGAGATTATAGTGCTTGAGAATATATTATTTAAATACGCAAGCATTGTTCTTTTGGACATGTTTCACCACTAGCCATGTACTCTTAGAGGTTTCCCTCACCCCTGGCTCATGGCCAGTAGATCAGGTTGAAATTCTATTCATTGCCTTTCTTTCCACTAGTTTTTGTGGCATTTAAAAATATAGTGAATATCACATTACAAAATTTTATCCAATTAGCTTTTTAAATGGAAAGACATTTTGGGACATATCATAGTTGAACCAGCCTATTGCTGACATTTGCTTCACCAAACTATACATGAATCACATATATTATTTGAAAAAAATTCAAACATATCAAACAGATATTTTAATACTCTGACAAAGTCTTAAACCAAGGCATATATAGTATTACATTTGTTGTAATTATTAACAATGAAAATTATGAAATAGCTTTGACTTTTTATTTGGATTTTTAAGAATGTAAAATGTCAAGTCAGATATTATTCATTTACTGAAATTTTATTGCTCTGAATGAAGAGTTGATGTAATTAATGATAATGAACAAATGTTTTAAAAATTGACTCATGTCCAAATGTTTACTTACTAGCTTATAATATTTTAATATTTTTAACAGTAAGTAATTGTTGAATCTAAGTACTGAAGAAACAGGAAGGTATGTACTATCATTCAAAAATTGATATATATCGTATCAGTTTCAAAGCTAATGTTAGAACTCACCTGAAGTAATCATCTGCCTAGTTTTAGAGTTTTGCTGCCCTGCGTACACTCATTTAGCTAAACCATACCTTTTGGAACGTCTTTGGTAGCATAGTTTTTATTATTATTTCCCCAAAGCCAATGTAAATGGTATAAGTATAGGTGCCAGTTCTTCTGTTCTCTTCTTATACTGGAAAGTGTCATTACGAACTCCTTTATGTGTAACATAATAATGTTTATTTCCTAAAGGAAACTGTGATTATTCATTTAAATAGTGGCATAAAAATATCTAAGCCTATTTTTAGTAATCTATTCATCCTAGGTAACTTTTAATGTTTACATTTGTAAAATATCGTTTACCATAATGTGTTCAATGTGTGATGTAGGTGTGTAGCTTATTTTGTTGTTTCATTTTCTAGAACACATTTGAACTTGGAATAAAGCAAAAACATATAATATTATAAACTGACTTAAATACTTTGCCAATAAATATGTTGTTGAATTTTCATTTCCTTCAGAAGCCCACAGGAAATATTAAATAGTGTTAATTCACAATTCCATGATTCATTTCTTTCTTTAACATACTGTTTTGAAATTTGAGCATATAAAAATTGCTACAAAGTCACTACTAATTTGAACTACAAAATGAGATTTTTGTGTGTTGAATGTAATGACATTCTGTCTTGTGTATCTTCATTTTTTATTTCCCAAAGAATGGAACAAAGCCTACAGAATGTTATAATAGATAAATATAGGATTATGTCTAAAGTCAATATCAAATATTATTTTTGAAGAAAGATACCATGAAATACTGCCAAGGATTTTAGCTAAAGCACTAATTGGAATAATGTAGTTTTTTTTTATAAACTTCTTGTAGCATTTTTTCAAATACCTACTTTGACAAATGTGAACAAATCTGAATTTATCAGAATCTCAATTAACCATGGAGCAAGTGGTAGTAAATAACACAGGCCAGTTTAAAAACCCTCTTGACTATGCGAGTACTTTATCAATTGAAATTTACAACTGGTGAATAGTTACAAGAGTAAGCTTTCATGAGTGAATCATGTCCATTTGATGATTCCCTGTGGTGATTAGTTAGCCAATACAGTCAATCTCACATTTTGTAAAATTTCACTAGGAGCCATACAAGAGTATTTTATAATTTGTTCAGATAACATTGTAATCGAAATTTCAACAAAATGAAGGAAGTAAGTTGATCACAATCAGCTGTGTTTTCATTGTGATAGTACTTAGTTATGAAGCCATTACTACAAAATTCATTGAAACAGACTTCATATATATTTGCAATGCTATTGATTTATAATTTGTTTTTTTCAGGGCTCCTGCTAGAGTTCCATAGAGTGCTCTGTATTTTGAGTTAATGCTGTTGATCTGCTTTTAAGTGGTGATTATACTTTATTGACTACTTTAATTTTTTCTTGATCAATAGTTGTTCAAAAGTTGATTTAGTGCTGTTTATTAGTAATGGTTTTAAGATTACTCCTCATAAAGAGAAATCTTTGGCTTCTAATTTCTCTTAATAGTTCTTCTCTTGCTTGTGACTATAACCTAGAGAGGGGAAATGTATGGTGTCTTTTTGCATTTAGAATATAGA
Organism: Homo sapiens; assembly: GCF_000001405.40. Lineage (NCBI taxonomy): Eukaryota > Metazoa > Chordata > Mammalia > Primates > Hominidae > Homo > Homo sapiens. The sequence continues at coordinate 28,190,252 of NC_000011.10, forward strand.
TAAAATTCCTTACAATAACAAAGAGAATTTATATTTTTATAAATAATGAATAGAGGTCAATTATTATTCTCAGAAGTTGTAGGCAGAATCATTTCAAACATTTGTTAAGTTTTTGTCTACTCTTTGGATGTAAATTCCAATTTACTTGTCATGGTGTTAAGTTAAATGAGTTATTTCAAGACTACGTAACTCTATTAAGAGTGCAAAGAAGATCGTTCTTAATTTATGTTCAGACATGTTTTTATCTTATTTTAGAATTATTTTAGAATTACAAATTATTTGAATGTGAAGAGATTGTCGTTTTGAAACTCCTGGCCTTATCATTGAGAAAATTAAGGTATAAATTTTACCTTCAGGCAAGATAAAGTGACTTGCTTGAAGTCATGTGGCCATATTATTAAATAAAAAGCTTAGTATGATGCTTATATATGAAGTGTTTAATAATTTTCTACTGAATTAGGAATGTATCGAAACATAGGTAAATTATAATGATAGATGAGGGAGACAATGTTTACTTAGATAGAATTGTAAATTAATACAAATTAAAATGTTAGCAAAATTAACTGATCTTTTAAAAAACATTTGTAATCATGGAATAAGGCAATATTTTATGTACTTAGCTCGTTTGCTTTAGTTATAACTTGTTCAACCAAAGTAACATGTGTAAACTGGCACTAATGAGCCTTATCCTAGGTTTCACTTACATTATACTGTATAATGGAGTTATAACACTGAGCCTACTAATAAGTTTGCTTGACAGCAGGGAGATACTGTGTATCTCCTAGAAGGCAAATGATACTTCTTTCATATGATTATTATAAGGTTTGTATTTTAAACTTATCCCTTTTTTATAAATTGTTTTTTAGAATGGAACTGGCATGAATGATTTTGCAATTTCCTGTAGAATTTCAATATTGATTACAATACTTTTATTTAAAATTTTTATTTAAAACCAAATATTAACTATATATAAATTGAAGTTTGTGAAAGTTTTTTTTTCTTATAATATCTTTATCTGATTTGAGTATCAAGGTAATTTAAATTACCCTTTCTTTCTCCTTGTTTTTACAGCTTTTTGTACTTTGGATGTTCCTGAGAATTTAATAGTCAACTAAAATAGGAAGATTTAAAAAAATCCCAAAATAGAAGTTGAAGGGATTAAAATAGAAGATCTGAGTTTTATTTATGCTTTATATAAATGTAAAGAAATCTACCTTTTAAGGGTTGCATCTTCCAAAAGGTTTTTTTTCAGTACAACATGTAGTCAATAATAGTATCTTTTCAATTTAAAAAATCTTTATATAAAACTGTACATGGATATAAATCTGTTGTATATTTTCAGGTTCTATGGTTAGTAATCTAGTGTCTAATTATGAACTCCAAGTATTATAAGCAAGTGGTGATATATTATGGATGAGTTCTTTTGGCACGGAAATATTTTAAGAAGTAACCAAAACTTCAAGTCTGAAATTAGATAAACTCCTGAAAGGCAAAGTTGATTTATTTTTAAGCCTATTGTGAAAACTAGTAGTCAGAAAAGAGCTTAGCATTGTGTTCTGACTGTAAAATACCTAAAACAATTAACATAAAGTGCTAGTTGTTTCTGCCTAATTTTCCTCCCTTAGCAAAGGTAATAAGAATTTTCTTAAACTGAGGTTAATATTTTAATAATTATTATTTTTCATCAGCCTGTTCCTGACCTCTGTTTGGTATACTCAGTGTTTATATATTTAAAGCCTTTTTAAAATAATGATTAACCAGATAATCTCAAGTTATTTGAGTTACTATGTTTTACATCAAACATAGGCAACTAAAGTTTCTTTTGTGTCTATCTGTGTGTCTTCTCCTGATGAGGTTTTCATTCTGAGATCATGTCTTTGGTATCTTGTGATATCTCGTCTTAAGATTATGTCATATAATACTTGATAGTTTGCATTATGAATGCAGAATTAATATTGTCTGACAATAAATGATAACACATTCTGCAATATACAACTTGATGTATCAAAAAGTTTTCCAGGCTTTAAGTGAATATCTACTTATTTTGGAATCATATTTATTGCAACAATTCCAAAATAATAGTTGATTTTGAATGTTGAACCAGCCTTGCATTCCTGGGATTAGCCCCACTTGACCACAATGTAGTTATTCCTTTTATATATTAATGCATTTGATTTGCCTTTTTTTTTTTTGCACATTTTTACATCTATGTTCTGTGAAGGTTATTGATCTGTAATTTTCTTATAATGTGTTTGATTTGTGTATCAGAGTAATGTTGATCCCATACAATGAATTGGGAAATATTCACTCCTCTACTATTTCTTGGAAGATATTTTTGTAATAGTGGTTATACTTCTTCATTAAGTCTTAGAATTTATAGAATTCACTGTTGAAGCTATCTGGAACTGGACTTTCCTTTATTAGGTGGTTTTTAACCATCAACTCAATTTTAAAAATAGATGTAGAGCTTTTTAGGGTATCTCAATAGTAGAGACCACTAATGTTATTAAATACCCTATAATCCACAGGACAGCCTTTGATAACGAAGAATTATCTGGCCCCAAATGTCAGTAGTGCCAAGATTGAGAAATCCCAGATTAGCTGTTTCTTCTCTGAGTAAATTTTGATAGTTTGTGTTTTACAAGGAATTTGTTCACTTCAGCTAAGTTGTTGACTTTATGTGTGTAGACTTTTTCATAATATTGCATTATTCTTTTATTATCTGTACAATCTTAGTACTTTATCTTTTTCTTATGTCTGCTTATAATTAAAATCTTAGGCTTTCAGCATTAGTATAAGAAGACTAAACTTTTAGACTAATTACTAAATTCCACTGGATTTTAAGCCATTCTATCTCAGGAGAATACAACACTATACTTCTCATTGAATTTAGAAGTTTTCCTTCCATGACTCCAAATTCTTTAAAGGATATATTTATATAGATGTTTACCCTCTGTATTAGTCAGTTCTCACACTGCTATAAAGAAATATCTGAGATTGGGTAATTTATAAAGAAAAGAAGTTCTTTTGGCTCACAGTTCTGGAGGCTATACAGGAAGCATGGCTGGGGAGAACTCAGGAAACTTACAGTCATAGCAGTAGGCTAAGGGCAAGCAGGCACATCTTACATTGCCAGGGCAGGAGGAAGAGAGAGAAGGTGGAGGTGCCAGACAGTTTTAAACAATCGGATCTTGTAAGAACTCTTATCATGAGAACATCACTAGGGGGATGGTACTAAACCATTAGAAACCACTCCCATAATCCAATTGCCTCCCTCCAGGCCCCACTTCCAACACTAGGGATTACAATTCAACATGAGATTTGGGTGGGGACACAGATCCAAACCATATCACCTTCCACCCCCATTCCATAATTGTTTATATACTGTTAGAACTGTGATCTCAACAAATTGACATCTCCAAAGGTTTATCTGTGTGTACCGAAAATCATATCATTAGCTATTTTCAGGATGACTCTGAGAAAAAAGAAATCCAATATAAAAAATTGCTATAACTATATCCCATGTTCAAGTTTTTATGTTTCATTTCATTCAAATTATATCACTCCCCTTGGCACAGGATCTCTAAAGAATATTGGCTGTAAATTAAAGTCCAGACTCTTTAGTTTGACATTTAAATCCTACACATTAACTATCCCTAATGTATTCTTTGTATTTTTCTATTATAAGATTGTTTCCTACTTGAATCTTTTTTTCTTAGGGTTATCTATTTTGTTCAAGGTTGCCCACAATACCGGTTTGCAATCCCTTTATGTTTTATTTGATTCCTTCTCCCAGTCTCCAAAATAGCTCTGTCATTTAACTTACTACATAGTGCCCTCTTTCAAGGACTTTACTTGCTTTGATGGTTGATCTTTCTTTCTTTCTTTCTTTCTTTCTTTCTTTCTTTCTTTCTTTCTTTCTTTTTCTCTCTCTCTCTCTCCTCTCTCTCTCTCTCTCTCTTAATATATGGAGTTTTGCTCTTGTTGCCCATGCTGAAGTGCAATGGTGCGATCTCAGCTCACAGCAACCTCTACCTCCTGGGTTCAAGCAATTCTCCTGCCACAGCCTCCTGAGTAGCTGGGATTACAGGCGTCTGCCACCATGTCTGGCTAATTTTTTGTATTTTTAGTACAGATGGAGTTTTACCATGTTGGTCAGGCTGGTCTCGAACTCCTGACCTCAGGTGATGCACCTGCCTTGGCCTCCAAAAGTGCTGGGATTACAAGCATGAGCCACCATGTCTGGCTATTTACTTTCATTCTGCGGTTGAAACTATCAAGGTAACAGAACTGTGACCAAGCATGATGACATATGTAGATGAGTTTAACTTCATAGAAGACAAATACATTTTTTAATAAGGAAAATATATCTTTGTTGAAAAAGAAAAAAATAAAAGATTATTTTATTTTTAAATTTTTTGACCACTGTCAGAAAGAAAGATTAAAAAAAATTATTTCACTAGCTTTAGGGGTACAAGTGGTTTTTATCCACGTGGATGAATTGTATAGTGGTGAAGTCTCAGAGTTTAGTGTACCTATCACTTGGTGATAGGTGTACCTTGTGCCCCAATAGGTTTTTTTTTTCAACCCTCACCCGCCTCCTAACCTCCGTCTTCTGAGTTTCCAGTGTTCGTTATACCCCTCTGTCTGCCTTTATGCACCCATAGCTTAGCTCCCTTTATAAGGGAGAACATGGAGTATTTGGTTTTCCATTCCGGAGTTACTTTACTTAGAATAATGATCTCCAATTCCATCCAAGTTGCTGCAAAAGACATTTTTTTCTTCATTTTTTTTGGTTGAGTGGTATTCCATGGTATATATACCACATTTTCTTTATCCACTCTTTGGTTGATGAGCATTTAGGTTGATTCCCTATCTTTGCAATTGCGAATTGTACTGCAATAAACATATGCATGTAGGTATCCTTTTTGCGGGTATTGTTTTGATACAATGATTTCTTTTCTTTTAGGTAGATACCCAGTAGTAGGATTGCTGAATTGAATGGTAGATCTACTTTTACTTCTTTGAGAAATCTCCATGCTGTTTTCCATAAGGGTTATACTAATTTACATTTCCACCAGCAATGTATAAGTTTTCCCTTTTCCACACATTCACACTAGCATCTATTGTTTTTTGACTTTATAATAATGCTGTTCTGGCTGGGGTAAGGTGGTATCTCATTGTTATTTTAATTTGCATTTCCCTTATGATTAGTGATGTTGAGCATTTTTTTCTATGTTTGGCCATTTGTATATCATCTTTTGAGAAATAATCTATTCATGATATTTGCCTGCATTTTAATGGGATTGTTTTCTTCTTGCTCATTTTTTCGAGTTCCGTGTGGATTCTGGATGTTAGTCCTTTGTTGGTTGCATAGTTTGCACATATTTTCTCTCATTCTCTAGGTTGTCTGTTTACTCTGATGATTTTTTCTTTTGCTGTGCAGAAGCATTTTAGTTTAGTTAGGTCTCATTTATTTATTTTTGCTTTTGTTGCATTTGCCTTTGCATTCTTTGTTATAAATTCTTTGCCTAGGCTGATGTCCAGAGGAATTTTTCTTAGGTTTTCTTCTAGAATTTTTATGGTTTCAGGTCTTAGATTTAAGTCTTCAGTCTGTCTTGAGTTGGTCTGAAATGAAATAGGGATCCAGTTTCATTTTTCTATATGTGGCTTTCCAATTTTCATACCATTTCTTGAATAGGGTGCCCCTTTCCCCAGTTTACATTTTTGTCTGCTTAGTTGAAGATCAGTTGGTTGTTAAGTACTTGGCTTGACATCTGGGTTCTCTATTCTGTTCCAGTGGTCTGTGTTTCTACTTTTACACCAATATCATGCTGTTTTGGTTACTATAGCCTTATAATATAATTGAAATTGAAGTAATGTGTTGCCTCTAGATATGTTCTTTTTGTTTAGGATTGCTTTGACTATTCGGGCTCTTTATTGGTTCCATATGAATTTTAGGATTGTTTTTTCTAATTCTATGATGAATAACATTAGTATTTTGATAGCAGTTGCATTTAATATATAGACTGCTTTGGGCAGTATGGTCATGTTCATGATATTGATTCTTCCAATCCATGAACGTAGGATGTATTTCCATTTCTTTGTGTCATCTATGATTTCTTTTAGCAGTGTTTTGTAGCTCACCTTGTAGAGATATTTCACCTCCTTGGTTAATATATTAAGTTTCTTTGTTTTCGTTTTTTTTGCAGCTCTTGTAAAAGGGATTGAGTTCTTCATTTAATTCTCAGCTTATTGATGTACAGCAGTGCTGCTGATGTATATACATTGATTTTGTAACGTGAGACTTTACTGAATTCATTTATCAAATCTAGGGGTCTTTTGAAAGATAGTTTAGGTTTTTCTGTATATAAGATCATATCATTGGCAAACAAATAGTTTGATTCCCTCTTAAGAAAGACTTTTTTTTTTTAAAGGAGAAGACTGACATAAGAACAAACAATTTTACTGTTAAAGTAATTAATTGATCTTAGTATGAATATTACTTCATTTAAGTCAACTGGCCACTTTGAAAGTTGTATAAAGTCTTTCTGGTCAGTAAAAAATTGAGATATTTCAAATGCCTGTTTCTAGTAATAAGTCAGGGTACCAATATAGTTAAATTGGCCTATTGTTCAATTCATCGTCCCTCCATGGAGTTGTTTACAAATTCCAAACTATGATTAGTGGTATGATAAAATTTTAAAGAGCAATACCAAAGTCTTTTAAAGTATTAGTATCCGAGAAAGAAAAGTAATATTTACATTTTGAAACTATATTTTTAAAGAGCATTTAAAAAATCATCTGTTAAGCTGTTTTTTTTCAATTTGGGCTTGAATGAAAGTTAATTCAAAGTTGTTTTCTTAGTTTTAAGAAACGCAGCATAGTTGGACTAATTTTGCCGTAGTTCAGATATACAACGGTAATTTTTATTGAATTTTAAGTTCTTTGAAATTTCTCCTGCTGGAAGTGTATTATCGAGAGTCTCCTTTTTAAAAGACCTTCTGTCAACCAAAGGTTCTATTACTGTTTATTCAAATTCAGAAGCCATAAAATATCTTTTGTATTGCTAAATTACTTTAGGATTTAGCATAAAATTTTTTGGAATTTAGGCCTTTGTGAATAATTATTTTTTTGATTAAAATCCGTTTTATAATATTATTTATTTATATGACACTACTTTTTTCAGATTTTGTTCATGTGTATTGTCTTATTTGCATATCCCAATTTCCTGGTGATGTGGACTAGGATGGTGTATTTATTTCCATTTACACACGAGGAAACTGAGGCTCAGAGAAGTTAAGTAACTTGCCTAACAAGGATTTCCTGGTGGTATAGTATGGCCTTTTCTACGTCTGAAACTTGTGCTATCTGAAGTCACATGTTTAAACATTTTCAGGAATATGTAAGTTTCTATTTCTCCCTGCAATATGCACATATGTGCATATATGTAATTGTACATGCATGTTTGCACATGCACACATAGACACTCTGGGTTGTACACCAACACTTGTATGTATTGATCTGCTTTGATTTGTGTAAAATTAATGTTACTTGGAGGCCAAGTCATAGAAAATCTTACCATCATTTATTTTAATTTAATTATTGCTTATGAGAAGAATTTAATATTAGAACCATGTTGAAACTGCCATCACTAAAATGACTTGTGCCAAAAAAGATTTTTTTGAAAAGAGCATTTGCTGAACACATTGATTAAAGAGCTCAGTATTTCTTTGTTTTCACATTGTTTTTCCAAATACTATAAACAGTCTATATATTTAGTAATTCTTAAAAGAAAGTACCTCTCCAGCATTCTTAGTAGTTAGTATGTTCATTGGTGTTTGTCCAGTATGGGTTATGTGAATTTCTTGATAATGTAGATAAAAACTATTTGTCTTTTAAAAAAGACGCTGACAGATTGGCATTGTCTTGGACAGAGACCTCTGTGAAATTAGATTTTTGAGATTAGCTACTTGTGTTAATTTAGCCGTTCTATCTGTAAATAGATTAAGTGACAGTTCTGTTGTACGTGACTTGGACTATGATTAAATACATCCTATGTTACACATAAGAGTGAAAGCTATTTATCACAAAGAATGATAAATACTCCAATTATTTAATGTAATTGAAGGACATACTTTAAAAGAAGAGAAAATAAATTTTACTTTTATGACAAGTAAAGATTTATTTTGTGAATAGGAAAGGATTTAAGCTACAAGAGGAAACATTTGCAGAATTAGGCAGAATGAGTCATCATAGTAACACCAATACTTCTGATAAAATGGGAAGAGATATAAATTTATTGCAATGCATTAATTGTTTTGTTTGTTGTAAAACTTTTATGTGCTTCTGAGAGTTTTTTCCCTTTTGTATAAGCCCATATAATAGTTACCAATAAAACAAAGTAAGTGTTAGCAGACAGATACTTGACCGAGCTTCACAAGACAATAATAAATCAAGGGTTTTGGTAGGAGAAATGTTTGTTAAAAAATGTTAGCTAACTATAAGGTTGGACTTCTGTGTTCACAGTTACATGTTCTAATTTATTTCAGGTCTAACAACTATATCAAATGTGACAGATTTCTAGTTGTCGACATGTTAGACAGAAAACATGCAGAGCCTTAGAGAAGTCAGTAATATAGTCTTGAGTGATTCAGCACACAATGGTAGAACAATAGCTTGCCTTAGCAATTACAAACATTTCAGGGGCATTATGAACTCTTTTTAGTGATTTTTTTTTTTTTTAATGTCCAAATAAACTTGTCATACTAGCTCATCCCTCTCTTAACACTGACCTTACTAATTATGTCAAAGGAGCATCCCTCTGTTGTCAAATATTTGCCAGGTTGACCTTGTTTGGAGGCGCAATATTCCCAAAGGCTGAACCCCATGAATTGTATATACAGTGAAGGTAATTTAATTTATTTTTTTGTTTTTTACATGAATCAATGTTTTTGATTAGGATGATCTTTTAAAAGTATACTTAGAACTTAGTGTTTTTAAGCACTGTTACAAACCAACCTTCTTGATCTTACTGTGGATTAATGCTGCTATAGTTAGCCCTCTTACATTAAGTAGCTATCAATTTTTCTTATATTTGTAGATTCTCTTCAAAATCTGTACCCAGCAATCCCTTCACTTCACTGTTCCAAGTTTACTATAAATAATTATTCTATTCCCACATGAAATTCTTAAACCTCTTCAAGAAGTTTCTCTTAAAATGCCTGATTTTCTCTCTTAAAATGCCTGTATTTTTTAACGCTCTTAATTTTTTCTCTTCTGGAGTAAGAATTTGCTTCTTGGCCAGTACAACACTAATTGAGAGGTGGCAGCTGGGAGGGAGATATGGAAGGTAGGGAAAAATGCTTATTTCTGTGCCTATCTCTAATTGTGCTATCATGTTTTTTGAAGTAAATGGCTCCAATATACTCATCTGTAAAATGGGATTACATTATCCATCTTGCAGGCTGTTGTAAGAATTAAATTAAGTTGACTTTTTTTTTTTTTTGAGATGGAGTCTCGCTCTTGTCACCCAGGCTGGAGTGCAATGGCATGATCTCGGCTCACTGCAACCTCCTCCTCCCAGGATCAAGCGATTCTGCTGCCCCAGCCTCCCAAGTAGCTGGGATTACAGGCGCCCGCCACCATGCCTGGGTAATTTTTTGTATTTTTAGTAGAGACGGGGTTTCACCATGTTGGTCAGGCTGGTCTCGAACTCCTGACCTCAGGTGATCCACCTGCCTCGGCCTCCCAAAGTTGACTTTTTAAAGGGTTTATCATAGTGAGTGCTGGTGCATAGTAATTGCATAGTAAATTGTATCTGTTGTCTTCCAAGTTATCCAAATGGCATGCTTTGTGATTATTTTTTATTTCACTTCTCTACTCACCACATCTAATTTATTCTACTTCTGTGAAAAAGCAAAGTAGGTAATTGTGCAGGTGGGCAGGAGACAGAATTGTTTTTGAAATCCATCTCTGCCATTCATTAGCTGTACCTCAAACAATTTACCTAACTCTTCCTAAACCTCCCTTTCTTTGTAAAATAGTGATGATAATAATAGTGACTTACCTCAGAGTACAGCTTTGAGAATTACTTAATTAACTGAAAGTGTGTATGTGTGTGTTTTTATGCCTATGTATAAAATGAATGAATGGTAAAATGTTTAGCATTGTGCTTGTCATAAAATAAGCTTCCATAAATGTAACATACATAGTCGTTATTATTACTCTTCATTCCTGATGCCCATTCAGCCTGTTGTTTCTACTTAACTGGGTGCTTTACGCTAGTGGAAGCCTTCAGGTCATCACTATTTTCTCACACCCTACCAGCGGTCTAATATTGTGAGAAGTAAAATTTTTTTTTGTCCTTAAAAAATTATTTTTATCTGTATTCCTAGGTATTTTATTCTCTTTGTAGTGACTGTGAATGGGAGTTCATTCATGATTTGGCTCTCTGCTTGTCTGTTGTTGGTGTAAAGGAATGCTTGTGATTTTTGCACATTGATTTTGTATCCTGATACTTTGCTGAAATTGCTTATCAGCTTGAGTTTTGGTGCTGGGATGATGGGGTTTTCTAAATATAAAGTCATGTCATCTTCAGACAGAGACAAATTGATTTCTTCTCTTCCTGCTTGAATCCCCTTTGTTTCTTTCTCTTGCCTGATTGCCCTGCAGAACTTCCAATACTATGTTGAATAGGAGTGGTGAGAGGGCATCCTTATCTTGTTGTCTTGTACTGGTTTTCAAAGGGAACACTTCCAGCTTTTGCCCATTCAATATGATGTTGGCTGTGGGTTTGTCATAAATAGCTGTTATTATTTTGAGATATATTCCATCAATACAGTTTATTGAGAGTTTTTAACATGAAGCGATGTTGAATTTTATCAAAGGCCTTTTCTGAGTCTATTGAGATAATCATGTGGTTTTTGTCACTGATTCTGTTTATGTGATGGATTATGTTGAACCAGCCTTACATCCCAGGGATGAAGCCAACTTGATCATGGTGGAGAAGTTTTTTGGTGTGCTGCTGGATTTGGTTTGCCAGTATTTTATTGAGGATTTTAGCATCGATGTTCATCAGGGATATTGGCCTGAAGTTTTCTTTTCTCTGCCCTGTTTTGATATCAGGATGATGCTGGCTTCATAAAATGAGTTAGGGAGGAGTCCCAACTTTTCAATTGTTTATAATAGTTTCAGAAGGAATGGTACCAGCTCCTATTTATACCTCTGGTAGAGTTTGACTGTGAACCCATCTGGTCCTGGGCTTCTTTTGGTTGGTAGGCTATTAATTACTGCCTCAATTTCAGAGGCAGTTGGTCTGTTCAGGGACTCGACTTCTTCCTGGTTTAGTCTTGGGAGGGTGTGTGTGTGTGTCCAGGAATTTATCCATTTCTTCTACATTTTCTAGTTTATTTGTGTAGAGGTGTTTATAGTATTTTCTGATGGTAGTTTGTATTTCTGGGGGATCACTATATGAGATCAGAGACCATATCTACTTTGGCCCACTGTTGTATTTCTAGTTTTTAGAACAATGCTGTGGATATATTAGGGCTGTCCTCATTGTTTGAGAATAAAATTTGACAAAGATGGAACAAGGCAAAAAAGTGAGAGAAGACATGAGACATCTTGGCATGTTTGACAATTTCACATATTCTGTATGGCTAGAAAATACGTTGTAAAATTCATTTTTGAGAGTAGTGGGAGATAATGTTGAAAAGAAATGCAAAGGCCAGAATATGAAGAATATTACCCATTATGCCTAGAAGTTTAGACTCTATCCTGTAGCTTTGGAGAGCCATTGAGGGGGTTTAAATGCAGATGTGACATGCTAAAGTTTTATGTAAGATAGTATAGCCTGTTAACAGTGTAGTAAGAAAAATCAGAAGTGAGATTAGAGGAATTGGTATCAATTGTGGGCCTATTTCAATAGTAAAGCATGGGAATATGGGGGCCTAAATTAAAGTGGGGGTGGAAATATTCAAGACATGGTAAAATCAACAGGATTTGGTAACCAGTTGGGTTTGGAGTATATGGGAGAGTGAGAAGATAGGATGAACTCTGAGTTCTGCTTAGCATTCAAAGATCAATTGAATTGTACCCTCCTCCAGTTTAGTCCATCTTGCCACTGACTGGAATAAATGTCTGGTTTTTGACTCCTTATGGAATGCTATGTATATCTTTCTTACATTGCTGATTTTTTTTTTAACTAGGCTTATAGCTGTTTGTTTGCATGTCTAAAGTCCCTCACAAGACTGGAAGGCCTATAATGTAATATCTACCTGTTATCATCTCTTCTACACTGAATGCTCAATAAATATACAGATGATTAATTAATGCCTAACATTTTAAATTACCTCCTGAAAAAAAAATCTATATAGTTCAGCATGTGCTTGGCACATTTCAGTACTCCAAAATGAAACTAGTTGCAAATAGGTGAAGTTTAACTAAAATTTTTTCAAAAGCACTTCAATTCTAAAAATTCAAATTAGCAATTGCCAGAAAAGATTCATAGGATGAAGTTTTAAAGTGAAGTCAGGCCATATTGTTTCCAAACTAAGATGGGAACTTACTATTAAAAATATTCTGCAGATTGAAAATGACTAAGCAACATTAGGAAAATGAAATTTTAAGATCTGCCCTCATACTGTTATGGCTAAAAATGTTTTCATGTTCATTTTCGACAGTGTTGTTACAGTGTGAAAATTTCAATGATTAGAATGATTGGATTAAAAAAAAATTATCTAGTCTCTGCAAGATGATCTTGGGCAAATGCCTTGATTTCTGTCAATCTCCAACTCCAGAGAGGAGTCTGAGATGAGTCTTAAAGGATATCAAATTTGAAAGGTATGAAAGTATAGAGCTATGTATTCTTTAGAAAGGTGGAACAGTATGTACAATAAAGGAATTAAATGTGCATTATTTCCATGGGTCCTGATTGCTCTAACCACCTATGAGTCTATGATTTTAAAAATCATTTTTAAATTTCAAAATCAAATTGGAATCTATAACCTGTCAGTAAGTCAGTCTTCATCAGTAACTGGTACAGATAATAGGTGGACATTTATACTAAATCATATACAAAATAATTATCTTTCTTGGAGACTTAATTAGCAGGTTTGAATTAAAAGACTTAAAAAATTAGGTTGGTAGAACACTGGTTGTTTTTAACTGTATTGGAGGAATCCTTGTATAGGAACAATGTTTCCATATGTATCTATCTTCATATTAAGAAAGAGAAAACTTTTTGAAGAAACAATTGTTTTTATTTCAATGTGATTATGTAATTTCAGTGGGGAAGTTTACAACATGATGTGGAAAGGACATAGGATCTACATTTTACTATTAGCTTTGCCCCAACTAGCGACCAGGTAACCTCTCCAGGCCTTGGTTTCCTCATAAGTAAAAGGAGGGATTGGAATAGTCTGTTATGTCCCTTTGACCTGTGAAATGTGGTGTCTGTGTCTGTCCATATTTGAAGAACATTGGGGATAAAATGACATTTAGTTGTATTTGATTAAAAAGAACTAGCCTAAAATAAGAAAAGCTTGTTTTCTCATTTCAAATGTAAAGGAGAGTGATTAGCAAATAAAAACATGGTGCAAAAGAGTTAATAACAGATCATTATTTGTGTTCTAGGAGAGATCTATTCATTAATGAATCAGTTGGCAATATTAGGAATACATTGATGTTAAATGACTCTAAAAAGTTGGACATCTTGAGCTGAATTATAACTACTTTATATGGTCCTGTGGTAATGAGTCTTATATTTTGAAGAATGTTTCTAGACTCAAATGCACAAATGAAAATTGCTACCTTTAACATAGTTACCTTGGGAGGCTGAGCTCCTTTATTCATATCACATTACTTAGCACCTACTGTTTTGCACTGATGCTGCCACATTAAGTTGGAGGTAAAGTTGGGGGATTGTAGAAATCAAGAATCATTTTCCTCAAATGCTGGTTTGTATATTTTCTACTTTAATTCACTTTCATTTTGATTCTGAACCCCAATTATGTCTTACATTTTTTGTTCTTTCTATCACTCTTGCCTTTTCTTCCTCTTTCTCTCTTCAGAAAGAGCAGAGAATTTAGTGTTGGCGAGACCTAGTTTAGAATTCACTTCCCCTAACTTACTAGTAATAGGATCTTAATCAAGTCACATTTTCTCTCTGCACCTGAGTTTTCCTTTTTTTTTTTTTTTTTTTTTTTTTTGTAAAAAGGGATATAATGCCAGTTGTCTAATTCCCTCACGGAGCATTTGTTAGACCAAGTAGGAAAACATCGATGCTTGGTAAACCATAAAGCAATAAGCAGATACAGACTTCATGACTTAATAAGACACAGAGAGGTATGTGAAAGAACCCAGGTTTTAAGCCCAGATTCATCTCTATTCAATTCCTGCATTTGCCACTTACTAGTTTAGTGCAGTCTTAGTTTGTAAAATGTGTATATAACATCTAATGACATCTCCTTCATGATTGTAATGATGATATAAGGTAATCTTTATAAATCTCTGTAAGATAAATAGAGGTACTTTTTATTCCCATTTATTCTTAGATGAAACAATTGAGGCTTAAAGAATTCAAGTGATTTCTTTACGATTATACAGGTTGTCAGTGAAATAACCAGAATAAACTTAGTATTAAAATGTGAGTTTTGTTTATAGATAAATTATATCAGGTAATTTCAAAGAAGTTCCATGTGTCTTTGGAGCACAAAATATACATTTAAAATGTATGTATAGATGAGATCCATAGAAGGGTTACTTTGAAACATTCAGATTTATTTGTTCCTGTGCATTTCTTTGTTAACCACAAAAATTGACCAGTTGCTATATTTATTTATTTATTTTTATTTAATTTTTATTTTATTATACTTTAAGTTTTAGGGTACATGTGCACAATGTGCAGGTTAGTTACATATGTATACATGTGCCATGCTGGTGTGCTGCACGCATTAACTCGTCATTTAGTATTAGGTATATCTCCTAATGCTATCCCTCCCCCCTCCCCCTACCCCACAACAGTCCCCAGAGTGTGATGTTCCCCTTCCTGTGTCCATGTGTTCTCCTTGTTCAATTCCCACCTATGGGTGAGACTATGCAGTGTTTGTTTTTTTGTTCTTGCAATAGTTTACTGAGAATGATAATTTCCAATTTCATCCATGTCCCTACAAAGGACATGAACTCATCTTTTTTTATGGCTGCATAGTATTCCATGGTGTATATGTGCCACATTTTCTTAATCCAGTCTATCATTGATGGACATTTGAGTTGGTTCCAGGTCTTTGCTATTGTGAATAGTGCCTCAATAAACATACGTGTGCATGTGTCTTTATAGCAGCATGATTTATCGTCCTTTGGGTATATACCCAGTAATGGGATTGCTGGGTCAAATGGTATTTCTAGTTCTAGATCCCTGAGGAATCGCCACACTGACTTCCACAATGGTTGAACTAGTTTACAGTCCCACCAACAGTGTAAAAGTGTTCCTATTTCTCCACATCCTCTCCAGCACCTGTTGTTTCCTGACTTTTTAATGATTGCCATTCTAACTGGTGTGAGATGGTATCTCATTGTGGTTTTGATTTGCATTTCTCTGATGGCCAGTGATGGTGAGCATTTTTTCATGTGTTTTTTGGCTGCATAAATGTCTTCTTTTGAGAAGTGTCTGCTCATGTCCTTCGCCCACTTTTTGATGGGGTTGTTTGTTTTTTTCTTGTAAATTTGTTTGAGTTCATTGTAGATTCTGGATATTAGCCCTTTGTCAGATGAGTAGGTTGCAAAAATTTTCTGCCATTCTGTAGGTTGCCTGTTCACTCTGATGGTAGTTTCTTTTGCTGTGCAGAAGCTCTTTAGTTTAATTAGATCCCATTTGTCAATTTTGGCTTTTGTTGCCATTGCTTTTGGTGTTTTAGACATGAAATCCTTAGCCATGCCTATGTCCTAAATGGTAATGCCTAGGTTTTCTTCTAGGGTTTTTATGGTTTTAGGTCTAACGTTTAAATCTTTAATCCATCTTGAATTAATTTTTGTATAAGATGTAAGGAAGGGATCCAGTTTCAGCTTTCTGCATGTGGCTAGCCAGTTTTCCCAGCACCATTTATTAAATGGGGAATCCTTTCCCCATTTCTTGTTTTTGTCAGGTTTGTCAAAGATCAGATGGTTGTAGATGTATGGTATTATTTCTGAGGGCTCTGTTCTGTTCCATTGGTCTATATCTCTGTTTTGGTACCAGTACCATGCTGTTTTGGTTACTGTAGCCTTGTAGTATAGTTTGAAGTCAGGTAGCGTGATGCCTCCAGTTTTGTTCTTTTGCCTTAGGATTGTCTTGGCAATGCGGGCTGTTTTCTGGTTCCATATGAACTTTAAAGTAGTCTTTTCCAATTCTGTGAAGAAAGTCATTGGTAGCTTGATGGGGATGGCACTGAATCTATAAATTACCTTGGGCAGTATGGACATTTTCATGATATTGATTCTTCCTATCCATGAGCATGGAATGTTCTTCCATTTGTTTGTGTCCTCTTTTATTTCATTGAGCAGTGGTTTGTAGTTCTCCTTGAAGAGGTCCTTCACATCCCTTGTAAGTTGGATTCCTAGGTATTTTATTCTCTTTGAAGCAGTTGTGAATGGGAGTTCACTCATGATTTGTCTCTCTGTTTGTCTGTTATTGGTGTATAAGAATGCTTGTGATTTTTGTATATTGATTTTGTATCCTGAGACTTTGCTGAAGTTGCTTATCAGCTTAAGGAGATTTTGGGCTGAGACGATGGGGTTTTCTAGATATACAATCATGTCATCTGCAAACAGGGACAATTTGACTTCTTCTTTTCCTAATTGAATACCTTTTATTTCCTTCTCTTGCCTCATTGCCCTGGCCAGAACTTCCCACACTATATTGAGTAGGAGTGGTGAGAGAGGGCATCCGTGTCTTGTGCCAGTTTTCAAAGGGAATGCTTCCAGTTTTTGCACATTCAGTATGATATTGGCTGTGGGGTTGTCATAGATAGCTCTTATTATTTTGAGATACGTCCCATCAATACCTAATTTATTGAGAGTTTTTAGCATGAAGGGCTGTTGAATTTTGTCAAAGGCCTTTTCTGCATGTATTGAGATAATCATGTGGTTTTTGTCTTTGGTTCTGTTTATATGCTGGATTACATTTATTGATTTGCATATGTTGAACCAGCCTTGCATCCCAGGGATGAAGCCCACTTGATCATGGTGGATAAGCTTTTTGATGTGCTGCTGGATTGGGCTTGCCAGTATTTTATTGAGGATTTTTGCATCAGGGTTCATCAAGGATATTGGTCTAAAATTCTCTTTTTTTGTTGTGTCTCTGCCCGGCTTTGGTGTCAGGATGATGCTGGCCTCATAAAATGAGTTAGGGAGGATTCCCTCTTTTTCTATAGATTGAAATAGTTTCAGAAGGAATGGTACCAATTCCTCCTTGTGCCTCTGGTAGAATTTGGCTGTGAATCCATCTGGTCCTGGACCCTTTTTGGATGGTAAGCTATTGACTGTTGCCACAGTTTCAGATCCTGTTATTGGTCTTTTCAGAGATTCAACTTCTTCCTGGTTTAGTCTTGGGAGGGTGTATGTGTCAAGGAATTTATCCATTTCTTCTAGGTTTTCTAGTTTATTTGCATAGAGGTGTTTGTAATATTCTCTGATGGTAGTTTGTATTTCTGTGGGATCTGTGGTGATATCCCCTTTATCATTTTTTATTGCATCTATTTGATTCTTCTCTCATTTCTTCTTTATTAGTCTTGCTAGCAGTCTATCAATTTTGTTGATCGTTTCAAAAAACCAGCTCCTGGATTCATTAATTTTTTGAAGGGTTTTTTATGTCTCTATTTCCTTCAGTTCTGCTCTGATTTTAATTATTTCTTGCCTTCTGCTAACTTTTGAATGTGTTTGCTCTTGCTTTTCTAGTTCTTTTAATTGTGATGTTAGGGTGTCAGTTTTTGATCTTTCCTGCTTTCTCTTGTGGGCATTTAGTGCTATAAATTTCCCTCTATACTCTGCTTTGAATGTGTCCCAGAGATTCTGGTATGTTGTGTCTTTGTTGTCGTTAGTTTCAAAGAACATCTTTATTTCTGCCTTCATTTCGTTATGTACCCCATAGTCATTCAGGGGCAGGTTGTTCAGTTTCCATGTAGTTGAGTGGTTTTGAGTGAGTTTCTTAATCCTGAGTTCTAGTTTGATTGCACTGTGGTCCGAGAGACAGTTTGTTATAATTTCTGTTCTTTTACATTTGCTGAGGAGAGCTTTACTTCCAAGTATGTGGTCAATTTTGGAATAGGTGTGGTGTGGTGCTGAAAAAAATGTATATTCTATTGATTTGGGGTGGAGAGTTCTGTAGATGTCTATTAGGTCCGCTTTGTGCAGAGCTGAGTTCAATTCCTGAGTATCCTTGTTAACTTTTTGTCTCCTTGATCTGTCTAATGTTGACTGTGGGGTGTTAAAGTCTCTTATTATTATTCAGTTGCTTTTTTTATTTGCAACTCCTACAGATTTTAAACTGTGGTCTTATGTTAGTGACCTAGAAGAAGGAGTAAACTAATTGGCTCCCTTTTCAATTGTGGTGCTGGTTGGCTCATGAGGCCTAGATGTCACTATTACATGTGATGAACAATGAATATTAGAATTGTAAAAATGAGAGTTGATGGCTCCAATCACGTATTAACTCAGGACATATGATGGGTTTCCCTTCTAGTTTCATAAATTCCATTTGTCTGCCACTTTTTGGTTTCTGTGTTACACTTGACTGGTAGTAATAGATTTTTTTTCCCCTGTGGAAACTTTCTTGATTGTCAGTACATCTACAAGGGCATAATCATGATACATTAAAAATAATCATGTAAATTATAATCACTCACATTTTTCAGAATATTGCTAATGATGATGATTTTTCTTTAAATATTGATTGGGACTTTCTTGTCTCAGAATAAGGGTAATTGTATCTAAATTGTTTTATTTAATCTACTTTTAGTTTAAATCTATAGTTACAGCAAGGCTAGGTATTGATCCCATGACAAGGAAGTAGTTTATGGTTTTGCCTTGGAAAAAATTCTTTGGTTAAATTATGTTGAACTTCTTAAAATTTTCAAATTGATGTAATGCATAGTGGAAGATTTTTGCCAATTCATCGATGTGTAAAATAAGTGACTGGCAAAGGAAATTATTTGATCTTGAGATTTAAGTGTTTCTATAAATAAAAAGATATTGTTTAAAATGGTAAAAATATATTTAGCCATGCCTTTTATGGTGATAGTGATAGAAGTACAAAGTTAAGTCACACTACAACATTTGTGTTAAAAAGCATTGCTTGTACATTTTCACCACATTTACATCTTTTTATATTTTATGTCCATCCTCCAATTTTGATCAGACGATTTCCTCCATGTTATTCTTTCAGTAGCAGGCTAACTTTTATGAGGACTTGATCAGCGGATGGGACTTAGCATGGTAGATACGAGCCAAAAAATCAAAGCATAATTGCATGCCCAATTTCTGACCACTGTCCCTGAAATAAGTGGAAACATTCAGAGCATGGAAATATATTCAAATCCATGACAGGAATTTCCCTTGTTATGTACTATGCACATGAACTTTAAGAAAATTGTATGTTTAGATATTTTTAAATCTAGCCAGTAGACTTATGTTGTCATTGTAGTCAATATTATTAGAGTAATTGTTTTATTTTCATAACACCAATGAAGTTTACTGAAAGGTCCCATTAAACTAAGAGCATAACTTTGAGGGAATATGTGGAGAATGTCTTGACTTGCAAACTAGTTACAATCAACTAACTTGTACACACATATGTTTCTTATGATCCAGGTCTGGTTGCTTGCTCAACTGTGACGTGACTATTCTCTTTAGAGTGTGGCCAAATAAAATAGCCAAGAAATAGATTCAGATTCAATTAACCATACTGTATATCTGGAATGAGCCAAGCATTGAGTGATTTGTACTTAAGTACATCCTATCATGTTGTCCTGGCAAAATTATTACTGGCAAATGTTTCACTCTTAAAAATGTTTTGATTTACATGAGAAATGATATGTTACCTTAACAATTAGGCAGGTGGTGATGGTATCTTCTTTTCTTCTTCATTTTTTTTTTAACCGCTGAAGACACTGGAATTTTGCGACTTTAAGTAACTATCCCAAAGACATAGATACTTTGTGTCAAACCTAGAGTTTACCCTAGGTATTTTGACTTGAAAAGCATTTTTTTTTCTTCTCAGTTCATATTTGTTATTTTATTATTACAGATACAATCTGTAAGTTTGTCAGTTTTCCAGATTTTATCTGATTTGTCCTGTGCTTATTTATTATTAGGGATGTTTATTCTCTCTCTCTGTCTTTCTGTTCTTGAGTATCATTTTCATAGAAAGCTTTAAGAGAAATTGAGATAAAATGAGCCACACTAATTGTAAGCCATCTCTAAATGAGAAATTATTGAAAATGTTATTACCAGCTGGATGCTGGGAAGTGTTAAAGAGCTGGGGGCACAACAGTGTGACCAGTTTGACCTTATAGAGAGAAATATAAATTTGTCTTGAATTAGCCAGTCTGTGTTAGAGGTTATTTTACTGATAGTCTGATCAGTTCTTTTAGACTTATCACTCATAATTGAGCCAGATCTCACATGTAACAAATTCAACTATAGGCACAACGATTGTAATTATTTTCCTATTTACTGTCAAGTCTGAAAATCATTGTGTGCTTCTAGAAATTGAGATAGTTGTCAAGAATAAGTTTTGTTTATGCTAAGTTGTAATTTTCTTTTTCTGTGTTTGCTAGATTTTTCTAGATATGACATTTGGTTCGGGAGGGCACACAAAAGCCATTCTGCAGAAGGAGTCAGATATTGTTCTCTATGCCTTGGACAGAGACCCAACAGCTTATGCATTAGCTGAACATCTTTCAGAGTTGTATCCGTAAGTAATACCCTTGCATATTTATTTGATTTTGGTTCTTAGTTTTACAGAGCTTGGTTTACCACCTTGGAATTTGTTCTGCTTTGCATGGGCTATATTTTACTCCAGTAAATATTTTCTTCTTTTTTCCCCAAAAAGAATTAATGTAAGTGATGTTTTTAGTACCACTTAAAGTAATGCTATTTTCCAGTTATCCTTTCTGAATCCATAAAAAGAAATACAAAATGTCTTCCACCTACAAGATTGAAAGTGTTTTGGAATCCATCCACAAAAAATGAGTTTTGACAATAACTCATAGTCAAAAAATAATTTTTAAACATTTTTATGAGTTTATTTCTAAGAATTTAGCAGAGTAAATAAGTATGTGAGAATTCTGTAGAACTCATGAGGACATATACATCAACATAATATACTTGTTTCCTTTGAATTTTCTGAAATTCACAAGTAAATCTAGAGTGATCCATCCTTCTATCAGAAAAAGTGATGTATAACTAAAGAACTTTTTAAAAATATAAAATATTATATGAATGAGTGGTAAAACCATCTGCCTTTAAAGAAACATTTTGAATTAGGGAGTAGACATGGTATGTTGTTTAAAGCCATCATTTTAAAAGAGAAAAATATCTTGGAGCTAAGATGGCTCTCTCCAAATACATAAAGGGCTGTTTTCAGGAATGGGAAATTGTTTTATTCTGTCATTCATCAGAGACTGGAGTCAAGAAAATAGATGGGAACTTGAGAGGTAATTTTGACTTGATGTGAACTGTAGTTCACATCAAAAGTTGAAGTTTTGACTTGATGTGGACTAGAGTTTTTACTAGTTGTAGCTATTCAACAACAAAATGGTCTCTTTGGTGAAGTTCGAAAAGTATGACCATGGAAAAGTTTAATCAGACACTAAGAATAGGAAGTGTAATTCGTCATCTAGAATAGTATTTACAGCCTCTTTCTGGTCCCAAACTCTTTGCAAATCTAATGAATGTGATTAACTCTCCCCATAAAACTATAAATAAATACACATAAGCTTTTGTTTACAAGATCATAGGATTTATGGAGTCCCTGAAACCTACCATTTGACCGCAGATTATTTCATTTCTTCCGAGAATAATATGAAGACGTGATTTAATGACATGGTACTAATTTTTAATATTTTAAATCTATCTGTCTTCTGCAGTGTAACTTAGATGCGCCTTCTTTAAGAAGATGTTTTATTAGAGCATTCATATTTGCGAAACGTTGTATGAGTTCACTTGGTTATGATGTGAACATTCATGAAGTATAGGCCTCTTTTATACAGCAGTCCCTTTGTACCTGAGGAGAAGTGGATACCAAAATCCATGGATGCTCAATTCCCTTACATAAAATGGTTCAGTATGTGCATATAACCTACACACATCCTCCCATATAGTTTAAATCATCTCTAAGTTTCTTACCTAATACAAAGTAAATGCTGTTTAAACAGTTGTTATACTTTATTGTTTAGGGAATAGTGACAAGAAGAAAAAAGTTTTGTACATGTCTAATACAGATGCACGTGTCTTTTTTTATGATCTGCAGTTAGTTGAATCAATTGATGTGGAATCCACAGATAAGGAGGGCCAGTCATACTTTACTGTCATAGAAAAACTGAATTCTCGTAAGATATTGTTGTTTCTTAAGGCAATGATTCCCAATCCAATGATTTCAGTGGCTCTTATTCCTTTAAACACCACACTTTCTCAAATGTAGCTTAAAGTTTACAAATTTTACCATGTGTAATTTTTTTTTAACCTAACAGGAACTATCAGGCTGTATATTCTTTTCAGTTTATAGATGTGGAAACTATTAGCCAGATAGATGAAGTGATTTGCTAAAAGGCATAAACGACTTTATGGGGACAGACCTGCGACATGTATTCCAATCTCTAGCCTCATTTTATTAAATATTACTGCCTTGGCTCAAATCTTGAGACTTTTTTTACTTCACTGACAAAATGATTTCTTTGTCAAACATAATAAATTAGATAAGAACAAGGAAACAAATCAGAGTAAGCCAAGAAGAAGGAATTAGTACAGATAAAAGCTAGAATCAAGGAAAGTATAAACAAAAAAAGAAGAAAAAAATTGAAAGGATAAAGAGATCACAAGAGATCAGTCTTTGAAAATAGCAAAATCACTTTTGAACCTGATTTCTAGAGACAAAAAGTGTGATTAAGATTCAGAGGGAAGACCAACCATAGACACAAGATAAGTTCATCATAAGATAATAAAACTGCAATTCTCTGGTAACTTGCAAAACCTAGATGAAATGAATGATATCCTAATAAAATATAAATTATTAAAACTTGATTAATAGTTACAAAATTTGAATGTCATTACCGTAATAGAAATTAGAAGGTAACTGACCCTGACCAAATGGATTTGCAGTTATCTAATTCTTAAAAAAAAAAAAAAAAATAGGAAAAAGCAATGCCTTTTTTTCTTTTTTTTTTTTTTTGAGACGGAGTCTAGCTCTTTCACCCAGGCCGGACTGCAGTGGCGCTATCTCGGCTCACTGCAAGGTCCGCCTCCCGGGTTCACACTATTCTCCTGCCTCAGCCTCCCGAGTAGCTGGGACTATAGGCGCTTGTCACCGTGCCTGGCTAATTTTTTGTATTTTTAGTAGAGACGGGGTTTCACCGTGTTAGCCAAGATGGTCTCGATCTCCTGACCTCATGATCCGCCCGCCTCGGCCTCCCAAAGTGCTGGGATTACAGGTGTGAGCCACCACGCCCGGCCAAAGCAATGCCTTTTACACTAATCCTGACCATGGTAAATTTGGAAAGTTATTTCAGTTAACATTATGAATTTAGCATGATTTTAATACCCATCTTTTTTTTTATTGGAGACAAGTTTTCACTCTGTTGCCCAGGCTGGAGTGCAGTGATGCCATCATAGCTTACTGCAGCCTCTGCTTCCTGGGCTCAAGTGACCCTTCTGCCTCAGCCTCTCAAGTAGCTGGGACTACAGGTATGCACCTGTCTAATTTTTTATTTTTAGTAGAGATGAGGTCTCTCTATGTTGCCCAGGCTGGTCTTGAACTCCTGAGCTCAAGTGATCATCCCACCTCAGCCTCCCACAGGACTGGGATTATAGGCATGAGCCACCATGCCTGGCCTAATACCAAATCTTGATAGAGATAGTATAAAAAGGAAAAAGGTCTAAGTTTGCTGAAGTATAGAAATACAAAAATTGAAAAGGAAATACTAGTATATCTAATTTACCTGTTATTTAATTAAAACAGTAATACCCGTGGCCTAATGAAGTTTATTTCATGAAGATGAGATGTTCCGTGTCAGGTAGTTAATCAATGATAGGTTGATAAGCATGACAATAATCAGCTAGCTATTCTTATTTAAATTTCTGTTAAATATAAGGAAACTACTTAAATGTAAAATATTCTCAATCAAGGACAAGCAGTAATTATTTTCCTAAAATGTGAAGTACTGTAACTATTTAAGACAAAATTAGGATGTAAATAGGATTTTTCTATAAATAGTATTTCTCAATATTTTTTGAAGGTCTGACAAAGGCTAAAGCAAGGTTAGAATATTCTTTTTATAATGATCTACTGAATAGTTAAAAACTCCAAATACTTATAAAATTAGTAAGATGATAAGATGTTTAGCTAAAAATTTAAAACTCTATTCAGAATAGAAGAACTCTAGGGACAACAAGGAAGTAAGCCCTTTCCTTTCCAGCATAAGGGTCACAGCTGATACCCCTATAACAAAGAGAGGTTGACAAGAGAAAAGAATAACAAATTTATTTGACATAGTTTTACATGGCATAGGAGCCTTCAGAAAGAAGATGCAAAGATATAGAGAGAACTATCCATTTTTTATGCTTAAATTCAATAAAGTATGGAGAGCATGTAGAACTATGATTGGACAAAAAGGATATATGGTCTAATGCTAACTGACTGAGTTGGGGGAACTCAATAAGGCCTCTCTATGCAACATTCCTTTTTGCTGGGTGTGAAGGTAGGACCCCTGTGAATGAGGGTCTTAATTTCTTTATGGCCATTTATTCTATTACACAGAAAGAAGTGGGGGAAGTTAGATTAATATTTTAGGCTTTGAAGCTGGCTTTGGAGAAAAAAGGTTCTGGTTTCTATAGGGGAGGTTAGAGTAATATTTTAGGCTTTAAAGCTGGCTTTGGAGGAAAGGGGTTCTGGTTTCTATGACCCACGTTGGAGAAGAGGGAATCTAGTGTGGCTCGCCTCTGAGGAGAATGAGAGACAGCAGGGAAAGAGGTGGTCAGAAGGTAACTTTGCTTCTAAGTCTGCTTCTTAGGCCTTCACTTGGGGCTATTGTTTTCTGAGCCCCAACAGTACCTAGAAAGGGAAATGGGAAAAAATATTCTATTCACAACAGCTCCTAAAATTGTATAAAATATTTAGTAATAAATTTAACAAAGAGCACACTTCCAAGTTAAAGAAAACTATAATGTTTTTGAAGGGCATACAAGAAGATTTGAACAAAAGGGAAGACATATTTCTTTTGAGGTAGAGAGAATTAATATTATAAAAAGAGGATGGAACGAAGAGGATCATACCTGCAACCTCACCACTTTGTGAGGCCAAAGCAGGAGGATCTCTTGAGCTCAGGAGTTAGGAGACCAGTCCTGGCAACATAGTGAGACACCGTTTCTTACAGAGAAATGGTGGTGTGCACCTGTAGTCCCAGGTACTCAGGAGGCTGTGGTGGTACTCAGGAGGTTGAGATTGCAGTGAGCTGTAGTCATGACATTGCGCTCCAACCTTGGTGACAGAGCAAGATCCTGTCTCAAGATGGGTGGATGGATGGATGCATGCATGGAAGGATAGACAGATCAGAAAGAATACAAATGAAAAGAGTTAATGCTCCCTAAATTAATATATACATGTATTGTACATGTAAATTACTTTGTTTTTTAGATTTGGATGATGTGCTCCTTAGTTTGTATGGGGCAAAAAGTGACAAGATGTTTTTTGAATTAAAAAGTAAGAGGAAACCTGCCTTACTAGATATAAGATTACACTATAAAATCACTGTAATGAATCAATACAATATTGATACAAGAATAGGCAAGTGGATTAATGGAGGAAATAATCCAAAAATTGATTCTGCTAAATAAAGGCATTTAATTGAAGATTAAAATATTTTAATTCATTGAGAAAATGGTGCATAATTAAAAAATGATGCTGTTACAATGCCTGTCAGACTTGAAGAAAGTAAAATAGATCCATTTCAAAATTTGGATTCAAGAATAACTTCTAGATGGTGTGAAAAAATTGTGAAAATTTGAATATACAAGTTCTATGAGAAAATTGGAGAGACTATATACACAATCTAGTAGTGAGAAACTTCTTTTTTTTATTATACTTTAAATTTTAGGGTACATGTGCACAACATGCAGATTTATTACATATGTATACATGTGCCATGTTGCTGTGCTGCACCCATTAGCTCATCATTTACATTAGGTATATCTCCAAATGCTATCCCTCCCCCCTCCCCCCACCCCACAACAGGCCCCAGTGTATGCTATTCCCCTTCCTGTGTCCAAGTGTTCTCATTGTTCAACTCCAACCTATGAGTGAGAACATGCGGTGTTTGGTTTTCTGTCCTTGCGATAGTTTGCTGAGAATGATGGTTTCCAGCCTCATCCATGTCCCTACAAAGGACATGAACTCATCTTTTTTTATGGCTGCATAGTATTCCATGGTGTATATGTGCCACATTTTCTTAATCCAGTCTATCATTGATGGACATTTGGGTTGGTTCCAAGTCTTTGCTATTGTGAATAGTGCCACAATAAACATACGTGTGCATGTGTCTTTATAGCAGCATGATTTATAATCCTTAGGGTATATACCCAGTAATGGGCTGGCTGGGTCAAATGGTATTTCTAATTCTAGATCCCTGAGGAATCGCCACACTGACTTCCATAACGGTTGAACTAGTTTACAGTCCCACCAACAGTGTAAAAGTGTTCCTATTTCTCCACATCCTCTCCAGCACCTGTTGTTTCCTGACTTTTTAATGATCGCCATTCTAACTGGTGTGAGATGGTATCTCATTGTGGTTTTGATTTGCATTTCTCTGATGGCCAGTGATGATGAGCATTTTTACATGTGTCTTTTGGCTGCATAAATGTCTTCTTTTGAGAAGTGTCTGTTCGTATCCTTTGCCCACTTGTTGAAGGGGTTGTTTTTTTCTTGTAAATTTGTTGGAGTTCATTGTAGATTCTGGATATTAGCCCTTTGTCAGATGAGTAGGTTGCAAAAATTTTCTCCCATTCTGTAGGTTGCCTGTTCACTCTGATGGTAGTTTCTTTTGCTGTGCAGAAGCTCTTTAGTTTAATTAGATCCCATTTGTCAATTTTGGCTTTTGTTCCCATTGCTTTTGGTGTTTTAGATATGAAATCCTTACCCATGCCTATGTCCTGAATGGTATTGCCTAGGTTTTCTTCTAGGGTTTTTATGGTTTTAGGTCTACCATTTAAGTCTTTAATCCATTTGGAATTAATTTTTGTAGGAGGTGTAAGGAAGGGATCCAGTTTCAGCTTTCTACATATGGCTAGCCAGTTTTCCCAGCACCATTTATTAAATAGGGAATCCTTTCTCCATTTCTTGTTTTTGTCAGGTTTGTCAAAGATCAGATAGTTGTAGATATGCGGCATTTTTTCTGAGGGCTCTATTCGGTTCCTTTGGTCTATATCTCTGTTTTGGTACCAGTACCATGCTGTTTTGGTTACTGTAGCCTTGTAGTGTAGTTTGAAGTCAGGTAGCTTGATGCTACCAGCTTTGTTCTTTTGGCTTAGCGTGACTTGGCGATGTGGGCTCTTTTTTGGTTCCATATGAACTTCAAAGTAGTTTTTTCCTATTCCGAGAAGAAAGTCATTGGTAGCTTGATGGGGATGGCATTGAATCTATAAATTACCTTGGATAGTGTGGCCATTTTCACTATATTGATTCTTCCTACCCATGAGCATGGAATGTTCTTCCACATGTTTGTATCCTCTTTTATTTCCTTGAGCCGTGGTTTGTAGTTGTCCTGGAAGAAGTGCTTCACATCCCTTGTAAGTTGGATTCCTAGGTGTGTTATTCTCTTTGAA
Source organism: Homo sapiens (assembly GCF_000001405.40). Taxonomy (NCBI): domain Eukaryota; kingdom Metazoa; phylum Chordata; class Mammalia; order Primates; family Hominidae; genus Homo; species Homo sapiens. The sequence goes on from NC_000011.10 coordinate 28,218,317, forward strand.
GCAATTGTGAATGGGAGTTCACTCATGATTTGGCTCTGTGTTTGTCTGTTGTTGGTGTATAAGAATGCTTGTGATTTTTGTACATTGATTTTGTATCCTGAGACTTTGCTGAAGTTGCTTATCAGCTTAAAGAGATTTTGGGCTGAGACGATGGGGTTTTCTAGATATACAATCATGTCATCTGCAAACAGGAACAATTTGACTTCCTGTTTTCCTAATTGAATACCCTTTATTTCCTTCTCCTGCCTGATTGCCCTGGCCAGAACTTCCAACACTGTGTTGAATAGGAGTAGTGAGAGAGGGCGTCCGTGTCTTGTGCCAGTTTTCAAAGGGAATGCTTCCAGTTTTTGCACATTCAGTATGATATTGGCTGTGGGGTTGTCATAAATAGCTCTTATTATTTTGAGATACGTCCCATCAATACCTAATTTATTGAGAGTTTTTAGCATGCAGGGCTGTTGAATTTTTTCAAAGGCCTTTTCTGCATGTATTGAGATAATCATGTGGTTTTTGTCGTTGGTTCTGTTTATATGCTGGAATACGTTTATTGATTTGCGTATATTGAAGCAGCCTTGCATCCCAGGGATGAAGCCCACTTGATCATGGTGGATAAGCTCTTTGATGTGTTGCTGGATTCGGTTTGCCAGTATGTTATTGAGGATTTTTGCATCGATGTTCATCAGGGATATTGTTCTAAAATTCTCTTTTTTTGTTGTGTCTCTGCCCGGCTTTGGTATCAGGATGATGCTGGCCTCATAAAATGAGTTAGGGAGGATTCCCTCTTTTTCTATTGATTGGAATAGTTTTCGAAGGAATGGTACCAACTTCTCCTTGTACCTCTGGTAGAATTAGGCTGTGAGTCTGTCTGGTCCTGGACTTTTTTTGGTTGGTAAGCTATTAATTATTGCCTCAATTTCAGAGCCTGTTATTGGTCTATTCAGAGATTCAACTTCTTCCTGGTTTAGTCTTGGGAGGCTGTGTGTGATGAGGAATTTATCCATTTCTTCTAGATTTTCTAGTTTAGTTGTGTAGAGGTGTTTATAGTATTCTGTGATGGTAGTTTGTATTTCTGTGGGATCGGTGGTGATATCCCCTTTATCATTTTTTATTGCATCTATTTGATTCTTCTCTCTTTTCTTCTTTATTAGTCTTGCTAGCAGTCTATCAATTTTGTTGACCTTTTCACAAAACCAGCTCCTTGATTTATTGATTTTTTTGAAGGTTTTTTTATGTCTCTAACTCCTTCAGTTCTGCTCTGATGTTAGTTATTTCTTGCCTTCTGCTAGCTTTTGAATGTGTGTGCTCTTGCTTCTCTAGTTCTTTTAATTGTGATGTTAGGGTGTGAATTTCAGATCTTTCCTGCTTTCTCTTGTGGGCATTTAGTGCTATAAATTTCCCTCTACACACTGCTTTAAATGTGTCCCATAGATTCTGGTATGTTGTTTCTTTGTTCTCGTTGGTTTCAAAGAACATCTTTATTTCTGCCTTCATTTAGTTATGTACCCAGTAGTCATTCAGGAGCAGGTTGTTCAGTTTCCATGTAGTTGAGTGGTTTTGAGTGAGTTTCTTAATCCTGATTTCTAGGTTGATTGCACTATGGTCTGAGAGACAGTTCGTTATAATTTCTGTTCTTTAACATTTGCTGATGAGTGCTTTATTTCCAACTATGTGGTCAATTTTGGAATAAGTGCGATGTGGTGCTGAGAAGAATGTATATTCTGTTGATTTGGGGTAGAGAGTTCTGTAGATGTCTGTTAGGTCCGCTTTGTGCAGAGCTGAGTTCAATTCCTGTATATCTTTTTTAACTTTCTGTCTTGTTGATCTGTCTAATGTTGACAGTGGGGTGTTAAAGTCTGCCATTATTGTTGTGTGGGAATCGAAGTCTCTTTGTAGGTCTCTGAGGACTTGCTTTATGAATCTGGGTGCTCCTGTATTGGGTGCATATATATTTAGGATAGTTAGCTCTTCTTGTTGAATTGATCACTTTACCATTATGTAATGGGCTTCTTTGTCTCTTTTGATCTTTGTTGGTTTAAAGTGTGTTTTATCAGAGACTTGGATTGCAACTCCTGCCTTTTTTTGTTTTCCATTTGCTTGGTAGATCTTCCTCCATTCCTTTATTTTGAGCCTATGTGTGTCTCTGCACATGAGATGGGTTTCCTGAATACAGCACACTGATGAGTCTTGACTCTTTATCCAATTTGCCAGTATGTGTCTTTTAATTGGAGCATTTAGCCCATTGACATTTAAGGTTAATATTGTTATGTGTGAATTTGATCCCGTCATTATGATGTTAGTTGGTTATTTGGCCCGTTAGTTGATGAAGTTTCTTCCTAGCCTCGATGGTCTTTACAATTTGGCATGTTTTTGCAGTGGCTGGTACCGGTTGTTCGTTTCCATGTTTAGTGCTTCCTTCAGGAGCTCTTGTAGGGCAGGGCTGGTGGTGACAGAATCTCTCAGTATTTGCTTGTCTGTAAAGTATCTTATTTCTCCTTCACTCACGAAGCTTAGTTTGGCTGGATATGAAATTCTGGATTGAAAATTGTTTTCTTTAAGAATGTTGAATATTGGCCCCCACTCTCTTCTGGCTTGTAGAGTTTTGCGGAGAGATCAACTGTTAGTCTGATGGGCTTCCCTTTGTGGGTAACCGGACCTTTCTCTCTGGCTGCCCTTAACATTTTTTCCTTCATTTCAACTTTGGTGAATCTGACAGTTATGTGTCTTGGAGTTGCTATTCTCGTGGAGTATCTTTGTGGTGTTCTCTGTGTTTCCTGCATTTGAATGTTGGCCTACCTTGCTAGATTGAGGAAGTTCTCCTGGATAGTATCCTGCAGACTGTTTTCCAACTTGGTTCCATTCTCCCCATCACTTTCAGGTACACCAATCAGATGTAGATTTGGTCTTTTCACATAGTCCCATATTTCTTGGAGGCTTTGTTCATTTCTTTTTATTCTTTTTTCTCTAAATTTCTCTTCTCGCTTCATTTCATTCATTTGATCTTCCATCACTGATACCCTTTGATCCAGTTGATCGAATCGGCTACTGAAGCTTGTGCATTCGTTACGCAGTTCTCGTGCCATGGTTTTCAGCTCCATCAGGTTCTTTAAGGACTTGTCTGCATTGGTTATTCTAGTTAACCATTCATCTAATTTTTTTTCAAGGTTTTTAACTTCTTTGCCATGGGTTTGTACTTCCTCCTTTAGCTCGGAGAAGTTTGATCGTCTGAAGCCTTCTTCTCTCAACTTGTCAAAGTCATTCTCTGTTTTCCGTTGGTGGTGAGGAGCTGTGTTCCCTTGGAGGAGGAGAGGCACTCTTATTTTTAGAATTTCCAGTTTTTCTGCTCTGTTTTTTCCCCATCTTTATGGTTTTATCTACCTTTCGTCTTTGATGATGGTGATGTACAGATGGGGTTTTGGTGTGGATGTCCTTTCTGTTTGTTAGTTTTCCTTCTAACAGTCAGGACCCTCAGCTGCACATCTGCTGGAGTTTGCTGGAGGTCCACTCCAGACCCTGTTTGCCTGGGTATCAGCAGAGGTGGCTGTAGAACAGCAAATATTGGTGAACAGCAAATGTTGCTGCCTGATCGTTCCTCTGGAAGTTTTGTCTCAGAGGGGTACCTGGCCGTGTGAGGTGTTAGTCTGCCTCTACTGGGGGATGCCTTCCAGTTAGGCTACTGAGGGGTCAGGGACCCACTTGAGGAGGCAGTCTGTCTGTTCTCAGATCTCAAGCTGCATGCTGGGAGAACCACTACTGTCTTCCAAGCTGTCAGACAGGGATATTTAAGTCTGCAGAGGTTTCTGCTGCCTTTTGTTTAGCTATGCCCTGCCTCCAGAGGTGGAGCCTACAGAGGCAGGCAGGCCTCCTTGAGCTGCGGTGGGCTTCACCCAGTTTGAGCTTCCCAGCTGCTTTGTTTACCTGCTGAAGCCTCAGCAATGGCGGGCGCCCCTCCCCCAGCCTGGCTGCTCCCTTGCCGTTTGATCTCAGACTGCTGTGCTAGCAATGAGTGAGGCTCCGTGGGCATAGGACCCTCCTAGCCATGCCCAGGATATAATCTCCTGGTGTGCTGTTTGCTAAGACCGTCAGAAAAGCGCAGTATTAGGGTGGGAGTAACCCGATTTTCCAGGTGCCGTCTGTCACCCTTTTCATTGGCTAGGAAAGGGAATTCCCTGACCCCTTGCACTTCTGGGGTGAGGCGATGCCTCGCCCTGCTTTGGCTCACGCTTGGTGTGCTTCATCCACTGTCCTGCACCCACTGTCCTACAATCCCCAGTGAGATGAACCTGGTACCTCAGTTGGAAGTGCAGAAATCATCCATCTTCTGCTTTGCTCATGCTGGGTGCTGTAGACTGGACCTGTTCCTATTCGGCCATCTTGGAACCACCCTCTGAGAAACTTCTTTAGACTAGAAATCATAAATCTATAAAATAAATATGATTATGTAATTTTAAAAAACCTATGGCAAGACTAGTTTGGTAATTTCTAACAGCAAATTTGAAAAATAAATGTTAGTAATATAGAAGATAGGAAAAAGATTGATATCTACTATATAGGATAAGTTCTTACAAAACTAGAGAGAAGACAACAAAACATACAGAAGGGTGATTCATAGAAGATTAAACTGTGAAAAGATGCTCCAATTCAGTAGCAATAATGAGGGCAATCAAAATAATAATGGTATAATACTGAAAAACATAATTTTGCTAGTGAGGATGTGCAGAAAAGGATACTTTCATCTATTTTGGGTGGACATCTTTTAATATAAAACACATAATCTTCTTAGAATCTTTTCCATCTAAGTAAAAGAATATCTAAGGAAACATGTTTTTACATTTCCTACAAACTTTATATATACATCGCTTGTGTATATATAATCATGGAAAACTTGAAAAAGACAGGATTAACAATGGAGGGAGGTTCAGGGAAAGATAAAACAATGACTAAGAAAAACCCAGAGATTTTATGTTTACATCTCTGCATATTTATGCAAAATAGAAAATTCAGAGTTATATATAATTTATTAATATCCACATATGTAGTAATAAAATGAAGTATGCATGAGAAAGAAAAACACAAATTTGTGTTTGGGAGTATTTGTGGCAATAATGGATCGATCAATGGATAGTTGGTTGAAAGGATGCATAGATAGATTACATATCTTCTTAAAAATATTTATGTAATTGCAACCTGTAGTAGGGCACAGAATGAAACAGTTTGTCATTTTAGAGTAAACACCTTTTGAAGAAACATAGTAATTTTTTTCTTTTATTTATTTTGCTGTTATTCTAAAAGAGGAGTTAAGTTTCTCTTAAAAAATCCCATGTCCTTTACTCTGTCAAAACTAAGTCAGAAATAGAAACTAACATTTTTACAGAAAACTGAGCAATTCATGGGAAGGCTGAGTTTTAGGCTAACCCATTTTAGCTCTTTCAGAAAAGATGACATGTCAGATCACCTGTTGTTTGAAGACTGAAACTTTTTGCTGTTGCCTCTGAAGACTGTATAAGAGGAAACACATTTAACTTGCAGCAATGAGGTGTTGGTTGACTTTTTAACGTAGTGGAAGATGGATATTGGAAGACAATTTTAAAAATCAAAGTTTTTTATCTTCTGAATTTTGGAATAATACATACTATGTATACTAAGTTTAGAGAATATAGGTATGTATAAAGAAAATAAAAATCATTCCATCATTTTACTATAATTTTGTTTCTAAAAATATAATAAACTGTTATTTTCAACATTTTATAAAAGAAGATATGCATACTGGGGTAAATTTATAATATGAAAGTATAAACTCACCCATAATTTTACCACTTTAGGTAATCGGGGTTAGTGATTTTACGTTTTTCATTTCATCTTTCTAATTGTCAGTGTTTCATTATGTATACTCTTTCCTGTTTGAATTTTTTTTTGGACACTTTCACTTTTTGTACTTCTAAAATGTTAGAATATCATGGCAAAGTTTAAAATCCATTTTGGTTAATTGTATTAAATGCATAACTGCATTTTAAAGAATTGACATCTTTATTCTGTATCCCAATCCAGAAGCCTGATATATCTTTCCACTTATTCTGGTATTTTGTGTTTCTTAGTGAAATTTTTTCTTAATTAAAATTAAAAAATGCAGGAAAGTACTGAGAAAAAATTAAAATAATTCATAGAACTAACACCAACGTAAACAGGTTGGAATATTTCCTTCTAATTACTTTGGTTATCTATGCATATATGTTCATATATGATACATGGATGTATATTTTCCTAAGTGGATTCTACTTATATATTATCAGCACATTCCTCTTTCATTAGATTGTTTTAAAACACACGATTTTATTGGTTGTAGGGTATTTTTATCGTATAATTATAACAATTTATTAGAACCCTAATTCTTATATACTCTTATCTATATTCATATTGTTGATGATTTAATAAATAGCGAATATCTGATGCGTTTTGCATAAACAAATCTGAGTGTGTTTTCTATAAAAGGGTAATTATATCCGGATACATTGGTGTTATCTTTTTCTGTATTTTTAATTTTTGTGTTTTATTGAACTTTTATAATTTCTTATGTCCATTATATATATTTGATTTTGCCTCTTCACTATTTGATTTTGCGTCTTCACTAGTGATTTAGTGACACTAATCACTTTTATTTTTTTAATTTATTCATCACTGACTTTAGTATTTTTTAAGATAAAAAGTATTTAAACACTTTTTTAAGTATGTTTTTAAAATAATATTTATTGATTAACCACCATCATGTAAGGTGATAAAGTAATACTCCTTTATTTGTATTTTTTCTTCTGCTATCTTACTTCTTGGCTCTTTAAATTCTATCTTGGGATTTAGATATTAGTGTCTACTCTTATGATAACTATTAGCATTTACAGTTTTGGCTGTATTATCTAAAATAATACTTTATAGTTTGGCCATTTTAATTTATTTCAATGGGCCTACTAGCCTTTTTATAATATTTTCAATTCCATTTTGCGTTCCTTATGTGGGTTCATGTCTCAGTCAATTGATTACGTCTTTAAGTAGTTTATCTTTAAGATAAATATGCAGAAAGGATACATCTGAGGTTTTGTTTACCTGAGAAAACAGTGTTTCTCATGCCTTCTTACATTTGCAATAACTTGATAGAGTATAGAATTCGGGGAATTTTATAGATATCACTCATTTTCTTCTGGTTGTAGTATTGTGGAGAAGTCTGAGGTCAACCCAGTTTTTTTTTTTCTTTTTTATTTCTGTTTCTTGGAAATCTATTTCTCACTTGTTCTTTTCACCCCCTGGCTGGATGCTTATTCGATACAGTTCTTTGAAAACGTTTGATATTTATAAATTGTACTAAAAAATATTACTGGTTGGTCACTTTTAGTTAATTTTCTGTATACTCCATGAACAATTTTTGTCCTGTGGATCAGGTCTTTCATCTACAAAGATGACTTTTTGTTTTAGTAACCTCTCTACCCTTATTTCTATTTTCTACCCTATGAGCCCTCATTATTTGTTGGTTAGATGTGTATTATCTGTCCTGCATGTCTTTGATTTAATCTGTTAGTGTTTTCAGCTATTTTCACTTTACTGCAGTATTCTGCAAAATCTCTTTGAGATTATTCTCTGGGTTAAGGATTTTATTTTCTACAGTGTTGTTTATGGTTTTTATTGTCAATATTGTTCAAGTTTTAATTCAGCTAATTAGAAGTTATCTTTTCTTATATAATATTTTCTTATTTAATTTGTTGACTTTCTCCTTTCTGCCAAATCCTTTTTATTTCTTCTTCTCTTACCATTTCATTTCTATATTTTATTTGTGAACAGAGTATATACATCAAGCAATAGGTTCCTTCTGGTGCTGTCTTGTGTCTCTGAGGCAGTGGGTGTGAGTGGAACATTCTTAACCTTTTTCCTAACTCACTCCACTGCCTTGAATCAGGGTTCAGATTTACATTTGGTAAGAAGGGGTAGGTTTTCTGTATTCTGCCATATCCTTGGGGACTATTTTTAGTGATTTATACAATTTGAACTTCCATTGTTTTGTTTGTTTTCAGAAAAGATTAAACAAACAAATTATATTACTGTGGAGCAAAAAGAGGGAAGCCAGCTAACATAGTAATATAATTAGAGAGTTACAAAAATATTTTTTCATATGATATAATATATTCTGAACTACCCACATGATCTAAGTTGTGTAGACTTATTTTCTAGCACTTGAAGTTTATCATTTTCCTTCTCTTTATTTTAAGCTGCCATTTTTAATTTTTGGCCAAATTTACACAGGAAGCCAGAGCAATGGCAAGTCTCGAACTCATAGCGTCAGGTTTGCTGCTTGTATTCCTTCTACACCACTACAATATTATTCAAGAAGCAATTTAGTCACATTGTTGAACAGAGTCAAGACTGAAACCCAAGCATTTTGACCCTAAGGCCAGTGTAAAAATCTTATAAAAGAATACATGCTCTTAAACAGCCCTATCTACCTAAAATTTAGACTTTTAGGATTAGATATGAGACACAGTTGTTACTAATCTTACTAACCATGGGAGGTCAGTTCTGTCATACACTGTCAAAGTGAAAGAATTGTCACAAATATAAACAAGCATGAAAAAAGACAACTTGGAAAAATTATCTAAACCATTTTGAACTATTGATGATGATCTGTTACCTGTTCATTGTTTTTGGTAACAAAAACATTACGAAAATAGGATATTGTATTTTGCCCCATTTAATATTATTAAATATAACCTTCGCTCAGGAGATGTTAGCCTTGTAAGCTGAAGCTGTTTTTTTGAGGAGGTAAAACTTGACTCTAGTCTACCAAACATAGTTCCGAGGCTTGAGGAATATATGTTTATTCCATAAACATGTATTATACCAACTACTTTTCAGGCAATCTACTAGTTTTGACGGTTCCAGAGGGATTAAGACCTATAGTCTGTGACTTCATAGAGTTTACAATGTAAGCAGAAATTAGACAGAAAACAGATAATTTTACAACTAATTATTTAATTAAAATTGTGATCATGGCTATGAATGAGTAGCGTATGATCTCAGGAATATGATATCAGGATCTAATCTAGTTTAGAACATCTAGGAAGACTTCCAGAGTATTTGAATTCAATTTAGAACATGAAAGATCAATGATAGTTAGCTGGGTGAAGGAGGGAGGGCTATTCTGGCAAGAGAGAGAATTGAAGTGTTGAAAAGAGAATATTCGAAGATCTTTGGCAGAAATGAGAATGGCATATTGAAAGAACTGTAATGTGAATGGATGATAGAAAGGGAGAGGAATGACAGAGTGGTAAGTTAGGGCTAGGCTATACAGGAACTTGTTAGGGATTTTGGACTTCACCTTAAGAACAAAGGGAAAGCACCAAAGTTTTTGAAACAGGGAACTGACATGATCATATTTGCACTTTTAAAAGAATAGTCTTCTTGTTTCTGTGAAGAATGAGTAGGAGGAGGGCAAAATTGGAAAGGATTCAGTGAGATCAATTAGAAGGCTAGGAATTGCTGCTGTATCTGAAAGCTGAGGATAGTTGGGCCTAGATTTTTGTTTCCTGATCATTCTATTAGAAATTCTACTTTGCTTTAATGATCTCTGGCTTCCCGTTTTAATGATATTCTAAATAATTAAAACAATTTATTCCAAGATAAAAGTATGTTTTGTGTTTATAGGTGAAACTGAAGTTAATATTGTGACACTAAATTTTGTAAGACCCTCAAGAATTCCCATTCTTCTGACTTAGCCAGTATAAGGAAGGAGACAAGGAATAAGTTCAGTCTTACCGTGTTCTCAAGTCCAGCAGTATATTTTTATTCTCACAGAAGACTTTCGGTAATTACCTTTTTCTCAGAATCTCCTCCCTTGTGTGTAATCAGTAAGGCTTTTTCATGTCTACCTCAAGGCTTATCTGCTTTAGTATCTGACTGCTCTTTTCCTTCTTTTCCATATAACTCTGGAACCAGACTGCTGAGCTTTTTCTTTTAACTTCAGCTCTGCTATTTACTCACTATAAAACTTTGAATAGGTTACTTAACCACTCTGCTACTCAGTTTTCTCATCTTTAAAAATGGAAATAATAACATTACATACTTCCTAGAAATGATAGGATTAGGCTTAGAACACTGTCTAGCATATCTTTTTAATGAGTCATGAAATCATTTTGTTGGGTCCTGATCAGAGTTTAATGGAATGGAATAAGAATATCATAGTACAGCATATGAAGTTAAATTAAGTATTGTTTCTAATGAAAGAATTTTATGTATACATATATACATATACATATATATGTATTGTAAGTTTCTGTGTATATGTGACTGCAGTTAAACCTTATTGTTGATGAAGTGTCTTGATCAAAATTTTTTGAAAACCACCATGCTATTTGACTACATTCCACATATATTGTTCATGTTGTATATTAAATATTCATTGAAGACAAAAACTATGTCTAACATGTCATATCCCTGCTTGGATATGTTATTTTTAAATTTTTAATTTTTTGCCAAAAACTTTGCAGACTTACAAGGTATCTGAAACTTCTTTATTTCTAGCTGGTTCCTCCCTCTTTGAACTCATCTGGATCTGGCTTATTTCAAATGTCCATCCCCACAGGTGAGAAAGTAGTTTAGATTTTAGAATCAAACAGTCTTGATTTAGAGTCTTAGTTCTGCCTCTTTCTAGCTATGAGATTTTTAGGTCAATGACTTAATCTTTCTATGTCTGTATTTTTATACCTTTAAAATGAGGTACTGTTAATACCTACCTCATGGGATGTTATGAATATTAAATAAGTTTATGCAATTTGTTTATCATAACATTGTTTAATAAATGTTAGTTATAATTGCTTTTAGAATTATCATGTAAGATAATACATAGTTATATTAATTATTATTGTCATTATGCTAAGATTTTGGAAACTTTCATTGGCATACACCAAGATGATGATTGGCAGTTATTTCCTGTCTTTACCTGCTTGGTTCCTTAATATGCACAGATAGAACTGTTTAAGATTTGAGGCCTGGGACACTGCATTCAACTTCCCTCACCTTGCAAAGTGCTCTGGCATCTGCCTTTTGTTATAGACTTTCTCCCCTTGTCAGTGTAAATACTGAAGGCTATACCTGTGCAATGCTCTGAATATTGGTGTCTCCCCTAAATTCCTGTGTTGAAACCTAATAGTATTAAGAAATGAGACCTTTGGGGAAGTGATTAAGTTATGAGTGTTCTACCCTCACAAATGGAATTAATGCTCTTATAAAAGATTGCAGGGAGTTGCTTTGTCCTTCTGCCATGTGAGGACACAGCAAGAGGCTCCCTTTTAAGCAGAGAACATGCCTTCACCAGACACTGAATCTGCTGGCATTTTGATCTTGGACTTCCCAGCCTCTAGAACTATGAGAAATAAATTTCCGTTTCAATAAATTACCCAGTCTAAGATGTTTTGTTGTAGCACCCTAAATGGACTGAGACAGCGTGTCACAATTACAGACACTGCTGCACTGAGCTGTATTAGTGTCTTCTTTTAACCCCAGACTTACTTTTTATTGATTGTGATTTTTCCATCACTTCTTGGCTTTAGATAAAAATAACTAATATCATACAAATGTCATCAACAAATCAGAAGTTCTTTCTTATCTGTCTTCTATTCTTTGACCCTCTCCTTCTATATTCATATGCTGCTGGCTTTCTGGAAGCTACTTTTTTCTCAGTAAAGAAGGTACAAGGTTTAATTTTTAGCCATTTCTTGTTCTGAAGCCTGAAAATTCTGCAAGGCTAAAATCTTGAGTCACCTTCATTACCTTTACATTTACATTCATTGTTGATTATTTATTTAGCTCATTACTGACATGAGGAGACAGAATCTGTGTTTATTTTAAATAAACTCTTTTTTTCTCTTTTGACAAATACAAATATAAGTATAGACCTATATATTATAATTAACACCTCTGCATCCATTCCTAAGTACTATTATATATTTATTCTTAGAATATTTGGCTTAAAAGTTTCAAAACTGATTCATGAAAGTCAACGTGTATATTTGAAATGCAAATGATATTTATATTATGATAACTGAGAAAATGAATTACCTCTTCACAAACTTGAGATAATCCATTTTTATTGCCTACGTCATTTGAACATATCCATATGGTACAGGATAAGAATAGCAGCTTGTTCAGTACAAGAATGACTATACCTAGAAAGACTTCATTTTATCTTGGGTAAATAATACATATTTAGAGACATATTTTATTACATATGAGAAAATTTTAGTAGAACCCTTCATGTTTGGGCTTCTGAGTTATTAAAAGAGTGAAAACAATAGTTGTATTTTCTCTAAATCGTCAACTAATTAAGTCAAATGAGTTTGCTATAATTACATGTATAATCCTCCTGTTCTCGACACCCCCCATTTTTGCCTGATATTTAAAGTAAAACTGAGACAAACAGCTGCTGGATTGGATTATCTACTTTAGTATTTTATTCCTTTTTTCCTGAGAGAATGCAATCTAAATTTAATGCACAATTCAATGTACATTTTAGTGCCTGCTGTGTATGGGGAAATAGACTTGGCATGGGGAATGCTCAGAAGCTCAAGATAAGGCCTCTGTACCACAAGATAAAGCTCATTGTCTAATAGATAGACAAGTAAACCTCTATGAGATCAGGTAAGTAAATCTCCTGGCAGGGAAAATACCAAACATATTCTAAATTCAAACTTAAATTATTTGAGGAATATACATTCTTATTTTCTCTGTTAGCATTGTTACTCATTTAATTCAATTCCAGACACTGTTTTGGGGCAGATATTAAATCATATTCTGGTATTACAGCTGGATAAAAAGGTCAACATAATGCCTTCTTACTTTATCAGGAAAGACAGATAATTAAGAAGTATTTATTTAAGATAAGTGTCAGGACCCAAAAACATTAAATACCAAGGCAGTATGCTTTAAATAGCATGGAATAACTATGTTATTTAAATAAAATACCATTACAACAAATAATTACAAGAAGGAAGAGTACTCATTACATAGGACACATTATGGACCTTTCATAGGACAAATAAAATAATAAGATATCGCTGATTAAGATATCATTGATCAAGTTAAGTTAGCTATTTAAGGAATACTTCTATAAAACAGGCTTTTTTTCTTATGGTAAAATTCTTACAGTTTTCAATGGTACACCATTACTTTCATAATAAAGTTAAACTTTTCTGCTTACCACAGGAGGCCATTGAGGATATGGCCTTTCTTTTCTCTAGATTCATCTCTTACAATTTTACAACAGTTTTTTCATACCCTCCTTGAAATCTAAACTACTTTCACATTAGCTCACAATGTTGTGTCATACCTCTCTTCATGTCTATGTGCTGTTTATTTACGTAGCGTTATTCATCCCACTTATGTTTCAAGACTTAGCACTATTTTCTCTGCAAAATCATCCAGATACTTCCAATTTGATTTAAATTTTTCTCTTCTGTTCCTCAGCACACCTTGTGCTACCTTTATCCAAGCTTTTCATCATTCTCTTGGTTTACTTCCATATATTATATGCTCCTTGAAGTATTGCTGTATCTTAACAGACTTTATACTTTTCAAACCCTGGCATATAGTACATACTCAATATCATATGGATGGATGGCTAGATGAATAAATGAATGGATGATGATTTTTTCATTTTCTATATCAAATGTATAAAATAGAAATTAGATATAATGGGCTGAGTTCATCTTAATTTGCATTTTACAATGTAAATAGAACCTTTAAAAATATCCAGACTACTCTTTAAAATATGTTATAAGTCTAGATCTAAGTTCTAGAGAGAATTGTGGAGTAAACTGCAGATTCACTTCCTCAGTAAATATTTATGTAAAAATGTTAAGTGATAAACCCTGATTAGATATACCATATCCTATCTTCCAGTGGGCTCAAAATCCTTATTACTAGCTTTTACTATGGAGAAAATAGTTTTCACTACTATTTCCACTTGCAGTCCTGTGCCAAGGGAATCTATATGGGAATTATATATATTATCACTAGAAAAAGATGCTTAGATACTCTATATTATAAATAAACTTTATTTTTGAATAATGCTAGTCTGTGTTCACTGAATCTAAAAAATTCATGTTTGGCATGCGAACTCCTATGCATAAAAATTTTTTCTTTGAAAGAAAAAGTATACTATATAATAGTAAGTTATTAAATAATAATTAAAGATATTATAATTCATGCAATAATTTAAAAAGTACTTTTTATATGAACACGTTTATTTATTTTGTGTCTTCTAGCATTTTTCATATCAGCAAGTATATTAAAAGGAACATATTGTGTGCAATGTGTAGGCCCAGCATAGGATTCTCTATACTAAAATTTTGCAATGATACTGGTTAATTGCTAGATTTCAGGCACCTTTCTAACCTCCGTTTTAGTGGGCGTGAAAGGGTTTATTTGTAAGAGATATTGCTGCTGACAGAATTTTATCTTTTTCTCCTGGAATCTCAACAGCTACTCCCATGTTATAGGCATCCCCAGAAAGCTCGTCAAAGGATTTCCACCCACACTCTGAATATCTAACAGGGCTTGACCCATTTTTTTTCTCTTATTAATATAGCAGCATACACATCATGAAGAAAGATAGAATAAGGACTAGTCTAAGCTTGGAATTTCAAAAAGTTATCTACCTGTATGCAAGGAATTGAAGCGGACAACAAAATTAGCCTTTATTTTTTTTAAATTATGCCCTTAACAATCTTATCACATTAAGGAATCACATCTAATTTCATGAATATAGTTTTATTTTGAGTGGCTTAAAATGTACATTTGTATTCTTAAATGCAGTGACTATAAATGCCAAAAATAGAGTGCACTATAAATCAAGAATTCTCCTTTGTACTCAATTGTTAGGACATAATATACTGCTTAATAACATAGATAATAATTAAAAGAAGACTAAAGCTTTGTGTAGTAATCCTAGTAGAATCCTTTGGAAGTAATCAGGATAGTTATAAGACAGAATATGAAAATACATGTTTAAAGTAATTTTCTTGTATAAATGATTACATTTTTTTGTTTATGTAAACCATTAGCTTTTTTTGTTTTCCTTATGTAACATCTAAATACTCATATATAGACTGTGGCTAATTTTTTTTTTAACTTAAAGGATAAAAGTCCCTCTGGAATACAACACTGCATTCAGTTTTCCCTCTTAACTCTCTATTGTTGGGCAAGTTACTCCAAGCCTCAGTCACCTCATCTTCCTTATGGTGAGTGAGGTATAAGTGATAAAATAATAATTATTGAAATAAATGCTAATTATTGTTACCATAACAGTTGTTTCTCCTGCTTTTATTAATTTGGAGTCAGTCACTCAGCTAACATCCAAGTATAAATACATGAGTGGTGAGGAATACTTCTCCTTTGTAGTTATGCCATCAGTTGTCTATATTCACTGTTTTGAATTCCTCTGACTCCATTCTTTCTTTTTTTTTATTATTATTATACTTTAAGTTTTAGGGTACATGTGCACAATGTGCAGGTTAGTTACATATGTATACATGTGCCATGCTGGTGTGCTGCACCCATTAACTCGTCATTTAGCATTAGGTATATCTCCTAATGCTATCCCTCCCCCCTCCCCCTACCCCACAACAGTCCCCAGAGTGTGATGTTCCCCTTACTGTGTCCATGTGTTCTCATTGTTCAGTTCCCACCTATGAGTGAGAATATATGGTGTTTGGTTTTTTGTCCTTGCGATAGTTTACTGAGAATGATAATTTCCAATTTCATGCATGTCCCTACAAAGGACATGAACTCATCATTTTTAATGGCAGCGTAGTATTCCATGGTGTATATGTGCCACATTTTCTTAATCCACTCTATCATTGTTGGACATTTGGGTTGGTTCCAGGTCTTTGCTATTGTGAATAGTGCTGCAATAAACATACATGTGCATGTGTCTTTATAGCAGCATGATTTATAGTCCTTTGGGTATATACCCAGTAATGGGATGGCTGGCTCAAATGGTATTTCTAGTTCTAGATCCCTGAGGAATCGCCACACTGACTTCCAAAATGGTTGAACTAGTTTACAGTCCCACCAACAGTGTAAAAGTGTTCCTATTTCTCCACATCCTCTCCAGCACCTGTTGTTTCCTGACTTTTTAATGATTGCCATTCTAACTGGTGTGAGATGGTATCTCATTGTGGTTTTGATTTGCATTTTTCTGATGGCCAGTGATGATGAGCATTTTTTCATGTGTCTTTTGGCTGCATAAATGTCTTCTTTTGAGAAGTGTCTGTTCATGTCCTTCACCCACTTTTTGATGGGGTTGTTTGTTTTTTTCTTGTAAATTTGTTTGAGTTCATTGTAGATTCTGGATATTAGCCCTTTGTCAGATGAGTAGGTTGCAAAAATTTTCTCCCATTTTGTAGGTTGCCTGTTCACTCTGATGGTAGTTTCTTTTGCTGTGCAGAAGCTCTTTAGTTTAATTAGATCCCATTTGTCAATTTTGGCTTTTGTTGCCATTGCTTTTGGTGTTTTAGACATGAAGTCCTTGCCCATGCCTATGTCCTGAATGGTAATGCCTAGGTTTTCTTCTAGGGTTTTTATGGTTTTAGGTCTAACGTTTAAATCTTTAATCCATCTTGAATTAATTTTTGTATAAGATGTAAGGAAGGGATCCAGTTTCAGCTTTCTACATGTGGCTAGCCAGTTTTCCCAGCACCATTTATTAAATAGGGACTCCTTTCTCCATTTCTTGTTTTTGTCAGGTTTGTCAAATATCAGATAGTTGTAGATATGAGGCGTTATTTCTGAGGGGTCTGTTCTGTTCCATTGATCTATATCTCTGTTTTGGTACCAGTACCATGCTGTTTTGGTTACTGTAGCCTTGTAGTATAGTTTGAAGTCAGGTAGCGTGATGCCTCCAGCTTTGTTCTTGTGGCTTAGGATTGACTTGGCGATGCGGGCTCTTTTTTGATTCCATATGCACTTTAAAGTAGTTTTTTCCAATTCTGTGAAGAAAGTCATTGGTAGCTTGATGGGGATGGCATTGAATCTATAAATTACCTTGGGCAGTATGGCCATTTTCACGATATTGATTCTTCCTACCCATGAGCATGGAATGCTCTTCCATTTGTTTGTATCCTCTTTTATTTCCTTGAGCAGTGGTTTGTAGTTCCCCTTGAAGAGGTCCTTCACGTCCCTTGTAAGTTGGATTCCTAAGTATTTTATTCTCTTTGAAGCAATTGTGATTGGGAGTTCACTCATGATTTGGCTCTCTGTTTGTCTGTTATTAGTGTGTAAGAATGCTTGTGATTTTTGTACATTGATTTTGTATCCTGAGACTTTGCTGAAGTTGCTTATCAGCTTAAGGAGATTTTGGGCTGAGACAATGGGGTTTTCTAGATATACAATCATGTCATCTGCAAACAGGGACAATTTGACTTCCTGTTTTCCCAATTGAATACCCTTTATTTCCTTCTCCTGCCTCATTGCCCTGGCCAGAACTTCCCACACTATGTTGAATAGGAGTGGTGAGAGAGGGCATCCGTGTCTTGTGCCAGTTTTCAAAGGGAATGCTTCCAGTTTTTGCCCATTCAGTATGATATTGGCTGTGGGTTTGTCATAGATAGCTCTTATTATTTTGAGATACGTCCCATCAATACCTAATTTATTGAGAGTTTTTAGCATGAAGGGTTGTTGAATTTTGTCAAAGGCCTTTTCTGCATGTATTGAGATAATCATGTGGTTTTTGTCTTTGGTTCTGTGTATATGCTGGATTACATTTATTGATTTGCGTATATTGAACCAGCCTTGCATCCCAGGGATGAAGCCCACTTGATCATGGTGGATAAGCTTTTTGATGTGCTGCTGTATTCGGTTTGCCAGTATTTTATTGAGGATTTTTGCATCAATGTTCATCAAGGATATTGGTCTAAAATTCTCTTTTTTGGTTGTGTCTCTGCCTGGCTTTGGTGTCAGGATGATGCTGGCCTCATAAAATGAGTTAGGGAGGATTCCCTCTTTTTCTATTGATTGGAATAGTTTCAGAAGGAATGGTACCAGTTCCTCCTTGTACCTCTGGTAGAATTCGGCTATGAATCCATCTGGTCCTGGACTCTTTTTGGTTGGTAAGCTATTGTTTATTGCCACAATTTCAGATTCTGTTATTGGTCTATTCAGAGATTCAACTTCTTCCTGGTTTAGTCTTGGGAGAGTGTATGTGTCGAGGAATTTGCCAGTCTCTGTCTCATAATTGGAGCATTTAGTCCATTTACATTTAAAGTTAATATTGTTATGTGTGAATTTGATCCTGCCATTATGATGTTAGCTGGTTATTTTGCTCATTAGTTGATGCAGTTTCTTCCTAATCTCGATGTTCTTTACATTTTGGCATGATTTTGTAGTGGCTGGTACCAGTTGTGCCTTTCCATGTTTAGTGCTTCCTTCAGGAGCTCTTTTAGGGCAGGCCTGGTGTTGACAAAATCTCTCAGCATTTGCTTGTCTGTATAGTATTTTATTTCTCCTTCAATTATGAAGCTTCGTTTGGCTGGATATGAAATTCTGGGTTGAAAATTCTTTTCTTTAAGAATGTTGAATATTGGCCCCCACTCTATTCTAGCTTGTAGAGTTTCTGCTGAGAGATCAGCTGTTAGTCTGATGGGTTTCCCTTTGTGGGTAACCCGATCTTTCTCTGTGGCTGCCCTTATAATTTTTTCCTTCATTTCAACTTTGGTGAATCTGATAATTATGTGTCTTGGAGTTGCTCTTCTCGAGGAGTATCTTTGTGGCATTCTCTGTATTTCCTGAATCTGAATGTTGGCCTGCCTTGCTAGTTTGGGGAAGTTCTCCTGGATAATATCCTGCAGAGTGTTTTCCAACTTGGTTCCATTCTCCCCATCACTTTCAGGTACACCAATCAGATGCAGATTTGGTCTTTTCACATAGTCCCATATTTCTTGGAGGCTTTGTTTGTTTCTTTTTATTCTTTTTTCTCTAAACTTCCCTTCTCGCTTCATTTCATTCATTTCATCTTCCATCACTGATACCCTTTCTTCCAATTGATCGCATTGGCTCTTGAGGCTTCTGCATTCTTCACGTAGTTCTCGAGCCTTGGCTTTCAGCTCCATCAGCTCCTTTAAGCACTTCTCTGTATTGGTTATTCTAGTTATACATTCGTCTAAATTTTTTTCAACGTTTTCAGCTCCTTTGCCTTTGGTTTGAATTTCCTCTTGTAGCTCGGAATAGTTTGATCGTCTGAAGCCTTCTTCTCTCAACTCGTCAAAGTCATTCTCCGTCCAGCTTTGTTCCGTTGCTGGTGAGGAACTGCGTTCCTTTGGAGGAGGAGAGGCGCTCTGTTTTTTAGAGTTTCCACTTTTTCTGCTCTGTTTTTTCCCCATCTTTGGTGGTTTTATCTACTTTTGGTCTTTGATGATGGTGATGTACAGATGGGTTTTTGGTGTGGATGTCCTTTCTGTTTGTTAGTTTCCCTTCTAACAGACAGGACCCTCAGCTGCAGGTCTGTTGGAGTTTGCTAGAGGTCCACTCCAGACCCTGTTTGCCTGGGTATCAGCAGCGGTGGCTGCAGAACCGCGGATTTTCGTGATCCGCAAATGCTGCTGTCTGATCATTCCTCTGGAAGTTTTTTCTCAGAGGAGTACCCGGCCGTATGAGGTGTCAGTCTGCCCCTGCTGGAGGGTGCCTCCCAGTTAGGCTGCTCGGGGGTCAGGGGTCAGGGACCCACTTGAGGAGGCAGTCTGCCCGTTCTCAAATCTCTAGCTGTGTGCTGGGAGAACCACTGCTCTCTTCAAAGCTGTCAGACAGGGACATTTAAATCTGCAGAGGTTACTGCTGTCTTTTTGTTTGTCTGTGCCCTGCCCCCAGAGGTGGAGCCTACAGAGGCAGGCAGGCCTCCTTGAGCTGTGGTGGGCTCCACCCAGTGCGAGCTTCCCGGCTGCTTTGTTTACCTAAGGGAGCCTGGGCAATGGTGGGCGCCCCTCCCCCAGCCTGGCTGCCGCCTTGCAGTTTGATCTCAGACTGCCGTGCTAGCAATCAGCGAGACTCCGTGGGCTTAGGACCCTCTGAGCCAGGTGTGGGTTATAATCTCCTGGTGCGCCGTTTCCTAAGCCCGTCGGAAAAGCGCAGTATTCGGGTGGGAATGCCCCGATTTTCCAGGTGCCATCTGTCACCCCTTTCCTTGACCAGGAAAGGGAACTCCCTGACCCCTTGCACTTCCCGAGTGAGGCAGTGCCTCGCCCTGCTTTGGCTGGCACAGGGTGCGCTGCACCCACTGTCCTGCGCCCACTGTCTGGCACTCCCTAGTGAGATGAACCCGGTACCTCAGATGGAAATGCAGAAATCACCCGTCTCCTGCGTCGCTCACGCTGGGAGCTATAGACCGGAGCTGTTCCTATTTGGGCATCTTGGCTCCTCCATTCTTTCTTAGACTCCCCCAGATAAAGCTTTCAACTGCCCCACCCCACGGCTCTACCAAAACTCCTTTTGTCAAAGACTCCAGTGATATCCACAATGCCAAATTCAGTGGTTAGTTCTGATTTTTCTTAGATAAACACATAAGCCATCAGCATCGTGTGTCATAGTTGACTATTTCCTATTCCTTCAAATGATTTTATTTGGATTTTTTTTTTCCTATCTGTACTGTTCCTTGTCAAACTCTTCATGTGTGCCTTCTTTTGCCCTAATATTTGTTCTTCTTCAGGGCTCATTCTACAGGCCTCTTTTCTATTTACACTCATTCCCTCAATAATCTTGCCTTGTTTCAGAGCTGTAAAAACTATCTACACATTGATGACTCCAGATTTTTATCTTCAGCCTTATCCCATCCAACTGCTTAGCTGGCATTTCCACTTAGCTGGCTAATAGAAATCTCAGATCTAACATGTTTAAACAAAACTTTTGATCTTCTCCTTAAAACATGCTTTGCCCTGATTCCAGCCCATCTGTTAAGGGCAATTCTATTTTTCTATTTGCTCAGGCAAAATAAAATTCTTTTAATAATAAAAAAGCATACTAATCCTTTTGATATGGCAGTACAATTCTGTTGGAAATCCCATTAACTCTACCTTCAAGGTGTATATGAAATTTGACCCCTACTTATCACCTTAGCATTACCACCCTGGTCCAGGCCACCATCATCTCCTAATTGGAGTTTTGTGTTTTGACTTGTCTTCCAGCTTCTGCCATTAAAATCCTTCTATAGTGTATTATCAGCCCCAGGACAAGTTATCCTTCTTAAAAGCAAATTAGATCATGTTTTTCCTCTGCTATGTTGACCCCTGTTTTTTTACTCTGTTCTTGCCCCACCAGCTTCCCAGCTACCTTGCTGTTCTTTAAGTACACCTAGCATGTTTGCACCTCCAAGCCATTTCCTCTTCCCAGATGTTCTGTGGCACATTCCTTCATTTCTTTCAAGTCTCTGCTCAAATGTCTTCTGTCAGACTTTTCTATATAAAGTATCAAATTTACAAGTCAACTGTAGTATTTTATAATTCCTTACCCTTGCTTTATATTTTGTTATACAACATCACCCTTTGACATAGTACATATTTATTTTAAATAATAATTACTAGTTTATTGTCTGTTTACCCCAACTAGAATATAACTACCATGACAGTAGGAGTATTTTTCCCTTACTGTTATAGATCTAATACCTATAACAGTTGCTGGCCATAATAGGGTATCAATAAATATTTGCTGAAAGAGTAAAGGGATCAATCAAGCAACAAACATAGCAAGTAAAATAGAATAGATGCCCATGATCTATTGCACTATAAATGATGCAGTTGCAAATATTCTTTAAATAAAGCTGCCCTGTAATACTTGACTTTTCATGAGCTACTTCAGTTTCATTAAAACTAAGTAAATATATATAACACATTCATTCGTTCATTCAGCTGTTAAGTATCATGTAAAGATCAGCTATACTTTGTTCGTAAATATTTGTTAAACGAGAAGAATGTGCTTTAAGTAACAAAGTTATATAATCTAGAAAGATTTCTGAATAATCAAGGATTTTAACATAGGTATCTTTTAAATGGATTAGACTATGAAACTATAGTTGTAAAAATAACAATAGCTAACAAAATTTCATCAAAACTTAAACTCTAATGTGTATTCGCATTCATTTATTTCATTTGATCATCACATTGACTGTGTAGAATATTAGGATTAAATGTACGATTAAGATTTCTATACCAGTTTTTGAGGTGTAGTAACAGAGATCCAGTCATATAGCAAATAGCTTGTTCTACTAGGATTAAAATCTTAAATATATGCGTAAGAGCTTAGTGCTTGTTCCTTTAAAATATGCCTAATCTTTTAAATGATTGATCTGCATTGATGTATTGGCAATCTTTTAATTTGTCCTAGGTTTCCCAAAATTTAACTTGAATCGGTCTTAACCAATTTCTTATCAGATGTTAAGAAAATTTAAAAAGAAGGGAAACATAGATGATAGAGGAAAAGCATAGGGGATAGCCAAGTTTTTTTAATAAAGATTAAAAAATTGAATAATGGATAACCCTTTTAATCTTTTAGTTGTCTGATGTGTTTCAAACTTTTTTTAAAAAGCCAAGTGACTTATTTAAGAAGATTTGATTGTCAGAAAATAAAAGCTGTACTTTTAAAGAGCTTATATGTTTCTGAAAATAATGATATACTCAGTATTTTCTTGAAGTACTGTTTTATTCTAGGAAAAAGGTCATTTGCTCATTTATTTAGCATATATTTATTGAACACCTACAATGTGCCAGGTACTTTTCTCAGTGCTTGGGATAAATCAGTGAATAAATCAAAGAACACTGCCACCATGGGAGTTAACTTCTAGCAAGGCAGATCCTATAATAAGCAGAATAGGTAAGTTTTCTAGTATGTTAACAAAGTGATACTTATGATGAAAAACAACCAGAGGGCCAGGTGCAGTGGCTCATGACTGTAATCTCAGCACTTTGGGAGGCTGAGGCAGGCGGATCGCAAGGTCAGGAGATCAAGACCATCCTGGCTAATAAGGTGAAGCCCCATCTCTACTAAAAATACAAAAAAATTAGCTGGGCATGGTGGCGGGCGCCTGTAGCCCCAGCTACTCGGGAGGCTGAGGCAGGAGAATGGCGTGAACCCGGGAGGCGGAGCTTGCAGTGAGCAGAGATTGTGCCACTGCACTCCAGCCTGGGCGACAGAGGGAGACCCCGTCTCAAAAAAAGAAAAAAAAAAAAAAGAAAACCAGAGAAAAGCAAAGGGGATTGGGAACATGGGGATTGTAGATAAAGCTTTTTACAGTTTTCCAAAGGATAAATAGGGTCTCAAGAATAAGACATATTGAGAAAGACTTGGAAGAGGTACGGAGTTAGAATGGAATGAATCTGAGAAGATAGCATTCAGGCAAAGGAAAAGCCAGAGCAAGGTAAAGGCCTGAAAGTTATACCACATGTGCCTGGTTTCAAGGAAAAGCAAAGATGCCCATATGGGGAGCACATAAGGAGCAAGAAGAGTAGTAAGAAAAAGAGATGATGTCAGAAGGCTAATGGGTGTGCTCAGATGACAGATCATGCAAGAGCTTTTTAGACCATTGAATGAACATTGGCTTTTATTCTAAGTGAAATGGGAAATCATTGCAGAGTTTTCAGTGAGTGACATTGTCTGACATGTTTTAAAAGCATTATTCTGACTGCTATGTTGAGTACACTCTCAAGGAGCCTAGGGCAAAAGCAGGGAAGCTAGAAACAGGGATCCATTAAAATATAAATAAAAGTCTCTGTTTAAGATTAGAATATTGACTAAAATTTTGAGAATGTCAGAATCAGGTATTTGGTATTTGTATAGAAGAAGTATACATATGTTTGCATCTTATTAGCATATACTTATTTGTCAATCATTATTAAGTATTCATTCATGTTAAAATTCTTCTGTTACTATATTTAGGTTTATTGGTTTCCTCTCATGCTCCATCTCTACTCTGGAATATGAGCTCAAAGACAGAAATGATGTCTTATTTTCCACTGTATTCTCAGTGCTCAAAGTTTGTTTCTTGAATTAAATTTAAAAAGCCCAAATGCATGGTTAGTATGCAAAAATTATTGAGCATGAACTAAAGGGCAAATTCTAAATAGTAAAATTCAGTCAATGATAATTTAGAGAACATCATTCCTAGAATATAAAAATGCTCATTTTTCTAAAAGTAAGAAAATGATTGTATCCAATTATAAAGTCATATGGTAGTTTCCTTTATTCTGAGTTTATTATATTATTGCTTTTCACTTTCATCAGTGTCTTTCCTTTGTTTTATGGACACAACTCTTGTTTTTCCTTACTTGGGTTTCTATATCTATTTTAATTTTAAATGATAACAACAGTTTGAAGCATTAGGAAAGATGACCTTAAAGCCGATCTGACTAGTGATTTTCAAAGCATTCTCCATGAACCCTGGTGGAATGTTTTTCTGGTTGTACTAAGAGGAAAGGGTGTGCTAAGTGGTCAGATAACTAAATCTCTCAGATCTAGCCAGCCTTCTTCAAGAGTTGGTTAGTGGCAGAGACCAAATTTTTTACATTGTCTTCTAGACATTATATCGCTTTAATAATTTTGATGATATAAGTGTCCGTCATTGAGCGAGTGTTCTTTTGAAAGGTGCTAATAGAGATTAAACTTTCTAGCCAGAACTGACCCTATGTATTTTTATAATCTCCTTAATAATGAGAGACCTTATTGAGGGAAAAATATAATTCTGCCTGATGATTGGAGTGTAAAAAAAAAAAAACAGTGTGGAAGTAAAAATAGTATGTTTAAAAACTGGCATTCTAGAGGGACTTTTAGATGATTTTAAAGATAAATGCCAAAGAGGAGCTTAAAATAATATGGAAACTTGTTGCCGTCATTGATGTAAGTTTAACAGTCTCCCAGCAGCACTATTCCAAGCAGAGTATGAAGTCAGCTGTGGAAATATTGGTAAAATTAGAATTAGTCTTGTGACTTCTTTTGGCCGTACCTTTTTCCTTAGCAATAGAAGTTCATGCAGTGTAATATTTGGTGAAATTAAAGTAGTCAAATGGATAGAATACTAAAACAAACAAACAAAAAACTATGTTTTTACTTCCCTGGATTTCTTGTGGCTGAAGGCCCTTTTATCTTCCTACCTGATTTAATAAAAATAGTATGTATCATAACTATAGGCATTTCAGCTACTTTTTTGAGAGGAAAACTGTTCTGTTTTATTTTTCTTTCTTTGCCAATGTTGCGGCATTCAAATACCTAAGCAAGATGTTAGTGTTAAAGTTTATTTCAAATTAAGAGTAGCATTCCAGGATCTCCAAGTACATTATGATAGCACTGTATAAAGTATATGACAAATCATCAATTTTACTGATCGTTGAAAACTCATCTTAACTATGCAAATCCTAAAATAATTCAGTACATATGTTTGAGGGAACATTGTTTCCTCATGAGTCTTCCCCCGGAGAATGTCATATTGAAAGAAAAAAATAAGAACTTTTCAATAAATCTTTGTTTTAGTTATCTTTGGCCACATAACTACTACAAAACACTGGCATAAAACAACCATTTTGTTATATTAGTGATTTTGTGGGTCAGAAATTTGGGCAGGACACAATGAGGGATATTTCATTTTTGCTCTATAATGACTGATGCCTTAGCTGATTGGGTCAATTGGCTAGAATTGCTGGGACAGCTAGCTCAAAACAGATGTTTTTTAAAGTTCAAAAATAGGCAACCTAATAATATTATTTGAAGATTTATTCATAGATTGTTTAAAAACAAAAACAAAAAACCAAGAACATACAACTAAAAAGCAAGGGAATTATTTGTGCAGAATTCTAGATCTTGGTTTCATCTTGATGTTAGGCAAGGAAATCAGATTGCAGAAGGTAAGGTCATTTTCTTTTTCTTTGCCTGGTAAGTGTATGCAAGAGTATCCATTTAATTGTTATTCTTTAATCTCAAAAGAAACATTTATTGTAATTTTTTGTCCTGACTTTTAAAAATTCTGCTTGAATTTTAACATGATATTATGTAGATAAGAGTTAATTTAACATTCATTTTGTATATTCTGTGGTATTTAAGTAGTTCCAATTTCAGCTACATAAGATTGGGTTTTTTTGTTTGTTTGCTTGTTTTCTTTTTTAATTTGTGTTTGTTGCCCCCAGTCTCTCAGGTCAATATAAATTCCTAGGCTGTAACTCCTGATTTTCCAGTTCAGTTTGTTTTTGGTATGGCTCAGGAATCTGCATTTTAAAAACTCCTACAGGTTATTCTGACATATGTCCAGGTTTGAGAACTACTGTATCTATTATCCAAACCTTATACTTGTTAGGAAAAGTATTAGCAAGTGTCAGGAATATTCTGGGACAAAGGTATACACTTTTAATGAGAGGATTATATGCAGTGATTGAATAGTTGAGAAGCCAAACAGGGAGGCACAGTCAGAAGCCACTACATTTCTGGGCTGGGGGTACTAGAGCTCAAGGACCTGGGTCACCTGGCTGGGGCCGAAGCTATGGAAAAGAAACTGAGAGGAATTAGTAGAGATATCCTGTCTTTTCTCTTTTTCCTTTCTTCTGATATTTTGGTAATATCTTCTATTGGCTGACCTTGATAAAAATCTTTGTGCAGCCTGCAAGGTTTAATCCCCGGAAATACAAAGCAGAGCAGGAAAAGGATAGATCTGAAGATAGGCAGGTCTAGGACCTGAACTGATGTTCAGCTAGACAGGCAATGTCTTAATTCTTAATTGATTTGCTTCTCATACTTTGGGCTGTATCCGTTGGGAATCAAAAATGCAAAATGTTAAAAATTACAGACAATGGAGCTGTACAACTTGTATTCAAAATCCAGCTCTACCCTTACTCACTGTGTGACTCTGGGATAATTACTTAATCTCCATGCTTGTGTCCTCATTTGTAAAATGATGAGAATAATTATCTGCCTCGTCACTTAAAAACTGTGCACCAGGAAGACTAAGCAAATTCCTGTGGCCATAAAAGGATATTTGAAATTTTCAAGAGAAACAGTGATACCCAAAACCTGCTGTACACAGCCAAACTACTATTTCAAGGTGGTTAGTGGTTTCAGCATTAGATCATGTATTATTTCCTTCAGTGGTGTCATATCTTTACAAAGCTTGATTTTTTTAGTGATCATGAAAAAAAAAGTATCACATGAAAATCAACGTAGAACAGTAAATAAGATGATAGTATTCAACCTGATTTTCAAAATTGGAAAAGTTGTGCAGTGTCTAACAGGCATATATATACCTTTGGTAAGTATATTGGTCCATTCTCACATTGCTATTAATATAACAAATACCTGAGACTTGGTAATTTATGAAGAAAAGAGGTTTCATTGACTATCAGTTCCATAGGCTGTATAGGTAGCATGGCTGGGGATGCCTCAGGAAACTTACAGTCATGGCGAAAGGTGAAGGGGAAGCAAGCGTGTCTTCACGTGGCTGGCAGGAAGAGGAGAGAGTGAAGAGGGAAGTGCTACACAGTTTCAGACAACAAAATCTCATGAGAACTCACTATCATGAGAACAGTAAGGGGGAAATCCATACCCCTGATCCAATCACCTCCCACTAGACCACTCCCCTTACACATGGGAATTACAATTTGACATGAGATTTGGGTGGGGACATAGAGCCAAACCAAATCAGTAAGTAAGTATGATTATTTGAGAATAAAATAAAAATATTATTTCTGGCGAGGCGGCGATGAAAAGAGGTTGATTAATGGATACAAATATACAACTATATAGAAGAAATAAAGCAATGTTTGGAGCAATATTGTGACTATAGTTAATAGTAATATATTGTACATTTCAAAATAGCTAGAAGAAAATAATTTGAATGTTCCTAGCATAAAGAAAATATATTTAAGGAAATTGATAATTACCCTAATTTCATCTTATGCATTATATGAATGTATTAAAATATCATATGTGTTTGAAAATATGTGTATTATGTGTCAATAAAAAATTATTTATCCTTTTATTTAGTATGTATTTCAAGTGACTGCTCAAAATTGTTAAGACATATGTACTTATTAGGCCCTAACTACATAATAAATGGAACTCTTAGATATTTATTTTGGCTTGGGGGTCATGTGAAAATATTACTGAGACATTAGGAGTGCAGTAAGCGAGCAACTTTTGTACATCATAACATTGTCAGGAGAATTAACTGAGCTAATAAATGTTAAATAATTAGAAAAGTGCCTAGCAGGTAATAAGTGCTATGTAAGTGTTACCTATTATGGGCCAAAGTAAATGATCAATAGAATTGCAGTTCTAGCTACTATATTGCTATTACCATGACAACAAGGGAAAACTGTCCTGGGGCTTTTATGGGATTGGTATGGGATACCAAACAGTACTTCATGCTCACATCTCCTACTAAGGTATATTAGTGATACACATGGGTAATGTCTGTGAGCAAGGGTTACCATATTTGAGAACTGCACTGTCCAATATAGTAGCCACTAGCCACATGTGGCAGCTAGTTAATCACTTGACATGTGGCTCATATGACTGAGGAACTAAATTCTAAATTTTAATTTAAATATAAAAACAATACTTGATTTAGTTATTGGAAAACTTTTAAGCATTTTTGAACAACTTTAGCATATAAATTGCCTCTTTCACTGTGTATTTTATGAACTATAAATGCTATACTTAGTATTTCTAAATACTGTATTAGTATGATGTGTACTAGAATACTGTATTTCTATATGCTATATACTAACTAGAATATTATAATATTTCTAAATACCGTATCAAGTATTTCTGATGAAATGTTGGTGTTTGAATTGAGATGTGCTGTGAATGCACACTGATTTCAAATACTTAGTATAAATAAAGAATGTAAACAAATTTGCATGTATAAATATGTCCATCGTGGTATATCTGAATATAAAAATTATTAATGAGACATAAATTTGTTGATTTCTATAATTTTTCAGGGGGCAAAATTATTGAAAATTGAATAAATGAATTGAAAAGTTCTACATATTTGAAATTGTAGATATTGCCACAGTTAGACAATTTATAATAACAGTTTTAATTTTGTTTTGTGACTGATTTTCATAATTCCTTAGGACACAGATTTTGTTCATGAAAAGGAATCTTTCTGAAAAATGGAGGCATTTATGCCTTTCACTGGTTTATGAAATGAATTCATACTTTAATGTCATAAATGTCAGTCAATTTGCATCTTTTGTAATTTGACCCAAAAATGAAGCTTTATGTAAGTTCAAAACCTAAGAACACTTAAGATTGATCGGTAATTTAAACTGAGCTTCTTGTGGGGAATGAAAGTACCATTTACAAATACGGAACTAAAAACTCATTCTCTCGTTATTGGGTTGCTGATGTCTTTGTCCCATAATCAACTTTTAGTGGTACAGTAGATGGCTTACAGGCAAAATGAGTTAACAAGGCGTTACGAGATTTTTTGCATTATGTTTTATTTTCAAATCATTTACTAACAAGTCAACCAAGGGTTTAGGATCAACCATACAAATAATCAAAGGAAAGTTGTTGAGTAGCTTATTTTAACCAACAATTGCTGGTTAAAATAATCAAAATAGGGCAGCTATAATATTGATTTTAAAGTTTTTAAGTTGTCAAAATATGTCTTTGGGCTTTCAAATTCTTGGTAATTTGTATTTAGTTGAAGATAGCAATAAGAGTATTTGGGGGAATAAACACTATTTGGTTTATTCTATAAATCTTATCATCCACTGGTTTAAAAACCTTCAGTCACTTCTCATACTTTTCAGGATGAAATTCAAAATCCTTTGTAATCGGTTGAAAGCCATTAATGATATGGTCCCTGTCTTTCTTCTCTTTGCATAGTTGCCTCTTATGCAGTATTCCTGCCCCATGAACAATGAGACCTCCTCATATTTCCACTTAATACTGACCTCAGGGAGACAAGGAAGCTCCATCAGAATTTCCCCTACTTGCATTTCTGCCTGTATACTTCCTAGCAAGGAAAGTTGGGGTAATTTTTGGCTGACCTAATTGGTTTCCCATCTGTCTACGATCACCATTCTGCCTTGCTTGTCATCCAGTATCTGAAATCCCTTGTTCATAGATTTTGTCTGGGTTTTTAGTTGATTCAGGCCAGTGGATAACTCTGCCCTCTGTTTCTCCATTTTGCCTGAAGTGAAAGATCCACCTCCCTTTAATTTTATTCCATTGTATTAGCCTTGTAAGTAAAAATATAACATCCATGCACATTTTAAACCACTTATTCTAAACTATAATTTTTTTAGAGAATGTACATTTATCTTTATTTTGGCATTTTATGGGTAGATAACTAATATTAGAGAAAGTCCCTATTTACTTTGCTTCTTTTATATTCCACAAAATGAAAGTTATTTTTAATGGTGTTTTACAATTTATTTTAGTTAATCTTTACAATAAACTTTTGTGATAGGTATTTTTATTTATCCCATTTTATTATTAGAAAAAAAAAGCATCACTAAGGTTAAGTAACTTATCTTCCAACATGCCACTCTCCCACAAAACTCAATACCTCTAAGTTAATCTTGAACACAAATAATATTTTGATAATCTTTTTTTCAGACTGCTCTGTCTTCACCCTTTCTTTGTTATTTCTCTCTTTTACTTTCTTCATTTAAACTGTATTAAACTCACCATTCTGTGAAGCTATCTCCTACCAGAAAAGGGACCATCCTTTCCTAGAAATCTTATAATGCTTTATTATTTGACTAGATAAGTGAGACAATATGAGGTACTAGTCAAGAATTAAGCATGGACTCAGGATTTAGACTGACTCCCTCACAAGCTCACATGAGGAAACCTTAGGTAATTTTTTTTAATGTTTTCAAACTTGAGCTTTTGCATCTAAAAATGAGGATAACAGTGGTACCTATCTTCATAAGCATCTTCCGAGATTTGACAGAGATACTTATAAAGTACTTAGCTAAGAATTTTACATGTTACACATAGTACACATTCAACAAATTAGGATAATTAATATAAGATAATGAAGATGATTATTGCTACTTTTATTTCATTATGTACTTAGCTAAAAATTGAAATACCCTTATGTTTACTCCAGTGACTCAACCCGATACTATATTATAATATGTAAATATATTAATTGCTAAATTAGGTTTTAGTTTCTGTGATGGGAAGGTTTATGCTTCTTAAATATTGTATTTTCTTGTTGCCTTGTGTTTTAAAGGAAGGGTCAGTAAGTATTCATGAATGGATAAGTCGTGTCTTTACATCACTAAAGAGTTAATGCTTCTCAGTATGTATATCGTGTTATATAATTTAGTTCTGTCACCCTATTACACAGATAATGCTATTGTGTGATCTTGTACTAATTTGCTACTACACTAAGGAGATTTTTTTTTTTACTTTTAAGTTCAGAAATACACATGCAGGTTTGTTATATAGGTAAATTGCATGTCATGGAGGTTTGGCGTATAGATTATTTCATCCCCCAGGTAATAAGCACAATACCTGATAGGTAGTTTTTCTATCCACACCTTCCTCCTACCCTCCACCCTCAAGTAGGCTGCAGTGTCTGTTTTTCCCCTATGTCCATGTGTATTCAGTGTTTAGCTCCCACTTGAAAGTAAGAACATGTTGTATTTGGTTTTCTATCCCTGAGTTAGTTTGCTTAGGATAATGACCTCCAGCTCCATCCATGTTGCTGCAAAAGACACGATCTTATTCTTTTTTATGGCTGCATAGTATTCCTTGGTCTATATGTACTGCATTGTCTTTATTCAGTGTACTATTGATGGGCATTTAGGTTGATTCTATGTCTTTGCTATTGTGAATAGTGCTGTGATGAACATAGTGTACATGTATCTTTATGGTAGAATGATGTATTTTCCTTTGGGTATATACCCAATAATGAGATTGCTGTGTTGAATGATAATTCTGTTTTAAGTTCTTTAAGAAATCACCAAACTCCTTTCCACAATGGCTAAACTAATTTACATTACCACCAGCAGTGTATAAGCATTTCCTTTTCTCTCCAACCTTACTAGCATCTGCTATTTTTGGACTTTTAAAAAATGCCCTGGTTTGAGATGGTACCACATTATGGTTTTGATTTGCATTTCTCTAATATTTAGTGATGGTGAGCATTTTTTCATATGCCTTTGGCCACATGTATCTCTTCTTTTGAAAAATGTCTGTTCATGTAGATGTTTTAGAAGTTACTCTCCTTTTTTTAAAAAAAAAAATGATGTTTTTCCTACATCATTTGCTTCTTTCTCAGAAAAGTAGCACAGAGTAGCCTATGTAACAGTCCAGAGGCAGTGTGCATGGCTGATTCAGCAAAATTAATTATTGATTCAAAAGCCAAATCAACCTTCTCTTAGTTGGTTCTCTTTGTCCAGAAAATCATCTTCAATTCTGTTTTTTACCTGCCAGAAAAAGCATCTTCTCTCTTGTTATCAGTGACCTTTGACTTGTCAGTAACATTCAAAACTTTGCTATTTCTGCATCACTAATAAAATATATCAGGTCAACCACCTTGTCAATTTGAGCCCTTTTTTTCCCCTATTTTCCTTGCATTATTTGTGGCTGGGGGTGTAAGAGAAGAATTTCAGGGATTTCTGCAGATATTTTGGTGAAAGGATAATTCTTAAATCAACACTATCAGATCTGGATTTTTCTTCATCCTTTTAAACAAAGCTTTCCTTCAATCACCTTTGAAATATATCTTGTTTTTCTAAGGTTCTGTGACTTTCTAACCTCCCATTTGTTTCTCAGTAGAGCAGATCTCTGGTATTTCTATTAACTAGAGGAATATTTGAAGCAAATTTGAAGAGATGGCAAAATTACTCCCTTTTCATATTATTCTTCCACCCTACCAAATCTTATATTCTCAAGCAAAGGAATGAATGAGAATTATCCTTTTTTGGTCCTGCCTCCTTTTGCTAAACAAGAAACATGCTATTTTGACTAGAGTTTTGCTTCAAAGTTTACAAATAACCCTCTCAGCAGTAAATTTTGTAAGTAAGAAAGCTGCTAACTTTAGGTTGAACATTCCTTTTTACTAACTCCAAATTCCTAAACATTTCTATCCAGAAATTGTTACAGGCTAATTTTATATTTGGCTAGGTCATCAATTTTCTCATATAAATTAGTCGTTACTGCAGGGCTCTGAGATTTTCATGCCATCCGGAATGAATAAGACTTTTTTCATAATAACTCACAAAGCCCCATTTGTCACATATACTAGGTAGTATCAAGTGCTCCAGGAATCAACATTAGCATTATGTTGCTAGCCAATCTATTCAACACAGTAGTCTCTTGGTTCCTTGGCTTCCATAACTCTCTGAATTTTTCTTCCATTCTACCTTAGCCATCTACTCACATGATTATAATCTAGATCTCTAACATTTCACACTCTGGTCATCATTTCCTGTACCACTTGATCCCTTAAAAAAATAAGTGCACTATTCTTCAGCCCATGGGGACCTCCCACCTCTAGTCACTGCCCAATGACTATAATTGTTTTTCACTCCATCATGGTGAGACACTTTGTAAGTACCCTTAACTTCCTTCCTTTTTCTTCCTCTGCTATATTACTGGGCAAAACTGTCACATTTTGCTAAACCCACCTAACTCCATAATGTATATGTTCAACTGAACATTATTAGAGAAAACCCTGTAATTGTACTGGCTGGCCTAACTTCAAATTTGCTTCTACAAATTCATTTGCTCAACTGATATTTATTTGGCACCAACGATGTGCAAGGCATGCTCTCAATGTGAAGGTATATTAGTGAACAACAACAAAAATGTCTTTGCCCTCATAGGGGATATACTCAAGTGGGAGGCAGACAATGAATGAAATATAAAATGTATGTGAAGTTATCAACAAGTGCTAAGGAAAATATAAAGAAGGGAAAGGGAATAGGAAATGTTGGTGGGAGGAGTGGGGAGGAATTGCAATTTTAGCTAATAGGGAAGGCATCACAGATTTCAAAGAACATTTAGTACTGCCAGTAAATTGCCATTCCCGTTCTCTTAAACTTGACTTTCTTTAAATCTGTAACTCCCTTACCTTATTTTTATTTCTCAGCTACCTACCTAGTTCACAGATAAAAGAGATACAATGAAACATTAACTGTCTCACATTTTTGCCATTAGCTCCACCATCCTACCTGTATCTGTATGAGTTTATTATGTCTTCCCTTTAGTTGTAATGAAGTATCTCTTTTTTAAAGAAAATTTCTTCACTTAAGCACTGAATCCTATAGTCTTTTTCCTTTCTAGTGAACTTTGCTTCTAGAATTTTTCCCTGCCTGGGTTATCAGTCTCTCCCCGTCTATGGGAGCATCCTCATCAATAAACTAACATTTTTAATATCACAACTTCAAAAATGCTCTCAGGATCCCATATTCCTTTGCAGCTTGGCTTTACATTTTCTTCCACTTTATAAAAAAAACTCCTTAATAAAGTTGTCCACGTCCACTCCCTCCAGTTCTTCACTTTCTTTCCACTCCTGCAATCACTCCAATTGAGTTTTCATCCTCACTACTTTACTGAAATAACTACATTTTCCTTCTAGCTACAATGTTTTCTCTGGTCTTCTGTAACTTCAGAGTCACTGGTTTCCCTCATTCACTCTGCCTCTTGGTCTCCTCCTCCTCTAACAGACTTCTAATTTTGGAGTGCCTCCAGCCTTGGTCCTTGGCCTTTTTCACTGTCTACACTTTTGCAAAATATGATCCCATGGCTTCTGAGGTCATCTCTTGACTGATACCTTTGTAATTTATATCCCCAGCCCTAACCTTTCCCCTAAGCTCCACTGAAGTTTAGTCTAATTAGCTACTTGAAATTGCTACTCAGTAGGCTGAAAACCGAAAGATATTTTCCTTTTCACCTCCATCCTCCATTTCCTATCTCAGTAATTGGCACCCAGTTGCTTAGGCCAAGAAAGCAACAAGTCATTCTTTTGTTTGTTTGTTTAATTTTTGTAGATACATAGTAGGTGTATATATTTATGAAGCACATGAGATGTTTTAATACAAGTGTGCAATGTGAAATAAGTACATCGTGGAGAATGGGGTATGCGTCCCCTCAAGCATTTATTCTTTGAGTGAAAATCAATCTAATTGTACTCTTTAAGTTATTTTAAAATATACAATTAAGTTATTGACTATAGTCACCCTATTTTACTGTCAAATTCTAGGTCTTATTAACTCTTTCTATTTTTTTTCTTTTGCATCTATTAAACATCCCCTCATGGCCCCAACCCCCAGCCCCATCTCCTACCCTCCCTCCCCCCGCCAACTACCCTTCTCAGTCTCTGGTAACCATCCTTCTACTCTATATCTACATGAGTTCAATTGTTTTGATTTTTAGGTTCCACAATAAGTGAGAACATGTGATGTTCCTGGCTTATTTCAGTTAACATAATGACCTCCAGTTCCATTCATGGTATTGCAAATGACACAATCTCATCCATTCTTTTTTATGGCTAAATAGTACTCCATTGTGTATAAGTACCACATTTTCTTTATCCATTTATTTGTTGATGGACACTTGGTTGCTTCCAAATCTTGGCTATTCTGAACAGTGCTACAACAAACATGGGAGTGCAGATATCTCTTCAATATACTGATTTCCTTTCTTTTGGGTATATACCCAGCAGTGAGATTGCTGGATTATATGGTAGCTCTATTTTTAGTTTTTTGAGGAACCTCCAAACTGTTCTCTATAGGGTTGTGCTACTTTACATTCCCACCAACAGTGTATAAGAGTTCCCTTTTCTCTACATTCTACCAGCATTTGTTATTACCTGTCTTTGGATATAAACCATTTCAACTGGAGTGAGATGACATCTCATTGTAGTTTTGATTTGCACTTCTCTGATGATCACTGATGTTGAGCATCTTTTTATATACCTGTTTGCTATTTGTATGTCTTCTTTTGTGAAATGACTAGTCAGATCTTTTGCTGACTTTTTATATCGGATTATTAGATTTTTTTCCCCCATGAGTTATTTGAGCTCCTTATATATTCTGGTTGTTAATCCCTTGTCAGGTGGGTAGTTCATAAAGTATTTTCTTCCATTCTTTAGGTGTCTCTTCACTTTATTGATTGTATACTTTGCTGTGCAGAAGCTTTTTAACTTGATATGATCTCATTTGTCCATTTTTGCTTTGGTTGCCTTTGCTTGTGAGGTATTACTTAAGAAATCTTTGTCCAGTTCAGTGTCTTGGAGAGTCACTCAAATGTTTTCTTTTATT
The DNA here is from genome assembly GCF_000001405.40 of Homo sapiens. Classification (NCBI taxonomy): domain Eukaryota; kingdom Metazoa; phylum Chordata; class Mammalia; order Primates; family Hominidae; genus Homo; species Homo sapiens. Next base: position 28,254,601 of record NC_000011.10, read on the forward strand.
AGCTTCATAGTTTGAGGTCTTAGGTTTAAGTCTTTAATTCATTTTGATTTGATTTTTGTATATGGCAAGAGATAGGGGTCTTCATTATTCCGCAAATGGATATACAGTTTTCTAGCGCCATTTATTGAAGACTCTCCTTTCCCCAGTATATTTCTTGGAAACTTTGTGTAAAATGAATTCACTGTTGATGTATAGATTTTTTTCTGGATTCTCTATTCTCTTCCATTGGCTTGTGTGTCTGTTTAGGCTGTTTTGGTTACTATTATCTCTGTAGTGTAATTTGAAGTGAGGTAAGAGTGATTGCTTTAGTTTTGTTCTTTTTGCTCAGGATAGCCTTGGCTATTCTAGGACATTTGTGGTTCCATATAAATCTTAGGATTGTTTTTTTCTATTTCTGTGAAGAATGTCTTTGATATTTCGGCAAGGATTGCATCGAATCTGTAGATCGCTTTGGGTACTGTAGGCATTTTAACAATATTCTTCCATTCCATGAACATGGAATATCTTTCCATTTTTTGTGTGTCCTCTACAATTTCTTTCATCAGTGTTTTATAATTTTCTTTATAGAGATCTTTCACTACTTTGGTTAAATTAATTGCTAGGTATTTAATTTTATTTATAGCTGTTATAAATTGGATTACTTTCTTGATTTCTTTTTCAGATAGTTTTCTATTGACATATAGAAATGCTACTGATTTTTGTATGTTGATTTTGTAGAATGTGTTTATCAGTACTAATAGTTTTGTTGGGTGGAATCTTTAGGATTTTCTAAATATAAGATCATATCATCTGCAAACAAGGATAATTTGACTTCTTTCTAATTTGGATGCTCTTTGTTTCTTTCTTTTGTCTCACTACTCTATCTAGGACTTCCAGTACTGTGTTTAATAACTGTGGTGAAAGTAGTCATCCTTGTTGTGTTCCAGATCTTAGAGAAAAGGCTTTCAGTTTTTCCCCATTCAGTATGATATTAGCTGTGGGTCTATCATATATGGTTTTTATTATGTTGAGATGTTTTCCTTCAGTACCCAGTTTTTTAAAGAGTTTTTATTATAAAGGTATATTGAATTGTATCAAATGCTTTTCAGCATCGATTGAAATCATCATATGGCTTTTCTTTGAGACGGAGTTTCGCTCTTGTTGCCCAGGCTGGAGTGTAATGGCACGACCTTGGCTCACCGCAACCTCCACCTCCCAGGTTCAAGCGATTCTCCTGCCTTAGCCTCCCAAGTGTCTGGGATTACAGGCATGTGCCACCACTCCCAGATAATTTTGTATTTTTGGTAGAGATGGGTTTTCTCCATGTTGGTCAGGCTGGTCTCGAACTCCCAACCTCAGGTGATCCGCCTGCCTCGGACTCCCAAAGTGCTGGGATTACAGGCATGAGCCACCGTGCCTGGCCAATTGATTTTCATATGTTGAATCATTCCTAAATCCCAGGGATAAATCCCACTTGGTCATGATGAATGATCTTTTTAATGTATTGTTGAATTCAGTTTGCTAGTGTTTTATTGAGGGTTTTTGCATTAATATTTATTGGACATACTGGCCTGTAGTCGGTTTTGATGTGTCTTTCTCTTGTTTTGGTATCAGGGTAATACTAGCCTCACACAGTGAGTTTGAAAATATTCCCTTATCCTCTTTCTTAGAATAGTTTGAGTAGAATTTGCATTAGTTCTTCCTTAAATTATGTTTGGCGGAATTCAGCAGTGAAGCCATTGATAGGGTCTTAGGCTTTTTGTTTATTGGGAGACTTCTTTATTATGGCTTCAATCTCATTACTTGTCATTTGTCTTTTTGGGTTTTGGATTTATTCCTGGTTCAATCTTGGTAGGTTATATGCATCTAAGAATTTATCCATTTCTTCTAGATTTTTCAATTTATTGGCATATAGTCATTCATAGTAGTCACTAATGATGCTTTGGATTTCTGTTGTATCAGTTATAGTGTCTCCTTTTTCATCTCTGATTTTATTTACTTGAATCTTCTCTCTTTTTTTGGTTAATCTGGCTGAAGATTTGTCTATTTATGTAACTTTTCAAAAAACCAACTTTTTATTTCATTGTTCTTTTATATTGTTTTCTTTATTTCAATTTCATTTATTCCTAGTCTAATCTTTATTATTTATTTTCTTCCACTAATTTTGGGTTTGCTTTGTCCATGCTTTTCTAGTTCTCTAAGATTCATCATTGGGTTATTTATTTGAAGTTTCTCCTCTTCTTTGATGTAGGCATTTACAGCTGTAAAATTCCCTCTTAGTACGCTTTTGTTTTATCCTACAGGTTTTGTTATGTTGTGTTTCCATTATAATTTGTTTCAAGAATTTTTCAGTTTCCTTAATTTCTTCATTGTCCCACTGGCCATTTAGGAGTATATTTTGTACTTTGCATGTATTTGTATAGTTTCCAAAATTCCACTAGTTTTATTCTTTTTCTTTCCGATTGAAGTACTCCCTTGGGCATTTCTTGTCGGATGGGTCTGGTGTTCATGGAATCCTTTGGCTTTTGTTTATCTGAGAAAGTCTTTTCATGTATGAAGGATATTTTTACTGGATATACTATTCTAGGATAAAATATTTTTTTCTTTCAGCACTTGAAATCTTCATGCCACTCTTGCCTGGCTTGTAAGATTTTGACTGAAAAGTCTGCTGCTAGTTCTATTGGAGCTCCATTGTATGTTTTTTGCTTCTTTTCCTTTGTGGCTTTTAGCATCCTTTTTAAAATCTTTGTCCTTTGGGAGTCTGATGATTAAATGCCTTGAGGTAGTCTTCTTTGGGTTAAATCTGTTTGGTGTTCTATAACTTTCTCGTACTTGAAAATTGATATCTTCCTCGAGATTTGGGAAGTTATCAGTTATTATCCCTCTGAATAAACTTTCTATCCTTATCTGTCTCTCTAGACCTTCTCTTTAAGGCCAGTAACTCTTAGATTTGCCCTTTGGGGCTATTATCTACATCCTGTAGGCATGCTTCATGTTTTTTAATTCTTTTTTTTGTCTCTTCTGTGTATTATCAAATAGCCTGTCTTCAAGCTCACTAATTCTTTCTTCTGCTTGATCCATTCTGCTATTAACAGATTCCGATGCATTCTTCAGTATGCCAATTGCATTTTTCAGCTCCAGAATTTCTGCTTCTTTTTAATTATTTCAATCTCTGTAAAATTTATTTCATAAAATTCAGAATTCCTTCTGTGTGTTATCTTGAATTTCTTTGAGTTTCCTCAACATAGCTATTTTGAATTCTCTGTCTGAAAGGTCACATATTTCTAATTCTTCAGGATTGTTCCCTGGTGCTTTACTTCATTTGGTGAGGTCATGTTTTCCTGGATCATCTTGATACTTGTAGATGTTCTTCTGTGTTTGGTCATGGAAGAGTTATGTATTTATTATAGTTTTCATAGTCTGGGCTTGTTTGTACCCATCTTTCTTGGGAAGGCTTTCCAGAGATTTGAACAGACTTGGAAGTTGTGATCTAAGCTATATCTGCTTAATGGGACACCCCATGCCCAGTAAAACTGGTTTTTGCAGGCTTGAAGAGGTACTGCCTTGATGGTCATGGACAAGATTCAGAAGAATTCTCTGGATTATTAGGCAGAGACTTTCACTCCCTTCCCTTACTTTCTTCTAAACAATGGGGTATCTCTCTCTGTTCTGAGCTACCTGGAGCTGAGGTTGGTGTGATATAAGCATCACTGTTGCCACCACCACTGTGACTATGCTGGGTCAGACCTGAAGCCAGCACAGCACTGGATGTTGCCCAAGGCCTCCTATAACTACTCCCTGTCTACTGCCTATGTTCACTTCAGGCCCTGAGGCTCAACAGTCAGCAGGTAGCAAAGCCACCCAGGCTTGTGTCCTTCTCTGCAGGAAAATGAATTCCCTCTGGGTTGATCCAGAGGTGCTATCTAGGAGCCAGGGACTATAGTCAAAAATCTTTGAAGTTTGTCTGGTGTTTTAGTGTACCGTAGCTGAGCTGGCACTCAAACCACAAGACACAGTCGTTCCTACTATTTTCTCCCCTTTCCAAAGGCAGAGGAGCCTCACTCCATGGCCACCACAACCATGGGCCCATGGGGAATACTGCCAGACTACTGCTGATATTCCCTTAAGGTACGAGGGCTCTTTTGTCAGCTTGTGGTAAATGCTGCCTGGCTTAGGACTCACCCTTGAGGGCAGTGGACTCCCCTTTGGCCCAGAGCAGATCCAGGAATGCTGTCCAAGAGCCAAATCCTAAAATGTGGGACCTTAAGAGCCTACTTGCTACTCTGCCCTCCTGTGGCTAAGCTTGTACCTAAGGTGCAAGACAAAGTCCATTTTACTTTTATGTCTATTTTTCTCAAGCAGCAGGAGTCTGGCCCCATAGCCAGTACAGCTGGGAATTTGCTGAGTCTCAGCTGAAGCCAGCAAGTCTCACAGTTTTATCCAGGGCCCTCTACATAGTACCTGGGTATCACTGCTTGTTATTCAGGGACCAGTGGCTCTCCAGTTAACAGGTATGATGAGTCCTGCCATGACTGGGTCCTTGCCTAAGGCAGCGGGTTCCCTTCTGGCTTACACCGTGTCTAGAAATGTCATCCAAGAGCTAGAGCCTGGGAGGGTGGCCTTATGATTGACCAGTACCCTGTCTTGCTATGGCTACGCTGGTTTCCAAGATGCAAGACAACGTCTTTCCCATTTGTCCTGCCCTCTCCTCAAGCAGAAGGGACAGGTCTCCTTTAGAGTCATGAGGTGTGTAGCCTAGCGTTAGGGGAGGGATGATGCCAGCAGTCCCTTAGCCGCCCCGGCCTGTGTCTGAGTACATCATGTACCCGCCAAGTCCAGTGATTCTGGGCCCAGTTCAACACTAGGACATGCCTGGGAGTTGCAGTCCTTGTGGCACAGACTGCCTTTCAAGTTCATGTAGGGGCCCAGAGCTCTTTATCCGTTGGTGGTGAGACTTGTGCATAGGTACTTAAGTTCTGACCTGGCTATAGCTGGTTTAAATGTTCTCTCCATTGCACATGTCAGCTGAATTTGGTCTGGTTTCACTTTCTGCTGTAAAAGGGCAGCACTGACTTCAGTGCCTCATAAATGCTGCACTTTCTTTCTCCCCTGAGCATAGAAACACTCTCCATACCACGCCTCTACTGCAGGTGATTCAAGGCTGTTTTTCCTACCTCCTCAGTGCCTCTTTCAGTGATATGAAGTTAAAACCAGGTACTGTGAGTACTCACCTGACTTTTGGTTCTTATGCAGGTGCTTTTCTTGTGTAGATAGTTAAATTGGTGTCCTTGCAGTAGGGGAACATCAGTAGAGCCTTCTATTCTGCCATCTTGTTCCACTTCCCCAACAAGTCCTTCTTGACTCCTCTTCCTCACCAATACTTCTGATTACTTTAAAATATACTCCTTATACAGCCACTTCTCACCATCCCTACTGCTGTAAATTTAGTAAAACTGCCATCATCTGTAGCCTGGCTTACTGCAAAAGTCTTCTAATTTTTCTGTCTGCCTCAGTTGGGCTTTGGTAATCTATTCAACCTCATCTTTCTCTAAGCTTCTTCTTGTTCACAGTGTTCCAAACATACTGTCCTTTCTGTACTAAGAACATATCAGTTTCATTTCCATATCAGGCACTTAGCTCTTGTTATTCCTTTTGCATAGAACGTTCTTCCCTGTTTCATAGATGTCACTTTCTGGTCATTCAGGCTCAAACATTTCAGCCTTTAGCTAAGGGCTTTTTCTTCATACTGCTGCTGAAATGACCCCTTTTTATCACTACCTCCGCTATCACTCTCCTCCATTTACCATATTTTATGTTCTCTATACTAGTTATCATTACCTGGAACTATCCTATTTATTTATGTCTTTCAATACTTATTACCTCTTTCCTCCCACTAGAATTGCAGCTGTCAGGGAGAATAAGTCTGCTGTCTTATTTACTTCTTCCCTCTGTTTTCTGGGATATGGTAAGTGATCAACAACTATTTGTTGACTGATTCGTTCCCAGAGCAAACTAAAGACAGAAAAGAGCTACTACCCCCAGTCTCTCTACAGTTGAGCAGATAAATGCATTTGAAGAGGAAACTAAAAGTATTATAGACACAGAAAACCTTTTCTAAGCAAAATAGCAAGATTTTTGTTAAAATAGGGAAGAATATGGGGGCTCTAGGATTATGAGAACACATATTATGCAACTGGAGCCTTGAGGAATCATAGATGTTGTGCTGGCAGGCTCACTTCTTACCCAGGTATTACCAAAAGAATCTGAAATTTACTTTGATTGAGCCATAACCATAGGCTGTAGGGTAGGAATGGCAAGTAGACTATAGTTTGAGTTAAGGCCTGTTGGTTGGTAGTTACTGTACCTGGGTCATTTTTATTTATTTATTTTTTATGGTTTATGGGCTTCAAAGGAAGACCTGCTGTAGATATGGGAACCAGGGGTGGTAATATAAAAGTCACGTGTTTGTCTTTTATCATCTGGAATCCATAAACAAAATGGCATATTTCACACAGTTTCTTGATCAGAATATAATATCTGAAGATTCCGTGAACTTTGAATCTCTGGCATTTTAATTTACTTTCTGGTAAAGCAGACTATAGTAAATCCCAATTAACCAAGACCTGTGTTTTCTCTGGCTCAAAGAAATAAAGAAAAACACCAACCAAAACAAAACACAATTACATTAGAAGCTACCTACTTTGAGAGCTTCTTTGGAGATTTTAGTGGGGAAGCACAGCTACTCATAAACCCTTGACTGGAGAATGGTCCTCTTCTTTCAGGGAAAATTGTCGTCTTTGACTAAGTATACAGATCTAGGTGGGACACACATGGAGCAGTGAGGGAGGAAGGGGACACCCACCTTGTCAGCCAGATCAGCTGAATCAACTCTGGTGATCAATGGGTTGACATGTTGCAGCCAGATCATCCTCATGTTTCCTATTTTGTATATTGTAGTTCTTTAAAATAATTAAAGTAGTATTTTAGTAGTAGTAGCAAAGTATTTTTCTTTAGTGTCACTCTCTGTGCTCATGATGTAAGAGATAAATATTTTATATTTTATACCACCCGTAACTGAAGATAACTTTTGAAAGGAGCACATCGACTACAGTTCTTAATACTTCTTTTACGTTTTCTAGAGTCAGGAGTAAAAATAGTTGGCTATTATAATTACATCCATTTCTCTGATACACTGAAGACATTGACATCTGATGTGTTAATAATAATAATAGCTACTATTTACTGACTGCATACTATGTGCTAATCAATGTTCTTAACACTTTGCAAGTGTTATTTAATCTTCATTATAAACTAACCACATAGACCACTATTGCTGTCTATGTTTTTGTAGATGAAGAAACTAAGACATAAAGAGGTTCAGTAGCTTATTCAGATCACAGAGAACTAATCATTGGCAGAGCCAGAATCTAAACCAAGGCAGTCTGGCTCTAAAGTCTACTCTTAAACCACTGTAATGTCTTGCCTATTAGAAGAACACTTAAGGCAGGCCATAAGAGAGCAGATTTAATACAAATCACTAAACCAGTGGATTTGTTAATTTTTGTAAAAAATAAGTCTTGACTGTTTACTATATTGTAGGAATGACCTAGTGCTAGAAAGTTTTCTGATTTTGAATGGCTCACAGTCTACCAAGGGAAGATTAACATGTGAACTGACTATGCAATAACTATAATTATACACATAGATATATATGTATATATACATATATATGACTACTATGTAATAACTATGCATACAGATATATACACTATATAACTACAGAGATATATATGTGTATAGTATAACTGTATAGTATATATATTATATATATGCTATATACACAGATATGTACTTTCATAGTCATAGTTACTACATAGTCTTATATATATGTGTATGCATAAACATTCGCTTCACTGTGAAGTAATGAAAGATGGCATAATTACTTCTGCTAGGGTGAAAAAATATTGTGTTTGAATTCACAGAGATGACATTTTCAGGACTGAGATGTAATAGAAATTCAAGACTAAAAATTTCTCTTCTCACTTTCTAGGTTAATCAGAGATACTGGATCCTACTTGCCATATTCTTTAGGGAGAAATAGCTTTTCATTAGGCAAGTATTTTTATATGATATGCCATCTTTCCTGAGCCAAAACAGTGTGTCTGTATAGTAGCCCACACCTTCTCATTCAGATTAAGCACCTTCATATTTCTGGATCCTTTTCTTGCTATTGTGGCTTTTCATTGGTCGTAGAGAAGAAAGGCAGAGTCATCCAAATGTCCAGGTCTTCTTGGTCTCACATACATGAAGCTTCAAAACTACATCCACAAAGAGGAAACTAATGTACAATGTTTTTATAGATCTTGAGATTTTAATATTTTTAATGTTTATGAGTAGAGTACTTCAATCCATGTCTGTTTTCTTTTTTTTAATTGGGTTATTTCCACTTTCTTCCATTTTAATCTCTTAAAAAATGATTTCCAAACGCTTTACTTCACTGACCTCTTGGTCAGTATATTTTTTTAAAATGTGGTGCTCCGAACTGAACAGTATGTTCATTAGAGTATATACAGTATGGTGACATTCTGTCTTCCTGTCCTCTGGAATTGAGCCTCCTATTAGTAAGAAATGGAGAAATGTCATTGATTCATTTTACATAGGATGTAACATCTTATTAGCTATAGCCACTTCTCTCAAGTTAGATGTAATAATATAAAATGAGACTCTCTATCGTTCACATATTATTGGCATACCTTTTACCTTTTGGTGTTATAGGCATAGATAACATTGATGAAGTGTAATTTAGTTTTGTAGTCAAGGTGATAAAGACAAAAACTAAATCAGAGAGAAAATCGGTTAAATGTATATGTCTTTTTAAACTTCAGTTTTATTGAAACCTGAATATATGATTTATTTTTGTAGACAATAGAATAAGAAGTTAGGTGTCTGTGAATTTTGAAACATTATTATATAATTAATCATTCTCTATTGTAATTGCATTTCTTTCCATTAGAAAGATGTTTTTCGTCTTTCCATCCATAATGTCTTGCTCAGTTTCTGGAACTTAATAGATGTGCAACATTTTTCATGGACCTTTTTCGAATTGAGTAATTGTTCAAAAGCATATTTTTGAAGGTGCTCTGTCAGATTTAATGAAAACAATAATTTTTAATATAGTCTTTTTATATATGTGAATATCTCTGATACTTGGCTTCGTTTTTATCTTTCTTTTTCCTTCATTCTTTCTGTTTTATTTACATATTAAAAGTATGGTTGTATTCTGTCATATATTGCCCTTTGCTATGAACGTAACTTATTATCCTCCCAAGATGATGGTAAGTGTTTTGAGGGCAAGGATCATGTAATATGTCTTCTATATATCTTCCATAGGGCTCAGCCCAATGCTACACATGTAGCATTTAACTTTGTACACCTGAATTGTATTCTCAGCTGTTTAACCACATAGAACCTTAAAATTTAGGCCTACACAGTTTTATGCCTGTCACACAGCTTGTTGATTCTCTGCCACCATAATCCCCGTTCAAATCTTGTGATTCACATTGTGGAAAGAAAACTCTTTTAAAAACATGAAAGCATTTCGTTTGTCTTAATTCTCCAGTATAATATTTTGGATAGAATCACCATAGACTATTTTGTATTTATGTTACTATTTATATTGCAATTCACTTTTACTCCTTACCTGAATTAGTACTTTACATTTGATAATCCTTATTGATATTTTATTATTTCCCCTATTGATTATGAGAAATTTCTGTGCTTTGATAATTAAAGCAATATAATTAGTAGTTGTCTGTTTTTTTAAAATGTAATAATTACTCAAAAATCAAAGTAGAATGAGAACCCTACCTTAAAATATGTTTGTTTGTTTGTTTGTTTTGTAAAGAGCCTCACTACACTGTCTTCCCAGATTCTATAGTTACATGTCACCTGATTATCAATCAATTTAAGGATCAGTTGTGATACAGGAATCCTGTGATGCAGAAGCCAAGAAAAATCATTATGTATCAAGATTTTCCCCTGGGTATTAGAGGATAAACATGTAAAACATTATAGTGCCCTAGAATGCAATTTCCTTACTATATTCCTTTTTGTACCCTCTTCACAGCCCTTTCTAATAGTACTGCAGACCTCATTTCTGAATAGAGTTGGTTCTTCCACAAATTAACAATTTGAGCTTGGACAAATTACCATTCCTTTCTGAATTTCTCTCCTTATCTATACAATGAAGAGTTACTTTGGCCATATGATCAGAGATCTTTTGTAATATTTAAGTTGTAAATGCTGACTGTAGAAAGATATGATCATGCATAAGTGATATGTATGGGAGGAAATATTTTTTTTATTAATCTAAGAATTTATAGTATTGCTTCATATCAATAATAGCTATAATTTATTCATCACTTATATACAATTCTATGTGATTGACGGTGGCCAAGGCAATTATAAAATATGGAATTAGCCAATCAGAGGCTTTGTGAAATGATTCTGTGGTGTGATAAGAGTGTGTAAATGCAAATTATGAAAGATGGCTGCTACCACAGAATACAAGGACAAAACAACACATAAACTTTTAAATCTATAAATATAAGTGTAGAAACAAATCCTGTTTAGTGGATCATAGGGAGACTTGATCCTCATTCCCATCACACTTCTCCCGCCCTTTCTGCTTGTCTCTTTCCCTAAATTCACAAGGTCTCAGCTACTCAATTAAACTGGTAATCTATAGAATATGATGATGAAGGCTATGCCTTGCTGAAAGTAGATGCTCACTGGCATCATCATAGAAAGGATAGAAAGAACTTTGAGAAAAGCATGAAAGAGTTGGTGAGAAAACGAAATTGTCAGTCCTTAGGCCTTCTCTTTATTATCTTTTACATGGAGTGTAGATACACGTGCATGAAAGCCCCAAATACAGTAGTATCTGGATGAGCATCTTAATGAATATTATTATTTTTATAATTAATAAATATTAAAACATACTTATATCATGTCAATCAATTTCATCAGCATTTCTTCCTCAGTATTAATTTTGAAATTTCTTGGCTTTCTTTTCTTTCCTATCTAGATTCACACTCTTAGTGAAGTCATCAAGTTGAATGATTTCGTGCACTGTCTTCATACAAATCTTTTCTCTTGAACTCCACACCTATATACCCAAATATCTTCTTGACATCTCCACATTTGATAGATACTGGATGTCTATAGAGATCTTAATTTCTTTTTTATTACGCTTTAAATGTTAGGGTACATGTGCACAACGTGCAGGTTAGTTACATATGTATACATGTGCCATGTTGGTGTGCTGCACCCATCAACTCATCATTTAACATTAGGTATATCTCCTAATGCTATCCCTTCCCCCCACCAGCCCACAACAGGCCACAGTGTGTGATGTTCCCCTTCCTGTGTCCATGTGTTCTCATTGTTCAATTCCCACCTATGAGTGAGTCAGGAAACAACAGGTGCTGGAGAGGATGTGGAGAAATAGGAACACTTTTACACTGTTGGTGGGACTGTAAACTAGTTCAACCGTTGTGGAAGTCAGTGTGGCGATTCCTCAGGGATCTAGAACTAGAAATACCATTTGACCCAGCAATCCCATTACTGGATATATACCCAAAGGATTATAAATCATGCTGCTATAAAGACACATGCACATGTATGTTTATTGCGGCGCTATTCACAATAGCAAAGACTTGGAAACAACCCAAATGTCCATCAATGATAGACTGGATTAAGAAAATGTGGCACATATACACCATGGAATACTATGCAGCCATAAAAAATGATGAGTTCATGTCCTTTGTAGGGACACAGATGAAGCTGGAAACCGTCATTCTCAGCAAACTATCACAAGGACAAGAGATCTTAATTTTAATGTGACTAAAACTGAACACCTGATTTTCACCTGAAACCTGCTATACTTATCTACCGCTTTTCTCACATTTTCAGTTGCTCTGCCCAAAATCCTTATAGTCATCCTTGATTTCTCTTTTTTTCTCTCACTCTACATCCAGTCCATCAGAAATCTTATTGCCTCTAACTTCAAAATATATTATTAGGACATAGACTGCACCACCTCTACTGGTACCACCCTTGTGCCATCTACTTTCTCTTACCTGGATCAGTGCAACAGTCTCTTTCCCAGATAATTATGTCTCCGTAAACTATTCTCAACATGGCAGCCATTAATGATCCTTTCAAAACGTGTCAGATTTATGCCACTCCTTTATTCAAAACTCTGTAGTGGTAACTGTTTTACAAAGAAGGAAGAATTGGCTGGGCGTGGTGGCTCATGCCTATAATCCCAGCACTTTGGGAGGCCAAGGTGGGTGGATCACTTGAGGTCAAGAGTTCGAGACCAGCCTGGCCAACATGGTGAAACCCCATCTCTACTAAAAATACAAAAATTACCTGAGCGTGGTGGTGGACACTTGTAATCCCAGCTACTCAGGAGGCTGACACAGGAAAATCGCTTGAACCCAGGAGGCAGAGGTTGCAGTGAGCCAAGATCGCATCATTGCACTCCAGCCTGGGCAACTAGAATGAAACTCCATCTCAAAAAAAAAAAAAAAAAAAAAAAGAGTGAAGAATGTACAGTGGCTTCTAGGGCCCTCCAGTGTCTAGTCTCTTCCTACTTCTTTGCCCCTTGTTCACTTTGGTCGCTCTGGCTTCCTTGTTCATCTCCTCAAAATTGCCAGGCATGCCTCTGAATTAAAGTCAGTGCATTAGCTGTTTTTCTCTACCTGGGATGTTCTTCTCTCACTTTTTCTCCCCTTCCAGTATTTGCTGAGACATTACCTGCTCAATAAGGCATACCTTACCACCTTATTAAAATCATAATTCCAGCACTACTGATCTCACTCTTCTCTACTTTATGTTACTTTGTATCTTTTGATATTACTTGTCACTTATTAAACTCTATGATTTACTTATTTGTAGTGTTTACTATCTCCCACTCCCATTAGAATATCAGCTCCATGAGGGTAGAACTCTGTTTTGTAGCCTGGTACAGTGCCCAGAATATTGCATGTTATAAGTTCTGTTCCACAGACTTCAAATATTATTTCATTTCATTGTCTTCTCTACGTATACCAATGAAACAATATGACTCACAGAGGTTACCTAACTTGGCTGAAGTCAATATCTGGTAAAAGTGGAACTGAGATTTACACATATACATCTCCTGCTCCTTGCCTTCCTTATACAAAGTATGTGAAAACAAGGGAAAAGAATAATGCATGTATATGGATGAATTTATATGATATTTTATAAACACTTTTATATAAATGTCTACATATAAGAATAAAATATTGGCCGGGCGCGGTGGCTCACGCCTGTAATCCCAGCACTTTGGGAGGCCGAGGCGGGTGGATCACGAGGTCAGGAGATCGAGACCATCCCGGCTAAAACGGTGAAACCCCGTCTCTACTAAAAATACAAAAAATTAGCCGGGCATAGTGGCGGGCGCCTGTAGTCCCAGCTACTTGGGAGGCTGAGGCAGGAGAATGGCGTGAACCCGAGAGGCGGAGCTTGCAGTGAGCCGAGATCCCGCCACTGCACTCCAGCCTGGGCGACAGAGCGAGACTCCGTCTCAAAAAAAAAAAAAAAAAAAAAAAAGACTAAAATATTTTCTATTTTAGTATAGAAATAATAATTGTATAATACTAGAATTTAAATATTTTTACACAGAAATTGCTATATTCATCAGTAACTTAAATATAATTACCTTTTTTGATATTAAGTAAGTATTGATAATGAAATGATTAGGAGTTTTTTCCTGCTTCACCTACACAAATATAAGCTCTTTGTAGTTCATAGCAAGACACTGGTATAGAGAATCCATTATCATTCTGATTGTACATTGTGTTTGATGGAATTGTTCAAGCTGTGTAAGATCTAATTTGTACTCTCTTTAAGATAACACTGACTGTTTCAGTTAGCATCTTTTCATTATTATATATACTATATAAATGGGGTACATCCTTCAGGGCTTTTTCAACTTAACAGTTTCAAGTCTAGTTTTAGGATAAGGTAGTACAATTGCTGTGTTTTGATTGTAAATTTATATGTTTATTTGAGAAATATCCTTTCTGAAAAATGATGGATATTCTTATATGAAATAACATAAACCATTTTTTGCATTCTGTAGACTTTCTTATTGTCCCATGTCCCTGATTAGGATATTATTATTACATCTATCAGGGAAGATTTAGCAGTGTAAGAATCACTTTGTCTTGGGGTATGTAAATATTCCTAATTTCACATTTGTACTAACAGTGGATAACTCAGTTGTATACTGCTTTAGAACAAGAGAGAGTAAAATATGGTATTTTTCATTTGAAATTTAGAAAGCTAGGCATCTTAAACCACCAGGTACTATTTTGGTATAATCTATCACTTCTGTTACATTTTATTGGATATAAATCATATTGTATCAGGTTGCATAGCGACAATATGTTTCACCAGGCATTCTATTTTTATAACTTTATTTAAAACTGACATGTAACTTGCTGTACCTGAAACCCCAAGTGATCCAGTTATTGGAGTGTAACAAAGTTTTGACGTCAGAGTAGCTATTTATTCTACTGGAAACCATTAGCGATGCATTACCCTTTGGCACTGCTGTTTTTTGCAGAAACATGGTTAAAATTTTATGACTGATTTTGACCAATTAGATTTCTCTCCCTCTTAGAACTAAGCAATTATATATATATAAAAAACATGAATATATATGCATGTGCATGTATGTAACTTGCACATGCTTTATATCCTTAAAATGTGTAATATATTTAAATATAGGTTTATATATTCATATTTATTTTAACATTATACATATCAAGCTTTTTTAAAAGTTTCTTCTCAAAAACTGAGTGTCATAGTTTTATTTTTCTTATTTTCACACCTGATTATTATTTTATGGAAACGAATTAACTGCATGTTGTTGTTATTACTATGGATATGGATGTTGATTAGCTGCATAGTACTACCATGTTTGTTGGTATTAGTGCTTTTGTTATTATTTTAAAAGGGCCTCTTAACATTTGTTTACTATCAGCACTAGATTCTTTGGGAATTCATAGGGGCAATACCATTTTGTACACATTTAGTATAATCAGTTAAAGACAGGATTTTCTCCTGCTTAGCTTTGACTGTTTTTCCCCTGAAAATATTAAAATATGTGCTGTGCATCCATGCATGGAGTTAAAGTCCCTTGACTCCTGAGCCGGCCTAGTGCCAGCTTACATGCTGATCTCTGCCAGTGTATTTTAAATTGGATCTGATGGGACCACCATTTGGAATTAAGCAGAGGAAAATATTTTAGATTTTTATTTAGTAAACTAGTTGTTCTTCAAACCCTGTATAAAAACATTGCTAAACTTGTGTTTATGGAATAACTAACTTCAGTCAGTTTAGGAGATGCCTGTGTATAAGGAGAGAATGTTAATTCTCTCAAATTCCTGAGTGACACCTTAAATTCAATAATTATTACTACTGTTATTGTTATGAATTATCTGCTTAGTAATCCTCACATATTGTTGAATTATTTTTCTTTGGAAAATTCAAATTTTTATATAATTTTTAAAATATGGCATCTGATCATTATTTCCCGTGTTGGCATTTTTTTGTATTTTGACATATTTATTTTTAACTGACAAATATTGCATATAGTTATCATGGACAACATGTTGTTTTGAAATATGTATACGTTGTGGAATAGCTAAATCATCTAATTAACATTACACATGAATTTGATAGGAGAACTCCATATTGGTAACTCCTTCGGCATGTTATAACCTTTTCCAGCTCCATCTTTTTCTCCTGAAACCTATCAAGAGTCTTTTGAGGTACAAAATATGTAGGATGAGTTCCAACTCTAAAAGTAGTATTCCAGAACATTGTAATATTATGCGGTGATCAAGAATAGAGACATTGAAACAGAACAACCAGGGTTAGAATCTCAGCCTGCCACTACCCGTAACAATAGACAGATTATTTCAACATTCTGAGTCAGTTATCTGATGTATAAAATAGGTGTAGTTGGAACTACCTCAACGATTTTTGTTTTTATAAGGATTCAATGAAATAAGCAGAAAGCCCTTAACTCAATGTCTGGCACATAGTAATAACTCAAATGGTAGCTATCAGTCATTTGTTATATTAGACCTGGTAATTCTCCTTGTCTGCAGGGGTAGTATGGCATAGTGCTTAATAGTACAGGCTTTAGAATCATAATACCTGGGTTAGAATCCCAGCTGTACTATTTACTAGCTGTGTAACCTTCAAGAAGTCTCTTAACTTCACTGCCTCAGTTTCTTCATCTGTAGAATAGGGGAATATAATATCACATATTTAATACATGTATCTGAAGATTATATGCATCAATACAAGGAAAGTGCTTAAAACAATGCATGTCACATAGTAAGGGTTCAATAAATGTTAGCTATTATATCAAAAATCACTGAATGTGAGCTTCCTGTTATTTTAGAAATCTATTAAGTCTAGCCCTGGCATTTTGTCATTATTAAACAGGCCGGACTGCAGAAAAGATTTCTCTGGTCACACAGCATTTCTGGACATTTTCACACCCCACCTAGCAATCCCACAAATACCCTTACAATAAATATTTATTATAAGGCTCATTTTAACACAAATTAACCCAAATAATTGACCCTAAATCTGAATGAATTCATTTAAATACTTGTGTAAAATCATGTGGTTTCAGATTTTGTCGTTGCTCTTTTTTAAGTTAAGATATGTGGTCCCTCCAGGAAACCTACTTAGGTTGGCATGAGGCTAGTCTGGTTAATTCTAATTTAAGATTGACATTGGTTGATACTAATATTCTCAACCACACAATAAAGTTTGTTATCAGGTAGATGATTGCTGTCTTATAATACCTGCTAGTGGCCTAACGATCCACACTGGTGACAAAAATGCAAGATCTCTATAATTTCTTTTTATTTCCCACTGTCTTCTGCCCACCCCACCCACCGCAAGATTGGATGCTAAAACTAAATCAATCAATAGACTTTTTCTCCTGGCATGCCATTCTATCCTTTTAAAAGAATAAATATATAGGTCAAGAATTACTATACTAAAAGCCAAAATTGAAAATTGGGATCTAATTAAACTAAAGAGCTCTGCACAGCGAAAGAAACTATCATCAGAGTGAACAGGCAACCTACAGAATGAAAGAAAATTTTTGCAATCTATCCATCTGACAAAGGGCTAATATCCATAATCTACAAAGAACTTAAACAAATTTACAGAAAAAAACAACACCGTCAAAAAGTGGGCAAAGGATATGAACAGACACTTCTCAAAAGAAGACATTTACGTGGTCAACAAACATGAAAAAAAGGTTATCATCACTGGTTGGTCATTAGAGAAATGCAAATCAAAACCACAATGAGATACCATTTCACGCCAGTTAGAATGGCGATCATTAAAAAGTCAGGAAATAACATATGCTGGAGAGGATGTGGAAAAATAGGAACGCTCTTACACTGTTGGTGGGAATGTAAATTAGTTGAACCATTGTGGAAGACAATGTGGCGATTCCTCAAGGATCTAGAACTAGAAATACCATTTGACCCAGCAATCCCATTACTGGGTATATACCCAAAGGATTATAAATAATTCTACTATAAAGACACATGCACACATATGTTTACTGCAGCACTGTTCACAACAGCAAATACTTGGAACCAACTCAAAAGCCCATCAGTGATAGACTGGATAAAGAAAATGTGGCACATATACACCATGGAATACTATGCAGCCATAAAAAAGGACGAGTTCATGTCCTTTGCAGGGACATGGATGAAGCTGGAAACCATCATTCTCAGCAAACTAACACAGGAACAGAAAACCAAATGCCACATGCTCTCACTCATAAGTGGGAGTTGAACAGTGAGAACACATGGACACAGGGCAGGGAACATCACACACTGGTGCCTGCCAGGGGGTGTGCGTTCAGGACAGGGATAGCATCAGGAGAAATGCCTAATGTAGATGACTGGTTGTTGGGTGCAGCAAACCACCATGGCACGTGTATACCTATGTAACAAACCTGCACATTCTGCACATGTATCCCAGAACTTAAAGTTTATTAATAAAAGAAAAAAGAATTACTATATCAAGCAGTTGCTGAATCAGGTTCATCACAGAGGGGAGTGCAAACCCATGCCCTGAATCAACCTCTTAAAGCTATCTACAGGAATACTTTGACTTCATGGTCTTAGAATTTACTTTACCTGAGTTTAATTCTTAGCTTTACCACTACTAGCTGTGTGACCTTGAGCAACTGTTTTACTCCATCATTATCAAATATTTATTGAGCACTTATTCTATACCCTATTACTAAGTAAACTAATAGAAAATTCTCTAAGCCAACGTTTCTATAATGATAAAAATGTTTACATTATATAATTTATAGGATTGTGATACAGGTCAAAATATGATCATCTCTGTTAAAATATTCTGTGAATCATAAAGTAGTATACTAGTATTATTTGCTGTGAGCTTTATGAGAATAGGGACTATGTCTTCCTTTGTTACCTTATTATCTAACATAGTACCTGACACATAGAAGTATTCAGAAAATGTCTGCAGCAGACTGATTTTCTTAAAGATCTCAAAAGCATCCATTTGTATTTAGGATATTATTTCCGAAGTTAAGCTTAAAATACACATAATTTATTCTTTTGATTATGTAATGGTATTCATATATAGTTTGAATTATGTGGAACATTCCTAAGGGACTTACTGCAAGAAAATGTGTTACTAGATAAAATCATTTTTATATGTGCCCTATTATCAGCAGGCCCTATTTTCTACAAGGTAATGTAGGGTTTGAATTAAAAGAAATTGTTAAAAGTTTATTAAATCTACTATGGCCAACAACTGTTGCTATTTTTGTGCACCTAGAGCTGTAGTTAATCTTCAGATTTTTGAATAATTTATTTCAGGTGTCACATATATATATTGAGTGGCTGAAAATATATTTTGTACCTAAAATTAATAATAATTGAATTATAAAACCTACCTAATTGTCACAGTAGTCAACTACCTAAAATGTTTCTAATTATTGGGACACTGTATATATGTATTAATGTTAGTAAATGGACTAAAGATATGAATTTCAGTACACTGGACCACATCTAAAAATATTTCATGATGTATATTTTATTAGTATAGGAAGTGAAATCTCACAGACCAAAAAGGAATGCTGTATTAGGTAATATTAACTCAACAAAAATTAGATTCTAAGGCTTATTCTTGCAATGCACTTGCAGATTTCCGTCTAATCACCAATCACCCTTTTGCAAAACAATGGCAATTAAGATCTACATAAACTAAGCTAATGCCTGGTTGGGGAGATTATTTCGTACTAATATACACTTGCATATTCTTTTAAAATGAGAAATAATACACAGTATTCACAGGAATAAAACTCAGCAAATGGAAGGCACAGAAAAACCCTTTCAGAGAGCAGTCACTTCAATAGAGTGTGGCTAAAAGAAATTTTCTTCTGAAACACACCCAGCTAATTAATTTGTGTTTACAGAAGGAATTAATTTTTCTTACTCTTACTGAACTTAAAAAAAGAAATGAAAATCCACTAAAACTCATACTACCAATTTTAAGTTTTAATGAACTTTTTTCAGAGATGTAAAAGGGTATATTTTCTTTTCCTTAGACTAAAACCATTAGCTATTTGCCATAATATTCTTCTTATGTAATAACTACAGAGTTTTGAAGCTAATGACAACAGCCAACAGGAAAAAAGGTTTGTCATAGTTTCTGTTCCTTCTCTGGATGCATCATTTCAGTATTCTAGTACTTTTCAGCAGCATTGTCAGTGAGTATTCAAGGCTAAGGAAAGACATAGTATGTCTTCCTGGAGCATCAATTTGACTTGCCAACAAGTAAATTAAACTTATTTTATATTAAAATGAATACATATATAGAGTAGAATAAAAAATGTTCATTAATTTTAAAATTCAAACCCCAGACTACATGAGTTGTAATTTTGAACTAATGTATGGTTTCCTTATTTGAATAGCACTGCTGACTTCCATTATACATCTTCCTTTCATTTTTAGATACTTGGTTGTATGTAGTTTTGCTTTTTCTTTATTTAAATTGAATTTAAAGTGCCATTTTAAAGTCCATCCATCAATGGATACTAGGATAAGAGGGATAGCATTAGGAGATATACCTAATGTAAATGACGAGTTAATGGGTGCAGCACACCAACATGACACATGTATATATATGTAACAAACCTGCACGTTGTGCACATGTACCCTAGAACTTAAAGTATAATACAAAATATATATATATAATTAAAGAATGCTAAAAGACTCAAAAAAAGGGAAGTTTATAGTAATATATGGCTTACATCAATTAGAAAGATTACAAACTGACAATCTAGTAATGCACCTCAAGGAACTAGAAAAACAAGAACATACAAAATCCCTAAATAGTGGAAGAAAATATATAAAAAGATCAAAGGGAAGCTAAATAAGAGACTAAAGAAACAATATAAAGGATCAATGAAACAAAAAGTTGGTTCCTCAAAAATATAAACAAAATTGATAAGCCACTAGTTCGACTAACCAAGAAAAAAAGACCCAAATAAACAAAACCAGAAATGAAAAAGGAGACATTACAGCTTATAACACAGAAATAAAAAAAGATCATTAGAGACTTATGAACAACTTTATGCTTGCAAATTAGAAAACCTAGAAGAAATGGATAAATTCTGAGAAACATACAACCTGAGATTGAACAAGGAAGAAATAGATATCCTGAACAGACCAGTAATGTGTAGCAAGGTTGAGTCAGTAATAAAAAGTTTCTCAACAAAGAAAAGCCCAGGACTATATGGATTCATAGCTGAATTCTGCCAATGCAAAGAAGTACTAGTACAAATTTCCCTGAAACTATCCCAAAAAATCAGAGGACATAATTCTCCCTAACTAATCCTACAAGATCAGAATCACCCTGACGTCAAAACCAGACAAAGATACCAAAAAAAAAAAAAAGTCTACAGGCCAGTAGCCCTGATTAGCATAGATGCAAAAATCCTTAACAAAATACTAGCAAATAATGCAAAACACATCAAAAAGATTCACCATGATTAAGTGAGATTTATGCTTGGGATGCAAGAATGATTCCACATACACTAATCAATAAACATAATACATCACATCAACAGAATGATGTACAAAAGCCATATATTAATCTCAGTATACACAGAAACAACATTTAATAAAATTCAACCTCCCTTCATGATAAAAACTCTTAAAAATCTAGGCATAGAAGGAACATTCCTTAAAATACTAAGTGCCATATATTACACACCTATAGCTAACATCATACTGAATAAAGAGAAGTTGAAAGTCTTTTCTCTAGGAACTGTTACAAGACAAAGATGCTCACATTCACCACTGCCTTTCAACATAGTACTGGAAGTCTTACCCAGAGTAAGCAGGCAAGAGAAAGAAATAAGTCATCCAAATGGGAAAAAAGGAAGTCAAATTATTCCTCTTTGTTGATCATATAATTTTATATCTGGAACAAGCTAAAGACTCTGCCAGAAACCTTTTAGATTTAATAAATGAATTCAGTAGAGTTTCAGGATACAAAATTAGCATACAAAAGTCAGTAACACTTTTATACACCAGTAATGATCTAACTGAAAAAGAAATCAAGAAGGCAATTCCACTTACAATAGCTATAAAAATATAAATACTTAGGAATAAATTTAACCAAGGAGCGGAAAGATCTCTATAAGAAAAACTACAAAACACTCATGAAGTAAATTGAAGATGACACAAATTGATAAACATCCCATGCTCATGGATCTGAAGAACTAATATCATTACAGTGACCATATTGCCCAAAGCAATCTACAGATTTCACTACAATCTGTATCAAACACCAATGTCATTCTGCACAAATTAGAAAAAACAATTCTAAAACTCATGTGGAACCAAAAAGAGCTTGAATAGCCAAAGCAGTCTTGAGCAAAAGGAACAAAGTTAGAGGCATCACATTACCTGACTTGAAAATATGTTACAAAACCAAAACAGCCTGGTATTGGTATAAAAATAGACACATAGATCAATGGAACAGAATAGAGAACTCAGAAATAAAGCCATATATTTACAGCCAGCTGATCTTTGACAAAGCTGTAGGAGAAAGTATACCCTGTTCAGTAAATGGTGATGGGAAAATTGGATAGCCACATGCAGAAGAATGAAACTGGACCTCTATCTCTCTTCATATATAAAAATCAACTCAACATGAATTAAGTTAAACGTGAGAGCGGAAACTATTAAAAAGGCTAGAAGAAAACTCTCCTGTACCTTGGTTTAGGCAAATAATTTATAACAAACACCTCAAAAGTACAGGCAACAAACCCAAACATAAATAAATGGGAATTAAATTGAAAAGCTTCTGCATAGCAAAAGAAATAATCAATAGAGTGAAGAGACAACCTATTGAATGGGAGAAAATATTTAACAACTATTCAGCCATTATGGAAAACAGTAAGGAGATTTCTTCAAAAACTACAAATAGAATTACCACTCAATCCAGCAATACCCCTGCTGGGTATCTACCTAATGAAAAGAAATTAGTGTATCAAAGGGATACATGTACTAGCATATTTATCACAGTGCTATTCACAATAGCAAAGATATGGAATCAATCTAAGTGTTCATCAACAAATAAATGGATAAGGAAAATGTATGTGTATGCATAATGAAATACTATTTGACCTTAAGAAAGAATGAAATTGGCCAGTCATGGTGGCTTACACCTGTAATCCCAGCACTTTGGGAGGCCGAAGCGGGCAGATTACCTGAGGTCAGGATTTCGAGACCAGCCTGGCCAACACTGTGAAACCCCGTCTCTACTAAACATACAAAAATTAGCAGGGCACGGTAGCACACACCTGTAATCCCAGCTATTTGGGAGGCTGAGGCAGGAGAATTGCTTGAGCCTGGGAGATGGAGGTTGCAGTGAGCCACCACTGCACTCCAGCCTGGCTGACAGAGCAAGACTCGGTTTAAAAAAACAAAAAGCAAAAAAAACAGCAACAAAAAAAATGGAATCACGTCATTTGAAGTAACATGGATGGAACTAGAGGTCCTTATCTTATTTGAAATAAGCTGGGCACATAAAGACAAATATTGTATGTTCTCACTTATATGTAGGAATTAAACATTTTGATCATATGGAGGTTGAGTGGAAAGATAACAGAGACTAGGAAAGGTGACTGCGTTGGGGAGGAGAGAGGATGAAGAGAAGTGGGTTAAACGGTACAAACATATAGTTGGAAGGAATAAATTCAGTGTTTGATTGCAGAATAAAATGATTATAGTTTTAAAAAATGTACTCTGGTGCTGGACACCCTAAATGCCCTGACTTGAGGATATGCATTATATACTTGTAACAAAATTTCACATCTGCCCCATAAACTTGTACAAAAACAACAACCCAGAAAAGCCCTATGGGTGTCTAGAAGGAGAAATTATCACCAAGCATTGTATAGGCCTTATATGAGAGAGAGAATTCGTGTGGGTGTCAGAAGCAGGCACACACTGGGGCATTGGAATTTAAGCACAGAGGAAGTAGACATTTTTATGTGACAATTATGTGGAATATAGGATTCAGCATTTGAACATCATGTAAAAAGAATAAAATTAAATGTTAAGAAAATCAAGGGATAAAGCAGTTCTCACCAAGGAAGTTTTCTTTTAAAAATTCTTTCTTATTCATTTTCTAATCTGTTTTATAATATTAAAGTAAATAAACTTCCCTGTGAGGGCCCAAGATTAATGAAACCTCTAGGCCTTGTATTTGAGAAAATCACATTTTTATTTGATATTTCTTTTAGTATCAGATATCTATCTCCTGAGGGTCTTGGCGTAAATCTAAGAAGAATTCTTCCATTTTAAAATTTGTTATATATTCATTTATTAAACCTTTACTAAGTCTTACTATTCTAAGGCAATTACAAAAGCTCTCTTCAGTCCTTACCTCTCTCTTGTCTTCAGTACTGCATACTTGACTGCCTCATGGATCTTGCCATCTGGATGTCAACGTGATAATATCATCTTTTGTATAGGTAGTTGAATTTGGTTTGTACATATTTTGTTAATATTCATTACTTTGTTGTTTTATCCATGAGAGAGATTGGCCTTTAAGTTTGTTGTTGTTGTTTGAGATAGAGTCTTGCTCTGTCACCCAGGCTTGAGTGCAGTGATACAATCTTGGCTCACTGCAACCTCCGCTCCCCAGACCCAAGCGATCCTCACACCTCAGCCTCTTGAGTAGCTGGGACCACAGGCACACACCACCATGCCTGGCTATTTTTTGTATTTTTGAAAGAGACAGGGTCTTGCCATGTTGCCCAGGATGGTTTCAAACTCTTGGGCTCAAACAATGCTTCTGCCTCGGCCTCCCAAAGTGCTGGCATTGCAGGCATGAGCCGCTGTGCCCAGCTGGCCTTAGTTTGTCATGTAATGTCTTTTTTGAATTTTGTATCAGGGTTATATGATGACCTGGTGAATTGTATTTTGATAATAGTGTAACTCTACCATCTTTCCTTTTTTTAATATTTGCATGACATCTATTTCTGTCTTCTTACTTTCACCTTTTTTTGATACTAACATTCGAATTGTGTCATTTACAAGCAGCCTAAAATTTGATTGTTAAAATTCAATCTGGCACTCCTTTTTCTTTTAATTAGAGTATTTACTTCAGTAATACTTGGTGTAATTACTGATATATTTGGGTTTAAATCTACCCACCATGTTTCTGTTTGTTCTCTATTTGTTCAACCTATTCTATGTTCCTTTTTCTCTCCTTTATTGCCTTTTAAAAATTAGTCCATTTCTTCATCTGCTCTCTTATTTGTTATACATTATTTTATTATTCATT
Organism: Homo sapiens; assembly: GCF_000001405.40. NCBI lineage: Eukaryota > Metazoa > Chordata > Mammalia > Primates > Hominidae > Homo > Homo sapiens. The sequence goes on from NC_000011.10 coordinate 28,279,564, forward strand.
TTGAGGTTACTTTGGTGATCACAACCTACATGATTGTCTTAGGAAAGACTAACATGGCCGGGTGCGGTGGCTCACGCCTGTAATCCCAGCACTTTGGGAGGCCGAGGCAGGTGGATCACAAGGTCAGGAGTTCAAGACCAGCCTGGCCAACATGGTGAAACCCCGTCTCTACCAAAGATGCAAAAAATTAGACGGGCATCATGGCTTGTGCCTGTAATCCCAGCTACTCGGAGGCTGAGGCAGGAGAATCGCTTGAACCCGGGAGGCGGAGGTTGCAGTGAGCTGACATCACGCCATTGCACTCCAGCCTGGGTGACAGGGCAAGACTCTGTCTCAAAAACAAAACAAAACAAAAAAAAAAAAAAAAAGGAAGGCTAACATAAATTAGTAATTTTACCTCTTCCAGGACATTGTAATTGCAAGGACCTTGGATCATGTTAACTACATTAATTCTATTCTTTCCTTTTGTGCCACTACCATATATTTTAATTCCACATATATATTGAACTCCCCCAAAATTATTATTTTGTACAGTCTGTATTAATCTGTAATTACCATATACTTACACTTTCCATTGCTTTTTTTCCCATTTTTTCCCATTTTTCCCATTCATTGCTTCGGTTGTATTTGTGATTATTTTATTCTGCCTGAAGAAAACTGTTTTTAATAGTTCTTTTAATATAGGTCTCCTGCAGGTGAACTAACTCAATTTTCTTTATCTTAGAATATCTCTATCTGCCTTTAATTTTTGATGGAAATTTGATTGTTAGCAATTTTTGTCTTCTGGCTTCCCTTATTTTAGTTCTGACTGTTGCTCTCTTGAGTGTAATTTATCTTTTTTCTTTTGGCTGTTCTTAGTAATTTTATTTCCTGTTGTCTTTTCACATTTTACTATGATGGTCCTAGTTTTGCATTTTTGCTTTTGTATCTATGTTTATCTTCTTTGTAGTTTATTGTGTTTCTTTAATCTGTGGTTTGCAATCTTGAATCATTTTGGAAGCTTGGCCATTGTTTTTGAATATTGCTTTTACTCCATTCTTTCTTTCCTCTTTTTTGGAATTCTGGTCATATGTATGTTAGGTTTTCTCACCATGTCTCTTATGCTTTTTTTTTTTTTTTGTATCTTCCAAATTATTTCCAATCTCTTCCTCAATCTGAATAGTTTCTAATGAACTGCGTTTCATGTCCCTAATTCTCTCTTTGGCTATTTGTGAGCTGCTTTTAAGCCCATCTATAGAATTCTTAATTTTAATTATTATAATTTTCTGTTTTCCATTTGGTCTGATTTTTATTTTATTTAACTGTTTTCTATAGAGCCATTTCTGGGATAAAGTTATCTAGTTTGTCCTCTGTTTTCTTGAGTATATTAACCAGTTATCTTATAGTCCATTCTGATAACTCTATTCTGTATTCTGTATGTCTGTTTCTATAACATATTCCTTAAGCTTGGTATGTGTTCTTATCCTTGTGTCTGTCTAGTAATTTTTATTTTATTTCACACATTGTTTTTTAAAAAATTATTGTGATAATTTGAGAGTCTTGAAGGTGCCTTCCTCCAGATACCACTTAATGTTGCTTTTGGCAGGCAATTCATCTAAGACTATGTTACCCTAATGCAATAAAGCTTGAGTTGATTGGAAACTGAATTTCAGTACTTGTGTAATAATCTATTTTTTGTTGACCTTTCTACTAGTTTAATCCCAGTTTTAGCCCTTTAGAGCCCCATCTGAAATTCTGGGGCTATTTCCTGGTCATATCCACCTGGATGGGTCCTGAACTCTAATATTTATCTCCTGTATCCAATGAAGCTGCCGAAAGTTCTCCTCAGTTTCTTCAGCTCTCAGCATCCGCTTGCAAATAAGTAGGCCATTAGTGGAATACCTGCTCCAATGTTGGGCTCACCTGTTTTCACTTTTCTTTGTTCCCTCAAGTCTTAGCCGTTTTTATAGCTCTCTGATTCCTTCAAATGGGTAATTATAATTGTCTTATCTAGCTTTTCTAGTTTTGCTCTCTGGAAGAGTTGGTCTGATCAAGTTAAACTGCTGTAAACAGAAATAGATGTTTCCAAATGTATTGATTTTTATTGTTTCCTGGGATACAAGCTCTACAGTCATTGGTACTTTATTTTCTTTGTATCTCAGGTGACTAGAAAAGTGCCTGACATTTAGTAGAAGCTCAGTAAATATTTATTTGTTGTTTGTTTTTATAGTTGAGCACTGGACAGTCTTAACTCCTGAGATGAATATGTCTGCAACTCAGTGATCATGGGACTGCCTATTACATATTAGTGAGTGGTAAAGGTTTGGGACCTGCTAGATTGTTATTCCAGAGTGGGGAAAGATTACTCCACTGAATAAATTTTAAAAGGGTTACTGAGTGAGAGAAATATAATTGTGTTTTATTATTTCTAAAATATATTTTGTTAAAGTCAATGTGTGAGCTACAAATGAATGACTAAATCAGTTTTTAAAAAGTATTTCTTGAAGGGAAGGAAGGACAATGGTTAGTAAAGATAATGCTTTCAAAGTATTACTTGATGCTAACATGACTAGGTCTATATACACATTATCTTCTTACAGAACCCTTACTGCTAACATGCTACTCTCTCCCAGATTATCATGTATTCACCTTTGACAGACCCCTGTGCCACAGACTCCTATTTGGTCTCTACCCAGATTTGTATTTCTGGCACGGGAACCTTGCCCTTTAGTCTACTTAGGAGTTGTACTGTCAATCACCAACCGACACTGCATGTTTCTCTTAGTGCTTTTAAAAAGAAACTACCTTGTAACAATAAAAATTCTCAATCAGCAGCAGGGAATCTAGATTAGAGGAAAAAAAGTACAGTTTCTCCTTCCTAATTACAAATTAACTCCTAAATATAAAAAGAGTATGATATATTGTTTATAAAAATGCTTCCTACAATTTTTCTCTTTTCTGTATGCATTCCTTGCATAATGTCTATCAACACTTTCCATCAAGAGGTGAAGTCTGTTACTATAGCCCTTGAATCTGAACTGAGCTATTTGACTTGCCTTGGCTAATAGGATATTAGAAAACAGGGCACAGTCAGAAACTTTAAAAGTTCTGGTGCACTGGGATTGCCCTACATTGTTACTTTGAAACAAGACCACTCTTCCTTTGGAAAAACTTGGGCTAACCTGCTAAATGCTGGAGACATATGGTCCATTCATCATCTTTACCCCAACCAGCTTCCCAATGTGTAAGTGAGGCCATGTGGAACCAACTAGGCCTCAGTCAACCCACTATCAAAAGAATCACCAAGCTGAGCCCAACTTAGATTGCTGACCCATAGAATCATAAGAAGCTACTACATTTTATGGTAGTTTGTTACATAGCAAAAATTAAGTGATCCAGAGAGAATCATGACCATCATTATTAATCATTTTCATGGACCATTTTTATGTTTTTCTCAGTTGTGTATGTCTGCATTCTACATTTGTTTGCATATTATGGTAGTATTCATTACTGTGCTTGAGATTAAAGATGTATAATTACTTAAAGCCTTTATTTAATACTATTGGTTAGGCTGGAAGAGTGTTACATCCTAGGAGGATAAACGAATAGATGTTTTTCTTCCTGTGCTGTCTCAGAAAGTTAGTTCCAAATTCAAAGTTTTTCTTGAAAATTTGTGAACAGATTTTATATTTTTAAATTGCTTTATCCAGCAGCCCTGATTCTACATAAATAAGTCTTCTGTCTGTGAAATAAAATTATTTATTCCTGGACAGCAAAAGTACCCTTTTATATCAAGCACCTTAGAAACCATGGGAATTTTAGATTTCTGTAGCCAAGATGGATGAGCACTTATTAACTACAGGATGCCCAACCTTGTGAGTGGACTGATTTTTATAATTTGTGAAGCAATTTGTTCTTAACTCCTCTTATTAGATTGTATGCCGTTAGAAGAATGATGAAGGTCCATGTTCCATGTTCAATTCTAATAAGTACACAGTGAATGGTAGCTATTCTTGTATCACTCAGTCTCAGATATATACTAGAGCACCTTAGTCGTTTATAGCAAAATAGATTTATAACTTGTACTACAAGTGCAGATGACTTGCCAGTATCAGGATTAACAATACTTATTACAGTCAGAGAACCTCAGAAATGGCTGCCTACAACCAAGGTATTGTTTGCATTCTACTGCTGCGTCCGTTGACTTTTAGTGGGGTTGGATTGAGAAAGTGTTCTCATTTAAAAAGTGTTCTGGATCACAAGCAACATTCTACTTACATCCTGGAGAACACAGGATGTTACTTTTCTGTTACTTTTAACACTTGTAAAATGCACATGCAAAAATACTGAAAATTAAAGTGAAAGGAAAAAGGAAGAATGGAGGAAAAGAAGAAGTAAAGGAAAGAAGAGAGCAATGGAAGGGGAGTGGGTGAGGGAAAAGTGGGCATGTAATCTGCCTATCTAGGAAAATTAGCCTAACGTAATTGCATATATGAGATAATGAGCAGAGTCTAAAGTTGTGGCTGAGTTTTCAACAGTTGGTAAGCAAACTTCAATGATGTTTCCTTTATTCAGAGAACAATTCATTTCTAGAAACACATAACTGATGTAGCATCAGAAAACTCTGTCTTAAACACATTTATTTTGTGGTGGTGCATCATTTTTTTATATACTTTCATACTTGTACATTATAATGTTGAGCTTTGTACCACAATGATTATTACATCTTTGTTATTTACTCATAGTGAGTTATGAAACTATATGAATATTTTCTGTTAAACAGCTAAGCTTGAGGACATCCAAGAATGCAAACATCCTCTATAAGATCTTATGTTTATTTTTACAAGTACATTAGCTGTAAGCAGGATAATAACTATAATATCTAAGGAATTAAGACTGGACAGTAGCGATTTGTTATAGGCTTTTGCTGCAGTATGAAGAAGATTTCTGTAGTTGAAGATAATCCCTGAATCCTAAAAGGACTGTAGAAAATGCATAAGACAAAAATTGTACTTACATTTAAAAAAATAGCAAAACTGCCCAAGTACAGTATGGAGGAAATAGGCTTAGCAGCAGTGTACATGAAAAAGACTAAAGGGATTTAGGCAATGTAAGTCAACAGTGTGAAATAAATTCTAAAACTAATTTCATCTTGAGCTTGAGCTCTATTAATATAACTAGAACAAGGGGAGCAAGGATTTACTTTATTCTTGCTGATCGTTATGGAATTCAGATCTAGGGACATAGGCAGACTGGAACACATTTAGAAAAGAGCAGCCAGCATGGAGAATATTTTTTTATATGGGGTGTGGCTAAAGAAACAAAATATACATGGTGATATGGTTTGGCTCTATGTCCCCATCCAAATCTCACCTCAAATTGTAATCTCCATAATCTCCATTTGGCAAGGGCAGGACCAGGTGAAGGAATCCAGTCTTGTAGGCGGTTTCCCCCATGCTGTTCTGGTGATAGTGAGTGAGCTCTCACAAGATCTGATGGTTTTATATGCATCTGGCATCTCCCAGGCTTGCACTTACTCCGTCCTCCCTCCCGCCCTGTGAAGAAGGTGCCTGCTTCCCCTTTGCCTTCCACCATGATTATAAATTTCCTTACAATCATGAGAACTGTGAGTCAACTAAATCTCTTTCCTTTACAAATTACCCAGACTCAAGCAGTTCTTTATAGCAGTATGAGAATGAACTAACATACATGGTTTAAAGCAAGCTTGTCCAACCCACGGCCCAAAGACCACATGCAGCCCAGGACAGCTTTGAATGTGGCCCAACACAAATTTATAAACTTTCTTAAAACATCATGAGATTTTTTTTTTTTTTTAGCTCATTAGTTATCCTTAGTGTTAGTGTATTGTATATGTGACCCAAGACAATTTTTCGTCTTCCAGTGGCCCAGGGAAGCCAAAAGATTGGACACCCCTGCTTTGGAGTAAAGAAGACTTAAAGAACATGATAGCTATAGTAGTTAGCATGTTTTCAATTACAAGTAAAATCATAACCCATCAAAGTGTTTTAAGTAACAAAGATAATTTATGGGTTCTTATAACTTAAAACTTCAGGAGTACATTGTATTTTAGGTGAGGCTCAATTCAGTGGCCTGGTTAATCTTTCTCTCTACTTTGCTTTCTATAGTGTTGGCCAAAATTGGCTGGCACTGTCTCCTTCCTTGGGACAATTTAACTGCTGGTTTGCTAGCAATAATCAGAGCTGTGTGCTGCTTCTTTCATATCAAGCAAGTGTTAGAAAAACCTTCTTTCCCCAGTAGCTCGATGGAAAAAAGAAGAATCTTCTTTCCCCTGACCCCAGGAAGTATCTCTTGTATCTCACTGGCCAGAGTTGTGACTTGTGCCAATTTCTGAACCAATTATAGTGGGCCATTGGGATAATGTACACAAAGTAGTGTAGCTAATCAAAAATCTACCTCTTGAGCAGAGATATTATATCTATCAGGCTACTAGGAGAAACAGAATCAATAAGAAGTAGATAAATATATATATATGATATCTTATTATATGAAGAAATTTATTTCAAGGAGTTAACTCACCTGATTGTGGGGTCTGACATATGTGAAATCTGTAGGACAGGCCAGCAGGCTGGAAACTATCTGGTAGAAGCTGATGTCGTGGTCTTGAGGCAGAATTTCTTCTTCCTCTGGGAAACTTCAGGCCTTTCAACTGATTGGATGAGGCACATCTACATTATTAAGGATAATAGCTTTTAATTAAAGTCAGTTGATTGTAGATATTACACATATTTACAAAATACCTTCATAGCAACACATAAGTTAGGGTTTGATTAAATAACTGGGCACTGTAGCTTAGCCAAGTTGACATATAAACTACCATGGATGTGATCAATCTTTCCCAAAATATGTAACTGAAATTATGAGTTCCTTTTAGAATTGACAGATTGGAAACTAAGGTAGCCAACAAATATCCTTTACAGTAGCTAACAGTACATGTATGAAAGGCTGCTCTGGGGAATAGGTTTTCAACTTGCTTGACATAGGGGAGTACTAGGGACAAAAGTTATAGAAATAGTGATAAAATAGCTATCAAGTAAAAAAGAACTGTTTAACAAAACAGTAGTGAGTTCCTATTACTGAGAATGTTCAAACGTGAGCTGAGGACTGTGGTGTAAGACCCCAGATTAAGGCCTAGTTATTATGTGTTCCTTAACTTCTGGGGAAAGTAGTGTTTTGCTTAAGTGGAGTTCACTAGAAAACAGGTATAATTTTATTTTACTCATATTAATATCAAATAGTACCTGAGATATTATGTCTGTCAGGATTCTCCAGAGAAACAGAACCAGTAGTATGTACACACGCACACACAGACTATATATATATGTGTGTGTGTACATATATATGTACTCTCCGCACTATATATACATGTATTCTCCACACTATATATATATGTACTCTCCACACTATATATATATGTATTCTCCACACTATATATATATATATGTACTCTCCGCACTATATATATGTACATATATATGAGTGCATATATATGTACATGCACACACACACACACGTCTCACTATATATATAACCCATATATATACCATATGTATATATATAGAGAGAGAGAGACAATGTGTGTGTGTGTGTGTGTGTGTGTGTGTGTGTGTGTGTGTTCATGAGGCATTTTATTTGTAAATTTGTATTACATCTCTAGAAAAAGAATTGCAGCATTTTCCCTCTGTGTGTTTTCTTCTTGCATCTTCGTGGTCCATGAGGCCGGCTGAGGTTGTCATTACAATGAAACCAAACTGGCAGGATGGAAACAGATTATTCTGCCATTTTTCTAGATCTTTGAGTTGTACATCAAATCTGGGGGCTGATCACTCCACACTTGTTTAGCCTGCCTGTGAGGTTCACAACAATTTTCCTAGCAATGTGATCATCAGTGATTTCAGATTCGCCCATGTAATCATGCTGCATCATCACATTGAGAAACCGGACAATAACTTCGGAGCTCGGCCTAATAAGAACCTCATTTGCCTCTCTTTCTGGCATTGTTGATGCTCTTGAGAGCATCAGCCAGGACATCCATGTGCACCATTGTGGTGGCGTGGAAGGAGCTATAATTTATATTTTTAATATACATATATAAATAAATTAATTTTTTCTCAAATAGCCTAGCCACAAGTTTCTCTCCCCACTGTATTCTTGCAGATAAGGTTACCTAGCCAAACAACCCTTTTTATCAAGGGGATCAGGCATAATTTTTGCTTATCCCTCATTAGCAGGTTCAATTCCTGCCAGCTCAAGGGATTATCCAAACAAGCCAATCACATTCTTCTGGGGACCAGGGGGCAACCCAACCTCTTAAAATCTCCTTCTCACAGCCCCTGGTTTTGCAGTCTCTTCCTGAGTGCAACCCCTATGTGACCCTGCATGGCAAGTAATGTCTTCTTCCCTTCGGCTGGGAGGGGAATATATGTGATTAATAAACTTTTGACTCAGAAGACTTGCATGCAGCCAATAAACATATGAAAAAAGCTCAACATCACTGATCATTAGAGAAATGCAAATCAGAACCACAATGAGATATCGCCTCACACCATCCAGAATGGCTGTTATTAAAAAGTCAAAGAATAATAGATGCTGGCGAGGTTGCAGAGAAAAAGGAATGCTTATACACTGTAGTGGAAGTGTAAATTAGCTCAACTGTTGTGGAAGACCGTGTAATGACTCCTCAAAGACCTAAAGTCAGAAATACCATTCAACCCAGCAATGCCACCACTGGGTATATACCCAAAGGAGTATAAATTGTTGTATTGTAAAGACACATGTGCACATATGTTCATTGCAGCACTATTCACAATAGCAAAAACATGGAATCAACCTAAATGCCCATTAATGGTAGACTGGATAAAGAAATGTGGTACATATACACCATGCAATACTAAGCAGCCATAAAACAGAATGAGAACATGGCCTTTGCAGGAACATGGATGGAGCTGTAGGCCATTATCCTTAGCAAACTAATGCAGGAACAGAAAACCAAATACCACATGCTCGTGGTTATAAGTGAGAACTAAATGATGACCACACATGGACACATAGAGGGGAACAACACACACTGGGGCCTACCAGAGTGGGGAGGGTGGGAGGAAGGAGAGGATCAGGAAAAATAACTAATGGATACTAGGCTTAATACCTGGGTGATGAAATAACCTGTACAATAAACCCCCATGATACAAGTTTGCCTATATAACAAACCTGCACATGTACCCCTGAACTTAAAAGTTAAATAAAATAAATAAAATAAAACAAACTTCTGTTTCATCTGGCCAGTGTTGGGCCAGATGAAATCCTGTGTTTGGCCATATTCACAACTTAGAATTGGAATCCCTCTCTCACCAATGGTATATACAGGAGGTAGTTAAAACAATGACTCTCCTTTCTGTCCACTTACACAGCAGTGATGTTGTATTGGGGAAAAATTCAAGTATCAGTTATGTGATAGTAACAATTGACTTGTGAGTTGCCTTTCAATAGCAAGATTCTGTTATTTCTGTGTTTCCAATGCTAGTATTAGCATTTTAATTTTCCCAATAAGAACAGGGCAATTTGTTGATTATTCTGTTAGTGGCACCCATCAGATTATTTTGTAAACTGTTTATACATCTTTTCCTCTCAGCTCAAAGTACAGAAAGTCATGCTTTATTAATCTTTATGTACACTCCAAATAACATAATGCCTGACCCATAGCAAATATTCATTTACTTTCTCCATTGGAATTGTATTTAAAAATTACTAATGAGCTGTTGAAGTTCACCTTAAACAACATACCATGTAAGTAAATATCATTAACGTAAATTATCCAACACTGTTGAAATCCAAACTCACTCTACCCACCTTTAGACAGAGGGAATGACATCTTGAGAGCATTGCCCAATTTTCTCTTCTCATTCACCTTCCAAAATGCATGCTAGTTGCCTTAAGGCTTCTGAAGAACCATAAAGGCAGCATCTCACTTTGTGTAGGAAGAAGAATTAGTATAGCTGCAAGGTGATCCCAATTCCTGCCTGTCTGTTGGTTCTGAATGCTCCATTCACTTCAGAATCCCTGCTGAGAGATAATACATTGCTTCAGCAAGAAGGCATTTATTTTAGTCATAGTTTCATTCCTCAAGTTTATAGCTGCATAGCACCCTATTCTAATTTATAGGAAAAACATGGAGAAAGCTAAAATGATTGGTTTGAACATATTTGACATCTTTTTTATGATTTATATTATAGTGTTGTATTTAAATTGGCTTACTCGTTATTCTTTTGATAGAATGACATATGCTTTTTTCTCTACCCAGAGATTTAAGAAATTTTTAAGAAAATATGAAAGACCTGGTTTGACATAGGAATTTTTCTAACTTATGAATATATTGTATCCCTTCACAAAGATATACAATAAATTGTGTTTATCAGCAGTAATAAAATTACATTAAACCAGCTCTGGTGTTTGAAACCCAAGATGTATAGTTTCCATATCCATGTCTTTATACAACACTAAGCACTCAATAAATATATATCGGTTAAATCATGTAATAATAGAATGTGCTCCCTTCCATTGATCATAGACTTTAGAAAGACTTCAATCTAACAGAAGTGTTTTCTCTATCTCCTGGGTTTACTCACAGTAAACAAATCCGAGCTATGCTGGGCCAGTTCAGCCAGGCAGAAGCCTTATTAATGAAAGCTGGAGTGCAGCCAGGAACTTTTGATGGAGTTCTTATGGATCTTGGGTGTTCCTCCATGCAACTTGATACTCCTGAAAGAGGTTTTTCCCTTCGGAAAGATGGCCCTTTGGACATGAGAATGGATGGTGGCAGGTGAGTATTCATAAAGCATTTCATCTCACAACAAGAAATCAATTTGTCAAAAACACTCTGAATTTAATTTTTTTAAGACTACAGAATTTCCATTACATGCCTACACCTAACACTACCAATACATAATAAATCAGTTTGTTTCATACTCATTATACACATCAGTATTTCTCTGGATTTGGGATTTTTAAAGAAAAACAATGATTGCCTTTACACAAAATAGTGAAGAGGATAACTTTCATACTGATTATCTTTTTTACTTACACAATATGGGTTTTAGAGTGTTAACCAATGTCAGTAAATATCATGATACTGCAACAACGATTTCATTTTTTTGCATGCCCAACTATGCCTCTTGTGAGAAGCAAAAAGAACTACATATATTTAATGCATCCTCTTTTAGCATACAGAAAAAAAAAAAAGGCAAGATCCTAGAAGTCAGTAAGTGTGTTTTGTCCTGTCTTATGCAGTCACTTTGTTTGAACCTTCTCCAGAGAAACTGTAATTTATGATATGATATCAAACACAGTACTATAATAAGATATCTTTTACACCTCCTCTTCCTGGAAATACTAGCATTTATTCTCCATTATTCAAATAGATTAGATAACACAAAAACAATCATATTCTAGGAAAGTGTAGAAATAATTCTTTTCTTTTTTTTTTTTTTTTTGAGACAGAGTCTCGTTCTGTCACCCAAGCTGGCATGCAGTGGCATGATCTCGCACTGCAACCTCCACCTCCCAAGTTTAAGCAATTCTCATGCCTCAGCCTCCTGAGTAGCTGGGATTGCAGACGTGTACCAGCATGCCCGGCTAATTATTTTTGTATTAGTAGAGACGGAGTTTCACATGTTGTCCAGGCTGATCTGGATCTCCTGACCTCAAGTGATCCACTTGCCTCAGCCTCCCAAAATGCTGGGATTATAGGCGTGAGCCACCATTACCGGCCAACAATTTCTTTATATTAATTGTCTAAATTAATGTTAAAAGCTTAGATTAGGACCTGTGTCTATTCTCAGTACTGACCTAGGGAATGGACAGCCTATACCTGTAAAACTTAACTGTGGTTTTTTCTCTCATACCATGCCCCACCACAAACTGCTTTGTTTTGTGGTAATTATTCACATATAGCCTTTTTCCCTATGTTGTGATACGACCTGTTAACTTGGCTTGTGACCTGTAGTTGTTGGGACTCTGTTGTTCCTAAGTGTTATACCTTCTTTTGCACATGTTGTTGGTATTCACAGAATGAAGAATGTAATTATAAAAGAAAATAATAAAAATCCTTTAAAAACAAGTAACTAATAGTAAAGGTGAAATACAGTCTCATGTGTGGAGATGGAGGTGGTTGTGTAGAGGTAATAAAACATCAAGCCAATTTCTGAAATGCAATGAACAAAACTTCTAGTTACTAGTAGTAAATCCCATATTGTTAGTTTAAAGACTTATCAGCAAATTGTAGTTTGTGAATCAGGGTCCCTGTGGTTTTCCCAAGAGCTTGAAAATAACACTGACACTGAGAATTTAAAATTAATACCTAATGGATGAAATTAGAGTTAAGTAAATATATCTTAAAATGTTGAATGGCTTTCAGGTAGATGGTATAGACTATAACTTAATCAAAAGATTTTTTTTTAGGAGAATACATTTATTTATTATTTATTTTTATTTTTTATTATACTTTAAGTTTTAGGGTACATGTGCACAACATGCAGGTTAGTTACATATGTATACATGTGCCATGGTGGTGTGATGCACCCAGTAACTCGTCATTTAACATTAGGTATATCTCCTAATGCTATCCCTCCCCCCTCCCCCCACCCCACAACAGGCCCCAGTGTGTGATGTTCCCCTTCCTGTGTCCATGTGTTCTCATTGTTGAATTTGCACCTATGAGTGAGAACATGTGGTGTTTGGTTTTTTGTCCTTGCTATAGTTTGCTGAGAATGATGATTTCCAGCTTCATCCATGTCCCTACAAAGGACGTGAACTCATCCTTTTTTATGGCTGCATAGTATTCCATGATGTATATGTGCCACATTTTCTTAATCCAGTCTATCATTGTTGGACATTTGGGTCAGTTCCAAGTCTTTGCTATTGTGAATAGTGCCTCAATAAACATACGTGTGCGTGTGTCTTTATAGCAGCATGATTTATAGTCCTTTGGGTATATACCCAGTAATGAGATGGCTGGGTCAAATGGTATTTGTAGTTCTAGATGCCTGAGGAATCGCCACACTGACTTCTAAAATGGTTGAACTAGTTTACAGTCCCACCAACAGTGTAAAAGTGTTCCTATTTCTCCACATCCTCTCCAGCGCCTGTTGTTTCCTGACTTTTTAATGATTGCCATTCTAACTGGTGTGAGATGGTATCTCATTGTGGTTTTGATTTGCATTTCTCTGATGGCTAGTGATGATGAGCATTTTTTCATGTGTCTTTTGGCTGCATAACTGTCTTCTTTTGAGAAGTGTCTGTTCGTATCCTTTGCCCACTTGTTGAAGGGGTTGTTTTTTTCTTGTAAATTTGTTGGAGTTCATTGTAGATTCTGGATATTAGCCCTTTGTCAGATGAGTAGGTTGCAAAAATTTTCTGCCATTCTGTAGGTTGCCTGTTCACTCTGATGGTAGTTTCTTTTGCTGTGCAGAAGCTCTTTAGTTTAATTAGATCCCATTTGTCAATTTTGGCTTTTGTTGCCATTGCTTTTGGTGTTTTAGACATGAAGTCCTTACCCATGCCTATGTCCTGAATGGTATTGCCTAGGTTTTCTCCTAAGGTTTTTATGGTTTTAGGTCTAACATTTAAGTCTTTAATCCATCTTGAATTAATTTTTGTATAAGATGTAAGGAAGGGATCCAGTTTCAGCTTTCTACATATGGCTAGCGAGTTTTCCCAGCCCCATTTATTAAACAGGGAATCCTTTCCCCATTTCTTGTTTTTGTCAGGTTTGTCAAAGATCAGATAGTTGTAGATATGCGGCGTTATTTCTGAGGGCTCTGTTCTGTTCCATTGATCTATGTCTCTGTTTTGGTACCAGTACCATGCTGTTTTGGTTACTGTAGCCTTGTAGTATAGTTTGAAGTCAGGTAGCGTGATGCCTCCAGCTTTGTTCTTGTGGCTTAGGATTGACTTGGTGATGCAGGCTCTTTTTTGGTTCCATATGAACTTTAAAGTAGTTTTTTCCAATTCTGTGAAGAAAGTCATTGGTAGCTTGATGGGGATGGCATTGAATCTATAAATTACCTTGGGCAGTATGGCCATTTTCACGATATTGATTCTTCCTACCCATGAGCATGGAATGTTCTTCCATTTGTTTGTATCCTCTTTTATTTCATTGAGCAGTGGTTTGTAGTTCTCCTTGAAGAGGTTCTTCACGTCCTTTGTCAGTTGGATTCCTAAGTATTTTATTCTCTTTGAAGCAATTGTGAATGGGAGTTCACTCATGATTTGGCTCTCTGTTTGTCTGTTATTGGTGTATAGGAATGCTTGTGATTTTTGCACATTGATTTTATATCCTGAGACTTTGCTGAAGTTGCCTATCAGCTTAAGGAGATTTTGGGCTGAGACGATGGGGTTTTCTAGATATACAATCATGTCATCTGCAAACAGGGACAATTTGACTTCCTCTTTTCCTAATGAATACCCTTTATTTCCTTCTCCTGCCTAATTGCCCTGACGAGAACTTCCAACACTATGTTGAATAGGAGTGGTGAGAGAGGGCATCCCTGTCTTGTGCCAATTTTCAAAGGGAATGCTTCCAGGTTTGCCCATTCAGTATGATATTGGCTGTGGGTTTGTCATAGATAGCTCTTACAACAGCTCTGAAGAAAGTGTGTGACATTTGAAAAGGGGGAATTGATTCACATGAATTCATTGAAAAAGAAAAGTCATAGATTCAAACATGTGCAATGCTAATCCAAGTGGTATATGTTTGCCTTGGCTAATCCAGGCCAAAAAATGTGGCCTGTCAATTCCTGAAAGGAGATGTATCCCTGTGATGAAGACGGATGCAAGAGACTTCCTTAACCAGTCGCCATTTAACACTAAAGTCTTAAAACATAGTTTATTCTCTGCTGATTCCAATTTCAACAGCAGCTTTCAGATTATAGTAAGGTTTCTCATGTAGAAGCAATAGAAAGAAATTCATAGCTTCAAGAATTTGAGAGTCTAGTTCTGTTGGCAGTTATAGTCTTCACTGGAAGGTAATTAATTGTGTCTGTATTTTCTAAGTTTAGTCACTGTAAGTCAGTGAACTCTGGAGGACTGACAAGATCAAATCTATTAGTTGGGGGGCAGCTCTTGGATCTTGACTCCTTGACCACATGAATGCCTATTCTGAAGCTGTCTAGCAGCCTGCCAAACCTTCCAGTGTTGCACCTTTTGCACTGTAGCACTATGGAAACTTCTATCATTGTTAATATAGAGTAAAATAAAATTATATGTATTGTCCAATTATTTATTTAGAGTAAAATTATGTGTTGAACAAAATACTTTTTAATTTTCTTATTTTAACATAGAAAAGTATAATTAAAAACTGCTAAGTACATCCATACTCGTCATAATATTATCTTGGTAAAGCTGGACTGTATCCCATGGATAAATTTCTAAATTTCACATCATTAACACAGTTCATTCAAATGCTCAGTGGTTTGAGCAGCTGAATTCACAAATAGGTCAGTTTTAGCAGGGATTTTTGTCATTTAAGCCACGAATTATGCCTTGCAAATTTATGAATGGGGAAGATCTAAAGGACAGTGGCATGCATTGAGCATCTTTTATGTTCCAGGCATTGTATTTCTGTTTTACAATTGTGTGCACCAATAATTATCCAAACCATTCTGTGAGTTAAGAATTGTTACTTTCATTTCACAGGTTAAAAATTGAGGTTCTAATAGGTTAAAAGTCTTACTCAGTATGAGTAGCAGGACCAGGATTCTAATCCAGATCAATTGAACTCCAAGGACCAGATCTTCATCCTGAAAGCTGAAAGAGGTGCTGGCAGCCTACTGAGATAGAAATAGGGCTACCTTACAAGACATTCATTGTTCTGTGAGTTTAACGGCAGTCCGACATAAAAACAATTATTGTAAGCTACTCGGGAGGCTGAGGCAGGAGAATCACTTGAACCCTGGAGGTGGAGGTTGCAATGAGCTGAGATTTGCCTTTGTACTCCAGCCTGGGCAACAAGAGCGAAACTTCGTCTCAAAAAAAAAAAAATAATAATCTGAAAAGCGAGGTTTGGACAAAAAAGAGAGACAAAGAGACATCAAGAGAGATGAAAGTCATGACAAATCGGGGGATAAGCCAAAGACAGCAAAAAGATTTTCTCCTAGAGGCACTAGGCTTAACAGTGTATATTTTAGTATTTTTAAGGAGAGTTTCAGGTGTTTGTTGGCAACCCCACTCTGGTTGGACCCTCAGTTCTTAAAGCTACCATACCCTTGTTACTTACAGATCCTCACAGTCTGTTACCAACAATCAATCCAGCATATTAACTGTAAGAGCAGTAACTGCACCATTAGCAAAGCTATTTTTCTAATACGTAAAGTCATAATTAACTCATCACTTAGAATTCTTTGGCCCATTTCCCTAAGGTAAACAGGAATGGTCTGACAGAGTAAATGCTGTTTCTGACTATAATTTATTCTATTTGACCAGAGGTTGGTATTTTTTATTCCTCCTCCATCTAAAATTACTATCTAGACTTGTTCAATACTGCTTATTGATTACCAGGTTTTACCATATGGTGTCCTTTGTTACAGAAGAATGACCAAATATTGTTAAACATTTGAATAATATGTATCATTGCCATTAAAGTTGTATGAGTTTTTGTGAGGGAAACTGATCAGCAGTATGTTTTTTATAGATTTGCTAAGTTCAATTTGTGTCTCCACAAGTAATCAGTTATTTTACAGCCTCAGATTTAGTCAAGTTCTTGAGTTAGACTTTTTAAAATATCATCAGCAAACCTTGTATCTTCCATACTGCAAAAAACATTCAAGCAGTAATTTAAATTTTGAACAACTTAAATCTAACCATTTTTCATTGTTTTAGTTTGAGAAAAATACACAGGAAATAAAAATTTCTTTGTGAATTAAAGTTTAAGGTTAGTATATTTTGACTTCCTGCTGCCTTGACCTTGATGAATGTTATAAACCATCACCACTTGCCATAATGATGGGTAGTTGAAATAGAAAGTCTATTTCATTTGTTTAAGGTTTCAGTTTCTGACTTTAAAACCTCACTTCTCCTAGAGTATGTGTGTGTGTCTGACTTTATGTCTCAGTACTCTGAAGTTTCACGTCTTGTCAATGAGAACTGATGTCAGTGAACTAATTGGCTCTTCTTGTGCGTAGGTACCCTGACATGCCCACTGCTGCTGATGTTGTGAATGCTTTAGATCAACAGGCACTTGCATCTATCCTAAGAACATACGGGGAGGAGAAGCATGCCAAGAAAATCGCTTCAGCAATTGTTCAGGCACGCAGCATCTACCCCATCACCAGAACCCAGCAGCTTGCCAGCATCGTTGCAGGTAGCCTCATTAATTCTCAACAGTGTCTAAGAGAAAAAATTATATTTACATGTGTGCATGTGTTTGTGTGCATGCACGCATGCACATGTGTGTGTGCATTAATCCCCCAGACTCCCTGAGGGATTCATTTGTACTTGAAATCCAGGATAGAATCTTGCCTATCCTTCTCTAATGTCAGCTTTCTTTTGCTTTTGCATGCTTCTCCCCCAAAAAACCTCTCCCCCAAATACAATTTTTAAAAAAATATACTGTAGTTTGCTAATTTGTATAATAGTAGATTTTTATTTTACACAGGATAATTTATCATTTGTGTCTACCAAGGTGAAACATGGAATGATGAGCAAAAGGATTTCTTGATCCATCGCAGTGGTTGATAAGCACCTGTATAAGATCTGACATTACTTCTCTTAGTTTCACATTTCTGCATTTTAATATTTTGGGCAAAAGGAGAATTGCATTGCCCAAATGCTAAAATAAAATACAGTGACTCATATATCTGTTCTAAACAACCAACTAACAAAGGGTATATGATGTATAGGTTATTCCACTTTGTGAATGCTAACTAAATCAGCCTTAGGGGCTTATTGAAACATTTCATCTTTTCTGCTATTTCGCTATTCACCACCATAAACCTCTTGAACCTAACTCTAGCTAGGAGGCGCTTTATTATAGCCTCTCTGTTTGAAGCCAAAGTTGTTTCACAGCTGTGTTCCGTGATGAAAGTTTTCCAAGGCAAAAATATAACTCTTGCAGTTATTTAACAGAATTCCAATGGTAAAATTTTCATCTTGTTGAACCATCTGAAACCCTGTATCATTTTTATTTACCAAATGTATTAAGATTTTTTTTCAGTGGTTCCTATTAAATTACTTAAGTAAATTTTAAGAAGTTTTTAAAAAAGGAATATTTGTGTAACTTATAAATAGAACCTGATATTGGCTGTCTCTTTCTTAATATTATCCATAGTTTAAGAAGTAAAACTTAATTATAAATTCATTTAGATCATTACTATTTAGAGATCACATAGCAATTGTTTTATGATATAATTAAATAAGACTATATTCTACTTAGTTATTATAATGAAATATAAAGAGCTGACTAGCCTTTAATTTTTTAAGCCACATATCTCAGGGCCCTTTGAACTTACCATTGAGATTTCTTTAGGCAAGTTTAAGAGCAGAATTCTTGTGGTTATATGAACATAAAATATTTCATATTTTCCCCCCTAAAAAAGTGTGTATACCAGCATGCCGACATTAAAGTCATCCCCTGTCTGGTGTTCCTTTAACCACTCCGTACTCACTAACATGTCTCCACCGTATCCTTTCTGTAATTATTTAGCTATGTGTTATTATCTGTCTCCCATATTGGAAAGAAAAGCAGTGAGAAGTGATATTTTTTTATTTATAAGCAAATCTAAAATTGGTGCTGAAAATGAGGTGTTGGGGCTAGAGAGCATCCTAAAAATTGTCTAGTCAGCAAACCTCATCTGATTACTAAGGAAACTGAGGCTCAGGGAGGGTCAATAGCTTGCAATAGTAATCTAGAATTCAGAAGCTCATGAATTTAAGGCATAATTGGGAATCTGCCTTTAAGCTACCTTTTCTGTCTGTGCATCCTACTTTGTAAACTTGCGGAAATAACACTTTGGCATTAAGTAGAAATTATGTGAAGGTGTACAATAGGAACAATTTAAGTACCTTCAGAAAGATTATGATATGAAAAGTACATTAGAGCTATGAGAAATGATACAGTAAAAGTGAAAATATTCATATATGGTAAATAAAACCTCAATTTAGTAAATGCCATTGAAACATTGAGTTATCTGGAATTAGTCCATTTTTATGTCTTAAATATCAGTCTATAATAATACAACTTTATTAATGATAATATGAATTTTTAGAAAAGGGAAAAACAAAAATGTGTTTTCATTTTGTGCTCATTTATTCAAAAAATATTTTGAGAGAGGCTGCTTTATACTAGCTACTTCCTAAATACTAAAGGTAAAATAGGAGCTAATCAGATACAACCTCTGTGTTTACAAAGTTTATAGACTAATAGATTAAACAGTCAGGGAACTGAGTGAAAACATCATATAATAACCTCTACTTACAGTGAAAATTCTCTTTCCTATTTATTGTGATCAAGAGTTATGATAGTATGGTCAATAGAAAATTTGATAAAAGCAGATAACTATAGAACCTATAAAAATATACATATATTTGTATGCTTGCATTTTAATTGCAGTTCCATGAAGTTGATTCTTAACAAACCACACCCATGACATATGTCCTATAAGTTCTGGTTATAGTTTTAGTAAAATGAAGTAAGCCTTTAAAGGCATTTGCAAAGCCATCTGAATGAGAAGTTTTCTAGATTTTCATGATTTTAGTCTTTTATAATTGCCTCATTCATACCTAATTTGATTGAATTTTTTTTAAGTGATTCACCTTTAACAAGAGTTTCCAAAGTTTCCAACTTAGTTTTCAGGGAAACTGCAGCTGTCTTTCCTTTTGCATTCATATTTCATCAGTTTATGTAATATGTAATTAAATTATGTAATAACAACAGTGAACATTCTGGGCTGTAAGTGCACAGCTCTCTTGATGGGACTAGAACTGTATAGAAATACCAGAGAATCCAAAGAATAGAATCCTACCCTCACACAATTTGTTTAACAGAGAAAAGGGTTAAATCTGTCCAGTCCAATAAATCAAGAGGTACTACATAAAGAAAATATGAGACACAATTGGAAGGGCACAAGTTCCTGTATGGGTTTCCTCGGGCTGCTGCTACTAAGTACTACAAACTTTGTGCCTTAAAACAACAGAAATTTATTATTTTACAGTTTTGGAGACTTGAAGTCTGAAATCAAGATGTTAGAAGGGAGCTAGAGGAGAATCCTTCCTTACTATTCCTAGCATCTGGCGGTTGCCAGCAATCCTTGGTGTTCCTTGGCTTGTCGATATATCACTGTTTCTGCCTCCATAGTCACTTGGCATTCTCCCTGGGCATCTGTCTTTGTGCCCAGATTTCCCTCTTCTTATAAGGACACCAGTCATGTTGGATTTAGGGCCCACACTTAATCCAGTATATCCTAATCTTAACTTGATTATATCTGCAAAGACCTTATTTCTAGGTCAGATCACATTTATAGGTTCTGGGTAGACATGAATTGTGCTACGTAGACATGAATTGTGGGGGACTCTATAAACCCAGTACAATTCCTAAGCAATATCTTTGTTTGACAAACATGTATTTTGGCAAGCTATAATATGCAATGACTATATTTAAATGTGTTTTCTGATTCTGATAAATTCATACTAAATATGTTCAAAACTATCAAGCACTCTAGGAAATATGCAGCACAGTTCCAGACACATATTAAAATCCATATTGATGGAAATATAAATCACTTTCTTTGCTTTCCAAAAACTAATAATTCAGTAGGACAAGGAAGAACAACACACTTGGAATCACACGCTCAGTAGGATCCTGTAAGTCACGTGATTAAGCTGTTAATTGTAAAATCTAAAGTTTGGTGCGTTTTGCTAGTATAAATAACTACAGTTCCAGTACTCTTCCATATCATGGGAATTCCAAAAGACAGGTTCAAGACTCCAAGTTGGAACAGAGCACTTACAAGCATTGTGAATTACTTTGCAAATTATCAAAGCAGTAATTTATAAGCAACTTACAAGAGAATTCCAAAAACAACCTGTAGGATTTCACTGTTCTTACTACCACACATGTTCATACATATGCTATTCAGAACTACTGGCCGTGAATCTTAATATAAATATTTAACACATATGCAGTGTTATATACAGTGTTCCCTCCAAAAATGATTCATAAATAACAAGTCCACATTTTGTTAAACAATGTTTATTCTAATGTTCTAGCTAAAGAGTTGGAGTTGTAAAATCTAAGAGATGAAAATGGCCTAAGGGACTCATCTAATCTAGAACTAGATTCTTCATCACCTCTAATAAATGGTCATCTAGCTTTAGCCTCTTCATCTTCATCTCTCCTACTCCCCATTGTATTCCGGTGAAGACGAGCACATTTCAGCCTGAAGTTGCCAGTTCCATAAATATAATACAGGCGTAGAGACTTTAGAAAGGATAGATTTCTTAGAATAAAAGCAAAACTCCTTTACATGGTTTGCAACTTCCTCCATGAACTGGCTCCTACCTGTCTTTTCATCTTCCCCTTTCCACATAATAGTCTTTGTTCCAGCCATATTGAAGTTCTTATAGTCTTTCCAGCACACCATAGTCATTCACCTGCAGGCCTTGGATGTCCTTCTGCCTGGAATATTGACCTTCCTCTTCTCTCATCTCCCTGCCCTACCCCTACCCTTTTCTCTGGCTAATTTCAGCTCATCCTTTAGAGCTCAGTTGAAATGCCACTTCCTCACAAAGTTTTTTCCAACTTTACTCACATTAGTTGAGATGGTCTCCTATGTGCTACCATTGCACTGCATTCCCTTGTCTGGCACTTATTATGCTGTATCTTATTGCTTGCTTACTATTTAAATATTCCCTTAGATTTATATTGTGCAACACCATTGTCAACAGCCACATGTGGCTATAAAGCACTTGAAATGTAGTTACTCCGCATTAAGAGGTGCCATGAATCTAAAATATGCACCAGATTTTGAAGACTTAGTTTGAAAAAAATTATAATATTACAAAAATAATTTTATCTTCATTACATGTTGAAATGGTAATATTTTAGATATATTAGGTCAAATAAGGTATTAAAATTAATATTTTGCTTTTTAAATGTGGCTATAGAAAAATGTTAAATAACATGTTTCACATTACATCTTTTTTGGACAGTATTGTTCTAGACTATAAACATCAAGATTATAAGCCCTGCTGTGACTTTTGTACTAATTACTGTATCATAGCATTTAGCCTAATGTTTGACACCTGAAAGGTATTTAGTAAATACATTTTTTAGAATTTTTTATTAAAAAGCTTTTTTTAAGTGACAGGGTCTCCTTCTGTCACCCAGGCTGGAGTGCAGTGGTGCAATCATAGTTGAAGGCTGCAGTGAGCTGTGAGGATCAAGCTGTCCTCCTGACTCAACCTCCTGAGTAGCTGGGACTACGGGTGCCCAACATCACAGCAGGATAATTTTTTTAATTTTTATTTTTAGAAATAAGGTCTCACTATATTGACCGTGCTTGTCTCGAACTCTTGGCTTCAAGCGATCCCCAACCTCCTGGCTCAGCTTCCTGAGTAGCTGGGATTACAGGTGTAAGCAACTGCTCCTGGCAATACTTTTTCAATGTTAATTTATACAGTTAACAAAGTGCACATTCAATCAGAAAAGCTCTGCTTTTAGAATGTTTGGATTCAGTAAAATAACTTCAACGTTAATTTTAAAAATTGATGTTCAGTCTTGTAGGTCATAAAAAGCAAATGTCCTCTTAAATGGTTTGGCTCTGTGTCTTCATCCAAACCTCATCTTGTAGCTCGCATAATTCCCATGTGTTGTGGGAGGGACCCACTGGGAGATGATTGAATCATGGGAACAGGTCTTTCCCGTGCTGTTCTCATGATAATGAATGGGTCTCATGAGACCTGAGACCCTAACACAAGCTCTCTTTGCTTGCTGCCATCCACATAAGAGATGACTTGCTCCTCCTTGCCTTCTGCCATGATTGTGAGGCCTCTCCAGCCATTTGGAACTGTAAGTCCAATTAAACCTCTTTCTTTTGTAAATTGGTCAGTCTTGGGTATGTCTTTATCAGCAGCATGAAAATGACCAATACGTCCCCCACAACATTAACACTAACATATGCAGGTAAGTTAGGAAAACTACATTGCCCTCTAGTACTTTATTCATCTTTGTAAGTTGAAATGATATTAATTCCCATCTTATTCTTTAAGAATGCTGTGAAGAATAATAATGCTTTGATAGAATATTTTTATTAATTAAAAATCCTTCATTATGATGAATGACACATATAAAAATTCTCAAGCTCTTCAGAAGAAAGAAAATTTATGCACTTAATTTTGAAAAAATGGCCATGGTCTGGATTTTGCAGAATTGATGTATTTGATGTATTGATGTTTTGCATAGTCTTAAAAATGAGATAGATTCTAGACATCCCTTTGAATAAAGAAATCTGGGTATTTTCCTCAAGAGGCTGGCTGCCCATATTTTATATTTGAGCTTTTTCGTATTCTAGCGCTCTTTTCATTCTCCGGTTACATCAAGGAAATTACCAGTTAAATGCTAACTAGTTTAATGAAAACATCTTTGTTCAAGTCCTGGTTCTTCAACTTGCTGTTTGTGTAAACTTGAATAATTCTAGACCTCATCTTTCTCATCTTAAACTGGAGGCAAATAATAGTTATGATAATAATCATTAATTTTCTTTAGTAAACATAACCATGCCAATTATGTTTTGCTTAAACCAATGTTGAAATTCACTTGTAGTCTCAGAGCTCATGTTAAAAATCAAAGAAGTATACCAGTCACTTTTCAGATCATTGAGATTTAGGTTAAATAAAAATAAAATAATTGATAAAATAGATAATTGATCTCTAAACAATCAAAAGGTGACAGAAGGCTTATAATTATTTGAATGAGAGGAGGGGGAGAAACTTCTTAGATATTTGTGATTCATGTTGATTAAATGTATAGATTTATTCCTTTCCTGAAACTTTTGTGTAACCTTTATTCTGACTCATAAACTGGGTACATAACCAGAGATTAATGAATGCTTGTTGAACAAATAAATCAATAAAAGGATACGTACATTCCCAGCCAAAGTAAAAATGAAAATTCAAGGGGAAAAAATATATAAGTTCTTAGGTGTTACTGAGGATAAACTGTACTTTTTCCGTCATGTTGAAGAGGGAGACAACCTGAGCATCAAAGTCTTCAGTATAAATTAAAGCAGCTTGAGGAATAAGTGAGACCCTCCAGGACATGGAATCAAAAATTCTCAAGTTTTGTTTCTGTTTGTGCCACTTATTTGTTCTGTGAACTTGAGTAAGTTCACTTATCTTCTCTGACCCTCATTTCCTCATCTGGAAAATAGGAATAACAAATCTTGCTATGACTAATAAATGACATTTATTATCTGTGAAATTTAAAGTGCAAATATTCTTGTAAGCATTTTTTTTTCTCCTCTGTATTCAGAGCTAAGGTAATTCAGACAGTAAAGGAATGCAGTAGTTGGAACTCTTGAGTGTGGACTTCCATTTCCAATTCTATTTTCCTGTCCATAACCAAACAGTGTGATTTGTGATAGATTGATCACTTCATTCCAAGATGTTCTTCCCTTAGGAGTTATGTGACTTGTAGGAAGGAGAAGAATAATTGTCTTTTTCTGCACTGGGACATGTTAAGGTATATCTTTCCACAGTGGCATCAATGGCTCATGCCTCAACCTGTATCTGAAACCATCATCTTTTTTCAGCATCATTTTGTTAATCCAGAGAGAACCTTCAAAATAAAAGATAATGATAAGATAAAATTTATGCCAGGCGCAGTGGCTCACTCTATACTGCAAGCACTTTGGGAGGCCAAAGCAAGCTGATCTTGAGTCCA
Organism: Homo sapiens; assembly: GCF_000001405.40. Taxonomy (NCBI): domain Eukaryota; kingdom Metazoa; phylum Chordata; class Mammalia; order Primates; family Hominidae; genus Homo; species Homo sapiens. The sequence continues at coordinate 28,304,507 of NC_000011.10, forward strand.
GGAGTTCGAAACTGGCCTGTTCAACATGGTGAAACCCTGACTCTACTAAAACTACAAAAATTAGCCGGGTGTGGTGGTGCATTCCTGCAGTCCCAGCTACTCAGGAGGCTGAGGCATGAGAATCACTTGAACCCGGGAGCTGGAGATTACAGTGAGCTGAGATTGTGCCACTGCACTCCAGCCTGGGTGACAGAGTAAAACTCTGTCTCAAAAATAATAAAATAAAATAATAAAATTTATTAAGAAATAGTCATTATCTTTTAGTTGGAACATAAACTTATTCCTGATCAAGATAATTTGACATCCTTTTATTGTTTAATAACTTACATGTTGCTTCCTTCATTTTTCTCAAAAAATACTCTTTATACTAACATTGCTGTGATTAAGAAATGGAAGGAAAAGTGTTAGAGTGTTCAGTTTTCACTCTGATGGAAAATGGTATGGTCAAACCTACAGTTGAATTTGGATGGCTCCCCAATATATCATAGTTGTCATTGCCACTGCTATGAAAATTACACTTATTCTTTTGTCATTTCAAATTTCTCGAACTCAATCTATTACACACTGTATGTATAGTGACATGCCAACTAAATTAGCAAATGACATTTTTTAAGTAAACTTATGTTTTATTTCTTATTTTAATAAGTAATCCTTTCAAAAGACATTCTGTACATGAACTCCAACTCAGAAGGGAATGGAATGTGGAAAAAAAGAAAGAAAACCTGAGTAACTTTTCCTAAAAAAGTCTAGCTGTTCTCAGTTTGTGGCACCAAATGGGGAGCAGGGAATGTTCCAGTCGCAACTGACTAATTAGCCCAACCCTAATTTATTGATAATAATAATGATAAATAATAATGCTAGCTAACACTTACTGAGCAAATACTAGGTATTATGTGAAATCATTTTCTTGTATTAACTCACTTAATCTTCACAGCAACCCATGAGGCTGGTACTGGTTTTATCCCCATGTTATGGATGAGGTAACTGAAGTATAAAAAGATTAGGTTACTTTCCTCTTGTCAACTAGAGCTGGGATTAGAAGCTAGTAATCTCATTTTACACTCTGTGCTCCTGATTATAACACTGTTCTAGATCCCTTTCTTATGATTAAGGTACAGCAGTGTTGCTGGAGAATGCTGACAGCTCAGTCTTCAAGGATGTCCCATACTCCCAGCACTTTGTATCTTGTGATAAATGCTATAAATAATGGAGTCATGAACAAAAAGGTATGAGAACCCAGAAAAAAGAGAAATTTATTTTTGTATAGTGAGAGGTTAGACTTAATGAAGAGAAGGGTCAAGTAGAAGTTATAGACAAGGAGACCTTTGAGTTAGGCCTTTTAGGGGCAGAAGTGATGCCTATTTATGGAAGAGTTCCTGGCAACTAATAGAAATTCATGAATTACAGACATGAAAAGATGAATGAACAAATAAATGAAGAAATAGGTGGGATTTCAGGGGGCTGAGGAGAGTAGAAGACAGGCAATTCAGAGTCCGATTCTAGGACCTAATATAATTCCAAATTCCTGGAATTCCTCATTATCTTAGAATCCCCTTTCCTAAATGTGACCTTGAGCTGGGTCAGATTTTTGGGACAGTAATTTAGTGTAACCACGTACTCTAGATCTTCCTGATTCTGGATGAATTTTAGACTGCTTCTAGGGAAAAAGAGAAAAGAAAATGCATCCTGTTACCTCATTGCTCCATTTCTTGTTATTTTATACTTTTAGTACTTCTGCAAGTGAAAATTAGAGTGACCTGCTGGCATTGTATGTTTGATATAGTAGCAGTTTTCACATTGATATTAATTTTGTGAAGATATATATGACTAACCAGGCCATCTTTTCCTCCTTTTTACTTGTTAAAAATGAAGAAAGATTATTTGTTCCTATAACTAGTTATTCAGAAGCCTTAAGAATTTGGTGGCAGATATTTATCTGAACGATCCATTTCAGAATTTAGATCAGGCAGTCTTACATATTATTTGTACTGTCTTGTTTTTGATATTTACATGGATTCAGATCTTGTCTAGGTGGCAGATACAATAACATGTTCTCTTTACTTCACCCAAAAATATTGAGAGAATCAACAGTATGCACCTCCACTCCTTAAAGTAGTAGTGTCACACATCAGCTATTATATTTGTATGTTTCAGGATGTTCTTTGAAGACAAGCATATGCTTTCATTTTTAAAGTTTAAAATGTTCAAGTTATTTTAAAGAATGTCAAAGAGAGAGAATTCCCAATTTTAATGGATTGACAAAGATCAAAGATTATATTTTTGGGACTGAGAGGGTAATAATGGAAGAAAGAGTAGTTTTGATGTTTGATGTTTAAGCTTTGTTACTAAAAATGAAGAATAATACTTCCAAATTTTTATATATTGTATCTTTTGCTTTGTGGCTGAATTTGAAAAATTATGGAATATCTAGGAAATGTGTTTGTTAGAATTTTTAAAATAGGAATTTGTTAACTTTTAATATATTTTATATTTCTTATAACTCTTCAGTTTTGTCAGAAATATTAAGTTTCATCATTTCCCAAACATTTTAATTTATTGTATCACTGTAATCTTCAGATGACTGTATATTGCCTCAAATATTTCTAATCACTTAGAATCACTTCTACTGTATTATAAACTATAGAATAGATCACCTCTGTTTACATTTTTTGTGTGTGTGATAGCATATAACACACAGTAAACAACAAGAAATATTTGCTGACTTCTTACCTCTCCTAATACATAATTATTTATTTAATGACTTTCTTATCAATTGGACTACAAGACTATATGAGGGGAAGGATTAGATGTGTCTTCTTCATTGGTGCATCATCAAAACTTGATATATTATGTCTTAAAATAGATGCTCAATCAATATTTCTTTAATGAATAAATGAATGGCCATTTTGTTCATAGTTTTGATGTTTATACAATGAGCTTGACTAGGTACAACTAGTAAAGAAGGCCTTTTAATCAACTAGTTTCTTTAGCATATAGGCACTTGCTATTAGGTAGACTCAGACCTACAAAAATAAGAGAAAATGTAATAATTGTCTTTGCACTTGTAGTACCTTTCCTATTCTTTTAAATGGTAAATCAGGCTAAATATGCCATAAAATACAGGGTCAGTCTTCTGTAATTTCAGTTTTCTCATTAGCAAAGTAGTGAATTTGACCTAGAAACACCTATTTCATACACATATTATGTATCGACTTAACCATCAGGTATTTATTCTAAGTCTACTTTGTGCTGGGCACTGATGAAGATGAAGACAAAGGTTTTACTTTCTAAGAATTAACAAAAAATGATCTTTCCTAGTTACATAGCAGATGTCATAGTATTTATTTGGCTACATATATATTTTTACTGATTTCTTATAATATTTTCATGAATCCCATTAATTTCTGGGATTAATTTTCCTCCTACCCAAGTACATATTTTAAGATATCTTCGATGAAGATAAAGACACAGACAAATTATGAGAGTATGTTGCTACATTTGTCTAACTGTATTTTTGTTTTGTTCTCGCTTTTGAATGATGCTTAGTTGGGTGTAGAGTTGATAGGTTTATGATTATTTTCACTTAGTACTTTGCAGATATCATTTCATTATCTTTTGACATCTATTATGGCTAATGAAAAGTCTGCTTGTCTTTATTTTATAGTTATTCTTTCTGTTTCTCTGATTACCTTTAAGATTTTTCTGTCATTCATATTTAATTGTGATGTGCTTGGTTGTGACTTTGTTTTTATTTGTCCTTCGTGAAACAGAATGAGCTTCTTTAATATTTCTATATTCCTGAAAATATCAGACTTTATTTCTAGCCATACTTTTTTCCTCCCATTCTCTCTACTCCTTTGCAACACTTAGTTTCTTGTATTTCCCACGTCTTTCTATCTCTGTGTTATAATCTAGGTAAGATACTGTACTGGTTCACTCTTAAGGTATATCTAATCTGCTGTGTAACCCATTTGTTAATTTTTTTAATTGACACAGTTCCACTCATAGAATAGACTCCTCCCAGGATTGTAATTGTTTATGTAGTGCTTCAAAGAACAGATAGTTCTTGAAATTAGCTATAACTGATTATAAGTTTCTTATTCTCCTTTAAAATCATTCAGTTATCTTATATGAGCCGGATGCACCCTATAATTTGTCTTTTTTAGTAATTTTTTGTTGACAGGGCTTTTTTAATGACAGTTATTATGGTATATCACCAAAGCATGATAACGTTTAGTTTCCCCAAATCTCCAGGGGCAAGAAACCACTCTCTTTCCCCACTGTTTACCATATGTGAGGCTGCATTGAAACTTCTTCATCACTAAAGTGTCTCCCCTTAGCAGGTTCATCAGATAGAAAGAAAGATTAGATAGATAGGTAGGTAGGTAGATAGATAGATAGATAGATAGATAGATAGATAGATAGATAGGCAGGCAGGCATGGATGGCAAGATGGATAGCCATTCTATCAATCAACCAATAGATAGATTGATCGTAGGTAGATCAATAGATACATAGATAGATGGCTCTGGCTCAGACTTATGTTTCCAAGCTGTACTCCCTCATTTGTAGTGGCCTGCTCTGTATGTCTGCCGAAATTTCATGTCAATACTTTAATCTCAAAATGTATAATGTTGAAATTTTCATTATCTTCTCCACCAAAATCGTCTTCTCTTCCTGGCGTTGTTGTCCTTACAGTAATATCTGGCTTCCATTTGGTTGCTGCCAACTACCTGGCTGATCACACAAATCTCGCTTTTGACTCGTCACAAATCTCACTTTTGACACCCCACCACTGTTGACTGACAAACCTCCTCTTTAAACTGTTCTTGGTTCCCAGCTAACTTGTTTTTTCTCTTGGTCTATACCTGCCCAACTGTGACTAACTCTAGTCCTAACCAACTTCTACTTCATCTCTTACTATTTAGTGCCTAATCCTATTACCTTTCATCTTTACTAACATGGGTACCTTTCACTTTGCATTTTTAATTATTACCATTGAGTAGTATTCTTTTGCATTGCTTTGGGGATCTTGGAGCATACCCCGCAACCCATGGTCCAGATTTTTATCACCATCCTCTAGCCAAGTCCAGTTTCCCTAAGTCTGATTTCTCTTTTGCCAATAATTGACTGTTACTCAAGACAAATAACTTTTTCTCTCTGGTTCTCGTTTATTTTCTTTCTTGTAAGGGGTAAGTGTATTATTAGACCATTCAATCTCCTGCGTTTTATGATGCTACAACAGCATTTTCCTAGTCTCTGGGATGGAAACTTCAGAGATATCCCTGGGTCATTTTTTTCTGTGCCCCCCACACACAATTTTTCATTTGATCACTTAAATTCTGTCCTGATGGTGGCTCTTAATTCAGTCATCTCTTGTAAATATCCACCATTACCATTGTTCATCTGTTATTTAGACTATTACAATAGACTTCTTAGAGGCCTACCCACGTCTACTTTTTCCACTCAGATCCATCTGCATTACACATATTTTGGAGTTTCTACCCAACCCATATCTTCTTCCCATTGAATTTAATAGACCCCCCCATCAACTACTGACACCTGGTAAAGAAACCTAGGCACCTATGTTTATACCACTTTACTCCAGAAGCAACTAATTGGAGAGTCATGTAAATTAAATACTTCTCTCAAAATGTGAGCCAGGAAACTTAGAAACTATAAGTAGATGGTACTGGAAATATAGATTTGGGGACAGAATTGCCTCATTGTCAATCCAAAGCAAGGGGAAAGTCAGAGTTAGGAAAACTGGGAACCAAGAGCAGAATGAAGGCAATTAGTTTGAGGAAAGAATGAATGTCTAGAAAATGGAGGAAATGTTCAGAGGTACACACACACACACACACACACACACGCACGCACCCATGAATATATAACCAAACCCAGGCGTGCAAAGAATGCTTGTCTGATTGCTTCTCAATTCCCTAAAGGCCTAGTAATATTTCCTGCAGTTGGCTTTCTGTGATTCCTATACCTCCTTTTAATAATTTTTTAGAATCTTAATGAATGGGCTTTATTCCATTCCTTAATATCCAACCAATTCCCTAAGATATCACAGCTTTACTAATTACATCATTTACTTGCTCAAAACATGCAGTGACTCCAGTTACGGATACATTTGATCCCAGACTCCTGAGCTTGATTTTTGAAGGCCTATTTTCTAGTCTGAGCTATTCTTTTTTCATATTTTCTGATTTTATTCTACATTCTGGCTTAACTGTTCTGTCCGTTTCCCCTAAACATGTCTTACATTGTATTTCATGTATCTTTGATTGTGATATATCTTCCACCTGGAAAAAAATCTCTTTCCGTCTCCACCAGTTGAAATATTTTCATCTTTAAGACCTAGCTTAAATGCTGCTGCTGCTGCTGCTGCTGCTGCTGCTGCTGCTGGTGGTGGTGGTGGTGGTGGTGGTGGTGGTGGTGGTGGTGGTGGTGGTGGGTGTGTGTGTGTGTGTGTGTGTGTGTGTGTGTGTGTGTGAGAGAGAGAGAGAGAGAGAGGAAGAGAGATTCCATCCATTATTTCCCAAGTTGGGCATGGTCTTTGATTTAAACTAGCACAGCAGTTTGTTCATCTTTTATCTTCCTCTTGGCAATGTGGCATGGCAGGCTTTATACAGTCAGAAAGAGCAGCAATTAAATCATTGTTTTGCTACTTAATGGTTATGTGACTTTGGAAAGTTATTTAATCCTTTCTCTTTCTCAGTGAGAGAAACAGGCAATAAATATTCAAATCATTCAAATAAATGTGTAATTATCAATTTTGGAAATGTCATGAACAAGTAGTACAGGGAGAAATTCCTGTGAGAAATTCATACTCACTTTCAAGATTCAGTTCATATATTATTACTTTAGATCGTGCCCTGAACGTTTCCTTCTTGCCATCCTCCTGAAGTTGCTTACTTTTTCATTATGTGTTCATATGCCTAACTAGCATTTGCTTCATTATACTTTGTCTACCTTATGAACTGTGTGAGCTCTTCAAGGATAGAGCAACCATATGTAATTTACTTGAATACTTTACATCTCTTAGAACATGTGTTAAAGGAATCAATAGACTGCCCTAAAAAAGCAAGAATGGTTGAGTCACATAGATTTGAGCTGACTCTGTAATTTACTAGCTTTGTAAATTTATCTTCTCTGAATCTATTTCTTCATCTGCAAAATATGGGTAGTAATAGCTACCTCAAATGATTCTTGGATAACTAAATCAGATAACATATTTTAGATGTCTAGAGATATGTTTATTTTTAACCTTTGTTGAATGAAACGTAAGTATGAGTGAGTTAGTGGGTAATTGAGTGAGTTGGACAGTGCTATACAAATTTCATTAATGGATTCATCAGAAAAGACAGACTTCCTATACCAGTAGCAGCTACATTGCTCTTTGAAGGGATGGCTAAGATGTCAGCAGGTAGAGATATCAGTGGCAGTCAAGGGACTGGGAACCTAAAGCTTAAGAAGCAATGTAAGAAAGCTGAGACAGAGGAAAGCATTCCTTTTTTTTGTTGAAGTTGTTATTCCCAGCTGCTACTTTATCCTCCCCACCCTTTTCTTCATCACATTGAAGAACTCTTAGGATAGGCGGCCAACTCATTTCAGGTACACCAGTAGCTCATTAGCCAGGTGACATGTTAGACCTCACATAATAAGCTGTAAGCTTGGAATTTGACAAGATAATGTGTTTTATTATTAATTATAATTTAAGTTATGATTGTTGAATGGAGATTTCTGTTGCCCAATTATTGTTATTCATTAAACTGTTTTAGAGACAGCATATATATAACAATGATATTGAAGCTACTACATTTGCTTCCTAAAAAGAAGAAAAAATGTTGACAGTTATGCATAGTCTCCTGGAAAACATTAGTCTAGAGCCCTTTGGGCTTCAGCTGTCTATCTCAGAAGTTGTAGCTGTGAATGATAATCTACCAAGTAGGACATAAAAGTTGTTGACTTCGTCTGTATACTCCTTTGATGAAAAATGGACTTTTCCATCAAACTACCAAGCCAATATGCTGTATTGTTTTATTTCTTTGTTCTTTTTTTCTTGTTGTGTTAGTCAATTTTGTGCTGCTATAACAGAATACCTGATGCTGGATAATTTATAATCAACAGAAATGTATTTGGTTCATGGTTCTGGAGGCTGAGAAGTCCAAAATCAAAGAGCAGCATCTAGTGAGTGCCTTCTCGCTATGTCATCTCATGGCAGAAAGGCAGAAGGTCAAAAGAGCATGCATGCAGGAGAGGAAAGGGGGCCCAACTCATCCTCTTCTCAGGAGTTCACTTCCTCAAAAACTAACCCACTCCTGAGATGGTAGCATTCATGAGGACAGTCTCATGACCTGATCATCTCTTAAAGGTTTCATCTCTCAATACTGTTAACATTGGGCATTAAGTTTCAACACATGAACTTTGGGGAACACATTCCCACCATAGGACTTGTTTTTTTTTTTTCTTTCTTTTTAAGCCCTGTCACTCTCGTATTATTAGTCAGAGTTCATGTCTCTGTTTTCTATTGTATCACTGAGTAATAGAAAAATAAGTTAGTTTTGGAGTTATACAAAAACCTAGGTTCAGATTCCATCTCTACCATTTACTAGCTTTGTGAACTTGAACAAATGACATGACTATTCTAAGCCTCTCTAAAATAGGATAATGGTTTCTAATTTATAAGATTATTGTAATGATTAGAAATTACCTTTTAAAACTACCTATGCTAGTTCTGGGCACATGATAGGTACTTGACAAAAGAAAAACAATATAAGAATTTACCTTGTCTAATTGTTGATAAAATCTACATCACAAACACATGCAAAAATAATTAAAACTCATGATCATTGAGATCATGAATTCATAATCATAAAGATCATGAATTCATAAATATGAATTCATTATTAATAATCAATGATTAATGAATTTATGATTCAGTAATTAAAATTCAAGTTTATAAAGTACAGGATTTTTATTTTTCTATTATAAAAGTATCTTTGTTTATATGTCATGGAAAATTGTTAGGAAATTAAAAAAAACTTAAAAACCTGTAATACCATTGTACAACTATAACATAAATATGCTATCGCATGTTAATTTTATCTCTTTATTTATTCTCACATTTGTTGTGTTGGAGTGATTGGATGTATATAGTTTTGGATTTTTTTACTTACTATTTTATTATATTACTTAAATTTTATGCCAATATACTAGATATCAGTAGAGATACCATAATTTATTAACTTACTTATCATTAGATAGTTGGCCTCCAAGTGGGAGCTATTATTAAAAGCTATATAATAAATAATTTGGGCATATTTAAGGGATTTTTTTTGGAAGGTGGATATTTTCTAAGCTAAAGTCTCAAAGTGAGATTAATAGCACATATATGCCTTTAGCCCTTGAAACATGCTTTTCAAAATGTATACATGTCCTTCTAGAAACCAAAAGCCTTTACTGGGCACTATTTCTACAGCAATTTAGTGGTATAGAGCAGGTAGGAAAATAAAAGTTGGAGGAGGAAGTTCAGTATTGAATTTGGATGTGAGTGAAAAAAGATATCTATAATTTATGATTTAATTAAAATCCATTTGCTATTGGACATCAGAGAATTGTATATGTAATCTTTAATTCAGTCAGTCTGTTGGTCTTTCAACAAGCCTGTTTTGAGAAAAATGATGAAAACACATGACCTCTACCTTCTGGAAGCTTATATGTCAGTAGGAAAGATAAATATTTTTTGAAGAACATTTGTAATACAGTTGAGAAGTGTTCTATTGCAGGTAAGTATGCTACAGGAAGGCATGCAACTTTATCTTCGAGTGCAAGGATTGATTATGAGTATGTGCTGATCTCAAGAAAAAGGCAGCACTGTTAATCATCTGTGTGTTACCATCTTCCAACTCTGGGAAGTGCATATGGCCCAATTCTGGGATCAATAATGCATGCCCTGTAGAATATTCATAAAGGGTTCAAATAAAGTATTTTGTAATGGGTCTCAAATATGCTAGAACCTCCTGCTTAGACTTCTGTATGTGGCAAATGGGCCTCAATCACTCGTGAAATATCCAGTAATTAAATATAAAGGTGACCACCTAAATAGGTAATGGGAATCATGATTCAATTTCAGGTATCCCATCTATGCTGAGCAAATGAAGACATAGGTAGTTGGTATGGTTTGGCTCTGTGTCCCCACTCAAATCTCATCTTGTAGGTCCCATAATTCCCATGTATTGTGGGAGGGAACCCAGTGGGAGATGATTGAATTATGGGGGCAGGTCTTTTCCATGCTGTTCTCCTGATAGTGAATGGGTCTCACAAGATCTGATGGTTTTAAAAAACGGGAGATGCCCTGCACAAGCTCTCATTTTGCCTGCTGCAATCCATGTAAAATGTGACTTGCTCCTCATTGCCTTCTACTATGATTGTGAGGCTTCCGCAGCCATGTGGAACTGTAAGTCCAATTAAACCTCTTTCTTCTGTAATTGGCCCAGTCTCAGGTATGCCTTTATCTGCAGCATGAAAATGGACTAATACAATAAATTGGTACTGGGATTGGGGCATTGCTGAAAAGATACCCAAAAATGTGGAAGCAACTTTGGAACTAGGTAAACAGGCAGAGGTTGGAACAGTTTGGAGAGCTCAGAAGAAGACAGGAAAATGTGGGAAAGTTTGGAACTTCCTAGAGCCTTGCTGAATGGCTTTGCCCAAAACGCTGATTGAGATATGGATAATAAAGTCCAGGCCAATGTGGTCTCAGTTGGAAATGAGGAACTTGTTGGGAACTGGAGCAAAGGTGACTCTGTTATGATTTAGCAAAGAGACTGGCAGCGTTTTGCCCCTGTCCTAGAGATTTGTGGAACTTCAAACTTGAGAGAGATGATTTAGCGTACCTGGGGGAAGAAATTTCTAAGCAGCAAAGCATTCAAGAGGTGGCTTGGGTGCTGTTAAAGGCATTCAGTTTTATAAGAGAAGCAGAGCATAAAAGTTTGGATAATTTGCAGCCTGACAATGTGATAGAAAAGAAATCCCATTTTCTGAGGAGAAATCCAAGCTGACTGCAGAAATTTGCATAAGTAAGGAGAAGCCAATCCCCAAGACAATGGGGAAAATGTCTCCAGGGCATGTCAGAGGTCTTCACAGCAGCCCCTTCCATCACTGGCCTAGAAGCCTAGGAGGAAAAGATGGATTCATGGGCCAGGCCCAAGGCCCCCCTGTTCTGTGCAGCCTAGGGACTTGGTACCCTGCGTTCCAGCCACTCTAGCCATGGCTGAAAGAGGCCAAGTTACAGCTCAGGCTGTTGCTTCAGGGGGTGGAAGTCCCAAGCTTTGGCAGCTTCTATGTGGTGTTGAGCCTGTGGGTGCACAGAAGTCAAGAATTGGGGTTTGGGAACCTCTGCCTAGATTTCAGAAGATGTATGGAAACACCTGCATGCCCAGGCAGATGTTTGCTGCAGGGCTTGGGCCCTCATGGAGAACGTCTGCTAGAGCAGTGTGGCAGAGAAATGTGGGACCCCCACACAGAGTTCCCACTGAGGCACCACTTAGTTCAGCTTTGAGAAGAGGGCCACCATCCTCCAGACCGCAGAATGGTAGATCCACCCAACAGCTTGCATCATGCACCTTGAAAACCCACAGATGCTCAGCAGTAGCCTGTGAAAGCAGCCAGGAGCAGGGCTATACCCTGCAAAGCCACAGGAGTGGAGCTGCCAAAGACCATGAGAACCCACCTCTTGCATCAGTGTGACCTGGATGTGAGACGTGGATTCAAAGGAGATCATTTTGGAGCTTTAACATTTGACTGCCCTACTGGATTTCGGATTTTCATGGGGCCTGTAGCCCGTTTGTTTAGGCCAATTTCTTCCATTTGGAATTGCTGTATTTACCTATTGCCTATACTCCCATTGCAACTAGGAAATAACTAACTTGCTTTTGATTTTACAGTCTCATAAACAGAAGGGACTTAACTTGCCTTGTCTCAGATGAGACATTGGACTGCAGACTTTTGAGTTACTGCTGAAATAAGTTAAGAGTTTGGGGGACTGTTGGGAAGGCATGATTGGTTTTGAAATGTGAAGATAGGATATTTGGGAGGGGCCAGGGTGGAATGACATGGTTTGGCTCTGTGTCCCCACCCAAATCTCATTTAATAACTCACATAATTCAATGTGTTGTGGGAAGGACCTGGTGGAAGATGACTGAATTATGGGGGTGGGTCTTTCCCGTTTGTTCTCCTGATAGTGAGTGGATCTCATGAGATCTGATGGTTTTATAAAACAAGAATTGCCCTGCACGAGCTCTCATTTTGCCTGCTGCAATGCATGTAAGACGTGACTTACTCCTTCTTGCCTTCCACCATGATTGTGAAGCTTCCTCAGCCAAGTGGAACTGTAAGTCCAATTAAACCTTTTGCTTTTGTAAATTGTGCAGACTCGGGTACGTCTTTATCAGCAGCGTGAAAATGGACTAATACAGTAGTATAGAATTAGTTTTATTGAAAAATAGTTATGAAAAATTTCAGTTCTTTCCTTTAATTCTGGGCCATGTTTCTTATTTCATTTCAGCAGTTAATGTTCCTCATTACCTTTTTGTTCAAACTTATAACTTTATTTTTTTTCCCTATTGTATGAGGATTTGTAAATCTCAACCACCCATAGTGAGATCGTGTTGTCATCAGACTTAACCTGGTAGGAGTTGGGGATTAAATGAGACTCTGAAGAAGTTTAAAAAGAACCTCACTGAGTAAAGCCAATTTTCTCCAGAACCATTCAAGTTCACAGATTTTAATTAACAGTTTGAAATTTGTAATATTACTTGAATTTCAGATGGGTGAGAATTTAACACTATATTAAAGGAGCCCAGGCAAAAGGACATGGGTTGCGTCACCGAGACTTATTAAATGTGATGGAAATTCAACAGCCGAATGCTGGCAAACAGGTGCAAGAGCTGAATTAATATTTAAACCCTACCACTCAGGGGGAATTGCAGTGCATCACGTTGACAGCCACAGCACGATGCTAATTTCATTCACAAGCTTAAAAATCTCAATACATTTAAACACGTGAATGTATTAAATTTTAAAAAGTGTAAGTAGCATAAGGGTATCCCAGAACTAAAAATTGCAATTTCTCTCTGGGACTTCAAATCATTTATCTAGCCAGAAGCATGGTGCTTTTTATGAATGAAGTATATCTTACTACTTTCACATACAAATTGTGTTCTATTATTATATGTAGTGCAGACTGTTACTAAGCAAGATTTTCTCTTACTTTATGTGAAATTCTTTGTGAGTCATAAGAAAACCAAGGATTCACTGATAGAGTTTCCAGCTTCTGATATCATACATGAAACAGGGTTCTCAATCAATGCTTCCAGTGATGCTAAGTGGTAGAATATTTCTGGAGGTAAAGAAAAACAAAACTAAATACATACAGAAGTTTTTTTGGGGTGATATCATTAGAAGTGGTAAGTTGTAAGCTAAAAACTCAGCCAACTCCCAATTTGCGTTTACCAGAAATTTACCTACTGTGGGTCACTTGTTCATTTAAGAATTTGATGGAAGCAGCAGAGCATCTCCGCATAAAATTGCATGTACATGCAAAATCCTATGAAGATTTCAGGGAGTTCATGAATTTCCACATTCCAAATATTGTTTATGATACGTCTTGATCTTTATCTGGGACTGGAAGGGTATCCCTTATTGAGAGGACTTTTTTCTTTGCCACCTGCTGTGTACCAGGCCTTAAAATGGATTGGGGAAGTAAAGGAAAGTAAGAAAAGATCTCTGGACCCTTTACAGCCTAGTGGAGGTTGGTAGACAAGTAGTACAGAGGGGTAAATAATTTGATTTTATATATATATATATAAAATTGCAGAACTGCCTGGAGAAGACAGCACATTAGTGAGTATTAATTGATGTAAAGTACAAGAAGAGGGAGGCATTCTAGGCCGAAGGAACGGTATGTGCAGAAGCACAGAAATGAGAACAAGAAGCACTATTCTTTCATTGCTAAAATACTGTGTAAGAAATGTATAACAACAAGTGTATTTTAAAAGTTAGTTTTCTCTATCAACATTTCTTAAGCTTTAAATAAAACAAAAATTATTGTTTTAGCTGGGCCTAATTTCCTAAGGTTTTAGCCATCTCAGCCTTTTATTACATTTGTATACAAGCTTGTTCTCCTCATCTTGCTTAACTGGAGAATATTAAGCACTCATTTTTCAAATACAAAAACAACTGTAAAAGGCTCCCTTCCTAGTAAGTGAGTCAAGAAAAGCCCATATATACTGCATTGGATGAGTCTAGATTCTTAATCAAACACATGTAATCAGTACCTGCCCAAAAATCTTGACAATGGCAGCAGTAGCAACTGATTCTTTTTTAAACCCACTATCAAGAAAGCAGATGAAAAAGAGACAAATGTACAGTCAATAACCTGAGCTAACAATAAGTTATTTTCAATAGAACAAAAAGGACAAAAGCCAAAGGTATTCATTATCATTCCCAGGATAAGAGACCACAGCAGTTGCTGCCTTCACCAGATGTGCTGTCTTTAGGCCTGACAATGCACATCTCCCCAAGGGAAATGTAGGGAGAAAGCCAAACTCTTGCAACTCGATGCATAGTGATTTGGCTTCCATTAAAACATCTCTCAGTAAAAGCCTATTCAGGTTTAAAGATTCCACACTCATTTTCTCCCAGAAAATGAGATCGTTGTATAAAATAGCAGACGTGGAATTAGAGCTTCTGGAAATCACTCTAAGCCATGTGATCTCATCTTGACTTCCTTAAATTCTGATCAGGAAAAAGATGAGATGGCTTGGTGAACATATCATCTTAAAATTGTTGCTTTGTTTTGAGCACCCAGAAACGGAAAGAAGCTCAACAACATTCTTAGGACACTGAAAAAATACACACATATATATAATAAAATAAGGTGTTGTTTTTTTTTTGAGAAAACTCATACTGATCTAGACTTCCTAGAATGTATCTGAGATGAACTAGTCAAATAAGACTACTTACAATCCCTGTGAACTTGAGAAGAGACATTTAACCCCTCAGTTTGGTACCTTTGAACGAAAATTAGAACATCTATTTCATACTTCTCAGAATTTTTGTAAGAATTAAATATGTGGAACATGATTAAAACAAAATCTACCTCTGGTATTTTCCCAAGTGTGTTATCCAGAAAATAAATACTGTGGAATGGTTATTAAAATTAAAACAGTTTCTTATCAAAAAGTTGGGAAATTGTGGGTAAACAAAGTTATACAGTTATCTTAAGAGCTTTACCATGTTAATGGGCATTGTGAATCCTGGAAAAAGGAGTGTAGCATGTTGCATTTCCCAGACTTACTTGACAACAGATACATTGGTGTTTGGTTGTGGACTGAAGTTTGGAAAATGCTGTGCGATACAGAGTCAATGTTCTTCTGTCTTTCTTCTTCACTCTCATATGAGCATGTATAATTCTTCTTTATAGCACTTAATCACAATATTTAAGTATCATTCTTTTCATTAGGTTTGAATTTCATGAGAGCAAGGACTATGTATTCAGAAATGTTTTAATCCCCAGTGTTTAGTACATTGTGGGTAATAAATTTTTTTAGTCTATACAATTTCTGGTAACCTCAGATGCAATTCAGTTGATAGACTAAATAAATAGTTTTTTTTTTTTTTTTTTTTGAGCTGTGAAAACAAAGGGGGTGGTTTAAAATCACTCCAATATATTTTAGCCTTGTAGAGCCGTGCTTAAAAAGTAAGGCATGGTGGTTAACGGCTATAATCACAGCACTTTGGGCAGCCAAGGTAGGAGGAATAGCGCTTGAGTTCAGGAGTTCAAGACCAGCCTAGGCAACGTAGCGAGACCCTATCTCTACACAAAAATTTAAAAATTAGCTGGGTGTGGTGGTGCTCACCTATAGTCCCAGCTATTCAGGGGGCTAAGATGGGAGGATCACTTGATCCCAGGGTTCAAGGCTGCAGTGTGAGCTATGTCATGCCATTGCACTTCAGCTTGGGTGATAGTGAGACCCTGTGCCCCCGACCCCCCAAAAAAAATACCTGTGCAGAAAGGTGCTCCATGAAAACTAGGCACAGGAGTAAGAAAAGAATAGAGAAAAAACAAAAATGCATTCTTAAAATGCCCAAATACAAGTTGTATATCTCAGGTGGCAAGAGAAATCTAGAAGTTTAATTATGGAAAATAAACTTCTAGCTAGATGGTTTAAATACAACCTGGAAGGTTTAGGCTGATGAAATTTGGTCTCTTAAAATCCTTAGCATCAATTACCAAATAGGGTAAAACTAACATTTTTTTTTAAAGACAATTTTTTTCATACTTAAGTCATTGTAAGTCTCTATACTTTTAAAACATAAGTACTACTTTGTAAATTTGAGAATGTTCCATTAATTTATACATTAGGAAAATTTTATACTTCATTTCGGATGCTGAAATCTTTTAGTCCAATACCTAACTTGAATAAGCATTAGTCAGATGCTTCAGGGGTTTTCAATAGCCCTTTATCTTACCCGCTCTCCATTAGTCCAGGCTGAAAGTAGAATAAGCTTGGCAGAACCTTTAAATTAACATATCAAATCCCCTTCCTACCTACTCCATTTTACAACTGAGAAGAATAAGTAACTGTGTTATGCCATTCATAAAATGAGTACTTTATGCCCAGTATGCACTAAATGCTTCTGAACATTTTTTAACGTGATTTTCACAATAATCCTGTGAGAAGTGTTATGATTTCATCCTAGAATGGAGAAACTCAGAAGTGTTTTACCCCACATCAAATAGCCATAAAAAAAGTGAATGATCTGAAAATTGAACTTAGAGCCCTTTCTCTGAAGGTCAGTGACATTTCCATTACACAATGTTTTGTTAATAGAAGTATTATAATTTTTTATGCTTTTTCATAGGAGTGATTAAAATGTATATGCATAAACATAGTGCTTGCATGTAACATAACCAAGACTTAAGTGAAGACAACTATTAAACTTTAATAACAGACATATAAAATATTAATGGAAATACTATGTTTCCTGGATGCATTGCTTCAACATTATGATAAATTTTACACAAATAAATTTACACATTTACTATAATTCCAATCAAAATTTTTATTTTTATATACTTTGATTCTAAATTTAATTTGGAGCAATTAATACATTGGAATACGCAAGATAATTTTGAAAAGAATGTTGAAAAGAAAGATGATTGTGGGCTGGTGGAGGAGAAGATGATGGGGAGAAGGTTGCCCCACCTGATAGCAAAACTTACTGGAAAAGATATTTAATAATAATTAAAATAATGTGGTATTTGCAGAAAAATAGGAGAAACGCATCAATGGAACACAATTGAGAATCCAGAAGCAGATCCATCTGTATATAGAAATGTAGTATATGATCAAGAGGGTACTTCAAATGGGTACGAAAAGAATGTACTGTTTAATAAATAAGTTGACTATGTCATTTTGAAAAAAAATTAGATTTGAACCTCATATACTAAAAAACAAATTTTGTGTGGATTAAATATTCAAATATAAGAAATAAAACCAGAAATATATCAAAAAATAGAGTTGATTATATCTATAATCTTAGAGTGGGAAAAACCTTCCTAAATTTAATAAAACCTAAAACTACTTGGAAATCTGTATAAAAATGTTTAATTTTTGAATGGCAGAAACTCTACAAAATTAAAAGACATTTACAAATGTTCAGGAAAAAATATTTTTAACTATGTAAATAGTTGACAAAAGGTTAATATCCTTATTTTATAAATAGCTCTTCCAAATCAATAAAGCAGAGACCAACATCACATCAGGAAAATGGATAAAGGATTTGTTCAAGCAATTTCTAGCTGGAATCAACTGGCTATTAGATTTGAAAAGATGTCCAACCTTACTAATTGCCAAAGAAATGAAAATTAAAACAGCGGTAAGCTAAGATTTACCTACTATCAGACTAGTCAGGGTTAAAGAGTGATAGCTTCTAGTACTGGTAAGGATGTGAGGAGATGGACTCTCATATACTATTGATGGAAGTAAATTGGTATAATCTATTTAGAGAGTATATTTAGAAATATTGATCCAAATTTAAGTGGACATAACTACCCTTTGACCTAACAACTCCAAGTGACATACAAGATTCACATACAGTTGCAAATATTTTTCCCAGACTGTGACTGTCATTTTACTTTGTAGAGTTTTTCTGCTATGTAGGATTATAAAATGTACAGTTCACACGTTTATTGCATCATTTTATTGTGATGGAAAAAATAAAAACCATCCTAAATGTTCCTGCTGCGGTGACAATGTGAGCTCCACAAGAGACCACTTCTATCTTATTTACTATTGTGTTTCCAGTTGGCTGGTACTTGACACTACAAACATTTGTTAAATGGACAAACAAAATGAATTATAATGCATTTATACAACTGAAATTAGTTTTTAAAGATAAGTAAACTAAGTTGTAGATTATTTTACAGATGATTCGTTTCTTATAAGTATATGTATATATATGCACATATACACCTATATGTATTTTTGTCATACATGTGTATGAAGAAAAAAGGAAGTATACCTCTTGGTTGCCTCTTGAATTTAAAGAATTTAAAGAGTAGTGACATTAACTATTGACTTCATATACAAATGATAATATTTCCTTTGGCTTTTTTTTTCTTTTCTTTTTTTTAACAATGACTGTGTTTATAACTTGGAAGTACAAATGTAGTCATTCTTTCAATCCACCAACTGTTCTTGGTGCAAAGGTTTTATAGCAGTGAATACAGTCTCTATTTTACCTGAGTCTGTATTCTAGTGGAGGAAGACAGATGGTAAACAAATAAATATTTGTTTCTGATAAGGTGTTATGAAGAAAATTAAACCAAGGTAAGGGGACTAGTGACATGGTGCTGTTTTTCATAAGCATAGTTAGAGACTGCCTTTTGTATTATGTGATATTTGAAAAGAGACTTGAATGAAGTAGGGAGTAAGCCACTCAGGGCTATGAAGGTAGATCTTCTAAGTACAGGTCAAAGGACTTAGGCAGGACCATGCCAAGGTTCAGTTAAGAGCAAGGTCAGGGGATGTTGGAGGTGTTTGCATGATTAATTTTTGTATTTAAAAGGATCAGTCTGGTGGATGTGTGGAAAAGATGATGGCTTGGACAAGAGTCATAGTGGTAGAGCTGGTAAGAAGTGGTGGGGTTCTGGATATATCCCAGATGCAGAGCCATCAGAATTTGCTGATGTGAGACAAAGAAAACAGAAAGGATATAAAACTGTCAAGAGTCTTAAAATACACCACCATCAACAAACCTGATCTGGAATGTGAGAATGGAGTGCCTCTAATAAGGCAGAACTTGTTAACAATTTTCTTTCACAGCTAGGGTCAATCCCTTATGCCATGAATTTTCCCAGCATTACTGTGAGAGAAGTAAGTGCCAAATAATGTCTCAAAATTGTATTGAAATTAGAACTTGTTCCCATACTGGGTTTAGTGCACGCTTACTTTTAAAAGTTTATTTAACATGAAAACATCTTCCCATTAAATGTACATTAGCCTTTAATTTCCTTTTGTAGTCAGTTTTACTAACAAATTTTTCTATTTTAAAGTATAAGGAAGAAACAGTTCTGCTATTTTGAAGAATTGAGAAAATTTGTGGTTTAGGATTTTATAGTTGTTAAGTGAAAAAAGTTTACATGAAATCTTAACAATATTGTGCATTAATCTTTGGGGAAAAACTTGAACTTAAATCACTGAAGATATTGAGGATTTTTAAAACTTAAATTTCCAAGTTTTACCATTATATTATCATGTCTCATTTTTTTCTGCAAAAGAAATATGCAAAACCAAAGTTCACCTTGCACATTTCCCCTATGTCAGGTAATAAAGGCTTCCAAGCTTGGATTTTCTGAGGTTAAAATTATTTGCAGGTGCTCCATTGCATGTACAAATAATTGATTAATTAAGGATGTTCTCAATCATTATCAGGTATAATTAAGTGCATGCAATCAGTTGTATTGAGACAGGGAAATTGCTGGCAAATTTGAGAGTTCACTTGCTCCAACAAAAATCATACTTTGGTTCCCATGATCACATTTAGCCAAAAAGTAGCATAGAGGACTGGACCCATATCATGACATTTAAAAAGTATTTTCATAATGCTTTTTGTGACTAAAATTGTGATGCTGCTCATTTAGTCACTTATTGATATGACCGAATATTGTGCTCTTTATAGACCCACGCTGTCAGGTTCATGATTACAACAAATGCCATGCCGAGGTCTGAAGGGAGTGGGTGGATAAGTAGAAAGAACAATCGGGGCCGTAGGCAGGTGAAAGATGATTTTATTTAGCAGCAGCTCTCATCGACAGCTTTCTTATACTAGCTCTCTACACTGTTCGCCTTTATTTCAGCTGTTTGCTCCTGCCCTGTGGCTCCTGCTGCCCCCATGCCTGCAGCTGCATGGCTGACATTCCCTTGGCTTCAGGGTCAGCAGCTTAACTCTTTCTCTGGGCATGAGCGAGCCAAGCTTTGTCCTGGCTCCCCTCTCTCTGTCTGCAAAGATGGACAGCTCTGACTCTCTCTCTCTTTCTCTGGGTGGCTGCACCTGCACAGTGTCAGCAGGGCAATTATACCTTTTACAGACAATATTGGCATAGAACCAAGTGATGGCCTTCCCATGTTACGGCTACATGGCTGTGATAACAAGTGAAGTTATATGCCTTTGCTCTGAACTCACTGAGTCATGCAAGATGTAAACATCCTACCTCGGCCTATCCTTGACCAAAGCACAGCCATGTTCCTTAAACTCCACCCGCTAGGCTGAGCAAGACATAGGTCTTGGATACACAGGTTATACATAGAAGCTTTGGGTACATAGGTGCAATAGACACACACAGGCTTTATACATAAGTTTTGGGCACATAGGTTTGATATACAGGCTTGGCACACAGGCCGTACACACCCGATGATGTGAATGAAACTGTACTAATGATCCTGGATTTTTATCCATTCATTCATCCATTTTTTTTCATTTATCTATTCATTATCTTTTCAACAAACATTTATTGAGTGTTTTCTAAAGTAGTTTTTAATCTTGGCTGCATGTCAAAATCCTCTGTGAAGCTTTTCAAAAGTAGTGATTCCTGAGTAATAAACCCCTGAAACTAATTCAGTAGATCTGGAGTGGAGCCAGGCATTTTTGTCAAAAGCACCACAGGTGACTGTGATGTACAGTCAGAATTAAGAATCACAAGCTTCTCTGTCAAGTACTAGGGATATAAGAGTGAACGCGAAATAGTTCTTATTCACAAGGAGATCAGAGTCAAATGAGTGAGATAAATAAGTAAACAAGTAATTACAGAAGAGTATGATAAGTGCTATACTAGGGGTAAGCACACCTCTTCTCATGTATATTGGTACTAGGTTAACAAAGTCCATTGATGGACTATAACACACAAAAAGGAGATTTTCTCTCATCAAACCTAATGACACAAATTGTGATTTTCCATCTTACCTACTCTATTCCTTAATCAAATGAATTAGCCATATTAGACTCTGTGGTGAAACTCAGGAGATGAAAAAGCAGAACAATAAGTTTCTATTTCTGATAACAGTATATGGGAGATGAGAAGGAGGTGAAGAAGAATTGCAAAACAGTGAGCTCCTCAAGGGCGGGGACCATTTTTCTGTCTTATTAATATTTTTCTCCCTGTGGCCTCATTCAGAGTCCAGCATAAGAGTAGGCATTGAATCTGTTAGTTTTTTTTTTTTATCTTGTGTTCTTGATTAAATCAGGAGCCAGCTGTTCTTACCTAGTTTGTGCATTCCTAAGATAACTCTGTTCCTTGTTCTCTGATCAGTGACTTTCAGGAGAAAACCATTTTTCCTTCCTCAGAGGCACAGAACTTTTATTGTCTTTAAGCTTAATAATTCATAGAACCTTGCTAATCCTTTGTGGTTGGATTATTTTTTCTTATCCATGTGTCCCATTGCCAGTCGATGTTTTGTTCTTACTACTTTAATTTCCATTATCGCGTGCCATTTTATTTTAATTTTTATATATTTTGAGACAGAGTCTCACTCTGTCGCCCAGGCTGGAGTGCAGTGGTGCAATCATGGCTCACTGCAGTCTCAACCTCCCCAGACTCAGATGATCCTCCTGCCTCAGCCTCTGGAGTAGCTGGGACTACAGGCATGCACCACCGTGCCTGGCTAAATTGTAGGATTTTTTTGTTTTTGTTTTTGTTTTTGTTTTTTGGTTTTTGTTTTTTTGTAGAGACAGGGTTTCACCATGTTGCCCAGGTTGGTCTTGAACTCCTGGGCTCAAGCCACTTGCCTGCCTTAGCCTCCCAAAGTGCTCCCAAATCCTTCCCTCCTAAAGGAATTACAAGCATGAGCCATCGTGCCCAGCATCACATGCTATTTTATATTCTTTTGTTTCTTTTTAATTTCATTTTACACGATCTGCTTTGACAGCCTTTCTTCCTAAAAATTACAGACATGAGGTACCAGTATAAAGGAAGGATAGCCCTGGAAGTTTAACCTATCTAAAATAAGGGAAGATATGTGCCTTTGATCCCCCAGAGAAGTACCAAAAAAGCTCCACAAAACACATTGCTCATTGCAGACCTCTTGTCATCTCTTGGTCCCTAAAGATGGGACTTAGTGAGGTTGACAGGACGACATCTAGAAACGTCTTCCAGGAAATCCATCAGACATAATGCAGGTCAAAATTCCCCAAACAAAAGTGAGAAGGCCCCAGAAGGAAAGCTTCATAGATTAAAGTTCCCCTATTATCTTTAAGACCATCTATTCCCAAATATAGCTGAAAGCTCTTATATCCATTCTGCATGACTTTATGACATTGGCAAGGCCAAAGTAGATCTTATAAAGAAAAGCTTGTCTGATTGCAGTGGTTTTAATTTGTCAGCTGCAGATTCATATATACTAGGGGATATACTTAATGTGAACATGATTTATATAAACTTGAAATTCTATAATATAAAATACTAATAAATTATCACTTTGGGTGAATGCTTTGAAAATTGATTTCATCAAATGAAAGGAATTAGGAATCTCATCGTTTGACAGCTAGCTAACTAAATGAATTATAAATTATGTCCATCCTTCTGCCACAGGAAGGTGCTATTTTAGCTAGTAAGCCAAAATGTCTAACAAACTTTAATGTCAAATAAACCAATGCTGTTGTTTATATTAGAACTACATGGTTATTTCAGATACTATTTTGTTATTTTTTTGGTTTTGTTATGAAACATTCCATTTTCATTAATTTTACAAAACACATTTACTGAAAATAGTATGCAAACATTTATTGAGCTTTCTGCCTTTCTATTTTATGAATTAAGAGATTCTGCATTAAAATGTCAATAAAGTTAAGCAGTTATGTTGAACCATCATTTTAATTTCTGCAAAATATCAAAGATAATGCTAAGAAATTTTTAAAAAAATTATAGCAAAAATATCCTGCAGTTCTTATTGATTTATGTGCTCCATGAATGTTTACTTCCTATTTTACATGAAAATATATGTTTGTTCATATTCTTAGAATACTCTGAAACATATTTCCCAGTGGCCCAAACTCTTTATTAGGAAAATGGACGAATTGAATAGCAAATGGTAAGAAGCTGGCCTTCCTTTTCAGTTTTGATATGGACATCATGTTCCTGAGAGACCTGGTTGTTGGAAGATAAATCCCCTAGTGTCTAACATTCTCCAGACTTTTGGCAAAGTAATTTTTATAGAGGAAAGAACCATCACACTGATTTGGTTTACTTTAAACCACCAGGTTCTCAATTCTGTGATTCATGTAAGATATTATTTCTTTCCGTCTCTGATCTAGTTTCCAAAGAATATTAATCTGCTATGCCTGATCTTTACTACTAGGTGTTTAGATTACTGAAATGTGAACTAAGGTGCCAGCCTTGTATAATTAACTTTTCTTTAAGAAACATGCTAAGGAGATTAAAATGCCAAGATTGCAGTTATTTTCTGAGATCTTCATTAAGAACAAATCTGTACTAGAAACACTACTTCTCTATGGGATAATACTCTTCAGGAGCATGGTACAAAATCAAGGAAAAAATTTTGTATAAATCTATTGAACATTATACATTAATATCTTGTTTGTATGCCAGTGGTTATAAGCTTAAGGAAAATTATATTTATTAGTTTATTTAGAAATTAGTAATTTTTGCCTATCTCAATTATTGAAGTAGATGGGACATACCTGTTTTGATGTGCATGTTTTAAAATATGATATAAATAATATACATGTATTCTGCAGTTTACTTCTTTTATATATTCTAGATACATGTCCCTTATTAGATGTATGATTTGCAAATTTTTTCCCATTCTCTGACTTGTCTTTCATTTCTTGATGGTGTTGTTTGAATGAGAAAGGTTTTTAATTTTGATGAAGTCCAGTTTATCTAATTTTTTCTTTTGTTGTTCACAATTTTGGTGTCATATCTAAGAATCTTTTGCAACATTCGAAGTCATTAAGATTTAGCCTTATGTTTTGTTCTGAGAGTTTTATAGTTTGTACTTTTACAGTTAGGTCTTTGATCCATTTTGAGTTTGTTTTTGTATATGATGTAAGAGTCTAATTACATTCTTTTACATGTGGCTATCCAATTGCCTCCGCATCATTTGTTCAAAAGGCTTTTCCCAATTGAATGGTCTTGGCACTCTTGTCAATAATTAGTTGACTGTATAGGTATGGGTTTATTTCTTGACTCTCAATTACATTCTATTTTTCTCTATGTCTGTTGCTATGCCAGTACCACACTGTCTTATCATTGCTTTGTAGTAAGCTTTGAAATTCATAAATGTAAGTCCTGCTACTTTATTCTTTTTTTTCTTTCAAGATTATTTGGGCTGTTCTAGGTGCCTTGCAATTCCATATGAATTTTAAAATCAGCTTGTTAATTTGTACAAAGAAGTCAGCTGGAATTCTGATAGGGATTATATTAAATCTTAGATCAGTTTGGGTAGTATTCCCATCTTCCAGTCTTTGAACATACAGTAATTAAGTCTTCCAATCTGTGAACATTCAGTAATTTCCCATTTATATAGGTCTTTAATTTATTTCAAAAATGTTTTATAGCTATGGCCTTATCACTTCATTCCTATCTGTATATCCAAATGATCACATGGCCTCATTTTATTTCAGCTAAAAGTATTTCCTTTCAATTTCTTGAATGCAGACCTATTCACAGTGGATTGTCTCACTTTTTATTTATTTTAAAATGTCTTTGAACCTTTATTTTTGAATAAATATCTTAGTAGACTTAGCCTTCTTCGTAAACAGAGTGTTCTTCTCAACACTGTTTATGTTATTCCACTATCTTCTGGCCTCCAGTGTGCTCATAAAAAATTAGCTGTTAATAATATTTTTGTTCTTCTTTATGTAATGAATTTTCTTTTCTGTTGGCATTTTTTTTGTTGTTATCTTTGGCTGTAGTAGTTTTATGATATGCCTATGTGCAGCCATTTTGTTTATTATATTTGTGCTTCATTGAGCATCTTTGAGTTAACGTTTTTCACCAAATTTGAGAAGGATTTTGTTATTATTTCTTTAAATATATGTCCACCATTTCTCTTTCTGTGCTCCTTGTTAAACTCCAATTATCCTTATGAGTTATGAAAGGTTTTTTTGCCACATAGTTTTAAACCTTGGAAGAATGTTTGGGAATAAGAGGGGGAAGTATGAATGAAGTGCCACCACAATTTTCTAAGAAAACTTAGTTCACTAAATATGCACACAACTACACAATTCATTAGATTTACAGTGAAAAATATTAATGTTACCGGTCTTCTTTTCCTATCTTTACAACATTTGTTTTAGGAGCATTTCCTCCCTCTGCTATTTATACACGGAAAGACTTACTACAGCGATCTACCCATATTGCCACCAAGACTTTCCAGGCTCTTCGCATATTTGTGAACAATGAGCTCAATGAACTCTACACGGGACTGAAGACAGCTCAGAAGTTTCTGAGACCTGGTGGTCGTCTTGTTGCCCTCTCCTTCCATTCACTAGAGGATCGCATCGTCAAAAGATTTTTGCTTGGAATAAGCATGACAGAAAGATTTAACCTAAGTGTTAGACAACAAGTGATGAAAACATCTCAATTGGGTTCAGATCACGAAAACACGGAAGAAGTCTCTATGAGAAGAGCTCCTTTAATGTGGGAATTGATACACAAGAAGGTACTTAGTCCACAAGATCAGGATGTACAAGATAACCCCAGAGGGCGCTCAGCCAAGCTTAGAGCAGCTATCAAATTATAAGTTATCATCATCTTATTCTTCAAATTTTTTTCTCACAATTTCTCTAATCTTTACTCATGTTATGTCCCTGAATGTCTTGGTATAGGTTTAAGTGTGGGACAGTCTGAAAATTGATAGCATTTAGCATTTCTTTTTTCTCAAAAAGAAACTGTAGGAAATACATGACAGAGAAAGTTACACTCAGGGAGCAGCAGCACCTCCAGACTGGAAAAATATGTTAATCTTTGCATCATATTGGACTCTTGAAGGCAATCCTTCCTCTGGCCAGGAAATTTTTTAAAAAATAATACTGTGTTGTGTTTATCTAAATACGTAAACTCAAGCTACCAAAGAGAAAGATGTTGTAATCATATCTGCATGTCCTAAATTTTGAATTTAGATATTCCAATTTGCATCAGTCTTTCTGTGGCTCAAATAATGATGATTATGGAATGAATTTTAATGTCCCTACTTGTGAATAATTAGCTTTCTCAAATGTAGGCTTTTTACAAATTTTAAATTTTAAAATATTAGTTTAAATGTGTGTTATACTGATAAAATTTCATCTTTCAAATTATAGTCTATTATTTTAAAGGGATTTTTCAGTATGATATGGGCCATTTTGTTCATCTATCGCAAAGTAAAAATGTAAAATCCTTACAGAGAATTGTTTCACAAAACTTATATTTCATGTCAATTGTATTTATTTTAATAATAGCTCACAATGCCTTTAGTAAGTAATAAAGTCTCTTATTAGAATCTTGTATTTTTTAATTGAGCTAATCAAAATAATTCAGCCAAGTCTATTTGAAATAGAAAACTGTCTATTTAATATAGTAAAATCAATGCTCCCTTAATGTTGTTACAAAGATATGGTAACTGTAATATGGGTAAAAGTTTATTCAAGAAAAGAGTACTTGGTAGAAGATTCTTTAACAAATTGAGGAGATTGATTCATAATTCACATGTCAATTTTTTATAGTAATATGTACTTCTAATTTATTATTTATACTTAAATTGTGACCTGAAAGATGAGTTGGAGATAATTAGTCAAAGGGCACATGGAGTATGGAAGGGGGCATGTTGATTAACCATACATAGAAATAAATATTCTCTTAGTTATCCTTGAAATCATATTTATACTATTAATTTGCTCAGTGCACTTTTTTCAAATACAGAAAAAAGATTCTCCATTATAGTTACAAATTTTAGGTTGGTGAATCCAAGTGAATGAAATATCAGCATAACTATGTGGGCAAAATAGATAGAATTAAATGCATGAATTTTCCTCAGACTTATTTTATCTGCCTCTGTAATATTTAACTTTAGTACCCAGGCTTGTTCACTACTTCTGCTTTACAGGCTTTATTTAAATCTGAACAATCCTACAGGGAAATCAGAATTAGGAAAAAAATCTGGAGAACAATATGGTTGAAATAGAAACAAGAGAATGCACCTAGGTTAATTCCCTGAATCCTACTTGAACATTGTATAAATTTCTCTTTGCATATAATACATATTTGTGAATGAGACATATTCCCAAAAAATTCTTATCTCTGTATGTGATTGGAAAAGAAAAGATCACATTTGTATATTCAACAATCTTTCACCTATTTCATAAGTCATTTTTTCACCCTGTATAGTATGGGAATTATTTTTTATGTTAAATAGAAACTGAATGTACTGGGTTGAATGGTGTCCTCTCCAAAATTCATGTACTTCCTGGAGCCTCAGTATGTGACCTTATTTGGAAATACTGTGGTTGTGGTTGTAAGTAGCTAAGATGAGGTCATACTGGAGCAGGGCAGGCCCTTAATCCAATATGACTGGTGTTCCTTATAAGAGAAGATAGGGCGGGCATGGTGGCTCACGCCTGTAATCCCAGCACTGTGGGAGGCCAAGCCAGGCAAATCGCTTGAGGCTGAGGAGTTCAAGACCAGCCTGGCCAACATGGCGAAAACCCATCTCTACTAAAAATAAAATTAGCCATGCGTGGTGCTTGTAATGTCAGCTACCCAGGAGTCTGAGGCACAAGAATCACTCGAACCTGGGAGGTGGAGGTTGCGAGATCACACCACTGCACTCCAGTGTGAGCAACAGAACGAGACTCTGTCTCAAAAAAAAAAAAAAAAAGGAAGAAAGAGAAGATAGAGACACAGGGGAGAATGCCACATGAAGCTGGAGGCAGAGATTGGAGTGATACATTGTGGGAACCCTCAGAAGATAGGAAAAAAGCATGGAATAGATTCTCCCTCAGAGTTCCAGTAGTTGCCAACCCTGCTAACATGGTTTTGCACATCTAGCATCCAGAACAGTGAGAATGTATTTCTGCTGTTTTAAGGTACCCAGTTCATGGTAATTTGTTACAGCAATCCTAGGAAGCTAATACTCTGACAGAAAAAAATCTTGGATAATATGCATGAGAAAAATCCTTCAATAAACACAAAATTGGTTTCAAAATGTTTTCATGTAAAAATAAATTAACTTTTCTGTAATTAGATTGTGTTTTATAGTAATTCTTGCCTGCTTCTTAGTCTTTGTTGTAGGATGCATAATAAAATACATGAATGAGTTTTAAATGGTTAGCTTTGGAGAATGGTTTTGGGAAGTTCCTACAGTACACAGAAATAAAAGCTAATGTTACTATGAATGCGCATTACTTTTCTAATAAAATGTTTCTGAATCTCTGTCTTGACTGCCTTCTATGAATCATTTTAACATAGTATCAATGTCATTGTGTAGTACATCAGTTCTTAACAGTTTTTAGTTCATTACTTAAATAAAATTTAATAACTACAATTTTTAGATAATATCCCTATTTTTATTTTATTTTTAAAATTGTATATTAATTACTATGTTCTTTGAAGTTTCTAGGGGTGTTCTTGAAAGACACTATATCTATATGTCTTTTCTATTTCATGTAGTATATGATATATTATTTGTGCTTAAATTCATTGTAGTAAACTATTTGTTGTGCTACAAGCAGTAGTTTATAAGAGAATACAGTATGCCTAATTAGATTTTTTAAATGAACTAATATTTCTTAAAATTCACTTGCAAATATTTGAAAATCATATTTTCTTAAGTCTTTGCAGAGTATTACATACCTAAGGTTTTTAAAATTTTTGTTTCTAATTTTTGTTTTTAAGAAGTAGAGATAATGAATCTGTACTGCAGACTTTTAAAAAATAATTTTACTTTCATTTGAAATCTGTCATTCAAAAAGTATGAGACAGTTCTTAATGGGACTTAATGGCTAAAAAAAGAGAAAAATATATGTATATATGTACTCAAGCGTATATTAGAAGCTAACTGTTTAGGAAGAAATAAAAAAATACCTTTTTCACCACTCTCCCTCTTTTTATATACCATCCCTTCTTCTCTGTTCACATTGGTATGTAAATTTGAGGTGACATTAATTATGTTTCAATTTATCTCTGGAAAAAGAAATATTAGGTAATTTTGGCACATACCATGACAAACTAAGCCTTACATATTAGAATCTTTTTAATAGATTAAAAACTAAATTAAAAATTGCTTCTGGTTAAAATTTTGTAAAATTTATTTTACTGCAATTATTTTTCTATTTAGTTTTCATAATTGCTTCAGTATCCTAATTGATATTTTTGTGTAGCAGCATTCTATAATAGACAGGGATAAGCATTTAAACATAAAGAGAATTTTGTGAGGTGCTTGATAAATATAAATTTGAAACTCTGATCAAAGATATATTTTTCTCATAACCACAATGCCATATGTTTGATGTTGATTGAAGTATGGTTTGTAAAAATCAACCCTATATTCTAAAGAGGCTGGGTTGTATAACAAACACAGCTATTTTTATATTATTTTCTCAAATCTTATCTGTTTATAGCTACTATATCCAACTAATGTTTGGTAACACAGGATGATCTGCAGGAATGCTAAGAGAAAGTTTACATATAAATTATTTTTTTAAAGTCTAGTTGCAGCATAAAATTTTAAAAACATTTAAAATGAAGAATTGTACAACATACAATGGTCATAATTTATAATGCTTGTCACTGACTTTTTGGCCACCTCACTTCCTTCTCATAATCTGCCCAAATTATTAGGCAACAAAGTAAAGAAAATTTAATATTTCAATATGCACAGCAGGAGATTGTGTCTTTGGTAATGTTACTTTAAATACTGAACAAGTTTTCTACTATTAGCTGTTGTCCTATTAAATATATCATTGCTCAAATGTTAGAATACAAAGGTGAAATCAAACAAGAGGACATGCTCCACTTGATTCTTGAATAATTATTTCTGTTCGTTAAACCCCATCTTTATGCTTTGAGCAATAACACTTGTCTGCCTTGCACAGGTGAAGATTTGTATTATTAAGCCATCAAATGATAGGATTCCTCATAATTTCACAAGGAAAAGTCTTATTATTCAAGTCTTATAGGTGCTAAGTTGAGGAGAAGACCGTATAGTATTGTGAATAACGCTATTGGCTGGGGACTCAGAAAACCGAGGGTTTGAATTCCGGATCTACATGTAATAACTGAATGTATGAACTTGGACATCCTATTTAATCTCTTGAATTCTCATTTGTTTCATTTTAAGATGTGGATATTATTGGTACTTTCTCATGTTGCTGTGAATCAAATAGAAGATAAATGTTTATGAACTGAAAGTTCTAAGAATGAAATGAGATAATGCACTGCTGTATTTTGGAGATGCTTTATTTGACCCCTCCAAATCTCATGTTGAAATTTAACCTCCAATGTTAGAGGTGGTACCTAATAAATGATGTCCGGGTCATGGGAGAGAGTCCCTCATGAATGGCTTAATGCTGTCCTCATAGTAACAATTGTTTTTGCTGTATCAATTCCCAGAGAGCTGGTTGTTAAAAAGAGCCTGGTTCCTCCCTCTTCTCTCTTGCTCCCTCTCTTGCCTTGTGATTACACACCAGCTCCCCTTTGCCTTCGACCATAAGAGGATCCACCCTGAAGCCCTTACCAGCAGCTGATGGTGCCATGCTTCTTGTATGGCCTAGAAAACCATAAGCGAAATAAATTTCTTTATAAATTACCCAGCCTTGGGTGTTCTTTATAGAATTAAAAATGGACTGAGACATGCATGTAAAGCAGTTAGCACAGTTCTGGACGTATAGTAAACACTCACTGAGTACATAGTGCTATTATTTTGCTGGAAAAGATTTACCAAAATCTAACTTACATTTCTGGACGTTATGGTTAAAGATGTCTTTTTTCCCCCCTTAGTAGTTTTAAGTGCAGCGTCTGCATCACTAGCAGGAATTGATAGGGTTATAGTCTGTTTTATTATTTGGGAACTTCACTCCCATGTATTATTTATTAAACACTCCCAGTATTTGCTACACCTTGACAGGGTATATAAAATACAGTCATTGCTCTTGTGGAGTTTCCATTTATAAGAAAAGATGGGATAAGAGGAGCCGGCTGCTGAAGTTATTTGGCATTCATTTAGGTAAGAGAAAGTATTTGTCCTCCTCCACCTTCATATCAGTAAGTGGCCAACCTACAGAGTCTTTATAGTCAGATTCTCCAAAATACATATTGAGGGGGAAAAGGAAATGAGTAATTTGTGAGATATTAGATGGAAGATTGTTGCAGGACTATGAAAGAGTTTTCTAATTCTGCACTCTAAAGCCAGTGAGAAGAGGCCAATAAAAAGGACCAATAAAAGTGTGTGTTGCAGGTCTTAAAGGGAAAATAACTGGTGGAAGATAGGTGGACTACACTCATGCACCACTTAACATTTTAGTCAACAATGGACTACATATACAATGGTGGCCCCATGAAATTATAATGGAGCTAAAAAATTCCTATCACCTTGTGACATCTTAACCATTGTAACATCACAGGGCAACGTAATAGTCACATGTTTGTGATGCTGCTGCTGTTAACCTGCACTGCCAGTCAGTACAATATATAATACTTGGTGATAAATGGCTATGTTTCTTTTTTATGTATTTACTATGTTTTATCATTATTTTAGAGTGTACTCCTTGTACTTATTTTTTTAAAAACATTACTGTTAACCTCAGGCAGGTCCTTCAGGAGGTATTCCAGAAGAAGGCATTGTTACCATAGGAGATGACAGTTCTATGTACATTATTACCCCTGAACACCTTCCAGTGGGACAAGATGCAGAGGTAGAAGATAGTAATATTGATCATCCTGACCCTATGTACATCTAGGCTAATGTGTGCATTTGTGGCTTAGTTTTTAACTAAAAAGTTTTAAAAGTAAATTTAAAAATTAATACAAAAAATATAGAAAAAGATATAAAGAAAATGTTTTTGTACAGCATGTTTGTGTTTTAAGCTCTGTTATTACAAAAGAGTAAGAAAGTCAACAAGTTTATAAGGTAAAAAACTTACTTTAAGCTAAAGTAGTTTATTATTGAAGAAATAAAATTTTTTATGTTTTAATTTTAATTTTTTTTAAGATACAGAGTCTTGCTGTGATGCCCAGGCTGGAGTGCAGTGATGGGATCACAGCTTGTTGCAGTCTTGAACTCCTGAGTTTTATAGAAATAAAATTTTTGTAGAAATAAAAATGGACTGAGACATGCATGTAAAGCAGTTACCAGGCCCAATACCCTAATCAACAATCAAGCAATCCTCCCACCTCAGCCTCCCAAAGTGCTAGGACTATAGGTGCAAGTCACCACACCCAGCCAGAAAAATATTTTTTATATATTTAGTGTAACCTAAGTATACAGTGTTTATAAAGTCTACAGTAGTGTGTAGTAATGTCCTAGGCCTTAACATTCACAACTCACTGACTCAAAGCAACTTCCAGTCATACAAGCACTATTCATAGTAAGTGCACCTTTTTTTATCTTTTATGCAGTATTTTTAGTATTTTTACTGTATCTTTAATATGTTTAGATACACAAATACCATTGTATTACAATTGCCTACATTATCAATACAGTAACATGCCATACAGGTTTGTGTAGGCTATATACCATTTAGCCTAGGTGTGTAGAAGGCTATACTATCTAGGTTTATGTAAGTACACTGCTGACACAAGGATATTGCCTAATGACCCATGTCTCAATGCCTGTACTTACAATTAGAGCTGATCTTTCCTTTTACAGACCCAGAAATAGATGTTAATCAGAACTGGATTCCTCTAATTCCCACCCCCTTAACTTTCATCTGGGCATTTAT
This sequence comes from Homo sapiens, assembly GCF_000001405.40. Lineage (NCBI taxonomy): Eukaryota > Metazoa > Chordata > Mammalia > Primates > Hominidae > Homo > Homo sapiens. Next base: position 28,338,013 of record NC_000011.10, read on the forward strand.
AAATCTCTTCCTTTATCCCTACTTTTTACCCCTGTGTTTCAGCAGAAAGCTTATCTTTGCTTCTTTTTTTTTTTTTTCCTGTCTTCACCAAGACTTGGTTCAGTCAATTTTACTTGCAACTGCAGTCTTTAAGCCTTTCTTTGCTAGTGTCTTTCCCTCAGCCTGCAAACATCTTCAAAAGGGCCCCATGCTAAAAGCAAACCCTTGACTGTTTTTCTTACCAAAATACCACCTATTTTCTGTTTTCTTTCATAATTTGATTTCTTAAAGAATCTACACTGCCTCCAACTCCTCATCAATTTTTAAATTTATTCTAGGGTATTCTTTATAGAAATCTTCTCTTAATAGTTAATGTTGGTTTTGTTACCAGGCCCAACACCCTAATCACCATCTTTAGCTACCTGATCTCTACAAGATTTGATCATGTTTATCCTTCCATAAAAATATTTTTTTCCATTGCGTCCTCCAAAATCAGTTTGTCTCTCTAACACTGATTCTTTCACGGAATCATCTTCTCTCTATTCCGTAGCCATATGGTGACTCATGTGAATTGTTTACAAGGTAGTTAGTCCTAGGAATGTGCATGTAGTGAGGGTAATACTGTGAAATCCCTCCATGATCATCCACAGAGTGGATGAGAGATATCAAAACAATAATGAAAGAAACAGAGTTTGGAGTCTTCCTAGATTTAAATAAAAGAAACTTTTTATTATAGTGTAGGTATTAAACCAGCAAGAATCAAGGTGTTAAAATTGACTTCAAATTACAAACCAGGACTTCAGCTTTGGTAATGACAAGATAATTCGGGTTAACCATCCCACTTACAACAACTAGAAACCCTGGACAAAATATTTTTTGTAAGAAATCTAGGTGAAAGCATCAGAGAGCTAATAAGGAATGAAAAAGATCTTGGAGGAGGAAAAAACGTAGAGGTTAGATCAGCATTTGTAGCTGCCAATTGTGAGTTTCAGAAAAGGCAGCTGAGAAACTAAGAGGAACTTTTGATAGTCTTTTGGGAAGTACATGTAAATTTGAAACCAAACTGGACCTTGAAGGAATTGGAGCTCAGTTTTAAATCATCTTAGCCCTTGAAGTTGGATTAAATTGATCCTAGACACTAGAGTCCCTAAGTGCCTTTCAAAAGCTATTTAAAATCTTTTGGGGAAAAAGTTCTAGTTCTAAAATAATTTCTGTAATTGTTCATATTTATTGTCTATCACTAAATCAAAAAGTGACCAGTCATGAAGAAATGTGATGTGATTTTTAAAAGATGAAGAATACATATAATAAAAAAGATACCCATGAGGGATTCACACACAATGCTGTACATAAGTTCAGGGAAATTAAAAAGCTGAAAACTATAAAAAATAAAAATTCTAGAACTGAGAAGTATAGTACTCAACTTTAAGAACTCCATGGATTGGTTTAAGAGCAGATTAGACACAACTAAAAATCATCAACTAAAAGATATTTCAGAAGGAAATATCTAGAGTAAAGCATAATGAGACATAAAGAGAATGCAAAAAAAAAAAAACTGTACAAAAGACATAAAAGTTAAAATGAGAAGTCTAACTCAGGTGTAATTGGCCTCCCAAAAAGAGAGATGACCAAAATCAACAGCAACAATGTAGCAGAAGCCATATTTGGAGAGAAAGTGACAGAATTTCCTAAAACTGATGAAAGACATCAAACTACAGATCCAAGAAGCTCCCAAACTTTCTAGGAACAGCATAGTAAAACCTGCTGCAAATCAAAGTTGAAGAAAAAAAGTCCTGTGAGTTGAAAGGAAAGAGGCATTCTCAAGGAATAAAAGTCACATGAGCCATGAGGAGGAGAAAGTAGGGGGGAAAGGGGAACTATTCGATGATAAAATCCAGCAAATCAAGATGTGAAAAACAAAAAATCAGTAAGGGAGAAGTTGTCTGGTAAAAAGAACTGTGATAAGCTCGGAATCCATGTAAATACAGAACTAAGAGTAAACAATCATGAGAATTATGGTTACAAAGCAAAATACACAAGGCTTGAAAATATAAAACTAGCAGCTCACTGAAATTATGAAGCTGAAGGGTCAGGAGATAGAGAAGTATACGTACACTAATTTGTTTTTAAGAAACAAGGATTCAATTCTGTCAAAATGTTGGAATCATTTTTAAATCATTTTAAAAATGATTCCAACATTTTTGTACATTTTATAATTTTGGTGACAAGGCATTTTTGACTAAAAATCTAGATTGAGCAATCCATTACTCTCTAATTTCAGTTAAATTCAAATTAAATGATATGCTTGTATTAAAAAATAAGCTACATAGTCCGATGTGCCCTCTCTATAAAAATTTTTGCTGTTCTAAAAGAAACTATCATCAGAGTGAACAGGCAACCTACAGAATGGGAGAAAAGTTTTGCAATCTATCCATCTGGCAAAAGGCTAATATCCAGAATCTGCAAGGAACTTAAACAAATTTACAAGAAAGAAACAACCCCATCAAAAAGTGGGCAAAGGATATGAACAGACACTTCTCAAAAGAAGACGTTTATGTGGCCAACAAACATACGAAAAAAACCTCATCATCCCTGGTCATTAGAGTGATGCAAATCAAGACCACAATGAGATACCATCTCACGCCAGCTAGAATGGTGATCATTAAAAAGTCAGGAAACAACAGATCTGGAGAGGATGTGGAGAAATAGGAACACTTTTACAGCATTGGTGGGAGTGTAAATTAGTTCAACTATTGTGGAAGACAGTGTTGCGATTCCCCAAGGATCTAGAACCAGAAATACCATTTGACCCAGCAATCCCATCACTAGGTGTATACCCAAAGGATTATAAATCATTCTACTATAAGGGCACATGCACACATATGTTTATTGCAGCACTATTCACAATAGCAAAGACTTAAAACCAACCCAAATGCCCATCAATAATAGACTGGATAAAGAAAATGTGGCACATATACACCATGGAATACTGTGCAGTCATAAAAAGGATGAGTTCATGTCCTTTGCAGGAACGTGGATGAAGCTAGAAACCATCATTCTCAGCAAACTAACACAGGAACAGAAAACCAAACACCACATGTTCTCACTCATAAGTGGGAGTTGAACAGTGAGAATACATGGACACAGGGAGGGGAACATCACACATCAGGGCCTGTCAGAGGTTGGGGGGCTAGGGGAGGGATAGCATTAGGAGAAATACCTATTGTAGATGACTGGTTGATGGATGCAACAAACCACCATGGCACGTGTATACCTATGTGACCTGCACGTTCTGCACATGTATCTCAAAACTTAAAGTATAATTAAAAAAAATTTGCTATTCTATTTACTCTTCTGTCCTTAGTGATACATGAAAGATATTCTTTATTAATGATGTTTAATTCTAGGTGGAGGGATTTAGTATGTTTAATCATTCTTTGAAAATGTTTTCTGTTTTAAAATGTTTGTAATGAATGTATATCCATTTTACAAAAGCAGTCTAGTTTCAGTATTATTTTGAAAGAGCACAGATTTTGGAATCATCTTGCATATAAATTTATCTCTAAACCTCATTTTACTCTTCTGAAAAATGAGGATGTTAACACCTATTTTATAAGGTGGGTGTATTAAACATGAATATTTATATATACAAGAGTTAAATAGGGTATGCACAAAGTAGTATCTTTTTTGTTTTTGTTTTAGTTACCGTTGTACTAGTTTGTCAAATAGGCTAAAATAACACATCTCTACTTACTTATCTGTAAAATGATGGAGTTTGTATTGGACATGCCAGTGTACTCTCCACTTCTGGAGTGGACTCTTCTCTGTGTGGCCATTTTGCAATCTTCCATGTCATTCCATGACCACCCTCTATCACCACACCATCACCCCAAATTTCTTGTTCCATTCCTATCACAGTTAATTGGCCCAGGGGTAGACTATGATGTAAAACTAGGCTAATCCTGGCTACAGGTGACTGACCCAATCTAGATCTTTCCTATTTTTAAAAAACATTCATGAGAAAAGGGGATTTCTTGGGCCCACTTCAATGTCTGAAAGGTGTAAAACTTAAAACTGTCAGGGCCACATTTTCACCATGTAAAAAAGAGTGACAACTTACAGAAGGAAAATAAAAAGACAGGAGTTGGAGAGCTCTTCCTGGGAGCATTCACATTCTTCATCCCAGTTGTTCTAGAAGCCCAGGTGTATCTATGCCCTTCCCATGATTTAGTTGTGCACCCATTCTTCGATTCTATTTTTTTATTTTTATTTTTATTTTTATTTTTTTGTGATACAGGGTCTTGCTCTATTACCCACACTGGAGTGCACAGATGTGATCATGGCTCACTCAGCCTTAACCTCCCAGGTTCAAGTGGTCCTCCCATCTCGGCCTCCCGAGTAGCTGGGACCACAGGTGTGTGGCACCAGGCTGGGCTAATTTTTTTTTTTTTTGTAGGGACAGGGTTTCTCTATGTTGCCCAGCCTGGTCTTTAATTCCTGGGCTCAAGTGATCCTCCCACCTTGGCCTCCCAAAGTACTATAACTACAGGCATGAGCCACCACACCTGGCCCCATTCTTGGATTTTATAAGCCATGAAATTCCTCTGTCCTTTCTTCCCCATTTTAAAAAATGGAATCAGTTTGGGTTGGATTTCTGTTATTTATAACCAAATCAATAACAGGTTTAGAATAGATGACTTTTAAGGCTTCTTTCATCTGAATGTTAAGTTAAACTATGTTCTTCACTTTTACTTGGTAACTGATTCACCTAAATGGGATTTTTCAGTATCTTAATAAAGCTTTGTGAAATTGTTTTGTATGCACAGTTGTACAATTCACATCCTAGTCTGTAATACAGTATGTTCTGTCACATATCTTTGTCGTTAGCCCTACTAACCAACATTTGATAATGTGCTTTTGAAAGAGATTATTTGACTCATACAACTTTCACTTAATCATGGCAAACATCTTACATTCCTACACAGTGCTGATTGGTAAGAAAAAGAGAATATGTCCTCTTCCTGAATTTATGTATATTCTTTATGATTCTGCTTTTCTCTTTTGGATGACAATGTACTTCTAACTGTAAAATTATTGTTTTCATACAAACCCCTTTGATGATGAAGAAAACCATGTTTAAATGCCAGCCAGATGTTTTTTCATTTCCCATTGTATACATACATATATAATATTTTTTCATGGGGTGGGGAAGGTCAGGGAGAAGAAAAAAAAAAAAAAACTTATAGTGAACATTGAACCTATCTAGTTATTCTAGAATCTATCTTTGTTCCTTAGAAGAAATTAAACATTTGCCTTACAACCAGAGAATAAACATCAACTAGAGAAAGCTATTGAATTTCAAAATCCCTTTGAAATGTCACATTAACCTGTTTAACTTTCAGTCAGTTCTTTAAAGTAGCAAACATTTCCTGATGACTCCCAGATCTACGACTGCTTATATTTCTCTAACTTAAAAGTTTGTTTCCTTCACTCACAAACGAACTGTGGTGAATGACTCAGCACTGTTTGGGCCTGGGAAAAGTGTATCGCAGCTGCAGTCCTGCATGCAGTCTTTCTTCAGATCAGTTAAATTTTTGAGCATTGAACAGGATCAAATGCTAAATCTAGTCTGTTTGACTAAAACTCTATACAGCTCTAGCCTTTTATTTAGCCTTCCAAATAAATTCTAATATTTAAAGTTGTATTTGTGCATAGGTTGTCTTTTATTTTGAAATGTACAGAAATCAGGCAACAACCATTTATTATTTTACTCAACATCTATTGAGTGTCTATTTGCAAGGCACTGGGGGCAATAGAGTAAAAAAAGTGCTTCTTGTTCTTGAAGACTGCTGTTTAATATAGGGTGAGACAGATATGCCAATTTTGAAAAGATAGTAGATAAACAGGGAAAATTCTGTAATAGAAGGTAAGTACTATGACAGCCCAAAGAAATAAAGAAATGAATGAAGTTTTCTTCCAAAAAGAACTGGGTTTATAACATTCGTTTAAGGTGAGAACTACAAGAGTTTTTTTGCTGAATCATCAATAGCTTAATTTCCTGGGACATAATTCACCAGGTGGCCTTTTCTTGTAATGTCATTGATAGTCTACTTGTTTCACCCTTACTTTTTGTTATTCTTGTTCACCAATCGCCATGCACTTTGACTTCCATGATATAGTTTTCTCAAAATGCTCTCTGTAGGATGACCAAGCACCATTTAGTTCTCCATGACATATGAATGCACATATTCACATTATTAAGAATACTAATATTGAGAGACATGGATGACTATGTAACAGTAATTATGAGATAATAACCTGTCTGAATGAGCCATATCTTCCTCGAATTAGGATTCTTAATATTTTTGAAGCCATGGTTCCTGAACCTTTGAAAAATCTAATTAAAAGTACAGGCTCACTAATGAAAACAGCACATGCACACTAATTTTGTTTATAATATCAAGAGATTTATGAAAGCTCTTCAGTTCTATCATGGGCTCCAGTCCAATAACTCCTGTACTAGAGAAACTTCTCTCAATTCAAGTCACATTTCCCACATGTGACCCAGTGATATGTCAAAGGGTAAAGGCTGAGATTTCTGCCTTTGAACCTCATCTGGTTCTTTCATACCTGGGTGCTTCAAGCTCCATACACTGTCTAAGAGAATCTCAATTTTGTCATCAATTAATATGGCCAGTGTCCCTGCAAAGCTAAGCTGGGCCCTCACAGAAATTTTGTGTTGGGCACAAAGAATGGAAGAGATTAAGTGATGTCTGAGGATTTGAATAGATTGACTATTCTAGACTAGTGCTGTCTAATATAAATATAATGCAAGCCACAAATTTTAGCCACATTGTAATTATACATGTTTGAGAAGCTACATTGAGGAAAGTAAAATGAAACGTGAAATTAATTTTAATAGTATAGTCTGTTTGATATATTCAAATTTTTTCACCATGTAATCAATATAAAAATGGAACGTTTTATATTCTTTTTTTGTTCAAGAGTTCAATATCCAGTGTTTATTTTACACTTACAGCACATCTCAATTTGGACTACATTTTAAGAACTTAATCACTACAGGTATATCTGGCTTTCTTAAAGAAATAATCCATTTTTCACCTTTTAAAAATAATTCCAGTCCCCCACCATAAGTATCTGGCAATAAATGAATAGTTTATCTTTTCTTTTTTTGTTGTTGTCGTTGTTATCATTGAGACAGCGTCTCACTCTGTCACCCAGGCTGGAGTGCAATGACGTGATCTCGGCCTACTGCAACCTCCACCTCCCAGGTTCAAGCGATTCTTGTATCTCAGCCTCCAGAGTAGCTGGGACTACAGGCGTGCGCCACCACGCCCGGCTAATTTTTTGTATTTTTCGTAGAGACGGGGTTTCACCATGTTAGCCAGGCTGGTCTTGAACTTCTGACCTCAGGTGATCCACCCGCCTCCGTATCCCAAAGTGCTGGGATTGCAGGTGTGATCCACCGCACCTTGCCTAGTTTATCTTTTCTAACTCAGGATAGTCATATATATTATTTTGGGAAATACAATTCTAGCTTGAAGAAAAAGGAGTATAATACTTTGCTGCATCACACATGGAATAAGATGGAATCTGTGTTCTCTGAACTGCAATGCAGCAACCCTTACGTATGAAGAAGCTGCATCTTTTCATTCCTTTTTTCTAAAGGACCAGTGGATTTGGTGCGCCAACAAGACAGCCTTTAAAATAAAATGACCAAAACAGACCTTTGTACCTACATCCAAAATCAAGCAAACTCATAGCAACATCTTTAAAAATTGCTTCAGGCTGACCACACCAGGATTGCTTTTCACATTAGAATTAAAAGATGGTGTCTATTCTGAGTAAATCAATGCATTCCTGACCAGGAACAAGTAATCACAGCATATATGAGGCCAGGAATGACATTTATAATGAAAGGTATTAAATGATTATTTTCTAAAACATAGAAATTCTTCACCGCCTTCATCACACAAAAAATATAAAAATAGGAGTAGTCTTGAAGACCAAATGTCAAAGCTATCACTCATATGCAGCAACTATTTTAAAGACACATCTTTAGCATGATTCCTCAGTTAAGCTACGTCCTGTATGCATCTCATTTTTGGAATAACAATTTTCTTGCCACTGAATGAAAATATGTTCTGAAATTTAAGCACCAGTTTTTTACCCAATTAAATGCTCTGTTGTGTTTTTAAATGGCATCATTTGAAACAGGCACATTATCCTTTGAGGAAAGGGCACATTGTTATGTTTTTTTGAATCTACACTGGGCATCTTGAATCTTTCTTGGAGTTAAAAATGTTCCCAGTGCTAGCAGTTAATAAATGTAAATAAGATTTTTTTAAAATGTGGCTACAATATTACAGTGTTAATTGCATTACTCACCAAAAATGCAATGAGTCATATTTTATAGGTGTTTCTTATGCAATCTGGAGGACTTTTTAGGCACTTGATAGAGAAGGAAGATACTCCAAACCTGGTAAAATGAGTCTAGAAAGACCATTTCCTTTCTTTAATGGGGTTTAGAAAATTTGTAATTAAGAATAAACTAAAGCAACTTGAAATTTTGTTATGGATTTATAGTCTTTTCAACTTCATCAGAATCACAAGAAAATTTGTTGATTTCAATTGTTCCCAACCTTTTCAAAATCAAAAATACTTTACAACAATAACAATGTTTAAGAAGAAATGTGTCTTCCTACTAAATAGAAGTCAAATTTATTTTCCTATTTTTATTTAAGGCATGTATAGTTACTAACCAGCATGTGTTTCGTGTACAACAACTTGTGTTCCATAATACATCAAGTAACTCCAGGGAAAAGAGAATTATGTATTATTGAGGTTAGCCTCCACAGGTGCACCAAAGACTAAAAACAGAAGACTGACCACATTAAGGCAAAGCAAAATGATAGACTCTCCCAGATTAGATGTCCATGTTTACTAACCACAGATTGACAAATGTAGTCATGGCTCAGCTCAAAAATGTCTATGACTCTTGTAACTAAGAGGAAATTGATACTTAAATAAGAACAAAGATGAAATACCAAATACTTGCACTTAAACTCCTTCACATGTTTCCTTGGAATTTCCTTCACCTCTTCTTCTAAAAGATGTGGTGGTAATGAGAATGTGCTTTGTTTCCCTTCTATTACAGGGAGCATAATGGACCAAGGGTACCTGCTGCTGCACTTTGAAGTGCAGTCTTGTGTTGCCACTGAGGCCATACCTACCAAGGGGTAGTTCCTACCAATGGTAAAGTGAGGTAGGAATAGTAGGGCAGCCTGATTCTTGGGAGAGAAGGGGACTACTGTCATTTACTTTGGCTGAAGGATTCATGAATGGTTTTGCTGAACATACGACCCAACCATCTTTACCTCTCATCTTCACTTGGGGTCAGACTTACATTACAATCTCATGGCTCTTCCAGCCCTCTCCAGCTCCTACGATATTTTCTTTCAGGAATGCATTTCTCCTAATAAACTCCTTCTGTATTCAATCCTGAATTGGCATCTGCTTCTCAGAGGACCTGGACTAACCCATCAACGCTAATGTCTTTTCCAATTCCTTCAGGATTAATCACTGAATTTCTGTGTACTCATTTTACTGTGCAAAATACAGAGGAAAGTGATCCTTCATAATTTGGCCCCAGCCCATCTCCCTGGCTGCAGCTACCGTCTTTCTGTGCTTTCTAGGCACCCAACTCACTATAGTACCCGGAATTCCACACTTTTGAAAATGCTGTCTCCTGTGCCTAGAATGATTTCTCTCTAAGTTATATGACAGCTGCTTCATTTTGCAAGACCATATCTAAGTTATCTCCTTTAGTAAGCCTTTCCTAACATCTCTAAGCAGAATTTAGACAGTGTCCTCTTCTTGCACCGATACTTTAGCATTTTTGAAGATTGGCCAGTTGTGTTTCAACATATCCATCAACTTGAGTTTGCCAATGGTTCCTCATGACTAGACCCAGGTTATGAAGTTTTGGTCTGACTGTCACACTTACTATTTTATTTTCATTACCATCCTATGAGATTGCACATGATATCTATGTGTCCCATTACTGATGGTGTTTGTTTCAATCACTTGATTAAGATTACGTCCACCAGGTTTCTCTACTTCTTGTTCCCTTTGTAATTAAAAAAATGTTTTGAATGGAGATACTTTGAGACTATGTAAAAATCTCGTTCTTTACCTCATTTTGACCTACTAGTTGTAGTGTCTGTTGAAGTTTCTTGCTTGGGTTAATTATTATGATTATTGCCAAATGGTGAGTTTATAAAACAATATTCCTTCCACATTTATTGGAAGCTTTCTGCTGTAAGGAAGAGCTTACTCTTCTACCCATTTATTGAATTTCTTCTTATTATTTTAAGACAGGGTCTCACCCTATCAGTCAGGCTGGAGTACAGTGGTGCAATCATGGCTTATTGCAGCCTCAGCCTCCTGGACTCAAGCAATCTTCTCAACTCAGCCTTCTGAGTAGCAGGGACTACAGGTGCATGCCACCATGCTTGGCTAGTTATTTTATTTTTTGTAGAGAACGGAGTCTCACTATGTTGCCCAGGCTGGTCTCGAACTTCTGGACTCAAGCTACACTCCCTCAGCCTCCCAAAGTGCTGAAATTACATACAGGCATGAGCCACCACTGAACTTTGTCTATCCATTTATGTATGTATGTATGTATGTATGTATGTATGTATGTATGTATGTATGTATGTATTTATATCATTGGGGTACTAGATTATTCAATGGGTTATAATTTGCTCTTTTAGCATTATTTAATGTTTCAATTGTACTTTGGCCACTGGGAGCCAGTTCCTTCAAGCTTACTTCTGTGTTCTTTTAATATGTCTGCATTCTTTGAGTATTTCCTTTCTTTCTATTATGAAAGGTGTTCCAGGCTCATCACATTCTCAGCCTCAGCCCTGGATTCAGTCATTTCTTCAAGGAGTCTTTGTTCATTTCAGTATTTCAAATGAAGATATGAGCATTAGGTGATCATTACTACTGGAGTACTATTACTCTTAGGCTGTTTCAGCAGATAGCTAGGAACCACATACATTTATATTTATCTCTATATACATCTACAACTAAAACTAATAGCTCACTCTAGTACCTTCAATTTTAATCCAATTTTGGCTGGGTTTATTATTGCTTTATCTTTTCTTTAATTGTCACTCCCTTTCCAATAGTGAAAAACCTGGTTCTCATTATTCACAATATATTTACTATCTGCTCAATCTCCCTGGGTGTGGCCAATCTGATAGTGCTGGGCCACCACACCCCTTGCAGGTGGACTTGCCCTGTGTTCAGATTAGCCTCCTCTGCACAGGTCTGCCTTCCTTATCTGGGCAGGCTACCTTTTCCGGCCTCACACAGGGCTGTTTGACAATGGAAGGCAGGATACTAATATATTGTCTAAATAAAGGAAAGGAAAGAGGAAGATATAGAGCTACTAACATGTCTTTATTCTTTTTTAATTGCTTACTATTTGCTTTAAAAAGAGAAAGCAAGTATCAGGTTTAGAGCCTTCTATAAGGAGTAGTATCTAGAATTTAATAACACTATTTGCTTTAATTGTGAGTATGTTTAGTTCCTTGATCTATTTATTTACCTTAAATATATTTTAATTGCAGAAAGAATTAAATTATTTAATCTGCCCAGTTCTTAGGCATGTAATTCAATGAGTTTTAACAAGTATATTTACCACATTGAGATTTAGAACATTTTCATCTCCCCAGAAAGTCCTCGTCAATCTCCATCTTTTGTGGGCAACTACTGTTCTGATTTGTATCAGAATTCCTTTTGCTTCCTTTGTAAATATTTTTAGAGAAAAGAAGTTAATAAAAAAATAAGATTACAAATGTTAACAATGATGTAAGGAGTATAGAATTGCACAGAAGGTGTTGCATAAATGATGAGAGTTGGGCACAATGACTTGTTTCATGGATGTCTTGCAGAGTTTTTCTCTTTCCCTTAAAAGTCTTTCTGTTGCTACAGTGGAGATAGCCACCTGTATTAGACAGGCTATTAGATAAAAGCTCTGGCCTTTCCTCTCTACTCTTTCCATATATACTTTTCTTTCAAGCACTATTTATATACCTTCTATATGCTATGTGCTCTAGGGCCTGTAGACAAATAAGAAACGGTTCCTGTATCCAAAAGAGAGATGGCCACCATAATCTGATCCATGGGAATATTTACAAATCTGGGCCACAAATTCTTGTTTCTTCCTTATGGATGATGGCTAAAATTCACAAATCCATTGATTTGCAAGAGGATAATTTTAGATGTATTTGAAGGAAATGAGAAAAAAAGAAGAACAAAGAGGGTAGAATTCCTATTTCACAATTTGAATGTGGTTTTTAAATAAACAAAATTAGTTTTATTACAAAATTACATCTGGCATTAACAAAACAAAAAGGTCACCCATACTCTACAATTTAAGCATGTTAACTACTGAATCAATCCAAGTAAACTAAAACAATTGTTCCTCTAATGGAAAAATCAAGTTATAAACAAAATTACTTTGGGTTGAGGACTTTTGGATAAGAGCCTGGTCTTGCTAAATTTTAATACACTCCTTCTTTTTCTCTACTTGTTTTTGACTTCTTGTCTTTTTATGGTCAAGCACCTGACCCCAAATAGGGAATTCATTTTGTACTGCAGTTAGCACATTGTGAAAAGGGATAAATATAATTCAAAAATTGATGCTATCAATCAATAGGTATTCACTGACTGTCTGAGCACTATAAGACAAAAATCTCTGTCCCTAAGAGCTTCTGCTATATTTGGGGAAATAAATTACATGTAAACATTTGAATTTTGTGAAGCAGAAATGACAAACTCCCACATAGACATTCTTTACCTTAACTATTAAAATATATTTATGCTAGGTCACTGGTTACCAAGCAACTTTTCAGAGCAAGGATCTCTCACTCTCCCATATTGTACCTGGATTTGAGAAGTTTATCCAGTGAGAAATTAGAATGAGCTCCATTAATTTCTCCCTAGAGAGTAGGGCAATAGCAGCAGGGTCTACTCTACTTGTAAACCGTATGGAATTTGAGATAGACTGCTTAAAGCTATGAATTTAAAAAAAATTTTTTTTTTTTAAGATGGAATCTTGCTCTGTTGCTAGGCTGGAGTGAAGTGGTGCAATCGCAGCTCACTGCAGCCTTCACTTCCCGGGTTCAAGCTATTCTCCTGTCTCAGCCTCCTGAGTAGCTGGGACTACAGGCACGCGCCACCATGCCCAGCTAATTTTCGTGTTTTTAGTAGAAACGGGTTTCACTATGTTGCCCAGGCTGGTCTCAAACTCCTGAGCTCAGGCAATCCAGTCCACCCACCTCAGCCTCCCAAAGTGCTAGGATTATAGGCGTGAGCCACTGCACCGGGCCCAAAGCTATGAATTCAGAAACAATTATTTATCAACACAAACAAGTAGCATAAACATCTGGAATCTTCATTTTAGCTCCCTGCCCCACATGTCTATACCAATCTCTACCTCATTGGGAAGTCAATGAGTTAATTCATGTGAGAAAGTGTTTTATAAACCTTACTATACTATCCAAGTGAAAGGTTGTATACAACTCCATGAGTCTGAACAGTTTGCTGCCTATGCCCTAGTATGATATATGTGTCTTTGCATTTGAGTATAAATTAAGTGTAAACTTAAGGCAATTTAAGTACACAAGAACAACATTCACCAGTCATATGTAATGATGAAATAAGGTGTGGCAGGAAATTTACAACTGAGCAAAATCATAGGCAGTATTGACAGGTCTTAAAGAAAGAAAGCTCACAGCTAGGAAGGCGTTAAAGCCAAAGGTTGCAAGAGACTGTTTACGTTTTATAAACTTAGCTAGGAGGTTCACTTTGCCTGAAACCATGAGGCAAATTATTTACCCATTCTGCCTTAATTTCCCCCAATAGGGTGTCATAGTTACAAAGGTGAAAACTGGCACTGTAGAAAAAAAAATTGTGAGGCAAGTGTATATAGTATAGGTATTGTGATTCTAGGTAATGTAACTTATTATTCTGTTTACCTTAAATCTACTTACTTTCTTTGCAGGTTGCACTGGAGAATCTAAACTCTTTTGGAGATGTCCCAAGGCCTAACCTGCACCTCTTCACAGCATAGGCAAGAAAATTCTGTCTGACCTTTCTGCCGGGAGGAGGGAATGTTTAGGTAAAAATGAGAAACCTATGAAATCAGCCACCAACATGGCTGTGTCACTTTGGTGCTCCCACAACAACTTGAAGCATTTTTCATATTAAACTTAATAGCTGACCTGTCTACCCCCTAGCCTGTGAGATCCTTCAGGGAAGGACTTTCCCTCATGTTTTACTCACCTCTATTGCTCTAACAACTAGGGCAGGATAGTAGGGGAGACAATCAGTAAATATTTGTGGACCTGAATATGAGTAGAGGGCACTCAAGGAACAGCAAAGGCTTAGAAGTATCATAAACTTCATGTGTCCAGGAGGGAAAGAACAAAATTTAATGCAGACATTTTTACATACTAAGTCAAATGTGTAACATTTTTCAAGCACAAAATGTTATATACATTCCTCTTCCTCTTCCCATCCCTAAGTTTCACCTTATTCCTGCTCCTTACCCTGTCTTTGAACTCTTCTATCTCAGATTCTGATTTCTCCCAGTACCTCAGCCCTCCCTTTCCCTCTCCCCAATCTTCACCCCACCCCCAAGGGTCATGGATGTATTGAGGTCAAGATGAGGTGAAGCTCATTGAGGGAGGAAAGATAATTGGGCATCCAGGCAACAGCAAAAACTGACAGCTCAATGGTTCAATGTTTACAGTAAAATGTCCCAGAATCAAAATGATCACATCAAAATATATATTCATAGAACAATGGCCTAGTTTATAATATCAGTTGCATGATACGGAAAAGCAGGAGAAAAGGTTAAAGTGTTAAGAGATGGTCAGATATGAGTCTAGAAATTTTGTCAGGCATCAGTAGGGAAACAGAGAGGCTTTTAAGCAGTAAAATTAGAACATCACTATGAAAGCAGGATTTAAGTGTCATACAGCCATATTCAGCCTAGCTTAGAAAAGAAAAGCCCATATTCTGGGGCTCCAGTTAAAAGATTACTGCAGCTCTTCAGAGTAAGGTAATGTGAGGCCTAAAGGAGAAGAGCCCCAGAAGTATGAAAGGGGGTGATGACCAACTGGGCTTGGCAGATAGCAAAAGGCTCAAAAAGTTGACCCTAAGTTTTTGATCATAAATGCCTGGAAGAATATCTTACCTATTGACAAGGAGCCATTTTGAAGAGAAAAATGTTGTTTGAGAATATTAATTTTGAAATGATAAGAGATATCCAAGTGGAAATACACAGAAGGGCAGGAGGGCATCAAAATTTCGAAGGGTGTGCCACCAGACCTTGATTAATATGTAAAATTTACTTAGCTCTAACAGAGGCTCATATGATTATGTCTGTTAGAGGAAGTGTCAAAACAAGAGTGCCTACCATGTGATAGACAGCAGGTAGCCAGTGAATGAAGGAAAGATGAGGTAAGAGGTATAATCTTTGTGTAAAAATTGGGGGCTTAACTGGGATGCAAGAGATCTTTTCCTCATAAGTATGTAAGTGTAATAAGATGTCGGCCGGGCGCGGTGGCTCACGCCTGTAATCCCAGCACTTTGGGAGGCCGAGGCGGGTGGATCATGAGGTCAGGAGATCGAGACCATCCTGGCTAACAAGGTGAAACCCCGTCTCTACTAAAAATACAAAAAATTAGCCGGGCGCGGTGGCGGGCGCCTGTAGTCCCAGCTACTGGGGAGGCTGAGGCAGGAGAATGGCGTGAACCCGGGAAGCGGAGCTTGCAGTGAGCCGAGATTGCGCCACTGCAGTCCGCAGTCCGGCCTGGGCGACAGAGCGAGACTCCGTCTCAAAAAAAAAAAAAAAAAAAAAAGGTGTCAAGCAATGTCTAATGTCTATCTTGTAATTGTGATTAAAGACAATGGCTGAGAAGAACCTCATATTCTAAGAGAGAAGCTGGACATATCTCAGGACTTGCCAAAAGGCAGCAAAGAAATGAGACTACAGAACGTACCATTGGAGCAGGAGCTGAGAGGGAAATAATGAGAGAGAGTAGGTTAACAGCGCATCTATGGGGCTAGGAAAGGTCCCAGCAGAACTCTTAAGGACCCACAAAAGCACTCCCATAGAGCACAAAATATCTGCAGAGCACACCAGAACTGGATAACAATAGCACTCTTCATGGATGAACCCTTTTTCCCCTTTGCCTTTTCATCTTTTCCCTGTCCCAACCTGGTGTTACCAAGAGTAACATATTGGGGGAGAGGAGAATAGTATGTTGGAGCAGTGAAGAAGTGGGCTTTATCAATTTCTTAACTGCTAATCTATAGAATTCTTGGGTCATGGCATACTAAGACAGAGAGGAACCTAACATTGTATGAGAGATTGGATGTCGTTTTAGATTTATTTTTAATATTTGAAAGATTCTATTCTGTTATTAGTCAGATATGGCTAGAAAAGCTATTGAATTGGTCTGAGAGTACAGAGAATAGAGATCTGGCAGTATGGCTTGAGGGCAGCAGTGGATGAAAAAAAACCCTGACTTTATTGTATCCTACTTAGTTCAGCTCATTCAACAACAGAAGCAAGAAAGGTCAGGGCAGTGAATATTTCTACTCACATAGTGACATAAAGCTTAAGGGAAATCGGTGAGTGGTGTAATAATTGGGTACATTTCTTTTTTTCAATTTACAAAACTTATTTTTAAATCAGTATTGAACTTTTAATCCCTTCGTGTATGTTTTGAGTTATGTCAAAGTATGTTGCCAACAAAAATGTTTAGAGAATCACTATGGAAGGGAGTAGGAGACATGGAACTAGAAATGGGTGGGATACTGAGGCTGAGCAGTTTTTTAAAATCATCAATACAGAGGTGAGTGAGAGGACCTTTCCCTTAACAAAGAAATAATGAGAGAGCAGGTGAAGAGTGCATCTCTGGGACTAGGAAAGGTCCCTACAGGAGAACTCTGAAGGACCCACAAAAGCACTCCCACAGAGCACAAAGTGTCCACATGTTCCTGGGTCACCCCCAAAGTACTTGCCTGCTACTACACAAAGACAAGGCTCAATGGCACCTTCTCCCTTTATCCCAACTTGTATTAACTGTTTTCAGCTACCACCTTTAGGTAGAAGTTAATCATATAACCGTATCCCTATGTCACTGTTCTGAAGGTGGCTCTTTTGAAAGACTTTGCAAAAATTAATACATTTCAATAAATATTGAGGTTTTTCTAGGCCCAATCAATCCAAGAGCCTGGGGGAAAAATTTTATTTAAAGTATGTCAATTTGGAAATTTTTGTAGGTTAATAGTAGTTCTGCAAAGGCCAGGTCTTCTTGGTCTTTGGAGAAGATTCACCATTACATTAAATTCCCTACACCTCTGTTTCTTCATTGAAAGAAAAGATATATTAATACAATTGGCCGTGCGTATCCATGAATTCCATATCCATGTATTTAACCAACCACATATTGAAAATATTTGGGAAATAAACAATAAAATATACAAATTAAAAACAATACAGTATAACAAGTATTTCCGTAGCATTTACATTGTACTAGGCATTATAAGTAATCTAGAGATTTAAAGCATAGAGGAAGATTTGCATAAGTTATATGCAGTATTACATTATTTAATATAAGGGACTTTAGCATTGTTGGATTTTGGTATTTGCCAGGGGAGGGGGTGGTGGTACTAGAACCAGTCCCCCAGGCATACCAAGGGACAACTGTACTTAGCAAGTTTGTGGAAGGATTGAATAAAATAATATATATCATTGCTACAGGGTTTCAGATGATTTGGAGTCCCCATACCTTTCCAACTTTATCTTATACTATCTTTTTCCTTTGCTCATTATCCTCCTGGAACTTTAGCTGTCTTGCTCTTGCTCAAACACACAAAGCTATTTTCCACCTCAGGGCTGTTGCACGTGTTGTCTCTCTACATGTAATTTTTTGTTCCTAACCACTAGGCTACTAGGGAACATATAATTTTATGACTTCAGCTCTTTGCTCCCTCTTGTCTCTCAGTTCAAATGTTACCCTCTCAAAGAGGTCTTCCCTGGCCTTCTACCTAAAGTTGCCTTTGCTGGATATTTGGTATCTCATAACCTTGCTTATATCTTTCCTAGCATTGTTTTACAATGTAATTATTTTGTCCATTTATGTATTTGCTTCACTATTTTCGGTCTCCTCCCACTGGATTTCAAGATCTTTGAGTTAAAAACTTTGTTGATCTTGTTTACCTACTGCTCAAAGTAGCTAGCACAGTGCCTGGCATGCAGTAGACACTCAATATTTGTCAAATGAGTGACATGAGCCTTCTCTGTATACAAGTATATGGGAAGGTTAGATCGAACATTTCAAAATAGTCAACAAGTTAAGAAATATGGGAGAAAAATTGTTCAAGCATATTTATATGGAGGCACAAAGTGGAGGCAAATGAAAACTCTCTGCAGGAAAGTTTCCAAAGGCCAGGGTTTGTTTAGAAAGAAAGCCAAGCCAGGTGCTCTAACTGGGGCAGACAATAGCCTGGCATTCTCTGACCCCAAAGGTGACTCCTATCAAGGCAGTGGCATGAATTCTCATTTGGCAAAACATTTTCAGACCAGATGAACCATGCCAAACCAGAGGCCTGGAAACAAAAACACCATTTGAATTATGTCTTTTCATAGGACAAGCTGAAATTATTTCACAGGTTAATACCATCATTTCTTGGTATTTGGAGCTAAAACATCTTCAAGCCACAATTTTTCATTTTCAAATTAATCGGAGACCCATATGGCATCCTGGCTGAACCAGGATGTGCTCCTGGGAAGAAGAGGCATTACCTGGCTTGGCCCTGGCTGACACAGGCCCAGGTGTGCTGGCCTCAGGACTCATTTCTCGAGGAGACTGGGCACAGTTAGCTGCACACTTGGGCCTGACTCCGTAGGCATATCCAGAACCTCACAGTTGCTATTAACATCCTGGCTCAGTACACACAGAACAGTTCTTTGAATTTTATTTCCTGCTCTTCGTAGGCAGAACATTTGCTTTTTACTTTGGAAGGGGTGTGTCACTTGTAAGGCTGATAGAGTAGACTGGAAGGACAGTATACTTTTGGTTTACATACAGTTCTTTGGCTTTACCACATATGAATTCCAGGATCTTGGCAAAATCACTTAACCTTGCTGAGTATCAGTTTTCTCCTTAATAAATGGAGAAGATATTACCAAATAGAATATTTCTGAAGATCCAATGAGATAGTACATGTGAATGTGCTTGATACATAAATATTTCCTTTTCTCCCTTTCTTCTTTCTTTTCCACCTAGTTTTCACATAAAAGAAAGTTCCTTTCTGATTACCAGAAGACAGCATTGGGTAGTGGTCAGAAACTTTGGCCCTCAAGCCAAGTAGACTTTGGTTTATATCCCGAAGTTTTCTCTCCTAGCTTACAGACTTGAACAAGCCATTTAAACTCTTTGTACCTTCATTGTTTTCTCTGTCAAATAACCACAGTGATAATCCTACTTTATAAGCGTATTCTAAGAATCACATGATTTGAGGTGCCTGACTCATGGTAAGTGCTCAATAAATATCAACCATCTCAGTCCCCAACCTATACCTTCACTGACTACCCAAAGACATGGAGGGAGACTTTAATGAAAGCAAACTACAAATTAGGAGTAAGTGGCTTTGATTTTCTGATCTAGTGCACAGAAATCTTCATTTCTTTCGGGATTGCCTTGGGTTTAGTATATCTTCTCTCCAAGGCTCTGATCATTTTTTTGTAGTGATTCAAAAGAAATGAAAGAGCAACGAGAGAAGAACAATGTAATATGTCAAGTGTTATTGGCAGAATTTGGGCCCCCATGACCTTTTCTCTATCTAGTGTTACACTCATGCAAATGTTAACATTATGTGGGAAAAGAGACTTCACAGATTTAAATAAGGTTTAAATCTGTGGTTATTAAGATAGAGAGATTGAATGATTCCTTTCAAGCAGAGGGGGAAATCTGTGACATTGAAAGCATGAGAAGTATTCTGTCTACTGTTCTTAGCTTGAAGATGAAGGAGACCATGTTTCACAGACATAGAGACCTCAATTCTACAACCACAAGGAACTAAATTCTGTCAACAGCCAATGAGCCTCTAAGAGGATTCTGGCCCTGGAGAGACTGAGAACCACAGCCCTGGCTGACACCTTGATTTTACCCCTGTGGTACCCTAAGTAGAGAATCCAGCCATGCTATGCTGGACTTCTGTCCTACTGAAACTGCAAAGTAATAAAGGGTCTTGTTTTTAAGCCATTAAGTTTGTGATAATCTGCTATTGAATCAATAGAAAACCAAATACACCACGTTTGTAACTTTCCCTGAAGCACAAAATGTAACGATGAAAAATTAAACAGAACAGAGAAGAAGTGTCCCATGATGAATTTAGTACTTTGGATCTGAGGTAGACAGTGGAACACTTCTACCCAGAATCCCAGAGATCAGGATTTTGAAACCTTCCTATTGCTCTTTGCTACCGCCTCCCCTGAACTCCCTTAATACCATTATGTAGTTTCATTGTAGTACTTTTCAGTCTCTTATAATTATTTATGTGATCATCTTCACAATGTATGAATGTCTTAAGGGGAGAGACTATGTGATTTACTTTTGTCTCTCCAAAACCTAGCATGGAATCTCACACAGTAAAGACACTAAAGATGTGTTTGTTAAATGAAACAATGAATGAATATGTGAAAGGATAAATAAACTGTAGAAACCAACACCCCAAAAGCTAAAGTATTTGTTGTATTTGTTAGGGTCACAGAGAAAATTTTAGTTTTAAATTTACCTGCATAAATATTCTTTGTTGTTGTTGTTTTTCTCAACTTCTATTTTAGATTCAGAGGGTACATGTGTAGGTTTGTGACAGGTATATTGCAGGATGCTGAGGTTTGGGGTATGAAATGATCCTGTCACCCAGGTAGTGAGCATAGTACCCAATAGGTAGTCTTTCAGCACTTGCCCTCTTCACCCTCTCCCTACTCTAGTAGTCCCCAGTGTCTCTTGTTCCCATCTTTATGTCCATGTGTACCCAATGTTTACCCCTCACTTAGAAGTGAGAACATGTGGTGTTTGGTTTTTTGTTTCTGCATTAATTAGCTTAGGATAAGGTTCTCCAGCCATACCCATGTTGCTGCAAATGGCATAATGTCATTATTTTTATGGCTACATAGTATTTCATGATGTGTATGTACCATGTTTTCTTTATCCGATATACCGTTGATGGGCACCTAGGTTGATGCCATGTCTAGACAGTGCTGCAGTGAACATATGAGTGCATGTATTTTTTTGGTAGAACATTTTATTTTCCTTTGGGTATATACCTAGTAATGGGATTGCTGAGTTGAATAGTAGTTGTAATTTTAATTTTTTGAGAAATCTCCAAACTGCTTTTCACAGTGACTGAACTTATTTTCATTCCCACCAACAGTATATAATTGTTCCCTTTTCTCCGCAGCCTTGCCAACATCTGTTATTTTTTGACTTTTTAGTGATAGCCAT
This sequence comes from Homo sapiens, assembly GCF_000001405.40. Classification (NCBI taxonomy): domain Eukaryota; kingdom Metazoa; phylum Chordata; class Mammalia; order Primates; family Hominidae; genus Homo; species Homo sapiens. Next base: position 28,359,615 of record NC_000011.10, read on the forward strand.
TCTGACTGGTGTGAGATGGTATCTTATGGCGGTTTATATTTGCATTTATCTGAGGATTAGTGACAATGAGCTGTTTTTCATACACTTGTGCGTCTTTCTACAAGAAATTCTTATATGCTGTATTCTGTTTTGCAACTCACCAGAAACATGCCGAAGTATGTTTTCTGTAAAATAATAACTCTGGTAAGGTTACCAGATCATTTACACTGTGATATGAAATAACTTTAATTATATGAGTTGTTTATATAGATATTAACTTCTAAACTGCATTAATATCATTTCACTTGAGTGATTTTTGAGAGGTTCGAAACTGTTGCTCTGATGCCTGTGTCCATTTACCTGCTGGGTACAGAACAAATTTGATTCTGGATATGTTGTTAAAGGACTTACAAAAGAAGCCCAACCCCTCAGGAGAGAGAATGCAGGATTCTTGAAATCATAGAGCTGGAAGGGGCCTTAAGAGAGTGTTTTGCCTTTAAGAGAGTAACTAAACCACATGATCAGGCTTCTTTAAAATCTCTGGGGATACAGACACTATAACATTCCTTCCTAGCTGATCTCCAGTGGTCAATTCATTCTTTCACTTGCCATTTGCCTTCTCTTAAAAGTGCTTTCCCAATAGACAAGTGTAAGATGGGCCTACCAGCCAAATTTGTACTGCATAATTCCACCACCTCACCTCTCATCCCACTCCACTCCCCGGCCATGGCCAATTGGAACAGGTTTAAAAACAGGGCCCAAGATGTGCCAAGCAGATTCTTCTTCCGAATCCTTCTTATAAGAATTGATACTTGGAACTGAGAGGCAGCTCCTTAGTTTGTCTTATAACCATACAATGTAAACCAAGGATCTATGAGATAGTCACTTCCCTTTGGAAGACAAGTAGTGGAGAAAGCTAGTCTGCAGAGAAACAGAATTAGTCAGAGCTACAGAAAGAAACTCAGGCTTGATTTTGAGAAGGAACACTGCCTGGGTTCCAGAGGCTCTCTAGAATCTAGGAAGCCTGACTTCATGGTGCTTTCACGATGTGTAAAGTGTCTCTCTCTCTTTTTTTTTATTATACTTCAAGTTTTAGGGTACATGTGGACAATGTACCGGTTAGTTACATATGTATACATGTGCCATGCTGGTGTGCTGCACCCATTAACTCGTCATTTAGCATTAGGTATATCTCCCAGTGCTATTCCTCCCCCCTCCCCCCACCCCACAACAGTCCCCAGAGTGTGATGTTCCCCTTCCTGTGTCCATGTGTTCTCATTGTTCAATTCCCATCTATGAGTGAGAACATGCGGTGTTTGGTTTTTTGTCCTTGCGATAGTTTACTGAGAATGATGATTTCCAATTTCATCCATGTCCCTACAAAGGACATGAACTCATCATTTTTTTATGACTGCATAGTATTCCATGGTGTATATGTGCCACATTTTCTTAATCCAATCTATCATTGTTGGACATTTGGGTTGGTTCCAAGTCTTTGCTGTTGTGAATAGTGCCGCAATAAACATACGTGTGCATGTGTCTTTATAGCAGCATGATTTATAGTCCTTTGGGTATATACCCAGTAATGGGATGGCTGGGTCAAATGGTATTTCTAGTTCTAGATCCCTGAGGAATCGCCACACTGACTTCCACAATGGTTGAACTAGTTTACAGTCCCACCAACAGTGTAAAAGTGTTCCTATTTCTCCACATCCTCTCCAGCACCTGTTGTTTCCTGACTTTTTAATGATTGCCATTCTAACTGGTGTGAGATGGTATCTCATTGTGGTTTTGATTTGCATTTCTCTGATGGCCTTAGAAAATATCGCCAAACTGTCATTTCAGTTATTTGAGAACACCCTACCTAATTTTCTGATACATCACAGAAATTTTATTTAAAACAAAGTGAACTTTGATTTCTCAAAAATAAAAAAGAAAGAAAATATCTCCCTCTGCTTTTTACTCTTACTCTAGCTAGATTTGGTTTTTGTTATCTCTAAATGAGGAGTTCTAATAAATATACTACCTGAAATTTCTCCTTTTAATCACATAATTCTTTTCTGGGTAGGGGGAGGGGTATAAAAGCCCTATAGTACTGCCATTTATTTAATAAATATTTATTTAATACTTAATATCGGTAAAAACTACCAAACCATTCATGGATCCCAAGAGTTTGGGGTCCCGGAGCCTAGACATTTCCCCTGAACACAGGACTCCTCTAATGAGTAGTTTTTGCTCTAAAGCTCCTCATTGGGTTAGACAAGCCTTTGTAAGACGGACGTTAGTATCAGAGGCTCTCCCTGTGCAATTCTGCTTCTTATTTATGTTTCTTATGTTTTACAGGCATTTTCCCCCAATAAACTACTTATTCTCCCAACTTCATCTCAGTGTCAGCTTCCTAGAAGACCCAAACAACGTGGATGGCCTTCAAAGAAAAATGGAGGTAGCATTTTCATTTATTTACTAAAATACATATTGACCCTCAGTAATGGTAGGGCACTATCCTAAACACCAGTTGTATCAGCAAACAAAATATAGTTTCTTTCCTTATGAAGCTTACAGACAAGTAGAAATAGCATTAGACAAATAATTACACAATTGCAATTAAACAAACAGTCCTGATTGTGATATTAAGAAAAACACAAGGAAAAAGTAGAAGGAAAGGTATATCAGGAAGATCACATATCATATTGCATTGGGTATCAGTGAAACATTAAAACCTACTGCTTTCTTTTTTTTAATTTCAACTTTTACTATAGATTAAAGGGTACAACATAAAGATTTGTTACATGGGTAAATTGTGTGACACTGAGGCTTTGGGTCCTAATGATCCCATCACCCAGGCCATAAGCATAGTACCCAACAGGTGGTTCTTCAGCTCATGCCCCAATCCCTTTCTCCCCAATCTAGTGGACCCCAGTGTCTATTGTTCCCATCTTTATCATCATGTATATTCAATGTTTAGCTCCCACTTATAAGTGACAACATGGGTTATTTGGCTCTGTGTTTTTGCATTAGGTCACTTAGAATAATGAATGGTCTTCAGCTTTATCCATATTGCACAATGGTCTCTAGCTTTATCCATATTGCACAAGGGGCATGATTTTGTTCTTTTTTATGGCTGCATAGTATTCCATGGTGTATACATACCACATTTTCTTTATCTAATCCACTGTTGATGGACACTTAGGTTGATTCCATGTCCTTGCTATTATGAATAGTGCTGCAACAAACATGTGGGTGCATGTGTCTTCATGATAGAATGAATTATTTTCCTTGAAGCATATATGCCCACAAATGAACAGAGGTTCTATTTTAAGTTCTTTGAGAGATTTTCAAACTGTTTTCCACAGTGGCTGAACTAGTTTCTATTCTCACCAATGTAGTATAAACTTTCCCTTTTCTTTGCAGCTTTACCAACATCTATTGTTGTTTGACTTTTTAATAATTGCCATTCTGACTGATGTGAGATAGTATATAATCGTGATTTTATTTCCAGCTCTCTGATGAGTAGTGATGTTGTGCATTTTTTTATGTGTTGTTGGCCACTTGTATGTCTTTATATGTCTTCTTCTTTTTTTTATTTTTTATTTTTTTTGAGACAGAGCCTCACCCTATCACACAGGCTGGAGTACAGTGGTGCGATCTTAGCTCACTGCAACCTCTGCCTCCTGGATTCAAGCGATTATCCGGCCTCAGCCTCCCGAGTAGCTGGGATTACAGGCTTGTGCCACCAGGCCCAGCTAATTTTTTGTATCTTTAGTAGAGACAGCATTTCACCATGTTTGCCAGGCTGGTCTTGAACTCCCGATCCGTGATCCACCCGCCTTGGCCTCCCAAAGTGCTGGGATTACAGACATGAGCCACTGCACCCAGCCTTCACTTGTATGTCTTCTTTTGAGAAGTGTCTGTTCATGTCCTTTGCCCCATTTTTAATTTGATTGTTTGTTTTTACCTTGTTGCTTTAAGTACTTCGTAGATTGTGGATATTAGATCTTTGCCAGATGCATAGTTTGCAAATATTTTCTTCCATTCTCTAGGTTGTCTGTTTTCTCTGTTGGTAATTTATATTGCTGTGCAGAAGCTCTTTAGTTTAATTAGGTTCCATTTGTCAACTTTTGTTTTTGTTGCAATTGCTTTTGGGTCTTAGACATATCTTTGCCAAAGCCAATGTCAAGAAGTATATTTCCTAGGTTTTCTTCTGTGATTTTTATAGTTTGAGGTTTTAGATTTAAAGCTTTAATCCATTTTGAGTTAATTTTCATACAGTGAGAGGTAGGAGTCCAGTTTTATTCTTCTGCATATGTCTAGCCAGTTATCCCAGCACCATTTATTGAATGGTAAGTCCTTTCTCTATTGCTTGTTTTTGTTGATTTTGTCCCAGGTCCAATGGCTGTAGGTCTGTGAGTTTACTTCTGGGTTCTCTATTCTGTTTCGCTGGTCTGCGTGCCTGTTTTTGTATTAATACCATGCTGTTTTGATTACTGTAGGCTTCTAATATAGCTTGCAGTCAGGCAATGTGATACCTCCAGCTTTGTTCTTTTTGCTTACGATTGCTTTGGCTATTTGGGCTCTATTTTGGTTATAAATAAACTTTACAATATATTTTTCTAATTCTGTGAAAAATGACATTGGTATTTTGATAGGAATAGTGTTGAATCTGTAAATTACTTTGGACAGTGTGGCCATTTTAATTATATTGATTCTTCCAATCCATGAGCATGAAATATTTTTCTATTTATTTCTGTCACTTCTGATTTCTTTCAGCAGTGTTTTGTAGTTCTCCTTGTAGAGGTCTTTTACTTCCTTGGTTAAATGGATTCCTAGATATTTCATTTTCCTCATAGCTATTGTAAATGGGGTTGTTTTCTTGATTTGGCCCTCAGATAGAACATTATTGGTGTATAAAAATGCTACTGATTTTGGTACATTGACTTTGTATCCTGAACTTTTACTCAATTCATTTATCAGATCTAGGAGCCTTTTAGCAGAGTCTTTAGGATTTTCTAGGTATAGAATCATATCATCAGCAAAGAGGGGTATTTTGGCTTATTCTATTTCTACTTGGATGCCTTTTATTTCTCTTGCCTGATTCCCCTGACTAGGACTTCCAGTACTATGTTGAATAGGAGTGTTATGTAAGAGTAGGCATCTTTGTCTTGTTCCAGTTCTCAAGGCAAATGGTTCCAGATTTTGCCCAGTCAGTATGATGTTGGACTTTGTCATAGATGGCTCTTATTATTTTGAGGTATATTCCTTCAGTGCCTAATCTGTTGAGAGTTTTGATCATGAAGGAAAGCTGGATTTTAAAGAAGACTTTTTCTGTGTCTATTTATATGATCTTACGGTTTTTGTTTTTGATGAGCTTTTGTGGTGAATCACATTTATTGATTTGTGTTTATTGAACCAACTTTGCATCCCAGAAATAAAGCCTACTTGATCATGGTGAATTAACTTTTTGATGTGCTGCTGGATTTGGCTTGCTAGTATTTTGTTGAGGATTTTTATATATCTATTTTCATCAGGGATATTGGCCTGAAGTTTTCTTTTTTCATTGTGTCTCTGCCATGTTGTGGTATCAGGATGATGCTGGCTTCATAGAATGAGTTAGCGAGAAACCCTTTTTCCTTGATTTTTTGGAATAGTTTCAGTAGCATTGGTATCAGTTTTTGTACATCTGGCAGAATTCAGCTGTAAATCCATCTAGTCCAGGGCTCTTTCTGATTGGTAGGTTTTTTAATACTGATTCAATTTCTGAACTTGCTATTGGCCTGTTCACGTTTTCAGTTTCTTCCTGATTCAATCTTAGGAGGTTGTGTTTCTAAGAATGTATGCATGTCCTCTAGATTTTCTAATTTGTGTGCATAAAAGTGTTTATAATAGTCTCTGAAGATTGTTTGTATTTCTATGGGATTGGCTGAAATGTCATCTTTGTCATATCTGATTGCATTTATTTGAATCTTCTCTCTTTTTTTTTCTTTAAACCTCCTGCTTTCTATGTTAATTACATTCCTCATTTAGGACTCTGGGGCTGGAAATTGTGGGAATCCATTCATAAGTATAGGATGAGGAATACTTGAATTGGCATCATTGTATGTGAAAAAATGTATGAGGGATTTTTGAAAAAGCAGAAGTTTAACTTGAGCTAACTGCTTAGAAATAACAAAAAATGGGCCAGGCGCGGTGGCTCATGAGCGCCTGTAATCCCAGCACTTTGGGAGGCTGAGGCGGGCAGATCATGAGGCCAGGAGAGTGAGACCTTCCTGGCTAACATGGTGAAACCCCTTCTCTACTGAAAATACAAAAAATTAGTCGGGCGTGGTGGCAGGCACCTGTAGTGCCAGCTACTCGGAGGCTGAGGCAGGAGAACAGCATGAACCTGGGAGGCGGAGCTTGCAGTGAGCTGAGATCATGCCACTGCACCCCAGCCTGGGTGACAAAGTGAGACTCTGTCTCAAAAAACAAACAAATAAATAAATAAGTAAAGATCCCATTGTCAGGAGCACAGTGAGTTAATTTCAGGCAGTAATTATTCCTTTCCACTTTGCACTGGTCATAGATCATCTGGAATCTTGGGTTTAGTTCAGGGGTCCTTTTGTAAAAAAAAAAAAATTATTAAGAACAGGAGCAACTCAGTGACTCAGTGACTCAGTGGAGGGCAAAAGAATGGAGAGAAAGCCTTGAATCCATATGGCAGAAGAGCTTGTGGATGTTAATACAGAAGCAGACCAGAATATGGTGAGGCATTATATCCATCTATAAATAAAATACTGCCCTGTGTAATTAACAATAAAAATAAAACCTCAAGTAAGCTTGATTCTCATTTCTACTAAGGGTAGGACTAGGAGCAATGAGTAGAAACTATAAAGAAGCAGATTACAGCTCAATAAAGAAGAAAAAAGTTCATTTTCTGAAGACTACAACTGCCATCAATTGAGTGAGCTGATTCATGAAGCAGTGAGTCCCTTCACCCATAAGAAGAGAGGAGCCTACCTAGTAGGGCTTCCTGCAAGTAGTATTTAATACTGCATTTTCAAAGACTAAAAAACATGGATGTAAAATGTCTGTAGGAGCCTGTAAGAAAATTCTGTATCATTTGAGGCTATATAAAAGACAAGAGGAGGAATGAAGGTGGGGCTAAATTGGCGCAGCATGCTCTGCCAACCCATATTTAAATAGAGTTTATCTAAAAGCTCTATGTCAGAGCAAGATGGTAGAATAAAATGCCCCAGCCATCATTCCTCCCCAGAGACCCTGACAACAATATATAGTCCAAAAGGTCTTTATGAGAACTCCACAAATCAGTTAAGAAGTCACAGTACCCCAAGCAAGCATAAAGCCAAGAATAGCTGTATTTAAATGGATAATAAAAGCCATTGCATTTTACCCATGATAACCCTTCCTTCCAAGCTAGCACAGCTAAGTGCTTAGTGTAATCAGGAAAAAATAAATGTCCAAATTGTGGCTTCTGTCTCAGGAAAGAGAAGACTGAAATGTAGTCCAATGTTTCAGCTTTTCAGGGGGCTGCCTGAGCGACTGGTTTCTGTCTCATCTGACTCAGAGTGTTGACAGGGAACTGGCATACTTTAGATGTCTAGGAGCCACTGAGAAAAAAAAAAAAAGGAGAGCTAGGCAGCTTGTTGCTACATCTTACAAACCTGCAGTACACAGACAGATACTGCAGGAAAAAAGATATTATGAGCTTCTAAAAAAGAAACCAGAAAACCTCTCTAATTAGGAAAGCAAATGCACAAGCTTAGAGAAAACACATTCCTGAAAATGTTTGAGAGGACCCTAGAATCTCTAGCCAGGCTGATTGGTCAATATCTTCCTCTTACAAGGGATGTGAAGGACCTTTTCAAGGAGAACTACAAACCACTGCTCAAGGAAATAAGGATACAAACAAATGGAAAAACATTCCATGCTCATGGATAGTAATATACAGATTCAATGTTATCCCCATCAAGCTATCACTGACTTTCTTCATGGAATTGGAAAAAACTACTTTAAACGTCATATGGAACCAAAAAAGAGCCTGCATAGCCAAAATAATCCTGGGCAAGAAGAACAAAGTTGGAGGCATCGTGCTACCTGACTTCAAACTATACTACAAGGCTACAGTAACCAAAATAGCATGGTACTGGTACCAAAATAGATATATAGAATAGAACAGAACAGAGGCCTAAGAAATAACACCATGCATCTACAACTATCTGATCTTTGAAAAACCTGACACAAACAAGCAATGGGGAAAAGATTCACTATTTAATAAATGATGTTGGGAAAACTGGCTAGCCATATGCAGAAAACTGAAACTGGAACCCTTTTACAACTTATACAAAAATCAACTCAAGATGGATCAAAGACTTAAACGTAAGACCTAGCACCATAAAAATCCTAGAAGAAAACTTGGGCAATACCATTCAGGACATAGGCATGGGCAAAGATTTCATGTCTAAAAACACCAAAAGCCATGGCAACAAAAGCCAAAATAGACAAATGGGATCTAATTAAACTAAAGAGCTTCTGCATAGCAAAAAAAAAAAAAACAAAAAAAACAAAAAAAAAAACAAAGAAAAAAACAGAAAAAAAAACACAACTAAAATCAGGGTGAACAGGCAACCTACAGAATGGGAGAAAAGTTTTGCAATCTATCCATCTGACAAAGGGCTAATATCCAGAACCTACAAAGAACTTAAACAAATTTTCAAGAAAAAAACAAACAACCCCATCAAAAACTGGGCAAAGGATATGAACAGACACTTCTCAAAAGAAGACATTTATGCAGCCAACAGACATACGAAAAAAAGCTCATCATCACTGTTCATTAGAAAAATGCAAGTCAAAACCACAGTGAGATACCATCTCACGCCAGTTAGAATGGTGATCATTAAAAAGTCAGGAAACAACAGATCCTGGAGAGGATGGGGAGAAATAGGAACGCTTTTACACTGTTGGTGGGACTGTAAATTAGTTGAACCATTGTGGAAGACAGTGTGGCGATTCCTCAAGGATCTAGAACTAGAAATGCCATTTGACCCAGCAATCCCATTACTGGGTATATACCCAAAGAACTATAAATCATTCTACTATAAAGATGCATGCACACGTATGTTTTATTGTGGCACTATTCACAATAGCAAAGACTTGGAACCAACCCAAATGTCCATCAATAATAGACTGGATAAAGAAAATGTGGCATGTATACACCATGGAATACTATGCAGCCATAAAAAGGATGAGTTCATGTCCTTTGCAAAGACATGGATGAAGCTGGAAACCATCATTCTCAGCAAACTATCACAAGAACAGAAAACCAAACACCATATGTTCTCACTCATAAGTGGGAGTTGAGCAATGAGAGCACATGGACATAAGGAGGGGAACATCACACACTGGGGCCTGTCAGAGGGTGGGGAGCTAGGGGAGGGATAACATTAGGAGAAATACCTAATGTAAGTGATGAGTTGATGGGTGCAGCAAGCCACCATGGCACCTGTATACCTATGTAGCAAAACAGCACATTCTGCACATGTACCCCAGAACTTAAAGCATAATTTAAAATAAATAAAAATTTATTAGTGAAGTCCGACAAAAACTTAATCAAGCAGAAGAAAGAATCAGCAAACTCAAAGACAGGTACTTTTCCATTATTAAGTCAAAAGCACAAGAAGAAAAAAGGATAAAGAAGAAAAAGCAAAGGGACTTGTGGGACACTATCAAGTGGACCAGTATTGCATTACAGAACTTATACATTGAGAACAGAGAGAGAATAGTGAGCTTATGTGAGGAAATAATGGTTGTAAACTTCCCAAATATTCAAATATATATATATACATCCAAATTCAAGGAGCTCAAAGGACCCAACTAGGATAAATTGAAAGAAGTCCACCACAAGATACATTATAATCAAACCGTCCAAAGGCAAAGACAATGAGAATCTTGAAAACAGAAAGAGAAAATTGACTTGTCATATACAAGGATACTCCATAAATTATTAGTAGATTTCTCAGCAGAAACATTGGTAGTGGGGTTATATAATCAAGGTGCTGAAAGAAAACAACCTGCCACACAAGAATACTATAACTGGCAAAAGTGTCTTTCAAAGATGAAGGAGAAATAAAGACTTTCCAAGATAAACAAAAGCTGAGGGAGTTCATCAAAACTAGACCTGCCTTGCAAGAAGTGCTAGAGTCCTTCAAGTTGAAAGAAAAAGACATCAGACAGCAACACCAAGGCATAAGAGAAAAGTAAAGATCTCTGGTAAAGGTAAATATATCAACAAATACAGAATCCTGTAATACCATAATGGTAGTGCATAAATCACTTTTGAAAATTTTATTCTCTCATTAATACTTAATGGGTATACATATGTTGGAGGTACATGTAACGATTTAATAGAGTCACTTAATTTATAAAGATCAAATCAGTGAAACTGGGATATTCATCACCTTAAATATTTGTCTTTATGCTAGAAACACCTGAATTATTTTCTTCAAGCTATTTTAAAATATAGAATAAGTTACTGTAAACTGTAGTTACATACTGATCTATCAAACAGTAGGTCTTGTTTATCAAACTGTATGTTTCTACCCATTAATCAACCACACTTCATCCCCCCATCTCCCCTACCTTTCTTGGCCTTTTGTAACCACCAATCTATACTAAAGCTTTGGGAGATCCACTTAGCTCTCATATATGAGTGAGAACATGCAATATTTGTCTTTCTCTGCTTGGCTTATTTTATCTAGCATAATTACCTATAGTCCCATTGATGTTGCTGCAAATGACAGGATTTTATTCTTTTTATGGCTGAATAATATTCCATGATGTCTACATATCATATTTACTTTATTCTTCCATTAATGGACTCTTATTTTTATTCTGTATTTTGTCTATTCTGAATAGTGCTGCAAGAAATGTGTGAGTGCAGATATCTTTTTGATACATTGATTTCTTTTCTTTGAGATATATACCCAATAGTAGAATTGCTGTATCATACAGTAGTTCTATTTTTGTTTTTTTGAGAAACGTTCATACATTTTCCATAGTGACTGTGTTAATTTACATACTCACCAATGGTGTACTAGGGTTTCCTTTTCTCCACATCTTCATCAGCATACATTATTCCCTGTCTTTTTTATAGAAGCTGTTTTAACTACTGTGAAATGAGATGTAATTGTCATTTTTTATTTGCATTTCTCTAATAGTGATGCTGAACATTTTTATATACCTGTTGGTCATTGATAGGTCTTCTTTTGAAAAATGTCTATTGAATGTCTTTTGCCCATTTTTAAATTAGATTATTTGTTTTCATGCTGTTGAGTTGTTTGAGCTCCTTATGTATTCTGGTTATTAATCCTTTGTCAATTGAATAATTTGCAGTTTTTTTCCTCCCACTTTGTGGGTTGTCTCTTCACTTTATTGATTGTTTTCTTTGCTCTACAGAAGCTTTTAACCTGATGTAATCCTATTTATTTTTGATTTAGCTGCCTGTGCTTTTTAGGTCTTACATGAAAAATCTTTGCTCAGACCAATGTTTTGGAGTGTTTCCCCAATGTTTTCTTCTAATGGTTTCATAGTTGTGAGTCTTTAATCCATTTTGATTTGATTTTTGAGAAATAGGGGTCTTGTTTTATTCTTCTGCTTATGGTTATCCAGTTTTCATAGCATCATTTGTTAAAGAGATTATCCTTTCACTATTGTATGTTCTCGGCACCTTTGTGAAAAATAAGTTGGCCATAAATGTATGGATTTATATCTGGGATACCTATTCTATTCCTTTGGTCTATGTGTCTGTATTTATTCCAGTACCATGCTTATTTGTTTACCATAGCTTTGTAGCATATTTGGAAGTAAAGTAACATGATGGCTCCAGCTTTGTTATTTTTGATCAGTATTGCTTTGGCTATTTGTGCTCTGTTGTGGTTCCGTATACTTTTTTAGGAATGTTTTCTTCTATTTCTGTGAAATGACATTGATATTTTGAAAGATATTGCATTGAATCTGTATTAATTCTTCTAATTCATGAACATGGAATATTTTTCCATTTTATTGTGTCTTCCTCAATTTACTTCATGAGTCATTTATAGTTTACTTTGTATAGACCTTTCACTTCTTTGCTTAAATTAACTTCTAGGTAATTTATATTATTTGAAGCCATTGTACATGGGTTTGCTTCTTAATTTATTTTTCAGATTGTTCACTGTTGGTATATACAAATGCTACTGATTTTTGTATATTGATTTTGTTTACTGCAACTTTACTGAATTTATCAGTTCTAACAATTTTTTGTTAGAGACTTTAGGTTTTTCTAAGTATAAAACTATGTTATTTTCATATAAGGATAATTGAACTTCCTCTTTTTCTATTTGGATGCCTTTTTTTCTTTCTCTCACCTAACTTTTCTAGTGAGAACTTACAGTATTATGTTGAATAAAAATGGTGAAAGTAGGCATTCTTATCATATTCTGGATCTCAGTGGAAATGCTTTCAAGAGTTCCCTGTTCAGTACAATGTTAGTTGTGAATTGGCCATATATGGCCTTTATTATTTTGAGGTATGTTCCTTTTCTGAGATTTTTACCATAAAGAGATGTTGAATTTTATTAAATACTTTTCCAGCACCTATTGAAATTATCATATGGTTTTTGTTCCTGGTTATGTTAATGTGATGTATTATGTTAATTGATTTGCATATGTTGAACCCTCGTTGCATCCCTGGGAAGAATCTCACTTGATCATGGTGAATGATCTTTTAAAACTATTGTTGAATTCAATTTTCTTGGTTTTGTTGAGGATTTTTGTATCGATGTTCATTAGTACATTGGCTAGAAGTTTTCTTTTTTTGTTGTGTTCTTTTTTTTTTTTTTTTTTCTCCATGCCAATACATGTTAAACCAGTGAGTTGCACATCAAGTTCTGGAAAAAAAACCCTACACAAAGTTCTTCACAATTGGTTGACATTTCTTAAAAATAACAGTAATGTTTCAGCATTCCTCAGAGACCACATTATTCTTTTTTTTTTCCTTTTTTTTATTATTATACTTTAAGTTTTAGGGTACATGTGCACATTGTGCAGGTTAGTTACATATGTATACATGTGCCATGCTGGTGTGCTGCACCCACTAACTAGTCATCTAGCATTAGGTATATCTCATAATGCTATCCCTCCCCCCTCCCCCCACCCCACAACAGTCCCCACAGTGTGATGTTCCCCTTCCTGTGTCCATGTGATCTCATTGTTCAATTCCCACCTATGAGTGAGAATATGCGGTGTTTGGTTTTTTGTTCTTGCGATAGTTTACTGAGAATGATGATTTCCAATTTCATCCATGTCCCTACAAAGGACATGAACTCATCATTTTTTATGGCTGCATAGTATTCCATGGTGTATATGTGCCACATTTTCTTAATCCAGTCTATCATTATTGGACATTGGGGTTGGTTCCAAGTCTTTGCTATTGTGAAAAAGTGCCACAGTAAACATACGTGTGCATGTGTCCTTATAGCAGCATGATTTATAGTCCTTTGGGTATATACCCAGTAATGGGATGGCTGGGTCAAATGGTACTTCTAGTTCTAGATCCCTGAGGAATCGCCACACTGACTTCCAAAATGGTTGAACTAGTTTACAGTCCCACCAACAGTGTAAAAGTGTTCCTATTTCTCCACATCCTCTCCAGCACCTGTTGTTTCCTGACTTTTTAATGATTGCCATTCTAACTGGTGTGAGATGGTATCTCATTGTGGTTTTGATTTGCATTTCTCTGATGGCTAGTGATGGTGAGCATTTTTTCATGTGTTTTTTGGCTGCATAAATGTCTTCTTTTGAGAAGTGTCTGTTCATGTCCTTCGCCCACTTTTTGATGGGGTTGTTTTTTTCTTGTAAATTTGTTTGAGTTCATTGTAGATTCTGGATATTAGCCCGTTGTCAGATGAGGAGGTTGCAAAAATTTTCTCCCATTTTGTAGGTTGCCTGTTCACTCTGATGGTAGTTTCTTTTGCTGTGCAGAAGCTCTTTAGTTTAATTAGTTTAATTAATTTAGTTTAATTAGAAGCAATTTAGTTTAATTGAATTAAATCCCATTTGTCAATTTTGGCTTTTGTTGCCATTGCTTTTGGTGTTTTAGACATGAAGTCCTTGCCCGTGCCTATGTCCTGAATGGTAATGCCTAGGTTTTCTTCTAGGGTTTTTCTGGTTTTAGGTCTAACATTTAAGTCTTTAATCCATCTTGAATCGATTTTTGTATAAGGTGTAAGGAAGGGATCCAGTTTCAGCTTTCTACATATGGCTAGCCAGTTTTCCCAGCACCACTTATTAAATAGGGAATCCTTTCCCCATTGCTTGTTTTTGTCAGGTTTGTCAAAGATCAGATAGTTGTAGTTATGCGGCGTTATTTCTGAGGGCTCTGTTCTGTTCCATTGATCTGTATCTCTGTTTTGGTACCAGTGCCATGCTGTTTTGGTTACTGTAGCCTTGTAGTATAGTTTGAAGTCAGGTAGTGTGATGTCTCCAGCTTTGTTCTTTTGGCTTAGGATTGACATGGCGATGCGGGCTCTTTTTTGGTTCCGTATGAACTTAAAGTAGTTTTTTCCAATTCTGTGAAGAAAGTCATTGGTAGCTTGATGGGGATGGCATTGAATCTGTAAATTACCTTGGGCAGTATGGCCATTTTCAGGATACTGATTCTTCCTACCCATGAGCATGGAATGTTCTTCCATTTGTTTGTATCCTCTTTTATTTCATTGAGCAGCGGTTTGTAGCTCTCCTTGAAGAGGTCCTTCACATCCCTTGTAAGTTGGTTTCCTAGGTATTTTATTCTCTTTGAAGCAATTGTGAATGGGAGTTCACTCATGATTTCGCTCTCTGTTTGTCTGTTGTTGGTGTATAGGAATGCTTGTGATTTTTGTACATTGATTTTGTATCCTGAGACTTTGCTGAAGTTGCTTATCAGCTTAAGGAGATTTTGGACTGAGACGATGGGGTTTTCTAGATATACAATCATGTCATCTGCAAACAGGGACAATTTGACTTCCTCTTTTCCTAATTGAATACCCTTTATTTCCTTCTCCTGCCTAATTGCCCTGGCCAGAACTTCCCACACTATGTTGAATAGGAGTGGTGAGAGAGGGCATCCCTGTCTTGTGCCAGTTTTCAAAGGGAATGCTTCCAGTTTTTGCCCATTCAGTATGGTATTGGCTGTGGGTTTGTCATAGATAGCTCTTATTATTTTGAAATACGTCCCATCAATACCTAATTTATTGAGAGTTTTTAGCATGAAGGGTTGTTGAATTTTGTCAAAGGCCTTTTCTGCATCTATTGAGATAATCATGTGGTTTTTGTCATTGGTTCTGTTTATATGCTGGATTACATTTATTGATTTGCATATATTGAACCAGCCTTGCATCCCAGGGATGAAGCCCACTTGATCATGGTGGATAAGCTTTTTGATGTGCTGCTGGATTCGTTTTGCCAGTAGTTTATTTATGATTTTTGCATCAATGTTCATCAAGGATATTGGTCTAAAATTCTCTTTTTTGGTTGTGTCTCTGCCCGGCTTTGGTATCAGAATGATGCTGGCCTCATAAAATGAGTTAGGGAGGATTCCCTCTTTTTCTATTGATTGGAATAGTTTCAGAAGGAATGGTACCAGTTCCTCCTTGTACCTCTGGTAGAATTCAGCTGTGAATCCATCTGGTCCTGGACTCTTTTTGGTTGGTAAGCTATTGATTATTGCCATAATTTCAGAGCCTGTTATTGGTCTATTCAGAGATTCAACTTCTTCCTGGTTTAGTCTTGGGATAGTGTATGTGTCGAGGAATTTATCCATTTCTTCTAGATTTTCTAGTTTATTTGCATAGAGGTGTTTGTAGTATTCTCTGATGGTAGTTTGTATTTCTGTGGGATCGGTGGTAATATCCCCTTTATCATTTTTTATTGTGTCTATTTGATTCTTCTCTCTTTTTTTCTTTATTAGTCTTGCTGGCAGTCTATCAATTTTGTTGATCCTTTCAAAAAACCAGCTCCTGGTTTCATTAATTTTTTGAAGGGTTTTTTGTGTCTCTATTTCCTTCAGTTCTGCCCTGATTTTAGTTATTTCTTGCCTTCTGCTAGCTTTTGAATGTGTGTGCTCTTGCTTTTCTAGTTCTTTTAATTGTGATGTTAGGGTGTCAATTTTGGATCTTTCCTGCTTTCTCTTGTGGGTATTTAGTGCTATAAATTTCCCTCTACACACTGCTTTGAATGCGTCCCAGAGATTCTGGTATGTTGTGTCTTTGTTCTCGTTGGTTTCAAAGAACATCTTTATTTCTGCCTTCATTTCGTTATGTACCCAGTAGTCATTCAGGAGCAGGTTGTTCAGTTTCCATGTAGTTGAGTGGTTTTGAGTAAGATTCTTAATCCTAAGTTTTAGTTTGATTGCACTGTGGTCTGAGAGATAGTTTGTTATAATTTCTGTTCTTTTACATTTGCTGAGGAGTGCTTTACTTCCAAGTATGTGGTCAATTTTGGAATAGGTGTGGTGTGGTGCTGAAAAAAATGTATATTCTGTTGATTTGGGGTGGAGAGTTCTGTAGATGTCTATTAGGTCCGCTTGGTGCAGAGCTGAGTTCAATTCGTGGGTATCCTTGTTGATTTTCTGTCTCGTTGGTCTGTCTAATGTTGACAGTGGGGTGTTAAAGTCTCCCATTATTAATGTGTGGGAGTCTAAGTCTCTTTGTAGGTCTCAGGACTTGCTTTATGAATCTGGGTGCTCCTGTATTGGGTGCATATATATTTAGGATAGTTAGCTCTTCTTGTTGAATTGATCCCTTTACCATTATGTAATGGCCTTCTTTGTCTCTTTTGATCTTTGTTGGTTTAAAATCTGTTTTATCAGAGATTAGGATTGCAACCCCTGCCTTTTTTTGTTTTCCATTTGCTTGGTAGATCTTCCTGCATCCTTTTATTTTGAGCCTATGTGTGTCTCTGCACGTGAGATGGGTTTCCTGAATGCGGCATGGGTCTTGACTCTTTATCCAATTTGCCAGTCTGTGTCTTTTAATTGGAGCATTTAGTCAATTTACATTTAAAGTTAATAGTGTTATGTGTGAATTTGATCCTGTCATTATGATGTTAGCTGGTTATTTTGCTCGTTAGTTGATGCAGTTTCTTCGTAGTCTCGATGGTCTTTACATTTTGGCATGACTTTGCAGCGGCTGGTACCGGTTGTTCCTTTCCATGTTTAGTGCTTCCTTCAGGAGCTCTTTTAGGGCAGGCCTGGTGGTGCCAAAATCTCTCAGCATTTGCTTGTCTGTAAAGTATTTTATTTCTCCTTCACTTATGAAGCTTAGTTTGGCTGGATATGAAATTCTGGGTTGAAAATTCTTTTCTTTAAGAATGTTGAATATTGGCCCCCACTCTCTTCTGGCTTGTAGGGTTTCTGCCGAGAGATCCGCTGTTAGTCTGATGGGCTTCCCTTTGAGGGTAACCCGACCTTTCTCTCTGGCTGCCCTCAACATTTTTTCCTTCATTTCAACTTTGGTGAATCTGACAATTATGTTTCTTGGAGTTGCTCTTCTCAAGGAGTATCTTTGTGGCGTTCTCTGTATTTCCTGAATCTGAACGTTGGCCTGCCTTGCTAGATTGGGGAAGTTCTCCTGGATAATATCCTGCAGAGTGTTTTCCAACTTGGTTCCATTCTCCCCATCACTTTCAGGTACACCAATCAGACATAGATTTGGTCTTTTCACATAGTCCCATATTTCTTGGAGGCTTTGCCGTTTCCTTTTATTCTTTTTTCTCTAAACTTTCCTTCTCGCTTCATTTCATTCATTTCATCTTCCATTGCTGATACCCTTTCTTCCAGTTGATCGCATCGGCTCCTGAGGCTTCTGTGTTGTTCACGTAGTTCTCGAGCCTTGGTTTTCAGCTCCATCAGCTCCTTTAAGCACTTCTCTGTATTGGTTATTCTAGTTATACATTCTTCTAAATTTTTTTCAAAGTTTTCAACTTCTTTGCCTTTGGTTTGAATGTCCTCCCGTAGCTCAGAGTAATTTGATCGTCTGAAGCCTTCTTCTCTCAGCTCGTCAAAGTCATTCTCTGTCCAGCTTTGTTCCTTTGCTGGTGAGGAGCTGCATTCCTTTGGATGAGGAGAGGCACTCTGCTTTTTAGAGTTTCCAGTTTTTCTGTTCTGTTTTTTCCCCATCTTTGTGGTTTTATCCACTTTTGGTCTTTGATGATGAAGTACAGATGGGTTTTTGGTGTGGATGTCCTTTCTGTTTGTTAGTTTTCCTTCTAACAGACAGGACCCTCAGCTGCAGGTCTGTTGGAGTACCCTGCAGTGTGAGGTGTCAGTGTGTCCCTGCTGGAGGGTGCCTCCCAGTTAGGCTGCTCGGGGGTCAGGGGTCAGGGACCCACTTGAGGAAGCAGTCTGCCCGTTCTCAGATCTCCAGCTGCGTACTGGGAGAACCACTGCTCTCTTCAAAGCTGTCAGACAGGGACATTTAAGTCTGCAGAGGTTACTGCTGTCTTTTTGTTTGTCTGTGCCCTGCCCCCAGAGGTGGAGCCTACAGAGGCAGGCAGGCCTCCTTGAGCTGTGGTGGGCTCCACCCAGTTCGAGCTTCCTGGCTCCTTTGTTTACCTAAGCAAGCTTGGGCAATGGCGGGCGCCCCTCCCCCAGCCTCACTGCTGCCTTGCAGTTTGATCTCAGACTGCTGTGCTAGCAATCAGCGATACTCCGTGGGGTAGGACCCTCTGAGCCAGGTGCGGGATATAATCTCGTGGTGCATCGCTTTTTAAGCCTGTCGGAAAAGCGCAGTATTCGGGTGGGAGTGAACCGATTTTCCAGGTGCCATTCGTCACCCCTTTCTTTGATTAGGAAAGGGAACTCCCTGACCCCTTGCGCTTCCCAAGTGAGGCAATGCCTCGCCCTGCTTCGGCTCGTGCACGGTGCGTGCACCCACTGACCTGCACCCACTGTCTGGCACTCCCTAGTGAGATGAACCGGGTACCTCAGATGGAAATGCAGAAATCACCCTTCTTCTGCGTCGCTCAGGCTGGGAGCTGTAGACAGGAGCTGTTCCTATTCGGCCATCTTGGCTCCTCCACCTGTTGTGTTCTTATCTTGTGTTGGTATCAGGGTAATGCTAGTGTCTTAGAATGGGTTTGAAGTATTCCCTCCTCTTCAGTTTTTTTTTTTTTTTTTTGAAGATTTTGAATAGAATTAGTATAGTCTTCTTTAAATATTTAGTAGAATTCAGGTGAAGCCATCAGGTCCTGGGCTTTTCTTTAATAAGAGACTTTTTATTACAACTTTTATCTCATTACTAGTTATTCGTTTGGTGAGGTTTCCTCTTTGTTCATAGGTCAGTCCTGGTAAGTTGTATATGTCCAGGACTTTTCCATTTTTCCTAGGTTTTCTAATTTATTAGCACATAATTGTTCATAATAGTCTCTAATGATACTTTGTATTTCTGTGGTTCCAGTGGTTATGTCTCCATTTTGTTTCTGATTTTATTTATTTTTGGTGTACTCTTTTTTTTCCTCCCTAAATGTTTGTTGATTTTATTTATCTTTTCAGAAAACCACCTTTAATTTTATTGATCTTCTGTATTGTTAATTTAGTCTAAATTATGTTTAATTCTGCTTTGATTTTTATTATTTATTTTCTTCCACTAATTTTGGGTTCAGTTCATTTTTTATATTCTAGTTCCTTAAGGTGAATGATCTACTTATTTGAAGTCTTTCTGCTTTTTTGATATAGGTGTTTATTGCTATAAATGTCCCTCTTAGTACATCATTTGCTGTATCCCATAGATTTTGGTCTGTTGTATTTCAATTTTCATTTGTTTTAAGAAATATTTTAATTTTCTACTTCATTTCTTCATTGACCCATTGATCAGTCAGGAGCATGTTGTTTTATTTTCATGTGTTTGTGTAGTTTCCAAGATTCTTCTTATTATTAAATTCTAGTTTTATTCCATTGTTATCAGAAAAGATACTTTATATAATTACTACTTTTTATAACTTCTTTGAACTTGTTTTGAGGCCTACCATGTGGTCTATTCTGGAGAATGTTTCATGTACTGATGAGAATAATGTGATTCTATTGCAGTTGGGTGAAATATTCTGTAAATGTCAGTTAGGATTTCTTTTTTCTAGTGTGTAGTTTAACTCCAATATTTCTTTGTTGATGTTTTCTGTCTGGATGACCTGTCCCTTACTGAGCGTGGATTGTTGAACGTTCTGCTATTATTCTATTGCAGTCTGTCTCTTCCTTTAGATGTATTAATGTTTGTCTTATGTATTTGGGTGCTCCAGTGATGGTTGTGTAGATATTTATAATTGTCATATTCTCTTGCAGAATTGGCTTTTTCATTATATAGCAATCTTTGTCTCTTTTTACAGTCTTTAACTTCTAGTATATTTTATCTGATATAAATGTAGCTATTCCTGCTCTTTTTTTGGTTTATTTCCATAGAATATTTGTTCCCACTCTTCATTTTTAGTCTATGTGTATCTTTATAAGTGAAATGAGTTTCTTCTAAGCAACATATAGTTAGATCTTGTTCTTTATCCATTCAGCCACTTTATGCTTTTTTTTTTTTTTTTTGAGATGGAGTCTCACTCTGTTGCCCAGGCTGGAGTACAGTGGCACAATCTCGGCTCACTGCAAGCTCTGCTTCCTGGGTTCACACCATTCTCCTGCCTCAGCCTCCTGAGTAGCTGGGACTACAGGCACCTGCCATCACGCCCGGCTAAGTTTTTCGTATTTTTAATAGAGATGAGGTTTCACCATGTTAGCAAAGATGGTCTCGATCTCCTGACCTCGTGATCTGCCTGACTCACCCTCCCAACACTTTATGCCTTTTAATTGGAGAATTGAGTCAATTTAGATTCATTGTTATTACTGATAATTAATAATTTATTACTGCTATTTTGTTGCTTTCTGGTTGTTTTGTAACTCATATCTTCTTTTCTTTCTTACTGTCTTCATTTGTGGATAAGTATTTTCTCTAGCAGCATGTTTTAATTTGTTAATTTGTTGCTTTTTATGTTTAGTAAATCTATTATAGGTTTTTGCATTGTAATTGTGATCAGGCTTATTAAAAGCATCTTATTGATATAAAAAGTTATGTTTAAAAGATGACAACATATCTTAGATTAAAAAGAATGGAAATATACAAATGTTCGTCTAGGAGAAATGTTCTCTCTCCTTCACATTTGAAAGATAGCTTTGCTAGATGTAGTATTATTAGATGAGAGTTTTTTTTTTTTCATTTCAGCACTTTAAAAATGTCATTCCACTACCTTCTGACCTGTAAGGTTTCAGTTGAGAAGTCTGTTGTCATACAAATTGGATTCCATCATATCTCATTCACTTCTTTTCTCTTGTTACTCTTAGTGTCCCTTTTGTCTTTGATCTTTTTTGTTTTGAGACAGTGTCTTGGTCTGTCATCTAGGCGGAAGTCCAGTGGCATGTTCATAGCTCACTGAAGCCTTGAACTCCTAGGCTAAAGAAGTTAGCCTAGAGATCCTCCTTCCTCAGCCTCCCAAGTAGCTGTGACTACAGGCATGTGCTTGGCTAATTTTTATTTTTTATTTTTGTACGGATGGGGTCTTGTTATGCTGGCCAGGTTGGTCTTGAACTCCTGGCCTCAAGTGATCCTCCTATCTTAGCCTCCCAAGTTGCTGGGGTTACAAATATAAGCCACTGTGTTCAGTCCTTGTCTTTGACATTTGAGAGTTTTATTATTATATGCCTTAGGATACTTTTATTTGGTTGATTCTCTTTGGTGTTCTCTGACTTTCTGGATATTTATCTCTTTTGCAAGTTTTGTAGTCTTTCTAATTATTTTTTTGAATAAGTTTCTATTACTTGCTATTGCTCAACTCTTTCTTGTACACAAATAATTCTTAGCATTGGTCTTTCAAGGTGATTTTCTATATCTTATAGGCAATCTTTCTTCTTTTTCATTCTTTTTTCTTTTTTATCCTCTGACTATATTTTCATATAGGCTGTCTTTGAGCTCACTGATTCTTTCCTCTGCTAGATTCTTTCTTCTGTTGAGAGCCTCTAATGAATGTTTAAGTTCAGCAAATGTATTTATTGGTTCTAAGATTTGTGTTTGATTTTTTAAATTGTTTTAATCTCTTTGTTAAAATTTTCTAATAAATTTCTGAATTGCTTTTCTGTGTTATCTTGGAAATCACTGAGCTTCCTTAAAACTGGTATTTTGAATTCTTGGTCAGATAATTCACATATTGCTATCTCATTAGGGCCAATCACTGTATCTTTGCTTTGTCCACTTGGGAAGGTCAAATTTTATGGTTTCCTGTTTCCTTTTTTTTTTTGTGTGGATGTACATTTATGTCTGCATTGGAGGATTAGTTATTTATCCAAATCTTCTATGTCAGACTTGTTTTGATTTTTATTGGATATACTTGCTTAGAGATTCTTTGCAGTTTACCTGTGGACCTTCTTTCTTTTGTTTATTTGGTATTTTCCCCAATAGATCACTACCTCTTTGAGCCCAGGTTTACTTCAGTTCTAGTAAAAAATCAGAGTGTTGCCCATTCCAAATGTGTTGCCCATTCCAAATGGTTGGCTAGGGGTTCTTGCTGAGGGAACATGTCGAGCAAACCACTTACAGTGTGGTGCCACTGAACAGCCACTCTGATGTGGCGTGTCTTTGGGCAAGTTACAGAGCAGAGTTTCCAAGTCTGGGGATGATAGTTCTGTGTCCACACTTTGTCTCTGGCTGTCCTCAGGGATATTTCTCCATTTAGGCACTTGTGATGTTTCCTGTAGGTGAGGCGAGGCAGGTATCCCATGAAAAAACCCAAAATGGCTAGGAAGATGGTTGTCTTCCATGTTCTCACTTTTTCCATGTAGAAACTGTGAGTCAGGGGGAAATTTACCATGTGCTTGTTCCCAGCAGATTGAGGGGAGGGGTATTGTGAATATGAAAGTTCACCTCTTGGGCTCAGTGGCTCACACCTGTAATCCCAGCACTTTGGGAAGCTGAGCCAGGCAGATCACCTGAGGTTAGGAGTTCAAGACCAGCCTGACCAAGATGGAGAAACCCCATCTCTTCTATAAATACAAAAACTTAGCCAGGCATGGAGGTGCATGCCTGTAATTCCAGGTACTTGGGAGGCTGAGGCAGGAGAATTGCTTGAACCCAGGAGGCAGAGGTTGCAGTGAGCCAAGATAGCGCCACTGCACTGCAGCCTGGGCAACAAGAGTGAAACTCCGTCTCAAAAAAAAAAAAAGAAAGTTCAATTATCTTATGCCTTCTTGGAGTTTTTGTACTTCTCTGTGGCCCTGGGTCCTGTCTGATCCTCACATTTGAATTCTGGGATATTGGTGATGGTGACAATCTTTTTTTTTTTTTTAACTTTTATTTTAGGTTCAGGGGTACATGTGCAAGTTTGTTATATAGGTCAACTGCATGTCATGGGGGTTTGGTGTACAGATTATTTTATCACTCAGGTAATAAGCATAGTACTCGAAAGGTAGATTTGATCCTCTCCCTCCTCCTACCTTTATCTCTCAGGTAGGCCCCAGTATCTATTGTCGCCTTCTTTGTGTTCATGTGTTCTCATTGTTTAGCTCCCACTTATAAGTGAGAACATGCGATATTTTGTTTTCTATTACTATGTTAGTTTGCTCAGAATAATAGCCTTCAGCTCCATCCATGTTGCTGCAAAGAAAATGATCTCATTATTTTTATGGGTGGGTAGTGTTCCATGTTAAATATGTACTTTATTTTCTTTATTCAGTTTATCATTGATGGGCATTGAGTTTGATTCTACATCTTTGGTATTGTGAATAGTGCTGGAATAAACATATATGTGTTTGTGTCTTTTTGGTAGAATAGTTTATATTCCTTTGGGTATATAACCAATAATAGTATTGCTGGGTTGAATGGTAATTCTATTTTAAGTTTTCTGAAGAATTGCCACACTGCTTTTTACAATGGCTGAACTAATTTACATTCCCACCAGCAGTGTGTAAGCATTCCTTTTTCTCCACAATCTCACCAGCATCTGTTATTTTTGACTTTTTAATAGTAGCCATTCTGACTAGTGTGAGATAGTATCTCGTGGTTTTGATTTGCATTTCTCTAATGTTTAGTGATGTTGAGCATTTTTTTCTTATGCTTTTTGGCCATGTGTATGTCTTCTTTTCAAAAGTGTCTATTAGTGTCCTTTGACCACTTTTATTTTTATTATTTTTTTAACTTTTATTTTAAGTTCAGGGATGCACATGGAGGTTTGTTAGATAGGTAAACTCATGTCATGGGGATTGGTTGTACAGATTATTTTGTCATCCAGTGACTAAGCTTAGTACCCATTAGTATTTTTCCTGATTCTCTCTCTTATCCCTCCACCCTCAAGTAGGCCCCAGTGTCTGTTATTCCCTTCTATGTGTCCCTGTGTTCTCATTGTTTAGCTCCCACTTATAAGTGAGAACATGTGTTATTTAGTTTTCTATCACTGTGTTAGTTTGCTAAGGATAATGACTTCCAGCTCCATCTATGTCCCTGCAATGGATAAGATATTGTTCATTTTTATGGCTGCAAAGTATTCCATGGTGTATATATACCCCATTTTCTTTATTCAATCCACCATTAATGGGCATTTTGGTTGATTCAATGTCTTTGCTGTTGTGTATAGTGTGTAAGTAGTGCTGCACTAAACATATGCATGCAGATGTCTTTGTTTTTCTTTCTTTCTTTTTTTTTTTTGAGACAAAGTGTCACTCTGTCACCCAAGCTGGAGTGCAGTGGCATGATGTTGGCTCACTGCAACCTCTGCCTCCCAGGTTCAAGCGATTCTCATGCTTCAGCCTCCCAAGTAGCTGGGATTACAGACATGCGTCATCATACCCGGCTAATTTTTTTTATTTTTAGTAGAGATGTGGTTTCACCATGTTGGCCAGGCTAGTCTCAAACTCCTGACCTCAGATGATGCACTTGCCTTGGCCTCCCAACGTGCTGTGGTTACAGGCATGAGCCACCACACCCAGCCACATGTGTCTTTATGATAGAATGATTTACATTCCTTTGGTATATACTCAGTAATGGGATTGCTGGATCGACTGGTAGTTCTGTTTTTAGGTCTTTGAGGAGTTGCCACACTGATTTCCACAATGTTTGAACTAATTTACACTCCCACCAACAGTGTATAAGCACTCCTTTTTCTTCCTAACCTTGCCAGCATCTGTTATTTTTTTATTTTTTAATACTTGCCATTTTGATGGGTGAGAGATGTTATGTCATTGTGGTTTAGATTTGCATTTCTCTAATGATTGGTAATGTTGAGCTCTTTTTCCCATGCTTTCTGGCCACATATATGTCTTCTTTTGAAAAGTATCAATTCATGTCCTTTGTTCACTTTTTAATGGGATTGTTTGATGGTTTCTTGTACATTTATTTAAGTTCCTTAAAGAAGCTTAATATTAGACTTTTGTCAAGTTTATAGTTTGCAAATATTTTCTTCCATTATGTAGGTTGTCTGTTTACTCTGTTGATAGTTTCCTTTGCTGTGCAGAAGCTCTTTAGTTTAATTAGAAGCCATTTGTCAATTTTTGCTTTTGTTGCAATTGCGTTTGACATCTTTGTTATGAAATCTTTGCTCATTCCTGTGTTCTGAATAGTATTACCTAGATTGTCTTCCAGGGTTGTATTCTTTTGGGTTTTACATTTAAGTCCTTAATGCATCTTGAGTTGGTTTTTGTATATGGTGTAAGAAGGGATCCAGTTTCAACCTTCTGCATATGGCTAGCTAGTTATCCCAGCACAATTTGTTGAATAAGGAGTCTTTTTTCCACTGCTTGTTTTTTTCAGCTTTGTCAAAGATTAGATGGTTGCAGATATGCAACCTTATTTCTGTGCTCTTTATTTTGTTCCATTGGCCTATGTGTTTGTTTTTGTACTAGTACCATGCTGTTTTGGTTACTATAGCCTTGTAGTATAGTTTCAAGTTGGGTAACATGATGCTTCCAGCTTTGTTCTTTTTGCTTAGGATTGTCTTGGCTATTTGGACCTTTTGTAAAAAGGTTCCATGTGAATTTTAAAATAGTTGTTTCTAATTCTGCAAAGAATGTTACTGGTAGTTTGGTAGAAATAGCATCTGTAAATTTGTTCAGGCAGTATGGCCATTTTAACAATATTCATTCTAGCTGATGATAATCTTTGCATTACATGTTTGTTTTTAATTTTCTGTGTGTGTGTGTGAGGGGATAGGGAATGAGGCCAGTACTTCTATGCTGCCATTTTGGAACCAGAAGTCTCATAAATCACTTTTGATTTGTGCATACAATTTAAAAGATAAAAGCATAACAAATAGCTGTAATTGTAAAATTATGTTAATGGATACAAAATACATATAACAAACAAAGTATGGGGGAAATAAATGACTAGAGTTTTTGTATCTGATTGAAGTTGTTACCAGTTCTAAATAGATGATTATAACTATGAAATGTTTTATGTAATCTCCATGGTGACCACAAAATAAATACCTATAGAAGATATACACAGAAAACGAGAAAGAAATCAAGCATGTCACTACAAAAAATCAACAAAACACAAAGAAAGGCAGTAAGAGAGTAAAGAATGACAAAATAACAAGTTATAAAAAAAACAGTTTAAAATGGCAGTTTTAAATCTTTCCCTATCAGTAATTACTTTAAATGTAAATAAATTAAATGCCCCAGGCTGAATGGATAAAAACAAAAACAAAATCCGACTATAAGCTGTCTACAAGAGATTCACTATAAACATCAGCAAAAGGATGAAAAATGATATTCCATGACAATGGTAATTAAAAGAGAACAGGGTTGATCATACTTACATCAGAAAAAAAATAGACTTTAAGTTAAAAATTGTTGCATGAGACAAAGAAAAACATTATATAATGATATAAAAATCAATTCACCAAGAAGATATAACAATAATACAAACATGTCTGTCATTGGAGCACCCAAATATATGAGCAAATATTGACAGAATTGAAAGGAGAAATAAATGATAACACGTTAATATTAGGATACTCTACTTTCAGTAGTAGATAGAACAACCAGATGCTTAATAAGGAAATAGAGGATGTGGACAACATTATAGACCAATTGCACCTAACAGACACATATATAACACTGTACCCAATAGCAACACATTGTACATTCTTTAATACACACAGAACATTCTCCAAAATAGATTCCGTGTTAGATCACAAGATCAGTCTTAACAAATTTAACAAGATTGAACTCATGCCAAATATCTTTTCCAACTATAATGAAATAACACTAAAAATTAATAGCAGAAGAAAACCATGAAATTTACAAGTATGTGAAAATTAAGAACACTATTGAAGAATCATTGGGTCAAAGAACATATAACAAGGGAATTCAAAAATATCTTGAGAAAAATGAAAATTAAAACATAGCATACTAAAACTTATAGGATCCAGCAAATGCAGTACTAAGGGCTCTGGAAGGCTATAGTCATAAACACTTACGTTAAAAGGAGAAGGATCTTAAATCAACAACTTAATTTTATGCCTCAGAGAAATAGAAAAAGAACAAAATAAACCCAAAGTTAGCAGAAGAAATGAGCTAATAAATATTAGAGTAGAAATAAATAAAATAGACAATATAAAAACAAGAGATAAAAATCAATGAAACTGAGTGCTGTTTTGTTGAAAAGAGCAACAAAATTGACAAACTCTTAGCTAGACAAAAGATGATCAAATAACAAACACCAGAAATGAAAAAGGAGATATTACAACTAATGCCACAGAAATTAAAATAAAAGATCATGATATAATAGTATGAATAATTGTACATTAAAAACTGGATAACCTAGAAGAAATGGATATATTTACAGAACCATGCAAACTACCAAAACCGAATTATAAAAAAATAAAAAGCCTGAACAGACCTATAACTAGTAGGGAGATTAAATCGGTAATTAAAAACCTCCCAGCAAAGAAAAGCCCAGGACAAGATGGCTTTACTGGAGACTTCTGGAAAACATTTAAAGAAAAATTAACACCAGTGTTTCTGAAACTCTTTCAAAAAACTGAAGAGGAAGGAATGCTTTCAAACTCATTTTTTTGATGCCAGCATTACTCTGATACCAGAATCAGACAAAGATGCTGTAAGAAAAGAAAACTACATACCAATAACCATGAGGAATATTGGGACAAATTTCCTTAACAAAATACTAGCAAATACTTTAAAAGGATTTAGTCCTGCAATGCAAATATCCCATAACCAAGTGGGATTGAGTCCTGCAATGCAAATATGGTTCAGCAAATGAAAGTCAATTCAGTGTAACATACTGCATTAACAGAATGAAGGACAAAATTTACATGATCATCTCAATTAATGCAGAAAAAGTATTTGAGAAAACTCAACACACTTTTGTGATAAAAATACTAAACAAACTAGAAATAGGAATAAATTACCTCAACATAATAAATGCCATATATAAACAACTCATAACTAACATAATAGTGGTGAAAAACTAACATCTTTTCCTCTAGTGATCTTTTTCTCTAAGATCAGGTATAAGGCAAAGATTCTCACTCTCACTGCTTCTATTCAATATAGTGCTGGAAGTCTTAGCCAGAGCAGTTAACCAAGAAAAAGAAATAAAACTTATACAAGTAGAAAAAACAAGTGAAATTATCACTATTTACAAATGATATAATCTTATATGTAGAAAACAATAAAGATTCCACACAAGAAAATCCTGTTAGAACTAATCAATGGATTCAAGAAAGTTGCATGATATAGAATCAACACAAAAAAATCAATTGCATTTCTATACACAGAACAAGGCAAAAAGGAAATTAAGAAAATAATCCTATTTATAATACCAACAAAAGAATAAAACAGTTAGGAATAAATTTAACCAAGGAAGAAAAATACTTTACACTGAAAACTACAAAACGTTGCTGAAAGCAATACTAAAAGAAACAAATAAATGTAAAGACATTCTGTGTTCATGGATTACAAGACAATATTGTTAAAATGTCCATACATACTTAAGTATTCTACAGACTCAATGCAATCTCCATCAAAATCACAATGACACTTTTCTTTTTTTTTATTATACTTTAACTTTTAGGGGACATATGCACAACGTGCAGGTTTGTTACATATGTATACATATGCCATGTTGGTGTGCTGCACCCATTAACTCGTCGTTTAACATTAGGTATATCTCCTAATGCTATCCCTCCCCCCTACACCCACCCCACAACAGGCCCCGGTGTGTGATGTTCCCCTTCCTGTGTCCATGTGTTCTCATTGTTCAATTCCCACCTATGAGTGAGAACATGCAGTGTTCGGTTTTTTGTCCTTGTGATAGTTTGCTGAGAATGATGGTTTCCAGCTTCATCCATGTCCCTACAAAGGACATGAACTCATCCTTTTTTATGGCTACATAGTATTCCATGGGGTATACGTGCCACATTTTCTTAATCCAGTCTATCGTTGTAGGATATGTGGGTTGGTTCCAAGTCTTTGCTATTGTGAATAGTGCCTCAATAAACATACGTGTGCATGTGTCTTTATAGCAGCATGATTTATAATCCTTTGGGTATATACCCAATAATGGGATGGCTGGGTGAAATAGTATTTCTAGTTCTTTTTTTTTATTATACTTTAAGTTTTACGGTACATGTGCACAATGTGCAGGTTAGTTACATATGTATACATGTGCCATGCTGGTGTGCTGCACCCATTAACTCGTCATTTAGCATTAGGTAAATCTCCTAATGCTGTCCCTCCCCCCTCCCCCCACCCCACAACAATCCCCAGAGTGTGATGTTCCCCTTCCTGTGTCCATGTGTTCTCATTGTTCAATTCTCATCTATGAGTGAGAACATGCGGTGTTTGATTTTTTGTCCTTGCGATAGTTTACTGAGAATGATGATTTCCAATTTCATCCATGTCCCTACAAAGGACATGAACTCATCATTTTTAATGGCTGCATAGCATTCCATGTTGTATATGTGCCACATTTTCTTAATCCAGTCTATCATTGTTGGGCATTTGGGTTGGTTCCAGGTCTTTGCTATTGTGAATAGTGCCACAATAAACATACGTGTGCATGTGTCTTTATAGCAGCATGATTTATAGTCCTTTGGGTATATACCCAGTAATGGGATGGCTGGGTCAAATGGTATTTCTAGTTCTAGATCCCTGAGGAATCGCCACACTGTCTTCCACAATGGTTGAACTAGTTTACAGTCCCACCAACAGTGTAAAAGTGTTCCTATTTCTCCACATCCTCTCCAGCACCTGTTGTTTCCTGACTTTTTAATGATTGCCATTCTAACTGGTATGAGATGGTATCTCATTGTGGTTTTGATTTGCATTTCTCTGATGGCCAGTGATGACGAGCATTTTTTCATGTGTCTTTTGGCTGCATAAATGTCTTCTTTTGAGAAGTGTCTGTTCATATCCTTTGCCCACTTTTTGATGGGGTTGTTTTTTTCTTGTAAATTTGTTTGAGTTCATTGTAGATTCTGGATATTAGCCCTTTGTCAGATGAGTAGGTTGTGAAAATTTTCTGCCATTCTGTAGGTTGCCTGTTCACTCTGATGGTAGTTTCTTTTGCTGTGCAGAAGCTCTTTAGTTTAATTAGATCCCATTTGTCAATTTTGGCTTTTGTTGCCATTGCTTTTGGTGTTTTAGACATGAAGTCCTTGCCCATGCCTATGTCCTGAATGGTAATGCCTAGGTTTTCTTCTAGGGTTTTTATGGTTTTAGGTCTAATATTTAAGTCTTTAATCCATCTTGAATTAATTTTTGTATAAGGTGTAAGGAAGGGATCCAGTTTCAGCTTTCTACATATGGCTAGCCAGTTTTCGCAGCACCATTTATTAAATAGGGAATCCTTTCCCCATTGCTTGTTTTTCTCAGGTTTGTCAAAGATCAGATAGTTGTAGATATGTAGTGTTATTTCTGAGGGCTCTGTTCTGTTCCATTGATCTATATCTCTGTTTTGGTACTAGTACCAGGCTGTTTTGGTTACTGTAGCCTTGTAGTATAGTTTGAAGTCAGGTAGCATGATGCCTCCAGCTTTGTTCTTGTGGCTTAGGATTGACTTGGCAATGCGGACTCTTTTTTGGTTCCATATGCACTTTAAAGTAGTTTTTTCCAATTGTGTGAAGAAAGGCATTGGTAGCTTGATGGGGATGGCATTGAATCTATAAATTACCTTGGGCAGTATAGCCATTTTCATGATATTGATTCTTCCTACCCATAAGCATGTAATGTTCTTCCATTTGTTTGTATCCTGTTTTATTTCATTGAGCAGTGGTTTGTAGTTCCCCTTGAAGAGGTCCTTCACGTCCCTTGTAAGTTGGATTCCTAAGTATTTTATTCTCTTTGAAGCAATTGTGAATGGGAGTTCACTCATGATTTGCCTCGCTGTTTGTCTGTTATTGGTGTATAAGAATGCTTGTGATTTTTGTACATTGATTTTGTATCCTGAGACTTTGCTGAAGTTGCTTATCAGCTTAAGGAGATTTTGGGCTGAGACAATGGGGTTTTCTAGATATACAATCATGTCATCTGCAAACAGGGACAATTTGACTTCCTCTTTTCCTAATTGAATACCCTTTATTTCCTTCTCCTGCCTAATTGCCCTGGCCAGAACTTCCCACACTATATTGAGTAGGAGTGGTGAGAGAGGGCATCCGTGTCTTGTGCCAGTTTTCAAAGGGAATGCTTCCAGTTTTTGCCCATTCAGTATGATATTGGCTGTGGGTTTGTCATAGATAGCTCTTATTATTTTGAGATACGTCCCATCAATACCTATTTTATTGAGAGTTTTTAGCATGAAGCATTGTGGAATTTTGTCAAAGACCTTTTCTGCATCTATTGAGATAATCATGAGCCTACATTGCCAAGTCAATCCTAAGCCAAAAGAACAAAGCTGGAGGCATCACGCTACCTGACTTCAAATTGTACTACAAGGCTACAGTAACCAAAACAGCATGGTACTGGTACCAAAACAGAGATATAGACCAATGGAACAGAACAGAGCCCTCGGAAATAACACCGCTTATCTACAACTATCTGATCTTTGGCAAACCTGACAAAAACAAGAAATGGGGAAAGGATTCCCTATTTAATAAATGGTGCTGGGAAAACTGGCTAGCCATATGTAGAAAGCTGAAACTGGATCCCTTCCTTTCACCTTACACAAAAATTAATTCAAGATGGGTTAAAGACTTAAATGTTAGACCTGAAACCATAAAAACCCTAGAAGAAAACCTACGCAATACCATTCAGGACATAGACATGGGTAAGGACTTCATGTCTAAAATACCAAAAGCATGGCAACAAAAGCCAAAATTGACAAATGGGATCTAATTAAACTAAAGAGCTTCTGCACAGCAAAAGAAACTACCATCAGAGTGAACAGGCAACCTACAGAATGAGAGAAAATTTTTGCAATCTACTCTTCAGACAAAGGGCTAATATCCAGAATCTACTATGAACTCAAACAAATTTACAAGAAAAAACAAACAACCCCATCAAAAAGTGGGCAAAGGATATGAACAGACACTTCTCAAAAGAAGACATTTATGCAGCCAAAAGACATATGAAAAACAATGACACTTTTCAAAGAAATAAAAAATTATAAAATTCATATGGAATCAGAAATACCCTGAAAAGCCAAAGCAATTATGAGAAAGAAAAAGCTGGATGCCTCAAACTCCTGATTTCAAAACAAGTTATAAGGCTAAAGTAATTAAAACAGTGTAGAATTGGTATAAGGACAGACATATAGACTCATGGAACAGAATAGAAAGCCCAGAAATAGACCCTTTGGTATATGGTCAAATGATCTTAAACAAGGGTGCCAAGGTTATATAATGTGGAAAAGATAGTCTCTTCAACAAATGATATAGGAAACAGATTAATGATTTGACGTAAGATGTGAAACTATGCCAGAAGAAAATATAGGGGAAAGCTTCATGATATTGGATTTTGCAGTGATTTATTGGATATAATAACAAAAGTAAAAGCAAAAAAAGCAAAAGCAGACAAATGGTACTATATCAAACTTAAAAAGTTTTGCACATCACAGGAAACAACAGAGTGAAAAGGCAAACTATGTAATGGAAGAAAATATTTGCAAACCACATTGTTTGAAAAGGGGTCAATATCCAGAATATATAAAGATCTACAACTGAACAAAAACAAAAAAACAAATAACCAATTAAAAACTGGGGAAAGTCCTTGAATAGACATTTCTCCAAAGAAGATATACAAATGGCTAACAGGCTTATGAAAAGATGTTGAACATCACTGATCATTAGGGTGATACAAATCAAAATAATGATAAGATATCACCTCACAATCATTAGAATGACAACGGGGAAAAAAAAGAAAAAAAAGCAAAACAGAACATAACCAGTGCTATTGGCAAGGATGTGGAGAAATTGGAATGCCTGTGCACTTTTTGTGGGAATGTAAAATGGTGCAGCCATTATGGAAAACAGCCTGGAAGTTTCTCAAAAAAATTAAAAATAAAATTGCCATATGATCCTTCAATCTTACTTTTGAATATACATTTAAGGGAATTGAAAACAGTATTTTAAAGAGGTATTTACACACTCTTGCTCATTGCAGCATTATTCAAAAAAGTTTCAAGAGGTGGAAGTAGCGTAAATGTCCATTTATAAATGAATGGATAAAGAAAATGTGGTATATACATACAATGAAATATTTAGTCTTTAAAAATGGAAATCCTGAATAACAAATTACCCCAAATTTAGTGGTTTAAAGAAATGATAATCATTTATTATTGTTCACGGTGTCTATGGGTCAGGAATTTTGAAGTGGCTTAGTTAGGCATTTCTGGCTTGGTGTTGATGTTAGATGCCAGCTGGAGCTATTTGAAGACAGCTGGCTGGACGATCTAGCTTCAAAATGATAAAATGACCCGTGGCTGGCAAACGGGGGCTGGCTGTTGGCAGACAGCCTCTCTACCTGGGCCTACACACAGGGTTACTCGAGAGTTTTCATAGCATGGAGACTGCCTTCTCTCAGAACAAGTGATATCAGAGACCAAGGCAGAAGCCATAATGCCTTTTATGATCTACCCTTGGAAATTACACACCATTACTTCTTCAGTACTCTTTTGGTCACTTAGGTATGCCCTGGTTCACTGTAGGAAGAGACTATATACGGATGTGAACACCAGAAGATGAAGACCATTGGAAGTCATCTTGAAGGTTGGCTACAACCACATTATTCTTTAGAACTTAGGTGTTATGCCTCTAGGAAGCCTTCCTTTAAATTATCTCCCAAATTGAGCAACTGCTTCTCCTCCATCCATACTCCTGATTTTTAAAAAATATGTATGTGTGTGTATGTGTGTGTTTGTGTATGTGTAGTTTTAAATGTATACAGTCTGCTATAATTACCTTTTTATGTGTCTGACTTTTCCATTAGGCTGAGCACCTTGTAAGTAGGGTTGGTGCCTTATTATTTTTGTGCGTCATGTTTTGTCCAAAGATTAATGAAAGAAGTGGCAGAGCAGAGAGAGAGGGGAGAAGAGAAGGCAGTAAGGGAAGGAAGGAACAATCTTGAGCAATTATATTTCATTATCACAGGCTCTATGACATATAAGAGTTCCATTTCTGTTAATTAACAGATGGTTAACAAAGAAAAATATCTCCATAAGGGAAGTTAAGAAGGAGCAGGAAGAGTTAGAAAAGCTTTCATTCACAACACAAATGCTGAGGGATGTGAGTGAACTTTGGCATCATTCAATTTGCACAGCTCTAATGGTCATATTCAGTCATATTTGGGCCTAATTTTCTTTTCTGCCCTCTTTTTGTTATTTCACTCACACACTCTGGCTCACAAGGAGGGGGGTGGAAGTTATAAAAAGGAGTGTGGTCTTGGAGGTGGCAGAGAATGAAAGTTCTCAATACTAAAAAATTCTTAAAATGTTTCACGGACATTTTCAGTTCAAATCTTCCTCTGCTGGGAGGTCCACATGCACTGAAGATATTAGATTTATCTTATGACAAGATTCTCCACTGAAAAAGAGTTGTACACATAAAGATACTAATGATTCTTCATCTTTTTAAAGACATTATTGCTGCTGTCTACTGGAAGTGGCTTCTATGACTTTTCCAACAAAATCCTTACCTTTGCTATAATTCCTTTTCTGTAATTGTTAGTTTGTGCTGATCTCTCTCCTGGACTATGAAACAGTCATGTGTTACTTACCTTTATTTATACACCATGATGTCTGATACATAATAGATACTTATTAAGTATAAGCATAATGAATCAAACCATTCATTCAAAACAATCATATTTAAGATGCCACAATGGCTGATTTCTCCCTACTATACACAACCGTTTTTGAAATCTGCAGTAATGATGAGCTGATCGTAAGTAATCAGCCATAATTACAATAAAAATTAATGAAATCAATTTTTGGAGAGTTTCTTCCACAAGCTTATTGTATTTGAAAAATTCTCTGCCCTCACTTGACAATTATCGTTTGCCCACAATTCCCTTTTGCTTCAGAAGGGACATGATTCTGCTTTCAGAATTTGGGGACTCAGGATTTTTTGTCTTTTGTGTTTAGTGTTAGGTGCAGCATAAGAGACTAGATTCTGATATTCAGAGGTGTGCCAGTCAGCAAAATTTTCTTGAGCACCTCCTTGGAGTCAGGCACTGTGTTAAGGAATAGGGATGGCAAGATAATTAATACTGTGTCTACTTTCTGAGGGATGGTAAATGAGTTCCTGTATAATCCTTGGAGACTGAACAGAGATTATTTTGGTGGACATTGTAGGGCATTGCCCAGGTTCCTCACCCCACCTATTTCAGGATTACTGTAAACACCTCTACACAAATAAACTAGAAAATCTAGAAGAAATGGTTAAATTCCTGGACACATACACCCTCCCAAGACTAAACCAGGAAGAAGTTGAATCCCTGAACAGACCAATAGCAGGCTGAAATAGAGGCAATAGCCTACCAACTGAAAAAAGTCCAGGACCAGAAGGATTCACAGCCTAATTCTACCAGAGGTACAAAGAGGAGCTGGTACCATTCCTTCTGAAACTATTCCAATCAATACAAAACGAGAGAATCCTCCGTAACTCATTTTATGAGGCCAGCATCATCCTGATACCAAAGCCGGGCAGAGACACAACAAAAAAAGAGAATTTTAGACCAATATCCCTGATGAACATCGATGCAAAAATCCTCAATAACATACTGGCAAACCGAATCCAGCAGCACATCAAAAAGCTTATCCACCATGATCAAGTGGGCTTCATCCCTGGGATGCAAGGCTGGTTCAACATACACAAATCAATAAACATAATCCAGCACATAGACAGAACCAAAGACAAAAACCACATGGTTGTCTCAATAGACGCAGAAAAGGCCTTTGACAAAATTCAACAGTCCTTCATGCTAAAAACTCTCAATAAATTAGGTATTGATGGGACGTATCTCAAAATAATAAGAGCTGTTTATGACAAACCCACAGCCAATACACTGAATGGGCAAAAACTGGAAGCATTCCCTTTGCAAACTGGCACAAGACAGGGATGCCCTCTCTCACCACTCCTATTCAACGTAGTGTTGGAAGTTCTGACCAGGGCAATCAGGCAGGAGAAAGAAATAAAGCGTATTCAATTAGGAAAAGAGGAAGTCAAATTGTCCATGTTTGCAGATGACATAATTGTATATTTAGAAAACCCCATTGTCTCAGCCCAAAATCTCCTTAAGCTGATAGGCAACTTCAGCAAAGTCTCAGGATACAAAATCAATGTGCAAAAATCACAAGCATTCTTATATACCAATAACAGACAGAGAGCCAAATCATGAGTGAACTCCCATTCACAATTGCTTCAAAGAGAATAAAATACCTAGGAATCCAACTGACAAGGGACGTGAAGGACCTCTTCAAGGAGAACTACAAACCACTGCTCAATGAAATAAAAGAGGACACAAAAAAATGGAAGAATATTCCATGCTCATGGATAGGAAGAATCAATATCATGAAAATGGCCATACTGCCCAAGGTAATTTATAGATTCAATGCCATCCCCATCAAGCTACCAATGACTTTCTTCACAGAATTGGAAAAAACTACTTTAAAGTTCATATGGAATCAAAAAAGAGCCCTCATTGCCAAGACAATCCTAAGGCAAAAGAAGAAAGCTGGAGGCATCCTGCTACCTGACTTCAAACTATACTACAAGGCTACAGTAACCAAAACAGCATGGTACTGGTACAACAACAGAGAAATAGACCAATGGAACAGAACAGAGCCCTCAGAAATAATACCACACATGTACAACCATCTGATCTTTGACAAACCTGAGAAAAACAAACAATGGGGAAAGGATTCCCTATTTAATAAATGGTGTTGGGAAAACTGGCTAGCCATATGTAGAAAGCTGAAACTGGATCCCTTCCTTACACTTTATACAAAAATTAATTCAAGATGGATTAAAGACTTAAATGTTAGACCTAAAACCATAAAAACCCTAGAAGAAAACCTAGGCAATACCATTCAGGACATAGGCATGGGCAAGGACTTCATGTCTAAAACACCAAAAGCAATGGCAACAAAAGCCAAAATTGACAAATGGGATCTAATTGAACTAAAGAGCTTCTGCACAGCAAAAGAAACTACCATCAGAGTGAACAGGCAACCTACAGAATGGGAGAAAATTTTTGCAATCTACTCATCTGACAAAGGGCTAATATCCAGAATCTACAATGAACTCCAACAAATTTACAAGAAAAAAACAAACAGCCCCATCAAGTGGGTGAAAGATATGAACAGATACTTCTCAAAAGAAGATATTTATGCAGCCAAAAGACACATGAAAAAATGCTCATCATCACTGGCCATCAGAGAAATGCAAATCAAAACCACAATGAGATACCATCTCACACCAGTTAGAATGGCGATCATTAAAAAGTCAGGAAACAACAGGTGCTGGAGAGGATGTGGAGAAATAGGAACACTTTTACACTGTTGGTGGGACTGTAAACTAGTTCAACCATTGTGGAAGTCAGTGTGGCGATTCCTCAGGGATCTAGAACTAGAAATACCATTTGACCCAGCCATCCTATTACTGAGTATATACCCAAAGTATTGTAAATCATGCTGCTATAAAGACACATGCACATGTATGTTTATTGTGGCACTATTCACAATAGCAATTACTTGGAACTAACCCAGATGTCCATCAATGATAGACTGGATTAAGAAAATGTGGCACATATACACCATGGAATACTATGCAGCCATAAAAATGATGAGTTCATGTCCTTTGTGGGGACATGGATGAAACTTGAAACCATCATTCTCAGCAAACTATCACAAGGACAAAAAACCAAAACACCGCATGTTCTCACTCATAGATGGGAATTGAACAGTGAGAACACTTGGACCAGGAAGGGGAATATCACACACCAGGGCCTGTTGTGGGGTGGGGGGAGGTGGGAAGGATAGCATTAGGAGATATACCTAATTGTGCATCACACCAACATGGCACATGTGTACATATGTAACAAACCTGCACGTTGTGCACATGTACCCCAGAACTTAAAGTATATTAGAAAAATAAAAAAATTCAAAAAAGGATAAATGAAACAAAAATTTGGTTTTTAAAATAATAAACAAAAATTGATAAACCATAAAAAGTTCCTATTTCTCCACATCCTCTTCAGCATCTGTTGTTTCCTGACTTTTTTAATGATCACCATTCTAGCTGGCATGAGATGATATCTCACTGTGGTTTTGATTTACATTTCTCTAATGACCAGTGATGATGAGCTTTTTTTCATATGTATGCTGGCCGCATAGATGTCTTCTTTTGAGAAGTGTCTGTTCATATCCTTTGCCCACTTTTTGATGGGGTTGTTTTTTCTTGAAAATTTGTTTAAGTTCTTTGTAGATTCTGGATATTAGCCCCTTGTCAGATGGATAGATTGCAAAAATTTTCTCACATTCTGTAGGTTGCCTATTCACTCTGATGATAGTTTCTTTTGCTGTCAGAAGCTGTTTAGTTTAATTAGCTCCCATTGTCACTTTTGGCTTTTGTTGCCATTGCTTTTGGTGTTTTAGTCATGAAGTCTTTGCCCATGCCTGTGTCCTGAATGGTACTGCCTCTGTTTTCTTCTAGGGTTTTTATGGAGGACACAAACAAATGGAAAAACATTCCATGCTCATGTATAGAAAGAATCAATATTGTGAAAATGGACATACTGCCCAAGTAATTTATAGATTCAGTGCTATTCCCCTCAAGCTACCATTGACTTTCTTCACAGAATTAGAAAAAGCTACTTTAAATTTCATATGGAACCAAAAAAGGGCCCATATAGCCAAGACCATACTAAGCAAAAAGAACAAAGCTGAAGGCATCACACTACCTGACTTCAAACTATCCTACAAGGCTACAGTAACCAAAACAGCATAATACTGGTACCAAAACAGAGATATAGACCAATGAAACAGAACAGAGGCCTCAGAAATAACGTAGCACATCTACAACCATCTGATCTTTGACAAACCTGACAAAAACAAGCAATGGGTAAGTGATTCCCTATTTAATAAATGGTGTTGGGAAAACTGGCCAGCCATTTGCAGAAAACTGAAACTGGACCCCTTCCTTACACCTTACACAAAAATTAACTCAAGATGGATTAAAGGCTTAAATGTAAGAC
This sequence comes from Homo sapiens, assembly GCF_000001405.40. NCBI lineage: Eukaryota > Metazoa > Chordata > Mammalia > Primates > Hominidae > Homo > Homo sapiens. The sequence continues at coordinate 28,399,329 of NC_000011.10, forward strand.
CTAAAACCATAAAAGCCCTAGAATTATTTTTCATGCATCAAGACTAAGGGAATTTCATTCTCTTTTACCTGCGGCTACTATTAGGGAAAATGAAACTCTCCTTTCATCCTTTGCAGAAAACTTCTATATAAGACACACTCATATTTGCATAAGGTGTGATCATAAAGCAATGTGTCTAATTTTCAAGAGGATTTTTAAACAATCATTTATCTTCATAGCACATATATTAGAATATTAGCTAATTTTTATAACCTCTAATTCTACAGTATAGTAGTGACATATACACACCTTATGCACACATAAGTGGTTGATACACATTCATTCGTTACATGCCTTTCTCCCTTAATATACAATTCCACATATTAAGATATAAAATCTTTCTAATCTACTATCAAAATGCATTTCCTTATTGATAATGAAATGCCAAAAATAAAATTTTAAAAAATCTTTATGTATAATTTGCACAAATATTGGGATGTATAAATTCAGGTTAGGTATTTAGTCATTCCCAAAGTCCTTTTCTAAACTTTTCTTGGGTTAACATAATCAGGGAGAATGACAGATTGTCATGCTTCTCAAAGTATTTAGCAAGGGAGTACCTGAAGCCATAAATAAATGTTTATATACCACAACGTAGCATGTAATATTTGTATGAACTTTTAAGATAATAAGACTTTAAAGAAATTCTTGCAATTAGCTGGATTTGCCTCATCTTAGATCACCCTTTTCTTCTCCCCGTCCTCACATTCTTCCACCGTACTTAAGCAGTAAAGAAAGAGAAATCTTGCCATACAGATTTGATTTGGGATCATAGATTTGGCCTTTTGTTTAAATGGTTACAATTTATTCAGCCATCATTTATTGATCATCTACTATGTGTAGCATTTTATAAAGCAAATTTTCTCTTTTTTTTTTCACTGTGGCAGTCATATACCATACAAAGCAGCTTCATTTGACTTCAGTGACGCAAGCTTCGCTTTAAGCTTACACATTTGTTAAGCCTTTAAGAAAGCATGACTGCACTCAAAGTTATTAACATGGAGGGGAGATATGACACCTTGGACTGACCTCCCACTCAGATGTGAACCATAGGGATTGCTGAGTCCAGCACCTCAGATAAACATCAAGCTGGCTTCCCCTAATTAGTCACTCTTCCAGCTGCTTTCTGAGCAAACAAAGGAGATCTGATGTGGATAAATTGAGAAACAGTTTAAAACCAACTTGAATTTGTCAGTGGAGTCTGAGTTCCCCCCATCCCTCACCCCTCTTGAGGTCCAAAGGTTACATATTTTCCTGACATTTCTGCATTCAGCTTTCTTGCTCAGTGGTCTATACAGAACCTGAGGGGTTTACATTACCCACATGAGTGTGGATAAAATCAAAGTTTCATCCACTACTGTGGGTGGGCTTGGTCAAGGGATTGAAAATGTTTGCTAAATTTAGATGGGTCTCATAATGCTTCCTAACCACAACAATGTGTTTTCATAACATCGAAATTGGAAAAACAAGCAATTTCTCCTAACCAGCCTCAATCACCATTGAATTGAACAGAATTGAAAACACTGAAGAGCAGTGACTTATTTATCTTGTTAATCACAAGATTTCCATTGGACAAAGAACATTAAGTCTATGTGGTGTACAAAAATTCGTGCGTGTGAACAGCTGTCAAGAAGAAGTCATTACCAATCTCTGTTTTAAAAATAGCCAGCAAGTTTTCATTAGAGCAAAAGATAGAGTTGTATTTGGCGTAATTCTTCCTAAAGTAAATGACATGCCAGTGGCAAATGTTGTCATTTTAATTTTGTCAAAAATCTACTGATTTCAGTGGATGTGAGAGTGCCATGTTTGTGGTTTCAATTTAATAAAATGCCTAAGTTAGGGAATTGATTATCTTCACTACAATCATTATGACTTGCCTGGAGGAAGAATCAGCTGCCTATGGCTACTGTCCACAAATACCTGCCTGGGATAATCATTTGGAGGGGACTTTACCCATAGACTTCCATTAAGAAGTAATCTCTTAATCTGTTTTTTAGTAATTATTACTCAGAATTTGTTTCATCATTTTAATTTTTTCAAATTTAGAGAACTTTCTGGTCTTCTCTCATATGTGTGTGATTTATGTTTTTCTCCTTTTATTGACCATACTCTTTTTATCTCTGTGCTTTTAGTGAGTAATTGTTTTAATAATTTCTGTCTCATGTATTTAACTTTTTTAATCCTTCTTCTTTTCGATGAGGATTGTAAGCAGCAATACCAGCGAAGCCCATACTAGCCCACACACAAGGATAAATAACTGAATGCCTTCAGAGTGCACAGCAGACCTGCATTTGGCTCTTGCTGAACTCCAGAGGGAAGCACTTATTTGGCTTTGATGAAGATCTCAATCCTCATTTGGCTAGTTAAGAGTGACTAAAAAAAAACCACTACTCCTTTGTAATTCATAAGTTCTTGAGGCCAAATTACTTCGATAGCAAGATACTTCAAAGATAGCTCAGAGAAGTCACTCCTGCAACAACTTTATTTTACTTTCATTGTAATTCAAGGTCCCTATGAAAAATATTATAATGTTAAGCTACAAAAGTGTACCTTAATAAATGTACTTAGTGACTTATTTTTTTCCTTGTCAGTGAATGTAAAATTAACATAAAAACTCTCACCTAAAGCAAGCATTCAGTTCATGTGCATGAAGCCTTCTAAAACCTATCCAAGAGTGTTTTGGTAGTTTCTAGAACCTTTATGAAATATTCTAGATAGGTCAAAAACGTTGTGAACAGAGTTGTTTCTATTACTTAGGTCTCTGTTAGGGAATGTCACCATTATACAATAGCCAACTAAGCCAGAAACTGGAATGTCATTCTGCCTCCTTCCTTTCCCTCACCAGTGGCAACAAGTCAATCCAACCTGTGGATTCTGCCTCCTAAATACTCTCCAGTGCCTTTACTTTCCTTAGCCTAGATTGCTGAAACAGTCTCCTAGCTGATCCCCTTGCTATCATTCAGCCTTGGTTCTGTCTCATTCCTTCTCTGCTCTGTAGCCAAGCTAAGTCCAATCACTACTCCCTACCCAATTTATAGTCTCCAGTGATTCTCTGACTTCAGGATAAAGTTTAAATCCTTAAATGTCACCCAAAATCCTTCTGGATCTATACCCTACTTACTACTTTTTCATTGTCTCTCACTACCACTCCCACCTTGAAATCTAGTGACGTTCATCACTTGGAATTTCCCAAATATGGCTCTTGCTTCTGGACCCTTGCATCTGTCACTTTCAGAGGCAGAGCCACATTTAAATACTTAACTTTTTTTAATTTTAATTTTTTTAATTTTAAAATTTCTAACTTTTTAAAATTTCAATTTGTAGTCTAATTTTAGACTTAAGGGATACAGATGCAGTTTTGTCACGTGAATATATTGCTTAGTGATGACGTCTGGGCTTTTAATGTAGCCATAGCCAAATAGTGTACATTGTACCCATTAAGTAATTTCTTATCCCTCACCCTCTCCCACCTTCTCAGCCTCCTGAGTCTCCAATGTTTGTCATTCCACTCTCTATGTCTTTATGTACATATTTTTTAGCTCCCACTTATAAGTGAAACATGATATTTGACTCTCTGTTTCTGAGTTATTTCACTCAGAAACAGAGTGGCCTCCAGTCCCATCCACCCAAAGGAAAAGAAATCATTGTTTCTGCCTGGAACATTCTTGCTCATTGCTCATCCATCTTCTGTTCATTGTTCAGGAGTCAATTTAAATGTTACTGCAAGATCTCTACTTTCAGTCATTTGACATTTCTGACAGCAGATGTATGGGGGGTTTTCCTGACATACCAAGCAATTCTCCAGTGGATTCTCCAGTGGACACTAGCTTGGGTGTTCTTTAATTCAATTCAAGTCTGACACTACCGACCTGGGCCAAATAGCATGATAAGTGCTGGAATATGACTGAGTCTGAGTCCTGCTTTGGCCTCTTGCTGGCTCTGTGCTCCAGGATAAGTTACCTAACTTTTCTACAGTTTAGTTTCCTTGTCTGTAAACTTGTTAGTAATGACCTCAAAAGCTTTCTGAGGCATATACTAAATACTAAATCAGTATTAGCTATCATTGTCATCCACATTTTGTCATCATCAGTATCACACAATGATGTTCAGAGGTGTATGTATATTTGGGATTTCAATCTAGAATAGGGGTTAATAACTTGGGTCTTGGAGCTCAGGAGCATACAGGAGAAAACAATATATGACCAAAATTAGTCAGTATTAGGTGGAATATTGCCCAATTATCCCATGCATAGGTTTTCCCAGAAATCTTATCCATAAAAAACCACACACAATGAACCATGTCATAGATACTCTCATGACACAAGACAATTTCATAGAAATGTTTATCTTTAAGGACTTCAGGAACATGACTAAGAAATGGGTTAATGTTTTTATGTCATTTTTTGCCAATAATGGCAAAGCTGTTTTTATAACATATCATTAGGACATTTTTCTTGCAAGTTTTCTTTTTCCTCATGCATGGGCAGGGGCTTGGGGAAGCAAAGAGGAGTAAAAATGACTCTAAATAGCTTCTTATTCTTTTTTTAAAAACCATGCTGATTTCTGTATCCTGTGATTTCTGCTGTTATACATTCTGATGATGGGTAAATTACTGTAGCAATAACTTAGACCACTGTGTTCAACATAAGCTTTAGTTTGTGGCTTTTTTGTTCTTCATGTATTCCCTCAAAAACCCTAGAAAACATGAGCATAGAGAAGGTCTACAGGAAAAAACTAAAAAACCCATAAGCAATATTTTTTAATATTTTGAGAGATTAAAGATACCTTTTGGAAGTTTATTAAAAGCTATGGAGTCTCTCTCCAGAAAAATAAATGTGCCCATATAAAAAGAAATTGTTACACACAGTTCCGTGGGGTCCAAGGATCCTGCCATACTTCATTCTGTCTACCATAACAAAACAATTACCATAAATTGTTACTACTACTATAACAAAGTATACCCTAAATTGAATAGCTTATAAATAATAGATATGTATTACTCACAGTTCTAGAGGCTGGGAAATCCAAGATCTAGGATCCAGCAGATTTGTTGTCTGGTTAGGGCTTACTTCCTGGTTTATAGGTGGCATCTTCTTGCTGTATCCTCACATGGTGGAAGGGGCAAGGCAGCTCTCTGGGGCCAATTTTATAAGGGCATTTATCCCATTCATTAGGGTGGAGCTGTCATAGCCTAATCATCTCCCAGTGGCCCCCACCTCCTAGCACCATCACATTGGTGATTAGGTTTCAACATATGCATTTTGAGGGGACACAAATATTCAGATTATAACAGACCCTTTGAAGCTTAGTATCCCCAGGTTAAACATCTATATTGTGGAAGACAAAATAAACCATAGGCCAACGTCGCACTGCGAAGATAATGCAGAAAATGTAGATGAGCAAGGCCCCTGATCCTTGGAGTGCAAATGTCTGTCCAGGCAAAAGACAGGACAGAGGCGCATTTATTTTTGTATTGTTAATAAGAAGTTGAATAATGACCCATCTTCCTCTTGATAGCATCATTATTAAAAATACTGTGAATCTGAAGTAGAGATTATGATTATGTCAGAGCTTAATATTTGTAAGACCAATCATAGAAAGACTGATTAGATCTTCTTCAAGCCCATAAATGATACCAAATAAGAATGATTTAAAAGTTTCTGAACATCTAGTTTAAATCATTCATTGAACAAACATTCATTGTACAGCTGCAGCGTGCCAACAAAAGCTTATGGAGCTTGGGCTATTGTTCTAAGCTCACAAAACTAGCTAATGGCAAAGCTGACCACTTTGTCCTAACTCCTGGTCTAGGACTTTTTCACTATATTATGTGCTCTCCTCAAAAGCATGTCATGATGAGATTAAGTTCACAGTCTGCCAAATATTACTTTTATTTAGAGCTATGCACTAACAGGAATATAGATCAATCAGTGTTTTTAAAGAGATAAATAAGGAATTCAAATTAAAAGCAAGATTTCAAGACATGCAGTGCTTGCCATATGATCATTAAACTTATTCTAACTTATTTTGACCTGGTTTTCCCATTTGGCCTTAACTACAATTTACTTTTTCTCAATTCCATTCAGAGTAATTTTGCTCAATCCTCTGTTCCACAGAAAACTTTTTTCTCAGGTTACTTAGTGCACAGAAGTTTTTGTGGTCAAATAAATCTGGAAAATGTTCCATATAATATTCTCCTTTTGGTGTGTTCAAAAGCGTGTGAGAACATTACGGGCTCTGGGAAGACCTACAGTAAAATGTAATAGCAACAAATTCTGTTTGACTCTAAAATCACTATACCTCAGAACACTTTTGAAATGTTAACATCTATGAAAATCTCGTGTGATGAATAATCTGCAGCACATGCTATGTAGAACTCTGCTGTAGATTTACAAGTCTTTAGTCTAAGCTCCCATTTCAAATGATTGTTGGAAATACATAGCCACTATTTTATGAAGGATTATTGCTTTGGCATACCCACCTCTCATATTCAATTATGAAAACCATGCTAGCTTTTGTCAGGTTTGTTGAAGAAAGATCAGATGGTTGTAGGTGTGCAGTCTTATTTCTGAGATCTCTATTCTGTTCCATTGGACTCTGTGTCTGTTTTTGTACTAGTACCATGCTGTTTTAATTAACATAGACTTGTAGTATTGTTTGGAGTCAGGTAGCACAATGCCTCCAGCGTTGTCTTTTTGCTCAGGATTGTCTTGGCTATCTGGGCTCTTTTTTGGTCCATATGAATTTTAAAATAGTTTTTTTTCTAATTCTGTGAAGAATGTCAATGGTAGTTTAATGGGAATAGCATTGATTCTATAAATTACTTTGGGCAGTATGGCCATTTTCACAATATTTTCCATTTGTTTTTGTCCTCTCTTATTTCCTTGAGCAGTGGTTTGTAGTTCTTTTTGAAGAGGTTATTCATTTCCCTTGTTAGCTGTATTCCTAGGTATTTTATTCTCTTTGTAGCATTTGTGAATGGGAGTTCATTCCTGATTTGGCTCTCTGCTTGCCTATTGTTGGTGTAAAGGAATGCTTGTAATTTTTGCCATTGATTTTGTATCCTGAGACTGCTGAAGTTGCTTATCAGCTTAAGAAGCTTTTGGTGTACATGTGCCACATTTTCTTAATCCAGTATACATATGTAACAAACCTGCATGTTATGCACATGTACCCTAGAACTTAAAGTATAATAATAATAAAAAGAAGCTTTTGGGCTGAGACAATGGGATCTTCTAGATATAGGATTATGTCATCTGCAAATAGAGACAGTTTGACTTCATCTCTTCCTGTTCGAATATGCTTTATTTCTTTCTCTTGCGTGATTGCCCTGGCCAGAATTTCTAATACTATGCTGAATAGGAGTGGTGAGAGAGGGCACACTTGTCTTGTGCCAGTTTCCAAGGGGGATGGTTCCAGCTTTTGCCCATTCAGTATGATATTGGCTGCGGGTTTGTCATAAATGGCTCTTATTATTTTGAGGTATGTCCCATCAATACCTAACTTATTGAGAGTTTTTAGCATGAAGGAATGTTGAATTTTATCAAAGACCTTTTCTGTGTCTATTGAAATAATCAGGTGGCTTTTGTCTTTAGTTCTGTTTATGTGATGAATTATGTTTATTGACTTGCATATGTTGAGCCAGCCTTGCATCCTGGGGATGAAGCCACCTCAATCGTGGTCGATAAGCTTTTGATGTGCTTCTGGATTCGGTTTGCCAGTATTATATTGAGGATTTTTGCATTGATGTTCATCAGGGAAACTGGACTCTTTCCTTACACCTTATACAAAAAATAACTCAAGATGGATTAAAGACTTAAAAGTAAAACCCAAAACTGTAAAAACCCTGGAAGAAAATCTAGGCAATACCATGCAGGACATAGGCATGGGCAGATATGATGAAAACGTCAAAAGTATTTGCAACAAAAGCAAAAACTGACAAATGGGATCTAATTAAACCAAAGAGCTTCTGCACAGCAAAAGAAACTATCATCAGAGTGAATGGACAACCTGTGGAATGGGAGAAAATTTTTGCAATTTATCCTTCTGACAAAGGTCTAATATCCAGCATCTGGAAGGAGCTTAAACAAATTTGCAAGAAAAAAAACAACCCCTTTAAAAAGCGGGCAAAGGACATGAACAGAAACTTATCAAAAGAAGACATTTATGTGGCCAAAAAGAATATTAGTAAAAGCTCAACATCACTAATCATTAGAGAAATGCAAATCAAAACCACAATGAGATACCCATGCCAGTCAGAATGGCGATTATTAAAAAGTAAAGAAACAACAGATGTTGGTGAGGCTGTGCAGAAATAGGAATGCTTTTACGCTGTTGGTGGGAATGTAAATTAGTTCTACCATTGTGGAACACAGTGTGTTGATTCCTGAAAGACCGAGAACCAGAAATATCATCTGACCCAGCAATCCCATTACTGGATATATATCCAAAAGAATATAAATCATTCTATTATAAAGATAAATGCATGCATAAGTTCACTGCAGCACTATTTACAATAGCAAAGACATGAAATCACACAAATGCCCATAAATGATAGACTAGATAAAGAAAATGGGGCACATATACACCATGGAATACTGTGCAGCCATAAGAAGGAACAAGATTGTGGCCTTTGCAGGGACATGGATGGAGCTTGGAAGCCATTATCTTCAGCAAACTAATTCAGGAACAGAACACCAAACACCACATTTTCTCACTTATAAGTGGGAGCTGAACTATGAGAACACATGGACACAGGTAAGGGAACAATACACACTGGGGCCTGTTGGTTCAGGGGGTGGGGTGGGGGAAACATCATGATAAATAGCCAATGCATGCGGGGCTTAATACTTCGGTGATGAGTTGATAGGCGCAGCACACCACCATGACCCACGTTTACCTAAGTAACAAACCTGCACGTCCTGCATATGAATCCCAGAATGTAAAATATAATTACATCACATTAAAAACAACAACAACAACAACAACAAGAAAACCGTGCTAGCTAAAACCACCTCTGTTTCTATTTCAAGCTTTTCTCTCTCAGTTATACTGGCTTGATGTCCTGTCAGGTTAACTCTATTCACAACCTTCACTCCACCATTTCCACTTCAGAAATCATTATAAGGAAATAATCATGTATAAGAATAGTTTTTAAATGTATTAATTGTAAAAAAATAGTTAATAATAATTGGAAAAGACATAATATGTAATAATAGGGGAATGGATAAATAAATGATCATATGGTAAAATGTCATATAGCTATCAAAATCACATTTTTCAAAGACTACTTAATGATGTGAAAAAGCCCATGTAATATTTTACTGACATATGTAATATACAACATTATATTGAGAGCGTCATTTCAATTTTATAATATAAATATGGTTTTCAAACACATGCACACACACACATGTACATATATATCAAATCTTGAAGTAAATACCTTAAATTGATCAGGTATGTATCTCTGAGCAAACTAAGTTTTTCCTTTATATTTTTAAGTATTTTTAAAGAAAAGTTTACCACACCCTCTTTCAACAATAACACAAAATTAACATGGAAATACTGGACTTGAATTACACTTTAGGCCAAATGGGCCTAACAAACATATAGAATTTTTCATCCAACAGCAGCAGAATATACGTTCTTTTTTAGTACATATGGAACATTCTCCAGGATAGATCATGTTTTAGGCCACAAAACAATTTTTATTTTAAGAATATTTAAATCGGGCTGGGCGCAGTGGCTCACGCCTGTAATCCCAGCACTTAGGGAGGCTGAGGTGGGCGGATCACGAGGTCTGGAGATCGAGACCATCCTGGCTAACATGGTGAAACCCCGTCTCTACTAAAAATACAAAAAATTAGCCTGGCGGGGTGACAGGCGCCTGTTGTCCCAGCTACTCGGGAGGCTGAGGCAGGAGAATGGCATGAACCCAGGAGGCAGAGCTTGCAGTGAGCCGAGATGATGCCACTGCACTCCAGCCTGGGAGACAGAGCGAGACTCCGTCTCAAAAAAAAAAAAAAAAAAAAAAAAGGAATATTTATATCATATGTAATATGGTTTCTGATTACAATGTTATGAACTAGAAATTAATAACAGGAGAAATATGGAAAATTCACAAATATGTGGAAATTAAGCAACATGCTCCTGAACAACAAATGGATCAAAGCAGGACCCAAAAGGCAAATTTTAAAGTATCTTAAGACAGATGACAATGGAAACACAACATATCAAAATCTATGGGATGCAGCAAAAGCAGTCTAAGAGGGAAGTTTATAGCAATACACTCCTACATTAAAAAAGAAGAAAAATACCTCAAATAAATTGTCTTATGTTACACTTCATTATAGAGGAGCTAGAAAAAGAAAAACAGACTTACCGCAAAGTTAGCAGAAGGAAGGAAATAAAAATCAGAACAGAAATAAATAGAAAATAGAAAAATAATAGAAAACAAATTAACAAAACCAAGAGTTGGTTTTTTGAAAAAGTAAAATCAACAAAACCCTAGCTAGACTAAGGAAAATAGAGAACACTCAATAAAATCAGAAATGAAAATGGAGACATTACAAAGATACATGAGAAATACAAAGAATCATAAAGGATTATTATGAAAAACTCTATGCAAATGAATTAGATAAACCAGAGACAATGGATAAATTCCTTAAAAATGTAACTTCTCAAGATTCAGTCAGGAAGAAATAGAAAGCTTGAACATATCAATAACAAATAAAGAGATTGAAGAGATAACTAAAAACCTTCCAACAAAGAAAAGCCCAGGACCAGATGGATTCACTACTGATTACTGCCAAACATACAAAGAAGAATGATTACCAATAATTTTTAAATTCTTTCAAAAAATAGAGCTAGAAGTAATACCTCATACTTCTAAACACATTTTGACGAGGCCAGCATCACCTTGATACCTAAGCTAGACAGACATTGCAAGAAAAGAAAAACACGTGGCCAATATTTCTAATGAACATTGATGCAAAAATCCTGAATAAAATAGTAGCAAACTGAATTCAACAACACATCAAAGAGACTATACATTATGACCATGTGGGATTTATCCCTGCCTGCAAGACTGATTTAACATATGCAAATCAATCAGTGTGATACATCACACCAACAGAATAAAAAGTATAAACACTTGATCATCTCAATTGACTCAAAAAATATTAATATTTGACAACATTCAGCATTCTTTCTTGATGAAAACTCAACAGTTTAGGTATAGAAGGAATATTTCTAACATAATAAAGCCCATTTAAGAAAAACTAACAGTTAACATGATAATCAACAGGGAAAAATGGAAAGCTTTTCCACTAAGATCAGATACAAGACAGGGATGCCTGCTTTCACCACTTCCATTCAACATAGTACTGGAAATACTGGCAAGAAAAATTACACAAGAAAAAGAAATAAAAGGTATGCAAATTGGAAAAGCAGAAGTAAAATTGTCTTTATTTTCAGATAATATGATTCTATAGGCAGAAAACCCCAAAGATTACATAAAAACTGTAAGAACTAATAAATGATTTTAGTAAAGTTACAGGGTACAAAATCAACATACAAATAGCATTTCTATACATACAAACAACCTTGCTAAAGAAAAAATTTTAAATTCCGTTTACAATAGCTTCAAAAAATAGCCAGGAATAAATTTAACCAAGGAGGTGAAAGATTTGTACACTGAACACCATAAAACACTAATGAAAGAAATTGAACACAAATAAATGGAAAGGTATATCAATGTTCATGAATAAGAAGAATTAATATTGTTAATATATTCATACTACCCAAAGCAATATACAGATTTAACATAATCGCCATCAAAATTCTAATGGTGCTCTTCACAGAAAAAGAAAAAATTCTAAAATTCATATGGGACTACAAAAAAATCGCCAATAGCCAAATAAATACAAATAAAAGTTGGAGGCATCACATCTTGATTTAAAATCATGTTACAAAGCTATAGTAATCAAAATAGCATAGTACTGGCATAAAAACAGAAATATAGACCAAGGGAACACAGAATAGAAAGCCCAGAAATAAATTCAAACATATGTGGACAACTAATTTTCAGCAAGGGCATCAAGAAGTCACGAAGGGGAAACAATAGTCTCTTTAATAAATAATGTTGGGAAAACTGTATTTCTACATGCAAAAGAATGAAATTCAACCCTTAGATCATACACAGAAATCAACTCAAAATGGATGGATAAAAGACCTAAATAAATGTAAGACTTGAAGCTCTAAAATTCCTAGAAGACATAGGAGAAAAGCTCCTTGATCTTGGACTTGACAATGATTTTTTCTTTAATATCACACTAAAAGCTCAGGTACCAAATAAATAAGTAAATAAATAATGGGACTACATTAAACTAAAAATCTGCACAGCAGAGACCACAATCAACAAAATGAAAAAGAAACCTTCTGAACTGGAAAATAATAATTGCAAGCCACTTATCTGATGAGGGGTTAATATCCAAAATTTATAAAGAACTTTTACAATTCAATTGCAGGAAAACAAACAACCTGATTTTAAAATGGCCAAAGGACCTGAACAGACATTTCCCTAAAGAAGATGTGAAGATGGCCAGCAGGTATGTGAAAAGATACTCTGCAGCACTAATCACAAGGGAAATGCAGATTAAAACCACTATGAGATATCACCTCACACCTGTAAGGGTGGCTATTATCAAAAAGATTAGGGATAAGAAATGTTAATGAGGGTATGGAGAAAGGGGAACTGTAGTATATTGCTGTTAGTAATGTAGATTGGTATAGCCATTATGGAAAACTGTAGGGAGTTTTCCAGAGAAATTAAAAATAAAACTACCTTATGACTCAGCAGTCTGTCTTCTGGGTATATACCCAAAGGAGATGAAATTACCACCTCATAAGGATGTGTGCATGCCCATGATTATTGCAGCATTATTTACAATGGTCAAAATATGGAAATGAATGCCTGGAACAGAGGAATGGATAAAGAAAATGTTATATATAATATATGAAAATGTTATATATATATAAAGGAGAGACAGAGAGAGAGAGAGAAAGAGACCAAACGAGAGAGAGAGAGAGAGCTCACATTTTCTGTTATGGTGATATATAATTAAGGTGATACATATATCACTTTCCATAATATCAGAATATACATGGAATAATGGAAGGTTATTCAGCCTTAAAAAGAGATTCTGACATTTGCCACAATATGGCTGGAACTGGAAGACATTACACTAAGTAAAATAAACCAAACGCAGAAAGAAAACTATTGCATGACTTCACTGATATGTGGAATATATTAAAAAGAGAGCTTAGAAGCACAGGGACAGAGAATGAAACATTGGTACCATAGGTGGAGGTCAGAGGGGAGGAGATGGGGAGATTTAGTTCAAGAATATACAATAGCTGATGCATAGAATGAACAAGTCTGGAGAGCTAAAGTACAACATGAGGACTCAAGTTAAAAAATTGTATGGTATTAGAGATCTTGTTAAATGAGTAAATTTTAACTGCTCCTGTCACATATACAATAGTAACTATGTGAAATGATATATATATATTAATAGGCTTCACTATAGTAACCATTATACTATCTATATATATCTATGTATCTATATGCATAAAATGTAATACATCCCATAATATCATTTGTAAACTTCAACTATACACAATAAAATTCATTAAAAGTTTTTTTAGAACAAATATGTTTTCCTTTTGAGACAAAAAAATACTACTAAATAAGTGGTTTTCCATCTTTGTCTCAAACTGGAATACCCATTTATACCCATTTAATACCATTTATATATGGGCTCAGTTAGCCATCATATCTATTTCATCAAAACAGATATTTAGTAGTTTTTATTCTTTACCTCTTAATTACCATTCTTACCTCCTCATTTAATTTTAGCTTCCCTGAAAATGATAGTATTCCTTCCCTAAATTTGTTTAAAATTCCTTTTTACAAACTAAACTTTTGGACTAAGATGTTTCATAAACTGATTTTGGAAAGACACATTTCCACTTAAAAAAAGATTTATATTCGTTTCCTGCGAGATATAATTTTTACAGGTAAAACAAAATAATGTATATGCAAATCTGCACAGTTTTTTCTCCACATAGAAAACACTCTTATTGAAATAAAAGGATGAAATGGGTCTCACGTTCTAATACTAATGACTTATGAATTGCTGAGCATTTGTACTGCCCCTTTTCTTCTGACTCTAGAAATGGTAATTTTCATGGAAGAGAAAGGGTTGGTCAGATGGATTGAAGGAATAGGAGGCAATGTCTCTTAGCTATTCTAATGAACATCTTAATGTGGCTCATACTAGACAATAAACCTACTGGCCTAATATCAGAATTTAAAATAGGCTAGTGACTATCAGTGCACTCACTACTCACTTAGACATTGTTTCAACTAGAGAGAAAAAATTTTAAAGAAAGATAGTCAAATCTCTGGATTCTTATTCTTTTCCGTGGTCCCTCTAATCTAGTCTTCTTGCTGTGGCAGATTTTCTAGAATTTATGTTCCGTATCATGTAGTGCAGAGTTTCTTAACATTCCTATTTGTGCACTAATAGTTATATGCATTGTTTCAAAGTCCAAGGCATTATATTATCCATCAGTCTAACCAAGAAAGTGGAAATGACTTTAAGACTTTTCAACACAGTGAATTTTATTCAGAGAAATTATTATACAGGTGATGAAGTTGGTGAGGATCAAAGAGGGAATGTTAAGGCAAACCAAAGTTAAACAGCAGCAACCACAGTTGTATGCTGGAAAGATAAAAAAATGTAGGCAGTGTTACTGCTCAGGAGCAGTGGTCACCTGATGGAACCTGGAGCTAAGACAAACTTGCCAAGCAATGAAAGCAAGGAGCAGGAAACATACAGGGGAAGCAACTTCTGAGAAGGTACTTCTTAATTCAAACAAGCAGAAAGAGAAATACCCTAACTTCTCTTTCCGAACCTGTTCAATCTCCTGCCAGTGCCTCCCTCTGTTAAAACTCAATTAGAAGACAGCTTATCTGGGATGCTGGGAAATATAGACTGCAGGGCTCCGTTCTTCCCCCAGCCTATGATAGATAGAGACCTAATCTGAAGAGGGGCAAGGAATAGAGCCAACACACCCAAGCTCCCAGCCACAGCATCTATGGCAATATTAATTGTTTCAAAGTTTAAAGCATTTTCTCAGAGGTTCTATGTAGTTTCAACTATTTGATGCCATGTTTCAATGGTTCTACAATGTCAATTTTTTGTTTAGTCGTTTATTTTTTGTTTTTGAGAACTTCACAGAACTATTTGGTGAGGAAAATAGGAAACTAGACAAATCTTTTGAAAATAGAAATTATCTAATGCAGTTCTTGCTGATATCATCATAGATACTTAGGCATTTAATTGAAAGATGCCATCAAAATGACTTTTGAAGTGTTTACTTTTCCAAGATTATAAGCCACAGAAAGCTTATCTTCCTGCTAGCATAGACTGCTATTGTAGTAGATTCTTAATCCGAAAAATATGATGAAAAGAAAATACATTGTGTTGTGAAAGCTATTTGAAGCTTGCATTGCTGTAGGACTAACTGTAGAAGATTCCTTAAGATTCAGAAAATCAAGAAAACCCAACAGGAACTTAAATGCTTGAATCCTTATCTCTACTATTGTGGATCATGTCATTGGGCACTCCAGAAAATTAATATGTTTTGAAGTGGATGAAATATATGATTAAATCCCAGAGTAGGGTGAGTATGACATAATAATGCTTGACAAGTTCTTGAAGACTTTAAATAGCAAGCAAGGGAGAAATGGTTTTCTGTAGTATATAGAGTTAGAACTTGCAGTGCCAAAATGGAATTGGCGAATGGAAACATCTGAATGACTTTCTAGAAATATTTTCTAATGGAGTCATAGTTAGGACAGTAGATTTGGTTATCTAGGGGGAAGTAGCTAGAGCAGTTTTTGAAGAAAATAAAAGAAAAGGTATCTGAGAACACACCACAGGGAATATAGCTATGAATCCAGCTATTATTAGCTATTTTCTTAGTTCCAGCATTAGAAATGGAAATATTACATTTGCACAGTGCTTTTCAATGAAGAATATGTATACACATTATCTTATTCAATCATCAGGTGAGAAAATAGTTTCAGAGAGGTCAAAAATGACTTGTTCAAAGTGGCACAACTGGTGAGTGTTAGAGCTAGGTCTCCAACCCATGCTCTCATTCAACCTTCAGTACTCTTTCTACTACAGTACAGAGCCTTGGGAATGGGAAGAGTCACTCACAACAAATAGAAGCTATAGTTGATACTGGAAGAGTTGATTTGATGAAGTCTACATCAATTCCTTGAGCTGATATAGACTTAGGTATAAGAAAAGGATAATAGCATCTCCTTCTAAACATCTAGGGAGCTGTAGTAGCCAGGATTCTTGATGTTAGAAAATAGAATCCATGTTAGGTAGCTTAGGCAGAAAGGGGTTTATTATAGGATACAAGGTAGCTTACAGAATTTACAGGAGGGAGAAAGAACTAAGCAGTCTTACTTGTAAAATTTGTGGGGCCTGAGATAAAAGTACAAGTAGAGACACACATAACATATGTCTAAATACTTAAAAGTTAAATCTAATCTTCAAATCGTTAAATAAAATATTTACTATTCTCCTTTGAGAAATGTACCTCTGAAATTACCTGGAAAGTCCAGATTGACTTTACAATAGACTTCTCTGGGTTTCTCACCCAAGCGTAGTACCTTGGGGAAAGCATAGCCTCAGCTCCCAACCCATGTTCCCGGCCCTTCTCTGCCCATCTCTGGCTTCATTCTGTGCTGCAAGCACCTTGTGTGCCTGTGTGTGCAGACTATAGCCCACGTGTTCAAGCTCTATCTATACCCCTGGCAACAAGTTGCCCTGTGGTCACTGTCAGATCTAAAGGTGCCCACACTGGTGGAGTGGGACACTCTGAGAAAAATGGTCCCAGGGAAGAGATCCACACAGACCCTGGAAGCAAGCTCAGGGCCATTTGGGTAAAGAATATGGGTCCATGTTTCCTGGGGCACCATCTGGGGCTAGAGCTCCAATTAAGTATGTCCCCTTAGTCTCACATACTCCTCACTCCATGTAAAGGTTCTGAAGTCAGTGAGAAACCTCTAACATGTTGGGTCCAGAACAGGAGCCTCTCTTGCCTGTATCTAAGAGTGAAACCAGGTATAGGTGAATTGCCCATTCAGAAATAATTCAGCCCAGTAAATTGCCCAAACACCATAAGGGACTTGTTAAAAATAAATCTGGCTTCCACAGATACTTTGCTCTTTTGTAGCTCTGATACCAGAGACTGGACTGTCAAACTTTGCTCCCAGCTGCCTCAGGAGAAACAAATTCTTCTGACCCTGTGTTTGCCAGGAGTTCCAATCTCTTCCTGCAAGGCCACCATCTCTTGATGGAACCTAAAACAGGGTAGAAACTTAGCTGAAAATGCAGTTTGGTCTTTACAGTTTCTATTACTTAGGAAGACAAATTAGATGTAGATTGAAATGTGTGACCACAGGAAACCCAAACCTCTGTAACATCTTTGGAAAGAATCATTTATTGAGATAAAAATAGAAACAACTTGGATACTACTGCTTTACCTCCCCACCCATGCCTTCTGTAATAAAACCACCACTGTGGATTTATTAATCACAGCTATTTGGAGAACTCTGTTGTAAATGATTCTGAGGCTATGTCTGGCCTTAGTGAGAAAAAGCACTTTCTTGATTTTTTATATCTTCCATGGTTATGGGAGAGAACAGGGGTGTTGTACATGCCATCTCTGGAGGCAGGACTATGTCTTAGACTTATGTAAAAGGCATAAAAAGCATTCCATCCAGCAGAATTCTTATCTCAAGTTTGCTCTGATTTTGGTGACCCTGATTTTTCCATTGTTAGTATTTGCAAAAAGAATAATGCAAAATAAAATATCACTTATGGTAGTATTTGCTCCATATTTTAAGTCCCAATCTATTGTCTTTGTCTTCCAGGTTCAATAGTTCAGTAATATTGGATGGCAATTATTTGATTTCTTGAGAATCTGGCTCAAGGGACTCGAAGATAAATCAAATCACAAAAAGCTCAGATTGTTAGATTAGAATAATGTCTTCTTAAGTGGTCGGCTGAAATATGATTTAAACTTTGTCAATGCACATGCTAACATATGTTACATATGATTGGCAGTAGGCAGTAGCATAGATAAGTCTGGAGTCATATGTTTGAGGTTGGAGTGGCAGTGTGTAATTTTTCTTGGAGGGGGTGGCAGATTTATCTACCTAATTTTGTTAAACTTAGGATAGTATTAGCATAATGCCTTTGTGTTTCCTGAGTGTGACTCCCTGGCCACTGAGGGGCAGGTGGCTGAGGATTAAAATTGGAACATGACCAATGTACAGTCAAATGTCAACTATCTATCTGGAACATTAAGGAAATGAGTTGTTCTGGTTACAAAGTTCATATGTATAAAAATAGGTTCATCTAAACTATTTTTGGTGAACATCTTTGAAAATATATATATACTTCCCTGCTTTATTAAATAGAACATTCTAATTTGATCTTATCTTGATGACTCAATCATAAATTATTCTAACAGGCTTTAATAGAGCCTATTGAGTGCAGGGCTCTGTGTTTGAACCTGTGGGGGATCCGGTTTGGAGTTCTGGTATCAAGTTTTCAGAGTTTTTCTGTCCTCTTCATCAACTCTCAGGCTGCCAGCTGTCAGTCTTTGATACTGCCAGCTGTCACTCTTTGATACTGCCAGTGTATGTCTCTCTGATGACCTGCTGCCTCTGGGATTCCTTGAACTGGGAAACCAGACAATCACGCTCGTTAAACTTGTGCCTAAAATACAAGCAAATTGACTCCAACTGTTACCTCCAGGAGCGTTCTTGTGAGAAAGGTCCACGAGCTTTATTATAGCACCTTTGCCTGATCAGTGGCCCATTTTACTTTCTTTCTTTATGTCTCAGTAAAATGGGATTGCTGGATTACTGAGTTTCATGTAGGTGAAGTGCTTCTTTTCAGTGGGTCTATTTTGAAGATGGATGATAGAATATTGACTAGAGGTTGGATGCCATAGTTAGATGGGGCTAATGAAAAACCTAGCCAGAGACAGAGCATGATGGCTCAATAGAAGCCTCTGCCGATCGTCCTCTCTGCAGGAACACCAAATTTAACAACTGTCTATACAAAATAGCCCTTCATAAACGCTAAAAATCAGATGAGCAATCACAGTACCTGGTTTTAGCTTTATGTTGCTGAAAGAGGCATTGAAAGGGGTAGAAAAGACAGTTTTGAATTGTCAACACCACCCCTCCCCCATCCTTCTGCAGTGGCTACATGGTTCAGAGAGATAATCTGTGGCAATTAGGGCAGGCAAAGTGCAGTGAATGTGGGACTTTGCATTGGAACTCAGTGCTGCCAACATCACGCAGAACTCAACCAAGACTTATGGAAAGAACATTTCGACCAGCCCTAGCCAGAGGGAAATCACCCATCCCAGTGGTCAGAACTTAAGTTTCATCAAGCCTTGCCACTGTGGGCTAAAGTGTTCTGGGGGGTTCTAAATAAACTTGAAAGGCAGTTTAGGCCCAAAAGGACTGCAACTCCCCAGCAAGTCCTAGTGCTGTGCTTTGCCAATGGACTTGGGGGAGCATGCGACCTAGTGAGACACCAGCCAAGGTAGCTAAAGAACTGCTTGTATCACCTGCTGATTGTAGAGCCCTAGAGCCTTGAGTGAACATAGGCAATAGCCAAGTAGTGATTACAGCAAGTGTTGGGCAATACCCAGTGCTATGCCAGTTTCAGGTCTGACCCAGTGCAGTCCCAGTGGTGGTGACCATAGGAGTGGTCACCTGTGTGACCTCTCCCCCAGCTCCAGGCAGCTCAGCATAGAGAGGAAGAGAGAGAGACTGTTTGGGAAAAAGTAAGGGAAGAGAGCAAGAGTCTCTGCCTGGTAATCTATAAAATTCTTCCAGATTTTGTCCAAGACCACCAAGGAGGTATCTCTACACGTCTACAACAACCACAGTGCTACTGAGCATATGGTGCCCCCTAATACAGATATGGCTGCAGTGACCAAAAACATAGATCACAACACCCAAGTACCTTTGAATACCTGGAAAGCCTTCCCAAGAAGGACAGATACAAACAAGTCCAGACTGTGAAGACTACCATAAATACACAACTCTTCAATGCCCAGATACTGACAAACATCCCCAAGCATCAATATCATCCAGGAAAACATGACCTTACCAAATGAACTAAATAAGGTGTGAGAGGCCAATCCTGGACAGACAGAGATATGTGAATTTTCAGACAGATAATTCAAAATAGCTATGTTGAGGAAACTCAAAGAAACCCCAGATAACACAGAGAAGGAATTCAGAATATTATCAGATAAATTTAACAAAGAAATTGAAATAATTAAAAGGAATCAAGCAGAAATTCTCAAATTTAAAATGCAATTGACATATTGAAGAATGTATCAAAGTCTCCTAATAGTAGAATTGATCAAACAGAAGAGAGAATTAGTGAGCATGAAGACAGGCTATTCAAAAATACACAGTCAGAAGAGACAAGGAAAAAAGAATAAAAGAGAATGAAGACCGTCTACAAGATCTAGAAAATATAGCCCAAAAGGGATAAATCTAAGAGTTATTGGCCTTAAAGAAAAGACAGAGAAAGAGACAAAGTTAGAAAGTTTATTTAAAGAGATACTAACAGAGACCTTTCCAAACCTAGAGAAATATATCAATATTCAAGTACAAGAAAGTTAAAATATATACGCACCAACACTGGAACACCCAGATATATAAAACAAATACCATTAGAGCTAAAGAGAGAGCTATACTCCCAATACAGTAATAACTACACAATTCATCACCCTACTTTCAGCACTGGACAGATCTTCCAGACAGAAAATCAACAAAGAAACATTGGACTTAATCTGCATTGTAGATCAAATGATCTAATAGTTATTTACAGAACATTTTATCCAATGACTGTAGAATACACATTCTTTCCCTTAACAAATGGATCATTCTCAAGGATGGACCTTATGTTAGTCCACAAAACAAGTCTTAAAACATTCAAAAATGTTAAAATAATATTAAGTATCTTCTCTGACCACAATGGAATAAAACTAGCAATCAATAATGAGGAATTCTGGAAACTGTACAAATACATGGATATTAAATGATATGCTCCTGAATAACTGGTAGGTCAATGAAGAGATTAATAAGAAAACTGAAAATTTATTTGAAACAAATCATAATGGAAACACAACATTCCAAAAACTATGGGATAGAGCAAAAGCAGTACTAACAGTGAAGTTTATAGCTATAAGTGCCTACATCAAAAAAGACGAAAAACTTCCAATAAACAACCCAGCAATGCATCCTAAAGAACTAGGAAAGCAAGAGCAAACCAAATCCAAAGTTAGTAGAAGAAATTACAAAGATCCGAGCAGAAATAAATGAAATTGAAATGAAGAAACAATAGAAAAGATAAACTAAAAGTTGTTTTTTTTAAAAAGATAAACAAAATTGACAACCTTTTAGCCAGATTAGCTAAGAAACAAAGAGAGAAGACCCCAAAAAAGTCAGAGATGAAATGGGAGACATTCAACCTATACTGCAAAAACTCAAATTAATAGTCAAATTAGAGACTACTTGAGCAACTATATGTGAATAAATTGGGAAACCTAGAAGAAATGAATAAAATTTCTAGATACACACAGCCTACCAAGATTGAACCATGAAGAAATCCAACACCGGAACAGAGCAATAGCAAGTAATAAGATCAAGACCATAATAAAAAACATCTCCCAGCAGAAAAAAGCCTAGGTCTTGGCGGATTCACTGCTGAATTTTACCGAACATTTAAAGAAGAACTAATATCAATCCTACTCAAACTATTATGAAAAATAGAGGTGGAAGTAATACTTCCAAACTCATTCTATGAGGCCAGTATTACCCTGCTACCAAAACAAAAGACACACCAAAAAAAGAAAACTATAGTTCAATATCTCTGATGCATATTAATACAAAAATCGTCAACAGTATACAAGCAAACTGAATTCAGCAACACTTTGAAAAGATCATTCATCATGACCAAGTGGGATTTATCCCAGAGATGCAAAAATCATTCAACATATGCAAATGTATCAGTGTCATATGGCATATCAACAGAATGGAGGACAAAATCCATATGATCATTTCAATTGATGTGAAAAAGCAGTTGAAAAAATTTAACATCTGCATGATAAAAACCCTAAAAAATGACATAGATGTAATAAAAACCGTATATGACAGACTCACAACTAGTATCACAACAAATGGGAAAAAAACAGAAACCCTTTCCTCCAAGATCTTGAACATGACAAGGATGCCACCTTCACTACTGTTATTCAACATAGTACTGTAAGTCCTAGCTAGATCAATCAGACAAGAGAAAGAAATAAAGGGCATCCAAATTGGAAAGGAATAAGTCCAGTTATCCTTTTATGCTAATGATATGATCTTATATTTGGAATACCGTATAGACCCAACCAAAAAACTACTATTACTAATAAACACATTCAGTAAAGTTGCAGGATACAAAATCAGCATACAAAAATCAGTAGCATTTTTATATGCCAACAGCAAACAATCTGGAAAAGAAATCAAGAAAGTAATTCCATTTACAATAGCTATATATAAAATTAAATAACTAGGAATTCATTTAACAAAAGAAGTAAAATATTTCTACAATGAAAACTATAAAACATTGATAAAAGAAATGGAAGGGGATACAAAAAATGGAAGCTATTACATGTTTATGGATTGGAAGAATCAATATTGTTAAAATGTCCATACTACCCAAAGCAATATATAGATTTAATGCAATCTCTATCAAAATACCAATGACATTCTTCACAGAAATAGAAAAAAACAATCCTAAAATTTATGTGGAACTACAAAAGACCCAGATATCCAAAACTATACTGAGCAAAAAGAACAATACTGGAGGAGTTATGTTGCTTCACTTCAAATTACACTACAGAGCTATAGTAACAAAAACAGCATGGTGCTGGCATAAACACAGACACATAGACCAAAGAAATGAACAGAATAGAGAACTCAGAAACAAATCTGTACATATATCTACAGTGAACTGATTTTCCACAAAGGTGCCAAGAACATACACTGGGAAAAGGACAGTCTGTGTAATACATGATGCTGTGAAAACTGGATATTTATATGCAGAAGAATCAAATTAAACCTCTATCCCTTGCCATATACAAAAATAAAATCAAAAGGGATTAAAAACTTAAATCTAAGACCACAAACTATGAAACTGCTAATAGAAAACATTGGAGAAACTCTTCAGAACCTTGACTAGGCAAGGATTTCTTGAGTAATACCCCACAAGGACAGGCAACCAAAGCAAAAATGGACAAATGGGATCATATCAAGCTAAAATGTTTCTTCATAGCAAAGGAAACAATCAACAAAGTAAAGAAAACAGCCCATAGAATGGGAGAAAATGTTTGCAACTACCCATCTAACAAGGGGTTAAAAAATGGAGTATATAAGGAGCTCAAACAAATTTTATAGGGGAAAAAAAACAATAATCCAATTTTTAAAATGGGCAGAAGATATGAATAGACATTTCTTAAAAGAAGACATACAAATGGCAAACAGGTATATAAAAATGTTCAACATCACTTATCAGAGAAACACAAATCAAAATGATAATGACATCTCAATTCATCTCAGTTAAAATAACTTTTATCCAAAACACAGTCACTAACAAATGCTTTCAAGGATGTAGAGAAAAGAGAACCCTTATACACTGTTGTTGAAATGTAAATTAGTACAACCACTATGGAGAACATTTTGGAAGTTCCTCAAAGAACTAAAAACAGAGCTATCATGTGATCCATCAATCCCAATGCTAGGTAGATACCCCCCCAAAAAAAGAAAATCAATGTATTGAATGAAGAGATACCTGGACCCCTATGTTTATTGCAACACTACTCACAATAGCCAAGATTTGGAAACAACCTAAGTGTCCATCAACAGACAAATGAATAAAGAAAATATAGTATATTTACACAATGGAGTATTATTCAACCATAAAAAATAATGAGACCCTATCATTTGCAACAACATGGATAGACTGGAGGTTATTATGTTAAGTGAAATAATCCAAGAATAGAAAGACAAACTTCACATTTTCTCACTTATTTTGGGAAGCTAAGAATTAAAACAATTGAACTGATGGAGATAGAGAGTAGAAGGATGGTTACCATAGGCTGGGAAGGGTAGCAGGGGAATGGAGAGTAGTAGGGATAGTTAAAGGGGCCAAAAAAATAGTTGGAAAGAATGAGTAAGACCTAGTATTTGATAGCACAACAGGATGACTGTAATTAATAATTTAACTGTACATTTTAATATAACTAAAAGTATAATTGAATTGTTTGTAACACAAAAGATAAATGTGTGAGGTGATGGATACCTCATGCACTCTGATGTGATTATTACACATGCATGCTTATATCAAAATATCCCATATACCCCATAAACATATACTCCTATTATGTACTCATAAAACTTTTTTTTAAAAAACCCCAAAGAAACAAACAAAAAACTTCCATAAAACCTAGCCATATGCTTTGCATTTTTAGAGCCCTTTATACTGTTCAATATGTTCTCCCTACTGACATCTGCATTTGTCATTTTCGTATGATGTTAATGTTCCATCATTTTTATAGACATAATGACTGAAAAATTTTCTTAAACTAGTCTTGCTAATAAGTAAAAATATCTTAACTTCATCTTACAGAAAACTAAAAATGTCTAGCATGTTGCTTGTTTTCTTTTTTCCTGAACATTTGCCCTTTCTGTTTCTAGGCTGCACATGTTCTTCGGAAAAAGATCTAAAAGCATCACCTTTTGCTTTGTCTGCTGGTGCTTAAGGTGAGTCACTATTATAGGCCCCTCTCTCCCACTTAGTTTTCTGCATGGAGGATAACCTGAGGTAAAAGGGTAGAGAAGGCAGATACATATGACAAAGACAGGTAGGAGGGAAGCAAAGAGGGGCATCGGTTCAATGCAACAATTAGAGTTGTCTACACATAATCCCTTCAGAAAAGCATTAGCATGGGCTCTTCAAAGCTGTTTGGTTCTTGTCAGTTACAGAACTTTTATATTCTATGAGTAACTGGATTGTTAAAACATGTGTGATGGTGAAGAAGGTGACCCCTGCCAACCTGTGCTTTAAATGGGCTTGTTTAGTGTTGGGAGAGAGCCATTAGGCCACACACAGAAGAAATGTGCCCTCTTTCAATTCTTCCACCAAGAGATGTGGAAGGTATGATTTATCACATAAGGCCAAGACTTTTTGCATGGCTGGTATGACACCAGACATTCCAGACTTCCTCTGTGTCCCTTTTTCTCTTCATTGAGCTTCAACCTGTGGTACCACTACAGGGATGTGGGAAAAGCAGAAAACGTATGTTTACAGCTACTGTAATAGCAGTGGTTGGTTGTAGAAGACTTGTTGAAACTATAGCAAGTTCCTTGCTGGGATGGGAGCATGAGTCTATACAGAGCATGGAAATAACCCACTGTTAAGTGAAAACCATTCATAGTTTTTATAAGATCATTTTCCTGCTGGTAGACTTGGCCTCTGGTGATATCTTCTGGGCTCTAGTTCCTATCAGAAGACTGAGAGGCAGATGGGCTGTAGGAACAATAAAACCTACTTAAATCTGTTTCATGAAGTAGAAAGAGCAAGAATTGGTTTTCTGTCCATCAATCCATCCCTCCATCTATTCACCCATCCATCTATTCATTCTTTCCACACAGAAGTCAAAGTAATGTTTCCAAAATATGCATCTGGTCATATTACTGCCTTCTTTAAATCCTTTCCTAGTTTTGCCCTCAAGGTGAAGTCCAGACTCCTGAATGTCACCTCCTTGGCCCTGCATAATCATAATCAGGCCTCTGTCCACTTCTCTAGTGACATCTCTTGTTTGATTTCTCACATCGTTTTATATACTCTAAACTTCTGTCATGCAGGGTATCCCTCAGTAACTTGAAAGAATTATGCTCCTTTTTGTCTTTGGAGCTTTGAACAAGTTGTTCTTTCCCCTTCCTCTCCATCCTTTGCTTTTATGACCTCTAATCGTTCATCACTTCACCTAAGCGGCCTCACCTTCAGGGAATATTTGGTTCCCGTACTAAGTGCTCTCATAGCACCCGCTAGCCTCCTATCAGAGCGTTGTAGTAAGTATTTCTACCTTTAATGCATCGTATATGCATTGCACTTTAAGCTCCTTAAAGGCATAGATGGTACCTGTATATATTTTTTGTTGTTGAGACACTAATAGCTAGCACAGAGTCTGCCACATAAGACTTCAGCAAATATTTTTTGTATAAAATTGTATGACCAAGATTGGCAATATAGCTTTAAGATTGGGTTTTGTTGACAAACTATTTGAATCTGTATTCCAGCTTCACTATTTGCACAATGCATGACTTTGGGCAATTTATTTATTTTTTAAAATTTTAAGTTCAGGGGTACATGTGCAGGTTGTCCAGGTTTGTTACATAGGTAATGTGTGCCATGGTGGTTTGCTGCACAGTTCATCCCATCACCTAGGTATTCAGCCCAACATTAGCTATTCTTCCTAATGCTCTTCCTCCTCCCCACCCACACTCTGACAGGCCTCCAGTGTGTGTTGTTCCCCCTCATATTTCCATGTGTTCTCATAGTTCACCTCCCACTTATAAGTGAGAACATGCGGTATTTGGTTTTCTGTCCCTGTGTTAATTTGCTGAGGATAATGGCTTCCAGCTCCATCCATGTCCCTGCAAAGGACATGATCTCGTTCCTTCTTATGGTTACATAGTATTGTATATGTGCCACATTTTCTTCATCCAGTCTATCATTGATGGGTGTTTAGTTTGATTCCATATCTTTGCTATTGTGAATAGTGCTGCATGTGTCTTTATAATAGAATGATTTATATTCCTTTCAGTATATACCCAGGAATGGGATTGCTGGGTCGAATGGTATTTCTGCCTCTGTCTTTGAGGAATCTCCACACTGTCTTCCACAATGGTTGAACTAGTTTACATTCCCACTAAAAGTGTAAAAGCATTATTTTTTCTCTGTAACCTTGCCAGCATCTGTTTTTTTTTTTTTTTTTTTTTTGACTTTTTAGTAATAGCCATTCTGACTGGTGTGAGATGGTATCTCATTGTGGTTTTGATTTGCATTTCTCTAATGATCAGTGCTGTTGAGCTTTTTTTCATATGTTTATTGGCTGAATGTATGTCCTCTTTTGAGAAGTGTCTGTTCATGTCCTTTGCCCACTTTTTAATGGTGTTGTTTATTTTTTTTTTCTTGTAAATGTGTTTAAGTTCCTTGTAGATGCTGGATATTAGACCTTTGTCAGATGGATAGATTGCAAAAATTTTTTCTCATTCTGTAGGTTGACAGTTCACTCTGATGATAGGTTTTTTTTCTGTGTAGAAGCTCTTTAATTAGATCCCATTTGTGAATTTTTGCTTTTGTTGCAATTGCTTTCGATGTTTTCGTCATGAAGTCTTTGCCCATGCCTATGTCCTGAATGGTATTGCCTAGATTTTCTTCCAGGGCTTTTATAGTTTCCAGTTTTACCTTTAAGTCTTTAATCCATCTTGAATTGATTTTTGTATGTTGTGTAAGGAAGTAGTCCGCTTTCAATTTTCTTCATTTGGCCAGCCAGTTCTCCAAGCACCATTTATTAAATAGGGAATTATTTCCCCATTGTTTGTTTTTGTCAGGTTGTCAAAGATCAGATGGTTGTAGGTCTGTGGTCTTATTTCTGGGTTCTCTATTCTGTTCCCTTGGTCTATGTGTCTATTCTTGAACCAGTACCATACTGTTTTGATTACTGTAGCCTTGTAGTATAGTTTGAAATCAGGTAGTGTGATGCCTCCAGCTTTGTTCTTTTTGTTTAGGATTGTCTTGGCTCTCTGGGCTTTTTTTGGTTCCATATGAATATTAAAATAGTTTTTTCCAATTCTGTGAATAATGTCAACGGTAGTTTAATGGGAATAGCATTGAATCTACAAATTACTTTGGGCAATATGGCCATTGTCACCATATTGATTCTTCTTATCCATGAGCATGGAATGTTTTTCCATTTGTTTGTGTCCTCTCTGACTTCTTTGAGCAGTGGTTTGTAGTTCTTCTTGAAGAGGTCCTTCACTTCCCTTGTTAGCTGTATTCCTAGGTATTTTATTCTTTTTGTGGCAATTGGGAATGGGAGTTCATTCATGATTTGGCTGTCAGCTTGCCTGTTGTTGGTGTATAGGAATGCTAGCGATTTTCGCACACTGATTTTGTATCCTGAGACTTTGCTGAAGTAGCTTATTGGCTTAAGAAGCTTTTGGGCTGAGAGGATGGGATCATGTCATTTGCAAACAAAGATAGTTTGACTTCCTGTCTTTCTATTAGAATACCTTTATTTCTTTCTCTTGCCTGATTGCCCTGGCCAGAACTTCCAATACTACGTTGAACAGGAGTGATGAGAGAGAGCATCCTTGTTTTGTGCTGGTTTTCCAGATTTGGGGCAATTTATTTCATGTGCTTGGGCCTTGACTTTCTTTCTATTAAGTAGGAATAATAGTACAATAATTAAATGCTTAATGACAGGGATACATTTCTATAAATGTGTCATTAGGTAATTTTGTACAAACGTTGTAGAGTGTACTTACACAAACCTAGATAGTATAGCCTACTACACACTCAGGCTATATAGTATAGCCTATTGCTCCTAAGCTATAAACCTATATAGCAGGTTACTGTACTGAATACTGTAAGCAATTATAACACAATGGTAAGTATGTGTGTGTCTACACATAGGTAGACATAGAAAAGGTACAGTAAAAATATGATATTATGGTCTTTTGGGACCACTGCCATATGTGGTCTATTGTCGACCAAAATGTTATTTAGTGCATAATTGTATATACAATCCTAGGATGTGGTTAAATGAGATAACTCATGCCAAGCACTTAGACTAGTGTCTAGCACATATAATACACTTAGTTCTATGTGGTTATAATTAAGTGTCTTCTACATGCAGAGCTCTAGATGTAAACCCATGGTGGAATTTAAAAATATGTAATCTACAGTTATTTCAGGGACTGGCTTAATTTCTGTAAACCTCATAAATGGCTCCCTGAGACAAGCTGGCTACTAACACTAACATGGACTCTGGGAGGCACTTTGCTCTATATCTGACATAGGGGCTCAAGACCATCATTCTGACTGCTCATATGGCACATAATCCTCGACCTAGTCCAACATCTCCAAATTCCTGAGCTTAAGTAACTTCTAGAGTTTCTGTCTTGTTCTCTCCTATCTTTATTTCTTTCCCAGGACTCTGGTACTTCTGGAGCCTGCATCTGTCACTGGCAGATCCCCTTCCTATAACCTGATACCTGGCATCCTATTCCTAAAGCCCAGGCCCTGCTGGAGCCATGCTAATTCTCTGGTGCTGACCACCTATTCATATTACCTTTATCTGGAAGGCTCATCACCATGTTCTCCCTGCCTGACTTTTTAACCCCCTATTATACTGCCTGCCTGACTGGACTGCTGCTACCTCTCTCCTACATGGTAACCAAGCTCTGCTGGCCCATCTGGAGTACAGCTGGGTCAGCCTCTTATTACTTATCCTACCCTATTTTGTGTAATAGGTTTCTCAGTCTGAGTATCTCTTCTCAATTTTATTTTGCCATCACCCAAACTCCTGTTTAAGGCATCCCTGCTTACAAGAAACTGCAATGTCTTGGGGGAGATAATGTATGTCCTTAGATGACAATTAAAGAAGATCGAAAGTCAAGAGTAACTTGAAATATTGGTAAAAAGTGCCTTCTTATAAAACCTTAAAGAGTAAACAGTAGCCCTCTCCCTCTCCCTCTCCCTCTCCCTCTCCCTCTCCCTCTCCCCACGGTCTCCCTCTCATGCGGAGCCGAAGCTGGACTGTACTGCTGCCATCTCGGCTCACTGCAACCTCCCTGCCTGATTCTCCTGCCTCAGCCTGCTGAGTGCCTGCGATTGCAGGCACGCGCCGCCACGCCTGACTGGTTTTGGTGGAGACGGGGTTTCGCTGTGTTGGCCGGGCCGGTCTCCAGCCCCTAACCGCAAGTGATCCGCCAGCCTTGGCCTCCCGAGGTGCCGGGATTGCAGACGGAGTCTCGTTCACTCAGTGCTCAATGGTGCCCAGGCTGGAGTGCAGTGGCGTGATCTCGGCTCACTACAACCTACACCTCCCAGCCGCCTGCCTTGGCCTCCCAAAGTGCCGAGATTGCAGCCTCTGCCCGGCCGCCACCCCGTCTGGGAAGTGAGGAGCGTCTCTGCCTGGCCGCCCATCGTCTGGGATGTGAGGAGCCCCTCTGCCTGGCTGCCCAGTCTGGAAAGTGAGGAGCGTCTGCGCCCGGCCGCCATCCCATCTAGGAAGTGAGGAGCGCCTCTTCCCAGCCGCCATCACATCTAGGAAGTGAGGAGCGTCTCTGCCCGGCCGCCCATCGTCTGAGATGTGGGGAGCGCCTCTGCCCCGCCGCCCCATCTGGGATGTGAGGAGCGCCTCTGCCCGGCCGAGACCCCATCTGGGAGGTGAGGAGCGTCTCTGCCCGGCCGCCCTGTCTGAGAAGTGAGGAGACCCTCTGCCTGGCAACCACCCCGTCTGAGAAGTGAGGAGCCCCTCCGCCCGGCAGCTGCCCCGTCTGGGAAGTGAGGAGCGTCTCCACCCGGCAGCCACCCCGTCCGGGAGGGAGGTGGGGGGGGTCAGCCCCCCGCCAGGCCAGCCGCCCCATCCGGGAGGGAGGTGGGGGGTCAGCCCCCCCGCCCGGCCAGCCGTGCCATCCGGGAGGGAGGTGAGGGGGTCAGCCCCCCGCCCGGCCAGCCGTGCCATCCGGGAGGAGGTGGGGGGGTCAGCCCCCCGCCCGGCCAGCCGCCCCGTCCGGGAGGTGAGGGGCGCCTCTGCCCGGCCGCCCCTACTGGGAAGTGAGGAGCCCCTCAGCCTGGCCAGCCACCCCGTCCGGGAGGGAGATGGGGGGGTCAGCCCCCCACCCGGCCAGCCGCCCCGTCCGGGAGGGAGGTGGGGGGGTCAGCCCCCCGCCTGGCCAGCCGCCCCGTCCGGGAGGGAGGTGGGGGGGTCAGCCCTCCGCCCGGCCAGCCACCCCGTCTGGGAGGTGAGGGGCGCCTCTGCCCGGCCACCCCTACTGGGAAGTGAAGAGCCCCTCTGCCCGGCCAGCCGCCCCGTCTGGGAGGGAGGTGGGGGGGTCAGCCCTCCGCCTGGCCAGCCGCCCCGTCTGGGAGGTGAGGGGCGCCTCTGCCCGGCCGCCCCTACTGGGAAGTGAGGAGCCCCTCTGCCCGGCCAGCCGCCTGGTCCGGGAGGGAGGTGGGGGGGGTCAGCCCCCCGCCCGGCCAGCCGCCCCGTCCGGGAGGGAGGTGGGGGGGTCAGCCCCCCGCCCGGCCAGCCGCCCCGTCCGGGAGGTGAGGGGCGCCTCTGCCCGGCCGCCCCTACTGGGAAGTGAGGAGCCCCTCTGCCCGGCCAGCCGCCCTGTCCGGGAGGGAGGTGGGGGGGTCAGCCCCCTGCCCGGCCAGCGGCCCCGTCCGGGAGGTGAGGGGCGCCTCTGCCCGGCCGCCCCTACTGGGAAGTGAGGAGCCCCTCTGCCCGGCCAGCCGCCCCATCCGGGAGGGAGGTGGGGGGGTCAGCCCCCTGCCCGGCCATCCGCCCCGTCCGGGAGGTGAGGGGCGCCTCTGCCCGGCCGCCCCTACTGGGAAGTGAGGAGCCCCTCTGCCCAGCCACCACCCCGTCTGGGAGGTGTGCCCAACAGCTCATTGAGAACAGGCCAGGATGACAATGGCGGCTTTGTGGAATAGAAAGGCGGGAAAGGTGGGGAAAAGATTGAGAAATCGGATGGTTGCCATGTCTGTGTAGAAAGAAGTAGACACGGGAGACTTTTCATTTTGTTCTGCACTAAGAAAAATTCTTCTGCCTTGGGATCCTGTTGATCTGTGACCTTACCCCCAACCCTGTGCTCTCTGAAACATGTGCTGTGTCCACTCAGGGTTAAATGGATTAAGGGCGGTGCAAGATGTGCTTTGTTAAACAGATGCTTGAAGGCAGCATGCTCGTTAAGAGTCATCACCAATCCCTAATCTCAAGTAATCAGGGACACAAACACTGCGGAAGGCCGCAGGGTCCTCTGCCTAGGAAAACCAGAGACCTTTGTTCACTTGTTTATCTGCTGACCTTCCCTCCACTATTGTCCCATGACCCTGCCAAATCCCCCTCTGTGAGAAACACCCAAGAATTATCAATAAAAAAATAAATTTAAAAAAAAAAAAAAAAAGAAAAAAAAAAAAAAAGAAGAGTAAACAGTAATTAGACAGGGGAAAGATAATGCTTTTGTTTGGTGAAAACTATACTCACACTCCAGGAAAGAGGCAGACTAACAGCTAATTGGACAACAAGCAAGCTGTGTCTCCACAGGGTGCCCATCATAGGATTCTCAACTCTCTCCCAGATTCTATTAGGAATGGAGGAATCCTTCCATTAACACCAGAGTGTGTAACTAAGGGTGAAGAAAAGACTTCAACTTTCCACTGCAAAATCTTCTGTGACTTGGACTCCATCTCATGGAGAATACCTTTGTGTGCCATGCAAGGAGTTATAATGGGGTTGACCAAATTCTTAGTCAAACCTTATAGTCTGACATGGACAAAAATGGTATAGATAGTTATTGACGATGGAAAAGAATAAAGACATTGAGCTGGAAAAGAAAAGGCAACTTGCTGCTATTTTAACTGTTTTGTATTGTCTTCATGATATTCTGGTAGTTCAATCAAAGTTAGGTATATCTCTTTCTTTTTAAGGAATTAAGTAAAAGAATCAATAATTATGGCTGTAATCATTCAACTAAGTCTACTTATGTACACATGATTGGAAATGGCCATTCATGTTTATTACTCTTTTCTCTCCTTGGAAAAATGTATTGGAGGAAAGAGAAGTTTCTTCTTCAATATTGTCCATTGAAGGCAAGAGGGGCGAATGCTCTCTTTCAGTCAGTGGTCTGGCAGTTCTGTTTGCCCGATATAGAAAAACGAGAAAGAGTTTTAGTGTTAGACAAATCTAAGTTTGTACCTCTCCACCATTTTTAGCAGAAGGATCTTTCTCTCACTGAACTTCATCTGTAAAATGGAAATAATAATATCGAACTCATAGTGTTTCCATGAAGATTAAATTATGAATTCCATTGTCAAAGGTATGGCAGAGTGAGTAGTACACGTAGGGACATATTCAATGAATTCTCAGCTGTTCTTGTTAATTAGGGGAGGTAATATGGAAGCAATTGTGCCCTGGGAAGAATGTTTTATAGCATGTCCTTGTTTGACCATAACCTAGTGAAGCATTCTTTCTTAGCAACAAACTCCCAGAGCACTGGCTCATTTTGGTAACCTCCTTTTTTTCCACATTTTTTTTTTTTGCCTTTTGCCTCTAGATATACAAAGGTCATTCTTATCTGTATAAACTATTTTCCTTTATATCAAAGATGCCAAAAACCTATATTCACTTAATTTCTTTTTCAAATGTCATCTTGTTAATTTCTTCCTGAACACATTGAGGAACTGTCATTCTATTAATGCCATAATAAAATCCAAAGTTTCCTTGCCTTCGCCTTGCAGGACTTCTCTCAGGTTTTGTTTTGTTTTTTTTGTTTTTTTTTGGCTCTGTCATTAGTACTATTATTCTCTTACTCATTTGTTGTCAATTTATCCTTTTATTCATTTACTTTCTTCTCATTTCTTCATTCATTAACTCAACAAATATGTATTCTATATACCATAACAAACCTGAGTTGACACTGGGGAGCTAGCAAGTATCCCAATAAGAGAGGAAGAATAGGGTAGTGTTTAAGAATGAATGCTTTCAAGTCAGAGGAAGACCTCTGTTTGAACTTTGACTCCATTGTGTTTTAGCTGGCTGACCATGGGCAAATCACTTCAAATTCCCTAGACTTCAGTTTCTCATGTGTAAAATGGGGATAATATCAGTTCCTGTTTTCCAAGGATACTGTAAAAAGTAAACAAGACAATTAATGAACGCAAATTTCTTAGTTCACTGCCTGACATGTAATAAGAATATACGGTCAATGAGTGTTAGATTTGATGATGGTGGTGATGATGACGATTATCTTTAATTATTTGGTTCTTCATGGAGCTTAGACTTTAGTAGAGACATCACATAAGTTTCCATGGAGCTATTGAAGGTCTTTAAGTAGATTAATGACTAGGTTGTGATGACCTTTGATGCCTCCTTTTTCACATCTCCCCATCTACAACTAGACTCTACAACTAGTTGAGTTGTCCTTGATACGTCTTATAGATCAATCCTTTCTTCTCCAATACCACTGAGAATCCCCCCATTCATCTAAAATGTAATGTTTAATTGAAGCATTATCTAATTATCAAATGTAGTTAAACTAGACTCCTTCCTAAGTGAAGGATGGTCTCCTTGGGCATCGTTCTGCATTTAAGAGGCTGAACTGTTCTATGATGGTGATCTACTTTGGCTGTTTCCCCACCCAAATCTCATCTTGAATTGTAGTTTCCATAATCCCCACATGTCGTGGGGAGGAACTAGGTGGAGATAATTGAATCATGGAAGCAGTTTTTTCCATCCTGTTCTTGTGATAGTGAGTTAGTTCTCACGAGATCTGGTGGTTTTATAAGGGGCTTCCCCCTTCACTTGGCTCTTATTCTTCTCCTTCCTGCCATCACATGAAGAAGGACGTGTTTACTTCCCCTTCCACCATGACTGTAAATTTCCTAAGGCCTGCCCAGCCATGCTGAACTGTGAGTCAATTAAACCTCTTTCCTTTATAAATTACCTAGTCTCAGTTATGTCTTTATTAGCAGTGTGAGAATAAACTAAGGCAGATGGCATAATCACATCTCTGACCAAGGCTATTTTCAATGGTTCAGACACTGACTTGTTGAATTCTCATATTGGTAGTCACCTCTCTGCTATTCTTTCCATCTGTTTGTAAATTTAGAGATGTCCATCTAGCTGAGATTTTATGAATATCACTAAAAGATGAATCTATTAATGAGGGAATATCCTTCAAATTTGCCTCCAACTTCTTTAAAAGGAACTCTACTACTGAGATGGTAAATGGATTTCATCACACATGCTGTCTGTATCAGTTCACACTTGCTGTGTGACATAAACTTAGTGGTCATTATTTCTTGTGGGTCTACTGTCTGGCTGAAAGATTCTGCTGATCTAGGATAGGCTCAGCTCATTTTGCCATCTTGGGCATCTGCAGTCAGCTGGCAAGTTGACTAGGGATGGTTTAGTCTAGTATAGGTTCAGCTAGAACAACTTGGCTCTCTTCTATGTGTCTTTCATTCCCTTCAGCAGGCTAGCCTGGTAGGTTCTCATGGTAGTGGCAGGAATCAAAGAGAGAAGGCAGAAATGCATGAGCAAATTTTCAAGCTTCTGCTGGTTTCAAGTTTTTCTCACTCATCCAAACAAGTCATCTGTTTAAGCCTAGAGTTAGAGTGTGACAGTAGTACCAAAGGGGAAAGATATAGCAGTTATGAAAACCTGTGTCCCCTAATTTGCTCAATCTTCCATAGTCTGCCTTCAGGGCACAATTACTAACATGCTTGACCACGTGAAATACATTCCTCCTTTCCCAGGACCCTCCAAAATCTCTTCAAGTTGGGGCATCCTACTTGAAGTCCAGGGCATTGTGATCTACATCAGGTTCATTACATGCTGCTCTTAATCCAAAAAGTTATGTACTGGCAAAAAAGTATTTGCTCTAAACATACTCAACATAGAATGGCAAAACGAGGACAGAATAACCTATATAAGTATTCTCATTTAGAAAGGGGATGAATTGAAACTACATAGCAGTCACTGGTCCATGGAAACTCTGAACTCTTTCTGGGCAGATGCTTTCCATTTACCCTACTCTGGAGATGGGAAATGTTCTTTGATTCGTTCTGCTTTCTGGGAATGCTCCTCAGTCTATTGTTCTCCATGGCTCTTGGCATGTCTCTTCCACTTTTCTTGCCCACTTCAGAAGAGAATATTGGAAAATATTCCTGCTTCCTGCCTATAGAAAATTAGGGGCAGAGATGTCTCTCTACAAGTGTGAGACACCTCTATAGAGTCTCAATTCTTTTTTCCTCCAGGCTGGCAAACTGTTGCCAATGTAGCTGAATTAAAAACATTGTGAATTCCTATGAATATGGTTGGATTCTACTTCATGATATAAAAGTCACACCTTTACTATTCTTCTAAGCCCTTTTGCATAGTAGAGAAACCCTGCTAGACTTTGCCTGAATTCCTTCACGGATCTTCAAAAAGGGTCTTATAGCCATGCCTGTGATTTTGTCTTTGCCCCCAAGCTAAAATTTGTTTTGAGAGTTATATTGCTCCCTTGAGGGGCTAGAGATAAAAACAGTTTTATGTCCCTCCCGGAAAATCATGGACTCCCTATTTTCTCTATGTTCTTCTTGTAGAATAGCTAGTCTTTAATTTAGAATATATCTTTCTTGTAGCAGTGTATCAAATACAGTCAATAAGAGCCAGTTGGCACTTTCAACATCCTGCATGGAAATCTCATTGCTTAAATCCTAAAGTTCATTAGTACATTTAAAATTTTCTTAGTTATAACAGGTGACAGTCTTAACAGTGGTTTCACCGTTATATGAAATGGATCGCCATTTCTCCAGTCTCCTTTAACAGCTTCCTCACCATTATTCTAGCTTCTGCCAACTTTTCTGACCCAAAGCCAATGTCACATCTTTTAAGTTTTAGTTATGACAGAACCGAAGTGCAACACCAAATTCTTTATCAGTTTGCTATTGTGCATTATAAACCACTCCAAAACTTAGTGGCTTAAAATAACAACTGTATATTATTTTTCACAATTCTATGGATTTATAGAAGATTTTGCAGATCTGAGCTATGCCAAATGCATCAGTGTTCCATGCATCCGTGGTCAGCTGGCAGATCCACTAGCACCTGGCTAATCCAAGGTTGCCTTGGTTGGGAAATTTCAGCCCTCCTCCATATATCTCTGACATTGAGTGTTTTTTTTTTTTGGAAATGCTTGCATGGAATACTGTTTTTAAATGTTCAGAGGCTGTATATAGGCTCAGCAGAAAAAGCTACTCTGTTAATTAGTGATTTTGGTCATGGGTGAGGGAGATAGAAAAGGTAGCACATATGCCATGTGCTCACTATTTCTCTCTTGTTTCCTAGGTTTTCAAGGGTAGAAATCAGAGATCTCATTTTATACACTCAGTGTGATAGTTAATATTGAGTGTCAACTTGATTGGATTGAAGGTTGCAAAGTATTGTTCCTGGGTGTGTCTATGGGGATGTTGTGAAAGGAGAATAACATTTGAGTCAGTGGACTGGGAGAGGCAGACCCATCCTCAATCTGGGTGGGCACCATCTAATCAGTTGCCAGCATGGCTAGAATAAAGCAGGCAGAAGAAGGCGGGTGAAGCTGACTTGCAGAGTCTTCCAGCCTTCATCTTTCTTCCATGCTAGATGCTTCCTGCCCTTGAACGTCAGACTCCAAGTTCTTCAGCTTTTGGACCCTTGGACTTAACACCAGTGGTTTGCCAGGGGCTTTCAGGCCTTCAGCCACAGACTGAGGGCTGCACTATCAGCTTCCCTACTTTTGAGGTTTGGGGACTCAGACTGGGCCACTACTGGTTTCCTTGCTCCTCATCTTGCAGATGGCCTATTGTGGGACTTCACCTTGTGATCATGGGAGTCGATTCTCCTTAATAAACTCCCTTTCATATCTACATATATCCTATTAGTTCTTTCCCTCTAGAGAACCCTAATACACTCACCTAGCATGATGCCTGACAAATATTAGGTGCTTAATAGATATTTTGCATAAATAATTGAATAAATAAATGGAAAAGGAAGATGCACATATAGGGATGCAACATGGACGAAATTTTTAGCCAGATATCCTTCAACTGGTCAGATGTTTTTCTCCTCAGTTTTTAAACACACCCTATACAGCACTCGTCTTGTTACACTTTCTCAAATATTATATGGGCATACTTGCTTTTGCCCTTGTGATTTCAGCAGATGAATATGCTCTTTTCATACTTGAATGTCAAAATTTGCCTCAATTTACAGTTTTGCTTAAATCTCTCCTTTTCAGTCAACCTGAGTCAGAAGCAATCTCATTTTGTACTTGTTCGTTTTATTTTGCCTAGTACTAGAATGAATCATTTCTAGCTGGGTCTCTGACACCCCAGCTAGATTGAAAACTGCTAGAGGACATGGTTTACACATCATTTGTCTAAACATTCTTCACAGTGCCCAGCCCAGTTTCTTCCAAATGATGTGATTAGTTACATTTGTTGAATGAATAAATGAATGAATGCGTGAATAAATGAACCAAATTTCTACCAAACAAGGGCAGGGACTTTGTCTATCCTGTTTATCCTTAGCTGTTAGTTCAGTGCCTTGTACATGGTAGGTGCTCAATAAATATTTACTGAATAAAAAAAATGAATCATTGAATAGCTAAATGAATTAATGAACAAAGTGGGGGAAAAAGCAAATGCAGACTTATTATTCCTATTTTAAGAAGTTACACTTTACATTACATTAGAAAATAATTTCATGATTGATGTTAATGGTAATTCCTTAGAACAGCCCAGGAACTCAATTCTATTATTATCCTTGTTTTCATTCTTGCTCAAAGACCTTTTCCCAGGCAGTGAGAAAGAGAAATTGTGCACTATTCTCTCTAGGAGCTTCATTTATAAAGTGAACTATTTCAGAGTTTATAACAAGGCATATGGGCTGTTAGAGTCTTTTCAGGCCACGTAGGACTGGGCTTGTCCTTGTAGGCAGAAACGGCGAGTGCCTGTGTCCTACATCGGGTTGTCTGGTAGATCTTAAAGTCCTTCCTTTGGTCCCAAATATTTTCTATTTTCTCTCTTGCTGGGACATATTCCCTGTGCTTGAGAGATTTAGGGCTCAGTGAAGTGGTTGTCAGACTTTATCATCTGACTGAATCCCACTTCTCACCCTCTGAACATTCAAGTTTAGTTGGCCTGGGGCCAAGTCCCAGGAAACTGTATTTTATCAACCACCCCACTCCCAAGATTCTGATATTGGCGGTCTATAGATCACGCTTTTTTTTTCTTTTTTCTTTTTTCTTTTTTTTTTTTTTTTTTTGGAGACAGAGTCTCGCTCTGTCGCACAGACTGGAGTGCAGTGGCACGAACTCGGCTCACTGCAACCTCCGCCTCCCAGGTTCAAACAATTCTCCTGCCTCAGCCTCCTGAGTAGCTGGGATTACAGGTGCATGCCACCATGCCCAGCTAATTTTTGTATTTTAGTAGAGACGGGGGGGTTTCACCATGTTGGCCAGGCTGGTCTCGAACCCCTGACTGCAGGTGATCCACCCACCTCGGCCTCCCAAAGTGCTGGGATTACAAGCGTGAGCCACCGCGCCCAGCCAGACCACATTTTTAAAACCATTAATTGTGTGTGTATGTGAAGAATGCAAAAAAAAAAAGTGCTGTAAGTGCTGTGATGGATGTCTGTGTAAGATCCAGCAGAGGCAGAAAAGTGGAAGCTGTTACCCTTTGCTAGGGATCTCTGGATTTTTGTTCAGTCTTAGATGAGCATTTTCTCTTTTGCAATAACTTGTAACAATTTTAGAATCCATAGAGGGAACAATTGAAGTCCTAAAGGGACTAGGATATCTGTGGAGGTTGACAATTTTGTTACGGCTACTCCTTTCCTAGAAAAATCCCAGGAGGGTGCCCATTGTGTGTTACATAGTTCTGAGAATATCTCCACTAACCTTCCTGCTAGCAAAAGAATAATAAACGCTCGCTATGCTGAGCATGTACCCAGGATGAAGACAGCAGAAATGAAAGGGTTACGCAGGACAAATGTGCTTCACGAGAGCTCAAGAAAATTCTGTTTCCAAGTCAAGTAGTCAATGCAATTTAGAATAGGCAAATTTTGTCTGTTGAGTATCTTGTCTCATTGTGTACCTAAACTTGGACTTGATGGTGCAGTTTCACTTAGAGCTCTATATTTGTCTTCCCTCATTATCCCTGTGGGTGGGCCCAATGCGGGGTGGAGGAGAAAAGGTACTCTGTGAGTACTAAATAATCCTACTAACATCACATAGCCTTGAGTCACTGGAGATGTGTTGTATAAGCCCTGTTAAGTTTGATCTCTTTTACTCCTACTGCAATTATCTGTTGGAATTTTATAGGACTGTGGACATACCGAGGGGAGGGATTTAATTGTTAAGTACTTTCAGCCTAATTGGTTCTCAATTGGAGGAGATGCCTTGGGTCTGGAAACTTGCCACATGTTAGCAGAGCATGTAGGTTCATTGCTCACCTGTGGAGTTGCCAGATACAAGAAAATGTTCTGACTTGGCATCAATTTTGGCATTTAGTTGGCTTAACTGTCTTCAAGGCTGCTCCTAGGGCTTTTTATTTGTCAGCTGTTCCTGTGTTGGGTAGACATGGAGGCTTTTACCAAGTCTCTTAGCTACCCAGGCTAAGACCCTGACTGTGGCAATTTGCATGAGGCAGGAGGGAGTACGGCTGTGTTGGTGGTCCCCATAGAAAGCCATGACTGGGGAACTGATCAATGTCATTTTCAGCATATATTTTATTGTATCTTCTTGCATGCCCAATTAAACCAGTGAACAAGTTATTCGTGTTACTAGATATAGAGGGAACTAAGACCTAGAGGAGAAATGGTTAAGTAGTTGTACATCTATGTGATATCTAGTGCATAATCATTACAATCATGACTTTGAATATTATTTAATAATATAAAAATTGCTTACTATGAATTATTAAGTAGTAATATCTATAGCATTTAACTTTTTGCCACAAAAGAAAAAAATCCTGAGTGGCATTTTTGTCAGGAAAAAAAGTAAAATAAATCTCATAAGTCTTTATATAAATTAAGTTTAAAGATTCTGGATTCAGACTGGCCTTGTTTAAAAAGCCTGGGTAACTTTCTCAAAGTCACCTAATTGCTGCATGATTTGAAAAAGCTGATTAACCTTATTAAGACTATTTTTAAATTTATAAAATGGGAATAATGTTCATAGCACTTACTCCATAGACTTATTTCAACTATTTAAGATGCTTATCTATCTAAAGTGCTCAATTCATTGCCTGGTACACAACAAAAGGTTGATAAATGTCATCATACGTGCACACATAAATGCAAACACACACATAGGTACACACACAAACATACTTTTATATGCCTTGTTGAAACGTTTTCTGTCTTGATAATCAATTTTTCTTTCTCCTCCAGCCCTCTGCCATTAATACTAAGGAAGCAATGAGGGGAGGAAAGGTGCCATCAAGAATTGCACTGTTCAATCCCATAGCCACTACCCATAGGTGGCCATCAGGCACTTGAAATATGGCCAGCCCAAACTGAGATGTGCTGTTAAGTATAAAATTCACATTGGATTTTGAAGACTGTAGAAACAATTTTTTTTTGTGGGGGCGGGGCAGGGGGCATTCTGGTTGGCTTTTACTTATGACACTACTTTTTTTTTTTTTTTGTAGGATTTATATAATAATGTGGTACATTACCAAAAATTTTATTGAACAGTATGAAAAACATAGGAAATGTCTCATTTTTTTTTTCTGCAACCTTTGCCTCTTGGGTTCAAGCAATCCTCCTGCGTCAGCCTCCGGAGTAGCTGGGGCTACAAGCACGTGCCCAGCTAATTTTTGTATTTTTTTAGTAGAGACAGGGTTTCACCATGTTGGCCAGGCTGGTCTCGATATTCTGATAGATTAGGTTAAATATGTTATTAAATAATAAATTAATCACAATTTGTGGGGAAAGGCAAAGACACAGACCCTCTATGACAACATTGAATGGAATATTCTTCCCAAAGTAATTATGTTTGAAGCCACTCTGGTACTTCTCTTCTGTTTCTTACTCCTGAATTTTCAGTTGTACCTTCCTGATGTTTCTGTTTGGATTCTACTGTCACCTTAAACTCATCATATCCTAAAATGTATTTTTATTTTCTTCACCACTGTATTCTATTTCTGATTTTCCTATTTCAGTTCTATTCTCAATGTCCTTACGACCTCACTTCAATTTCCTGAACGACAACAATAGATTTTCATCTGGGGCCTCTCCCATCACTTCATTCCATTTGCATTCATTTTGCCCACCAAATCCAAACTAATCTTGCTAAAACATCACTTATTTAAAAAAAAAGTGGAAAACCTTCAATGGCATTCATTTTTCCATAAGATAAAACCCATGCCATTTAGCTTGGTACTTGGGGCCCTTCCAATCAACCCAGATTATCATTCTGGTCTTCTCTCTAATTTCTTGGTCTAGGTTTTCATTCTAGAAAATACTAATTACTCTCTAGCCTTCAAACATAGCTTATGGAGTTGACAGAAATGTTCCAAGATGCTTTTTACACTGGAAAAGAAGTAGATTGTGCAGGTTGAGTGTAGGAAGAAGAGATTTAAATTGTGGACATACGGAAGTTGATATGCCTTTTAGATAAGTTAAAATTTTCTTTTCAACTAACTTACCTGAGGAAGACAAGAGGCTCTTGTTATAATGGGTTTGAGAAAGGGGAAGAGGTATAGAAAAAGAAGACTGGAGAATCACTGGACAGTTCCTCAAGTTACAAGCTTCTGATTGCATTCCAAAATGCACTGACTATAGAAAGATGATGTTTCAGATTTATAGTTATTTGGGAATTTGCTCTGGGCTATTTTCCCAGGAAGGAAGGAGGCTTTAATGTCTACCTTCAAAGGGCATATTTCCTGAAGGGTGATGGAGATAAATGGAATTGCCTATGACCTCAAATTGAATTATTTCTGAGGCCTTGCACTTGTGAAACTCTTTATGGTTTCGAAACAGTTTTTTTTTTTCCTGATCATTAGCTCATGGCATTATCTCAAGACCATGAGTGGCATATGATAGACAATATTATTGCCATTTTGGAGAACACGTATACACAGAATTTAGCCAACTTTTTCAGTAACACAAAGCTACATTTTGATATTACCTTCCAATGCTGATTTCAGTGTTATTTATATTGCTTTACATTGCAAAATGCAAAAATCACTCCTTGCCTGAACTGTTCAGTCTTGACCTGTGAAGTAGATGTTTCCTGGTTTATCTTTAAGAATTAGCTTTTCACTTGCAGAGGTGAGTTTCCCCTGGGAAATCCATGGCAAATTTTTCATTATGTACACTATTCAAATATTATTTACGTTGGTTTTCGGTTGAGGGAAAAAATAATATCCTGCTAATTCTTACCTTTACAATTCAAAGAAGTTTGACATATGCAGTAATCCAACCTCCATTTCTAAATGTTTATTTTTTATTATAAAAGTAATGAATGTTCATTATAGTAATATTGGAGAATGCAGAAATATGAAAAATGAATTTATTTTTATTTTTATTGAACTATAATTTGCATACAGTGAAATGCACTGATCTTAAGTGTAAAGTTTGATAAGTTTCTAAAAGTGTTCACAACTGTGTTACCCATACACTAGTCAAGATATAGAACATTGCCATCACCCTGACATCACTTTTCTGTCTCCATCTGCCTTTCTCACTCTAGGCAACCTCTGTTCTTATTTTTATTAGGAAAGTGGGATTAAAAGAAGTACTGAAGTCCCACCATGTAACAATCAATCACTGCTTAACCTAGCAGCATCTTTTGACATCACTGATCATTCCCTTTGTGATTCCATACCTTGGCTTGGCTTCTGAGGCATAGCCGCCTCTCGTTATTCTGCTCACCCTCCTGGCTGCTACTTCTGTGGGTCCTTTGCTGAGTTCTCCCTATCTTTCCACCTCTAATTGAACAGGGTCAGCAGTTGGCCCTCTTCTGTTCCCTATCTGTATGCTCTTCATAGTGATATCATCAAGTCAGATGGCTTTCAGTGCCATCTCCAAGTAGACAGTTCCCAAGTTTATACCCATAACTCTCATCTGTCCCTTGAACTTGAGTACTATATCCAATAGCTTCCTCACATTCTCACATGAATGTCTAACCAACCAGACCTCCAAGGCAACACACTCCAAATCTAAGTTGTGATGTTTACACCCGAAACCTGCTCCTCCTTAGGGTCCTCATCTCAGAAAATGACATCTCCAGTTGCTTAGGCCAAAAGATATGAGGGCATCTTTGACTCCACTCTTTCTTTCATAACATGTGACAAACCCATTAGGGAATCCTGTCCGCTCCACTTGAGAGTATGTAGAGAATCTGACAGATTCTTAGTGATGCCCATGCTAACGTTTGAATCCAATCCACCTTCATCATTGTTCCCCTGGACTAATGTAGTAGTTTTATAAGTGATTGATCTGCCACCCTGTAATTTATTCTCCATGCAGCAGGTAGACACAATCTTTTAAAATATTAAAGTTTTCTCCAAAGCTGCAATCATTCTTTATATTTAATATTACATTTTGCTTTTTTCACTCAATTCCATGTGATTTCAATTTTTCATGTAATTACAAACTATAAACATAATTTTCAATGGCTCAATTATCATTACATGGGGAGATACACCATGATTTGTTTATGCAACTCATTATCATTGGACATTTTGACTATAATTTTAACTA
Organism: Homo sapiens; assembly: GCF_000001405.40. Lineage (NCBI taxonomy): Eukaryota > Metazoa > Chordata > Mammalia > Primates > Hominidae > Homo > Homo sapiens. The sequence continues at coordinate 28,444,137 of NC_000011.10, forward strand.
TTGTTAATAACACTGTAAAGAATATCTTGGTTCACAAAGTTGCTCAACCCTTATAGTTATAATATTGGATCCATAGCCAGGAATTGCTTGGTTAAAGGGTATAGACATTTGGAGGCTGTATAGCTACATACTGTCAAGTTGCTTTTCAAAGCAACAGTGTATACTCCCACTAGTAGTACTAACAACAAAATCATTTATATTTTTTCCTAAATAGATTGAATTTTATTTACAACTTTAAGAAAGTATAAATAAAAGATTAATCCAACATGGCTTATAGTTATTGGAATTTAACAAACTATATTACATAAATTAGTTTAGAGTCCATTTGCTATTATTAATTATAAGTTAGTGCAGACAGTACTACTCAACTGTAAGCCCACAGAATTGGGATGCCATGTAGTAAATTTGCTGAGGTTTGGAAACATAAAGTTTGATTAATGGCCTAATCACTTAGTAGCCATGAATTTGAGCAAATCACTTACCATTTTTGAGCCTCCATGTTTTCATCTATGAAATAGGGATAATAAAAGCTGCCTTGCAGAAATGTTGCAAAGATTAAGTGAGATAATGTTCTTAAATCACTTAGCATGAGGATGGCTCTCATAAATAATAGTTTCTATCCTCCCTTCCAAAGTCATCTCCTGTCCTAGGTTTACATTCTCACCGTAGCCTACACGGAAATAAACTGTAAGCAAGGCATTTCTCCTGTGGCTTTCTGAACTCCTGTGAATGAATATAAGAGTTTCTTATTTTGCTTTGTTCAGTGTAAGATAGACAGTGTCATTTCAGGATGTGAACAGCATCAGGTGGGGCTTGCTGTATGAGGACTGGGACCGAGGAGCTGGCTACAGTCCTGGTCCTGAGAGGATGGGGTTAGAGAGGGGAAGGGGCAAACATGAGAGACAAGCTGAGGGGCAGAACTGTGACAGCTCCAGAGATGAGGATGAAGTGGAAAGCAGGAGTCCGAGGCTGGCTAAGATGAACACTTTTCCTAGTGGTGAGGAACAGATGAGAAGGCAGGAATCCTGGAGCAACACACCTAAGTCAGTGTTTCAACATTAACGTCCACTTTTAAAAACTCTTTACTTTGAAATCATTTCTAATGTATAGAAAACTTGTAAGAATAGTGCAAAGAACTTCCGTAGACTCTTTTTCAGATTAACCAGTTTTAAACATTTTGTCATATTTGTCTCATCTCTGTGTGTGTATGTGTGTGTGTTTACTACTTAATGCCTTAGTTTCTTTTTTAAGAAGAAAGATTTTCTCCTATATAAACATGGTATAGTTATGAAATTCAGGAAACTGGACATTGATACAACACTTTAATCTATAGTCCACATTTTAATTTTATTAATTGTTTCAATAATGCCTTCTATACCATTTTGTAATCCAGTCTTGGATTGTGCAGGGTATTTAGTGTTCATGTCCCTTTAGTCTCCTTTAAACAGGAATATGTCTTGTCCTTACTTGGTTTTACATGATATTGGCATTTTTGAAGATTATAAACCAGTTATTATATTTCATTATTTTTTTGAGACAGGGTCTCGCTCTGTCACCCAGGCTGGAGTGCAGTGGCATGATCGCGACTCACTGCAGCCTCAACCTCCTGGGCTCAAGCAGTCCTCCCACTTAAGCCTCTCAAGTAGCTGGAACTACTGACATGTGCCACCATACCTGGCTAATTTTTTATATTTTTTGTAGAGATGAGGTTTTGCCATGTTGCCCAGGCGGTCTCAAACTCCTGGGCTCAAGCAATCTTCCTGCCTAGGCTCCCAAAGTCCTGGGATTATAGGCTTGAACCCCCGTGCCTGGCCTGGCCTGTTATTTTATATTGTGTCCCTGAATTTGGATTTTGTAGAGCTCATGTTTTAAATCTGCTTTTGAATAACATGTCTCTTGCAAGAGATTGCAATTAGACTCTCTGTCCAGATTGAGCTGGGCTCAAGAATTCTCGATATAGCAGGATATGTGGAGCATCTGTAACCACTGGACATAAAGCAGCTAGTGAATGCAGGGGGTGAAGGCCGTAGGGTGGGGTGGAGACCCTTGTACCTGAGCCGGGGTGTAAGCTCCCATCAATGGACTGACAGGGACCTTGAAGGGTCACCAAGGCCATCTGCTTGGACTTCAGCAGAAATGCACATTTCTACTCTTCTAGATGTGCCAGTCTATTTTTAAAGCCCTCCAGGGAAAGTAATTCTGTGTGTAGCTTCCACACTGGTGCTCTCGCCTTTGCTGTGTGAAGTTTTCTCTGTTGATCACTAACTTCCTCAAGGAGCAGATCTTACAAGTTTTTCTCATCCTGGTTTCCGGAAGGGCTGTCTGTGAGGCGTGAGCCCTTCATTCTGTACAGAGAGTTATATTTTATCACTTGCCCTCAGGTTTCTTTTCTTTAGGTTAGGCTAAAGAAAAAAAACCTTACACATACAGGGTAAAGTATTGTTACCTGTTTGCTAACAACAATATATTATCATATCAATAACTACACATCATCATAGCAATAACTCATTTCATTTTAGCATTGGATTTATGTTCCATAGACCTGACTATCAAGGGGACATGTTATAACATTTTTCTAGTCATCTTTTTCTTTTTTGTTATAAAATAATGAATGTTTATTGTAAAGTACAAATTCAAAAATTATAGATGAGTTAAAGAAAAGAAGAAAATTTCTTCTCCTTTCTCTTTCCATACCCCTAATCACATTCCCCAAACTGAACCACTATTTATAGTTTTTACGTCTGCAATTCCAGATATTTTTCTATAGAAATACAAGAATACATACACACATATATATACACACACACTATAAAAATTAAAATGGGATCAAATATCTGTATTTAAATTTGATGTTGTTTTCTGAGTTTAAAAATAATATATATTCTTTGTGGAAAATATAAAAAGAGCACAAAAGAGATTATTTAAAAAAACACCCATAATTCCACCACTCACCTCTTTAATGTTAGGATATTTTCTTAGACTTCTTTTTAATATGTGTGTATTACTATATAGTCTCTTTAATGTTGTTCTCTTCCTTGATTAACTTTGAGCATCTTAGGCTGTTTAATGTTTTTCTTCTTAATTTGGGCCCAACTGAATGTAATTCTCTCATGAGATTAGGTTATGAAAGGCAGTAGAGAAACAACAGACTGGCAGAGTCAAGAGACCAGGCATGCAGAAATATTTCCAGGAAGCAATAGATGTCCTAAAAGGGAACACAGCATCTATTACCCATAAACCACTCAATGAACAGGGCTTCTGATAGCATTAAGACAGTGTCTTCTATGTCTGAGGCCAGATTCCTCATTTGTTACTAATTCATCACTGTGGGGAGTCCTGGTGATAAAGTATTGAATAACGAAAACATGAACCTTGATCTCCTTTTTTTTTCCCACAGTTTAGTGGGTTTTTCTTTTTTTTGTGCCACAGAAACCAATGGCTGAATCTCATTATTTTGTGATCTACCTTGATTTTGAGATTTTAGTTCTTCTCTTGTTTTACATTGTGAGTCTTCAGATGCAAAACTTACCATGAATAATTTTTCAAATCAGTTCTTCTTGATGCATTCAAAACTTTAGAGAATGGCAGTTATGTACTGTCTTGCTGAAAAATTGTTCAGATTCAGAATATCTCAGGGGGAGGGAGACTATAAATGCCTTGCTTTAGGGGTTAGGATGGCCATATCAGTTTCTCTTATTTATGCATGCCCACCCTTTCATGTGGACTGAGGCACAGTGCCCAGTATTCTGAGACGATTCAGAGAAAAAGAGGGCAAATAGTAATGTTCCTCACATAACTCATATCCTTTAAGTATAGTGAATCTTGGAATTTGTGTCACAGATCACAACTTGGATCATAGTCCCCCCTCCACTCTGTCCCCATGCCCCTTTCTGCTCATCAGGCTTGGGATCTGAGTGCCCAAATGATAACAGGATTGCAGCAGCCTCATAACTACTCTCTTTTCTCATCCTTCTCACTTTCATCACAGAGTAGGGTTTCTGCATGGGTCCTCTCTTCTTATCTCTGGCTGGTCACTCCATTTAACATGGTAGAGCCCCTCTTATACTCTACCTGTTGGGCATAGACCCTGAGATTTTCCCAGTATTTGTTGGTATCTTTGTTCTGTTCTCTTATGCCTTGGGCAGGGTTCCTGCTGCATGAATAGATCTCTGGTGACTACATCCACCTTCAGTTAGCTTCCTGAATTCTTTTCAGCCAACAAATATTTATTGAGTTCTCATTATGTGCCAAGTGTTATTCTCGGTTTCTAGGATATGCGAGTGGACAAAAGGATCAAGATCTTGCTTCTCATGGGTCTTGCATTCTAGTGGATGCTTCAGGAATGAGAGATTGCTATGTTTGGGCTGGGACCATCATGCCCCATCAGACACCAAGCAGTTCTCCCAGCTGCTTGCTCTGGGGTTAACATTGGTAGTTTCCACCAATCTCATCTTGCTTTTATTTTTCTCTGATTTTGTTTTCTACATTTTTTCACATGCTTTCTCTCTAAATCTACCTAAGTTATGGCAGATCTTGCATTTATAGAATATTTTCTTCCTCAGTATGCTCATCCCTTCTTCTGAAAGTTCCTGTGGGCCAAAATGATCCAAGTGCATATTTGCATTTGACAAAACCAGCCAGTTCCCCCACCCCACCACCACCATTTTTTGGATCAGTTAATAGATGGCAAAAGCTCCAGGTCATTGAAAATAAATGTATAATATTTATTATGCTTGTTACAGGAAGAGGTTAAGATCATGACACAGTGAGAAAATAGTTTTTGTGCCTGTGGAAATAATTTGCATTTGGGAGGGTTGGGGTGGCCAAAACCTTCTGAAGTAAAATGCCTTAAAATATGGAGCCTCCAGAAACTAGTGTTGAGAATAAACTTCAGTTCTCTTTGGGGGTTGTCTGAGATGCCCTGTGCTTGTTTGTGCTATTTGTATTTTCTTTCTTCTATGTGGTTTCTGGGATCATTGCGCTATTTTAGCTCTTACTTAGCCATACTCCCTGTTGAGATGCTAAAATATCCTGAAAGTGGCAGTGCTAAAGTTTTGCATGCCCAGGAGGTGGATAGTGCAGGGCTGATTTGTAATGACACTTTACTGTAGAGTAAATTTTTAGCTATAATGATATTTTGGGCTGTTTGATCCCACCAGATTTGGAGAAGTTTGAATTACCTTAAATAACTAGAACACAGACACTCCTATGTTACTCCTGAGACATGCTCACTGAAGCATGGAAATTAATTCAGATATGCATTCAAGCTTCATTTAATTTTAATCTAAGGGTTTACAGAATTATTTACTGATATTTGGGAAATGAAAGGTATTCCATGAGGAAAGTCTGATTGAGAGTGGCAACAAGAGCAAATCCATAGGTTAATGTTTATGAACCTTCTGCCTTGGTTAAGGAAACCATAGCAATTAACGATGGCTGCATATTCTTTGATCGTCTTCTCATATAGAAATGGTATCTATTTCTCCACTTTCAAGTCACAGGCTAGCTAGCCTGTGACTACTTTGACCTATAGAATACAGTGGAAATGACGCTTCAGTTCTAGACATAGCTCTTAAGTGACCTGAAGGTTTTGCTTCTTCATCTGGGAGCCATGAGCTGCTGTGTAAGAAGTCTGACTACCTTTCTAGAGGGGCAATGCGGAAAGACACTAACACAGGATGAAAAGGGAGAAGAGCCCAGCCGAGATCAGCCTTCCAGCTGTTCCTGCCAAGGCACAGGGAAGTGAATGAAAAAGTCAGTTTGAAAATGATCTTCCAGTCCCATTTACCCCAGCTGATGTCACATGGTCTAGTGATATACCACCCAGTTAAGACTTTCCGAAATTCTTGACCCATAAAATTGAGAGCAAAATAAAATGGTTGTTTTAAATTGCTGTATTTTGGGCAGTAATCAATAAAAGAAATGGAAATTTTTGTTTGAATTCAAGGTTCAATATTTTAGAAATAAGATTTTATTTATTTATTCATCTGTCAACCTACTCATCCACCAAACAACTTACCAAGAGTTCATTATATTTCCAATGACACTGGACTAAGCCGACGGAGGTCTTAGCTTTACCCTGATTTAGCATCAAATTATGAAGTCTTATTCAAGAAATGAAACTCCCTTTTAACATTTTTGTTTCCATTTATTTCAAACACATTAAGGACCTACCATGTTCCAGGCAATGTATAAAGTGTTGAAGAAACAATGGTGACTAAAACAACGTCCTCATGAGGCTTATTTACAATGAGGAAATACAAAATAAATTTTCTTTTTCTAATCTGTAAAATATGATAATACTAATCTCACAGGACTTTTGTGAAGACTAAATGATATGATGAATGTAAAAGCCTTTTGTATGTATCCTTTATAAAGGTAAAAGCTTATTGAATGTTGATGGTAGTAGCGGTAGCAGAAGAGCTGAGTTAAAGCATGTATTTAACACTCAAAGTGAAAATACAGTATGTGTAAGTCAAAAGTAACCACCTATAGCAAGAGTTATTAATCTGGATTTAGTTTTGGGCTCCTTATTGGACTTTAGTGGATTCAGTAAACTTTTGAAATGATAAGCCATAAGTTGTGTGGATATGTATATGCACAATATTTTTTATTAGAAACTCAATGTTTTCATTAGATTTTCAAAGGCAATCGTAATCCTGAAAGGTAAAGAACCATTGCTCTATAGAATAAAGGTAACTGTAATGTATTAAACATGTTCTAGGAGCCAACTACCTATTCAGTATTTTCATTATACTAATTTAATCTATATAATCCTTGTGAGGGGAGGACTCTCATCACCATTGTACAGATTAAAAACCATGGCTCAAACAGGTTAAGCGACTTATCCAAGCTTAGTAAATGATGGGCTTGGGATTCCAGGTCAGCTATGTTTGACTCCAAAGGTCTTTCTGCTGCACCATATGTATCAGTCAGGATTCTTAGTTGAAAGCTACAATACTCAATTATGCTCATTTAAGCAAAAAGGAAACTGCACTGGGATGATACCACAGCTCAAAAAACTTACGGGAAGAGCGGAGAACCAAAATCACGTCCCAGACTACTACAGTGTCTGAGGAATGGGTACTTCAGCTTACACTGCCAACATCAATTGGAGATTAACAGGAGAGAAAAGGAAAGGAAAATTAATTTGAAAAAGAAAATACAGGCAGGGCTCGGTGGTTCATGCCTATAATCCTAGCACTTTGGGAGGCTGAGGCAGGCGGATCACGAGGTCAGGAGATGGAGACCATCCTGGCTAACACGGTGAAACCCCGTCTCTACTAAAAATACAAAAAATTAGCCAGGCGTGGTGGCGGGCACCTGTAGTATCAGCTACTCAGGAGGCTGAGGCAGGAGAATGGCGTGAACCCAGGAGGCGGAGCTTGCAGTGAGCCAAGATCACGCCACTGCACTCCACCCTGGGCAACAGAGTGAGACTCCGTCTCAAAAAAAAAAGAAAAAGAAAAAGGAAATGCAGTGTGTATATTAGTGAATGGATTTGGCATGGTAAATAAGGAAATACAGCTAGCTTATAGTTCTTATTTCTGCTTTATGCCATGCACCTTCGTTGGTGTTTCTGATGGCTTCCCTTCACTGCTCACCCTATTATGCAGCGTCTGCTGGTGACGTTAGCCAAGATCCCTTCATTCTGGAAAGACTGAACCTCCTGATGGTTATGGGTTATGGCAGCCTTCCAGAAAAGTTATTGCCTTACATTGCAGTGATAGAAGGTAGCCCAGGAGAGCTCTTGGTTTTGGTTTATTTGTTTGTTCTTCCAAACTCCCATCTGCCCCCATAATGTAGACTGAATAGTCAGATCAGTGGCTTCAGCCAGCCCTCTAAGCCTATGAGCCTGTTAGTGGTTAGTTGGTATAATGAAGAGCCTGGAATAACCACTTAGCTGTCTTAGCTTCTGGCTGAGTGGAAGTGTTTTGGGGGACCCTGGTAGACATATTCCACCTTTGAATATAGAAAACTTTAAGCAAGTAGTGTCCAAAGTCAAGAGGAGAGAAAGCAAACATTTTGTGGAGAGAGCCGTTTGGAATAATAGGGAGGGGTGCCTTTCTACTTTCACACCTTGGTTTCAGCACCTGTCTTCAGCCTGAAAGAAACATTATATTCTGGTTACTTGTCCAATATCATTTACTGCATTCTTCAGGATAGCACCCCAACCTCACAATGTGTTTTTCTTCCAGCTGATGTTATAAATGGTCTGCAGTTTCCCATTCCTTCATTCTGTAAAATCAATTGCTTTTCGGTGATATTTAATGACAGCAATACAATTCAAGGGCAGCTGTATCTTAATTTATATACCTAAAGTGGTTTACTTGGTGAGAAACAATGCTGTATGTGATACATAACAGGGTATAAACATTAAGTAAGATCACATGGTGGTGATGTTTGCAGACATAAGGTAGACAGGAAAAGCAAATCTAGAAGACATGTCTACTTTAGAAAGAAAAAAAATCACATCATCTTTATGTAACCCAGGCACTCACTGGGATCTAGGGTTATGATGCCACGTCAGAGATTCAATTTTGTCCCTGCTACAGGATCCAGGCCAGACAGTGAGGGATAGTTCATATTGTTGAGCCTATGCATAGCCTCCATCACTGCCCCCGTTGAGTGCTTTATTGTTGAGCACTTTGAGTAGCCACTGGAGCGTTTGGGAAAGCAGAACAATTGATATCCACAAAGTTGTTTGTCTTATCCTTTTGCTTATCAAGAGCTGATTCTGTAGTGGAGCCTTTTGGTGAATGTTGATGTGAAACACAAATGTTATACTTGTGGCCAGTTCTGAAAAGTCCATTCATTAACCTCTTTACTAAATCACATTGTCATAGATTCTCTAATCTTGCTCCTTAGAAGCCATTTTCCATCTGGCCAACCTACTGATCCCTGCCCATGATACAGTATGGATCCCTACATCATGCCACACCTCCTCAGAGTAAACAATGAGATGCTTTTTCTTTTTAATACCAGAATCTCCCTATTCTACTCTTTTACAGAGCCAAGGCAAAGCACTTATGGCTGCTGCCAGAATATTGTGTATGTAGCAACTTCTGTAAAGAAGGCCTAAGTTTTTTCCTACTCAGTCAGTAAACTCATTATAGAGAACAGCATCCTCCGGCTCTACCTGCCACCTTCCATAAAAGAAATCCAGCTGGATTATAGTTACCAGGTTCTAAGAGCCAAATACATTTGCTCCAATAAAGAGACCACACTTCAGAGAGCAACAGCAAATGGAAACAATAGCTGATACATTTTCTTAACCTTCTATCAGTCTTTAAGTATCACTTCTCTTCTGCTCTGCCAGACACTTGAGTTAGATGATAATGTGTTAAAAAAATCTTTATTCCTGCATATTTGATGATAGCACTAATCTGTAACTTTCCTCCAAGGATGTGGTATTACTTTAGATTTACTTATTTTCAGTAGAGCATGTGTTTCTACTGGGCCTTTCTACCATGTATTTCTGTGAGGATTCTGATAGTTGACATCACTTCTAACTACGTAATCAAGAACTAGGAAAATAACCACAAGATGGCTTTTGGATCTCTCTCTATGCTTATTCATGGGAATGGTTTTTGGTCAAAATTCCATTAATATCCTCACCATCATTAGCTTTCACTATGTGCGAGTACTACAGTTGACTCTGGGATTCAAGGATTAGTGTTAACACAGATCCAATGTTAGACCACTCCTGAAAAATCTGTTTGGTTGGTTGGTTGGTTGTTTTCCTTTCCCCATTGCAACTTTAATTGGCACAGATCCCATGGGAAGATACAGGAAAAAGAGTCACACTTCAGTACATAATTTTAATCATACTGTATTATTGAGAATACCTAGACTTTTCTTCGTTCAGTGATTCTGGAGGAGTAAACTGAGAATTTGATGAGGGGATCTTACTCTATTGTGATGTCCCAAGTAAATCCTCTGATTGATGGACTTGGAATTGTTTCGTTATATCACTCAAGTAGAATTTGTTTAGTTCTATTTCAGAGCCAGGGACCCCTGATCAGTTAGCCAATACCAAAGATTTATCTAAGTGTAAGTCATTCCAATTAATCCTCCAGCTTTACTGGTATTATGGTGACCACATAAAAACTGACTAACTTTTAATGGCCACTTGACATCTGCCACCCTCGGGATCTTGGAATTAAGGAGTCCATTTCCACTGAAGTATCTCCCAACAACATCTCTGACTTATAGAAAACAATTGCAAAAGTAATTTTCAGCTGTACTGATATGCTTCTAATCAGTGTATTTCTTAATAGTCTTCTTAATAGAAGTTCTTCTGAGGCCTCTTGGGAGACATATTTAGGGTTTTGTGTATGAGTCACATAGAAAACACCCTTTTCAATGTTTCAGGCCCCATGTCTTAGGATTACTTTCTCTACATTATACCAGAAATTTAAGCCATCCTAAGTCATTTAGCATGGGCCACTAATGAGAGTCCAGGTTTCCGTCTACTCATCAAACCAATACTTAGAACCTCTCTTGGTTGTTGGAGTTAACATACTTAACTTATAGTCTTTGGTAAATGCGCTTATATCAACATATTCAGACTGAACAACAATTCAATTATATTCTTTCCTTCTTCTTAAATGTATCTCATATTTTCACCAACATAAATTAGCCATATATGGAAATTATCTTGTTGAATAAGCTTTATTCTCTGGAATTTGATTTTGTAATTTCCTTCACTGGAGCACATTGGAATATGACTCTAAAGGTTTGGAAAGCACAAGGGATGGGGAGGGGCTTGGAGTGGAGGATGAGGAAGATTGCCTGTCCCTTGCAAGGTAACTCTCAGGTGGTGTCATTAGAATGCCTTAAAACGAGGCAGAGACTGGCTTAAGAGACAGAAGAGGTGGTATTTGTTCAGGAAATAGTGGTTCAGTGGGAATCGGAGTTCCAAGATACTCAGGTCCCCTGAATCCTCCCATATGTATCCATTTGGATTTTCATCATGCATCACTTCCTGGTCAGTGTTCTAATTCATACAAGAGTACTGGCAAGGTAATGGACTCAACTGACTGTATATATAACTCAATAACACATGGGATCAGCTAGCTTTTTTTTTTTTTTTTTTTTTTTTTCAGTGAAGCAGCAAGACAGAGATTATTTTAGCCCATGGTATCAATTTATCAGTCTTTGGAAAGTAGCCACTTCATCCCAACAATATTAAATGTTTTATGCCCTTCATGTTGTTCCATGAGATAGCAATTGGTTCCCCAAAATCTTCCTTTCAGTGGAAAATTTATTCCACGTTACCATAGACAATGCATTAAGGCCATTTTGTCTCTGTGTCTTGCGTCTGTAAAAACCTGTCCTATAATTTTAGCTGATTTTTAAAAATTTCATTCAGCCCTATTGAGGTCAGAGAACCAATCCTAGATTTTACCCACTTCCAGCGTGGCACATTGTATTTTCCAGAGATGGTTGTAAAAATATCTAATATTCTAACACATTCCTTTTGCAATGTGACCTGCTATTACAGTCTGCCCCTCTCCCTGTGAAACTGTACTAGTCATGGTGATACTGCATGGTTTCTTATTTATTTTATTTTATTTTATTTTTTTGAGACGGAGTCTCGCTCTGTCACCCAGGCTGGAGTTCACTGGTGCTATCTCGGCTCACTGCAAGCTCCACCTCCTGGGTTCATGTCATTCTCCTGCCTCAGCCTCCCGAGTAGCTGGGACTACAGGTGCCCGCTACCACACCCAGCTAATTTTTTGTATTTTTAGTAGAGATGGGGTTTCACTGTGTTAGCCAGGATGGTCTCAATCTCCTGACCTCGTGATCTGCCCGCTTTGGCCTCCCAAAGTGCTGGGATTACAGGCATGAGCCACCGCGCCTGGCCTATTTATTTATTTTTTTAAAGACAAGCTTTCACTCCATCATGCCGGCTGGCATGCAGTGGCACGATCATAGTTCACTATAACCTCAAACTCCTGAGCTCAAGTGTTCCTTCAACCTCAGCCTCATGAGGAGCTGGGACTACAGGTGCATGCCACCATGCCTGGCTAATTTTTAAAAAAAATTTTTGTAGAGATGGGGTCTCACTGTGCTGCCCAGGCTAGTCTCAAACTCATGGTTTCAAGTGATCCTTCTGTCTCTGCCCCAAAGGATTGAGATTACAGGCATTGACTGCCATGTCCCACTGCTACTGCACGGTTTCTCCTGCTTGGTCAGAAGCAACACTTGAGCTTCTCTTTCGGTCTCTTGACCGATATTTTGCTCAGGATGCTACTTCTTGTATCATAGCCCCCAGGGTTGTTTTTTTTTTTGTTTGTTTGTTTGTTTTGTTTTGTTTTGTTTTGAGGCAGATCTCTGTCACCTTGACTGGAGTGCAGTGGCGCGATCTCAGCTCTCTGTAACCTCCTCCTCCTGGCTTCCAGCATTTTTCCTGCCTCAGTCCCCGAGTAGCTGGGACTACAGGTGCACGCCACCATGCCCTGTTAATTTTTGTAATTTTTAATAGAGACGGGGCTTCACCATGTTGGCCAGGCTGGTCCCGAACTCCTGACCTCATGATCCACCTGCCTTGGCTTCCCACAGTGCTGGGATTACAGGTGTGAGCCACCGCACCTGGCCACAGCCCCCATGTTTTAAGAAGCTCAAGCCACATACAAAGACCACGTGTGTGTAATCTGGTAGGCAGTCCCAACTAATCCCAGCCTTTGAGTTATCCTAACCTAAGCACCAGATATGTGGATGAAGAAGCCTCCAGATGATTCTAACCTGCAAGACCTGATTAAGTCTAAGCCATGTGATTCTTCCCATGTGAAGCCTCAGACACTCTGGAACAGAGACAAACCATCATTGCTGTACCCTGTCTGAATTCTTGGCCCACAGAATCTGTGAGCATAATGAAATGATGGTTGTTTTATGCCATTGAATTTGGGTTGATTTATTATATAGCAATAAATACCTGGAACACTAGATAATGTTACTGCAACTATTCTTGGTACTCATTTTTTGTATCAAAGTTCTTGGGTTCTAAGTTGTAAGAAGACTGCCTCTGGATGTTTTAAGCATAGAAGGAATTCATGGAAAGGGTATTGCACATATGTGCAATGTAAGCCCAACATGCAAATGGGCTTGATAGAGTGTTTAGAAAAGGCTTATATAAATAGATTTCATCCTTATGTTTGTCTAATCCTCCTACATGAATGCAGCATTATATGTTGTTTTTGTTGTTGTTGTTGTTTTAAAAAAATCCTCTAAGTCATCTTTAAGCACCTATGAGAAGATCATGACAATACTGTTTATATTATCATAATCCTTAAGCACTCTATAATTTATGCAGAACTAGCACAAATTTTAGCTATTTATATTTTGATCCACTCAAGCAGTCTGAAAGGTTGATAGGGCAAAAATTTCTGCCCCCTTTTAAGTGAGGAAACTGAAGCTTTTAGATGCTACGTGACTTCATCGAAAACTCACATGGCACATAAGGGCTCTGATTCCCCCACGTCTAGCATTCTTGTCTTCTAGATGTCCTATAGGAATCAACTGCCACAGCCACCTGCAGAGCTGAGGTCATCAGGCCGTCATCAGGGTACTCTGCCCTTCTTAGGTGCTGTAAGGAGGAGATCACTTATTACACATGCCTAAAGACTGGACGTTGTTTCATAATTGCCAAGAGATAGGCAAGAGTTGTGCTGAATAATCATAACATAATCTGATGACAATGAAGTGAGGTGAGCTGGTGGCAGGATAAGGATTTGTACTTAGACCTAATATCATTTTTAGCTCACAGTTTTTGTGACTAAGTATGTCAATTATGCTAGATTTCTAGAGTGTTGTAGTTGGGAATATAGGAATGTTGTAAAGCTCCCCCTCAGGGCATCCCACAGCTGGCAAGACCTCACCCTGTAGGGGCAGAAGGATATCACCACCCCTGAGTGTATCTTATCTTTCATGAGGAGATGGGGTGACTTTCGAGGATGTGCCCAGAAAAACCTCTCCAGTCTGATATTCTCTGGTAGCCTTTGCAGAAAATACCTCTTTTGGCTTTGTTGGTATATACTGTAACTGTTACATTTTTATGGAGCCTCATCTTCAGTTTTCTGTAGTATTCTGTAGGATTTAGTACAGATTGCAGAAATGGACAAATGGCCTTGTTTATCTATTCTTTTTTCTTCCACATAAAATCACAGCTACCATTTGTTATTTTCTAAATACTAGGGGGTTGTGATATATAATTTATATAATTATGTTATCAACCTCTATCATAACTCTGTGATAACTGGGACTTAGATATCCATAAAACTTGCCCAATGTTTTATAGCTCCCAAGTAGCTTAGGAAAGATTTGAACCTAGTCTTCTCTTCCTCCAAAGCCTGGAGATCTTAACACCACTGCTCTGAGAGATAATAATGCACCTCTTTCAAGTCAAAATTATAGGAGAGTTCATGGCACAATGTGCTATCTTCATGAAGCTGCTGTTTCTCACCTGCCCAGGGCCTTACTGCAGAAACATGTGTCACCATGTGGAAATCCTGGACTACTCTTCCACTTGGGTCCACAAGGTGATTGCCTATACTACTTTTATCTGATGCTATTCAGAACAACACATAGCCCACATCTATCCAGAGCGTATTCCCTTCCATTTGTGTGGCCATCCATGGCTACATAAATATATTTCTCTTTTTCTTATGCCACTGTAGTTGCAGGACATTTGGAGGATTATTGTTGAAGAAAGGAAGAATGTCGATTGGTAGAATGAAAGTTCAACTGGAATGTTCAGAAATTTATTCTTTTATGTAGTCACTTTTTGTTCTCCCTAAGACTGTGATCTTTTTAATCAACCTGACATGTTCATATACCTCCTCCCAATGATCCAGCACCATTGAAATGCTCCTATCTTCATTCTCAGTCTGTCATTTTCTGTCTTGGTCTCTACCTTGGCTCTTTATCTCTAACTTTTTCTTCTACTGTACCCTTATATCCTGACATCAGGAGAAATGGAAATGTCTTCCATATCTTTTGGTATTTCCTATCCAAAATGGTAATTCAGCAAGCAAATTAATTGCAGCTGAGTAATTAGTATACTTTTATAAATTTCATGTATATTAGCTGATATGTAACTACATGTTGTGTATTGGGCTAAGTCTCTTACAATATCATTTTCTGTCTTCATAAGCCTCTGTGGAGTGGGTTTAATTTCAATCTAAATTCTATAGATGAAGATAAACTGATGCCCAATGGATTTAAATATTATACAAAATCCCACAGGCAAAAATATGACAGCCAGGAAGAAACAGTATCAGGAGCAGAAACTGTGTCTTTCTAAAGCCTATGCCTTTTTCATAGTGCCATCTTACCTTGTAATTTCAGGGCCGGTAAAATAATGTGTAGCAATTCCTTATTTATTATCCCACCATCATTGCTGAAATGCTATCTTCTTTTGGAATCAAGTTACTCCTATGATCAATTTTAGGAGTTGGGAAATTGTATAGGTTGAAAGATCCCTTAAATGAATGTTACCCTAAAGAGAAAAGCTCTTTAAAGCTGTTGGAATCTGGGCTGAAAAAACCAATTTCTATCTATGCTCATGTTAGAAAGGCTTAACCTAGAATAGCTTTTTGAGTGAAATCATTGACCTCATTTTTCTTCTTTTTCCCTTAAACAGAACCAGTTGGAGATAAGTGTATGTTTGTCCCTTGTCATTTATTGTTGGTGTCCACAGCGGTTTTATGGATCAGCTGTTTTTATGCTCTTATGTGTATGTAGAGAAATTTCTTGTGGCTTCTGTTGGTGTTAATTTCTGGATACCATGATTGCTTACTGGCATCGTGAAGATGAATGAAATTCTCTCTAGTACTGTGAGGCCCATTTATTTATGTGTTTTTGAAGTGTTTTTAGTGAACTTTGGAGATAGCAAATTTATTTTCCCATAATAAGCCAGGTTTAAATAAACACATTTTTATCATTTTTATTTTATTTAAATAAGATAAATTATTTATCATTAAAATAATACTTTATTATTATTTTGTAACATTTACCAGTTGGAGGCTTCTCCCTCACTAGACTGTGAGTTTTCAAATGTGAGACTGTATCTCTATATCCACAATCCTTTATAAATTGGCACCGTCTTACTTGTAATGGACATTTGTCATTTTTCTTACCAATATCTATTTCTACCTACTTGAGTAATCAGAAACAAATTTGATTTGAAAAATCTAACTTTCCTCCATTGTTACAGCTTGACAGGACTCTATCAAGGGACTGTGTTCTCTCCAAGCCAGGAGGTATCCAAATTGGGCCTAGCACAGAACTGGATGATCTGTATTACAACACTTAACTTTTGGCTTCCTTTAATATTATGAAAATAAAGGGAAAATATATGTTATAATTAACCAGATATTTACCTTGGCCTCAGCAACAACCTTCTGTGGCTTTATTTTGGAAGTGAGTAATCATCAACTCATCTAATAAACATTGGAATATCTACTATATATTGGGAACTGTGACTGGTATATGCTCCCTGCTCTCAAGGAGCTCAGAGTATAGTAGGGAGAAGTAGATCAAAGATAAATTACACATCACATGGAGATGTGTTTACAACACTGTGGGGGCTCAGAAGAGTGAGGGGCTAAATATTTGAAAAGAATAAACAAGGGTAGAGAAGATTTTCCTGGAAGACAAAGAGGATTAGGTTTCCTAGTTAAGAGGTGCAGCAGGCTCCTCTAAAGTAGGAGGATCCTCTAAAGTAGGAGGAACAAAAAGTATACGGATAACTTGGAAAAGTTCACAGTAGTAATCTTTTGGAGTAGAATGAGAGAGAAAGAGGAGGTAGGTTGGGAGTAGATAGAATTATTATGTGCTTTGTGCACCAAGGTCAGGGATTTAGAATTCATTTCATAGACAGAGGGGTTAAGATGCAGAGACTCAAGTCAAGTGAGGAAGATTATTTTCCTTTTTTTCCCAAGAAGGGGGACAGATAATACCAAAGAAATATTTATTAACCCTCTGATCAGTCAGGAAGGGCAGCAGGTGAGATAGGGTTGGCATCATTAGATAAGACAAACATGAATCCAATTCCATTTATTTCTTCCTCGTTTTGATTAGCATTTTTCTTCCCTAATTAAAGTTAATTCATTTGAGCAATTGACAAGTGGGGCTTTGTATCAGTCTTCTTAGGAAAGTAGATAGGACGTCTGGCATTTGCTTCTTTATATTTTGTTTTTATTGAATAGTCCACTAGTGATTTATCATGAGGAACCAAACTGTATCCATCTCTAGAATTTCCTAAGAAATTGCATCCTTGTCCTTTATTCACATTAGCAACTTTATTAAGGATTTCATGTTTTTTTCTTCTTCCACATGGTCTCAAGAGAGGAGGGAAATCCTGTCTGTTATACAATGTAGCTCATTGCATAATGGGTCATTGCATATTTCTGAAAAGATAGAGGCCAAGGAAGTTTGGAAGGAAACGAAAATGACATTGAAATGTGATGTGTCAGTGGAAAAGGGAGAGGCAGAGAATTACAAAAAAAAAGAGATGTGGGGCAACTATTTTTGCTTTCTACTTCTCATCAGTTATTAATTCTAAACTCTATAAAGCATTAACAGTATGCAATTTTCCTTTTTTGTGTAAGTTTATGGAGTACAAGAGAAGATTTGTGACATGTATATATTATGTAGTGATCAAGTCAGGGTATTCAGGGTGTTCATCACTCAAGGACAATACATTATTGTTAAGTAAAATGGAAACAATTTTTAAAAGACATACAGGATTGGAAATTTTAGAATATATACACATAAATAAAATGAGATCCATCTTTTGAGAAAAAAATCTTTATTCTCTGTAGATGTGATTCAGTTCATTCAATTCAACAAATATTTGTTGAACTTTGCCCGGGTGCCCTTGAGGATTTCAGCATTTCCTGGAAGCATTGAACAATGTGACTCACTATCCATGATACCATGTTGTAAGTCAAAAAGATGTATACAGTGCTATGAGTACATGAAGACAAGGATGCTTAATTGTACCTGTTAGGGCCAGAGAAGGGCTTGACGTAGAAATACTTCCATATCTGACCTAATACTTTAATAATGAATTGGAATTTTCCAGAAATGAAGAAAGGGTGTTATGGGAATAAGGAAGAGTATGGGCAAATACAAGAAGAATGGAAGTGTAGGACATGCTATAGAAACTGTTCAGCTTCTTATGGTCCTGGAATCTAGGAGGTGTGAGTAAAAGAGGACTGGGAGGAGACTGGAAGGTAATGTATCAGTTAGAATTCTCTGGTTACAAGCAACAGAAACTGAAGAAATAGGCCAACCACACATACACATACACACACATCTGCAAGCATACACGCTTACACACACACACACACACACACACACACACACACACACACAGAATTTATTGTAAGAACTTGGTGCTACTCAGAATTATAGGAAATACTGAAGAGCCAGGATACAAAAAATACAGGAAGTGGGCCTGAGAAACTGATGGTGGTCTCTTCAGGCAGCCTCATGGGATGAATTATGTTCAGTGAGTTCCTTTAAACACCAAAGACCAGTGGGATAGCATCTGAATGGTCCAACTTGGATTCCTATAGGCTTAGAGAGAACAAAATCCCTTGATAGAGACTCCTATCAAGCTGTAACAATGGGAGAAAGGGTTCCCAAATCAAACTTGGTTGCTGTTACCCAAATAGTTAGGAAAAGTTATTGGTAAGGAAAATAACAAATGTCCATTACAAGTAAGATAGTGCCAATTTATGAAGGGTTCTGTATGTAAGCTGAGACTTTTGAAACATATTTTAGAGGCAGAATCAACAAGACTTCATGGCCCATTGTTTGTTGGGGGAATGACAAGGGAAGAGTCCAAGAAAATGACAGAATTTTTTCTCAGATGAATACATGGATAATGAAACCTGTAACTGAGACAGGTGTTAGAGGAGGGTGACAAGTCTGTTATGAAAAGCTAGACATATATTTAGGGTGAAGATGTATCACAGATATGTAAACATAGTTTTAAAATACATATATATCACATCTACCTACAAATAAGTCTGAAAATTTCCAGAACAATTCCATGCAGTTTTATTAAACATATGGTAATCCATACATGTCTTATCCAAAAAGTACTGGTCAAGAGCCTCTCTTATTTAGAATACCACCCAAAACAAGAAATGAAGTCAAAAGGACCTCTGCATGTCAAAATGGGTATCATAGAACCTATGCTACAAAAACATTTTAGTCACAAGAAATCCCCTCAAGATCTCTCAGGGACAAATTTTACTTTAGAATGATTATAATAATTATAAGTAACTACTTAGCTTATAGAAGATTAGGAGCAGCAAATTATAAATGAATGTGAAAGTGGGACATGCTGATAACTGCTTAAAATGATAACCTTATATTAAAGAAGGAAAAAATACAAAGTTTCGAAGATTGAAGGGCTCTAAGTCATATGATTCTGAAACTGCATAGCATGAGGAAAACATTCTTATGCAGATAACGACTCCATGAGGCCACTGTATTTATCAGGATAGGTTGGTTATACTGTATTAACAAGCAATACCAAAATCCCAGGGACTTAGTACCACAAAAGATGATTTCTTATGCAAAGACTACCTCTGGTCTCGGTGGCTCCTGTGGGTTACTAAACTCCACATGGAAGCTCATTAATTTATGCTACTGCATATGTAGCACCTGATTCTCAACATGTTCATCACTGAATGTCATAGCAGGGGAAAAGTAACATGGGTACTTCTACCACTGGGTGGAACTAAACACAACCCTGTCAGAGTGAAGGCAAGTGTAATCCTTCCTCATGTCAGAAACAAAATAAAGCTAGAGATGAGTGGGCATAGGGAGCTTTCCCGCAGTCATTCCTGCGCTATGACCTAGGGTGATGATTTAATTTTACAACAATGCTGGCGTCATCTCAGCAAAGTTGAATCGTGTTTGATTACATTTTACCTTAGAAGAAAGGAAAGAATATAAAGTGTTTATTTCACTTCAGTTGTGGTAAGATGCAGAAAGCCTTAGTTCATGTAACACTATCATCATGTGTTTACATAAGGCCTTCTAATGCATTCTACAAAAGTTTCTACCAATAATGGTGAAAATAGCTAAAAATATATATATCATATGAATGGGAAGGCTTCCATTACCTAGTACAGGGGCTGGCAAACTTTTTCTGAAAAAAGCCAAATAGTAAATATTTTTGGCTTTGTGGGCCATACAGTCTCTGTTTCAACTACTCTGTTTCAACTTGCCTAGAGCAGTGTGGAAAGCAGTCACAGAGAGTATGTAAACAAATGAGTGTGGTTGTGTTCCAGTAAAATGTGATTTAGAAAAATGTATGGCAGGCTGAATTTGACCCAAGGGTCATAGTTTACCATCTCCAATCTAGAAAATTCACTTGTGGTCATCTCTGTAGAAACCCTAGGGCTCTCCAGGGAACCTTTTGAAAACTGTGAAACAGATGATATGTGAATCCTTCCTAAATCTATCTTTCTGCTCCAGCCAAAATAGTCTATTTTCTGTTCCTCAAATGCTGTCGTATGCCTGTGCTTTATCTACATTCTATGCTTCTAAGTTCTGCTCCTTCTTTGGGGATCAGATTAAGTTCTACTACCTCTTTTAGGTTTCCCCTAAAGGCTCAGATCACCAATGAGAACTATTTCCTCTAAACTCCAATCTACTTGGCTCAGATGTCTCTTTGCCTTATACAAAAAGATAAGTGCTATATTTCCTGTTGGATTTGAAGTTAGGCAAGAACAATGTCTTGGATTTAATTTAATTTCCTAACACAAAAGAGATGCCCCTTCATCTTCCTTCTAATCACATACAAGCTTCTTGGAAGATCTGGTCACACTCACTCTATTTCCTTTTCTGCCTACTCATCTTTTTAGTATGATCTGGATCCTACCTTCACCAATACCCTAAGCCTCCTCTTAACACATGGCCAAGGAACTTGTGCTTGCCAATTTCCCCTTGGCATTTTCTTATGAGAAGTCGCCTATTTGCTCTTTCCTTATTCAGATAAGAAAGATTAAGTCTTTCAACGGTAATGACCACTTCCCTCTGAAATACACTCTTTCTTTTACTTCCTTGGTACCACACTCTCTTGAGTTTTCTTCTTCTTTCATTCAGTCTTTCTCAGTCTCCTTGCTCCTCTTACCCTTCTTGTCCTTTCAATGTTAATGATCTTTCAGGGGTCCTATGTCTTCTCCTTTTATTTTGTACATTTTTCCTGAGCAATATTATTACCTTTATTTCTTCAATTGACTTCCATATCCTGATGACCTCCAAATCTATTTTTCTTGCCTAGTTTCCCTTCTGACTTCCACACCTATAAACTAACTGCTTCTGAGACATCTCCACTTCGATAACTTAGAAGCCTCTCATACTCAAAATCTCTAAGGCTAAAACCCAAACCTGCTCTGCATCCTATCTTTTCTTTTTAGTGAATGGAGCCACCAGTTAATGGTTGCCAAATCAGAAACCTAGCAAGCAGGTGTTTTGCCTGTATCCCCCAGCCCCAGATGCCTCAGATAATTTGTGTGCCTCTCTTGATTCACTACTCATCTGTTTCTCTCCTGATTTATCCTATACTACAGCAAGATTCTCCTATTGACATTTTGGGCTAGATAATTCTTTGTTGTGGGGGCGCTCCTGTGCATTGTAGGATGTTTGGCAGCAACTACAAGCCAGTATCACCCACTCTCCACACTTGTAACCAAAAATAAATATTTCCAGGCATTGCCAAATGTCTTCTAAGAGGGCAAAATAGCCCCCAGTTGAGAATCACTGTTTTCAAACATCTTTACTCATTGATTACAGCTATATGGTAGGTATATGTTAATTCTTTCTTCCCCTTCTTTCCTGTATTAATTACAATTTTTTATTGCATGAGACAGAAACTTAGCTTGAGCTATCTTCAATTGAAGTCGGGGGGATCTTAAGGAACTCAAGAATATGAATTTGGCTGGGTCTCAGGAACAGCCAGGCCAACAACAATGTTGGCCAAACGCCATTTTGGGTCAGACATCTACACCTGAATCAATCTGCTGTGATTAGTATCAGAAGGCAGGATCTGGCATGGGAGTTTCTGCAGGAATCAGGTGGATAGATTGACGAACGGCCAAATTGGAAGACTGTTTTTAAAAGAAGGTGCCTGGCAGATATATAATAGGTTTCCACCAAAACTTTTCATAAGATAAACCTACAATAAAATAAATTCAGTTAATAAAGAGTTTGAAAACAGGATAGCTTCCTCGAGTGGAGAAACCTGTTTTCTTAAGTTGAATATTGGGGCCCAGCCCATCAGGCATCAGTTAACAAGAGAAGCACAGAAACCATGGCCACACCACAGCTCAGCCCATTCCACAAGATGTGTGGGAAGTGTTAGTGCAGTTCTCACAGTTAAGAAAGGCTTGTCTCCAGTAACTATGTAATTCTGTAATCCAAAGCCAGTGTCAACCCCAGCCTCACTCCTTCCGTCCGGCTAAGGTGCTGCGGCTCCCTCGGTACATCACGCGGTGCCTGATTGTCTACATATTTACAGCAACTCCACAGTCTCATTTACCCTCAGCTATTTGCAAATTGTTACTCCTCTGCTCTGCCGCAGGCTAGTTTATCCTTTTAGGAGGGCTGGTGTGGGGAATGCATGCCATTGGAGGTGGTCAAAACAGAAGCATTTAGGCTCCATGGTTTGTATACTGACAAAATGGGCTTTTGTCTGGGCAACACATGTAGAGCCTTCAGTCTGTTGGGGAGGAGGGAGTTCAGAAAACTACCACAGCACACATACTTTCTGCTCTAGGGAGGTTTCTTTTGTTTGTTTGTTTTAAACCTGGAGTCCTTTTTGGGAAAAGTGCACATGAATTCTGGTGGCCTG
The DNA here is from genome assembly GCF_000001405.40 of Homo sapiens. NCBI lineage: Eukaryota > Metazoa > Chordata > Mammalia > Primates > Hominidae > Homo > Homo sapiens. The sequence continues at coordinate 28,467,019 of NC_000011.10, forward strand.
GCCTGAAATATCCCTCTCCCAGATTCTGGCATGCTGCCTTTCGGGATCTCCCTACATATCGTTTTAAATGATCATTAGCACAGTGTCATTGGTTATTTCAGTTGCTGCAGAGGGCATCTCATCGAGGAGGCACTGCGGAAAAGTTGAAATGTGACTGGACTCATATTAACCGTCTAGACTTCTCCCTCTGGTCATGGTGGCTTCTTATAATGGCAGGGGTAGAGGGGTGGAGGATAAGGGGACCAGGGTAGTGGCAACAGAAACATTTGAGAAAACGATTTTGGTGTTTCAGTAACATTTTTATTCTCAGCCTAAACAAGGATCAAGCTGCATAACACCTCCGTGGGCAACTCCCACCCAGTTGACTCAGGAAGAGCTCAGCTCCCAGGCCTTCGACAAGAGGCTCCAAACTGCCTCCTACTCCACTCTGCGTGTATCTAATCTCCCTCCAGTGCAGCTACTGCTGTCTAACTTATTCTCAACTGCTCACATTCCATTAGGTATTTGCCCCATTGTCTGGAAGTCCTCCTCAACACAGTCCTTGCATCTCTCTCCTACAGAAACCACAGAGGGCTCTGTAGCTATCTTGCCCTCTTCCCTCCCATTTGCCACTTGGATTTGGCTTCACCCACTCAGGTACTGAGTGTCTTCTCTGTACCAAGTGCCATAGTAAGGACCAGTCACAAAATGGTGAAACAGATAAATTGGAAGAATTTTTCCAATGGAGAGTGATGAGGAAGAAAGACAATAAACAAGTAAATAAATTAACTTTTTTGGATGCAATATGCACAATGAAGGAAATAAAGAGGGTAGTAAGCTATAGAGCCATGAGAGATATTTTAGTAGCATGGCCAAGGAGGAGAAGGAAACAGAGATATGAATTTCCCTTCCAAAATATATTTATTTGTCGCACTTCCCCATTCTAAATAAATCAAGATCTAGGAAATGGTTATTTTGCTACTGGACTGTCTAGCTGGCAGATTATGCATGAACCACCACTCAAATGCTTGAACATAACAATCTAAGCATAAAACTTAAACCACATCTCAGCCATTTTTGTTCCAATGCTGCTGACATCCTTGTGCATCTTAATGGTGACACACCCCAAGTGACTTGTTTTCCAGTCCTGCCCCGGACTCTAATTGGCTCTAGGAAGTTCGGATAAGCCCTCAGCCTTCTTTTATCTTAATTTCTTAGTCTGTAAAATGAGGAAATTAAACTACATGTTTTATTAGGATTTTTTTCTAGTCACAAATTCTGTAATTGAGATATTTCCCTCACAAGTTGAGGGTAACTCCCAGGAAAGAGCACCAGGGATAAAAACACGGTGAGGAGAAATGAAGAGATGGTAGTGCGTTCACGAAAAAACAATTTTGTTCCCCAGAGAAGCTACAAGCATGCAAATTTGGGACAGCAAAGCATGTCAGGCTACCTAATTTAACTGGTTTATCAACTACATTTTGATATAATATTGTTTTAGTCTAGTGCATGTCTTTTTAAGAGACCAAGGGGTTGTTCATAAATCTGTGAAGAAATTCTATTTCTATGCAAAATAGTATTATTTAATAATATATACAGTCATAAATTGCCAAAGCACTTGAATTTCTCTAAGTGCCTCTAGTGTAGGTTTCTTGGAGTGTGAGAGAGGATTATTATGAACCTTTGCAAATAACTCCTTGAGTCCCAAAGTCAGCAAAGGGAGCTTCGTGACAGGGGCATTCATACAGGCCATGGTCTTAGCACACAATTTACATATGATTCCAGGGCTCTACCTCACTTAATTGTCTTTGTATCTTAATGTCTTTTGATCAATAAATGCTTCATGGTTGAATGAAAGATTGAATCCCAGGTGGCACTCAGTTGGAGCTCTATTTTACATTGCAGAGACAAGACCAATTTGGGGGGCATAGATGGAAAATTGGACTGAGAATTGATTTTAATTTTTTGTGCTTTGTACACATAATGTAACCTTTCAAAAGCTCCAGGGCCTTTTAAAAGATTTTAAAAGAATGATGTAGCAGACATCATTTTCCAAATTTATTCATGGGTTTAGTGATTTATTTAGTCATTTGTGTGTGTATGTGTGATCTTGCATTTTTAGTGCCATGTGACACAACTTTTGGGCAATAATATTTTAGATGTTATTTGGTTGGGTCAGTTTCTGATAACTGGCTTCCATCTTGGAGTCTCTAGCTTTTAACTTAATACTTACACCATATTTGTGTCACTTCTGATTGACCTTTTTCCCCCCAGTTATGATCGACAAGTAAGAGTTGTATATATTTAAGATATACAATGTAATGCATTTATGCATGTGTGCATTGTGAAGTTATTATCACAATAAAGCTAATTAACATATCCATTCCATCGGCACACATAGTAGTCTTTTTTTGTTGTATGGTGAGAACACTTGAGATTTCTCTTAGTAAATTTCAAGTATGCAATATATTATTACTAATTGTAGTCACCATGCACTTGATCTAGAGTTAGGAGGCATGGATTTGAATGCTGACTCCACCACTACTGGAATACTGGTTGTGTGCCCTTGGGAAAGTTATTTAACCTTTATGTGCTTCAGATTCTTCATCTGTAAAATGGGGTAATAATGATAACAACCTCTTCATTATTATAAAGACTTAATGAGTTAATGTTTGCAGAGCTGTTACAAGAATGTCTACACATAATAAACACTATGTTTGCTATAATTCCTATTATTATTAGAGAAAGTATGATGATGTGCATTGATACACACAAAATTCATGAAATGAGATTCATTTAGAGAGGAAGGGAGGCAAACAGGACACGGGAATGTAACATAGGGATTTTCAATTTATATGTAATATTTTACTTTCTGAAAAAAGAGAAAAGGTCTATAGCCTCTGTTAAAACATATTAGTGTTTACTAATTTTAAATGTCAGGCTTATGAATATATTCATGAATATATTCTAACTTACCTGTTAAACTCTATTTTTTAATTGAAAAGTCATGCACAAACTACAAAAAAACAACAAAAGCAACAAAAGAAAAAAACCTCACAATCACAATGTAGACTCTCTTACTAGAGAAATGGAAAGTAATTAGTGGTAGCAGGCCATTGGTAATAATGTTCAAGGGAAAAACAATCTTTGTATTGTTAAAAAGTTTTAGAATCATAAAAAATTCATCAATACATTTGCAGTGAATGCTTTTTCCCCCTTGCTCAGTCCTCTTACCCCCTTATACTGGGGACTGCATATATTGGAGATTGCTAGTTGTAATCTTTTTACATAGTAATAGAAGTTTTAGTTGGGCACAAGTCTATCAATAAAGACTATATTTACCTGACCCTCTTGTGGCCAGGTGTGGTAAAGTGACTCAGTTATAGTGAACTGAATGTGAGCGGAAGTTATATGTGTGACTTTTATGTCCTGCCCTTAAAGAGAAGAAACACATCCTTCCTTGCCCTTTCTCCCGCTTCCTACTTAAGGGGATGTGACTGTGATGAACAGAGCTGCAGCAGCCATTTTAACAGAAGAGATAGAACCTTTGTATTATATTAATAATGGCAGAGCAATAAGATAAATGAATTCTGGGTTCCTGAAGCCTTCAAGGAAGAGAAGTGCTGTCTTCCTTGAACTTATATGTGAAAGAGAAATGGCCTTATTATTTAAGCCATTTTTAATTTTTGGAAACTGAAGTGGTATCTTAGCTAATGTAAGCACTCCCGTTTAACTCCAGCACAATTAACATGTTCAGCTACTTGAACCAGTAAATTTCCTTTTTGTTACTTGAGATGGGACATGTTTGTTTTTGACATTTTCCACGAAAAATTCCTGTATAATGCAGGGCTGATGTGATGTAACATCTGGAGTCAGCATCCCTCATTTTAAGATAATTTCTTCTTATTATCTACTTTGGTTTAACCACAATCCCCCTACCCCATCACCTCATTTTCCCCGTGCTGATTTTAGTGGCCTAAAACAACAACAACTTCTTCTTACCTCTGATATTTCTGTGGATTCAGTCAGCTCAGCTGGGTAGTTCTCACTTGGTTTTTTTCATGTGTTACAGACATCACCTGGGGCTAGAGCCATCAGAAGACCCAACAAGGCTGGACATCCTAGTTGGGTCTTTTCTCACCAGTTGGTGACTTCTTTTCTCAACAGGTCAGACTTGTTATATAAGCCTGATTTCCTCCAGAGTAAGCATACTAGCAACCAAGGTGGAAACTGCAAGACTTCTGACCCAGCCTCCTAAGACATACAGCATTCCTTGCACTGTGTTTTACTGGTTTCAAGCAAATCAAAATCCCAACCCAGATTCAAGGGGAAAGGATCGCATGAATGCATACATATTGAAAGGTGTGGTTCATTGTGGGACATCTTTAAACACTGGCTGCTACAAATTTTCTTTTTTCCATTTTTCTTCTCAGGAAAAGTCCAGTTCCTTTTTGTGATCTGAATCAATAGAATAACTCATCATTACTCTGAGTTGCGAGGCAAGATTTAGACACAGGTGGTTGAAAGAACTTCTGTGATTTGTATGCTTCCAATTGTAGCCCTCTCTTTGTGTGGGGGTTATGGCCTTCCAGCTCCCCCATCATGCAAGGTTGCTTTTCTGCTAAATCTTTTGTCATCTCTGGAACAGAACATAACACATTCTGAACCAAGGTCTAGATATAATGCAAGCTTCTCTGAGGGTGTGCTAGATATTTCTTTATAACCCCACCCCTGTAGATTTTAACATTGTTGTTTTTAGAAAAAAAAAAGTTTCCAGCTGGTAGATTATAAATCTCCTGGTACAGTTGAAAAAAAAAATTGTCCTTGATCATAGAAAAAGAACTGGCTGGATTCTATGCTAATCAGAGCAGACATCATTCTCTGTGGGGGGAAAAACTCTCTCAATGAACTACTTTGAGGTGAAAGCTATTTGAATGATTTTTCTGAATGACGCAAGGTTGAGCTCAGGAGAGGCAGATCAAATCTGGTGAAAGAGACTAAGATGTTGAAAAAGACTAAAATGTCCAGCTGGGATTCCTGCTAGTCACAGGTTTGCAATAGAAACTTTGAGAAAATATGGTCTTTTTGAAGTACAAGTTCTCCAGGGAAACTAAAGCCATTTAAATTGAGAAAGTGAATAAAAGAAATAGTCCCCTTAATTAGCACATGGAGGTGTTAACTAGAACTTGGTAATAGAATTGTTATAAGTCTTTGCTCTCCTATTTACTTTGAATATTTAATACTAGAGGCCAAGCATGACTGGAAGTTCACCACTGATAGATATCAGTTTGGGGGCTTATTTGCTTCCAAAGCACTCAATAAAGTAGTCATCAATCTCCTAATACAACTGTAATTTACCCAACATGAATCCCTATCTTTTAGGGGCTCAGGAAGGCCACCTTGGTGTTGGATTTCAAGGGGCATGCTGCATCAGGTATTCTACCTAAGGTATTACAGGGCTAGGGAAGTTATCTGGGGTACTTCTAAAGTAGATTCCATGAAGAAATTCAAAAGACAGACTCCCAGAGGCATCAGAGGCAAACATCTAGTCCAACAGGGCTAAGAACAAGAATAAAAGAATATGTGGATTGGACTTTATATCAATCTGTATCAGGCCTGTAATGATAATAATAAAAATTACACAGAGAAAGACCTCTGGAAGACTAGCTGGGGAAATAAACTCAAGGAGAGATTGGATGTCACTTTCAAGGTTAAAAAGCCAAGAGGGTATTGCAGATATTAAATAGGAGGGAAAACAAAAATCACAGCAACTGCCAATAAAATGAAATAAGTTTTCATGTGGATGAAAGAAAACAATAAACAAGAAATTCTTTGTGATGCTATTCCTGACATGAACCTTAGAGAATTCTAGAGACTGAGCACTCAGTAGAAAATGTAATTCCTTGCTTGAATGTCTGCTTTTCCCTTTAGAATTTGAGTTCCAAGAGGACTAGGTCTAGGTCTGTTTCTCTGGAAGATCAGAGTCTGGTACTTCATAGGTTCTTACTAAATGTAGAGGAATAAATGGATAAAGGAGGCAGGCCAGCTAACAAGTTTCCTCTGAGACTAAATTAGGAAAGAGCATGTAGTTCTAGTGGAGGAGAGTGGTGTGATTGACATTCAACAGCTGAGATGGTTTTCAATACTCATGGCTGTGTGTAACATAGACAGTATTGTTTAAAGTATGGATTACCTAGGAATTTTATTCCATTTAATATTTTAATAGGCTTTTCTGGAGAGAATATTTGTCCTGAATTTCAGTATTCCCAGGAGTGCCTGGAAAATGGTGGTATGCCACCAACAAGTGTGGTAAAATTAATCACCTGGGAGAATACAGTTAAAATTGCAAGGTCATAGGTCCTGCATGTAAAACAAATCCTGGCTAATTACGTTTTCATGTTTCTAGGATGAGCAAGTCTAATGACGTTGTTTTTGTCCCCCAGTTAAGGCATACTTATTACATGTCTAACCTGTCTCAGCTGCAGAGATCAATAGTTGGCAGATGTGTGGCCATGCTTGGCTCCTGCATTCATGCTGGATGTGGATACATTCATGTTACAAGAAGTCATGACTCTTTTCTCTTGAGAGCTCAGAAAAGTTCACAGAATCTCCCTCACTGTGCAATTTTTGGAGCAGCAACTATGGGCCAATCAGAATTGGGACTCAGGATGTCCCAGGCATAGAATCCAAACTCCGCAGGAGATAAAGAATGGCATTCAAGCTTCTCCACAATTTTGCATTTGCTTCACCAACCTTATCTTTCTCCTTGGCCTGACCCTCACACTCATCTAATGCTAAAGACCACCTGCAGACTCTAACCTTGCAGGGTGTTTGCCTTTCATCTCTATCTGCTTGGTGAGAACCTATGTTTTCTTCAGGGCCCAACCTCTTTGCACCACTTCATCTGAAGTTTTTATGCCACACCCTTTCCTTTTCCCCATTCCCATACCCCAGGGCAGAATTGATATTTCCTCTTCATGCTTCTATTCTACCTCTGTGAAAGACTCTAGAGTATGTCAGTTGTTTCCCTATCTATTCTCCCAGTAGCAGTGAGCACCAAGGCAGCTACTGCCTCATCTTGTACATGGAGAGATGCACACAAATACACATGTATATACATACTTATAGATGTATAAGTATATACAAGTATAAATGTAAATATTTATAAATCTATCCTTAATAACAGAAAATATTTATTACAAATATTTAATACATATTAAATATGTCTATATAACAGAAAATATTTATTATAAATATTTATATCCATTTTTCTCATGCTGGCCTCCCCCCTTGTGATAAATATACACTAATTTAAGGTGTCTATGTTTAATTCTCCTTTCTTTAATCCAAGAAATAATGATAATGCCTCTCTGTAAAATAGGTCACTAACACTATTGTTGAAAAATATGAGCAAGCCCCCTCAAAATGCTATAGAAGTAAATATATATTCATAAATTTGGATATATATGTGTTCATGAGAAAGTAAGCTCCTAAAAATAGCTGAAGGTGACCCAAGCAGCAAAATCCAGCTTTTTTGGGAGAATATTCACAGACAGCCTGACAGTCTTAAAGTGGATGGCAGGTTACTAAGAAATGAAACTGAAAAGACTCCTGGTCTAATCTGTAGGTATTCAAGGATGATGTAGCCTAATAAGGCCCCACACCAAAGAAGAGCGGATGGTGCAAAAGTTTAGACAAACATCACATTTTTGTGACAAATGTCCATATTTGGTTTGAAAATGCTGTTAACAGAAATATTCCCTGTATGTGGGATTTGACCAGATAATGAAGGGTGGACTCTACATAACCCAAGTGAGGGTGAATGGTGTGTTGTTTCAATACTATTTTAAACTCCCATGCAGTTACTAATGGTGGTACTTGGTCATTGAACCTCCCAGGTCTCAGGATAAGTGCCCTATGTTTAACACATGGAGGCCATAAAGACAACCTGACTTGCTGGTGATACAGGTGACCAAGAAGCAGAGGTCCTCAATCCTCTCTCTCTCTTATTTAATCAGATCGTTTTGATAGCCAAAGGTGGTTATTTGAACTGGATCTGGATAAGCAAGACGCCTACAGGTCAGTTAAGCAGTTGTACTCACCTGGGCAAGAGTTGATTTGAACAAAGGCTCTGGAAGGTGTAAAGGGAAGGTAAACCCACTAGAAAGAAGCTATGGAAGGCTAGAGGCCCTATTAGGGACTGAGTTTCTCACAGTGAGTGGAAACCATGAAGCTAAGCTCACAGCCAAGCTTCATGTTGGTAATTCATGTTGATACTCTAAATGATCAAATGAAAATTGCATGATCCTCTTCACCAGCTTGGTGGTGTGAAGTCACTTCTTTTTCTTTTTTAATATTCAGGTAGCATAGAATTATTCTGAGATTTTCCCTCCATCTATTGTCCAAGATTTCTACTTACTTAGTCCAAAGAGTCCAGCCCCATTTCTAAACTTCAGGAAAATAGAAAACTAGAAAATGATTTGTCTGGTCATGGTCTCGTGGTGTGGCTGTTGAGAAATGGTTTTCATGGTTTGACACATCCTGGTACCCTACTTCAGTGTTGCCATTGGTGGTCCAGATCTTCTACAGGGTGTATTCACTCTTCAAGAGTAAATTTCTTCACTGCCTCTAGTGTTATGTTCTGTTCAGAGTGTTATCTTTTAGGCTCCCAAGGTTGCAGTTCTCTAGTTGAGATTTTCTTCTACTTACAGCATTCCCCTGAGCTAGGGAATCTGAGCGGTCCAAAGGGAATTCAACCTTAATCGTATGTTTTTCCAAAGCCAACCTTCCAGATCACACTCAGTTACCCTCTTTTTACATTTAATAAAACTTAGTTCCACAGAACTGAAGAATTTGCCTGTCCACTAAGTGGCTGAGCAATGGCAAATTTGGGGGCCTGCCTCTCAATCAGACCAGTGACTGTCCTCTCCTCCTGCTACCACCTAGGCTGCCTGCAGTCCTCTGTGGCATGCACACTTTTTGGGAAACAGTGATCTTCAGCTGAGCTTAATGCACAGCACCCTGTCATGATACCTTCATCTGACTTCTGTTTGCTTCCGCAGAACCAGGCTTGCTAGGGGTAGTAGACAAAGAACAGAAAATGAATAATTTATATTTGACTCTCTCACAGAGGCTCCCCACTGGGTTGCTTTCTAGGAAAAATATTCCTGGCTTGCAGTCTCAGCGTGAGAGTATGTGCCAAGCCCAGCCCATTGTCCCCCTCTTCACACTGTCTGAGATATTAACCAGACAGAAATATCAGGCTGCTGGGTTTGATTATTGCCTCTTTATTTTGGTCCCTGGGAAGAGGGAATGCTTTCTATCATTTATGGATAAAACCTCATTTTTCTGAGTGTTGAGTTGTTGTCGAAATGACCCAGATGGTAGATAAGGCAATAGTGGTGACTCTAACAAGACCACCAGAATTCTTATTTGGTATTATTGATGAGTTTCCTTTCTGAGCTTGGCTGTGAGGTATTTGTATTCATCTTCCTTGCAAGCCAATTTCCATTGGTCTGAATTACGTACTGAGAGTTGAGACAGACCTTAGAGGCTTATTTATTCCATTTTATTCCTTCCTACTGTTCTAAACAGGTTAATCAATATGTCCTCGTTCTTTCCTAAGAGAAACTATATTTCCTTTCAGACCATGTAGAAGGGCAAGCCCTGGAATGCTATGTTGTTACCACAGGACCCAGGATCCTACCCTGGTCACATGTTGGTATCAGATGTGAGGATCTGACTTCAGGCACACCTTAAGCTAACCAGTGATCTATGGTGTAGCTTAGTGCTAAAAAAGTTCAACCAATGACTCTTAGGGGATAATCAGTTACCTTTCTGTACTGCACTTCTTAGTGCTGTAGAACAAATCATATTGTGAGCAGTGAGATAATAGAGAAGGACCATAATAGACATGAGTGAGCAAAGTTGTGAGTAATTTAAAACTATGAAGCAGCAGAAATTACCGATAAATTGAGAATGGGGTTGAAAAAGAAGTCAAGTAGTAATAGGAGAAGCAAGAGACAGAAAGAGAAACAGGAAGAGAGGGTAGCATAGTGCTTAGCCACGTTAATGGGAGTCTGCCTGTGACTAAAATCCCCAGACTTGTGCTGTTGAGGTCTAGAGCTTCAAGAAATACAGAATAACTTTTTGTTCCAGTTTCTTTATGTATGGTCATATTGCAATTTATTTTCTTTTCTTTTTTTGAGATGGCGTCTCACCCAGGCTAGAGAGCAGTGGCACGATCTTGGCTCACTGCAATCTCCGCCTCCTGTGTTCATGCAATTCTCCTGCCTCAGCCTCCCAAGTAGCTGGGACTACAGGTGTGCACCACCATGCCTGGCTAATTTTTGTGGGTTTTTTTTCAGCAGAGATGGGGTTTTGCCATGTTGGCTAGGCTAGTTTCGAACCCCTGACTTCAGGTTATCCACCTCCTTGGCCTCCCAAAGTGCTGGGCATATTGCAATTTTTATTCTTGAATATCTGGCAAAGTATTTGTTGTAAGGATAACTGTATTGCCACAACGATCCTTACAACAAACATGAGTTAGCCTGAATGGAACTCTGTCTCACAACTAACATAAAATAGCCTTCTTCATTTCCTACCTCATCCAATATAAGGATTTCCCTTATAGCATCCCTGGAAAAAAATCTATACACTGTCTATTTAAAGACCCAAAGATTGGGTGTTTTATATTATAAGAATGCTCATTTCATTTTAAATAATTTTATGGAGTCAATCTTGAGGCCGTTATCAACTTATCCAGCCCTTCCATTGTTTTTAATATTCATCTTGAGCCATTCATTATCCTTGAATTCTTCTTCAATATTTATTTGTTTTTTAACCTAAAATTTTTCTGTATGGTATTTTTTGAGCATTAAGCTCAAGTTACTGCTAGCTTTTAATTTTCCTTTCCATTTTAGAATGCATCCTCTGATAATTGATTCTATATAGATATGGTTCTTACATGTTGGTGGTCTCTGTTGGCCACATACTACCACCAGATCCTAAGTTCTCTTTTCAAAATTGTTTTATCCTTTATCTATCTATTAGCATGGCCAAACTCTCTTATACCCCAGCTATAAAACTTTATTTTATATTTTATTTTGTTATTTTAGACCTATGTCCATGATCTTAAAACTTTAGTCAGATAAAGAAAGGACCATCTGGAAGAATCTGGAACCTCTAGTTATTAAATAAACTGTAAATCCTAAGGAGATACCATATGAAGGAGTAAATTTCCTCTTATCTTGGTAAAAATGTTGACCATGCTGTTTTTATGAATTCAAGCTCTGTTTATATCCTAAAGCTATGAATCTAAAGACCACTCACAGAGATGGTGATTATGAGTCTATGCCTACCATGATTTCGTGCCTTTAAATTAGACAATTTTCACCCCATCACTCAGATAGTAGACAACAGAAGACAAATATTAGGCGAGTCTGTGGCCTCAATCGTGGTGATTATCTGACCTCTCTTGCATGGTTTCTGTCTGTATTGTTTGTATCTACTAAATTTCAGTGTTACCTTCCTCCAGAGCCTCTTGTCTTTATCTCCAACTTTTTTATGTCTCAAATGTGCCAGCAGATTTGGTATCCCCGCTTTTGATGCTTGGGATGCCTGGGAACATCTCTTGCATTCTTTGGCTTGCTTTGCTCCTGGATGCTCAGGGTAACCACCTGGTATTCATTCACCTCCCCTTTCTCCAGAAACAAAAAACATGAAGCAGTAAGCAACAGTGGCAACTTAAAGAAAGATCAATATGCTATTATTGCTATTTTACAAATGATCTTCTAGTTTTTGGGAGGTTCCAAGGGGCCATAAGTGACTTGGAATGGAAAGGAGTTTTGGTGTTGATGTTTTTTTGACTTGTAAAAAGCTTAAATTCCATTATCTCCTAGGAAGCAGAAAACAACATGGCACCTGCCAAGGGAGGCCCCATGGTTAAGGTGCAGATTGATGTGAAAACAATAGAGAGATGTATTTGGCAGGCGTTCTTACTACTACTATAAGAATGTAAACTTGTACTTTGAAAACTCTAGTTTTTTGCTTATTTCTCTTTGTGTGTGTGTGTGTGTGTGTGTGTGTGTGTGTGTGTGTTTGCTTTTGTAATGTTATAAAATTCCAGCCATGATCAGTTGAACTAAGAATAAAGGAAAGGGTTGTTGCTATTTTGTTTTATTTGTTGATTCTTTAAATAAATATTTATTGAGTGCCTACTGTATGTCATGACTATGTCAGATGCTAGTGTTAACAGAATGAATAAGAAAGATAGAAGCCCTGCCCTTGTGAAAATTTCAGTCCACAAATGTTTTGTAGGACAAGTTGAGGAAGAAGGACAGATACCCAAAAGAGTGATGTAAAAGTGACTGAATCCAAAGAGAGAAGTGACAGCTTAGGGACTAAAAACTAAGAGATCTTTGTATGGTTCCCATTGGCTTTTTTTTCTGTAAGAGTTGTCTCTCTGAAGAACCCTAGTATTTGGGCCCTGAGAAGATTTTATTCCAAGTCATACTCTTATATTCTTGAACTTTGCCTGCTTTGCATACAAAAGGTTTTGTAGTAATCCTGATATAGATTCCATCCAGCTTGCCTGTAGTCTCTTTTCCTATTTTGAGGTCCATCTTCATCAGCCTCAAATAGTGATAAATGATATGGCCTTTGAGTATTCTCTTTCTTATTTGTAACTAGTCTTACTTGGCAAGTTCCTCTTTCTGAAGAACATAACCAGCGATGTGGCAATAATAATCATCAGCTGTATCAAAAAAAGTGTGTGTATATTTGGATATAAATATGTACATGTTTATAAGTTTATTAAACATTTTACTAACATAAAGTATGTGCACTACACAGAATATGCAATACTCTTTATTGTAAATGACATTTAGTGGACTAAATCTAACAAAGTGCTTTTGTTGATTTTTGCTGAACCCTTTTATCTTCACCTTATCTATTGTTATTGATGAATGAGTGTAGTTCCAACATGAATATTGCTTGGCATTTTCATCTACATTAACTATTAAGATGAAAGTGAAAAAATGAAAACATGCTAGAATTTTACTCATTTGTCAGTGTTGTATGTAGCTTATTTCCTGAATTAGATAAAAATTTCAGAATACTGGAAGATTATTTCCTATACAGTTACAGACGTGACATGTTTTTAAAGTATAATCTGCATTATTAACATTTTCTTCATCATATTCTTAAGTATATATACTCAACAAAGCAATACAGCAAACACTGATTTGTAGCATTTGCCATTTTCTATGTTGTAAATACTCCCACTGTGACTGATTTTAAGCTACCAACACAACGTTACTGAATGCAAAATTGGAAAGGGATGTGCCTTAGTGTACCATTATATAGTATTTCCATCTTACAGATACAATAGATGTAAATAATCTTAAGAGCATGTATTTATTGAAGAGTATTTATTGATGTTGTTTTTAATGTTTCTTGTTAAACTATAAATCTATATAATAAAATTTTTATTAATGGCTGTGTTTAACAATCTGCTCACCAATACCTGGAAATGTAATGACAGCTCTCGTAAGCAGTACAAGCTGGCTCTAGCTGACTACTTCAAGTTGCCCTTTGGTTTTAGCGGTGACCCTGGCTTTTAATCCTGGTGAGCAGAATGAATTAGAGAACTACTGTCAGGGGTAAGGCCTTGCAATCGTATATTATTGTTTCACATCTTCATTCCTCTATTGAGATATTAAGGTTTTAGAATTCCAATTTGTAAGCTATTCGTAATTCTCATTTGAAGGCTGTGTAGAGAGATTTTGGATGTGATTTCTTGGTAGTAAGCTTTTCACCTTGCAACAGTTTCAGACAGAAGGAAAAGACACTGGATTCAATTTGCACACTCCTACTCCCCTGCTGCATAGATCTTGGCTCCTGAGGAGATCTTTGAAGCCTTGTCCCTTTAATGGGACAAAAAAGGAGTCATAGCATATGGGGAGAGCAAGGTTTACCTGATCAAGAAGGTAATGTTTAGGCAGGAAGAAGAGAGAGAAAGAATAACGTATTATTTTCTAATATTAGAAATGTTATGTTTTCATAATTTCAATCTACTTGAAAATGCATGATTAAGGAATGCACTAAGAATCAGGTAGTTCTGGGGAGGAAGTATCACATTATTGATACAATTGTAACCCTGATGTCACTAAAGTTACCTCCCACTCTGAACTTCAGAAAAATTTATTTAGTCTCCCTAACTCATATCCATGTGGAAAATTGCTCCAGAAGGAATGCAGTCTTGCTGACACTTTGATGTTAACCCAGTGAAACCCATTTTGGACTTCTGACCTCCAGAACTACAGGACGATAAAAGTGTTTTAAGCCGCTGAATACAGCCCATAGGAAACAAATACACCTTCTTGTCCTTCTGCAGGGACTTTATGTGTAGGCTTCCCATGAACACAAAAGGCGGTAGGAGACTGTCAATGGGGCCATTTCCCAATTGTTCCAATTGTTGGGGGCACACTGAACGTCCCTGCAAAGGGATTCAGTCTCCATCTCTGGGTTTGGTGACTTCAGCTGACTTTTCCCCTCTGATTTCCCACCCATCCAATGGGAGGGGTAGCTTTTCTTGGCAGCTAGGCATAATATCCCCTCAAGTCACTGAAGCGGCCAGCAGGATCACATCCCATCCTGGCCCAGAGGTACCCGAGCAAAAGCCTGACAGTGGAGGGAGTTTCTTCAAAGCCGCAGCTCAGGCTGCTCAGCGCTGCCTGTGTGACAGTTCCAGTAGAGGGGTGTGTCACACAGCCATTATCCAGTCACATCTTAAGTGCAGCCCGCTGGGCTCAAATACCACTTTGGGAAGCAATAAATAATTTTCTGTTATTGGCGAGGGTCGCTGCAAGTTTCCTCCTGATTTTTGACACTTGTTTCCACAGCCCATTGCTGTTACAAAATGAAAACCCAGCATTAAATGTTTAATTCTGAAATACATTTTCTCAAGAGGTGTTCATTTGAGCTCCCTGGATTTTGAGCTTTTTTTTTCCACCCTTGTCTGCAAACTCTCTCAGCCCTAGGCACCCCTGCTGCAAGCCACTGAAGGATGAAGAATAAAATGATTGCTTTCAAGAATGGGTAATCACTGGTCTCAAGCACTCTGTCAAATAGCATCATCAGCAGAAGGCAAGTGGGGAAGCTGTCTTCACTTCTCTAATGGCTGGAGGCTGTAGCTACTACTTGTAATCAGGAGCCCTAGCCTTTTCCTGCATACTGGATAGGAGTTACCACTTAAGCAATTTATAGCCAACTCATTATGCCTATTTGGAGATTGAAAAGCATACTTTGGTAACATTCATATCATGTTTGGAATTGCAGTTCTTTTACTTCCTAGCTGTAGATCTTAGGCAAGATACCTCTTAGGAGCCTCTGAGTCCTTGTCTATTATATAGGGGTTATATCTTCCTTGTAGGGTTCTTCTGAAAATCACAGATGGTGTGTGATGCAAAGTGCTTAGCACAGTACTTGGCACAGAACTGAGTAGTTGCTCAGGAAATCCTAATTCTCGTTATTAGTAAATATTAAAACAAGTTCTATATTTACAGTTTCCTCTTCCATTGTGTATTAGCTTATTAGCTCCACTTATCAGATGAGGAAGGTAAAGCTCAGATGTTTTAGTGACTTGGTTAGTAGATAATGTGCCACTGACCAGAGCCAGTTTGTCTGGCTCAGGGCTACATGCAAAGTGTGGCTCAGCATCACCTGGGAGCTTGCTAGAAATGCAAATTTCTTGGGCCTACCTACGGAGTCAGCATCTCTCAGGATGAAACCCAGGAATCTGCTGTAGGAAGTTCTCCAGGTAATTTGTGGGCACACCAAACTTCAAGTAGCACTGTTTGAACTATGATTCAGAGAGCTCTCATCAATGTGCCATACTGCCATCTCAGCCCCAACTTCAAACTAAGACATCCTCCTGGACAATAGGATAAGGCTGACCACTGTGGGACACAATCCGGATCAGCCTCTCTCCTCTTCTTCCCTTTTTCCTGCCCCCACATAACCATACTTCAGTGAACATGAAAAAAAAAAATGCTGCTAACCAGTCCCAAACCAGGAACTGTATTTTTTACTAGAAAAAAGCACTAATAGGAATTTCTTTGCTTGATTTAACACCAAAAAAGAGACATGCTGCAGCAATGCATTGGGCATAATGGGAGATACCTCCCATTATGTGAGCACTTTGAGCTCACTACATGTTGCCTGGCATTCGACAAGACGACAGAAGACAGCCAGCGTATCTGGTGGGTGGCAATGGCGGGAAAAACTGTTGACTCATGGGCCTGATGTCGGATATTTAGACGACTAATTGATGTTCATAGCTCCATCTGCTTATTTCATCAAACCTCAGAGACTTCCTTTGGCCTCGACATTAAGACCAATAACTTTGGAGGCTTAAAATACTGATCAAGAGCCTGAGCTGTAAGCCAGGCAGACTTGGATTTCAATCTTTTTTTTTCTCTGCAGCTAGCTACATGATCCTGGACCCAGGGTTTATTTTTGAGTCTCAATGTCTTCATCTCTTTAAAGGAGGGATCTGCAAACTTTCTCTGTGAAGTTCCAGATTGTAAATATTTTTGTCTTTGTGGGCCATATAGCCTGTGTCTCAACTAATCAACTCTGCCACTGTAGCATGAGCATAGCCATGGGCAATATGTCAATAAATGGTATGACTGTGTGCTAATAAAATGTTACTTATAAAAACAGGTAGTGGGCTGGATTTGCACTGCAACTGGTAGTTTTCTAAGGTAGTTTTCACAGTTCTAAGGTACTGAAACCCTGCTCTAAGAGGAGGTGCTAATAGTGTTTGTTTTCAGATTTATTATGAAGATTAATGTGATAACATAATGTGTACACCTAGTACCTAGTGTAAAGTAGTTATTAAACAATTGGTATCATTATTTTTATAAGCTATATCCAAATGGCATATTGATATATATTTAAAAATAGAGAGTGAGATGGTAGGACTGAGAACTTGAGTAAAAACAAGATTCTACATCTTGTTTTTAATGACCTATTCCTCCATATTAGGAGCTAGAAGATATATATGCATATAGAACAAAGCAAAAATCGTATAATAACGGTGATGGTGATGATAATAATGACAACAGTAGCACATATTAAGTACTTGCTCTAAATCTGGAATTATTCTAGGTTCTTTACTTTTATTCCTTATTCAATTCTCACAAACAGTCCTGTTAAGGTCTGTACTATTTTTAGCTTACTTTTATTACAAAGAAATCAAGGCACAGAAGTTGAGTAATTTGCCCAAGATAACATAGCTCTAAATTGCAGGACTGGAATATGGACGTAGGCAGTCTGGTTTCAGAGCCAACTCTCCTAACCACTGGGCGACAGTGCCTCCCTAAATGCGACACTGCCCTGATGTCACCCGATGAGTCCTGTGGAGAAGAAATGCTCCAGTGGATGCCCAGCCTACATGTCTTTCAACCCCGGACTGCCTATGGTATGCTGTTGTTTGGGATTTCCATGTCCTTTGTTGCCTTGCCCCTCCTTTTCTCCATTGCAGTCTCTATATAGGCCATCTAGTCTGATGTTCCTCTGGGGGATCTGCTTTTGGCTCTGCATCATAGCTGTATCTCCCCAACATCCTAGATCTATCTCCCTTGGTTTCAAAACATCCTAGGTGCTCTGGTAATGATCTTGACAACCTTTATGCTGGCTCCTACCAACTCATTCACTTCTTTTTCACCTGCTCTTCTTATTGGGAATGCGATCGTTTTGAGTAGAGCTGTGGGAGACACAGAAGGTGAGACTTGACTCCAGGACATCAACTACGATTTCCTGAAGGTAATTGGCAAAGGGTTTCTAAACAGTCTGGCCGTCCCACACCAGGGTTTAATGGCCTACCTTCTGTTGCTGTTGGTCACATGCCTCAGCTTAGAACTGTGCCTGCTCATGAATCAGGTATATCTGATGGCTTCTCTATCTCTTCCAGACAAATAAAGGGCTAAACTGAGGCCTGGAGAGGAATTATTCTTGAATTATTTTCAGATTCTCCCTCGCTATGATGCTAAGTTCCTGGTAATGAAGTTTTTCCTGATCTGTGACATCCCACAATCCAAAATGAAGTTTTACACACACACACACACACACACACACACTCACACCCCACAGAGCCATAGCTGGCATGGGCATTCTTGTTTCAGCTGTTTATTTGAAGGAAAGTAAGACTAACTGTGTCTAACTTATTGAATGCAAGAAAAGAAAAGAAAAGAAAAGAAAAATAGCTTAATTATAATGTCAGGATGCTGGATATAATAATGACAATAACTATATTTACAAGGTTCACTATGTGCCAGGCACTGTTCTAAGTCACAGTTCTAAGTTACTGAAAGTCTTTTCTTACTAATGACAAATTCATTAGTCAAGATCAAGTGCGACTCAGCATTAAGAACATAAAAACCAAATCGCTAAGAAGAGGAAACATTCAGAAATTCACACTAGTTACCAGGATGAGTATGGAAACATTAAAGTGAGGGGCAGAGAGAGAAGAGGCAGGGACATAATGAATCATATTGTTGGAAACTCAGATACATGCTGGGCAAGTATTGGGGTGGAGCAGGTTATGGGGAGGAGAGAGTAGAGAGTAGAAAAGATAAAACGTTATTGAGAACTTAATATGTGATATGCATTTCCTATATGAAATTTCATTTAATTCACCCCTTACAACAGTGTCTTAACCATCTCAGGTTGCCATAACAAAATACGTACTGGGTGGCTTACACAACAGGTGCTTATTTCTCATAATTCTGGAGGACAGTCCGAGATCACAGTGCAGGCTGATTCAGTTCCCAGAGAGGGCTCTTTCTGGCTTGCACATGGCTGCTTTCTTGCTTATGTCCTCAGATGGCCTTTCTTCTATGCGTGTGCATGTAGAGAGAAACCTGTCTTCCTCTTCTTTTTATAAGGCCACTAAACCTACCAATTAGGACCCGACTCTTAAGAATTCATTTAATCTTAAATGTCCTCTAAAAGTCCTGCCTCCAAATATAGACACATTAGGGTTAGGGCTTCAACACATGAATTCTGGGGAGACACAATTTAGTCCATAGTTAGCGCTATGAGAAGGGGAGTATCAATTTTAGTTGATAGATGAGAAAGTTAACACTTAGAGGTGGTAATAAACTTGTCCATGGCTGCAAATCTAGGATATGGATGGGAAAGCCAGGTTCAAACCCAGAAACTGTGATTCCTGGGCTTTCCTGCATCTTAGGCCACTTCACTCATGGGGGATGGTACAGGAAAGTCTGTGGGAGCCTTCGGTAGTCCTGGGGACCAAGGGAGACCTCTTGGATCAGGCTCTCATGTTAATCTTTCCCAGGTGGACACAGGAAAAAAGAATGTGTTTTTTCCTTTTTTTTTTTCTCTGCCTCTCTTAGATGATTGGGTAAAGCAGATGTTCTGTCCATTTCTAGAGAAATTGGCAGGCCCTGGAGATACTGAGTGGACTTCTATGATTTTCTACTGTCTGTGCCAATGAGACTGAGCCTTTCAATGTTTCTGTTTAGCCTGATGCTGCCAGGATTGTTAATAAAGCCTGCGCCTCTCTAGTGGCAGTGGTGGCCATCTGCCCTTTAGGCCATCTATGTGGTTGCCCAGAAGTAACCTCTCATTGTCTGTAGCAATAAATCCAAGCTGGAAGCCTGTCTGACAGAAAGGACTTTTACCTCCTCAACTGTCTTCTTCCTAATGTATCTTCAGAGTGTCATTTTGCCATGCCAGGATATTGTAGCTGATAACTTAACTTCTTTATCCATTCAGCCTGGAAGAATGCATGTGGACACTGTTCACCTTGTCAGGAAGAATCAGTTCTTCCATTAGAAAAGGAAGAAAAGAAAGCACCAGGTGAGGTCAGCCATGGCCACATTTTTTCAGTGCTAGGTGTGGACAGGCAGGCATGAAAACTAAGAATAGATCTCCTGCAAACCGACCTTTAAAAAGGTACACATAAAATGCAAATTAAGAAAAAAAAATACAGTGCCATTTTCTCTTTATTAGATTGGCAAAGGTTTTTTTTAAGATGTTCAAATATTCAGCTTTGGTGAGATTGCAGTGAAATCTCATTACATTTATTTGCACAGCCTTTCTGGGGGGCAATTTGGCATCATGTTTCAAAAATCTTTAAAAGGCACATACCTTCTGAAACAAGCACATCCACTTTTAGAAATGTATTCTAAGAGAATCATGCATCTTCAAAAGTATTTTGCTATGAGGACGTTCATCTCAGCCTTTATAATTGTGAAAATTGAAATAACTAAAAGCTAATAATAGCATAGTTAAGTAATTTATGGTTCATTAATACCATGAAATAATATCTAGACATAAAGAATCTGACATATTAAGTAATTGTTGACCTAGAAAGATACTTATGATATATTTTAAATTAAAAAACAGGTTACAAGTTAGCATATACACTGTGATTTATTCTACATACTATATGTATTAGATATTTAAAGTCCAGAAAGTTATGTACTTAAGTTGTTCAATGGTATAAAGGCATATGATCACAGTTTTCATTGCCTTCCTATATTTCTATTACATTTCTCCTATAATAAAGTCTCATTTTTCTAATAAAAAAGCTTATTTTAAACTTTTTAAAATTTTTTATTTTAAACTATAAAAAGAAACAATTGCTTAGAAGGTATAAAGGACCACAGATGTAGATACAGAATCTAGCCCAATCCACTGCCTTATCACCATCTACCTCTGTCTTAGCTTCTATTTCTTCTCTCAGACACTAGCTCCTTTCCTTGGCCATCTGTGGCACTACAATGTTGAATTGCATGAAGTATTAGAAATGTTTTCATGAATCTATAGTTTGGAAGTAAGAAGGAGCAAACATTTACTAAATGGAGGGAACCACAAAACAGAAAAACTTTTTTTATTTGTATCACAAAAAGCCAAAATTTGTAACTTCTTTGGGTACAATAGAGAATTGTAGCTAGCATCAGAACTCTAGCTAGTGTCTACACTGAGGACAGGACAATAAGAAATTCTATAAATTAGATTTCTACTTTGACTAGTAGTTCCATAATTATTGTTTATTTATACAACAGTTTCCAACTCAGCAATGAAAATATGCTTATTTAACTCATATTTTTGAAATGAATTATATTTCCCTGCTGGAACAAGTCTGAAAATATTTTGCAGTAACAAGACCAATTAAAGCAAAATTACTCTATTTTAAAATTTTGGCTTTGAGAATAGAAGTTTAAAATTAAGCACACTTCATGAGCTAACTTACAGTATTATGATCTCAAACCAAGGAATAACAAATTCCTAAAATCCTGTTGCTGTTTTTTTTCTATTCTTATATTTATTTAAAACCATTTCTGTGTTTCTAAAGAATAACACAACTCAGTTTTATAATAAGAGTGTTGTGCTGTTTCCTGTCACTTCCACTTTCTCATCTGGAATTAATTTAAATGAATATCAGCTTAGTGCTCCATAGGATCTAATCTATTTACCACCCACTAAAGTTAACTGGACTAATTTCATTATGTCATAGTTGACGCTACATTGCTTATCCTAGTGAAGAGTTGAATTCTCAGTTCTGAGATGGTCTCTGGGATATGCAAATTCAAGATGTAGCTCTGCTCTGCCCAGCTTGGCTGGATTTTGTGTTATGACATAACTGTAATTTGTTTGGAATAATTCCTGTCCCTTCTGTTTCTGGTCCTTTAAATCAGTCAGATACACCCAGATACCTCAACTGATTCTAAATAAGTCTGACCCCACGATACTTTTTTTTGTGAACCTTCCTAGACCTGCTGTTCCTACTTCCTCTTTATTCCATCTCTTCCTTCTGAATCCCAACTCTAATCCTCTGGATCTTAGGTCTTAGCATTTATAGTTGGTGGTGAATCAAATACCAAGCAGACCTTCACTAAGAGATGTTAATGTTAATAAGCTTAGAGGTAGCAACTATGTGTTATGGCTACAACCCTCTCTTCTTTTACCTTACCCACAGTAAACATTGCTAATCTTCATGGCACTTTTCCTTCTGAGCCTTAATGAAGTCTCTCGATAGAGCTCTTCAAGCAATCACTACCAATTCAATGGGTGAGATGTGTGTCACAAAATCTACTTGCCATTTCTGGGCTGATGCTCCTAGCTCCTCTTGCTTTGGACAGCTGCTGGTATAACATCCTCTCTAAAGCCTTTAGAGACCAGTCCAGTACAGGCCACATGTTTGGTACCCCAGCCCCTTCCTATGCAGTGGATATCTTTGATTAATTGAACTTGTGATTCTAAAACAAGAGATTCTTTATTCAACAATTCTTTCTTCAAAAGCTTCCTTGGTACTTCAGAGCATGACTTGTTAAATAAAATTGTCAGCTGTTGAAGGATGCACTCCTTCACTCCCAAATCCATTCAGCATTCACCTGTTATCGACAGGACATGTCAACCAAATATAGTGCTGGCATAATGGGGAACACACATAAACAGGATGTAGTTACTATCTTCAAAGAGTATAAATCCATAGGAGGGGGTCTGAAACTTATCACAGTATGAAGCAGAACAAGCCATGTGCCTTAGAAAGGGAGACTGAGTGCTATGGAAGCCCAGAGAGAGAGAGAGAGAGAGAGATCATTTTCCACTCATTGTTGGAGAAGTTGCTCATGGGAAAGGTAGCAATTAAGGTGCACACTGGCTCTTCTACTAGGTATGTAACCTTGAACATGTTATTTCACCTCTCTAAGCCTCAGGTTCGTCAGCTATATTGTGAGAATAATATTAGTCACTTTGCAAAGAATTTCAGCAAGGATTAGATGAAGAAAATGGAGAGAAATTCAAGCTGGCACACTGTAAGTGTTCAATAAATGCTAATTCTGTGAGCGCCCCTGGACTTAGACCATGAGAAGAAAGAAAAGTAAACTTCTCTTTACTGGTCACCCTGTGCAGCTGACCCTGTTCCTGCGTTTTCCTCCATCACTGCATGGTCTCCCTTCAGAAGCATTTACAGTGGTGCTAGTGGTAGGGGTAGAAGAGGAATAGAAGGAGAGGGAAGAAGGGGAGGAAGCAGAAGGAAGTTACAATGGATAAGGAGTGAGGAAGATCAGTTTTCTTGAAGAACTTTACTTATCTTTTCAGTAGTTGAGGTGTCATGGCTGAGAAAGATTTTTGAAAAGCATTCTGCAATCTGGTCCATGGAAAGAGATGTTAACTTCTCTTGCATTCTCACCTGGCATTGCCAGGGATGGTGGTAGAATTGTTCTAATCCTAAA
Organism: Homo sapiens; assembly: GCF_000001405.40. Classification (NCBI taxonomy): domain Eukaryota; kingdom Metazoa; phylum Chordata; class Mammalia; order Primates; family Hominidae; genus Homo; species Homo sapiens. The sequence goes on from NC_000011.10 coordinate 28,490,268, forward strand.
CCCCAAGAAGCCTCTCAGTGAACATTCATCTGCACCCAATGATCATGATAGCTAAATGTTCCTTGTAGCTGTAGACCCTCAGATTCATTCTTACATTGATTTTTCCCCAAATCTATCTCTTAATAATGCTCTCAGACTGGATGACCTACTGTTGGCTTCACATATTTTGCAAGAATAATATAAAGCTCCAATGCCATGGAAACACGTTTGGTGGCTTAATTCAGTAGATCACAATTTTGGCTGCAAATTAAAATCACTGGCAAAGCAGGGTCTCCTCCCCCTGAGATTTTGATTTAATTTATCTAGGGTGAGATCTTGGTCTCAGTCATTTTTAAAGCTCCCCAGGTGATTCTTAATGTGCAGTTAGGGTCGAGCACCACTAATTTAATTGAATACATTTTGAGAGGAAAACCTCAGTCTTAATTTGCCTATTAACTGTAATATATAAAAAAAGACAAACATTGAAGAAAATTACAGGAGAAAAAAATAGTCCTTATCTGTTGGAGACAAATGTTAGCCTTTTAAAATAGCTAGGCTAAAAAGGCAACATTCATGACAAGACTATGCATAAATAGACATTTTTGTCAAAAGGTTTGGCTGATTATTTGGGGCATTGTATAAAGATAGAGACACTCCAAGGATTGGAAACTGGTCCCAGGATTAGAAATTTGGAAGGATTTTGTGTTGAATTATGAAATAAAAACACTGTCTAAGTTTAGCAAAAGTAATTTCCCAATGAGTTATTGCTCAATATTATCTTTACACATTAAATCTTGGCATCCCTAAAAGGGAAATTGAAGAGCTTTGTGGACTTTTTAATATATAGGACTGGCCCTGGATATACCCATAGGCAAGACAGCTGAGACTTGCCTTAAAAGGGGCTGGGAAAGCAGATTGGCTATCTGTTTGGACCCTATAATTTTACCAAGGACATAGAGTGGAAGGAGTTGCATAAGAGTACAAAGCTGTAGTCCAGCTTTGACCAACTAGTCCATTTATTCATATTGCTGAATTAAATATTTAATGCTTATTGAATGGCCATTTCATTCTTGATTCTAGAAGGAGTCCCCTTATTGAAACTGAGGGACAGGGTAGGAGCTTGAGCACAAGAAATAGAGAAAAAAATCCAGGTAGTAACTAGGACCCTCACTCATTCTTATATCCCACAGAGCTTTTATTGGTCACGTCAGGTGCATGGTCTAGGCAGAGCCAATAGCAAAACTGGTGATGCTAGGTCACCTGGGCTATTGACTCTGCTGATAAACAGGGATGGGATTCAGCACCAGCAGTTGCAAAAATAGAGGGGCAGAATATGGCAGGTCACTCTTGTGTATAGTCAGGAAGTACTTCTGACTCATCCTTAATGAAATCAAATCCATGGGTAAAACATCTCCAACCTTTTCCCAAAGTGAGACATAGCCAGAAAACCTCCTCTGGAAAGATTACCAGATATAATATAGAACATCAATTAAATGTGAATTTCAGATAGACAACAAATACCTTTTAAATTATAAATATGTCCTATTTTGGCCCAAAATAGTTATATTAGAGAAAAGTATTTACTATGTTATTGAAATTCAAATTTAACTGGATGCCTTCTATTTTAATGTTTTAAACTCCCTGAACTCCCTTTCCCCGATAATCTACCTTAGTTTCCTTTCTTCTGTGTTCACATGGGACTTAGCACCTGGTATCACTATTAGCTATTAAAACTTTCCCTACCCTGTTTGCATTGTATAAGGTACAGGCCTTTAGGAGCCTGGCACAAGTAAGCTGTCAGGAAAAGTTAATTGAATGGAATGATGATGGCAACAAATATGTCTGAGCACAAAAGTATGGCTGGTTTAGAACAAGATGTTTTTTGCTATCAGAGAAGCAATTCTATATGCAGCTGACGCTGGTGTTACATGAAAACATTTCTAGGGCTAGTCTAAGCTTTGTAATTGAGAACCACCCTCTCCATTCTAGCTTTCTAGAAGCAAAGTGAAGCAGTTTGTGGTGTCTTCCTGCCCCATGGAGGGTCTGGGATTGGATTGTTAGACTAGCAGAGTTGACAGGCACATCTTGTGGCAGGTGCTTCTTTTACTGCTGTTGAAATGTCCAAAGTTTCTATCTGCCTGCTGTACCTCAAAGCTGAAAAACATTGAATCAGGTCCTGTGGGGGGTGGTAAGTGCATAGGTTTCCTTTGACTTCGTATTCTTGCTGTGTGGAAATGTCAGAAATTGATAAATTTTAGAAAAGGCAACTGGAGCCACACACACACACACACACACACACATACACACACACAACATTGAATGCTGACTTATTCCTATTGTCATGAGCAATTCGTGATTCGCCTGCATGTTGATACCTCCTGGAAAGCCTATGTCAGGTCTCTATTTGTAATTTTTGGAAATCAATTCCAACTTTTCACTTTATGAGTGCATTTACAGCGTTTGTAGCATTGACTAGCATTATCTGCAGAAAAATATAACAAAATGCTAGTATCTTATGTAAGTACAGACTGGAATAATTTAAGGTATGTGAGGCACCTAGTATGGCGTCTAGCCTCAGGAAATGATAGTTGAAGATCAGTAAGGATTTTTCAGGTACATCAGGTACATAATGAAGTAGGCATATTATTTGGTTGAGTAGCTCAGGCATACATAGTTGGTGTAGGGCAAAACCAGGACTAGAACTCAATTATCCTGATTTTTAATCCCATAAGGGTCCCTTGTCAACAGTGGTAGATCATGAATATCCTGGGTGATTCTGGAGTCTCTGTTGTAAACAAGAGGAATTTGTTTGAAAATCATTCTTGTAAATTCACAAGCACAGACCTTCAGGTGTGGTAGTGCTCAGGACACAGTCATCTCCTCATTCTCCTCTGTGTTCCAGATCTGACAAATCATGCCCATTGCTCTCCTTTTTCTTAACATCCAATGCAAAGGAAAGCCAAGAAATCAGTTGGCCCTGGACCCCAGGGTTTTTATTGTTAAGTTTGGGAGTCTTAAGGACAGAATCAGGAGTGAGCCTCCCCATGCTTAGTTCATCATATGGCCTCTGTTCTGTCATGTCTCATCTGAACTGTTGGGCCTGAAGACTAAGAATGGAGCATCAATAATTAAAGGTACAATCATAGCTGAAGCTTCCGTTAGTTATTTTTCTCCAACCCTGACATTTTATGAGTCAACAAAGCCAAAGCCATCAATATGAAGCAGACTATTTTTAGCAGTTTCTTAACCAGTGTGCTCTAGCTTTAAATTAAACATCGACTCTGGTTATTATTAAAATTCTGAAAATTCTGGGCAGAGAGGATCCCATGTTAGTACAGTAAACACTGGGCTTTCATTACCTTGTTTTGAAAAACATCAATTCACTTGCTGTTCCCTCCAAATACAACTGCGTAAAACTAATAGATTGTGGATTTTCTAAGGATTAGTTGTTCAAGGTCAGAATCTGAATGTATGGGTTTAGTTTGCATGGTTGATATTACTCCAGACTTCAACCTTTTTAGATTTGCAATATCTTAGCAGTGACATTATCTTGTTATCATTTGATTCTATAAGTTTGTCCCATTCTCTGCTCATCAACAACAAAAATATGGCAATAAATTTTCTTAAAATAAATGACTGCTTTTGCTTTGAGAATTTTGCTACATATCTTGCAATATGAGAGAACTAGGACAGCCTCACTGGCATGAAACTAGGATTAGAAATCAATTACACTGGCATGATATAGTGGAAAGAACACTGGCCTTGGAGCCAGAAGACCTGGTTTCTGCCACTTACTAGCTGTGTGTCCTTGGACAAATGATTTAGTATATTTAGCAAATACACAACATTTAGCAAACAAATTAGGATGAAAGATGTCTCATTTTTTAATTGAAGGAAACTGGGTGAGAGCAGTAATGTCCAAACTCAGTTCTCCACACTCATTGAGATGCTTCAGGGGCACCCACAGAGCAGGGAGAGAAGGCCATGCAACAGGGGTCGATCTATTCACCACCAACCCACTTTAATTATCTACTGTCATTTGTATTACCTCTTGAGCTGTTAAAGGTTTTTCCCAGGAAAGAAAAGTCTGACTGCTAAAAAAGTTTCAAAACCACTGGACAATATACTTTTCAATCTTTCTTTTGGTTCTACAATTCTATCCCCATTCAGTGTAGTATGGTAAGTAGGAGTGTAGGTGCTGGGGTCATATGGCTCAAGTTCAAATCCTGCCTCAAGCCCTTACTGTGTATCTTGAGCAAGTCGCCTTACCTCTCTGTGCTTTATCATCTTATCTCAGAAGATAACATCTCTCTGAGATGGAGAATGATATGGTTTGGCTGTGTCCCCACCCAAATCTCATCTTCAGTTGTAGCTCCCATAATCCCCATGGTTCATGGGAGGGACTCAGTGGGAGGTAATTGTATCACGGGGGTGGGTCTTTCCTGTTCTGTTCTCATGGTAATGAGTATGTCTCATGAGATCTGATGGTTTTATAAAAGTCAGTTCCGCTGCACATGCCCTCTTGCCTGCCACCATGTAAGATGTGACTTTGCTCCTCATTCACCTTCAGTGATTGTGAGGCCTCCCCAGCCATGTAGAACTGGGAGTCAATTAAGCCTATTTCCCTTATAAATTACCTAGTCTCAGGTATGTCTTTATTAGCAGCATGAGGACAGACTAATACAGAGAAAATAATGGTTCTTGCTTCATATGGTTTTGTGATAACTAAATGAATTCATATGTATAAAACACTTCACACAGTACCTGGCATGGAGTCACTGCTGAACTAATATCGGTTATTATTTTAAGTTCATTTATTCATCAAATATCTATTGTGCATCTATTACATCAGTTATTGTGTTAAATTTCAGAGATTCAAAGTGAAAACAACATTGTCCAACCCTCATGAACATCAGGGGCTAATAGGAAATATAAACCATAGAGACAGCCAAGTAACAGTGCTTGTAAAGCCATATGGTAACTTGTGCTTAAGTTCTGAGGGAGGTGAAAATACAGGCAGAGGGATGAGCTGTTGCAAAAGAGGCAACAACTCATGAAAGGTCTTTGAGAATCTCTTGGTAGTTTAGAAGGGCTGGAGGATGGGCCAGAGGATGACAAAAAGGGAAAAAGAAAGAAAAGGACAGACTAGATTTGATCTTCAATAATGAGAGTCCAGCTAATTTGCAAGCTCTCCCCTATTAAAGATGCTGAGCATGCTTGTAAGGGGGGTGTCCACTACCATCTCGGCTCCTCCTTTACATCGTGCTTGGCTTTCCTATCCAACTGTGAGGAATTATAATGTACTTCCTCTTGCCAAGTCAGGGCTTGAAAGTTTATGTTTGCTTATATGTTTCAGTTATTCATATAACTCTGAGATTTCAGACATTTTCCAAACAAATCCATGGGAAAAATGAGAGGGTGGAAGAAAAGCAAAAAGACCCATAGTCTTTCCTAATAACATTTAAACCCAAATAAGCCATCTTTCTGAAAGCCAAGTGAAGCCCTCAAACCAGAATCTCTGCTGTTTTTTGATAGAAAAAAAAAAAAATCAGGCAAAATCCAGGCCTAAAGAAGAGACTATGCTGGAAAGCTCAGAGAAAAGGAAAAATACATTTAGGGATGAAAAGATCCATGTTGAGAAATGAACCCAAATACAGCAGCACTTTCTTTCCTTTGGACCCTGCTTGTCTTTCTTCATGGCTAACCGAATTCTTCAGATATCCTGAATGCATGGGGGTCCGTTTCAAACATTTTTTTAGTGTTACCTAGTGATGTGGCATAATCATTGATCCTGGCACAAATAGACTGTCAATAATATGCTGCAAAAATAAATGATTAATGAGTGTATTAATCTGTTCTCACACTGCTAATAAAGACATACCTGAGATTGGTTAATTTACAAAAGAAAAAGGTTTAATGGACTCACAGTTCCACATAGCTGGAGAGGCCTCAGAATCATGGCAGAAGGCGAATCAGAAGCAAAGTTATGTCTTACATGGTGGCAGGCAAGAAAGCTTGTGCAGGGGAACTCCCATTTTTAAAACCATCAGATTCCATGAGACTTATTGACTACCATGAGAACAGTATGTGGGAACCACCCCCATGATTCAATTACCTCCATGTGGCCCCGCCCTGGGCACCTGGGGATTATTACAATTCAAGGTGAGATTTGGGTGTGGACACAGACAAACCATATCAATGAGTGAGTGAAAGACAGAGGGAAACACAGGTGAATATCTTAAAAGCTATTTGAACCACCATAAAGTTTACAGGTTTTGCAAGGACAGAGGTTGTGGCTTCTGCTGCCATTGGGGTCACCAGAGAGTTTTATGGACACATGATCAGTGCCTGCTGTGGATATATGGGACTCAGTGAATATTTCAATGTCTTGGTTTGTCTCCTTTCTAGCTTAATAGTTTCTACAGAAAAACAGCACTAAACGAAACCCAATAGACTCTATGTGTGCCAGTAAATAACAATGTAAGTATGAACTTGAGGCTCAGCTAGTGCCCTGACTCTAGGCAGCCTTTAACTTTGTCTATGATGTATGCAATCTGTATGGTCCTTTCAGAAAATTCAAGTCTTTCCAAAATATCAGGCTGCATCATTAAAACTGCAAAACCTTTTCCAGTCTTTCCTAGCCAAATACCTTTGAACCTTCCCCTTCTCTTTCTTGACTGAGATTCTTTTTCTTTATGTCAACTCAAGGGAGCCAGTGCCAGGCACCGCATTCAGGTTTGGCATTGAGCTGGACATTGAGGCTAGTACAAAGGAAGCTGAAGACTCCATCTCTGCCCTTCAGGATTTTGTAACCTGGTTTAAGGATAAAGGAGACTGACTTAACAACTGGGGAATAGTTAGCAGGCACTATGATAAAGGGCTAAATCATGTTTCAGAGTTCAGAGAAAGGACAAATTGTCATGGAATGGAGTGAAATGTTACTCACTTTTTCTTTAGCTTTGTATCTACAAGAAACCTTCTCCTGTTGACTCCAGTGCTTGCAAATACTAGTGTTTGCTTCATGCACAAATATTCTTAAATCTAATGACGTGGTGCCACAACATAAATTCTCAATCTGCATGGAAACTGTAATACAAGCTTATGTGTTGAGGCAAAAGGAGCTTAATTTCCATCTGTGCTCCAAAATGGGAAAGAATGACATTCTACACACTTTGAATACTCTTCTATATGTTCCTTTTCAAAGACAAAAAATGAATTCAGACGCTTTTTCTGTGGTTATATGTGTCTCCTTGGCTTATAAGTCTTCTGAATGCAGGGGTGTCTTACTCTGTTTGTGCTGCTATAACAGAATACCACAGACTGGGTAACTAATAAACCACAGAAATTTATTTCTCACAATTCTAGAGGCTGGGAAGTCCATATCAAGTCACTGCAGGCTTTGTGCCTAATGAGGGCTTGGTGCCTGCTTCCAAGATGGCATCCTCTAGAGCAGACAGACAATGTGTCCTCACATGGCAGAAGAGCAAGAGAGGCAAAGTCTCTCTGAAACCTCTCTTATAGGGGTATTAAGGCTGGATGCGGTGACTCACACCTGTAATCCCAGCACTTTGGGAGGCTGAGGCAGGCAGATCTCTTGAGGCCAGGAGATCAAGACCAGCCAATATGGTGAAATCCCATCTCTACTAAAAATACAAAAAGTAGCCAGGCGTGGTGGTGCATGACTTTAATTCCAGCTACTTGGGAAGCTGAGGCATGAGAATCGCTTGAACCTGGGAGGCGGAGGTTGCAGTGAGCCAAAATTGCACCACTGTACTCCAGCCTGAACAACAGAGAGAGACTGTTTCAAAAAAAAAAAAAAGGAGGGGTGGATGCAAAGTCATTCAGGAAGGCATAGCTGTCATGACTTAATCACTTCCCCCAAAGTCCCCATCTCTTAATACCACCACATTGGGGATTACATTTCAACACATGAATTCCGGGGGCATTTCAGATTGTAACTGGAGTGCAGTGGTGCAATCTGGGCTCACTGCAAGCTCTGCCTCCTGGGTTCACGCCATTCTCCTACCTCAGCCTCCGGAGTAGCTGGGACTATAGGCGCCCACCACCACGCCCGGCTAATTTTTTGTATTTTTAGTAGAGACAGGATTTCACTGTGTTAGCCAGGATGGTCTCGATCTCCTGACCTCGTGATCCGCCCACCTCGGCCTCCCAAAGTGCTGGGATTACAGGCGTGAGCCACCGTGCCTGGCCTCCAAATTCTTATACTCAGGGATCTAACAGAGAAGCTCAATAGCATTTTCTGAATTGTTTATATATCCAGAAAAACTAAGCAACTATCTTTGCAATTGTAAAAGTAACAATTCCTCAAATCTCCCTCCTACCCCTATTTGTCCTTTCCTTTTGCACTGACCTGACTAAAATTCCCCTTATTTAGAGATTCATCCCTTTATGTAAGCACTGCCTACTTCCCACTGTACTTTGATTAAAGGCAATAGTTCCTGGACTAATGTCTATGAAATAGTTATCATCCAATTATTAGTTATTTCAGATTCTTCATGATACGGTAAGGTCCCTACAAGAAAAGGACACTCGTTAATACCTAAATGTTGTTCATGGCACATCTTGCCTTAAAGTTTTTACTGTATTTCTCAACTTTTGTCTGGTCTTTCCTACTTTTTATTCCTTTTGTTATGCTTTTGTATCCCAGATTATAGGAGGAAGAAGAGAATATTCAGAGTGGTAGAAAAGCAGGGTCTAGAGCTTGACTGCTTGGTTTTATTAATACATCTTAACTCTGCTGTATGATCATGGACAAGCTATTGAACTTGTCTATTCCTGTCTTACAGGGTTGGTGTGAGGAGTAAATGAGATCTAGCTATGATAGGCCTTACGTTGTCTACCTCTGGCTTTCTACCTTGCCTCAGATTCAGGGGTCTACCTCAGGGGTCTGCTGGTCTCAAGCAGACCTGCCCCTTGGACCTTTGCCTAGGATAACTGATGTTCTCCTCAACCTGTTTTTTAGGTAGAGTGTGCCCAAGATCACAAAGGGTAATAGTGCTTGAGGAGTGTTTCAGACATTTAGCGTGTGTGTACATACATGCACACACACTCATACAATAATTGTCATTATAACATCCAGGTATGACACTTCACTTTTTCTCTAAGAATAAGAAGTCCTTTGTAACTATGCAAATGGCATGGTTTCTAACCTAAATAAATATATTAGATATGCTTAAGAAACAGCTACAAAAGAGACATATTGTTCCATTAGTTCTCTTTATTCCTAGATGATACTGGTCATTTCAATTTCTGTACCAAGATCTAATATCAATCAAAACTGTAGCCAATCTGAGATTCTTTCCATGGCTTGAAATTTGGTAACTCAATCATCTCTTCCCAACTTATTGGTACTTAACAAAAATATTTCTGAGAGTGACTGCTGAATAAGTGACCAGAGATCACTTTGAGTTATGGCCTCTCAGTCTGGAGAAATCATAAAATGATCACAAAAAAAGACACTGTTGGGCATTTCAGAGGTCAGGAACTGTAAGTACAGGGACTCTCAAAAATTTCAGTGTCCAAGTTTCTTGGGTGGCTCAAACCCAGGGACTGGGTTAGACCTTCAACAGTCATAAGAAAAAATAAGAAGAGAGGTGTGTTCAATCAGATTCTGACAGCCTGCCAAACTGAAATCTAACTTTGCTGATGCATGTGGTATTCTGGGTAGAGCAATTGTCCTTTTAATTAAAAGTAATAACTTTTTCTATTGTTTGTTTAAAGGGCAGGTGGTTGGAATTGCTATTTTTTTTTTTTTTGTCTGTGGCAAATCCATAATATGTGGGTCTGGATGGGAGGAAATAATCAAATACCAAGATGAAGTCCTGATGCCTTAGGAACAGAGGCCCATGACATAGAAACTCCTGTAGTGGCTGTGAACGGATACACACAATGACTAAATGGTGGGCTCAGGATTCACATCCAGGGCTGTACTACCTGGAGACTGTCCTCTTACTACTATGCTGCATTGCCTTCTTCTGATCTTGGTTTCAAGAGTTGAGAGTGACTTCGATCAGCTTCCAATCCAACCACTTCATTTTAAAGTTGGGGAAGACCCTTGACAAGAAATGCCCATTTACATGAATGAAAATCTCACTTTGTAAAATGCCTATTCTACATCTGTTGAGGTGAACCTTGATTAAGAACAGGCTTGAGGGTGGTCCCAATGCATTGGCAGGTAGGGTTTTCACAATGAATTTCTCCTGTATTCTGCTCTCTTCAAGTGAGTTTGATCCTGTGCATATGCAATGTGAGCAATATTTTTCCAATGTCTTTTTTTTTTTTTTGAGACAGAATCTCGCTCTGCCACCCAGGCTGGAGTGCAATGGCGAGATCTCGGCTCACTGCAACCCAGGTTCAAGCGATTCTCCTGCCTCAGCCTCCCGAAAACTGGGACTATAGGCATTCACCACCAAGCCTAGCTAATTTTTATATTTTTAGTAGAGAGGGGGTTTCACCATGTTGGCCAGGCTGGTCTTGAACTCCTGACCTCAAATGATTCACTCTCCTTGGCCCCCCAAAGTGTTGGAATTACAGGCGTGAGCCACTGCACCCGGCTTTGAATGCTTTTAATGTGTTCTTCTCTTTTGATTTTCAGTGTATATGACTTTTTCCTCAGTAAGCCCAAGTGCTATATCTATCACATTTCAGCAGGAATGAAAAGAAAGATAACATTTAGGTTCTGACACCCTATTAGGATTTTTAAAAGCTGCAACAATTTTATCTTCTTCAAGCCCAAGTTTTTTAAGCGGAACTAATATACTAAATATCTTTTATTCTCATATTCCCACTATCCTGCCTTTTAATATATTGAGAGCCTTGGCTGGCAGGCTTGATTGTGTAGTTTCAGTAATAGACATCCTAAATAGACAGCAAGAGCAGAGTGGTAATACTCATATCAGCTAGAGACATTTGGGGTGGAAACAGTAGATGGGCAGCTATGTGCCCTACTACCTTTAGAATTGAATATCAGAGAGAGGAAGAATGTTTGGTGATTTAAAGAAAATGCTGAGGGCTGAGAGATTTCTGCTCCCTCTTTCCTGCTTAAGATTCTAGAAGATAATTTCCTTATAGGTAATCTACCCAATGCGAAACATGGCATCCCAGTATGGTTAAGTGGAAAGAAAGCATGAATGTAGCGCTTTAGAACCACCCTTATCTCCCATGAAGAGTTTATCATATGCGCTTGGGACAGGATGCAGAGGTTACTTGAGATTTTATCTGAGGAGTTTGCCAGAAAAGATTCCTGGCATTAAATAAAAGTGGTTCTGTAGTTGATGACTGCAAGGAGGTTACAATTGGCTTTTGGTGGCGCTTTCAGCATCATCTACAGCCACACCGTCACGGAAGATACCAGATTATGACAGACAAAAAGAGAACAGACATGAGTTTTGCCAGCTGCAAACTTCAGCCTGGAATGTCAACAGAACTCTCAGGAGTAAGACCAGTCTCATGTCAGTGGTCATTAGTCCAGGGAGCAATCCGTATCACCCACTGTGCAGTAGATATGAGCAAGAACCCTGAGGGTACCATGTGCACTCAAGAACCTGGCTCGGCCAGGCGCGGTGGCTCACACCTGTAATCCCAGCACTTTGGGAGACCGAGGCAGGCGGATCACGAAGTCAGGAGATCGAGACTATCCTGGCTAGCGTGGTGAAACCCCGTCTCTACTAAAAATACAAAACAAGTTAGCCGGGCGTGGTGGCGGGCGCCTGTAGTCCCAGCTACTCGGGAGGCTGAGGCAGTAGAATGGCGTGAATCCAGGAGGCGGAGCTTGCAGGGAGCGGAGATCTCGCCACTGCACTTCAGCCTGGGCAGCAGGGCAAGACTCTGTCTCAAAAAAAAAAAAAAGAAAAAAAAAGCTCTTCCACAAGGGCACAGAAACCATAGACCCCCTTATATCCAGCTATCTTCTTGGAGAGGAGTTAAATGAGGCGAGAGAAATTTGAAAGATTAAGAATTTTATCCAAATAGAGACTGGTAATTTACTAAAAAAAGGTTTTTAATCAGGGACCAGCAAACCTTTTCTACAAAGAGCTAGAGAGCAAATATTGTAGGCTTTATGAGCTGTATGGACTGTACTGCAACTATTCAATTCTACCCTTGTAGCATGGAAGAAGCCATAAACAATATGTAAATGAGCAGGTGAATATGGTCTAACAAAACTTTATACACACAAACCCATGGTGGGCTTTTAGGTCCTAGTTTGCCACCTTCAGGTTTACATTACTGAATCAGACTAAATTTCCTGGATTCAACTAAAGATAATTTTCTCCTACTATCCAAAAGGGTAGCAGCTTTGAAGAAAGAGGAAATAAAAAGTGGAAAAAACTGACATTTTCTTTGCATATTTTTATAAGATATGAATACAATTTTGGTTATTTGCACATTGAGAAGGGAGAAGAAATCTTAGTGTAAAAAGAAATAATTTTTTTCCCTTTTCTCTGAAGGCTTGTGACCACTGGGATGTTGAGGGTTGTGAGAAGTGGATACCTGCAAAGTAAGCTCAGGGTACATGATGGAATTGGGGGACGTGAAAAAGAGCAGAACTTATGGGTCTTCTGTTCTCTTTGCTAGGAGCTCTGGAAATAAAGGAAAGTAGGGTTTGGCGAGGAAAATCACTTCAAATAGTAGTCATAATTATGTTAATGATAATGATAAAATAATAATTACCACTATAATATCAGTCAAAACAGGTCAAGTTATGCTGTAGTAACTCTGAAATCTCAATGACTTCAAGTAAAAATGGTTTATTTCTCACTTGCTGTCCATGTCTGCCAAGAGTCAGCTGGGGGCTCTCCTCCACATTGTCCTTGAACGCCTCCCAGGACTCAGGCATTAGATGGGTCACTATCTGAAGCAGCATCAGTTGCAGTGGTGTACAGTATTGGTAAAGTACAAACTGCCTTTAAAGATTCCCGTGGAAGTGACACACCTCACTTGTGCTCACATTTTATTTGCCCATAGTAGTCATATGTCTAAGCCTGACCCTTGTGGGGTGTAAAAGTACGATCCTTCCCCAGGGAGGAACAATAATTGTTAGTGAAAGGTAAATCAATATACTTTGACCACTATTTCCAGGTAAGGACATAGTGAGCATTGTGCTAAACATAGCTAACTTTATTCTTACTCAGAAACCGTATAAGATAGACACTATTCTCAACATTTTACTGGTGATAAAATTGAGGATTGTGGAAATTAAGTAACTCATTTTACCCAGCTAGCAGATAGTAAAGATTCAGACCCAGGCTGGGTGTGGTGGCTCACACCTGCAATCCCAGCACTTTGGGAGGCCAAGGCAGGTGGATCATGAAGTCAGGAGTTTGAGACCAGCCTGGCCAACATGGTAAAACCCCGTCTCTACTAAAAATATAAAAATTAGCCAGGCGTGGTGGCACGCACCTGTAATCCCAGCTACTCTGGGGGCTGAGGCAGGAGAATTGCTTGAACCAGGGAGGCGGAGGATGCAGTGAGCCAAGATCGTGCCACTGCACTCCAGCCTGGGCAACAGAACAAGGCTCCATCTCGAGGGGAAAAAAAAAAAGATTCAAACCCGGTAGGCCAGATTCTATAGCTCATATTCATAAATATCCTGTTATACTGTCCTGATAATTTATGATGCATTAGCTAGATTAAGAATTGCAAACTTAGGCTGGGTGCAGTGGCTCACACCTATAATCCCAGCACTTTGGGAGTCCAAGGCAGGTGGATCACCTGAGGTCAGGAGTTCAAGACCAGCCTGACCAACAAGGTGAAACATCGTCTCTACTAAAAAATACAAAAAATTAGCTGGGCGTGGTGGCAGGCACCTGTAATCCCAGCTACTTAGGAGGCTGAGGTAGGAGAATCGCTTGAACCCGGAGGCAGAGGTTGCAGTGAGTCGAGATCACTCCATTGCACTCCAGCTTGGGCGACAAGAGTGAAACTCTGTCTCAAAAAAAAAAAAAAAAAAAAAGAGAGGGAGAAAAGAAAAAAAAATTGCATACTTAAATGTTCAGGGACCAGGCAGGTAATATAAATGCATGAAGCATGTTGAACATACTACAACTTGAGCTAGTAGGGCTGGGGCAAACTACATAGCTCATGCTATTCCTAAAAGGAGCAGTTGTAATTCATTTTAAGATAATTGTTGCCATCAAGAAGTATGTCCAATGGGCCCATTATTGTCAGGTCTCCAGAATTTTTAAAAAGCCATTAGAAATCTGGATTTTCATGCATAATCTCCTAATTTCAAGATGTTAAAGAAAATCCAAGATTTTTTAAAAAAATATATGGGCTAAATAAAATAAACCTATGGGTCAAACAAGGCCAATCGTTTGCAATCTCTTAACTAAGTCTTCTGATAGAGTCTAACCAGCTTGTTGGGAAACAAGTAAACTGAGAAAAACCTACTCAGATTATTAGGTCATGCCCATGGCTACAGCAGCAGAGCCAGCGTGGCAAAAGCTAAATTACTGAATTCAAATAATTGTCATCGTGATGCACATATGTTAAGGGCATGGTTGTATGCACACATTTTTATTTTGAACTCATTCGAATGTTTAAACAGCCACAGAGCAATTTTCCTTTGCAAGCTGCTGGCACGTAACATGCACTAATTCTTTCTTTCTCTGGCTAGTATAGAGCTGTCATTATTCACTGGGGAGCCTTGCTTAGGAGGCAGTGGTTCAGTGCCCTTCAGTTCAGTTTATGCTTCACCACCAGACTAAGCAGCCCTGTAGTTTGACATGCGTTAATTACAACTGAACAACTGGTAGGGCCATTCCCAGTCTTAGTTAAAGCTGGTTGCATTGGCTTCTGGCATAAAGAGCCAGGACTGGACCTGGTGGGAAGCTGGCTGGACATGGCTTTTCCTGGAAAGGTGATAACTAGAATTTTTGAAGGAACTGGGAAAAAGTGTAACTCGGTGTGTATGTGTGTATGTGTGTTTTTTTTAACATAGAGATTCGGGTATATTTTTCTTGAATGAAGATCTATCACTTTCATGAAATTCTCAAATAGGTTTGCCACCTCCAAAATACTCACCAACAAACTTTTCAGGCTGGAAACTCATCAAGTAGCTGGTGGAAGTATCTCCAGACCATCTGCTAAGCATTCCAAGCAGGACGATTTACTGACACGGATGTGTAAACATGGGTCATAGTTTCCTGCTGCTTTTCTTTACCTGGAATGTTCTTTCTGGTCAGCTCTGTCTAACTAATTATCTCCGCCCATTAAAACAAACAAACAAGCAAATCCATAAACCATTTCCCAATCCTCACAGGATGTTTTTAGTTTTTCTGAGAACATTTTCTTCATAGCTCTCTGAAGACATTTATATTCTGCCTTTTGGTAATTGTTTGTGTATGTGTGCATATGTATTATATCATTTCTTAATAGAATAATAAACTTGATGAGGGTAGCAGAAATGTCTTATTCATCTGGAAATCGCTGGTAGTTGCTGGTACATGTTGGATACTTAATTTAGTATCTGCCATCTTGAATTTCACTGTTTGGGTGGATCCATAACTCAGCTGGTATGATCTGTAAATTATTGTCGGTTCCTGGCCTATAAAAAGTTGAGTGACTGTGTAATGACGATGGATTGAGTGTTAGTATGCTCCTAGGGTTTCCTTGAAGAGACACTGGGAAAGAGAGTGCACACTTCTGTGCCTAACCCTTTGCAAGTTCCCAGCTGTAAAGGCAAGGTATAGTTAAGGAAATGATTTTCTTTCACTCTGGTAGACTCCTCTTGCCCTGTAAGTTTGTGAGAGCCCTCATTTTGCTTCCTCATACTCAAGCCTGTCTAAGTCATAAACTCAGTCTTGGTCTGGCTTCCTTCCCCCACTACCTTTTGGAGTTTAATAGATTAATGGAATAAACAAATGAAAATGAGTTATCAGCCTGTACTCTCCGCTTGCCTCTGTTATCCAAATGACGTAGGGTCTCTCTCCCTGGGAGGCCCCATTGCTTTTGATTTGAAATTGTTTCTACTAACCATATTGGCCCAGTCTTTATTATGACTTAGTCCCTATTTTGATATTTCCTGTGATGTAACAGAATAATCATAGACTTTGAAATTAGACAAACCTGATTTTGAATTTCAGTGTCATTGCTTACTAGCCTTATGAACTTGGTTGCTGAAATCTTCATTTTATTACTTGGAAAACAAACTTTTAAAATAATACCTATTTTTTCAAACTGATTAAAAAGATTAAATGAAACCATAATGTAAATGGCACAAAATAAGCACTCAAAGAGTGGTAACTATTATTATACATATTCTGTCCTATAAAAGATTACTCATTCAATATTTATGCCTAACCCAAACTTTGGTCTTAGGGTATATCTTGTCATATAAAACATCTTACTTGAGATTATGTATTCTGTATGACTTCCTAGTTGTAACTGTGGCCTGTATCCCTTTTGCTGTGTTCAAAGTGTCAAAATCATGGAGTTTATTGGTACCTGAATTGCTAATCAATCTCAGTCTCTTTTTTTTTTTTTTTTTTTTTTTTTTGAGACAGAGTCTCACTCTGTTGCCCAGGATGGAGTGCAGTGGCACAATCTTGGCTCATTGCAACCTCTGCCTCCTGGGCTTAAGTGATCCTCCCACCTCAGCCTCTCAAGTAGTTGAGACTACAGGCATGTGCCACCATGCCTGGCTAATTTTTGTATTTTTAATAGAGATGGGGTTTCACTATGTTAGACAGGCTGGTCTCAAACTCCTGACCTCAAGTGATCTGCCTACTTCAGCCTCCCAAAGTGCTGGAATTATAGGCCTGAGCCCACTGGGCCTGGCCCTCAGTCTTTTTAACACAGTGTTTCAGCAGCCGTTACCAATCAGTCAGCACACGCATTGCTGACTTCTAAATGTCTACATTAATTAGACCTTACCACTTGTAATAGTCCATTCTTGCATTGCTATGAAGAGCTACCTGAAGCCTAATTGATTCAAAGTCCTGCAGGCTGTACAGGAAGCATGGCTGGGAGGTCTCAGCAAACTTACAATCATGATAGAAGGCCAAAGTGAAGCAGGCATGTTTTACATGGCTGGAGAAGGAGGAAGAGAGAGTGAAGGGGGTGGTGCTACACACTTTTAAACAACCAGATCTCCTAAGAACTCACTATCACAAGAACAGCAAAGGGAAAATCCAACCCCCATAATCCCATCACCTCCCACCAGGCCCCTCCTCCAACACAGGGGATTACAATTTGACCTGAGACTTGGGCAGGGTAACAAATCCAAACTGTATCATCACTTTAGACCTTACCACTTCCCTCAACTCCAGACATATATCCAGCCATGTACATGGCTTCCCTTCTTTGATTCAACGGACTTCTTAAACTTAATGCTTCCAGTACAGAAACCTCGATTTTCATTTTCAAAAAATCTCCCCTACTCTTTCTCATCTCAGAAATGGGACCCTAATTTTTTCAGATGTGCTTAGTTTCCAGTCCTGGAAATAATCTTGGAATTATTCTGTTTTCTTCATATCTAATCAATTGGTCCTGTTATTTTCTTCTCTAACCACTTCTTGTCCCGCAAACTGCTACTTCTCAAGTCCCTGAGACCATCACACCTTTCCTGGATTATCATAAACTCTTCACCACATTGCACCTTTACTCCATTCCAGTTCTCCTCATTCTATTTTTCATAAAGAAATTGGAGTGATATTTTTAAATGTAAATCAGGTCACCCAACTTATCATCTCAAAACCTCCCAGTGGTTTCCCAGCCCATTATAAAAGATCTGAAATCCTCATCATGTCCCCTAAAGTGACACGTACTCTTGTGTCTGCCTAATTTCTAACGTCATTTTTTCCCGTCCTGTACTACAGTTGTAAAATGCTTGTTCTTCTGCTTTTAAAACACTTCAAACTTATTTCCTGCTCAGAGCCCTGCCTCTACCCTCATCAGCCAGTCCCTCTTCAGTCCTTATTTTTTTTTTCATAGCATTTATTACCACATGGAATGTTTTTTGGTCAGTTTTTGTTTTCTCCTTCCTGTCAGTAGTATGTAAAGCCTACTGGAATTTATACAAGAGACAGGATGTTGTCAATTTTATTGCTGTAACTAACATCTAGAGCGGAATCTGTTATATAATAGCTGCCTAACAAATACTTTTCAGTAGGTTAATGAATGACTGCATGAATGTATCTATCCATCATTTCTATTTTAGAATTTATCAACACCATCACTATTAACTGTAATTCTGTTCTTATCCAACTACCTACTTATCCATCCACCCAAAGAAGATTTATTGGCACCAATTTTGTGCCCCATTGATAGTCTAATTAGAGAAACAAAATCTACCACCAAGTATCAGGCAGGAGCATATTTTCACTTGGTATAAACTGATGTTTCCACATCTCTAGGGGATCTTTTTGTCCCTTAGTCACTTCTCTTCATGGCCACCAACTAATAGGCTCTCTCTTAATTCTTGCAATGCCTACTTGGTTTAATTCTGTATAATCATCAGGTTACTCTGGCTTTGGGGGATGCTGATTTAAGAATGGGCTACCAATACCTCTTTTGTCTGCAATCATTTGGTATTTAAGGATTATTTCTTGCCAAAAAAAAATTGTTAAACCAAAAAGGCAAGGGACATCATTTAGGGATAAGACCAAAGTACCTGGTCCTGGTTTGGTAAATCAAATGGGTTGGCATGAGGCCAAGATGGGCATGGCATAGTAATGTTAACCTACAGACTGACCAACGTAGTGCATAAGGGAGCCAGTTTTCATGTTTCTAGACCATGATATCTACTGTCTAAATTTCCTGGGCCTCCTTTTTTTGACTAGGTAGTGTCCACCTTTTCATTGACGATAATGTTAAAAGGCCTCTGTGGCACAGGTTTGCAATTTCTATGCTTTCTTGATGTTGAAAGCATCATAGAGTTAAAATCAGGCTGCAGCTGTTGCTTGTTAGTACCATAACTTTGCCATATGTTCTAAGGTTTGTGAAATGGAGAATAAATCCCTTGGAGCTGGAGATTTTCAAACTCTTGGATTTCAGTGTAAACATAAGGTATTCTACTTTTGAAAGAACTGTGAATGTCTGAAGCATTTTGACAAAATCATCTTTGATCTCAGGAAGCCAGCATAGTGCTTAGCACAAAGTCAATGTGTAATTGATGTATGATGAGTGAGGTTTTTCTAACTTTTTCAACAACTGCCCAGTCCTGGAATGGGTTTAAGATTAACCTGCTTTCCTCTCGTTGCACTAAGTCAATCCTTTATTTAAAAAAAAAAAAAAAGCAAGACTTATCTTTTGGATGCAACTTTTTTTGCCTTTACATCCCAGATGTAGAATAATAAGATGGAAGATTCTTGGGCAGAAAAGCAGGAGACCTTGTTTCTGCTTCAGTATGGGCTGATAACTGAGTTGTGAACTTGTGTAAGTTGTTTTACCTCTCTGGGCTTTTGCTTCTTTGTTTGTAAAATGAAGGGCTCAAATTAGATCTCCTAAGAGTTCTTCTGTATTTCACATTCTGTGAGTTTCTTGCTTAGACACCCCCAACCTTATGTCTAAGCATGCTAAGGGAGAGTGTGTTATGGGGAGCTCATTGCATTTCAGGTGTTTTCCTCCATATTGAATTAAATCCCTCACTTGTCTCTGCTTTGTACCTCCTGCAACTTTATTTTAGGTTGTAGAGTTGGCTGCCAGGTATCATTTTTTTTTTCTATTCTTCTTGAACTAAGTAGTAAAAGAGTTACTATGACAATGGAGTAATTTTCCTGGATGCCCACATTCAATTTGCTTAAGTAGATATTAGGATGGCAACATGTTTCATTAGCTCCGAGGCCCTTGGGATGTAACACTGAAGTGCTATGCAGGCCAGAGCTTCAGGTTAAGCCCATTGAAACCTGGATCTATTGACTGTGTAGAGATGACATTTTCCTTACAGCGCCTGTGTCTCAGTTGTTTGGACTTGATAAGTATCAAAATAAATTACTAAAGGAAATTATAAGAAGATCTGCTACTTCAGCTAACAAAAAAAGAAATGGAATAAAAACTTTAAGCACAGTACTAGATACCATAAATCAGAAAGTAAATAGCCAAGATATTAAAAAATATGTTTTGCATCTGTTTGTTTATTTTCCTTTGATGTAAAAGAGGAAAATAGACCTTTATCTAAATTAAAGATTAGATTCCCAAAGGCAGTATATTAAGCAGATGGAAATTATATGTAGCTAATGTCCAATAGTGAGAAAATGGAGTGAGTTTGGTCATTTGAGTAAAATACCAATTCTGATTAATAATCATAACAGTAATAAAATAAACATTAATGTTTATAATAGTAGTATCAGTGAACAATTTTGAATGCTATGTGTCAGACATTATGTTGATGATTACCACATGAAGTATATGTTATTATTATTATTCCAGTTTTACAGGTAAGAGAAATGGAGGTTTAGAGAGGTTGATGACGGGCCCAAAATCATGTTAAGTATGCAAACTGAGTAGCTGATTTGGGATTATCTCATTCTCACATCTTATACTTAGCCTTAATCTATACTTGCATACTCTAAACATACCATACTACTGCCCAAATCATTGCAAATGATGCAATTAAAAGCTGGAGAAGGTTTCAGAGTGCATAATCTCAGACTTCCTCAAGTACTCAGCCTGTGTTAAGTGTGGGTCTGTCTGGGCACTAATTTGGAAATGACAAGTTGGACAGGCTGGGGTTGGTGCATGTTACAACCCTGGGATGACTTTATGAGACACACTGGAGGGCTTCTGAAGGGAGGCTAGTGATGTATCGTAGACTTCTTAAGATTTTTTTACAATTAAAGAGAACCCAGGAAGGCCACCTATTGTTAATATTTTAAAAGTACTGGGAAATAAACTATATACACATGTACGCACTCATATACACACATTCTCTATTCAATGCAAGGATGGTATAGTTGACCCTTGACCAACACAGTGGGGGTGCTGACCCCCTGCGTAGTAGAAAATCCATGTTTAAATTTTGACTCTCCCCAAAACTTAACTACTAATAGCCTGGTGTTGACCTGAAGTCTTATTGATAACATAAACAGTTTATTAACATGTATTTTGTATGTCACATGTATTATATATACTGTATTTTTACAATATAATGTAAGCTAGATAAAAGAATATGTTATTAAGAGAATCATAAGGAAGAGAAAATGTGTTTACTATTGTGTTCGGAATTGGTGGGTTCTTGGTCTCACTGACTTCAAGAATGAAGCTGTGGACCCTCGCTGTGAGTGTTACAGTTCTTAAAGGTGGCGTGTCCGGAGTTTGTTCCTTCTGATGTTCGGATGTCTTCAGAGTTTCTTCCTTCTGGTGGGGTTCGTGGTCTCACCGGCTCAGGAGTGAAGCTGCGGACCTTCGCGGTGAGTGTTACAGCTCTTAAGGCAGCGCCTCTGGAGTTGTTCGTTCCTCCTGGTGGGTTCATGGTCTCACTGGTTTTAGGAGTGAAGCTGCAGACCTTTGCGGTGAGTGTTACAGCTCATAAAGGCAGTGTGGACCCAAAGAGTGAGAAGCAGCAGGATTTATTGCAAAGAGCGAAAGAACAAAGCTTCCACAGTGTGGAAGGGGACTAGAACGGGTTGCCACTGATGGCTCTGGCAGCCTGCTTTTATTCTCTTATCTGGCCCCACCCACATCCTGCTGATTGGTCCATTTTACAGAGAGCGGGAGTGGTCTGTTTTGACAGGGTGCTGATTGGTGCATTTACAATCCCTGAGCTAGACACAAAGGTTCTCCACGTCCCCACTAGATTAGCTAGATACAGAGTGTCGATTGGTGCATTCACAAACCCTGAGCTAGACACAGGGTGCTGATTGGTGCGTTTACAATCCCTGAGCTAGACACAAAAGTTCTCCACCTCCCCACTAGATTATCTAGATATGGAGTGTCCACACAAAGGTTCTCCAAGTCCCCACCAGAGTAGCTAGATACAGAGTGTTGATTGGTGCATTTACAACCCTTAGCTAGACATAAAGGTTCTCCAAGTCCCCACCAGAGTCAGGAGCCCATCTGGCTTCACCCAAGTGGATCCCGCACCGGGGCAGCAGGTGGAGCTGCCTGCCATTCCCACGCAGTGCGCCCGCACTCCTCAGCCCTTGGGTGGTTGATGGGACTGGGCACCGTGGAGCAGGGAGCAGCGCTCATCAGGGAGGCTTGGGCTGCACAGGAGCCCAAGGAGATGGGGAGGCTCAGGCATGGCAGGCTGCAGGTCCTGAGCCCTGCCCAGTGGGGAGGCAGCTAAGGCCCGGTGAGAAATCAATCTCAGCGCCGGTGAGCCGGCACTGCTGGGGGACCCAGTACACCCTCCGAGGCAGCTGGCCCGGGTGCTAAGCCCCTCATTGCCTGGGGCTGGCAGGGCTGGCCGGCCACTCTGAGTGCAGGGCCTGCCAAGCCCATGCCCACCCAGAACTCCAGCTGGCCCGTAAGTGCCACGCACAGCCCCGGTTCCCTCTCGCGCCTCTCCCTCCACACCCCCCTGCAAGCTGAGGGAGCCAGCTCCAGCCTTGGCCAGCCCAGAAAGGGGCTCCCACAGTGCAGTGGTGGGCTGAAGGGCTCTTCAAGTGCTGCCAAAGTGGGAGCCCAGGCAGAGGAGGCACTGAGAACGAGCAAGGGCTGCGAGGGCTGCCAGCATGCTGTCACCTCTCACTATGTATTAAGTAGAAGTGGATCATCATAAGGTCTTTGTTCTTGTCTTCACATTGAGTAGACTGAGGAGGAAGAGAAAGAGGAGGGATTGGTCCTGCTTTCTCAGGGGTGGCAGAGGAGAAAGAAAATTTGCATGTAAGTGGACTTGCATAGTTCAAACTCATGTTTTTCAAGGGTCAACTGTACTTAGACACTGAAATGATTACAAGAACTCACTGCACATTTTCTTCCAGACTCAAACTGTAGGTTCCATACTCGCAGTAAACATTGCATGTCAAGAGAGCAGAACAGAGCCCACTGTTCAGATAGGACTTGCATATGACTGGGACGTCTCCAAATGTGCAGGCCATCCTCTAACTGGTTTATTTTTTAGGCGGGAGACATGGGGTGGGGCATAAGAAAATGAGACTGAGTCCAGTGGAGCTGTGCTTATGCCTTTGCTGTACCACTTACCGGCTGCAACGTCTTAGGAAACTGATTTAACTCTCTGATTATCAGTTCCCTCAGCAGTAAAATGGGGATGATTTCTTACAAAGCAGCAAAGCCAGGACTCTGGTGAGTTGGTAGAGTAGAGTAGCATGAAATCTACCTGCATGAGGTGCCGAGACCAGCTCGGTTGGGGAGACCCTAACCCAGAGGTGCTAGAGGAATTAAAGACACACACACAGAAATATAGAGGTGTAAAGTGGGAAATCAGGGGTCTCACAGCCCAGAGCTGAGAGCCCCGAACAGAGATTTACCCACCTATTTATTAACAGCAAGCCAGTCATTAGCATTGTTTCTATAGATATTCAATTAACTAAAAGTAACCTTTATGGGAAACAAAGGGATGGGCCGAAATAAAGGGGTGGGTCTGGCTAGTTATCTGCAGTAGGAACATGCCCTTAAGGCACAGATCGCTCATGCTATTGTTTGTGGTTTAAGAACGCCTTTAAGCAGTTTTCCGCCCTGGGCGGGCCAGGTGTTCTTTGCCCTCATTCCGGTAAACCCACAACCTTCTAGCGTGGGCATTATGACCATCATGAACATGTCACAGTGCTGCAGAGATTTTGTTTATGGCCAGTTTTGGGGCCAGTTTATGGCCAGATTTTGGGGGGCCTGTTCCCAACAATGGGGATCTTGGAGAAACTCGAGGGAAGGTACATGATGTGTTGACCTTCACTTAATGTGGTAGACATTGTAATTATCTTCCCAGATCCATTCCACCCCTCCCCCATTACACTGTTAGGGTGCAGATTGGGTGGGCCTTAAGTAGCAAAAGCCAATCAGCATTCTTTCATCCCCTTTGACACAGTAATTGTTTCGGGGATGGGCAGAAACCATAGGTCTAAGCCAATCAACATATGCCATCTACCCGACCAAGTTAGTCAAGTCAGAACCTGGGACTATTTTATCTATGATTGGAGAAAGGATAGGACCCCTCTCTTAGCTTGAATGATATGATATGTGTTTATAAGATCTGAGACTGCTGCAGCCACAAGGGAAGTCACTTGAAGATATAGATGTCATATATAGGAGGATAGAGAAAAGAGAATGCTAAGGAAATGGAGCCAGAGTCCTGAACGAACTATTTCTAAATTCCATACTAGCTTTTTTCACACAAATAAGATAATTCCCTTTGTGGTTTAAATCAGTTGATCTGAGTTTTGAATTGCTATTACTTGCAACTAAAAGCATGCTAAGAAATTCATCCCCCGCACTTACAATCCTTTAGTTGTCAGAGGACAGGAATGCTTATGAGTTCAGAGTGTGCCTGTCTCTTAAACTTGTTCCCTGTTGAAGTGTTGACACCTTCTATATCCCAGCCCTGTTCACCTTGCCACCACCAAACTTTGGACACATGTTTGATGCCTAGGCTGAGATAGCTTTGTAACTAGAAGTTAAATGAGAATTTTACTACACTCTGAGGCACATTGGGTTCAAGCTGCATTGCTTCAAGAACATCTAATGAACATTAATGCAAAACAAGGGACTAGATCTTTTACTATGCCCACAGATCTCCACAGAGGTTTGGCCATAGAGGATAGCAATGCATTTGTGAAGAGCATATAGTGGCTATTTTTCTTTGCCAGGTTATCTGTGACATCTTACACCTAAATTTAAAGAAATAATGATATCTATGTACATTAAGTATGGCTACTACAGTTTTAAAACAGGCCTATGGAATAAAATATATCACGTTTTACCACTTTTTAATTGACTGCCTAATAAGCTATGAGAGAGGGGACAGGAAAGCAGCAAAGGAGGAAAAGCATAAGAAAGAATAAATGATTCTAGGAGCCAGAAAGGGTCAGGGAACTGGTAAATAGGAGAACCAAATCATGTGGCTCTGCTTTAAGCTTATCTTGGTGGCTCTTTTAACTCTACATATTTAATCCTGAACTTATAAACCTTGTACTAGTATCATGTATTAGTAAAGGCAAAGCTAACTTACTTAACAAATAAGCACCAAAATTTCAATGGCCTAATACAATAGAATTTTCCTATTATATTCATGTAACAAGCCAAGACAGGCAATCCTGATCTGTGTTGTTGATTTTTCTCCATGAGGGATTCAAGAACTCAGCCTTCTTTTATCTCATGGTCTGCTATCCTATAAGGCAGGAGTTGGTAACTTACAGCCTATGGGCTACATATGGCCCTTCACCTCTTTTTTTGTAAATAAAACTTTATTAAAACACAGTTCCAAATACTTGTTTATGTATTGCCATGCCTACTTTGCACTATAAAGGCATTGTTGAGCAGTTATGACAGAGATCATATGGCAATAAGGCATAAAGTATTTATTACCTAGAAAAAGTTTGTCAATGCTTGCTATAGGTCCCATTTTTAATCTACATTGAACCAGCAGGAATCGAAGTGCATGAAGAAGTTACAACCACTTCTTTAAAGCCTTGGATCAGGCAAGACACATATTTCCCCTATTTCCATTTCATTAATAAAAACACATAGCCACAATAGATGCAAGAAGTGCTGGAAAGTCTCTAAGTCAGTCTCTAGCTAAGCCTCTTCTCAGAAATATCTCAGCATCAGAAAGGGTGAACATACATCTTGATAGACAGCTATCTGTTTCTGTCACAAAACATCTAATCGTAAGCCCAAAGGGAACCACAGAAGTTATACTTAATTAGTTCATACTCATCAAGTGTACCCTATGTTTTGAACATGTTGGGTTATTACAAAGAGAGGTGAATAAGACTCAATCAAATAAGTGAAACCACATATATAGATTTATTTCATGCTTGTTACAGAAAATTCAAATTCAAGACAGTCATCTAGAATGATTGTGGAGTGAATGATGGGCTGGTTGGGGAAAGGAATCTGGTTCTTGGTACAGTGCTGCCCTAGATATTAGCTATTGGCTATTACCAGGTGGGTGGTGGGGGGATTGCAGAATGATTTTGTTCTGCTTAAAAGACTTGGGGCAGAGACTGTCAGAATTGGGCATCAGTGGGCATGGAGATCCAGGTTACATGGGCACTGTCATGAAGCTCACCAAAGAACTGTGCTAGCAATGAAGGAAGATTGAAGTTGTCAGCAATAAAACTAGCCTCAGCTGATGAGCTGAGGAGTGAAGATAAACTTGCCTATCAGGTCTTTGTAATTTAAATTAAGTTCTTTTTCCTCTACTCCATACTACTCTTTTTTTATTTGATTAAATTCAATTAAGTGCCTACTTTTTGCTTGGCAGTGGGGATACTGAGAAAATAAGATGCCCTTGAGGAACATATGATTTAATGGAGGAGATAAACACAGAAATAGTTTCATAAATATGGTAATTCTCCTGTGAATGTCATGCCCAGGTGCTTAATCCCATATGAGGGACTGGTTTAGCATGTTAAGAATAACTTCCTAGATGTGATGACACTTGAGTTATGCCTTAATAGCTAAGGATTAGGCAGAGAGAAGAGAAGATACCAAGGGAGGGTTGCCCAGGGAGATAGAATGTCATCGGAATGCCCATAGACATCTAAAGCAGTGCAGTGATTTGGAGGAAATTAATGTTTCTGAAATTGTTGGATCATAAAGTTCAAGGGGCAAAATATTAGAACTTGAAGCTGGAACAATAAGCAAGGGTCAAATGACAGCGATCCAGTTAGACCATGTTGAAGACCTCAGATTGTATCCTTTCAGTGATGGGAACATCGAAACATTTCATCTCTCTGTTGCCCTTTCTTTGCAAATGGGACAGACTCAGGGCATTCAGAATAGAATGTTCCGCTGAGTTGTTGTGAAAACTACAGTGTAAGGAGAAGCATGAAAAATGCTGCATATGCCATGAAACAAAGAAGCCAAGCTTGAAATCAGAATCTCCAACAAACCCCCAATCAATTGTGGCATCCTTAGCTTGGCCGTTGAACAGCTAAGGAGAGGGAATCACTCCAAGGGTATTTTTTTTTTTTCTTGAGATTTTGAAAGGTAGGTTTTTTAATTTATTTATTTTTTAATCCATCTAGCTTTGGATGGATATCCATCCAATATGATATGTCCTAATTGTTACTTTCAAACATATTTATTTCCATTGTTCTGGGCCCTGTTTTACCTATAAAGAACTAAGAGGCAATCCTTTCGTTGTGAGAGGGGTGGGCATCCACCCTGGAGCTCTGGATGACTCACTGCTTCACTTCTTACCTGTTTACCTTTAAAAATAACAGCTTTCTGTCCAGCCTTTCTGGATGCTGAAACACATTTTGAGCTCTCAGAGAAGGGACTCCTTTCTCATTTTAGCAACTTCTCTTCTTTGTATCAATGCCTTATTTCTATATTTCACTCCTTGCCGCTCTTTCCATTCTCAACTGTCATTGCCATTTACTTTGGCAATAAATAAGGAATGAAAGGCGAAACAAAACAGCCCGCCACGGTTACTGACAATGATGTGTGTGGGGAATTTTTCAGAAACCTCAGGGAGGAGACTCCAGTGGTTTCTCAGCCCACAAGTTTCAGCTGCACGGGGAACAATGGTCCTTCTGCCTACCTTCAAAGGACAAGATGAGGCATGGGCCTTGTTTTTCCTTTTTCTTCCAAACTTCAAACTTGAGCAAACAATCTTTACTTAACCCACATGGAAAACTTGCAAACAGAAACACATTCCTCATCTCCTATTAGTGCTGGGTTCAAAAGCAAACTTCAAATTAGTTAATGTTCATGTCGTTAAGTGGTTCCCTATTGACTGGGAAGAAGTAGGTGGGGAGCTGACTTGGAGAGGGGCTACTGCTGGCAGGCCAATAGCAAAATGAAAGCCAAAATCACTCAGATTGCAGGAGAAAGGTTTAAAAAAAAAGCATAAAGAAATTATCTAGGCAGTACAGGATCTCATCTCTGTTGGATGCTAGAGACCCCCCTCCACATGACACATCTGGGTGGCACTGTGAGAAAGAAAGACTTTTGGGAAGGAACTATCCTGGTTGTTATCATGGTCCATGAATATTTATGGAGCAGCCCTTAATAGGAGTGCCTGGCGCCACCACACAGTCTTATTGTTTGGCAGATTGAAAACCAGCTTCAAGCTCACTCCTGGATCCTCTGAAAAGAATATCTGGATTTCTAGCAGCGAGGTGGCTGCATCATTCCTGTTGGAAGACATAACCCTCTTGTTCCATGGGCAGGAATGTCTATAAGCATAATTTGATAATTGAAACAGTTTGGGAACTGAACAGCCCTTACAGCAAGGGTCTTCAGAAAGTGTCAGCTGTTTGCCTAGGGGTTAGCCATGTCATCCTCATACTGGTGGTGAAGTAAGTAAGGAAAATTCAGGGTAACACTATCCTGGTAGTTAAGAAAAACAAACAAACAGGACATACCAATTATTTTAAACAATTTGAAAACTGAATTAGAAATCCTAAGTTAGAGGCAACCTTTGGCTTAGTGCAATATCAGAAGCCCCCCAGAAGGGCTCCTGTGAATCACCACACTCACCCTGAAATATCGCTGTTAAGTAATGAATATTGTAAGGGTTTTAACTGTGAGGCTATGGGGTGTCCATGGATGTACATCAGAGGGATATATAACTGAGTACATAAGCTTGCTGAAATTCTGGGAACATTTCATATATGTATCTGTGAATGTGTGTGTATGCATATTTGTTTGTTTGCATATTTCTCAGGGAGGAGAGTCATTGCTTTTATCAGATCCTAAAGGATTTTTCTAAGTCTTAAACACTGAAAACCACTGTTGACTTTTAGAGTAGAGATGGACATCAGAAATATTTGACCCAGTCCTTTTTCAAATTGCTTTGCTGTGCTGAAACTTTTGTGTGGATGAAATTCACCTGAGATGCTTGTTTAAATGCACCTTCCTGAGCCTACCTCTACACAGGCTGATTTAGCAGATTTTGGAGTGGGATCCAGAGTTCTGCTTTTTAAAGAAGAACCTCAAGAGGCCAGGAGCGGTGGCTCACGCCTGTAATCCCAGCACTTCGGGAGGCCGAGGCGGGCGGATCACGAGGTCAGGAGATCGAGACCATCCTGGCTAACACGGTGAAACTCCGTCTTTACTAAAAATACAAAAAATTAGCCGGGCGTGGTGGCAGGCGCCAGTAGTCCTAGATACTCGGGAGGCTGAGGCAGGAGAATGGGGCGAACTTGGGAGGCAGAGTTTGCAGTGAGCTGAGATTACGCCACTGCACTCCAGCCTGGGCGACAGAGTGAGGCTCCGTCTCAAAAAAAAAAAAAGAAGAACCTCAGAGATCATAAGCCACATGCATGAATCAAAGGTCCTACTGTGAAAGGGGAGTAAACTGAAGACATACTGGGAAGTGTGATGGTCAAGTGCACAGGGTTGGTAGAAATCATCTTCAAACTAGAGCAGCTGTACTTTTTTTCTCCTTCACATATTGAGCTCCCATGTAATATTCTATTTTGCAGAAAGGCTAAAAAAAAATAGCATAGACATCACTGACACAATTCAACCACCTTCTTGTTATAGAAGAGGAATCTGAGGCCAAAGAAGTAAAGTGACACTGTCAAGGTCACTTTAGCTTTTAGTGGTAGGGGACAAACAAGAACCCAAGCCCCCTGATTGTTTGTCCAGGCATTTTCCAACACGGCTGATTCTCCTTAAAGCTACACACTGTAGTTAAAGCACCAGTTTTTAGCATATCACTGGGGAAGGAAGATAGGAAGTATTTAAACTTTTTACTCAGTCACATAAAGAAGTCTTCTTGGCCAGTTGTGTTAGGTCACGCCTGTAATCCTAGCACTTTGGGAAGCTGAGGCAGGTGGATTGCTTGAGCCCAGGAATTAATGACCAGCCTGGGCAACGTGGTGAGACCTTGTCTCCACAAATAGGAAAAGTGAGCCTGGAGTAGTGGTGCATACCTGTATTCCCAGCTACTCAGGAGTCTGAGGTGGGAGGATCACCTGAGCCTGGGGAGGTTGAGGCTGCAGTGAGCCGTGATCCAAGCCACTGCACTCCAGCCTGAGCAACAGAATGAGATCTCATCTTAAAATAGAAAAAGAAAAAAAAGGAGTCAGGGGCCTAGGAATGTTTAAACTAGAAGGGAACTGGGTAATCAAGAAGACCTGGGTGAGGCTGCCCTGGGAGCCTGATAGAAACAACAAAGGCATCTGGAGCCCATGCAGTGAAAACAGCTACATCACTTTGTCTGGTGCCAGCCTTGCCACCCAAGAGATATTACCTTCAAGAAGGTCCCGAGAAAATAACTTATGGTTAGGCCACCCTGGGAGTTCTTTTATTCATCTATAAATATGAGTCTTTTCTTTGGTTTCAGGATTATCTGGTAATTAATGGCTTCAAGGTGATTCTTCAGATTTGACTAGAATTTCTAGCATGCTATAAAATTTCAGGTTAGTTTAATAGTGGGCAGGAAAATACACCATTCTTCACGGAGTTTAGAGCTGTATTCATTTAGGAAAATGAATTTCAAAAGCTTTCAAAGCCCAGTTAAAGTAAATTTGGGTGGTGATATCAATTAACTAGGCTAACAGGAGTTGTAAAACCAGTCTGAAAATGTTTTCCAACCTCTTTCAAGATTTCTGATGCTGCTGGATTCTAACTTATGAAAACAGTTTATTTTCTTTGTTCTCTCTTTCCATTTTGGGCCTTGGCCAGTTTTAAGAACTAAGAATTTCAAGGCTGGTTTACAAAACTATCAAACTTCTTTTTTTTTTTTTAACTTCAGGAACTGTTAACTTGGAATATGCAGTGATGCATGTTCCAGGATGCAAAAATCAACTCCTTTAAAAAATCCATAATTGTATTTTATACAGTTTTGTATAATGACTTGATATTCAGAATTACAACCTGAGGTCCTGTACAATCCTGATGTGGCTAAGTCATCAATGGAAGATTCCATTCTAATCAGCCCTTATTTAGTGCCAAGTATATCTTACTGGGTTTTATTGTGTCTTGGACATGTCCAGCCAGTTCTGACATGTCAGGGCCTGTCCGAATGCCCGAAGGGATGGGCCCTCTAGTGCACTATTTCTATGAGTAAACAAGGTAATTGGGAAAAGAAAAGCCAAAAGAGCACTATACCATCTGCAGAAGGATTTCTCCTTGATGGGAGAGTTGGGTGTATAAGTTTGAGAGGTAGATGAGGCTATTAGAGAAGACAGACTGTTGGCTTTATCTTGAAGAAATCATATGAAGTTATTCCTTCTGGGGCAGTGCCAGAGGCTTAGGAAGGTAGGGCCGTGTGCTGAATATTTGATGTTTGTGGCCCTCCAGATTCACTTTCTATTTTTCTCCTCCCTGCTGTAAACTCCAGCGCTGACCTTGGGCTCCCTCATGCTCCACTTCTGGTTGGGTTTGCTTAAGGCATTGCTAGAAGACTAGTAGGAGAAAGCAGAGTAGGGTCAGGGTATTATTATCCTGGTTCCTTCCATGTCCTAGTCTGGGAGTTTCTCTCAAGTATAGGCCATAGCTCTTCAGTATCTTTCTTTGCCCCACTCTTGCTGTCTCTCTAGGTTTCCCACTGGCTCCCTTCTTTGCCTCTTCAGTCCTGGAGGTGATCCTCTGTTACTCACCTTGGGGGTAATGTGCTGTTCCTTGTAGTTTCCTTATATGCTGTCCACAACTCTGGCAAGAATCCTTTTACTAAACTTGCCTTAATGTTTCCAATTTGAGTTTGCCATCTGTTTTCTGTTGGGACCCTGACTAATACAGGTGTGTAGTAATGAGGTAGTGAAATGAATGCTGTATCATTAAAAATTTGATCAGAAACTGAGCACACACAATAGGAAAGCTCTGTGCCTTAATATGAACAGGAGAATCTGGGGGATGTTAGGCTCTGGAGCCAGCCCTCCCTTCACTCTAAATAGAAGTATTGACCTTAGAGTGAAGTCTAAAATTGATATGTGTATATGAGCAGTGTATTAGTCAGGATAATCCAGAAAAACTGAACCGGTGGGATGTATGTATACAGTATATAGAAAGGTTTATTTGAAGGAATTGATTGACATAATTATGGAGGCTGGCAAGTGCAAAATCTGCAAAATGGCCCAGCAGGCTGGAGACCCGAAGAAGAGCTGACTGTACAGTTCAAGTCCAAAGGTTGTCTCCTGCAGCATTTCCTCTTGCTTGGCGGAGGTTAGTCTTTTGTTCTATCCAGGCCTTCAGCTGATTAGAGGAAGCCCATCAGCATCACAGAGGGTAACTTAATTTATTCGAAGTCCACCAATTTAAATATTAGTCTCATCCAAAAACACCCTCACAGAAAAATCCCAGAATAATGTATCTAGGTGTCACATATCTGGACACTATGGCCCAATCAAGTTGACACATAAATTTCACCATCACAAGAAGGCAGAAGGAGCCTCAGGAACCAACACAATCAGGAAAAGTTGGGCTCTGGAGACTACATGACCATCTCACTTCTTCACCATGGGTTACAAGGGCAGAACCAGTTGCCACTGCTTGAATTAAGCAGAGTAAACATGAGACCGTGAGATCAGGAGGAAAGCTACATATGTGTCTGGCAAAGAATAACTTGCTAGACTAGGTCTATATCAAGGACCAAATCATCATTTGTTTATTCACCCACTTTTACATTATTTTATTCATTTATTTAAAACATTTCTATTGAAAAAGTACTAAATGCCAAGAACTTTGCGAGGTTCAGAAAACTAGCAAATTTGCTAAAGATACAACATTGAATACAATGGATGCGGTTCTTGCCTTTATGGAGTATACTGATTTAGAGGCAAGACGGATTATAAACCAATAGTTGTTTAAATAATTACTTTATTATAATTCTAATAAGTGGCATTAAAAAAGGGTACAGTACAATGAGAGGATATAACTAGTTAAAACAGCAGGTACTGAAAGCTATCATCAAACCTATTCCCTTGTGCTCTTGGGCACATAAGTAGTCTGTATTTTCCATCCCAAATACAAACACATTTTCAGTTGGATACAACAATATAATTGAATTATAATCAATAAATGTGAGCAAAAATAATATATGTCATTACATAGTCTAGCCTATAAAATTCTCCCTTATACAATATTCTGTATTCTTTTTGCTTTGACTTGAAACATATGAACATCATGACCTTTGAATCTATGTGTTGAAAATGGCAGAACGACATATTGGAAGCTGATTGGCTCTCTGAAACACTACACAGAAGTCACCAACCAAACACCAGCATTGGACTATTACATGTGGAAAATAAATTTATATTGGCTTTAGCCACAGTGATGCTGATATTTGCTCATTATGAAGCTAGAATTGCCATAACTAATATAGAAACTAATTCTGAAGTTATGATTCAACATAAACTTGAAATGAGGTACTATCTACATATAACAAACATTTAAATTAGGTGACATTGACCTATCAGTAATAAGTTAGGCAGCCATAAAACTCTTAAAGGTTGGATAAATGAAGGCCCATTCTATGAATTTGACCAAATATTTGGTAAAGTTATTGACTATGATAACTTGAAGGCAGAAAATGGGCCTATTGAGCCTGTGGTTTCAGTTATTAATTGATGGGTGATTTTGTATCCCAGGGCACATATGACAATGTCTGGAGATATTTTTGTTTGTCGTGACTAAGGTGGGGTGGTGCTATAAGCACAGAGTGGGTAGAGGCCAAGGATGCTGACAAACATCCCACAATGCACAGGATAGATCCCTAAAATGCGTAATTATCTGATCTAACGTGTCAATGGTGTTGGGGTTGAAAAATTATATTCTGGGGGATACAGTTGGAAAAACTCAGAATAATCCAAATTGGTTTTCATTTCCACTTTTTACCAAGATGTTACTAGGAAAATAAAGCTAAATCCAGAAATAACTGGATAGTTGCCAGACAGTCAGAGAATACCAAAAATTTTTGATTTTTTTGAAAATCACTTCAAGACCATGAACGATAATAGATGAAATCTAAAGAGGTTTTGAGTAACAGTGACTCATGCAGATAGAGCTCTGGAAGTACAGATTAGATTAAAGGTATGTGGCCTTCCCACCCAAGTCTATGACTTCACTGGTCTCAAGATATCATCTATTAATGTGAAAGAGATTGCCTTGGAAGATAGAAAGCAAATACCTAAATTGGGCTTGATAATTTTATCTGGGAAATAATCTTGGGCATAGTCACTAGAACATGGAACTGATTAGTAAGTAGATTAAAAGCCTACCAAGGAGCCCAACAAGTATTTGAGGGAAAGGTATTGTCAAAGACATTTTCTTTGTTAGAGCATTAGTATTGCCTCGATGAGTAATTACTTAGTGTGAAGGGTTCAAGAAAGTGTCTGTGGAAATTGCATTTAAACTGAGTCCTCAAAAATGGAATAATCAGCAAGGTAAAGGAGTAAAACATTGTGTAGTTCCTGAAGTTAGGAACTGAATGAGAGCCAATATATTTGAGATACAGTAAATTGAAGGGAGCCTAATGAGAGATAAGGATTTAGGTAAGGAGAAGAACATACAGGGCTTAAAGGTTATGTGTCCAGAATTGGTGGGTTATTGGTCTCACTGACTTCAAGAATGAAGCCGCGGACCCTCGCAGTGAGTGTTACAGTTCTTAAAGGCGGTGTGTCCGGAGTTTGTTCCTTCTGATGTTCGGATGTGTTTGGAGTTTCTTCCTTCTGGTGGGTTCATGGTCTCGCTGGCTCAGGAGTGAAGCTGCAGACCTTCGCGGTGAGTGTTACAGTTCTTAAGGCAGCGCGTCTGGAGTTGCTCGTTCCTCCTGGTGGGTTCGTGGTCTCGCTGGCTTCAGGAGTGAAACTGCAGACCTTCGCTGTGAGTGTTATAGCTCATAAAGGCGTGTGGACCCAAAGAGTGAGCAGCAGCAAGATTTATTGCAAAGAGCAAAAGAACAAAGCTTCCACAGTGTGGAAGAGGACCTGAGCGGGTTGCCACTGCTGCCTCGCGCAGCCTGCTTTTATTCTCTTTTCTGGCCCCACGCACATCCTGCTGATTGGTCCATTTTACAGAGAGCGGGAGTGGTCTGTTTTGACAGGGTGCTGATTGGTGCATTTACAATCCCTGAGCTAGACACAAAGGTTCTCCACGTCCCCACTAGATTAGCTAGATACACAGTGCTAATTGATGTATTTACAAACCCTGAGCTAGACACAGAGTGCTGATTGGTGCATTTACAACCTTGAGCTAGAAACAGAGTGCCGATTGGTGAATTCACAATCCCTTAGCTAGACATAAAGGTTCTCCAAGTCCCCACCAGATACCAGATCAGCTAGACACAGAGCGCTGATTGGTGCATTACAAACCTTGAGCTAGACACAGAGTGCTGATTGGTGCATTTACAAACCTTGAGCTAGATACAGAGTGCTGATTGCTGTATTCACAATCCCTTAGTTAGACATAAAGATTCTCCAAGTCCCCACTAGATTCAGAAGCCCAGCTGGCTTCACCCAGTGGATCCCGCACCGGGGCCGCAGGTGGAGCTGCCTGCCAGTACCGCGCCGTGCACCCGCACTCCTCAGCCTTTGGGTGGTGGATGGGACTGGGCGCTGTGGAGCAGGGGGCGGCGCTTGTTGGGGAGGCTCAGGCCACACAGGAGCCCATGATGGAGAGGTGGGGAGTCTCAGGCATGGTGGGCTGCAGGTCCTGACCCCTGCCCCAAGGGGAGGCAGCTAAGGCCCGGCGAGAAATTGAGCACAGCGCTGGTGGGCCAGCACTGCTGGGGGACCTGGCGCACCCTCTGCAGCTGCTGGCCCGGGTGCTAAGCACCTCACTGCCCAGGGCCACTCTGAGTGTGGGGCCTGCCAAGCCCATGCCCATCTGGAGCTCCAGCTGGCCCACAAGTGCCACACGCAGCCCCAGTTCCCACCTGCGCCTCTCCCGCCACACCTCCTGGCAAGCTGAGGGAGCCGGCTTCAGCCTCAACCAGCCCAGAGAGGGGTCCCCACAGTGCAGTGGTGGGCTGAAGGGCTCCCCGAGCATGGCCAGAGCTGACGCCGAGGCCGAGGAGGTGCCAAGAGTGAGCGAGGGCTGCGAGGGCTGCCAGCATGCTGTCACCTCTCAGTTATAGAGAGAATTTGGGTAGCTTGTGTCTTTCTAGAAATTTCTTCATTTCATCCAGGTAACCTAATTTGTTGGCATACAATTGCTCATAGCATTTCTTTATAATTATTTTAATTTTTCTTTTAGCAGTTTGAATATGTCATCCCACTGCCTTTGGCCTTCATAGCTTCTGGTGAGTAATCAGCTGTTAGCCTTATTGAGAGTCCCTGTTACATGAGTCACTTTTCTTTTGCTATTTTCAAGATTCTCTCTTTGTCTTTGACACAGGCCCAGGAAAGGGAAGAATTACATGAAGACACATGGAGAGGGGAGCCAAGGGGAGAGGTTCAGAAGAAACAAAGCCTGCTGATATCTTGATCTTGGGGTCTAACCTCCAGAACGGTGATGAAATGTCTGTTATTTAAGCCATTCGGTCTGTGGTATTGGTGACAACAGTCTAAGCAGACTAATGCAAGCCCTGACACAGACTTTATGCAATTTAATTCTCTTTTCTCAGTCATGATTTTCTCCTCTGTAATAAGCTCTAATTATCAGTGATGAAAATTAAATGTGTAAATGTGTACATTATTGTTTAAAGACAAGTAAAGAAAACCAACACCCTTGTTTTTGTTTAACGGATCTACCTATTTTTAGGAAATGTTTAAGCAGATGTGGATTTTTTTTTTAACACAATAAAATACTATCCTTTTCTCAGCTCTTTTAAAAAATACATACCTATTTTCTGAGAAGACATTTTCACTTGGTTGAATGATGTTTAATCCAGCTTTGCAAAATAGCTCTTCACCCAGAATATGGCTGGTGGTTTGTGCAAATAGCAAAGAACACTTGATTTATTTTACTACCTTAGTTGGAAAACAAATTTAGTTAGTTACTTTACCTTTTGTTGTGTTGATTTTAACCATTATGCTTTGACTCATAGTTTTTCTTATAAGGCACATTGGGTAAAGAAAGTAGCATAGAGTTGAATCCCACCCTCCCCTGTTACTAAATGGCTTTGTTATCTTGGGTTAGCTAACTGGCTTTTCTGAGTTTGTTAGCTACTTTGTAATATGACATTAATTTTATCTCACTTGACCATTCATTTATAATTTAATAAATAAATAGGCATTGAGTACCCCCTGCATGCCAGGCACAGTATTAGATGCTGGTGATTCAATGGACATCAAAACCAGTCACAGTCAGTATCCTTGTGGAGCATTAATACAGTGAGAGCATAGATATTTATCAAAGAACTATAAAAATAAATGCACAATTGCAACTTTGCTGTCTCCTAGAGGAAAGAGGCATGGTGCTTTGAAAGCATATCATAGAGGGATTTGACTTAATCAAGGAGGTATTTGAAGGCCTCCCCAAGGAAGTGATAATTGAACGAAGATCTGACAAAAGAAGTAGGTGCTAACTAGGACTGAGAGGATTAAAAACAAGGCAACAGATAGGAAATATGCTACCATTTTTCTTACTAACATTACTGTTATTTAATAGAGACCTTCTTAGCGTTTTTATCTCATCAGTGAAGTGACACTTTGTCTTATGATAATTCCAGGTCTGGCATTATTTCATAATTCCTTGTCTGGAATAAATATTTTCAAACTTGAAGGTGATATACCCATAAAAATTCTGACTCTCAAAGTAATTGCCAACTGTGGCATGCATGGGAAGAATTTGTAAAAAAATGACTCAGTGTAAATCATGATTATTTTACATTTTTCTTAATTTTGTACCTATTTCCCATTCTCTGCCTATATTATATAATAACTTTTATATCAACTATATTTCCCATGTTAAACCTGAGTTATGAAATTCTTTCTGCATCTTTTCTCATGTATTGGAAAGAAAGTTAATTCTTTTCAGCTTAATCTTACCCAGTGCAAAGCCCTTGTAATAATGTACTTTATTTTTGAAGGCTTCTGACCAGTAAACTGCATACTTCAAAAAGGGACTATCTAAGCCCAATAGGC
This sequence comes from Homo sapiens, assembly GCF_000001405.40. NCBI lineage: Eukaryota > Metazoa > Chordata > Mammalia > Primates > Hominidae > Homo > Homo sapiens. Next base: position 28,528,307 of record NC_000011.10, read on the forward strand.
ACCACTCAGCAACGAACCAGCTGATTCCCTAATACTAAGCAATTATGTAAGGACTGTCCAAACATAATAAAACAGCATTTCTCCCTCAGGGGAGGACTTAAAGGAACAGTCACCTCTTCCTACTCCTTTCATATAACATTGCTGCTTTCCCATCTGAACCGAGACTAAGTCAGCGTGATTGGTTAAGCTCTTCTTACTGAGAACAAACTGAACCCAGATGTGAATTGGGGAAGGCAGGCCAATTTTGCTTTTGGTCTTTGCAGTGCCAACGGTCCAATTTTTTCAAAGCTTTACAGTACCTGGCACTTTGGGCCATGTTGTAAAGATCAGGCTTATGAATGTTTATTAGTCATTCTCTGATAATTACTTTGCCACGATTTTCCAAATGGACAAAAACCTTATTTTTTCCTTATTTGTGGTATGTGTGTTTGTATCGCATAGATACTAAATATTGAAAGCTAGATTTCAGATCATTCTATGTTGGCTTAACTGAGCACTCTTTAAAATAGAGGAAATGCTGAGACTTTTAATTGGTGAGCCATTCTGAAGCAGAAATATTGTAATGCATCTTTTAATCTGTCTAATTTTGAAATTTATGAACAAAAATGGCCCTGTAGAGAAACAAAATGGCATGAGGCAAATGTTTGACATGTAATAGTAATATAACTGGAATGAGGTAGAATCCTTACCTCAGGTGTAATGGCTTAAATTTAGCAATTTCTAGGGTCCATGAATGGAGTGGGTTCATAATCCTAAAATGTTCAGGAAGGATGAAGACATAGGTGGAAATCTGCTTACGTTGAGAAGAGAAAGACTTTAAGATCAATAAACAGCACTTAGTTGAAACCACTAATGAGGTATACGACATGTCTCAGAAATCACAAGTTTATTTTGCTTTTGTGAGAAGTCAGAATAACTTGTGGCTGAGGCTGTCAACACACTAGACCGCAGCCTTGTGTCAGCCTCTGGTTTTTCTAGTGCTTAAGAAGTGTCAAGTTCCAAGAGAAGGGCAGAAGCTCTGTCATCTGAAGCATGCAGTTCATCAGCTTCATACTGGAAAACAACTTGAGATGTATCATTTTAAAGCACAAAGGATGTAACTTTATGAAAATCAATTTCTTGTTATTCTTCCATACTCTCCATACACCCACTTTTTAAAGAAAAAATATGCCCTTTTGCAAAGCTGGTACTTGAAAATGTGGAACGCAGAAATTCACCCTGATCTCTCCCTTTTCCCCCTACTTCTTTCGTGAATTGAGGAATACACTTGTCCAGATTATTTTGGTGTACATAGCAGGGGGTGGGGGGCGGGGGTAGGAATATGGGAGGAGTGGAAATAAAATGAAATAAAAAATTGATTTGTATTGCTCTGTTTGGCGTTTAGTGAAGACTTGATTAGTCCTGGGGGTTCTTTCATTTCTCCAACTCCTCCAATTGCCATAATCCTTAGCTCTATACTTGGAACAATATGAGTGCCCTCTGGTGGACAAAATGTCATTTAAATTTTTGTGTATATTGACTGAACATGGGTAAGTATGTAGAAAATAAATCTTATGTTTCAAATGTCCTCATTGAACTTCTGAAATCCATAAAAAATTAGTTTCTGATGTTCAAGGGTTGTGACAGCAGAAAATAGCTCCATAAAATATGGGGATAAAAGGCAAGCTGGGGTGGGTACTCCTGGTCCTATTTGCTACCAAAGTAGAGTCTTGGAGCTATACATAATTGGGAAGCTGAAGAGGAACTCAAATGTCTAAGGGGAAGGCCAATAACTCTACTTCTTGGCCATCTATGCAAAGATTAGAAATGCTATCATTAAGAAGGAGACATTAATGAAACAACATAAGCACAGGCAAAGCCTCTAAAGATCTATGCCTGTTGGCATTTGGTGGTTAAAATTCTTAAAGAGAGAGACAGAGAGAGAGAAACCACAAAGGTTGTATAACCTATTACATGCCTAAATAATGCAAAAGACATAAAACAATGCAGGCCTTTGCAGTAAAGGCTTATAAAGCATGTTTTCCCATTTATTCAGACTCTATCTTCTCTGTTGGAGAATAACACATTAAAGGCTGAATGCAGAGTATCTGGTTATTTTAAATCTCCTTCAATTTTTGACTTACTAAAAGGATAGCAATCTGATTTAAATTACCAAATTGGCAAAGCTCTAGAATTATGGGCAGCGGTGTGCTGATAAATGTATAACAACTGTTTCCAAAAAAGAAAGCCCTGCTTGGTAATATCTGCCAATTTCCATGGTGTAAATAATATCATCATGGTTGATTTAAAGCTACCAACATAACGTCACTGAACATACCATTCTAAAGACATGCGCACAATTGACTTTCAGAAACTGCTACAGGGCAGCTCTAGAATGCCACTAAATAAGAGATTTAGAATTTTTTTTTCTGTAATTTTCATAGTTTGGACCATGAAGATATATTATTTTTGTAATAATGAAAGAAAAACTCAAAAGTTATTTTAAAAATAGGCCCCAACTGAAGAAATTATTTCTAGCAAAAATTGTTTAATACAGTCTATCTACAATGTTTCAAAACTTAATATGTCTCTCTTAAAAACTCTGTAAAGTAGATAAAATAGATATCTGTACTACTTCTTGACAGGGAAGGAATATGAAGTCTAAGGGGGTTTAAGCAACTTATAGAACTAGTCCTATAATTCTAGTTTTTTTTTAGCTGTTTATTTATTTCCCTGTTTTACATACTAAATGGCAAATTCACAACTGAAATTGCTGCTTTCTAACTGCATTTGTACTTTTCATTCAACTGTGGTGTTTGCTTCAAGCAGAAAAGGATTATCTGAAGCTATCTCTTCAAGAAATTTCTGATTTTATAAAGCAATTGATTACTATATAATCTGATGCTATCACTGCTATACTCTAAAATGATGACAAAAACCACCATCCATCCCAGCTCCCATGGACCTAGAAAACAAGAGGAGAGTCTGATTATATTTTCTACACTATCTTTTCCTTGTATCATGCTTTTATTAGTTCAACCAATGTTGATAAAATCCTTGATAGCTCTAATTTCTGCCAATCATCCTCATATCCTTGAACTTAAGGAACTCACGTGCCTAGGTTTAGTATATTCAAGACCACTCCAAACCACTGAGCCATGTGAAAATCAGAAGTTTAGGACAGTGAAAGGAGAACAGATTTGTGAATCAGGAATATCTTTATTTGAATATTGCTTCAGATACTTTCTGTGTGACTTTCAGCAAGTCACTGAATCTCTCCGATCCTGTTTCCTTTTCTGAAAATAATAATGCCTACCTCACCGTAAAGTTGAGTACACTAAGTTAGATGGTATTGATTAAATGCTTATTAAAATACATGACATATTGTGAACACTTGAAAAATGGTAGTAGTAATATTTCACAATTAACTGTTATTAAATTAAAATTTAGTAATAATTGAAACGCTTAGCTTCCTTCCAGTATTGCATAATATTAGTTTCCAGGTAAACAGATAATCAAATAACAAACAGCAATAGATAGACACAGAGAATCCTGCATATCTTTTTAACCCCCCAAAACCAATTTACATCAAGAGCAATCTAAGTGGTTTTATATTGTGCCTGTGTATATTAACATTCACTTACCTATTTCCATGGCTATCTTATCTTTCTTTCATAGATGAAAATACCACATTAGGTAAATGCAGCACTGCCTCCATGGAGATGAAGCTCTTTTAGAAAAACGTTAATTTTTCTAAAACTATATTGTTGCATGTCTTTCTCTATCTAACTACCTACCACCATCATCAGCATCAGCTATGTAATCTATATCCATCCATTTGTTGGATGAAACCATCTCCATGATGTCTGTACTTTCAGGGACTTATATTTTTGAATTACTGATTAACTCAAACTAATTGATTAAACCCTTGGATTTTGGTGGATCACTTTTTGTTCCCTGTGTTGGTGAGATCAGCAACCAGTCTTGATCAAGGTGTATATTTTAAGAAATGAATACCAAGAAAGCAAAGCAAGTGAACATTTTTATTCCATAGCTATACCAGGGATTGTGATTTTTCCCTGAATTTGGAAATTTCCTATTTGTGTGTGTATGCATGGTGTGAGTACACATGTATGTCTGTGGGTATAAATATGTTTAAAAATAAAATTTGTATTTATTGCTTCATAAAAGCTTTTGTTTTAATCTAATAATACGTAAAGATCATTTCTTCCTGCCTTTCAATATTCCTCCGTGATTTCATTCTTAGTGATGGTATGCCAGTGTCTGGTGGGGAGAGACCATGATTTATTTGACTAATTAACTTGTATTGAACATTCACAGTATCTCCCATTTTTACTATTTAAACATGATGAGATGTATATCCTTGTTCTTGATTATGAATTGGTGTTTGGTTTTAAATTTATGACTTAGAGGTAGAAGTATTCAAGGCTGCTCCAATCTCCTGATGTCTTCTCTCAGGCACAGGATTCAAATCTTACAGCTATGCTGCTGTTGAATTTGGTGATCTTAAAAGGTTGCTTGGCACGTCCTTTCCCAAAGAGCCAACAGCAAGAAAGGTAAGGGAATAAGTGTTGCTTTGACAGCTGGCTCCTTTGTTGTAACCAGAGTATATCTTACAGGGAGAAACAATACCACAAAATAGGGTTTACCTTATTCCTTGGTGGTTATTTTCCTGTCAGCCTCCTTGGAGAAATCTACTTCTTTTCCTGTCTAAGTGATGGGGGTCCCCTGCAAGAAACGAAACTGCTCACATGGAGGAGAAGTACATAGTCAAGGCAGCCTTACCAGGAACCAAAAACCCAAACCAGGAACTAGAAATCAAAACCCTTCTTCCCACAATGCCCCTCCAATGCCTTCTACTGACAAAGCTTAACAATGGCAAGCAAAGGAAACATTTAAAAGGCCTAGATACATGTTTGCAGAACAGGCAATGATGAATTTAGAGCTGAGGCAATAAATAGATACCTAGAACAATCACTTACAATGTATACACTGTGCACACAATAAAAGCATTCCAACTATAAAATTCTAATACATTTTTTCTCAAGTGTCTTAATAAAAACCCCTTTAAGGAGACATTCAGTGATGTAATATTGTGATGTAAATAACACTGTCTTCAACAAAATCCATGTAGAAAAGGTGACTGTATTGTATTTATGTATATGTGTGTGTAGGTACAAATATATATATATATATATATATATATATATATATATATATATATATATATATAATGTATATCTTTCTTATAGTACCTTTCTCAATATGCTCATACCAGCCTATCTACAATGAAATTATTCAATGCAAGTCTTATTCACATAATGTTTCAACTAAAGAATCTTGATTGATTATTGACTGAGGTAGACATTATCTAAGTCTGAATTTTCCCAATCATGTGATCAACAAGCCTGGTGTCTGTCAACAAGGATTGTGGCTTCACAGTTAATTGTATTTCTAGTATCAAAGAATAGAGCAACATAATGGAGCACAAAACAGGAGTAGTCAGAAGCACAAAACCATTAAAAGAAATATAGCCATCATTGACAAAAAAACTTCTAGGAAAAGCTTAAAAGTCCCTCAGTTCTGAGCTGTCAGAGTCTACCAGTATTAAAGGGGACATCACATAATGAGTGGCAAGTTTTCCACTTGTCCTTTATGGCAGAGCAAGAAAACTTTATATTAAATGGACAAATAGTAAATACTTTTGTCTACTCAACTCTGCTGTTACAGCTCAAAGGCAGCCACAGACAACATGTAAACAAGTGAGTGTACCTGTGCCACAGGAAACCTTAATTAATTTGCTATAGGTTGTTTAGTCCTGCTTTTTAGGTAAAAGATACTATACAACTGTGTTAGTCTTGTAGGGGGGCGGGTGTCATCTTTTCCTTGCCAATGTAGGAGCATGCTAACTTGTTCACTGATTTTGAACAGAGGTCAGCATACTTTTTCAGTAGAGGGTCAGGTACTAAATGTTTTATCACTTGTGAGCCTCCTATTGTCTCTGTCACTTTTTCTTTTTCTTTTCCTTCTCCTCCATCTTCTTCCTTACAACTCTTTAAAAATATAAAGTACTTTCTCAGCTTTCAGACCTTGTAAGACAGGCCATGGTCTATCGTTCTGTAACCTCTGATCTAAAAGAGTAGTTTCAAAACTTTTTTGTGTTAAATACTAGAGATTTGGGTGGCACACTTTAAGGGGCTAAATTGAACCTACAGTTGTTTGGTTTCTCCTCAGCATAGTTTGGCTATCTGTGCAGAATTTGTTTACTGCCCTGAACTTACTCTCTTACATATTTACAATACAAGGCTTTCTCATGCTCCAATAAACACCAAATCTTTCTTTGGTCCCAGCTTGACAATATATATCTTTTTTCTTTTATTCCTTGCAAATGATATGCCATCCTATAGTACATTGTGTGGCCCAATTAGCTTAGCATTTTGTCATAGACGTTGCCTTAAAAGTATTTATTATCTGTTTAAAAAAAACCTTTTTATGTATTGAAAAAGTTTGGTAGCATGACTTTGAACAGTTTGCAGTATACACCTTTTTTTCCCATTAGGGTGTGGCAGTATTTGAACTACGTGGGCTACTTACACATGTTGCCTTTACTGTCTGTGTCTTTGGGAAGTTGCACCAGGATAAATTGTTATTTCCAGGCAATGTTTAACAGAGCGTAGAAAGGAAAAGTTCTGGAAGTTGTTTCTATGCCCATCTAACTACATTAGTGTGGGAAGAGCTGATAAGAAAGAGGATTGAGGGCTATTTGGAGGCTCTTGTGATACCAGACTCAAACCATATTCTCCTTAGATGCAAAGAATTCTTTTTTCTTGTGTCAGACTGAGTGTTAAGAGGCAAATGAAAACTAAACAAGAATTCACAAGTTAAGAATTTCTATTATCACTTGACTTCTTACTGTCAGTGCACACTTGGAACAACTCACCATCCCCCTCTATAAATTTCTTCATATATGAAATTGCAATTAAAATCCTCTACTTTATTATGATGATTAAATAAGATAATGTGTACATAGCAAAACACTATTTGTACAAAAACTAATACTACTTATGAAACACCCATCCTGTGCCAGGCATTTTCATGACACTCCTCTCCCATATAAAAAACATGTATTGCCCAAAGTCTCATTTCCTTAAGATTCTGATGGAGCCAAGGTCATATCTAGTAATTTATTGTGGAGAATGTACATATGTGGTATATGTGTGAGATGTTAAATATTAACATGTCTTAAACTATCTCTCTCAAATCATATATTTTCACTTGAAAGGAGACCTAGAAGTTTTTGTTAATAAACACCTGTTGAACAGAATTAATTATATTCAGTACATAGAACACTATCCTCAATCATTGGAAGGCATTTCTTTTGAGACAGATTCTTCCATGTATTTATTTGGATATACAGTAATGCCCCGTTATCTGAAGCAGATACCTTCCAAGACCCCCAGTGGATGCTGGAAACCATGGATAGTACCAAGCCATATTATATATAGTGTTTTTCTGTTGTAGTAACCAGATGACTACTCAATGATCAATGAGTGGGTAGCCCATACAACGTGGATGTGCTGGAAAAAGGGATGATTCATGTCCAGGTGAGACAATGCAATATTTCATCATGCTACTCATAGTGGCACAGAATTTAAAACTTATTCTTTATTTCTGGAATTTTCCATTTTATATTTTCAGTTCCTGGTTGACTGTGGGTAACTGAGACTGCAGGGAATAAAACCATGAATAAAGGGGGACTACTGTATATTTGTCTTTGAAAAATATATCTTAGCTTGTGAATGAATTTTTTAAACACAAAAATTGTATTGTTATAAATTTAATTCTGATTATTTCTTTCTTATATTTGAACTTAGATATATTTTTGCTTATATGTTAAAATGTATCATCATTTCTATGGGCCATATGAAATAACAGATGAGTACATCACATGTTATTCATTTGTTCCCCTTTTTGGTAGACACATGGGATAACTTGAACTCTTTTCTACTATAGACAATGCTGCAGTGATTATCCACTGAGGTAGACTATCACTGTTCATCAATATTAATTGGCTCTTCTTGGGGAGGACAATATTTTTCTGCTATATTGGACTTAGACTTAGTCACATGAGTTATTTTGGTTGATTAAAAGTGAACAGAAGTGACACATGTCACTTCTAGGTGGAGGCATGTGTAGCATGTACTTTGTTTTTGCATCTGCTGATGGCTTTTCACCTGGAACCAACAATGTTCCAGATAATTCCTGTTCTGTTAGCCTGGGTCCTGAGTTCAAGGTGATTTCTACGATCAAAGCCACCCTGTCACACAGTGTTGTGCAAATAGTATACATGAGAAATAAACCTTTGCTAATAGAAGTCAATAAGATTTGGGAAGTGCTTGTTACTGCAGCAAATCCTGTCCTGTTGTGAATAGAAACTGATGTCATGATTAAACAAGACCTTTAAGTTCCTCCATCTGAGGGAGATTGGAAGGTATTTTGTTTGTAGAAAGAAGAATGAACCCAGTATTTGTGACCATAGTTCACAAAGGTGAATGATGATGGTCATTAGGACTGTTCAAAAATGTCAGTTTCCTCACTCTGGATATAGGGTAGGATCATATTTGCTATCCCATTTGGACATGATCTTTTGTGAATTTTGTGCAAATTTCTTTGGCTTATATACTCAGGAACTGGAATGCTAGACTGTACACATTGTTCTTCATAGTGGATATACCAGTTTACCCTCCCTGTAGCAGATCAGTAATTCCTGATTTGCGACATTCTCAGCAACACTTTACATATCCATCATTCCAAATTTTTTCAATCTTGTGGGTATAAATTGGTATGTAATTATTGCTTTATTCAGGATTCTTCTGAGTGCTATAGAGACTGAATGCCTGTTCACTTACCTTAACTCTGAATCACATACAAATTGTGCAAGTTTAAATTTTGACCATGTAAGCATTGTGTTTTTTGTCCTCTTTTTTTGGTGGGTTCTATGGAGTTTGTCGTATACTTCAGATGTTAAATTCTTGTCAGATTTTGATATTGCAAATATCTTGTCCCAGTCTGCCACTCATCTGTTAACTTTGACAATGATGTTCATTAAACAGATATCTTTAATTTTTATGAAAATTCATTAATTTTTCTGCTCATGGCTTTTGATTTTTGAATCTTTTTAAATTAAGAAAATTTTTCTTATCGTCAAAGTACCAAAAATAATTTTCTACCTCAGTTTTTATCTTTTTATAATTTTTCCTTTCCCATTTAGGCATTTAATCCATTTGGTGTTGAATTTTGATGTATAATACGAAGTGGGAAATATAACATTTTTTATTGACATCATTATCTAAATAATTCATGCATCAGTCAGTGATCTTTGATGCCATCTCTACCATAGGGTAGGGTCTCACACAAATGAATCCGTTTCTAAGTTTTCTACCATGTTTCATTCATCTACTTGTTGACTCTGTATCACAACCACACTATTGATTACTGTGATTTATTAATTATTGTTTTATTAATGGATGTTTATTTTTTATTAAAAAATCTTAGGATAAACTTGTTGAAGTCCTCAGTGTTGTTTAGATTGGAACTACATTAAATTTATATAGTCATTTGGTTTAAAGTTAACAAGTTTACAGTGCTGTTATCTCCTCCAAGAATGAAGTATATTTCTTTGTTTATTCAAGTTTTATGGGGAGAGAGATGAGTCATTTTAAAACATTTAAAATTTTTCTCCATAAAGGTCTTGGTCACTTCTATTAGATTAATTCCTACATGTGTTTGTTTTTTCATTGCCATGTTATTTACTGGTTATCACTGATAAGACAGATGCTACTCATTTTGGGGAACTGATCTTGTCTCTGGCTACTTTGGTCAAATCTTATGAATTCTAATGGTTTACTATGGATTTTCTTGTTGTCTCCCTGCCCCTCATGGAAATGTACTATTTGTTCTGTTTTTTTCAAATAGGTCGGGCGCGGTGGCTCATGTGGTTGGGCATGGTGGCTCGCACCTGTAATCCCAGCACTTTGGGAGACAGAGGCAGGTGGATCACTTGAGGCCAGGAGTTTGAGACCAGCCTGGCCAACATGGTGAAACCCTGTCTCTACTAAAAATACAAAAATTAGCTGCCAAGCATAGTGGTGCACGCCTGTAATCCCAGCTACATGGGAGGCTAAGGCAGGAGAATCGTTTGAACAGGGGAGGCAGAGGTTGAAGTGAGCCGAGATGGTGCCACTGCACTCCAGCCTGGGCAACAGAGTGAAGCCCTGGCTCAAAAAAATAAGTAAGTAAAAATAAAAATAAATAAAAAATAGTAACAACATTGTGTCTTCCTTTCCAATATGTTTATCTTTCTCTCTCTCTTTCTCCTTCCATCTCTATCTCTGTTTCTCTCCTTCTCTCTCTCTCTTTCTTTCTCTCTCTCTCTCTCCCTCCCTCCCTCCCTGTCATCTTATTGTATTGGTCAGTACCTCTGGTATCATGTCAAACAACTGAAATGATAGCACACATCTTTTTCTTCTTCCTAACTTTAAAAAATATACATTTAAGAATTTATCATTATGGTTTTGCCCTAGGTTCTTGGTAGGCTATTATTATCCTTATTATTGTTTAAATAAAATTAATAGTTTCTTTCTATTTCTTGTTTCTACGAATTTTTTAAAAAACAAAATGTATTAATTTTATCAAGCACTTTTTCTGCATCTCTTAAAGTGACCATATGAACTGTCTTCCGTAGTGCTAATGTAGTAAATTACATTGTTTGTTTGATACTGAGCCATCCAGGAGTTTCTAAAATAAATCTTGTCATAATTTTTTAAGTATGCTATTAAATTTGGTTAGTTTTCCCAGGGGTTTTTTTTTGTATCTATTATATAAGTAAAATTGGCTTACATTTTTGTCCTTATTATGAACTTCTCTGGTTTTAATATAGGGGTGAAACTGGCTTTTAAAATGAGTTAGCTAACTTTTATTGCTTTTACATTTTCTGGAACAACATATGGTGGTTATCTGTTTTTATATTGTTTGTTACACTCACCCCATGCAACTATCCAGGCCTAAAATGTCTTAGGTAGTAGTGGGAGAATTGGTAGAGAAGGAAGTTTTTACTATCTTTTTTTTGATGATTTGGCATATTCATGGGTTCTATTTCTTTTTATGCTTATTTTGACTTTTTGTATGTTTTTCAAGAAATTTATTAATTTCATCTAGATTTTTAAAAATACAATTCAATATGGTTGTTGAGTGGTTTATAGTTTTTTCATGATGCTAAGAAAATCTCTGTTATTTTTATACTTATTTCCTCTTTCTCAATTGCTTATTTATGTTCTTCAGAAGCTCTACAAGGTCCTTCTCACTGCACTAGTTCTTGATTGGGGATATTTGTTATGCTACGATATAATCTGACCCTCCCCAGCTGTGCTTTCTGAAATACACCCCACAGCCTCTTGCTGAAGGACACTTTAACTTGGCAGGTAGGCCTTATGAGTAAGATGGTTCACACTCAGCTACTTTCCATACTGTTCACTTGATTTATGGGACAGTCATACATGTCTATTATACAGCCTTATTCACTTACTGTTACCCCCTATCATTACCACAGACTGTCTCTTTCAACATCGTGGTTGTTTTCTTTCTGTCATATTTCTTGTTTCCCAATTAATGTATTCAGAGCTATACATTTTATTCTATGTACTGCTCTAGCTACATTTCACAGATTTTTGCATATAGTACTTTCATTGAGTTCTGCTCAAATTGTTTTTAAAAATTTCTGTCAGGATTTTTCCTTTACCAAAGAATAAGTTAGTGATATTTATCTTTTATCTAAAAATCATTTGTTATTAATTTTCAATTTTATTACATCCTGGTAATTCACAGAAATATGATCTGTGTGATGTTGGTTCTAGCCATCATAACTGAGTGATTGACTCTAACATATACATTTCAGGCACCATAGCAGGGGACAAGGGGAAAGAGATCTCGGGGGATATCTGCATATGCTGCTGACTCTATTGCCCATAATGGAAGGGCATAATTAATTAGAAAGCTAGAAATCAAACTTTCTCCATGTGGAAGGATAAGAAATCTGAGGCTTACAAGAGCAGCAGGACTAGAGAATAGGAAATGAAAGGTTCATCACAATAGTCTTCTCACCATCATAATCTTTTTATTTTGGGGATAAATATTGAATATATTTTATATTCAAGACAACACAATGGGTTTTGGGGGGATTCTGGTGAAATCTGTAGTTAGGACAGTGGCAGAGACTGGCTAGGTACTCACCAAACACATTTTCTCTTCTTTCTGGGTACACTGCTAGCTTATCCTCCCAGCTCACTCTTCCTGAGGTAAGGACATGTGACCACTTCTCATGAATGGAATGTGAGAAGAAATGTGTGTCACTCCTAGGCCAAGGTTGCTGAGTGGGTATAGTCTTCTCTGTGCCCTTTGTTCTTGTTACTACTCAGATTCAGAGGGTCCTTTGGAGTAGTCCAAGGAGATGGCACAGCCACTTGATTGAGGGGAAACCTGGAATCCTAAATAACAGGGAAACCTGGAGTCTCCTTTCCCCCAGCCCCATCCCCACTGAGTCACACTGAATTATGATATGAGCCACAAATAAATCTTTATTTTATTAAGCCACTGAAATTCTGGGGTTATTCAGCACAGTAGCTACCAAGACAAATATAGAAAATTACAATACAAATTGGAAAGTGAGATGTAACTTGTGAGAGATGGGGAGAGCTTCTGTTCCTTTGAGATAATCAAAGAAGATTTTATTGGAGGAGGTAATAACTGAGCCAGATATATTTTTAAATTAGATAAGACATAGGTAATTAGAAATGGGAGAGGCAGAGAGTTGGTAACTGTTTCAGAGGCAGAAATGAAAGAATGAAGGGGGAATTGGGAGGTGTGAATAGATCATATATTATATGTTAGTTTGGATGGCAAGAACGTTATGTGATAGGAGGGAGGTAAGAAGTAAGGGTGGAGAGATAGAATGCTGAATTCCAATTTTACTCCCTAGGATTTGTTTTTTACTAGAAGAGTAAAGAAGAAATAGCTTGGAAAGATGTTTGAGATGACCAATTTAGATATGAGCTCAATGATATCCCCTTGTTACAATAAAACCCCTAATCATAGCAGTGCCTAATAATAGGGTAGAAGACACAGGGAAAAAGTACAAGATGAGACTAGAGGGGTGGTGGGAGCTAGATCATGGCATCAAATTCAGGAGAGCAGATTTTCTTCTTAGTTCCATGGGGTACATTGGAGGGTTTCATGCAGAAGAATGCTGTGAATGTCATGACCCTGATTATTGTGTGGAGAACAAAAGTGCATTGGTAAGAATGGAAGCAAGGCACCAATTAGGAGGCAATGATTAAAGTGAGGCAGGTCCTCTCAAAGAACTTAAAGTCCTAGTTTCAGTATATTCATTTGGGAAGGGTAATGCATTTGCAGGACAAAATCAATAAATTAGAAAAGAAACCCATTGCTATAATTCCTTGAAGTAGAAATACAAAAACAAGAAAATGAATAAATAAATACATACACAAATACAACAGAGTAATAGCAAAAACAAACAACAAACAAACAAACTTATAAGGCAGTCTTCCTTAGACATGAGTGTAGATTGATAATGTCTCAGAGAGGTTGTGTATATCTGTCTAACCTACCCTGCCCTATTCCCCTATCATGCTGTATTTTTCTTTATAGCACTCATCTCCACCTAAAATATTATAATCTATTTTTCACTCATTTATTGCTAGTCTATCCAAATTCCACTTAAACCCAAGAGGGCAGGGAACTCATTTTTTCACCACTGTAGTTCCTGCATTTAGAACAGTGCTTGGGAGAGAAGAGGTAGTATTTGTTGAATGATTGAGAAAAAAAATAGCTATTTGCACCAATGTGTTTTCCTTGAAAAAATACGTGACTTTGTTGGAAACCTCAACTGAAGACTCAGGAAATCTAAGGAATTATTCTTCAGTAAAAGAACCCCAGGATGGACTAATAGAAAGAGCATGAGCTCTGGCATCACACAGGAGTGTATTCAAATCCTGGCTTCTTATGTTTCTAGTATCGAATGCTGGGTACTTGAACCTACTTCTCTGAACTTCATTCCTTATCTTTAAAATAGTATGACTACTCTTACCATAGTGTAATTTATATAAAGCATAATGTCTCCAACCCTATTTTTAAGAAATAATCTTTAATTTGTTGAAATAAATGTTTAAAATTTTCTAGAATTCTTATTTTTTCTAGAATTCACATTCATATCCTGGAAAACTTGGCTGCAGCTAACTTGTATATCTGCCTTTGTTCCCTCCATCCCTATCCTATTAAAATAAACAATGTCATTCTTTTTTCCCTGTGCTTTTCTTGAATTTTGCTTCCTACCTACTACACCACACTGAGCCAGTGAAAACTTGTTTAACTGCACAGCGTTGCCTAGCAATGTCATGCTCCTCTCATGGTCTCTCTCTGGGATATGGTAACTGGACTCCTGCTACTAATTCTTCTGTCTTCATATATCTATATATCCAGTCTTTTAACAACCATTAGAAGGGACATTCTGCTCTTATTAGCTGAAGGTCTTATAGAAGAGTCACCATTGTTATTCATTCTAATAAGATTAGGTAGAAATGTTTCTCTCTCTTTTCTCTAAATCACTCAGATTCTGTGTTTAAAAGGTCAATTACATTTATTTCAAATTGGTAAGACAAACATTTCCTGTGCATCCTGAAAATAAAATGGCTCAATGAACAGTCTCTTGAGAACATTTATTTTTTAAATTTTAAATATCTATCTGGCACTAAAATGTTTCTCCTGAATCTTAGGACTGTATTGAAAGTGATATTGAACAGATGCTGTGTCTGAAATGGAATCCATACCCCAGGAAGCTGACACCAGGAGTGGTGTGGGTGAGATGACCTGGCCCTGTTATTGTATCCTTCACTACTAAATGATCATCTTGGCCATGCTATGAGTTTGCAAGTATTAAACAGAAAAAGCAACAGCCCACTCACAGTGCCACATCATGGAACACTGGAGGTGGGCCACATGTAATAAATATAATTGGAAATAGAAGTAATTTCAAATCACTAATCTGTAGACGACAAAGTGATCTCAAAGAACCAATTGATGGCCAGCTTGTTTTTAGAAATCCTCACTGCAAGAATATTCAGATGCAGTAAAAGAATTTAGAGTCTCCTATTGTGTGGAAATGGGCTTTGATCCCTTACCAGTGGCTTTAGTAGTGCCTTCAGAAGCCTAAGCTGTTACATGCAGAGTCAAGAATAGCCTAAGCTGTTGCATATGGAGTCAAGAATCAGATGTAGGCCAGCCAGATTCCATACATTTATTTACTACATGATACCACATGGGTTACAAACTCAAATGCCTACTGGGGTAGTCAGGTTGCTGGACTAAGCTAGAGGAGGTGCACCTGTTTAAAGAGTAAGCTGCTACTAAGTTGTAGATGTGCTCTGTCTGTGAAACTGCAGACCCAGATAAGCCAGATCTTTTGATGGCTTTAAGAGAGCGTGGTTGTCTGAATTTTCTTGTGGAATGCCTTGATTTTCAAAGCATTGACAGTTAAGTAAAACAATGCAGCCAAACATGTCTTTGGGGCAGATGCAGCACAGAGTCCAGTTCTGTGATGGTCTGTGTATAGTCTTTGCTATTTGTGCGCATAGGCTGAATAAGATAAAGAATATTCCTGAGGTCCGACAGGCTCTTGCAAGAAAGCACAGCTATGTTCTGAGTGACAGGCTACAGGCCAAAGGCCACCTAACAAAATCAACTTTCAAATGGAGACAATACGAATACAAATGTTCCCTGTCAATTAGGCACTCCTACCCCACAGGTAGACAGGAGGAAGTTCCCAAGGAAAAAATTTAGGAAATAGAAAGGAGGAAGAATGGTAGAGGGAAGGGAGAGAAAGTGAGAAAATAGTATGGAGCTGCCTCTGCTTAGTGTCCAGTCTCCTGCTCTGACTGGGGAGGCAGGATGCTGTCCATCCCTAGGCAAAGTTAAATTCTGCTACGGCCTCAATCACTCTGGAAATCCAGAACTCTTAAATTAAATGCCATGGCCTTGGGCTCCAATTTTTAGTAAACTCTTCACCACTAGGAAGGGAAAATCAAACCTCACATCGGCAATGTTTACTCTCTTTTCTCTGCCCTTGCAGGAATCAGATCTTTGCTTAGCTTCTGCATTTCCCCATTTTCCTGAGAGGAGACTAGGATTTTGCTATAAGCAGGGAGGTCCAAGCGAGATCCCACATTAGTTTTGAAGAGATATATACATGCCTAGGAATATATTGTTGCAATACTTTCATTCTGAAAACTGTCGTCAAAATCTGGGCCCACCTATTCAATGTGATAAACGCAGTAAAATCTACATCTTTGGAGCAGCTTTCTGAATATCTCATTTTTCCATCTTCATGGCAACTTCTCAGGCCCAGGCATCCATCTCAGTTTCTATTCTAGCTCTCAAGTGATAGTTAATGAGTGTCTGCAAAATGAAAAGGTATAATCCTTCACAAAATATTCGTAATTTCAAAGCTTTGAAGATGAGAGTAACTGACTTCAGAATGCAAAAATACGAAGCTACAATTCCTAGGATAGAGATTTATTTAGTAGAGGGAGGAGAAGACAGGTTCTGGAGGTAATCCAGGCAGTGTAGACAAATTTAGTACTAAGAGTTTGAATTCTGAGATCCCGTTAACCAGTGTGACCTCAACCCTGCACTATGGATCAAGATTATCACTGTAGAACCTTGAAAGCTAGGCAATGTTGTTAAGGAGATTGGGAGCAGAGAATAAAGACATGATTATGGATACTAGAATCTAGTTATTAAATAAAAGGCAAGAGAACCAACTCAAGGCTGACTTGAGGACAAGTCTCTGAGCTCTTTCAAATTTCTAGAACATTGCAACATGGTGGTGTGGCAGGCAGAACAATGGCCTCCCGATGTCCACAACCTAATCCCCCAAACTGGTGAATTTGTTACCTTACATGGCAAAAGGAACTTTGCATATGTGATTAAGTTGAAGATTTTTGAGATGTGGAGATTATTTTAGATTATCCAATTGGGCTCATTATTATCATAAGTGTCCTTATAAGACAGAAACCAGAGTGTCAGAGTCAGAGAGAACTTAGAAGATGCTTTGCTGCTAGATTTGAAGATGAGAGAATTGGCCATTAGCCAAGGAACATAGATGGCCCCTAGAAACTGGAAAACGAACAAACAAAACAAAACAAAACAAAAAAAGCCCAGTTGCTTCCTAGAGCCTCCAGAAGGAACACAGCCCTGCCAACAGTTTGATTTAATCCCAGGAGTAAAATTTGGATTTCTGACCTATAGAATTTAAGATAACCTATTTCTGTTGTTTTAAACTACTAGTTTTGTGATCATTTGTTACAGCAGCAATTGGAAATTAATGTCATGAACAAACATGTTTTGCTTTCAAAAACACAGAGCATTGGCAACTTAAACAAATTTCACTTCACATAAAAATCTCTGTGTCTGACATCTTAAAAACATCTGGAAAGGCTAGTATTATGTTTGTCCTAGAAAGAGTAATTTGGGTTGCACTGTGCTGTGTCCTTTGGATGAGCATGGACTTCAGATGTATTCGTCCATTCTTGGATTGCTATGAAGAACTACCTAGGGAAGAGGTTTAACAGGCTCATGGTTCCACAGGCTATACAGGAAGCATAACTGGGGAGGCCTCAGGAAAATTACAATCATGGTAGAAGGCAGAGGGGAAACAGACACAGCTTACATGGCCTGAGAAGAAGGACGAGAGAGAAGAGGGAGGTGCTACACACTTTTAAACAACCAGATCTTGTTATCACTACCATGAAAACAGCACCTCCCACCAGGCCCCTCCTCCAACACTTGGGATTACAATTTGATACGAGATTTGGGTGGGGACACAAATCTAAACCATATCATCAGAGTTTGTATCACACCCTATTGCGGTGTTTATTGTGACATCTCTCTCCATATGTATTTATGTATATATATTTTTTTGAGTCAGGGTCTTGCTCTGTTGCCCAGGCTGAAATATAGTGGCATGATTTCATTCACTGCAGCCCCCATCTCCTGAGCTCAAGTAGTCCTCCCTTAGCCTCCTGAGTAGCTGGGACTATAGGCACATGCCACCATGCCCAGCTAATTTCTGTATTTTTTGTAGAGACAAGGTTTCACCATGTTGTCCAGGTTGGTCTCAAACTCCTGAGCTCAAGCACTCCACCCGCCTTGGCCTCCCAAAGTGTTGGAGCCACTGTGCCTAGCCTTTCTCCAATTTTATATGCCATGTACCCCTATGGTGTTTAAGTTCCTGGACTGAACTGTTGTAGATCATCCTCTCTGACAAGCAACATGACTGACTCCACAGTTTGGGTTTAGGCTGAATGTGCAAGTTAATGTTAGGTGAGCCCAGCACAGATGTCTATATTGGAGAAACGAGGGAGCCAGGACCCTTGTTCCCATTCTACAGATCATATACTAACCATTATCTGCGGAATGACGGGAAATGGAGTTGTTGCTTGGCTGCATGAAAAAAAATCAGCCTGGGGCAGCACCTGTAAATTCCACGTCATTTTCAAGTTGGCTTTGTCAGTAGCTCATCAGGCCAGGAGAGTGGATGTCATAGAGCCAGCTTGGCCCATGGAAGACTCCTGCACAGCCCAGGCTGCATGGAGCTCTGCCCTCAGTTCTTCATTGAGAGAGGCAGCTCTGACAGCAGGCATATGCAGACTGTGTGGTCACAGGCACAGGTGAAATGAGAAACGGCTGACAGCCGGTCAGAATTGCCCTTGTTGTGTCACGTGGAGCACATCACATTACCAGAGGGCCTCGTTTACTATAGATGAGGAACTTGGTATAAAACTAACAACCCTAAATGATTTTGTTTTTCTATGACCCAGCATGGTAATACGTTGGGAGCATTTGCTCTGCTCTGTCTAACATAATGGTGTCATGGTGAGTTTCCCAGGATTTTATTGGCACTGATGTGAAATAGCTGTTTTTTTCTCTCCAAGGCTATAATTTTCCATGTTCTGATTTTGCAATCATAGCACCATTTGGGTTAACTCAATTGCTTTGTCGCTTCGGTAAAGACAGCCCACACATAATGGCAATTTAAAAAATCATACAATTTTAATAATTGAGTGACTAAGACCCAGAGTGTCTGATACAGGAAGCTCATAATATTTTGTAATATGATTTTGAAAAGATAATAGAGGGTAGAGAAATGAGTACGACAAGAAAATGACAACACTTTCTTAAAGTGCTGCTATTAAGTGGGTATGACAAGCCCAGCTGGGTTCCTACAATGTTTAGCAAAGAACAGGACCCTTCTAAGCTGCTGCCAGAGCCTGCTTGAGTGCAGCAAGAGCAACGTGGTGGTGAATTTGTTTTCTTTCCTCCTCCCTGCTGCCTTTGTTCCTGAGGATTATTTTACCACTGTCCTACCCTCCCTGCTCCTAAAGGCTTGGTGGAGCTCAGGGGCAATGGACCCTGTTGCCATGTTAAGCTTTCTCTTTAATCTCTCCTGCTGGGTGCAGTGGTTCTCAAAGTTTTTTGTTTTGTTTTGTTTTCCCCAAAGCACTAGAGTTCATTCTTCAAGAGAAATAGTTCATGAAAGTTCAATATATAATACTACATATAAAAGCAGCACACTCTGATGGAAGAGATGGAGAGACACAACAGATTCTGAGAATCCTGGCTTTTCTTTCTCTCCCCATCTGGGGACACACGGGAAGATGTTTGAAATCCACTGGCTTGGAGCTCACTGGGAAACCTTGAAGATGCTTTGAAATGGTATTTCCGAGGGTTCCTTCAAGTCAAGGGTGTAGAATTTCTAGTTCAACTACACTTCTAAAAATTCTGTGATTTGAACACTGTTCTGTGAGTAAGGCTCAGAGGGCCTCATCAGATGAAAAGGCCATTTTTGTTGTTGTTGTTGTTGTTATTTTACTTTTTTTTTTTTTTCAAATGCTTTGCTTATTTGGTAAGCTCGAGGGAATTCTTGGAGTTGGAAAAGTTTCCCCCAATGGTCTGTCACATTCATCATTTATCCAAAACAATTCCTCTTGGATTGAAGAAGAGGGTGTGGACATGTCAATGTCCTAGGCACTTGGTTTTCTCTCTAATATTACTTCCTTCTTTTTAGAAGTTTATGTGAAACGGTTTCTGCTTTTGCTTGATCACTGAGATTCTGGACAGTTAATTTTTAGCTAACCTTTCTCAAAGCGGCATTCACTTTGAGGTCTTCCCTCTCACGTAACCAAAGAGGATAAAAATGGTACCCAGGTTACCTAGCCTTAAGTCTCAATTTTGCCGTAAGACCATGGAAGCTCCAAGAGGCCAGGTGATTTTCTAATGACAAACTTTATGCTTTTTTTGGTTTCTAATGTGTCAAAATATACCTAAGCTACTGTAGGAGATTTGAAAAGCTCTAAGTGAGATGGTCTTGATTTTGTTAAAGGAGTTGTTTACATGGTAAGGTGAGTTGAAGTTCATCCCAGGTCATCGGTCACCAGGTAGATAACACAGATTTACCTGATGTCAAAACCAACCTTCTATTTCCCTAGTATTTCCACTATATTCACAGGGTATTTGGCATTGTATAGACAGCTTAGATGAAGTCTCCTTGGAAATGAAAGCTCACTGTAAATTAGAGAAAACAGCCGTGTTTTATTCTTGATCCCAGGATCAAACTCAGAAAGTAACCTTAAGGCAATTTCAACCCTTCAGGGGCTCAGTTGCTCTCCAAGGGAAAATCACTTCAGCTGTGTAGGTTGCTTTAGAGAAAAAAGGGTGTTAATAGAAGAATTGCCTTTCTTACTTCAATGCTGTGGACAGTGAGTGGCCAATTTACTCAGACCTGAGGGCTGTGAGCATAGACAGGTGGCTTTCAATGCCCAGCCCAGCTCAAAGTCATGAGAGTAGATCAGAAACTAGATGGGGGTGTTTGGTGTCACTCTCTAAATTGTATAGATATTATTGACAGACATTTAGGCACACAGTAGGAGAGGGAAACTTTTCTATTCTTCTGCAAGCCTGAGTCAGTCTCTCTTTCCTCTTCCCCTTTTATTCAACTGCCTCCGTGTTAAACAATCTCTGTCAGATCAGCCTACAAATATTTCCAAACCGTTGTCCTTTTCTGAACCTCTTAAATAATGTTCCATATTGACTTGAAACTCCACTTGCCATAAATGCATAAATGGTTACTTTTTATGGTGATTGAATTCAAGTTATTTTCTCTATTTAGAATGTTCTTCCTCATATCCACTTGTCTAAACCTTGCTGTAATAGATTTCCCAAGGACTGCTATCTCTCCCCATAAGAGAATTTTACCTCCATACTCCAGTGACAGCAAACTTGACCTGTAAATTGCTTTGACTGATGAAATGTGAATGAAAGTTACTTAAGTCACTTCTGAGCAGCAGCTTTATGAAGTATTACATGGTTCTGTCATTATTCTTTTTCCTCTGCCATCAGACATGTGTGTTCCACATAGGTCATATTCTGTCAGGTTAGTTGCAGAATAAAAGAGATGTGCAGCTGAACCACAATGGACATGCAATACAGGAGGAAAAAAGAAATTGTTGTTGAGATTTGGGGATTGTTTGTTACCACAGCACATGATAGCATAAGTTGACTAATGCACTTGTTTATAATTCAAAGCCCAATTCAATGTCATTTCTTCTACAAAACCTCTTATTTCTGTAATATGATATCACTGGATTTGAATCCTAAATTTGCCACTTTGTGAGTAATAAGACATTGGAAAATTTATTCAGTCTTTCTAAGGTTTAGTTCCTTTACCTGTAAAATGAGGAGAATACTAATACTTTAAGGAGTGTCACAAGATTTAACATAATTCATGTAAAGCTCTTAGCACTTAGTAGTTAACTAGTATTATTTATCTTTTAAGTTTTCCATTTCTTATTTATAGCAACTGGCATACTGCCTTGCACTTAGGAAATGTTTAATAATTGTTGAATAAATCAACGAATTAAAAAAATGCTCATTGATATCCATCGTATTTTACTTTACTCTTAAGAGTTGAGGGTGAAGGCCACCATGGATTATCTAGAAGTTCCACCCTGGAATTTACCATGGACCATACAGTTTTAAAAGAGGAGAGCATAGCTTTCATTAGCAAGTTATCTTGATTTCTTGAGAGCCAGAGGAAAAATCAGAGAAGGATTTTCTAGTCTCCCATGTGGCAGAAAATGCTTAACAATTTCTTCAAGGCTGAATAAGGCATAAACGTATATACTTTTCCTCAGGTGTCTTCTGTCCCTCTTTTCCAGGAAATTCTGTATGTATGAGCTAAATAATGATTATAGGTAATATTCCTATTATCAAAGAGAAAGGATGATTGTAAAATAATAAAATGTGAGATTTGATTTTATTACTCCCTAAATCCTTTTATAAAATGTTCTCATTTCATATAAGGAACACTCATGCTGCTTTTTTATACTTACCCTTTAGGGTAATTTCCTTTTTCCATTCAGAATTCATCCTGTTTTTTTAAATGGCTCCCCAAAGTCTTCCTTTGCTAATAGTTGCTCACCCATCTGTGCATACGCATGCCATCCTGTAATTCTGGTTTCTAAGCAAAGAAAAATTTTATCTCCAATGAAACCAACTGGAGGACATAAAATATAAATCAACTTCTTAGGGCTTATCTCCCAAGCACCATCACTATGGATGATGTATCAGGAGATGAAAAAATGTATGAAAGAGATTTATAATTAAGAATTTAGTCACCTATGTCTAGATCAGTATTGTTTTCCTCCAATTAGATACTGAGTTTTTAGGAGACTGTCTTTGTATGCTTTAGAGAACTGAGTCAGAAAGCTGGAAATGACTCCACCAATTATTTGTTGATTTACTGATTATCATTTTGCTCAAGTGATGAGTCTTGGCCCTGCAATAATACTATCAAGTTGTATACGCAAAACTAAGGGCTAAATTTTATGGTGTAGAATATGAGTGCAGTAGAAATTAATTAAATGGTCTGAATAGCTATGATAATGCCAGATACCAGGGATAATCTTCATGTTTAAGGTATTAGAAGTAAGAAGAAATCAATATCAGCTTCTTTATAACTTGGTAAGGGAAGCATAGCTATAAATATAAGCTAGAAGGAGTACAGAAGAGTGAGAAATTGCCTTGAACAGATAATAGATGGCTTTGCATAGAAGTTCTGTTTGAGCTGGTTCTGGAAGGAGTAGTCATTATGTGACAAAAGAACAATGTGGAAAAATAAAAGCCCTGATATCAGAAAGCATAGGAGATAAAAAAGTAGTATGTATTTAAAAAACTAGATCACTTAGACCTGTTGAGTTTGAGAGACTTGGGTTGGGAGATAACCAGAAAAGACTTCTGTATATGGACTGAAAAGTATTTTATAATTTTCAAGGTGGCAATTTTGATTGACTAGAAGGTGTGAATAGATGAAGAGAACTGGATGTTCCAGAAAGAAGGTGAGGAAGAATGGAGAGGGTAATCAGGCTGTAGGCTGAAGGTAAAAATAAGCATCGCATTGATATTTGGATGTGATTGAGTCACCTGAGACCAAACTGCAAACTCATTGTCCTAGTCTAGCGTCCATGATAAATGCATGAAGATTTGAAAGCTTCTTGAGGGTAGGCCCAACAATTTATCCCATTAATTTCTAGGCTCACACTCAGTGAATGCCTAGCAAAAGAACAGATTTATCAATCTTTCAATTTTTTTCTGCTTTATTCATCCAATGCTGCCTATCAAAACTCTTGCCAGTTGTTCCCCCTCGTGCTTTGATTCACATGAGTATTAGATATTCGTGAATATCTAATATTCACATAGTGTTAGTTTTGGGCCGGGTTCTGTTCTAAGTGCTGTGTATGTGTTCTCTCATTGCAACCCTCTAAGGAAGCTGGTGCTGTATATGAGATTCCTCCTAACAACCGCATGAGAGTGGTAGTAGAGATAAAAATCTGAGTCACATCAAGCAACTTTCCTAAATGGAGGAAGTGGGATTGAACCTGGGCAATCTTGGTCCAAAGTCTGAGCATTTAACCACCATGCTCTGGTTTCTAAAGACAGCATGTACGTTTGCTGATGGGACCAATAGTGCAAGCATTTGTGTACAGTTTACTTTCTGATAATTTTCCTATTTCTATGACTCTTGGCAACGTGCTGTACCATTTCCAAAGAAACATGACAGAGTGGAAGGAAGATCTGCTTCGGAGTGAGTCTGGACTCCACATATACTCATTGTGTAGCCTTTGGTAAGACACTTAACTTCTTTACAACTTTCCCATGACTGTTCATTTGTAAATGCGAATGGAAATTTACACACTGCGGAGTTGGTATGAAGATTGTGACTAATCCAGGTGAAATTTTCTGGCATATAGTGAGTTCTCAATAAACATTAGCCATCAGAATTAGTTGTTCTTGTTAATGTGGCGGCCACCTGCTTCTCTTGCATCCCTAGGCTTGGGTACTTTTGAGAACAGATTAGGTACTAAATAAAGGCTGGCTGACTAGTTGACTGATATTTTTTTGCCTTGCCTGGGGGAAGACATCCCAGAACAATATGTTACTATTAGTCATTTTTCTCTAATTTGTACACAGTCTCTTTAATAACCATTTGCACTTGCATAGCACTTTCTATTAACTGGAGTTGGTTTTACTAACATTAATGAGACTTGCAAAATACCTGTGTTATGGCAGGATTATTATTAGCCTGAGAAAATTTTTCATCACAGTTTGTCACAGGTTGAAAAAAAAGCTAATAATTTAACAGAAAAACCAAGACTACAATATTCATATTCCACACACAGTGACTGGTTGTCTTCATTTAGGTGTACTGTTTGGAAGTCCCAGTGCTTTTTCCTTCTCCTGACAGTTTCCAACTAAAGTCCACTGCTGATATCAAAGGCCACTGATGTGCAAATTATTTCTGTGTTCATTATTCTTTTACCTCATTCACAGAGCAGGATGATGCTTTGCACTAGTTTCTACTTAGAGTGCTCCAGATCTGGTAGGTAACAGAAGACATGCATTTAGGCCTCAAACAGTACAATTTAAAATAAATTCTGTTGGAAAAAGCAAGTCATATTAGTGACATGAACCAATGGCCTACTATATTATGACACAAAAGAAACCACTGATATTTGTTAGCATAGTAGCTAGCTCTCTGGCTTGCCAGTATTCCATTTTACAACCTAAACACATATAATTTTTGTTCCAAAGAGTAAAGGAATCTATTTATACAATGTGAGCAATTTTTTAAAACTCAAGCAACAGATAATGAGACAGCTACTAATCCCATGTGGCAAATCCTACTCAGAGAGTACTTTTTCTCCTCTTGCAGCCAATCTGTTATTTGTTATTGTATTTTTTATTTAGTATTCTTTTTAAAAATTGGGTAGAGACCTCCTAGCCTTTTAATCTGCAAGGCAGAAAAATGCTGTACTACTTGTTACTCCTTGTGATCACCATATGTAGAACAGATTATCCAAAGCTGTTTCCCTAATTCTTCTCATTAATTTTTTTCTCTCACTGTCTTACAACATAGGTGGTCTCCCTGGGGTTTCTCACCAGCTAGATATGTACATTTTTGCTAGTTATTTTACATCTTTGAGCTTCATTTTGCTTTTATCTGTAATGGGGGAGATAAGTTAGAAGTGCTTGCTATTTTTTAAAGTTTTTTTCTAGCTCTAAATTATATATATTTTGTCATAATGCATTACATTGTTAACAATTTAGTTTTGCTCAATGAACATTGTTTGAGCTGAAGTCAATCAAGAAGTATATTGCATTTCTGTGGGCAAAGAAATGGTGTAGGTTATTCCATTAGTTTCCTATTGCTGCTGTAACAAGTTACCACAAACTTGGAGGCTTAAATAACACCAGTTTACTGTCTTACAGTTATGTAGGTTAGAAATGCTTTATAGGTTTCACTGGAATAAAGTCAAGGCATTTGCAGGGCTTTGCTGGTTCTGGAGGCTCTAGGGGAGAATCCATCTCCTTGTCTTTTCCACCTTCTGGAAGCTGCCTCATTCCTTGGCTCATGTCCCCTTTCTTCTATCCTCAAAGCCAGCAACATGGCATCTCTGTTTGTGACTCTTTTTCTCCTCACATTTTCCTGACTGATTCTTCTCTTCTATCTCCCTCTTTCACATGTAAAGACCCTTGAGATTATACGAGGCCATCCAGATAATCCAGGATAATCTTAAAGTTGACTGATAAGCAACCTTAATTGCATTTGCAAACTTAATTCCACTTTGCCATGTAATCTAACATATTTACTAGTTCCAGGAATAAGGATGTGGATATTTTGAGGGGATGACATTATTCTGCCTATAAGAGTTATATATGCATTGATCTGTTTTTTTTTAAACAAACAACTATTATATGCCAAACACCATTAGCTACCGAGAATGGACTAGAAGGAAAAAATAGAAATAGTCTCTGACATGTTGAAATTTATAAAGAAGTGATATGACATGGGTTAGATTGTAACAGATGAACATTAAATTGCAACTGTAATAAGGAAGGAGTGATATTATGATACACTATTTAATATGGTTTAGAAGTGTGTCACCTCCAAACCTCATGTTGAAATGTGACCCCAATGTTAAGGTGGGCCTAGTGCTAGGTGTTTGGGACATGGGAGTGGATCCCTCTTGAATAGCTTGGTGCTGTTCTCTCAGCAATGAATGAGTTCTCACTCCATGAGTTCATGTGACAGTTAATTGTTAAAATGAGTCTGAGACCTCCCCCTTTTTATTTTACCTCCTCTCTTGTCATATTACACACCTGCTCCCCTTTCACTTTCTGCCATGAGGAAAACTTTCCTGAGGTTCTGACCAGAAGCCAAGCTGATGGTAGTGCCATGCTTGTACAGCCTGCAGAACCATGGGCCAAATAAACCTCTTCTTTCTAAATTATTCAGCCTCAGACATTTCTTTATAGCAACACAAAATGAATTACTACACTATAAAAAGATTTTTTGACTTAGTAAAAGTGGCCAGGAAATGCTTCTCTCAGGAAGTGGTGACCATTTAGTTGACATCTAAAGAAGCATTTGGAATTTACCAGATGCAGAAGGGAGGAGAGTCCCACGAAGAAAGAAGAACAACATATGCAGAGGTCTTGGAGCAGGAACGAGCATGGCCATTCAGAGAAACTGCGCTGATGCCTCTGTGGCTGGAGCTCCAGCTGGAGGGTGCCATGATGCCTTATGAAATGAAACTATGAAGGTGAGAGGGGCCAAATCATGCTCTGTACCTGTGTTGGCCATGCCCAGAAAACACTATTAGTGATAATGGCATTTGAAAACCATACAATAGTTTAAGTACTACATTGACCTGATCAAATCAGATTTTCAGAAGTTAATTTTGAGGATAGAAGACCCAGTCCCTGCCTTCAAGCAGCTCTCAGTAGTTTAATAGAAGTCGTAAATATACACATGAAAAGTTAAATAACAAAAATTAAGTAGAAAAGACAGACCATAAGACGGTACAGATAAAAGCTCTGAATTTAAGGGATGCGAGTCAATAATCTAAGAAGTTTTTCTGGAAAAAGATAGACTTGTGATAACCATAGATATACTTTGATAATGATACTTTATTAAGGACACTAACTACCTTAGTTATCTTTTGCTATACATTTAGTGGCTTTTTTACTATACATTTAGTGGCTTAAACAATGTTCATTTATTATTCCACAGATTTCTAGGTCAGAAGTGCAGTATACTGTGTCTGTGTTCTCTGCTCAGGGTCTCAAAGGCTAAAATCAAAGTGTTAGAGGAGCCGCTTTCTTTCTGAAGCTCTGAGGGAAGAATCTGCTGCCAAGTTTATTCAAGTTGTTGGCAGAATTCAGTTCATTGTGGTTGTAGGTCTGAGGTCCCCATTTCCTTGACATGTGGTCTTCTTCATCTTCAAGCCAGCCAGAGCAAATTCTTCTCATTCGCTGAATCTCTCTAGTGTCTTTCTTCTGTTTTTAGGTGCTTATGGGGTTATATCAGGTCTACCCAGATAATCCAGGATAAATCCCTATTTTAAGCTCAAGCGATTAACCTTCATCACATCTGCAAAGTTGCTTTTGCCAAGTAAGGTGATAACATATTCCAAGTACTGAGATTAAGGCATTGAATATCCTTGGGGGTGGGGGTGGGAGTGGGGGTCATAATACTCCCTGCCATACACACAGAACCAGACGAATGGGAAATTCCAAAGGATCTCCCTTTGAATTTCTTACATTATGGCTTAGGAGATAAGTTTAAGTACAATAATAACTATGTTGTTGTTGTTGTTGTTGCATGTGTGTGATATCATGATCATAAATGCCCATTAGACCCAAGAATATATACATGTTTTAAACAAAACAGGGAGGCCTTTGGTCAGCTATGGAGCACACAACCAACATAAAGTCTTTCAAATTCAATTTTTTTTAAACAAAATATTCGCTGGCCAAACAAAATATACTTGTGGGTAAAATCTGGCCCATTGGCTGCCAGATGTGAACCTTGAGATAGGTTCTCTAAAAACTGGTGAAAAAATAAGTTAGAAAAATGACAAAATTTGAGGCACTTGGTGCTAAAACTCTTCATTTCTTTTGTCATCACCAGCATTTGCTAAAATTAATTGTTCCCTCCTCCTTGAAACATGTTCTCTGGAACACCACTCTCTTGTATTCCTACTTCTGTCTCCTTTGCCCCTCCTCTTCCCAATTCTGCATGCTGAGGTGCCCCAGGATCTAGTCCTTGGAATTCCTTCCTGATCCACATTAATTCTCATTGATCTCATTCAGTCCCTTGGCTATAAATGCTGTGTCTAGAGTGATGACTCCCCAGTTTATGTTTTTAGCCCTGACTTCTCCCCTGAACTCTTGTCATTTCTATCCAGCTGCCATTTGAACATCTCCACATCCATTTCTAATAGCCAACTCCATCCTAATGTGTCCAAACTGGACTTTTCTTTTTTCTTCCCAAACTTGCTGCTCTTTCACCTTCTCCATCTCAGTAAATGGCTGCCCCATTTTTTCAACTGCTCAGACCCAAAACCTTGTGTCACTCCTGATATTTTTCTTTCTTTCACACCCTACATCTCACCTATTAACAAGTCACATGGGCTAGATCTTCCAGGATCTGGTCATCTCTCACTACTCACAATGCCATCACCCTGGAATAATGCAAAACCATGTCTTCCCCAATGGACCCCTTGTCTACACTCTTACCCTGCTACTGTCTATTATCCACACACCAGCCAGAGTGATTTCATTTTAAATGTGAAACCCAAGTCACATCATATCACTCCTTTCTTTATATATGCCAGCAGCTTCCCATCTTACCCAGAATAACTTTTAATGTCCTTCCCTTGGCATAGCATCTGGCTCTGCTTGAATCCTTGACCTCATTTCCAATCTTTTCTACTTTTTCATATTACTTTAATCACATCAACTACCTGGCTCTTCCTTGAACAGACAAAGTGCTCTCCATCATCCTTTTCTCTTCTTTTCTTACCCTGTTGCTTCATTTGGTTGTCTACTTAAATGTCAAATAATAGTGAGATCTTACTTTGTTTAATTTTTAAATAGCATTTACCCTGCATGGCAAATGACATGTTATGTATTTATATGTTTATTGGTCTAGTGACTGTCCTTCCTCACTAAAATGTAAGTAAAATCTGTGACATCAAGAACTTTGTTTCGTTGACTGAAGCACTCAGTACCTAGAACAAGGATAGAAATGTATTTATCAAAGGGATTAATAAATTCCATCCCCCTCCAGTGAAATTTTTCTGGCAGGGCTTTCATTCTGAAGTAGTGAGTCTTACACTAAGCTTTGAATGAAGACATGAGCTTGGATTGATAGAGGAGAAAAATGAAGCATTTCTGGGAGGGGAGCTAATTCCAATAAAGACACAAGCTAGAAGTGAGCAAGACACAGATCCTATAAATAACTATTAATAATTTCCAGTGTTTATTGAGTACTTACTATGTGCCAAGTACTGCTTCACTTTTTAAGTCATTTAATTCTTATAATAATGCTAGTAGGTAGTTGGCATTACAGTTTTACTACTAAATGTTGGTTTATCCCACTGGCTGCATGTTTAATATAAAAAGACAACCTTCGCCTTGAAAAGCAGCAATGATATGATAAAGATTACAGGTCTTTTGAGAACAAACCAGAATATTCAATCAGAAATTGACTGTGATATGGCACCTATATAAAATCCTAAATATGAATAAAGAGCTATGCATAATGGCAGTTATTGCAACATTATATATGAGTAAAAAACAGTGGCAAGTTATTCTTCTTTCACATAGAAGTAAATCCAAGGATGGGAAAGACACTACCCCCCAACTGCCCACACATACATACACACGTTTTCTTCTAAAGGGAGTTTTTGTCTGCTCAAGAATTTAGACAAGTAATTGGTTGAGTTCCCAGAGTTCTGCACCTTAAACCAGAACTCGCTATTTTAATCTAAGAAGAAAAAGAAAATAAAGAAAAGGAAAAGAAAAGAAAACCTCAAGGGTACAGGCTTTACAATCATATAGACCTGTGCTCCAATTCTGGCTCTGTCATTTATAAAAAAGACAAACTAAGGGGATTTCCCTCATACAATTCTCAGTTTCTTCACCTGTAAAATGGACTTAACAACTGGGTTATATCAGAGGGGACTTTGATGAGATAATTGCTCTTTTCCTGTGAAATTAGGACCATTCCACTCTTTCCTCTGTCTTAGGCAATGACTGGAACTTCCATTTATCCAATTTTGTATTCTAGAACCTATGCCACATCCTTAACACTTCTCTCACCTTCTCTGTCTTTCCCATGCCTAGATTCTGCCAATGCTGCCACCTACATATCTATCAGAGCCACCTACGTCTTTCCATCTTTTCTCCTTGGGTCTCCTTTACCCTCGTTAGTACAGATTCTCAACTCTTGCTTAGATTACTGTAATAACCTTCAAAGGAGGATTCATTCCTGTACTTTGTCCTTCTTTCTCTTCATTTCCATATTGCAGTTGAAACAATATTCTCACAATGAAAATATGATCAAGTTCCCCTCTAAACTCACAGCTTTAAACCTTTCACTGTTTTCTCTTTGATCACAGATATATACACAAATCTATACCTTGTCCCACCTTACCTAACTCTCTTGTCTCATCATGGATTCTTTCCCCACCCCTCTCTTTCTGCTTTCCAACTCACTGGCTTTCTTTGAATTCTTCAAACACACCATGTTCCCTACTGCTTCAGAGCTTTTGTGTTCCCTTTGATCGAATGCTTTTGCCTCCGCCCACCCCATTTTCATTTAGGGACCTGCATGATTCAGCCTTTATCTCACAGCCTGCGTCAGTTTATTTTAATGTGTTTTCTCAGTACCTTGTTACTCCTTTAGAGCTCTGTTATCAATTTGTAATTACAGCATTCCCCACTTATCTGCGGTTTCACTTTCTGCAGTCTCAGTTATCCACGGCCAACCACAGTTTGAAAATATTAAATGAAAAAAATTCCAGAAATAAACAATTCATAAGCTTCCCATTTGCCCACTGTTCGGCATAGCATGATGAAATCTCACACCACCCCACTTCAGCCTGCTCAGGATGCGAACCCCCTTTTTGTCCAGCATATCCATGCTATATATGCCCCCTGCACTTGAGTCTCTTCATAGGTGTCTGGGTTATCAGATCAACTGGTTGTTATATTGCAGAGCTTGTGTTCAATTTACTCTCATTTTACTTAATAATGCTTTAGCAACAATAACTTCATTTAGTTACTGTTATTCATCTCTTACTGTGCCTAATTTATAAATTAAACTTTAACATAGATATGTATATATCTATGAAAAAAATAGGAAATAGGAAAAAAATAGTATATGTACATGGTTTGCTACTATCTATTATTTCAGGTCTCCACTGGGGTTTTTGGAACTTATCTTCCTTGGATAAGAGGGGACAACTGTGTACATTATTACAGTGGTCATATGATTAATTCCTCTAGGGGACTCTGTGTTCCATGGAAGTAGAAACCTGTTTGCCTTTGCTGACTCTATCTCCAGTGCTCAGCACCACATCTTCTACATCGTGGATGTTTCATTAACATTTGCAGAATGAATAATCAAATAAGACTTTACAGAACATCTCCACATAGTAGGCTCTCAATCATAGTGGCTATTACCACTATTATCTTTTAGCTACTTGAGTCATAAAATCACATGTTTATTCTCTGAAGAAGACCAGTTTGAGTACACTTTTGTCTTAGTGGCTCCAACATTTTGCAAGAGCAGACCACAAATGTCCCCCCTATAGCTGAAAAACCTTCCTGTGTGTACAACTCTTTAACTCAACATTTAAGTCTGCATTTAAATATGAAATAATGGATACCAAATAAAATGATTTCTAGTATTTTTTAAAAGGAAGTTTCTGGTAACTAGCCAATGAATCTCTTCTTTTTTAAAGGCCACTCCCAGTTAATAAAAAATAAAACTATCATTAGCATAAGGGATGCTGCCTGTTTCCTTTGATAAGTGAACAAGCAGCCCATTCCTCCAACAACTGAATCATATTCATGAAGCATAAATAAAAAAGGAGGTTATGACCCAAATATTTCTTTTATTAAATATAATTGGAATTTCATCTGTTAAAAGATCATGTCTACCTACTCTGATTTTAGACTCTGTCTTTCCAAATTTATTACTGGCTACTTTTTTTTTTTTAACTGCATTCCTTTCACACAGAACTGCTTGCTGTTTTCTATCTACATCCCAAATTTTCCCATTCTGTGCTTTTACTAATGCCTTCTTTGTTGCCTAGTATGGCTGTTATTCCACCAATACTTCAAGGCCCATTCAAGGCAATCTCCTTATTGACCTCCCATTTGGAAAGAAATCTCTATCTCTTGGGTCTTCCTGCAATTCTTTTTCTTTTTTTTAATTTTCTGCAATGGCATTTGTAATTTTACCCTTTTTAACTTTATAATGTATTTGCTATGTAGATTTGTTATATGTTCTGCTAGATTTTAAGATCCTTAAGGGAAGGGTTTATGTCTGACTCAATTATTATCTGGCATCTTACCTGTATATTGATGGCCTTAGATAAGCATTTGCTAAATGAATAAATGAAAAGGTAAATATTTAAATGGAAGAAGAGATATACAGACTTTAATAAAATATTGTTAACCTAGAATAACCTAGAATTCATATTGATGGAATATATCCATGACCCCAGATTATACCTGTCTATAAAACCAAAAATGAAAGAACTATCAGTATATCCTGAGACAAGCCTTATGTCACTCCTAACCATGTTCTTGAGATATAAAATTAATCAGGGTTCAAAATCGTTTTGTATATACATCTGAACTGTAGTTTTTACTTGTTCCTCATATAACATATTAGAAAAAACATAGTCAGGCAAATTGTTGAGTAGAAACAAGGACGATCACATTTATAATATTGAAGAGCTGGATGGAACTGAATACAGCAAGTCCATTTGTAGACTTCATTCATGGGGTTATCCAGTCCATATAAATAATGGGCACTGATATGGTTTGGCTGTGTTCCCACCCAAATCTCTGAATTGTAGCTCCCATAATTCCCACATGTTGTGGGAGGGAGCCGGTGGGAGACAATTGAATCGTGGGGGCGGTTTCCCCCATACTGTTCTCTTGATAGTGAATAAGTCTCAAGAGATCTGACAATTTTATAAGGGGCTTCCCTTTTCACTTGGCTCTCTCATTCTCTCTTGTCTGCTGCCATGTAAGTTGGTACCTTTTGCCTTCCTCCATGATTGTGAGGCCTCCCCAGCCACATGGAACTGTGAGTTCATTAAACCTCTTTTTCTTTATAAATTGCTCACTCAGTCTTGGATATTTCTTCATCAGCAGCATGACAACGGACTAATATAGGCATCATCACTGAACATAGTATCTGGATCAAGGATGGCAAATACCAGGTACGTGCACTTCTATTTCTTCATTCAGTGGATAGAATAGATGTCATTCATCAAAGCTGATATTCTTTCCCACCAACAGGTGTGATCTTAGAATTTTTCCTAACCCAGCACTCCAGATACCAATATCAGTTAATATACATGGTATATCTCAAATCTAAATGATTCTAAGTTGTGGAGGAATTTTCTCAAGGCCTTTTAGTTTTTGTTTTGTTTTAGTTTGTTTTAGTTTCAGGTGACTAATAACATATTTTAAGTTATGTAAAACCTCCTGACCCCAGTAAGGGATGATAAGTATAGATTATTATAGAATTGTATGGGTGAGTAAAGCAATTTCTCCAGTGATCACAGTACACCTGCTCTTCTGTGATGCCTCCTACAAAAGCCATGCTGTAGGCAACAATGCCGCCTAAACCTTATTCATTATTGGATCTGGTAGATATCAAAGCCTCCTAGGCAATTGACTCGAATACTATTTTTTTTCTGAAAATGATAGATTGCTTAGGAAAAGCTCAAATTTGTGTGTGTGTGTGTGTGTGTGTGTGTGTGAGAGAGAGAGAGAGAGAGAGAGAGAGAGAGAGAGACTTCATCTGAATTCTATTAAGGTGTTATGTCATCAACTTTTCTAGAAGCCAAAAATAGCCTAGGATTCATTTTTGAATTTTGGTGGCCTAGATCAAGAATTGTACAGGGAGCTTCCACTGACTGCAGTCACTTATTGATATGTAGGCCTGGACCATTGGTTCTCAACCAGGGGCAATTTTGTTCCCAAACCTCTCCTAAGGGATATTGTCAATATCTGGAGACATTTTTGGTTGTCAAAACTGGGAAGGGAGGTGCCACTAGCACTAGTGGGTAGAGGCCAGGGACGCTTCTGAACACCCTGCACTGTACAGGACACATCCTACAGTACAGTCATCCAGCCTCAAATGTCAATAGTACAGTTTTTGAGAAATTCTGATTTAGAGAATTGCTCTAGAATGTTAGCTCACTGAGGTTGGGGATCTGATTTTCTTAGAGTCCATAGCACAATGCCTGGAAAATATTAAGTGCTTATGATTTCTTAAATGATTGAATGGAAGAATGGATGAACAATTCCATTTTAGCAACTCATGACATTGCTTAGGAAATAGAGTGATTCTTACTTTATCTTCATAGCCTCTTTGTTTGACCAATGAGCGTGACCACACTTAAAGCTAGTAATGATGAAGTTCCTAGTATATTGAAGAGGTAAATAAATACTCTTGCTTTGGCCCAAAATATCAATGTTCATTGTGGAATTAAACAATGACGAACTGATGACTGAAAGATCTATGACAGTATCTCTATCATTGGAAATGTAAGACCTTCTCTTTAGGCCATGTATGGGTTCTCATCAATTTTTGGTTGTGAGGATAAATTATTTTAAGATGTATTTTTCTCTCATATTGCTAAGTTAACTTTTGCTATATTAATAATAGTAACAACAATAACATAAAAAAGATGGTCAATCTTCCCAGTCCGTGTGGTGGAGTTGAGTCTTTGACAAAACTATTTCCAATTATTTATTATTCAAAATGTTATCAAGACAGCTAAAAGAACTTGAGTATATAAAGCTCAAGATACTGTCATAAGGTCTTTAGGATTTAAAACATATATTATGAATCTCTGTATTTCCAGGACTCTGCTCTGTTACAGGTGAATTTTGTCTTAAAACTCAACTTGGGCATAGTTGGACATGAATCTGTCAGGGTTTCTTTGAAAGCTATCTCTTAGGTCTGATCCTGTGACTTCTGTCAGTCACTGGGTAAAAACAAAGTTAAAAAAAAAAAGAAAACCTCATGCAGGAGGAAAGAGAATTGACATTTGTCAAGCAACAGCATGATACCAGGTCTTAAAAATATACCTTTTTCTCAATTAATCCTCATAACTAATACATGAATATGTATTATGTCTTTGTGTGTTTTACAGATGTGGAGGCTGTTACTCACAGAGGTTAATAACCTCCACCAGGATCACTCAGATATAAGTGGCAGAGTTTACATAGAACCCAGGTCTGTCTTATCACAAGGCCTCATTTTTTTTCCCCATCTAATATTTACTTATTTAGGCCTCTGGCTAGCTGCAAGTGTGTTCCTTTACCCAGATACTTCCTCTTCCATATTTAAAAGAATAGACACAAAATATGTAGAAAGTATGGTAAACAGTAAAATAGATTGAAGGTAAGTTTCAGTTTTTTTTCAATAAAGCAGCAAGAAATTTCCTCTCCTGAGCTAATATATTTAAATCCGTTAAAAAAATGTTGTAGGCAACTACTGTAATAAATCTGGTTTCTTTTCAAGAGAAGCACTTGCAAAAGGCTGGGTTTCAGGATAAGGTCCTTCTAAAAAGTTCTATAAACAACCTCCCATTATCCATATCCATATACACACACACAAACACATACATGCACACATTTCTCAAAGTAGGTTTGAAATGCTCACTATCTATGACTTGCAAATTACTTAAAATTTCTGACCTAATGAGTGACATGGGAATAATAATTCCTGCCTCACAAAGTTATTGTAAGGACTGGATAACGTGATGTGGTTGAGTTTAGAACAGTGTCTGCATATTGTAAGGATTCTCTTGTGATTTCTCTCTCCGATCTTCACAGAGCATGAGCACCTTGAGGTCCTACTAGCACTGCCTTGGTGTCACATGTTAAGATAACTTTGTTGATATTCCATTTTCCCACAGTCCTAGTGGAATTTCAAGGAGTCTCTTGAAATTAGTTCATTGTCAATCAATGAGTTGTGCAAAATTGCTTTCTCATCTTCCCTTCAACCACTTGGATATCATCCTCAAGGTGACTCCTGAATAGTCCAAATCTGCCTATTAACAAGGCTTTATTCCCAGGATTTATCAATCCCTGGGAAAACAGAATGGAACATAAATTGTGGTGACCTTCTGTAACAGTCATATATAACTCTGAAGCAATTAACATTTACAATTTAGATGTATACGTGTTTGCGTTTTTTAAGCAAACTCAAGAACCAAAGTATGAGATGCATATAAGCAATAAGAAATGTCTTATGGCTCTCCAACACACCAGATTTGCCCAATTCCTTAAAAGTCTGATTATTTTCACGATCACAACCAATGTTGATCCTAGTATGCCATTGTAAAAGCTCCTTTATCAATCAAAATTTTATTTGTTCAAAAAGATAAGTCTTGCTTTCTCCAAATGATATCTCCCAAAGAAGATATTCTGTGGACCACATCTAAGGGAAATGTGTCTATATTAAACCTGACTTTTAACAGAAATAGGAAACATTTTGCATTTTTTGCTCCATGGTCATTCTTTGACTGAATAATGCAATTCATGCTGAGAAATGTACTCTCAAGCTGTGTATCAGAGCTCCAGAATTCTGGAAAAAAATTGTATCTTTATCATTTTGATGACTGATCTTAATGATTCCAGTGTGCGATATTTTCTTCAGTAACCAAATGCTTAAACTTCATGTTCTGACATTAGCATAGAAAGCAAAGTGAGCTCAAATGTATCTCCAATCAGTTTGCCTTATATATGAATAGCTTTATCTTCTACCAATAAATAAAATTATCTTCCAGGATAAAGCCTGGGGTTAATCTTGAAGAATTCGAACTTGTGTAAGTAAATAGATTGTTTTTGGAAAAGTATAGAAGTGGCCACCAAACAGATCATGGTTTATTCAGGAAAAAATAATTCTGTGGTTGTTACCTGTTCCACAAAATGCTCAACCACATCTTGCTTTGCTTTTTCAGATTCAATTTTCTTTCCCACATCATTCCAAAATTGCAGCTAAATATAGTGCTTTTTAGACTTGCCAAGTTGTGACTCCCTAAAAGTTAACTTGGAAATATCTGTCACAGATATTGACAGAGTGACCAAAGCAGACCTGTGACTTTATTTCAGGGAGAAGTGCCTGGCAGGAAAGCCAAGTGATGTTATATTTCAAAGGATTTAGGCAGGCTAGGGAAAAAATGCAGTATCTGAAAGAAAATATTACATTTATTACTTCCTAGTCTTTTAGAAGCTCCCATTATGGCAGTTGCAAACAAACAAATAAAATTACAATAAATTCAAGCAAGCAGTCACACAAATAATCCAAAAAAAGGAAATATGTTTATGTACTCTAGAAACTGAAAGCCCCAGGGTTGATTAGTAATGAAATGCCTGTGGAATTAAAATAACATCAGAAAGATTTTTTAGAATAATAAACTGTCAAAAGTAAACCGCCCTACTCAAGATTCTGCTTGTTCCCGGCAAAGAGTTTCCAACACATTCTGGAACACGAGGAAAGTTCCTCATTTGCAAAAGTACAGCTAGCAGAATAGATAGAAGGAAGGCAGAAGACTTTATCTTTTCCTTCACCCTTCATTGTGGCCGTGATAAAAAGCTCCAGGGCCTCCTGTCCATGACCTTAGTCCTTTGGAGAAGGCTGGTGGGGGGAGTGCAGGCCAGGCTCAAGCTTGCCATTAGTCAGTGATCTGTGAATAGCTTTCGGTCCCTTAATGACGTGAGCGCAGGCTCCAAAGGGAGCGGGTGACTCAGAGCGCAGGAGGCTCAGAGATTGCCTGAGCAGCCATTAGCACGTCATTGGTAATCCCAGCGACACCTTTCACATCCGCGGTATTTGTCTCCATGCTCTCCGCGGAAGGCTGCGAGAATGTTTTATTTAAGGGCTCTGGGCTGCCTTCTGCCTGACAGGATTGCTTGTCTGCAGGGCTTACTAACACTTGCAGATCTTCCAAGAGAAGAGGGGTGGGGGATGCGGAATTCCTAGTATAGTTACAGGCCATTTCCGTGAACGCAGACATTATGCCTCTGCACTTTGGAAATTGCATGGCAGATTAAAACTGTAGCCCTTGTCCTTTTACTTCATGACAGAAAGAAGCAAAGGAAAGGCTCAATCATTGCTGCGCAAAGTCTGCTTAATTCCATAAATATCTATTAAACGTCTACTATGAAAGTAGTATAATATAAAATAGCGGTCAAGAGCACATCTTGTGGCATCTGATATAGCTGGATTTGAATGACAGTTCTGTTGCTATTTGTGTGACTTTAGGTGAGTTACTTAAAGTCTCTGAGCCCCGTTATCTGCAGAATGGATATAACAGTGACCTTCTCAAAGGATTGTTGCAAAGGTTAAATGATAACAATGTATATATGGCACTTGGCAAATAATAAGGACGTAAGTGACAGCTATTTGATTTCTATGTACTGAGCACTGGGCTAGGCGCTGGGCTACCGGGGCACATAGGACACAGTTCCTCCTTGAAGGAACTCACAGAGCAAGGAGAAGCAAACAAGGAAACAAACAATTGTAGTGTGGGGGTGATAAGTCTATATTAGCATAGTGGTTCTAAAATTTTAATGTACATTAGGATGACCTGGGGATCTTTTTAAAATGAAGATTTTATAAGGAACTTAATTAAGCAAAAAAAAAAAAGCTAGAGAGAAAGAAAGAGAATCATTAAAGAGTAGGCAAAAGACGTGAACAGGCCCTTCTCAAAAGAAGACATAGAAGCAGCTAACAAATATGTGAAAAAATGCTCAACATCACTAATCATCAGGGAAATGCAAATCAAAACTACAATGAGATACTATCTCACACCAGTCAGAATGGCTATTACTAAAAAGTTGAGAAACAACAGATGCTGAGGCTGCTAAGAAATGGAAAGGCCACTGTTGGTGGGAATGTAAATTAGTTCAGCCACTGTGGAAAGCAGTTTGGAGCTTTCTCAAAGACTTAAAACAGAACTACTATTTTGACCCAGAAATCCCATTATTGAGTATATATTCCAAAAATCATTCTACCAAAAAGACACATGCACTCATATGTTCATTGCAGCACTATTCACAATAGCAAACACACGGAATCAACCTAAGTGCCCATCAATGGTGGACTGGATAAAGAAAATATGGTACATATACAACATGGAATACTATGCAGCCATAAAAAAGAACAAAATTGTGTCCTTTGCAGTAACATGGATGCAGCAGGAGGCCATTATCTTAAGTGAATTAACACAGGAATGGAAAACCAAATACTGCATATTCTTACTCATAGGTGGGAGCTAAACTTTGATTACTCATGATATGAAATGAGAACAATGGACACTGGGGGCTTCTAGAAGGGAGGAGGCAGAAATGGTGGCAAGAGTTGAAAAATTAACCCTTGGTTACTATGCTTGGTCTCTGAGTGACGGGATCAATCATAATCTAAACCTCAGCATTCTGCAATATACCCAGGTAACACACCTGCACATGTATCCCCCGCAACACCTCTGGAATCTAAAATAAAGGTTAAAACTATTAAAAGAAAAAAACAGAGAAGAAGATTTTGATTCAGTAGGTATGGCAGGGGAAAGCTGAGAATCTGCATTTCTGTCAAGCACCCAGGTATTGATGAGGGATGCTGGTCCAAAGACAGTACTTTGAGGAGCAAGAACCTAGAGCAATGGATGTATAGGTACATGGAGAGCAAATAAAGGGGCAGCAAGTTCTGCTGTGTTCACCTTTGAGTTTCTGCCTTGTGGATGCTAAACACTTTGCACCCTTTCTTCCAGTTCTTCTGTCTCCCTTCTAGCTGTCCAGGACCTCATTTGAATCCAACACCAAACACAAATGTATAATGCTAAGCAAAGGAAGGGACAGGGAAGCCAGGGACAACTTTGGAAAAAACAAATCTTGAGCTAGCTCTTCAAAGCTGTGATGGACATGCATGTTCACCTAGATAGGTGGGAGAAAAGAGCAGGAAAGTATGCCTTTACTGTCAAGTGCATAAAACTGTTGGTTTAACGTATTTTAAGAGCTAAGGAATATGCAACAGGAGTTAAATATAGTTATTGAACATTTGCCACATTTATGAACTTCAAAAATGTTAAGAGAACATTTTTATTTTTTCCTTCTCACACGGGAGGCTTTGGAAATGTGTACAATTAGCATGGATTATCAACCCCAGTGGGTGGGGAGTCCCATGTGCACCTCCCACGATTTCTTACGAGTGTAATTCCTGCAGGCAGCACCAAGCAAACACAGCTCTGGCTGCTTTCCTTTTGACAACTAAGGTTTCATTCCAAATCAAACCTAGAGGCAATGCTAGGGCTTAATTGTAGGCATTTCAGAGTTGGAATGGTTAGATTCGCACCCAGCCTGTATGCAAAACTACATTTGGGAAACTGACACTTTCTAGCATGGCTTTTCCATATTATCTGTATCTTTCCTTCCATTTGTCCACACCTCCAAGACTCTGCTCACTTGCATTGTCCTGCCTGGGGTACTCTCCCAGCTCTCCTTAACCAGTTGAATTTTAAAAC
Source organism: Homo sapiens (assembly GCF_000001405.40). Classification (NCBI taxonomy): domain Eukaryota; kingdom Metazoa; phylum Chordata; class Mammalia; order Primates; family Hominidae; genus Homo; species Homo sapiens. The sequence goes on from NC_000011.10 coordinate 28,569,619, forward strand.
CTAGTTCATTGTTCTAGTCTAGGCAATCTTCATCCCACACTATATTCTTTCTTTTCAACCAGATCATCCAGCTGCAACTGTAAGACTGTAAGGTCTTTGAGGGCAGAGTCTCTGTGTATTTTTTTTTTTTTTTTGAGACAAAGTCTCGCTCTGTTGCCCAGGCTGGAGTGCAGTGGCATGATCTCGGCTCACTGCAACCTCCACCTCCCGGATTCAGGCGATTCTTCTGCCTCAGCCTCCCAAGTAGTTGGGACTACAGGCAAGTACCACCATGCCTGGCTAATTTGTGTGTGTGTGTGTGTGTGTGTGTATTTTTAGTAGAGATGGGGTTTCACCATGTTAGCCAGAGATGGTCTTGATCTCCTGACCTCGTGATCCACCCACCTCTGCCTCCCAAAGTGCTGGGATTACAGGCATGAGCCGCCACAAGCCCAGCCTGTATTCTTTATACTACCTAATTCTGAGACATCTACATGGTAGGGGTCACAGCCTTAAACACTAATAGTGATTAGGGGCGTTTGCTTTGCAGTTGGTCTGTCCTGGGTTTGAATCCTAGCTCTGTGATTCGATAGCTGTCTAACCCTGAGAAATCACAATAGCAACAGCACAACCACACTAACAGTGTTAATCATGAATATTTCTTGAGTTCTTATGGTGTGCCAGGCCATTGTGCAAGTATTTTATGTATACTCTCTTATTCAATCATCGTAACGACCGTATGAGGTTGATGCTATTTTGCTTTGTCAAAGTCTTAATTTATTCATCTGTAAAATGAAGAGAGTAATTGCGATTTCAGTAATAGCCACCTTGTCTGTAAATAAGATGATATATGCAAAAAATTTGTCAGTGTGTTACATGAGTGATTATGCATATGTGGGCCTGTATGCATACACAAACACACAAAGACATCCTCACACAGACACACACACACACACACACACACACACCACACACACACACACACACACACACACACATATATATATGCTGAAACTATGTACTTGGGCAGCCCAAGCACTTCAAACTCATCTTGAAACACCAGCTGCTCTTCTTTTCTCCCCTATTTCAGTTATTCACATTACCACCCACCCACTCACTCAAGCCAGTAACCTAAGATGCATCCTAGGTACAACTTGTTCCCATAGCACATACTATGGTGCCACACACTTTATCTAAAAACCTAAACACTTTATCATAAAAACCTTATGGGGTCTGTATCCTTATATTCACATTCTACATTTTGATTAAACTTTAATACACAATCCTGTGAGGTGTGTACTTATTTTAGAGATGAGTAAACTGAGGCACAAAGTGAACAAGTAACTGGCATATGGTCTCCGCTTGGCCACAGTGCTATCCTAAGCCCCATTTCTAATTGATCACTATGTCCTACTTACACTACTTTATAGATGGTTTTCTAATCCATACCCTTTTTTTTTTCAATTCCCATTGCCATTTCTTAGAACTTTGCTACAATCACCTAATTGGTTTGTCTCTAATTTTTCACCCCTCCTAAATCATCCTCCACCTGCTACAACATTGACCTTTCTAGGGTGCACAGTTATTATTAATCTCTAGTTTATCATCTTTCAATGGTCCTAATTTCTCTTAGAATCTAAGTCTGAGTTTTGGGTCCTCCATCATGTGGCATCTCATCTTTTGTCTCCTACTTTCCCTATTTGTTACTTTATAAGTGAATTGAATTACTTGCAGTTACCAGAATTTCCACTGTAGGCAGTATGGATAGAAAAATAATAATAATGAAGGAGCCAGGTAGTGTATTAGGTATTTATGTATGTTATGAACCTATTCAATCTTTGGAACAACCCTATGTGGTTTCTACTACTGTAATTACCATTTTACACACAAGGCACAAAGTGGCTTACAAACTGAGGCAAAGAAGATTAAGTAACTTGCCCAATTTCACACAACTTAGATTTAAATCCAAGTAGTCTTGGCTCCAGAGTGTATGCTCTTTGCCAACATGCTTGGAAAAGCAAGTAGGGTATGCTGATGAAGTGAGAATGTATTTAAAGAAAGACCAGCTCTCTACCCAATCAGGTGCCTAAGGAGGGCATAGTCTGGTCTACATCCTTGCAGGTCCAGAAATCTGATCTCAATGCTATTCCTGCCCACATTCACAATGACCTGATTTATGAAGCCAGAATGCCAATTTACTAAGTTACAATGAGATCTACAACTCTCCGTTGAACTAGATCGACCATAGAAACACATCGTCCTTTTGTAAGTGCAGTATTAGAGGAGGATAAATAAGTATATAATTCTCATATGCTTTATGCTTCAAGCTCTGATAGCTTACTTCATCCATCTGCACTACTAGAATATACCTTTGAGGTGGACAGGGTACTTTCGTTTGCCTAACAGCCTCCTCCCCTTACCACTCTGAGAGACAAGGCTTGGATGGGCACTGATCTATTACTACTACTGCCTTACTCATCTGTGGGAATATCCTATGATTATTTCTTGATCTATGTTCATACTCTTAATCTGGTTACAGATACAGGAGCCATTCTTTCTCTTAAGGTTTGTTTTGAATATCTTAACTCCAGTTCATAATGTGTGGATTTTATTGGTTAACGACTGGAGAACAGTTACATTTTCTTTTCTTTCAACAATGTTGATCACTTTTATAAACTGGATTCCTCCAAGTTTTCTCACAACTCTTTGCCTTGACATATACTAGTCACACTACTTGACTAACTCTTTAATTCCAGGAAACAGTCTCCAATTTGGCTACGCCAGGTTGGGTAACCCACTTGAGTGTGTGCACTACCTTGCTATCTTCACAATTACATTTTTCATAATGTGTCTACTTATTTGTAGTTGCAATTATGTATGTAATGCCTGCATTTTCTCTGTATATCTGGCTCAGAGTCTTCCATGAGATTGAAGTCAAGATATCAGCTGGGGCTATATTCTTCTAAAGGTTTCACTGGGTCTGAAAGATCTGCTTCCAGTGGATCTCACTCACATACCCAGCCAATTATTGCTGGTTGTTGGATGAAGGCCTAAATTTCTTGCTACATGCCTCCATCCTTAGGGCTACTTGAGTGTCCTCATGAAGCAGCAGCTGGCTTCCCCTGGAGTGAGTGATTCAAGGTAGCAAGAGAGAAGTGATGCAAACCATTGTTTCCACAATATGTTATTGGCTACACAGATAATTCCTATTCAGTCCGGGAGGGATTACACAAGGGTGTGACTACCAGGAGGCCATTTTGGAGGCTAGCTACCACAGCCTATATACTTGCCTTTGTCTGTCTTGCTGATTACAAACAGGGAGCCCAGTGCTTGTTGAATAGTAGAAGCTCTATAAATAGTGACTGAAGCCAAAAGATAAAGGAAGAAAGATAAAGAAGGAGGTGGGGGTGGGGGAAGAAGAGAGAGAAGAAAGGAGAGAAGAAAGGAAGAAGCGGAGAGAAAAGGAAAAAAATTATTTCTTCACCTGTGTCCCTGGCAGAATTATTGGCTGCTTAAGGATAGGGACTGGGATGTTCTTCAAAACATCACTTTAGCTGAATCAGTTTGCTCCTAGCTTAGCACACATTGGAATCTTAATGGACACCAGTTGATTGAATGACTGAATGAATGAGTGATGAGTACATGAAAGAGTACTGAATTAAAGCAAATTTGTCTGTTTTCTGACTTTGAGCAAAAGCTCACTGAGGGCTAGAACTGGAGGATTTCCTTCTTTACCCTTGTTATGCCTATGATGGTACTGAGCTCACATTAAGCCCCTATAAATATCTTCATTGAATGAGTGTGTGAATAAATGAACAGGTCATAGAAATCCCTATCTAATGAAGCTTTATACATATTTTATGTAATTTGTATAGTGTAGGAACATGGTATAGCAGCACAAAAGCCCAGTTTCTCCCCTTCCTCTTCATCTCTGTCTAAACAGCAAAAGAGTGGCTGGTATGTTCATAGAATATGATTTTGTGGGAGGGGAAGGATGGTTGTCTCTGCTATTTGCAAAGTAAATGTGCTGCCCTTAAGGTATCTACAAAAGGATTCTCAAATGTAAGCTTCTAAGTTCACTAGCATTATAAATTGAGATGCTTCTTTTAGTCCAGGCCTTTAAAGTTTACTTCCTGTAAAGGAAATGGTCGTTCTTTACTTTTGCATAGCACTGAATAGTTTACAGAATACTTTCATATTCATTTTTTCATTTAATCCTTAGAGTAACATTATGGGATGGGTAATATTATCCCTGATTTTTAAGTTTAAGGGCTGAATTTTTGCTAGGTTGTGATTGTCCAAGATCACATTATTTTGGATGCAGCAGAGCTAGAACGAGAACAAAAGCCACTCTTCCAATTCTCAAAATTTCCCCCTTAACAGAAAAACCACAATACGTGTGTGTGTGTGTGTGTGTGTGTGTATCATTTCTTTCCATATCCTGAAAACTCTCAGAAGTTTCCATTTTATTTAAAAAATGTGGTCCAATGTCATCCATAGCCTTGTTAAGGGAATGACTGAAACAGAAGACAATAGTAGTAAATCTAGAAATTAGGCAGTTCGTGTCAAAAAGGTCTGGGGACAAATGCAAATATCTCAGCAGGAAGGCAGAGGCTGTCTTTGGACAGAAACTGTTATAGGTAGGTGGGGGGTGAATTAAGATAGTCTGGTAGGAAACACTCTACCTCAAGACACTGATTCAAATATAAAACTCTTGCCCTGGTGTCTTGGGCATGTTTGTTGGAAAACAGAAAAAAGAAATAAATTCACACAACATAAGAACAAGGAAGTGCATTGCATAATTATAGGAAAATTGCCCATAAATAAAATGCTGGAATTACGGCCAAGCCTCGAGAAACCTGGAAAACCATCAGCCTTCTCTTCTCTGTCCTTGCTCTGTTTCTGGATGCATATGGGAGCTCATCTTTTCTTCTCTTGAGAATTTTTTTATCCCTTTTTCTTAAATTGATTGTTCCTATTTACTCAGTTATAGCAAATGGTTCGTATATATTCTAGTTGGCAGTCTCTGCTCCCCATGACGTTTCAACCTGGGTTTCTTCAAAGTGTCATAACCATTTAGTGTCCAGATACCAAAAAGCATAGAAGAGGAAATACGAATAGTTGGTCTTGGGCAAGTGTTTGCCTCTGGTCCAAGTTGCCATGATCAAGAAGAGAGACGACATGGTATGAATATCAGGAGTCCATGGCTGTAGGCTGTATGGTTCTCTAAGAAGAAAGTATGGATGCTGAGAAAATGAATCGAACTTTTAGTTCATTGAAGACCTTATAAAACCAAAGCTAAGATGAGCAAAACCGGGATACAGTTGAAGAGCACTAGATGCAGGATTAAAGCATGATCATTAGCAGGAGGACTTAACATTGAACTTCTAAGCTACTTATCCAGAGATCCTTAAGATGGCTTTAAGTAGTGATAGAATTGTCCCTGGTCCAGCCTGTGGTACAATGGAACTGAGAGTAGGGGTGAGGAGTCTTAGCTAAAAAGACTGGAGTGCTTCAGGGGTAGAGAGTCAAGAAGATCATTAGGCTTTTTGAAGCTAGGAGAGCCAATTCCTTATCTGGGTTAAAGCTTTTCTAAGACTAAAATTTTGGCTTTCTGGGTAGACCCAACAGGTAGGCCTGACTGCCTCAATAAAAATAGCGACATTAAAATCCCCAGGCAGCTTATGGAGCTATACTTGTCATTGAGGAAGGCAGAAAACCAACATCTGATGACCAACTGCTATGGGCCAGGTAATTTTCCTACATTATTTAATTCTCCCATAGCAATCCTCTAAAGCAGTCATTAACATCACCCCTGTTTTACAGAGGAGGAAATGGATTAAGTAATAAACAAACAATACTCTGCTGCTCAAGCTGCCAGTCTAAGCCCTTTTTAGCTTCGCCTCTTCCTTCCCCATCTCTCTTCTTTTTTCTTTCTCTTCTTTCTTCCCTTTCCTTTTTTCTTCCCCTCCTCTCCTTTTCCTCCTTTTCTTCTTTTCCCTCCCCTTCCTTTTCCTTTCCATTCCATTTCATTGCATTTTTTAAAGACTTTGAATCAGACTTTGTTTCTCAGTGCCTTTTTGGACTCCATATTTGCTACACTCTTTTAATTAATCAGATCTGCAAGTGTTTTGTTCCCTGCCATCACCTGCGCTGTTGATGGTAATGCTAGATCCAGAAATGCCTGTTCCTAGTTCCTGACTCTCCCTACTGAGCTGCCCATCCCAGGGCACTTGAGCAGCCTTTTTGGCCCAAGAGCCATTGTCCTGGGGGCTGCCCATTGCTGTTATCATCATAGTCACTATTTACCACTGTCATGTTATGGAGCCTCTTTTATTTTTTGGTAGTCAACAGTTAGCATTTCTTTTTCAAACTTGAAATGCCCAAAGCACTCCTCGTTATTAGCAAAAGGGTCTCAAGACTCACACTTTCACTCCAGTCAGATTTGGGTCCAAATGTGATTACAGTGAGAGCAATTGTGATGATAAATCTGGCCAGCTCCTCTGTAACTCAATCAGTTGGACACTAACAAAGGGAATTGGTAAGGGATTCAGGGAAGAGTCAGGACAGCAATTAAGGGTCTGGCCTTTAAAGACAATATTGGAAATATTTAAGCCTTTACATCTGGGTCTGGTGGCAGAGAAAAAAAGGTTATGATCCCAAAGAACATGCTGAAGAGTAATTTCTCCCGTGCTGTGGGAGCCTCTGTAAGACTGGGGTAGGATGCCACAATGGCTGTCTGTGGGTTTTCCCTTGCTCTCCCCTCTATCTCCTTTAAAAAATCATAACATCACGACAATATTATTACGTTGTTAGGAAAAGGAGACAATAAACTAGAGTTCCTTTCTTATTCTATACAACTCTTGCTCTCATATCCTCTGCTCCACCAGCATCTCTGTAACATAATGAAATGTAGATGTTTCAATCCTCATTCTATGTAAACTTTCAACAACATTTGACACTCTTATCCACTTCCTTTTCGCCTTACTCTCCTGTTACTTTCCTCCTACTTCCTTGCCTATTTTTTTTTCTAGGGTCCTTTGGGTTATTCTCATCTTATATCTGACCTTCACATAGCTAGCATTTATGTAGCTCTTAATATGTATCAGGCACTTGTCAAACCACCCCATATACATTATCTCAGCAAATCCTCCTAACAGCCCATGAGAAGTCATCCCAGCTCTACAGATAAGGAAACTGAGACCCAAGAAAGTTATATAACTCTTAGAGCTGGGGATCTGACCTTAGGAAATATAATTATGGCATCCTTGTTTTTGACAACTACACTAAACTGCTTCCGTTTATTGAAATTCCTCGTACTCTTATTCCTAAACCTTCTTACCTTCTCAGTCTGTACTTCCTCTGCAGGTAGTTTTGGCAATTCCTGTGGCTTAAATTACCATCAAAAGGCTAATAACTCCCACAATTATATTGATAATCCTGACCTCTCTTCTCACCTCTAGATATTTATAATCAACCATTACTAGCCATTTCCATGGAATACCCAGCAGAGACTTCAAATAAAACATGTCCATAATTCTTAAGACTCATTGTACATCTCCTTCCCACCACTTGTCACAATTGCAGTTGAGTAATTACTTTCGTAATTATTTGCTTCTGTCTTCTGTGTTAGAATGGAAACCTGATAAGAGCAGAAAACCTGTTTTGTTCATCTTGGTGGCCACAACTCCTATCACGGTGCCTGGCCTACTCTAGCTGCTCAAAACTCCTTTTTGGAATGAATGAGTAACTTTTTGAATGACTGAATAGGAAATAAATTTTTAAAAGAAAAAAGTCCTATTACACTTTTCATTTTAATATACAATTTTCTAATGTTAATCAATCCCTTGCATACATTTTGAATAAGTCATATTCATACTGAGTTACAACTTAGTATTCCCTTCTTTTCACCTAACATTAAATCTTTAAATAGTTTCCATATGTATTTTATTATGCTAATATTGCATGTGTTAAATAACAGTTCTCTATACTGTTGGCAAAGATTTCCTCCCAACATTTAATTAATATAGGCATATTTGTAATAAACGTTTTTATGCACACAGCTATGTTGTTCTTGTGAAATATTTTCTTAAAATAAATCCCTAGAAGTATTCCAAGTTTAAATGGCATGAACATTGTTATATGTGCTGACATATATTATAAAATTACTATAAAAGATGGTTGCATTGACACCACTCGTAGCAATAGATGAGGGTTTGATCAGCATTGGCAACAGCATCTCAGTTGCTGAATGCAAACTTGGATGAATTGCAGAACAGCAGATGGAATGTTTTTTATGTACAAAAGGATCTTACTCCTGGCCCAATTATGTTATCTTTCTACCTATCATTTAAAATATTTTTATTGTGGTAAAATATATATAACATTAAATTTACCATTTTAATAACTTTAAAGTGTAATATCAGTGGCTTTAATAATGTTGTACAAGTAACATCACTGTCTATTCCAGAACTTATTTGTCATCCCAAATAGAAACTCCGTACCTATTACATAGCCACTCCCCATTTCTCCTTTCCCCTACTCCCAGGCCCTGGAAACCACTAATCTGCTTTATGTCTCTATGATTTGCCTATTCTGGATATTTCATATAAATGGAATCAGGGGTTCAAACAAAAAAATTTGTGCATATTCATGGCAACTCTATTCACAATAGGGAAAAGCTGGAAATGGCCCAAATGTCCATTAACAGATAATTGAATAAACAAAATGTGATATATCCATACAATGGAATATTGCTCAGCTATAAAAATGAATGAAATACTGATACATTCCACAATGTGGATGAACCTAGAAAATATTATTCTACGTTTAAAAACATAGATATTTATACTTCATCAAACCATTTTAACAGTGTACATCAACACAAACAGCTTAAGAAGATGAAATACATTTGAAAGGAACAAAAGATGCGGCAAAAAATACAACCTAAAACATTCATTATCTGGGACTGAGTTTATGCTAATTAAATTTAACAAGCATTTATTGAGTACTACTGGGAGTCAGGCACTATTCTATGTGCTAATGCTATAAACTGAATAAAAAACAGCCCTGATTTCAACAAAATGATGTCCTAGGAAAGATATAAACATGTCAATAAATAACTAACATGTTTAATATGCATAGTGTATTATGCAGAACAATATATTCTGTGTTGTGAGACCCAGAGGAGGGAAAAACTAATTCTATCTGGAAAAATCAAGGAAAGATACAGAAAGGAGGTATCATGTTTGTTTGGTCCTGAACTTTCAGTAGGGATTGTCAGGCAGGGAACTGAGGTACAATTGTGTTAGGGCAAGGAAGGGCAGAAAAGGAAAATGACTTTAACCTTCCCCTTCCTTCTTGCTGACTCAGATCTCTATGGGTCTCACAATCGGCAATCTATGTTCCCATAAAGTGATACTACATTGGTGCAAAAGTGATTGGCGTTTTGCCATTACTTTCAATGGGAAACCGCAATCACTTCTGCACCAATGTAATAACACTTTATCACGACAGTTTTGAAATAAGCTGAGAATAATTTTGATTTTATTTTTACAAAAAGACAAGTAGAGCCTTGTGGATGCTCGATGACAATAATTTTTGAATATTAGTAATGTCAATATTAGCTGACATTAATAACGTGTTCAATGCCACATTTTTGAGTACATTTTCATTGGTTTCTAAGAAGAAATCGGTTATAGATTTAATGATCTTTGTACATGAAAGGGAAAAATTTTACTGCTTGTTAGAATTATAATAATTTTAATTCAAAACACTTTTGTCTGGTCCTTTGAATGAATGACAGAGTTAGTCTACCATCTCTGACTCTGAATGCTCATAGTACAGAATGAGTACCCAAAACATGCAGTAGATGTGCCACTGTGCCTCCCTCTTGCCCCGTGACAGGTATGTCTAATTAATAATTATGGTCTTTGCTGATGAGCGCAGACATGCCTCTGAATGCCTATTCATATAGGCAGCCATACCATGATTAATCAGCAGCAATTGACAAAATTCTATTGCTATGTCTGTCAGAGAGGAGGCTATATTGGGGTTGGGAGTCAGAAGTTGTGGGTTTGAGGCCTAATTCTTTCTTTAGCAAGCTAAGTAACTTCTCTGAGCCTCAGTTGCTTCAGCAGGAAAATGCTATCAATATTGACTTTAAGGGTTGTAGGAGGATTGAATATGGTCACATGAATTAAAGGGCACAGCTCCAGTAACATAGTAGGTGCTCAATAAATAAGTGTAGTAAAATCAGGATCCTTTGACTTGCCTAGTTCTTTCTGCATCTTGCTTCAATGCATCTCTTTCTGTCCAAAAGAGAAATGACAGCTGTTCCTATTATTGCCAGTGTTGCTGCCATTCTTGCTTTTACCCAAAGGAAAAAACAAGGAGCCATTTTCTGCTTCCTCTCTTTCAGCCTTTGTCACTAAATTCTGCCAATTTATTTGAGGCAACTCTAATTCTTTTCCCTCCTTTGAGCTGACCGAGCACTGCCCTGACACTGGTGTTGGTTCATAACTATATGCCTGCATTATTTCATCAACTTCCTGTTTTTCCTTCCTTTATTCCGAGGTTTTTCAACCTCTGCACGATTAACATTTTGGGCTGAATGAGTCTTCATTGTGAAGGGCTCTTGGGTGCATCTTAGGATGTTTAGCAACATCCATGACCTCTACCTACTAGATCCCAGGAGCATTTCCTCAGTTGTGATGACCAAAAATGTCTCCAGACATTGCCAAATAGTTTCTGGTGGGTGGAGGAGGAAATAAATTGTCCTCAGTCGAGAACCATTGCTCTAATATTATTGTTTTAAATCATTTCACCAAGCTGAGAGATTATCAATCAATGGTATTTTTGCTATGATATTTCTTCAAGGACTGTCAATAGATTTCCATTTCCCAAAGATGTTAATACCTTAGCCTAGTTGTCAAGTTTATCAATAATTGGCCCTAGTTATTTTTCTTTGAACTAGAACTTTTTAAAGTTTAATGCACCTATTAATCATAAAGTTATCTTTTTAAAATGCAAATTCTGCCTTAGTAGGTCTGGGTGAGGCCTGAGACATGGCATTTGAAAAAGTTCCCAGGTGGACTTGATGCTGCTGAACTACAGAGAACTTTGAGTCACAAAGCATTGAAAGACCTCAACCAAGTGCTTCAGTACCTGCTGAGTGTTCATAAAGGACCAGGTCCTGCTTAAGAGGAGCTCATAGAACAGCAGAAGGGAGAGAGAAATAAGCAAGTAACTATAATAAAAGTTGATACTTGTTATCATTGAGGTAGGATTACAAAGATATGAAGATGCAAGTAAGGGAGAAATTCATCCTACCTGGGGCTGATAGGTGAGGGGTAAAGAGGAAATACCTGCAATGATTAGAGAAAGCTTTGATATGGAAGTGCTCCTTTATTTGGGCCTGTAAAATAGGTAGGTGGTCTATCAGGTGGAGAGGAAAGGGAGGTACCTTTCCTGGAAGTGAGAACAGCATGATCAAAAGCAGAGAGACATAAAAATGCAGGAACTGTGTTCAGTGTGGCTAGCACCCAGGTTGGGACGGAAGAGGCTCAGTAAACTGCCTTCAGAAGCCTCTTGTCTGTCATACTATGTATTTGAGATTTATTATGTTAGCCAGGGGCTTTTTAAGTAGGAAAACAACATGATCAGGTGTTTGTGTTTGAAAGACCATGCTGACGGCCGTGTGGATGGTGGGTATAATGAGGAACATCCAGGAGTCAAGCCAAGCTGCTAGAGGTGAGCGTCTTAACTAGGATGAGAGCAGCGGAGGCTGTGGTGAGCTGGAGCTGACTCACACCAGCCCACGAGCGTCGATGGGGGGCGTCTCTTCCCATAATCCACATGTAATCATGGTGGTAGCTTGAAATCAGCCACAGTGGGAATATACACCATGAAAAGTGGCAAATGCCAGAAATATTTCCCTGAGAGCCAGTTGTTAAGCATTTATTAGCACACCACTGTGTGTCACTGAGGAAGCCAGCTGTGATAGCCACCTGGAGGTGATTTATTAGATGTGTCAGAATGAAGAACAAGAATACATCACAGATAACTTGCCCTTATTGGGCAATTGAGTTGATTCATTTATTCATACAATGCATATTGATTGAGGACCCCCTATACGCCTGGCATTGTTCCAAATACCTGTCCCTGTGGAGCTTACATTCTAGTAACATGATGTCATTAACTGAGAAAAGCTGCGGGCAGTGGAAGATACTTATTTTAGTCTGGGATACGGATGGTATATAGATGGAGTCTGATATGGTTTGGCTGTGCCCCCACCCAAATCTCCTGTTGAATTGTATAGTTCCCATAATCCCCACGAATCATGGGAGGGACCTCTTAGGATGTGATTAGATTATGGGGGCAGTTCCCTCATGCTGTCCTCGTGATAGTGAGTTCTCACAAGATCTGATGGTTTTATAAGGGGGTTTCCCTCCCCCTCTTCACTCCGCATTTCTCGTTCCTGCCACCAGGTGAAGGACGTGTTTACTTCTCCTTCCGCCATGATTATAAGTTTCTGGAGGCCTCCCCAGTCATGCTGAACTGTGAGTCAATTAAACCTGTTTCCTTTATAAATTACCCAGTCCCAGGCAGCATGAAAATGGACTAATACAGAGTCTTTCAGGATTAATAGAGAGTCTTTCAGTCATAAATGTGCAGCCATATCCTGTGCTATACTTTCTAGAACATTTCACATACAATTCTAATTAAGTGTTTACAGTAACTTTGTAGGGCAGATGGGAGAGGTAGCTGTTGCTCAGATGGGAAAAACTGAGGCTCAGCTATTTGAAGAGATTTGCTCAAAATCACAGAGCTAGTTAGTGTCGGAGTCAGGATTTGAGTCTCGGGTTTCTGACAATTAGCCTAGTCCTGCCTGCACAGTGCCCATTCTACTGTCTGCTCAATCATCATTATACAAATGATCACTACAAATTATATGATGGGACCATCATAGAGACGTTCCCCTGCATCCTGACGCCATTTTCACCCTCAAAGTGCTTCCCTGGCTGTGATCTCAGTTCCTGCTCACAGCCCTAGGTGCTACTCCATGGTGCTCATTTGGGCTTGTTGCTAGGTGCAGCTGAGCTGAGAGTCACAGGCTCCCTGCTCCCTGCTGTAAGCCATGGTTGCTCTGATTATGCTAATAGTAGTTTTGTCTGCTGTTGCTATCAGAGACAAATCTCTCCCATTCCTGTTTCTGCTTCCCTTCCCCTGTGCCTGCTCCTGATTCCTTTCCATCTCACTAATTTCTGTCTCAAAATGATACACCATTACCTCAAGGATTTACTAAATAATAATAAGAAAAAACAGTAAAAACGGGTAGCAGTAGAATCTATATTTGTTGAATGATGAGTACAGTATCTATAAATACCTTCTTAAAATAGAACGAGACTCGTTCAAAAATTGTACTATAATATTATAAACATTAAGTTCATAATATAATATTGAAAGAGGGAAATATAAGGTGTGATACAATGGACTTAGAAAATGGGGGCTCCAATTGCTCAAGAGTCAAGAGTTAATAAAACCAAATACCGCTCATGTCTGAGATAATTAAATGCTTTTCTGTAGGCATTTGGGTGAACACCCAGACAGAACAGGAACTATTTTCCAAATGGCATATCACACTAACTTTCCAAAGTGCAGCTACTTTAACATAACTAGCTTTCCCTTTTTCTTTTGTAAAAGCATTTTTTGCGTGCACATGAGTATATGTCTGAATATATATTTATATATGAGACTATATATATAGATATGAGTGTATCTAAAGCAGCTACAGTAGTGTTGCTTGGCTGAGTAGGAGGTGATACAGGACTGTGCTATTAGTGAGCGGGAGGTAGGAGGTGGCTATGGCTGATGGGCAGGCGTGTGAGGTAATTGCAGGGTAATACTGTCTGCAGGTATTTTTAGATGACACGAGAATGAGAGGATGTTGGTTGGTGGTGATGGTCTTTCTTCTTCTAGAACACAGTGATGAAACGCACATAATAAGAACATAAGGCTTGCCAATTTGGAGCAGACCTTTTGTCCATCCAGCCTAAACTATTGATGACAGAGTCATCAACAGCTGTGTTGTGGGAGAGTAGGTTTTTAATCTTCCTTGGCATCCAGCATAAATGTTAGGGACTATGCCCTCAAAATCCTGGGTTTCCCTTAATAAGTCACTGTAGATGTGCCATCTTTTAATCTATTTCAATCTTTTAAATAAATGTTGGCTTGGGCTATTTCTTGGGGAAGAAAGTGTTTCTTGGTTTGGCAAAGTTTGCTCTCCACTGCGTCAAGCAGAACGTCTTTAAATTATCTTCAACTTACTTGTTTTTTCTTAAGCTTTAAGGGGGCACATAAGTTATTTAGCTCTAAAATTCATTGCATTTTGTAGGATTCTAGCTTATCATCATGTTTTCCCTGTGAGAGATATACCAACTGTAATCAAATGAGATTATGAAGATGTAAGTGTTCTGGAAACTGTAAAATTTCTATAAAGTTACTGTCATTTTTACTCATGATCAAAACCTAGGAGTCTTCCCCGACTCACATCCATTTTCCAGATCCTAGTCATTTTGTCAAATAACTACCTACTAATGTAACATTGTTTTAAAATTTAAATGCTACATTCAATGGTGGAAGCTCTTTAGGATCTACATCCCTGAAAGGAACAAGATAATTAAAAATATTCGTTGGGACAAAACAGCCTGAACTTTCTCACATTGCATCTGCCATTCCTGTTGAATATGGGCAAGACCAAGTCTCTTTTATCTGGAAAGTCAATATCTGAGATATAGGTTTAAAAGCTCTTTCTTATTTCCTTTTACTATGAGAGCATTCTAAAGTGTGCTAGGAAAATTTAAACCAATATTTGTATTAGAATAGTACTTTAAAAAGCAAATTGCTCATATTGGTTGTTGAAGTACCCTTAAAGTAATTTGATGTATTGATATACTTTTACTTTTACATTTAAGTATTGCTTGTTTTTACATACAATCCTCCTATAACTTTGCCAGAGTTATAATTTATTTGTGTGTGTGTGTATGTGTAATTTAGTTTCAAGACTTGTTTTAGGCCCTGAATGTCTCTTGCTGGGCTTCACATCTCAGTAAATGGCACCTAGCTCCAAAGAGTCACTAGTGCAAAACCTACAAGTCTTCCACCTTCATATGCAAACAGTTTCCAGGTCCTGTACAGTCCATCCACTTTTCTCCATCTGCATTCCCACATCTTCAGTCCAAACTCTAATCTTTTTATGGTTTCCAGCAATAGAATCCAACTAGTCTCTTTGTATTCACTGTTGCTTTCCTCAATCCAGTCTCCAACTAGAGTAATTGTTTTTAAATACAAATTTGATGACATTCATTTCCTCCTTAAAAGGTTCATTCCTGCTTTTAGGTTGATACCCATTACTCTTACAGCAGTCTGTAAGGCTGGCAGGATCTGTTCTATATTCTGTTCTCCACCTTCTCTTCCCTCAGATACCAAGTTAATACTCCAGCCCCATAGACTTTCTCTTTCTTTTTCCATTGTGTCATTAAACATTCCTATCCTGTTTTTCTGGAATGCTCATCTCCTCCTCTGCATGAGGCATGCCCTGACATACATGGGCACACACACACATCCCTGTAGTCTTTACTGAGTTAACTCTTACTCACTGTTTCAGGCCTCTCCTTAAAAGGAACTTAGGAAGCCTGTGTTGACCACTCAATTCCCCAGACCTCCAGACTTATGTCTTCCAAGTCTTATCTGCTAATATCCACTTTCTAAGTTTCAATTAAAATACCCAGAGCAATTCTAAATATATAGTTTCTCTGTGATTCGTGTATGTCTCTCTTTCCTTCTAGACCAGAGGCTCAGTGAGGGCAAATAACTCTTCTGGTTTACTGCTGTATCCCTAGCACTTAACATTGGTCCTCATCCATTATGGCCATCCATTCAATAGTTATTTATTGGATTGACAAATGATTGTTCTTTAAATATTACAGTTGTCTCTTCTAATGGAATCTCTTTCTAACCTATTGTTAAGGCACTCTGTAGTATCAAGATAATCAAGTGGTTTCTCTTTCAGGTAAATACCAAAGTCATATGCCTCAGATTGCACCACCATCAACCTGTGAGAAAATAATGTTAATATCACTGGCTTGCACCTAGAAAACCTCAGTCATCCTAAATGACTTTATTTAAAGCTTTCTTGAAATACACAAGGACTACAGTATTTTATTGGAGAACATTTTTTATACAGTTTCTTAGGTCATTTGGCTTTCTCATTCTACCATTTGCCTTGTCAAAAAATTTAGTTTGTCTATAGAATGGTCTTTAATTCAGGAATTACAACATTATTTAACATGCATAAATCAATCCATTTATTTATTTACTTATTTATAATTTTTGGTATTTATTCCATGGACTGCTCAGCAGAATGTATTTCCTTCTTTCTTTTGGGGGTATATCCATATTTATATAATCTATATTTATATCTATATGAAATCTCTCTCTCTATATATAAATTAATTAAAATTATTTTTATAAAATATATATTCATAGATTTATATATATTTAAATATATATAAAATACATATTTTAAACTTACTGATTTTTTATTTTTTGTAGAGATGAGGTCTCACTGTGTTGCTCAGGCAGGTCTTGAACACCTGGGCTTAATAAGTGATCCTTTCATCTCAGCCTCCCAGAGCACTGGGATTACAGGTGTGAGCCACTGTGCCCAGGAATAAATCAGTCCTTAAGTCCCTGGCACTTATAATATTGGAATATATAGGCTTAATATGCCCAGCATGCACATTCTCTCTTCAGAAGACTAAGTTTTTTGACACTAGTAAAGTGGTTTTTTTATTTAAACAAGGATAGGCCTTAAAGAGCAATAAATCAGTAGCTGTTGTCCCTTCAAGAGTCACATATTTGTTGCTGTCTTTTGGAGTTAACTCATCCTATCGGCACTAGCAGCATACGTGAGTGAATGAATAAAATGAGGAATGTATAAATTTAGGCAAAAAAGCAAATTAGAAGGCAATGAGTTTATTGTTTTCTGTAGCCAAGTTATGGAATCCCTAATTGCCCTTGTACTCTGCAAGTCTGTTAATAAATACAACAGTTTCCTGGCCAGAATTAGATTAGTGACACTGAGTGGAGACTTCTTCACCTGGCAGAACCTTCTTGTCCCCAACCAATAGAAGGGAGTTAGGAAATTATGTCTTCCCCAAGAGGACTTTCTCGTAATTGTGCCTGGAAGGGATGTTTTGACGGCAATAAAAAACATTACAGAATTATGAAAATGATGATGAAATTTTTTAAGGAAAAAATGGTTTCTAAATCTCCCCTAGGCATTTTGAGAAAATATTTTGATATGTAGTCTATGATGTCAAACTCTGGCTTCTTAATGATTAGTATAAATGGTCATGAAGAGGCCAGTTTTTTTTCTTACAATAGCCACCAAGGCTGGCAGGATCCAGCCTGCATCCAAGAAAATTGTATTTTCAGGTCACCCTTCCTTCCTCTTCCCATGTTCCTTCATGTTGTTGACTAAAGCCTGCTGAAATAAAACTTTTATCAGGCCCCAAACCAAACCTACTTCTTCCATAAGAGAATTTTACTTTGGGTTGATATTTAACTAGAAGTGACAAGAAAATATTTAGTGGAAGGGACATGAGATTTTATGTCAGAAAATGTGGGTTTGAGTTCTGACTACTCCTACTGCACGCACCATTTTGGCCTGCTCCTTAGCAATTCTGATCCTTCCTTCCTTCCTTCCTTCCTTCTTTCCTTCCTTCCTTTCTTTTTTTTCCCTAAAAGAAGACCAATGCTAGAACCTGTCTTACAGGGTTATTATAATAAAAAGGTGTGATAATGGATATAAAAAATGCTTGATAAACTGAAAAAAGTTCTACATTTGTTAGTTACCATTGTCATTAATTAGCAACATAGACCATTTATGCTATTGGCAATTACTAGGGCATCTGATCATAAATTTAGCATCAGCCAAATGCTCTCCAAAGACAGCTGACATTTAAATAAACATGTCAATTATCTGTGGAACTGGAGGCTTTATATTCTATCTCTGTATTAAGTCAAGCAAATTATTTGAACTATATTATTTATATTATTCTGTAGAAATATCCTAGGTGACTTTTAGTTTATGATACTCTGTGATTTTATAAAGATTTGATATTAAAATTATCCACTTAATATAGACTTTCTCTATTTTTTGTAGACCTGGGGCTAAAGATAGCACCCATAATGCTGTTGTTAAACAGCATCCTTTTTGCTAGGATAAATAAATTCTTGATTCTAAATCCAAGGTAAGTTTTGACTGCACCTAGATTTAAGTCCTTCCTTATGACAGGAAATAAGACTGCTATGATTTCATGGCTTTTTTTTTTTTGCATTTTTGTCAAATTTATTAGACTGTTTAGAGCTAAATTTTGTAAAATTTAATGGAATGTCTGCCCAATCTATTCATTTAAGTACACAGGAACATCTTTCCCTTGAAATTGCTCTTGGTGAAGGGAATACCTGGTTTTCTTTAAGTCACATTGTATATTAGCCAATAAGTTGCTTTCAGTTGTTTTGCGTTCAGTGGAGTGTAAATCTTAAATACATAAATAACTACAGTCAGGGCAAAGATGCTATATAATTCAGATTTCATATGTCTTAATGAGTATATTCAATTCTATATCCCTTTGGGACTCAACCTGATGAAAAGAAAATTTCATTGTAGTTTACAATAGTAAGAGTGAGTAGTTATGCAATAAAGCTTTACTACCTCCCCCAAAAAATCCACATTTCAAAGAAATGTCATGGTTGAGACCTTTTACCTCTTTCAATTGCTCCTCCCCACTTCTCCCACTTTTAAAAATCACAAACATTGGTTTTTCTTTTCTATGTCTATAGAATATTCACACTTAATACTTCCCATATCTCCTCAGCTCTAGACAGGGGTCTCTTGACTGCATCCTGGCTCCTCTAGTGGTTTCTCTGTTATCTAGGCTCCCAGTGGGAGCCCAAGCATAGGAGGGAGGCAACAGAGGACTGGGCTTATTCTACATGTCCTTCCAAGAGTCAACCTTTTTTTTTTTTTGAGACAGTCTCGCTCTGTCACCAAGGCTGGAGTGCAATGGTGCAATCTCGGCTCACTGCAGCCTCTGCCTCCTGGGTTCAAGCAATTTTTATGCCTCAGCGTCCCGAGTAGCTGGGACTACAAGTGTGAGGCACCACACCCAGCTAATTTTTTGTATTTTAGTAAAGACAGGGTTTCACCATGTTGCCCAGGTGGTCTCAAACTCCTGAGCTCAGACAATCCACCTGCCTTTGTATCCTGAAGTGCTAAGAGTCAACCTCTTGAGCTGGACTTTCTTATCTTACTATCAATCTCCGAAGGCCACATTCTTTTAAGCACTTGTGTTTTAAGAAAGATAAAAGAGAATTTGATCCATCTTAATATGCCTTGAGGTTTACATCTTACTGAGGCTAATTTTGTTAACTTTTTAGATTATCCTTTCTTGTGTCAAAGGATTCAAGGTCCAATGAAGTCCTATCTGTAAAAGAAGCTACATCCATCTGGTGTTTAAAAAACAATGAAAATATTATAACCAGATATTTTAAAACTTAGAAAAGTTTTTATTTCATTTATTTCATTAAACATTTTGGAGCAACGTATTAGACACTTGGGATACAAAATTGTATCAGTTATAGTTTTACCCTTAAAGAGTTCACTAGCTCACAGTTGTCATTGCTATTAGCACCTAGCTCAATAGCTGATATATAATATGCAACCAAACAATGGTCACTAAATGACACTGACCACTCAGTGTCACCAATCAAATTTTGGCCAGGAAACTGTTGTATTTATTCAATAGACTTTCAGAGTAGAAGGGCAATTAAGGATTCCATAACTTGGCTACAGAAAACAATATACTCATTGCCTTCTAATTTGCTTGTTTTGCCTAAATTTCTACATTCCTCATTTTATTCATTCAGTCATGTATGCTGTTAGTTCTGATAGGATGAGTTAACTCCAAAAGACAGCAACAAATAGGTGACTCTTGAAGGGACAACAGCTACTGATATACTGCTCTTTAAGGCCTATCCTTGTTTAAATAAAAAAAAAAAGGTTGCATATTATGAAAAAAGAATAAAATAATTAGAAGTTTAGATTTGTATAAGTTTTGCACTAGCATATGTATAGTATTTTACAGAAGAGGAATTGAAACCTGCTTTCCTGTGTCTATTAAGTCTCTGAGTGTCCTATTTGAAAGTTTAATATTTCACTAAAATCTGCATTCAATATTACTCCCCCCAACAAAGAAATGTTCACACCATTCTGTCAGAACAAGGTCAACCCCAAATCCTCTTTTTTGTTGTTGTTTTTTCTTAAACAGAATGGATGGGATAAAAATCACTTTTGCAGTTTGTTTCTTTTCCACATGGCAAATTTTTCTCCAAAATGCTCAACTGTTATTTCAGGTACTTTCCAAATTGTCCAGTCTCTAGCAGTTAGGTCTGGGAAGTAAAATGAAACTCTTAAGAGTGATTCCTTGAGAATATGTATTACTCCCTTGTCCATTCAATTATAAGGGGAAATGGTGTGATCTTCAGGGTCAGGGAAGGTATGTACAAAAGTACATTTTGAAGACTGTGACAGGTATATTTAAAAGAACGGTCTCACTTTTATAGATGGTTTCTTTAGAGATACAACAACTTAGAATCATAGAGTCAGGAATTTTGAAGATAGCTCAAAAAACCAGATCATTGTGGAATTTACTTAGACTTTTTTAGATTTCTTGCTCAACTTTAGCAAGTGTCATTAGTGGAAATAATCAGTAAAAATAGAATAGATGCTTCATGTAAGTGGTCCAAGCACATTCAGTTAAATAAGAGCACTAAGTACTTTATTTCAGTCACACCAGATTAGATTGCATTGCTTTTACATTCTGAGACAAAACTAAACTTTGTTGAAACAACATCCTGTTAAAAAGTAGCTGCTGTCTTGGTTTTGCCCTCTCTGGGCAGCATTATTTTTACTGTAATAGTTAAGCAGTAGTTATTTTATCCATTTCAGATATAAAGATGCTTATGCCTGGCATGGTTTTGAACACAGGATTTATGAGGGCAAAAAAGCAAACTGCGTCTACATAAATGAATCTGTGTGTTGGAATGAAATATTTATATATTTGTAGTTACACAGTGCACTTAACTAAAATTTACATCCAACAGTAACAAAAGCTATAGAGTGCTCATCTTCTTCTTCGTAATTCATACTGGTTTCTGCCTTCTCAAACCACAGCTCTGAATTTTATTTATAGAAATGGCTTCATATTTTTATTTTTAATTACTCAAAGTTTACTTTTGTTTAAGTTCCTGTCTGGCACAGTTAATAGCATGATCTTAAGTTCCTTGCTTGGCTTGGCCATTTATAATATTAGCCATGTGATGTTTGGCTAGTTATTTAACATCTAAGTTTCTTCCTATATGCAAACTGGGAATCCTTGTAACACTTAGTTTATTGTGTGGTTGTGAGAATTAATGAGTTGGTACATGATCTTAGTTCACTGCAGCATTAAGTGTTAACTATTGCTATTATTACTATCTGTAGAAAATTGATGAGATTATGTTGTAAGGATGGTTTCCCAAATGTCTATCATTTGTTATTTATGACTGTGAAAATGATCTGAGCAGCACAGGGGTGTCCTCTCTCATGGTCTTACACTATGGCCTTTGTTCCGTGAGCTACCTGTGGACCTCCATACTTATTTGAGCCTATCCTTGGGCAATTTAAAGATCTGCATAATATATTTATACAATTATGAATTATTTTTTGTTTATGAAACTCTGTATTCTTTGGACAAGATACCCTCTTTTCAGAGAAGCTATGTTAGTCACATGGGACATTTTTATTTAACTCTCTGTCTACAAGAGAGCCCTCCATACATAGCTAGGTGGTTAAGTTGCTATTTTAATGAAATAATAGGTTTGGACATCTGCTCTACAGTAGATACTCAGTTTAGGTAATTTGCTGACCCTGCATGCAATAGCCTTCTATCTTGGTGTTTGAGGCATACTTTCTATGCTTTCTAATGATTTGCTATGACAAAACAATGCCTCCCTACACTCACTGTACATTCTCTGAAAACTCTTCCCTTATTCCACTGAAATTCAAACTGCCCTGAATTACTTAATTCCTCTTAGATTAAAGCTGATTTATTCTTTCAAGGACTCCTAGTGTATGGGAGGGACATTTGGGATGTGGGGGAAGAGAGTTTATTTTAAAATTTTCAAGAACCCCTAATCTGCAGTCTCTCTTCCACTCCCTCTTCATCCCATTATTCTTGTCATTTCTGGAACAATCGTGAATGCTAGTTTGTGTTTGTGCATTAAAAAATATGGTAGTCAGGAACTGACCCTTCTGCCATACTAGCTGGATCCATTCCCTTCAATGTGGAAATGGGGCCATTGAGGGAAGAATGGCCAGTGGTTGAACTGAAGCTCCTCTGCAAGTGAATTTAGACTATCATGACAAGCTAAAAACACATTTCCAAAAGCATATCTGAGAGGAAAGTTTACATTTATGGTACAGTGACTTGTTCTGGGCCAGATACCCACTGGATTCACTCAGGGCATACAATGTTCAGTTATCTTTGAGATGGAAATCTCTCAGAGATTGCAAAGCCTCTAGGCCAATGTACTGAGTCAGAATTGATGTAAGTACTGCTATAGGACCAAGAAGCAAAGATATCCTTTGTTTATTATTTCTAAGGTATTAAACAGCCTCAAGGTATATCCACAAATTTCTTTGAGATGAGGCTTTCTCTTCCTTGGACTGCTGCTGAGATTGCTGAGGGTCAACATCCTTCAGCTGCTTAGAAACTCAGTTGATTGAATGGTTCTTTGAGGAACTGGCTTGAATCTTTCTGAAGTCACATCTTTGGCTTCATCTTTTGTTTTCCTGAAAGTGTCCTGGATTTGATCTTTGCCCAGAAGCTATTTCTTAATTTTAGTATCATAAATTGTCTGGAGAGGCTGAGAATTTTCAAATCCAACAATTCTTGGCTCCTTTTCTAATCAGCCCTTCCTTTAGCTTTTCACTCTCTGCTTGCATTTTACTATAAACAGCAGAAGAAGCGAGGTATCTCCTTCAACACTCTGCCTGGAAACCTCCTCAGCTACATCACCCAATTCATTAGGTATGTTTCCCATTTCTCATGTTTTCAAAGGGGACAGTGCTCCTAAACTTCCTGACGTTATATAACAAGGATGCCCTTCCCCAAGTTCTAGTAATAGTTTCCTCACTCCGCTATAAGCTCTTGCCTTCAGCCTCCACAGAGTCTTCTAGTAGTAAACCCTTAAAGATGCTTCAGGATTTCATGATGCTTTCCTCACATTCTCTCCAGCTGTCATCTACTGTCCATTTTCAAAGCCATTTTCATAATTTAGGCTTGTGTTATGGTAGCACATAATTCTTTGTACTGAAATCTGTATTAGTTATCTGTTGCTGCATAACAATTTACACTAAAACTTAATGGCTTGAGCAATAATAATCATTGTCTCATAGAGTTTCTGTGGGTCAAGATCCAGGGACAGCTTTGCTGTTTGGTGCTGGCTCAGAGTCTGCCATTAGGTTATAGTCAAGATGCCAGTCTGGACTGCAGTTATTTGAAAGCTGAACATGGCCAAAGGATCTGCTTCCAAGCTGGCTCAATTAAATGACTTGTTGCTGGAGGCCCCAGTTCCTTCCTACACATACCGCTCCATACTGCTGCTTGAGTCTACTCATAACTTATCAGCTAACTTCCCCAAGACAGCATGATTCAAGTGAGAGTAAGGCAGAAGCCATTACGCTATTTGTGACCTAGCCTTGGTAGTCACATATCATTATTTCTGCAATAATCTAATGGTTACCCAAATCAGCCCTATTTATTATGGGAGGAGTCCCTCCCATAATAAAGGTGTGAATATTAGGGTACAAAGTTATTTGGGAGACATCTTGAAGGCTGGATACAACAGGAGGTAATCCAGAGATTAGCAAGTTTTGGAAGCCAAGCAGTGGTGTGCTAATAAACCAGCTCTCTGAAAAATAAAACAAAAATATCCTGATTGTGGTGTTTTTCATGATATAAATACTCTTACTGAGTTCAATTTTAAGCTACCAGTGGTTTAACAACAGGCTTGCAAAATTCCCAAATACTTCACAATTGATTCTCATGAGTTAGCAAGAGCCAACTCCAACACACCATTGCCCCCAGGGCCAGAAAGGGAGGAGGTTATGTTCTTGGAGGCTAGGGATTAAGGCTCCTTGAGGAAAGCTGAAACTCCAGTAGGCTTGTCAAGTGCCAGTTGGAGACTTATGGAAGAACCTCAAGAGCTGCTTGAGAAGCTGGTGATATAGGGACCTCAAGAATGCAGGCAGCAGGAGTTAGCTCCTTGCAACTTAGAGCAGAAAAAGCAAAGAGGTGAAGAAGGACTGGCTCATTTTGATGGCAAAAAATGGAAGAGCTTGGAAAAATCTATAGGGACAGAAAGCACATTAGTAGTTGACTGAGATTAAGAACAGAAATTAACTATAAATGGGCATGAGGCATCTTTTTGATATGATGGAAATGTTCTAAAACTGGGTTTTGAGAATGGTTACACAACTCTGTAAATTTACTGAAGCTTTTTTTTTTTTTTTTAATGGAACAGCTAAGATTCTATCCCAATCTCTAATTCCACCAGACCATGTAACTACGGGGTATCAGAAAAAGAAGAGATTGCCCGTTGTACTGGGTTTGGTATTTTAGCCTTTAAGGAGGCCCCAGTGATCTCTACCTCTTGGTATTTACATTCTTGTTTAATATCTTCCCTTTGAGTGTGGGCTTGCTTCTAAACAAAAGTCTATGACAAAGGTGAGGCGATGTTACTCCCTTGGTTATATTACATTACATAAGATTTCATCTTACTAGCAAACTCATCTCTTTGTCTTCAAAGGCCCTTCCTGGCTTTGAAGAAGAAAGCTACCCTGAATCCTATAGTCAATACAAATGCATTGTGTCAACAATATGAATGAGCTTGGAAGTGGCTTCTTCCACAGTCAAGTCGCCAGATGGGAATGCAGCTCAGCTGACACCTTGATTGCAGGCTGTAAGATGTTGAGCAGAGGACTCAGTTAAGCTCTGCCTGAACTTCTGACCCACAGAAATATGACAGAATAAATGTGCACCTTTTTCAGATGCTGTTTGTGATAATTCTTCATAACCACAATAGAAAAATAACAAACCATTCTTTGAATATAGGTATATAAAAATAATGGTTTTGTTTGTGTTCAAAGTTTATGCTGTCATAATTTTGTGGACACATTTTTGCAGGTGAATGATAATGGTGTTTTATAGTTACATTTCATTTATTTCAATATTTTTATTTTCCAGGATAAATAACTCTATTGGTTTTCTTTGATTTGCTTTCTATATACCAATCACTAATTCATCATCAAACCCTCTGCATAAGTGTAACTCTACTAGCAATATGGTCAAACACATGAGGCAAACTCTCAACTTAATTGTTGCTATTGAGAAGTTTAATTCCATTCTGATTCTGTCTCCTCATCCCCACCCCAGAAAGCTTTTCAGTTATCTTCATCTGCTGAATTCTGAACTTTTATAATGATGTGTCATGGTGGTAGTTCTCTTCTATTCATTGTGTTGGGCACCCAGTAGGAACTTTCAATGAGGAAACATATGTCAGTTCTGGAACATTTGTTTTTTATTCTCGCTTTCTCTCTCTTTTTTTGGGAGGGGTAATGTCCTCCTCTATGTTTTCTCCTCAAGTGGGAAGACCTTCACATCCTGTTTTTGCTCTAGATTTCTCTTTCTTGCCTTCTCAAAGACTTCATTCCTACAATTATATTCTGGGGCTGAGGAGTGCAAATTAAGTTACTTATCTGTTTTCCTCTTTAGGTTTCAGTATTTTAGGATCTGTTGAATCAGTTATCACTCATCCATCTGCCTTCCAGCTTCCAAAATGTTGCTGTATTCTCCTCTTCCTTTTTTTATTTTTGTGAGCTTAGCCCTTTTAAAAAGATCACTTTACTGTCATTTCAGTGTATTTTTGGGAAGAGGGGAATATAAACTCTTTGTTCATTCTAATATCTTTAACCAGAATCTGACCTCTACATTTTACTTTCCTGTTATCCTCTAATAATAGTCCTATGAGGTAAGCAGGGCAGATATCATTGTCCCTCTATTATTGATAAAATACTCACGATTCAGAGAGCTTAAAGGACTTGTTTGGAGTTACTAAACAGGCTGAGAAATATTCAAGTCTCAGTAGCTATAGTTTGTTGTTCTTTCCATGTATAGCACATTGCTTCCCAATTCTGGACAATAGACTCAAAGGTTAGTAAATTTGGAAGTGGTATTCTATTCCAGTATTTTCTAAAATGTACACCACAGAACACTAGTCCCAGGAGAAGCTCTTTTAAAAATATTCCACGATCAACGAGGTGAAACCCCGTCTCTATAAAAATACAAAAAAATTAGCTGGGTGTGGTGGCACATGCCTGTAATCTCAACTACTCGGGAGGCTGAGGCAGGAGAATCTCTTGAACCCGGGAGGCAGAGATTGCAGTGAGCTGAAATCGCACCACTGCACTCCAGCCTGGTGACAGAGCAAGACTCCATCTCAAAAAAAAAAAAAAAATTCCGCAATCAACCACATTAGAGAAGCATTGTACACTAATGAATTTCCTTAATTCTATGATACCACTAATGTAGGAAATAATTATTAACAGTTAATAACAGGCCAGGCGAGGTGGCTCACACCTGTAATCCCAGCACTTTAGGAGGCTGAGGAGGGCGGATAATGAGGTCAGGAGTTCGAGAGCAGCCTGAACAACATGGTGAAACCTCATCTCTACTGAAAATACAAAAGTTAGCTGGGCATGGTGGCACGTGCCTGTAATCCCAGCTACTCAGGAGGCTGAGGCAGGAGAGTCACTTGAACCTGGGAGGCAGAGGTTGCAGTGAGCTGAGATCACACCACTGCACTCCAGCCTGGGTGACAGAGCGAGACTCCGTCTCAAAAAAAAAAAAAAAAAGAAACCTGTTAAAAATAGTTAATTCGGCATTTCTCATTCGACACCTATTAATATTACAAATAATTCATTTATTCATTTAAT
Organism: Homo sapiens; assembly: GCF_000001405.40. Taxonomy (NCBI): domain Eukaryota; kingdom Metazoa; phylum Chordata; class Mammalia; order Primates; family Hominidae; genus Homo; species Homo sapiens. Next base: position 28,596,761 of record NC_000011.10, read on the forward strand.
AACTATTTGTTGAGCCTCTGTTTTTCACAGGGCACCATGCTGTGTACTAGATATTGGCAAAATGATAAATGATTCCAGCCCCTCAAGGAGTTTAAGTGAGGTAGCTGAGTGTCTAACAAAAATCTTAACCTAAACCGATAAATTAGTTTACTGCGAGGAACTAAAATTCCAATTAAAACCAGAAGGAGGAGTATGAGTTACTAAACTTTACTGAGGTGTTGGGGAGTGGAGGTTGTGGGGTTGGACATGGGGAGAGAACAAAGAGCATTCCAGGAATAGATAATGTTGTTTCATACTCCACATTGAGAAATGCTAAGAATTTCTCAACCATCTTTACAGACAAGAAAAATATAGGTGAGATAAGTTAGAATTTAAAAATGCCAATATTGAATGGAGTCTTAGACATCTAGTACAATACTATGTACAGTACATAAATTCCCACATCTTTGGATAGATGTCCTCTCCCTTTCAAACGATGTAAGTGGCAGTGAATCAAAACTTCTTACAGGTTGAGAGAGATCTGAGTAATTTCTCTGTTTTAGGTTCATAAAGTATTTTTTTAATGCCAAGCCAGAGTTATCTTACATTTGTCATGTTTATGTTAATTTTTTGACATATACAGAGAAAACACTAGGAAGATAACACAACAATTAAACACAAAACCTCATACAGAAATAATGCCAAAAGTTTTGAACATGAGACCAAGACCAGATTATTTTCCTGAGCCCCACCTTTCCTGCCCCTCCCCACTTTAAGCTTTACAGGAAGCTCACTAGTTCTCATTCCATAGGTTGAACTGATAATATAGTATCCATACATTGGGCTACCTTTTGGAAACATGTGGAACAGTCTATCAGAAAACACTTTAAATATTTGTGGGTCCTCAAGGCTAAAAAGTCTTCTGGGACTTCAGCATTTCTCAGATGCCACAGTTTCAAGAACTTTCATTCTCCTGATTCGTCTGAAAATATTCTGAGAAAACCTAAAGGTTTCCACTCATTTGGCTCTAGGAAGCACCTCTGTCAATATAGGGACATGATAACTTTCTACTTAATTAAATACAAAGTCTTAACTGAACCATTTCAGGCCCCTTTGACTCACTTCATACTGATGGGGCATTTTCCCCCACTGTAGCTCTATGCTGTCAATACCTTTCGATAGTACATTCTTTCCCTGAGTGGAGCAGGTTTTTGCAGCAAAACAAAACAAAATTAATTTTGCATGTTACTCTGCAGTCTGGGTATTCAGATGTAACACATGTACCCTGCATCTATATTTCACCTTATTTGATGTGCCAATAGGCCATACACATGCCAGTCACTGAAGGGAAGCCAAGGATGCTTGAGAGATAGATACTTTTGGCATTTCCAGGACTCCCCTTACTCTTCCTGACTAGTCTCCACTTGACCTCATGCCTTGTTTTAGACTTGATTCTTTTGTAATTTTCACTCAGCTCTGACTCTCAATATTCTTGTAAGTGCTTTGACTGGCTGTTATTTCTTTGGCTTGTTCTCTCCCCAGTGACCTCACATATGATATCTTTCTCTTCATTTTGGCCTCTTGGACCTTTGTCCCTGTAATAGCCTTCTTGTATTTATACAAGCAGGGCCCATTTTTGCCATTTGTGAAAACAAAAACATAGAGCATGTGTACCTGGGGAAACTAATTTCTCATTAATTCTAGAGAGTTTTCCATGATACCTAAATTCCTGGGACATTTTTATTAATATCTGATACATGTAATTGTTACATAGTATAAATAAAGATCTCCAGATGTAAGACCTTCATGAGGGCTTTTAGAAGAAAGTCCCAGTCCCCGTCTCTATGTCTGAGTTCCTTGAAAATATCAGAGCCCCAGTGAGTAAATATTTGGTAATAAACCTTGTAAAATATTGGATAATTGTTTGCAACTCTTCATTCCTTTTGCCATATGCCTCTCATTAGAGTGGACAGAGTATCCTTCCTGGCTCCACTGGATGTTGGGCTAAGTCATGTGAATTTCTTTGGTGAATGGAACATTAGCAGAGGTGTGGCAAGCAGAGGCTTTATGTGTGCTTGTCTGAATTGCTTGGTTTCTTGCATTTTGGCCATCCGCTGTGAGAAGATGACCCCTGGTTCTATAATGAAAGACTTAAAGAAGGCTTGAATCTGACCCGACACTTTGAGGAAAAGCTACCCTGGCCAGCCTTCAGCCTCATTAGCAAGAAAACATTTCTTGTATGTCACTGAGATTTGGGGGTTGTTTACCATGCAGCTTATCCTAGCAGAAACCTAACTGATAAAATCCTCTTTTATACCACTTTGAGAATGACTGCCTTCAAAATATTGCCTTTATTCTTTCTCCTGGAAGGCTTTCTGTTACAGGTTAAATTGTGTTCCCAAAAAAGATAAGACATAGTCCTAACCTCTGGTACCTTGAATGTGATCTTATTTGGAAATAGGACCTTTATGGATGGAATCAGGTTAAAATGAGGTCATACTTGATTAGAATGGGCCCTAATTGTTTATGATTGGTGTCCTTATAAGAAGGAAAAACAGAAACATAGAAATATAGAACACTGTGGAAACAGAGGCTGACATCAGTGTAATACAATTGCCTTCCAAGGAAGGCCAGGGATTAATGGGCACTACCAGAAGCTAGGAAGACACAAAGAAGGACTCCACCTGGAGTCTTAAAGGGAAAATGGCCCTTCTGACACCTAACTTCAGACTTCTGGCTTCCAGAGCTGTCAGAGAATAAGTTTCTGCTGTTTTATACCACCTAGTTTGTGGTATGGCAACCTTAGGAAACAAATACATTTTTCCTAATGATCCTAAACCCAGAAGTTATTTCTCTGTTTACAAAATACTTTATACTGCACTTAGTTACTTTCATCTCTCCTACTAGGATTTGTACCCCTGAGGAGTCTCACCCCTTAGGCTTTGCAAAACTATAACTGCAAAGAACCACATCTGAAGCCACAGCATGTTGGTGGTACTTGACTCTTAGTAGATGTCTTGTGGTTGTCTTGGAAAGAGTAGCAAATGTACAGTGAGAGAATATGTTTCTCATGCCTGGATTCTTCCCTTAATTGTCGTGTGATCTCATAAAATTTACTCAACCTCTGAGAGCTTCATTATCCTTATCTATAAAATAATCATAAAATAACTACCTCACAGAGTTCCATGAAGATTAAGTGAGTTAATGGATCTGAAAATGTTTCATGAATCGCCAAATTGCAATAAAATGTTGAGTTGTTTTGTGATTATTAATATGAACTTTGTTACATTCTGTCATTTTCTCAGCACATATTTATGAGTGCTTACTAATGAGTGCTGAGCACTGTGCCAGGTGCAATTCATAGTATGCATGGAGCTTACTAATGAGGTAAATTCATTATATGAGATTAAACAAGGTGTGGGATGCAGAATAATGGGGTAGAGGATCAACTTTAGAGAGATATGACAGCCTTCTCTGATGAGGTGATATTTGAGAACTGAATGATGAAAATATGTCATACATGTGAAAATCCAGGAGAAAATTATTTCAGGCAGAGGAAAAAGCAAAGCCCAAATAGCTTGTTTTGAAAAAGAGCTTTGCCCAGTCTTAGAGACTGAGAGAAGGTAAAGGAGACAAGAACCAAGTGAAATGGGCTCAGATCACATCATTTGATGTTTGGGAGGCATATAGGGGACAGATCTTTCAGGACGCTGCAGGCCATGGTCAAGAGTTTAGATTTTTATTCTAAATGAAATAGGGGAACTATTATTGGAGGACTTTACTTAAAGGGGTAACATGGAACTTAAATTTAAAAAAATACCTCTCCAACTTCTGTTATGGACTATATGGTGGTGGGAGTGAGAGGAAAAGCAGGAAGAGAATAGGAAGGAGGCTGTGGTAGTTATCTAGGTGAGAGGTGGATGATAGCATGGACTAGGATAATATCAATGATAATTTTAGTAACTTGGATTAGGGTAGATATTTTCAAAATATAACTGACAGGTCTTTGTGGATCCTTAAATGAGGGCTCTAGAGACAGTTAATGAAGACTTCCAGGTTACGTGCTTTTGTAACTGTGTATATACTGGCCTCTTTTACTGATATGTAGAGATGGCTTTTGGAGAATATTTAAGAGTTAACAAGAATTTTTTTCTTCATGTTTTCCTTCAGATGTCAACTTTGGGCCTTAACAAAAGGGACAGAAATTCTTGTCTAATGTACATGGAACTCAGGTGTTGATATGGTTTGGCTGTGTCTCCATCCAAAATCTCATCTTAATTGTAGTCCCTATAATCCTCATAATTCCCACGTGTCAAGAGAGATACCAGGTGGAGGTAATTGAATAATGGGGCTGTATCCCCCATGGTGTTCTCCTGATAGTGAGTGAGTTCTCAAGAGATCTGATGGTTTTAAAAGAGGCTCTTCCCCCTTTGCTCGGCACTTCTTCCTGCTGCCTTGTGAATAAGGTGCCTTGCTTCCCCTCCACCTTCAGCCATGATTGTGAGTTTCCTGAGGCTCCCTTAGCCATGCTGAACCGTGAGTCAATTAAATCTCTTTCCTTTATAAATTACAGTCTCAGGAATTTCTTTATAGCAGTATGAAAAACAGTATAATACAGGTATCGACTGGCTGTTATGGTTAAGAACAGGTGTTGGCAAATTGCCTTAGTTCAGGACACTATGCCCAAACTATACCCATACCACAGATGGGTGGCTTATAAACAACATAAAGTTATTTCTCCTAGTTTTGGAGGTTGATAAGTCTAAGAGCAAGGCACTGGCAAATCATGTGTCTAGTGAAGCCACTCTTCCTGGTTTGCAAATGGCTGTCTTCTCACATCCTCACATGATGGAGAACAGAGAGAGGAAGCAAGATCTCATGCCTCTCCCTCTTCAGTAATGGCATTAATCCCATGATGAGGGTTAGCCTTTACGAGCTAATTACCTCCCCAAGGCCCCCACTTCCTAACACAATCACATTGGGAGTTAAGATTTCAACATATTCATTTTGGGGTGATACAATTATTCAATCCGTAGCATAACCTTTTTCTTAAGGTTATGCCAGATAGTAAATATTTTAGGCCTTTTGGTGCAAGAAGCAAAATAGTAGATATTATGTAAGTACTTATATAATCATTTTAATGTAATCATTTTTAAAAGTGAAATACATTTTGTAGCTCACGGGGCCATAAATAGGCAGGGGACTATACTTGGTCTTTAGAAGGTAGTTTGCTGAACCCTGGTCAAGATCAGCAGATGGCAAACTACTGTCCATGGACCAAATCCAGCCAAGTGCTTGTCTTTGTAAATAAAATTTTATTGACGCACAATCAAACTCCATTGTTTACACATTGTCTATGGCTGCTTTCCTGCTATGATGTAGAGTTGAGTAGATGCAACAGAAACTATATGTCCCACAAGCCTACGTGATTTACTATCTGGCCTTTTGGAAGACAAGTTTGCCAACCCTGGTCTAGATAACAGTGCTGGAGCCCCCTTCTCCTGTCCTATGGAAAGGACCTTACTTTCTCTAAGTTTTCTGCAATCTTCCAGGGGCTTATATTCTCATGGTTCTCTCCAAATCCAAGTTCTTCTACTTACAAATGGATTATTTCACCACCTCACATGTGTTCTCCCTGTCATGTTACCTCAGAAGGAGAATTCTATCTTCACTGCTTGATGTCCATAGCCATTGCAGGACAAAACCTGAGTGATGAAACATTCTTCCAGAACTTTATGTAAGAGTTAGGCTTTGAGGATATGGAGGAGGATGATATATCATTAAAACAATAGCTTAAAGTTGATCATTGGACATTTCCCATTTTTCTTCTTTAAAAATTCCCTTGAACACATTGGCTAACTTAGACTCTAATCTCTCACCATGACGCTCTGCCGTCTTCATTTTTCTCTTTTCTGTTTTCACTTATCTGCTTTCTCCCATCTCCAAATTTCGGTTCCTTCATCTTGCTGAATAGTTAAGCTACATTTTTGTTGCTTTCTGCTATTGTATGATAGGTTTCAACTGCTACTCTCTAAGAGATGTATCAAGATTTTTTTCTTAAACAAAAACTACTTCATCTTAAGAAGAATTCCATTTCTAATTTTAGTAATTTCTTTTTATCTTAATACTAAGATATCATGGGTGGTGAACAGCCACCCTCTGCACAGGTACCTGCTCTACCATCTTGCCACAGTTATGACATTTCTATATTTGGAGACACTGTTGGTTCCCTAACATGTGTCAGGCAGTGTGTTAGATATGTGAACTGCAGAACAATTATCTCATTTAACTCTTTCCCAACTTTGTTATTTAAATTTTTGTATCCCCATTTTGTGGGCAAGAATATTGAGGTTTATATGCCCTTGTACTCAAAGTCACATCTCTGATCAACGGGATTTAAATCCATCTTTCTGCTACTAATTTTCAAGCTGTTTTTATGGCACCACAGAGTTTTGATTCTGACCAAGCTGTTATAGAACACCAGATACAAACAGAGAAAATATATTATTTTCTGGAGAGCATGAAAATAACGAAGTATTAGTTGATATTTTTAGACACTTTCAACTGTTGGGCCAGATTGTGGAGAATAGGAAAATGACAAATATCGTGTTTCTGTTCCAAAAAAGACAATAAACCACGTAAGTAGTCCTCCCTAGGTTAGTATACAAAGCAGGTGTGGGGGAAAATATGAGAAACAACCTTGTGGGTTCCAGTGAGGAAACACTTCAAAAAATATCATTTGATTAAGAGACAGCCCGCATGATTCAATGAGGAGGCGGAGGTATTGCCTTGGAAAAGCGTCAGATAAAGAAATACTAAATGCCTGTAGAAGTGTCGTGGGTATGGGGGCTAAAAACAGCTTGTGGAATGGCAAACTTTCTGAAAAACATGGCAACAGCAAGTGTCCATAAATGGCAACTTCACTCTCTGTGGATGAGTGGGAAACAGCAGAGGGTAATTTTTAGATTGCTTGTTTTTTTACGTTAGTGGAGTGCAGTGATGCCATTGGAAATATTAAGAAGGATGAAAATGTGTTGGTGACGAAAGAACACTTATGAAAATAGAATAGCACCAGGACGTGGTAACCTGATGGAGATCGTTTGATGACTAAATACAGAATATTGTTGATACCTGAAAAATAGTGCTGTCAGCCAACTGACCAGAATAGACCTCTTTTTCTTTATGTAGCACGCTGGTGTAAAACAGTGTTCTCCACATAGGGAGGCCTTTTGGAGTTTCCTTCTTTATCTTTAGGTAACAGAAAATCTGAAATAATCAGATGTCTGAAGCTTGTGGGATTCCGGACAGTTATATTTTCTGATTATTTGTTTAATTGTTTATCTTGCTTCACAAATGTCTAAATTTCATTTTCTGCCTCTCTAATGGATACTTGAAAATCTTGCTACGCTGCAAGATTTCTTTGGATTAATAGGGCTTCTTTATCCATTCAATAGATTTTTCACTGAGTAATTGTAGTATAGCAGGTTTTACGGTGGGTGTGGATATCTTAAAGATGATTAAGATAAGGACCCTGCTTTGTAACATTCAAGGAACATTAAAGGTAGCCATTGAACCTGAAACAGATTGAGATGACTGCAGGTTGAAACAGAAACATATTCTGGAAGCTAACATAAGAACCCTAAGAGAGTATCTTTTATGATCATCAGACTCTTGTCTCCTAAATATGAGAAGCAAATACATCAGATTGAAAAATCTAGTAAGCTAGATTCTGGTTGACTGATGAAATGGTTTGGCTCTGGGTCCCCACCCAAATCTCATCTTGAATTGTAATCCCAGTGTGCTGAGGGACGGACCTGGTGGGAGGTGATTGGATCATGGGAGTGATTTCTCCCATGCTGTTCTCATGATAGTGAGGGAGTTCTCAGATCTTCTGAGGGAGTTCTCACAAGATCTGATGGTTTTACAGTGGCAGTTTCCCCTGCACCCTCTCTCTCCTGCCACCATGTAAGAATTGCCTTGCTTCCCCTTCACCTTCTGCCATGATTGTAAGTTTCCTGAGGCCTTCCCAGCCATGCAGAACTGAGTCAATTAAACCGCTTTTTTAATAAAGTACTCAGTTTCAAGTATTTTTATAGCAGTATGAAAGTGGACTAAGAAAGTTGAGTTTAGTGTATATCAAACTATAATAAACATATTGTGAAATTCAGGTGCAATCTTATTATTTTTTGGATTAACATTTTTTATTACTTGCATGATTTCTATGGTAAGAACCCATTGTCCTGGATTATTAGGATGAAATTAAATATCCATTTTTAAAGTAAGATAAAACAAGCCATTTCTTAGCAAAGAATATGGCCTAAGGAAACTTTCTGAGGGCTAGGCATATTTGGGGGAAAAAAGTGCTTGGGAATTTGAAATTAATATCTAGTTAAGAAACATTGCAAAAGTTTTATTTTATCATGTGATTATAATCACACCTACAAAACACAAGTAATCCAAATGAGTAGGGCCTTTTGTGAAATTTTCCCACAAGCTTCTGTTGATTAAATGATCACTGAATAACCGTTGCACTGTGAAAGATACTCTAGAAAGCACTGGGTCAGAGTGGGGAACAGGATACAAAAATGGATAAAACACAGAACCCAAGATGCAGTCAAAATGGAGACCAAGACATTTCCCATGCAGCTAAAGTACAATGTTGAATAAGATAGATGCTCTGAGAGAAGATCCAAAATTCAGTTGGAATTCAGAAGCCAAAGAAGTCACATGTAATTGCAGGGATATCAGGAATGACTTAGTGAAGGAGATCATGTTGAAGCTGAGCTTCATGGTTAGATATTTTAACAGGAGGAAAGTAGGTAAAGTGCCCAGATATACAGAATGCTGTGAGTACAATTATAGCATCAAAAAACTTCAGGTTATGCCTGGGGAATAAGTCATGGTTCAGTCTGGCTAAAGTGATAGATTTTCAAATTTTGGTTAGTAATAAAACTCCTTTTTTTCCTTCGCCAAATGAAAGGTTATGCTGAACTCCAAAATATAACATAAATCAAAATAACAAAGCTGTTCTAATTAAAGTGTGTGTGAGTGTGTGCATGTGTGTGTGTTTGTGTGTGATAGAAGACAACCAGAGGGAATGTATTAATGTCCTAGGGCTGCCATAAGAAATTACCACAACCTTGGTGGCTTAATGCAATATAAATTTATCCTCTCACAGTTTTGGAGGCTGTGTATGAAATCAAGGTGTTAATCAGGCTATGTTCCTTCTGAGGGCTCTAGAGAAGAACCCTTCCTCACTTCTCCAAGTCTCTGGTGACTTCCAGTAATTCTTGGTGCTCCTTGGCTTGTGGCAATCTGATTCCAATCTCTGTTCCGTCTTCACATGGCCTTCTTTCTTGTGCCTCTGTGTGTAACTGCATCCAAATCTCCTACTTCCTCCTCTTATTAGGACACAGTCATATTGAATTTAGGGTACACTCTAATTCTATATGACCTAATCTTAACAAATAACATCTGCAATAACTCTTTCCAAATAACATTACATTCACAGCAATCTGGGGTTAGAACTCAACATATATTTTATTCAACCTGTCAGTTCAACCCATGACAGGGATGATTTTTGAGATTCTGAGCTCCCCTTGCTTCAACTGCTACCCTCTTCTAAAGTGACCATTGAGGCACCTCGACCGAGCCTTAGGACTGCCCATCCTGAACACTGAAAACCACTGGGCCAGTGCCGTCTCCCCATATTGCTGGATCAGGAGAATCATCTAAGGTCTTTCTTATACACAGAATCCCTGAGCCCCACCCCAATCTACTGAATCAGAATCTTGCAGTCTGTGTTTCTATCAAGTGCTGGAGGGCAGTCATGATAGACTAGTCAAGTTCATAATGAACGCTGTGCTAGAGCAGAGGGCCATTTTGGAAACTGGACTGAAAAGGCAGATTATAGAGAATGTTGATATCAGGCTGAGGGACAGTAGCTTCAAGAAGAGTTTGCAGGAAACATCTTCCTGATGCTCATCATATCACACTGCATTCAGGTCTCCTGGTGTGTTAATACATGAGAAAAGTCCCAACAGCAAGTGTCTAAGGGTTTCTCCTCACCACGGAGGCTGCTCTGGTGCCTTTGGGGTCTATGATCCCAGCCTAGAATTCCTATGGTTCCCCATCCTAAGGGCGAGCTCCAGGTTACAGAGCTGAGGGGAGCCTGGGTTTGAGGGGTGACCTGCAAGGCAGTGGGCCAGCAGGCCCTGCAGGCGAGGCTGCTGCAGGCCTCCTTTTGCTGGCCAAGGAAGAAACGCCTGTCACAGCAGCTGCCTCGTGTTTCCTCATTAGGGTTGCCTCCACCTTGAGCACACGTGTGGGAGCAAGCGAGGGAAGTCAGCCTAGGAGGGGAGCTGCCGGGCCTAATGGGCGGATGGGCCGCAGGGGAGGGAAGGCATGCTGTTGGTGACTCAGAGTCAGCGAGAGGTGGATTTCGCCAGCAGGAAGTTGGATTCAGGAGGCACTGCCGGGTACTTTTCCATCCTCCCTCCTCTCCCCCTCCCCACCATGATCCTGTGGTTCAGGATGCCAAAATGCACAGGCCAAACTCAGCTTGTTTCCTAGAACTGCACGAACTGTTTGGACTGACTTGAACTGGTCAAAATAAAACAACCGAGGAACCTGTCAAAATCCAGTGAAGAATGTACAGCTCTGCTTTTGTGCAGGTGATTGTTTTGAATGACAGTGTTTGTGACCAACAACCCACCACTATTTTCTACCATCAATCATACTCTACTCCAATCAGAAAAAAAAAGAGAAATAAGAATTTATGAGAGATGCTCTTTAAAAATAGAAATTGTGTCATTGAAATCTCACAACAGACCTTAGAAGCAGTTATCCCATTTTATAGATGAGGAAACAGAGGCTGGAGACCTCTCCTGCTCTTTCGTACGGTCAGTAAGATACAGAGCTGTAATTTATATCTCACTCTGTCTGGCTCCAAAGCCCGTAAATGCCTGAGTCCAGGCTCCCTCCCAGTCAGTTGTTTCTCAGCACTGACTCTGCGGGGCATCCTCCTGTACCCATCCCAGCTCGGATTCTCTTTTCTCACTTTTGATGGCTTTCCCTCTCTTCTGCACCTCTCCGTGTGTTATCTGCTCTTTAGAACAATAAGTGAGCCGACCTAAGTCCGGAATCAGTTAAAATTACATCACCACCCTGGCTGTGTGAATCCGACATATGTAATTCCTCCAAGTCTTTCTTAATATGGAGGCAGTAATAATAATTACTTACAAAGCAGTTATGCATAGTATGTAAAAGAATACATGAAAAGTGCTACAATATAGGTAGCATACATGTTTTATTACTCAAGTAATAATTTCTGGTCTGTTTGAGAAGCAATGACTTATTTTGTACTTCCTGCCCAAATCACATCACATAATAGCTACACGCTTGCTTGTTTCATGTGTGTCAACTTTGTATCCCAGAGGAGAATTTAAAGTACTTATGGACATTAGTCAATGCTTATGATATTTTTCTTTCTATATCTTGTGCTGGTCATTAGCTTAGATGCACAATAACTATAGATTGAAAGTCTTTTATTATAACAGTCAAAACAATTAAATTACATTCTATATGTAGAGCCAACCACCAACTAATTACTGTTGTTCATTGTACAGCATTTCAGATATAAAAAATTGATTATGTCCTGCATATCTTTTTTCTATCCCATTCTTCCTGTCTCTTCCTTCTTTCCCTAACTATTAGGTACCTTCTTAGTTATTAATACTGGGCAAACCACTGTGTTGGATGCGGTAAGCCATATCTATAAGGAATAGATAGGAGAAATGAGGGTACCCCGGGGCCTGAATACTCAACCAGCACTTCTGATAATCACAACGAATTCCACAATTGACATGGAAGATATAGGACAAAGAAAAAGACTAAAGTCACACTTAACTATTTTGTTTTTGGTTTTGTTTGTTTTTTCCTTAAATTGCCTTGCAGTACCCCTAGCTGAGCTGTAATGCTTGCAATTGCAGGGAATCCTTTGGAATAGACCAGTTTCCCAAAGCATGGTCCTCAGATCACTTCCATAAAACTCACATCAGGACGATATCACAAATAACGTTAAGCACATCAGTTTGAAAGGAATACTGTGAGGAAAATATTCCTGAAAGGTGCTGCCAAAAGGCCAAAATTTCCAGGACAAAAACCATGCCTTGGAAAAAAAATATTTATTACATAGTTTATGTACTGTAGCTTTATTTCTATATTTTAGTCTAAGTAATACATGTGCATATTTTAAGATACCAAAGAGTACATATAATTTTTTATATATATACATAAATAGCACTCCTTTGCTTTACTCTTCCCTATTCTACCTTATCCTTCAGATTCTCTTCTCAGAGGGATTCATTTCAACCCTCATACCTATTGATTTGGGTATTTACCTCCGAGTTTCTAAATAACATGCTTATACTGCTGTTTCTTGGTTTGTTAACTTTAGACATTAGTTATTAACTGCCCGTGTTGAGGTAAGTCAAGATTTACCTCTTTTATAGTCCTTCTTTCCATTTATTTCTGGAGATTTCCTTTTCAGTTCTGGGGAATTTTGCTATATCCCTTCTCTGATAAATTTATCACTTCTATGTATTTTTAGTTTCCCTGCTACCCACACTAGAGAGATGTTAAACTTCCTGTTTGACCCTCTATTTCTCCTTTCCTGTTTTTCTTTCTTCTTTCCTATTTTCTCTTGGTCCTTTTGCGTACTTTCCTAGAGATTTTCTTGATGCCTTCTTCTAAACCTCCTATTGAGTGTTTTATTTTGGCTAGTTTAAATTACCAGGAGTGATTTCTTCTTTGCTACTTGTTTCTTTATTTTCATGGAATCCTCTTCTTATTTGGATGCAAAAAAATTTAATTATCCTTTGTTAATTGTGAGGCTATTAAGTATGGATTTATTTCTGTTTGTTTGCCTGCTTGAGTCTTTTTCTTTCATGTTGGAAGCCTTCCTAAAACACCTGCTGATCCTTAGCTGTCAGTTCCTACTCAAGTGTGAGGCACCGAGAGACCAATTGAGAGTTCTGTGTCTGAGATTGGATTGGTGGACTACTATCAGATGATTGAATGGTGAGCGACACATTTCAATAGGAAGATCCACCAAATTTCACGGATTTTCTGGAGATTGTTCAGTTTTCCAAGGGAAAAAAAGAAGCATATAGTATTTTTCTTGGAAAATAGGTCTTACGGAGTCTTATAAGCCATGGTAAAAAGTTGAGATTTAATTTAACGTAAACATTGGCAGCCCCATAAGGGTTTTGTGTAGGAGAGTGCTAGGATCTGATTTGTATTTTTAAGTGATAATTATAACTGTGACATATGGGGACAAGTGTGAAACCAGAGAAATCAGTATATCAGGAGTAGTCCAAATGAGATTGAGTGCTCTATTCCTTACCACTGTAGCTGAACCATTCCTGAGGAATCAGTTTTTTGTTTTGCAAAGGAGTCTTGGGGCTTTCCAATAGAAGAAAAAGATCAAAAACACAAAACAAAACAAAACAAAACAAAACAACAACAGCCACTTCTTCTGCAAACCCCCCCAGAAAGAGTTCAGCAGATAAGGAAACATTTGGAATCCTTAGCCCACTTAGAGTCCAGCAGGTGACAATGAAGTTTGTTGAATTTGTTTTTGATATTTTATATCTGGAATAACTTAACACGAAAATACCCCTGTCCAAGTTGCAGAGGCTAACTTAAATATCAAGTGTATTTAACTTTCGCTGGAATTATATAAGCTAAGCTTTTTCATTCATTCAACAAATAGCTGTTATAGAGATTATATTCTAGTTATTATACTAGCTTGTTCAAGTTTATGGTTGGAAATTCTATACATCTTTGGTTAATTAAAAAAGAAAAGGAATTTATTATTTAATAAAATTTGGTAATTCATATATAATTAGTTTATACAGACAAATGTTTCAAAAAAGGTTTCCATAAAGGAAAAACATGACTAAAAATAGTCCTTGAGAAGTGGTAGAGGATAATGGTTAAGAAGACAGAGTGTCTGAGTTCAAAGCCTGCTGCTTCCACTTACAAGCCGAGTGCCCTTGGGGAAATAACTTAATATCCCCAAGTCTTAGTTCATGTTTCTACAGAATAGGAACAATAATAATAGAACCTACTTCACAAGGTTGTTGTGAGTACTTGGGTGAAGTTATTATTATTACTTTGAGGATAAAATACTTAGAAACTAACTACTTTAGATGATATGGTTTGACGAGGCATCTAGTTGGGGAGACCACACTGGGACTCCACAACTGGAAAGTAAAGTAAATCTGAATTAAAGTTGTCATCCAAACTGCCAGTACTGAGAAGCAGAAGAACTAAGATGTGCTCAATTTGATATGGGGCTCATGAGGGGAAACATCTCAAAGGGGTTGAGTCTCATATTTGGTTTTCAAAGTACAGAACTTTAAAATAAAAGTGAATGTGGAAATCATCCAGTTCGACTTTCCTCATATACTCTTTGGCATTCCTCATCTAGTGGGAAAATGAGAGGAGGGGAAGGAAGATAACATAAGACTGATCGATGAGAAGCTTCCTGCTGCAAGGCAATTGTGCTCAAGGCTGAGGGCGCTTCTGTGAGACCAGGTGGAATTGCTTCCTTTCCCCTCTGATATCTACTAGCCCACCAGATGGACTCTTCCTTTGCCCTCTGATATCTACTAGTGCCCCATATTAAGTTTATTCTGTTCCCTTACTGGTTCTCCATTATAGTGGATTATTACAATTTCTTGGAAGAAAAAATAAAAAGAGATTTAGTGGCATAAGTTACAGTACCCACTGCTGTGGATGGTCCTGAAGCCACTATTGATACTTATCGTCTCCTTCCTATACCATCCATCTAGATTTCCCTCATCCTCATCCAAAACTTCTGCTTTTCTAGGTTGCTTGGCCTATTGAGTAATCCAGACCTTTATCCCTGAGAGGGTCAGCGTCCTTATTACTGGCCCTAGTCAGTCTGTTGCTTCTGGAATTGATGGTTCACGTTTATCAACAGTCGGAAAATAGCAAGAGATGCCCCAGTGAATCCCCTAAGTTCCACACAATTCTCTCTACTACTCCAACTCCATAGCAGTAACCTTCTCATGCTTCCTAGGGTTAGCTACTGCTGACAATATAGAAACTTTCAGTGGTTCCTGTCAATAGAAAGCCCCAAATGATCAGGCAGCAGGTACAGCTTTAGGATTAAAAGGACCTTTACTGTCTGCTGGCAAAAGTGCCTCCCCATGGAGACCAGTAGAATCTGAAGTTGTGGAAATGCGAAGCACAAATTCCCTTAGCAGATCACTGGAAGTAGTTGTTTCATCCTTGAGTTCCCAGATTCTGGTATTCTGTTAGAAATGGAACACTACATAATGACCATTGGTTAGAACCATATACTATATCTTGAAGAACAGCACTCCAATTCTGCAAGGTTAATCCCTAAGCTGGTGTATTAACTACATCTCTAGAGGCTATTCCAACATTCTATCAGGCCAGCAGCTTCCAGATAATGCAGTATTGGTAGGAAAAGTTAGTCTCATCATCACATGCCCATTTCACGTCTCCTTTGTCTTAAAGTGAGTCATTTGTCTGAGGGGATATTATATGGGATCTCAGTAAATAGACAGTCTCTAAACCATTAAATAATGATGCTGACCAAGATATTACAGGCAGAGAAGGAAAATTCATAACCAGAATATATTATCAATTTCAGGATGATTCACTACACTTTTAGAGTGGAGACAGATATCATTGACTTACCAACAAATGGCTGGTTGGTTTCCTTGAGGAATGGTACTATATCAAGGGCTCAGTGTTAGTATCCCAACCTGTTGGCATTAGCCAACAAGTTAAATATTTGACAGTAGGGATTACTACATTAGCCTTGGTGAGTGGGAAACCATGCTGTTGTGTCCATGCATAGCCTCTATCCCTGCCACTACCACTGTTCAAAATCATATGGGAATGATGTGGAGAGGCCCGAGTAGATGCTGCACACACGGTAGGTTTGCAACATGGTTGAGGAACACTGAGCTTGGGGAGTTACTGCTTTTGTAGCAAGCGAAAGCAATTCTGCTCTTTGTATGAGGGTAGAAATAGCCCCATTTCTTTTACTCAGTGTAAACATTTTGAAAGTCATCTATGTTGTATATTACTTATAATGTACTCCTTTTCATTGCTACTTCACTATAAGGATATACCATGCTTTGTTTATTCATTAGCCTGTATATTTCACTATGAGGATATCCTATGCTTTGTTTATCCATTCACCTGTTGATGGACATATAGACTGTTTCCAGTTTTTGGCTTTCATGAATAAAGCTGCTTTAAAAATGCATATACAAGTTTTTGTACAGACATATACTTTCTTTTCTCTTTAGTAAGCACCTAGGAGTGTATGGATGCATGACATGAGAGGTGTGTCTTAACTTTTTAAAAAATCACCAGTTTTTTTCTAAAGTGGTTGTTCTGTGAGAGTTCCAGTTCCATCACATCCTCTCCAACATTTTGTATGGTCAGTCTTTTTAATTTTAGCTGTTTTAGTAAGTGTGTGGTGGTATCTCCTTGTGGTTTTAATTTATATTCCCTAATGACTAATTATGTTGATCATCTTTTCAAGTGCTTATTTGCCTTCTGGGTTTCTTTCGTGGCAAGGCATCTGTTCAAATGTTTTGTACACTGTTTTATTGGTTTGTTTTGAAAGTTATTATTGAGTTTTGAGAGTCATATTTTTGTCTTTATATTTTTGGTATATGAGTTAAGCTTTATTCTTGTTAGCTGTCCATCTACCTTACCTTTGGCACATGCATGGTTTATTAGCAGTCACCTTAGATTCCTGTGGCTCAAGGATCATGGTTGCCATTTTGGTCTTGTTTCCCATTTCAATAAGTCTCTGCTTGGGCCATGCTGTGACTTGGTCCTATATAACCTATATGTCTAGAGCCACTGCTATCCAAAAGTATTTTCTGCAGTGATTGAAAGTTCTATATATTTGACATAATTGCACTACCCTATTTGAAAAATCAACTTATTAAGACTGTGTTTATCTTTGTCCCTTTTCTACCTTTGCAAAATAAGTAAAACAGAGGGGCATAAATCTTTATAATGAAATCTATCTTAAAATTCAGTGAGTTCACATAAAACACTTAAAAGTATAAGAGTTCTTTTAAGTGTATACAGTAAGAACCACACATATGCTAAAAGTTAATTAACAATAAATTTTCTAATTAGTCAAATATATTTTTCACTCTTCTCAAAACAATGAGGGAAGATAAAGGCAGATCCTGAAGAAGCCAAGATTATCTTACAATGAGTCTGTCTCAAATGAAGGACTTTGCATGGTTTCCAGGCCATGGAGGGATGCTCTTCTTTATCCATGTGGAGGCAGCCTCTTCTGCCAGCCCAGAAGGGTGAGGGGAATCTGAGTTTGTTCTCAAGCAGATTCACCAAATATTCTCACTCCTGTTCTCAAGAACCCACTCCTTCCTTTTAGGACCTGAACTCTCACATAAGGGTCTTGCCAGAGCTGTGAATTTAGCCTCCTTTTTAACTCTGTCATTTTTACAATCAGATTTTGGGTGTTATTTTCAGCCATAGTCTGCCTTCAAGCTGCAGGAAATTAAGTCTCTTCATGCTGCCATGGAGTCGCGCCACCTTTCACATTATGCCCTGAGTTGATAGTTGGCTGATCTGTCATTGTATTTTCAAGTTTTCTGTTGCCATTAAAACAACACAGACAACTTCATTTTTATGCTTAATATTGCATTCCTGTCTTTAAAATCCTAGAGCTAATGCCTAAGCCTTCTACCCGCATTTCATCCCAACCCTCAGGAGATGAACATCTTAGTAATTGTGATGCAGCACATGCTGTACACGTGCCAAATAAATTACTTGTACTGAAATCTTTAAGGGAAACCCCAAAGTAAGACAAAGATTTCAGTGCAAGTTATTTATTTATTTAGGGAGTGTATTCGTCCATTCTCATACTGCTAATAAAGACATACCCAAGACTGGGTAATTTATAAAGGAAAAAGGTTTAATTGACTTATACTTCAGCATGGCTGGGGAGGCCTCAGAAAGCTTACAATCATGGTGAAAGGGGAAGCAAACACATCCTTCTTCACATGGTGGCAGGAAGGAGACATGCCAAGCAAAAGGGAGAAAAGTCCCTTTTAAAACCATCAGGTCTTGTGAGAACCCACTTGCTTATCATAAGAACAGCATGAGGGTAACTGCCTCCATGATTCCATTACCTCCCACTGGGTCCCTCCCATGACACACGGGGATTATGGGAACTACAATTCAAGATGAGATTTGGGTGGGGACACAGCCAAACCATATCAGGGAATGATCCTAGGAAGCTATGTTAGGCAAGTGGAGAGGTGAGACAGGGAAGGGAAGAAAGCTAATATGTGTGCTTATGAGCACACTGGGAATTATAGGGCACCATGTAGAAACTGTCTCAGAGGCTGAGCTTGTTGAGTATTTATCAACCAACTACCATTCATCATTGGTGTGTGGCTTCAACACCTCAGTACTTCAGTCCACCTTGTGAATAGGAAGAAAATGCTCCTGAGATCAGAGAAAGCACTCTGGAAAAGATTCACTAGTGCTGGCAGAAAGAGTAGTCAGCATGTATGGGAACAATGAGTACTGAGTGGATACGGTCAGAGGCCTGGCAGTATAAGGCACAATGCCCTATCCCTTATCTTCTGTTCATTCTTCTCCTGCACAACTCATAGCAACCTTGGTTCTCTTGAAGATTTACAGTTTCCTTCAAAAAAACATTTGTTTTCTTACTTCAATGTCATTGCTCATGCTATGTCTTTGCTTGGAATATCCTCCATCCCCAGAGGAGGCCCGCCCCACTTCCCTGGTGAACTCCAACTCTTCTTTTAAATCTTAATTCAGCTGCCACTTCCTCTTGGATGGATTTCCAGCTTCCCTTGGGCAGAGTTGCATTGTCCTCTAAGCCCACTTAATGCTCTGTGCATATTTCTGCAACAGCGTGTTGCTGTTGTTGCAATGCTTTTTTTGTCCCCAAGGAACTTGGAACAGCTTATAAAAGGATTTCTCTTATTTACCTTATTTCTTAAGAACATAGCATGGGGCCTGGCATTGTGTAAAGTATCAAAGGCTGTTGAATGAATAAACAAATAAATGTCATGTACTATAGCTCAGATCCTTTTCAAGGTCTCATAGCTAGTTAGTAACAAAGCTAGGAGTAGAATTAATGTCTTTTTTTAAATTTTTTTTATTGTACTTTAAGTTCTAGGGTACATGTGCACAATGTGCAGGTTTGTTACATATGTATACATGTGCCATGTTGGTGTGCTGCACTCATTAACTCGTCATTTACATTAGGTATATCTCCTAATGCTATCCCTCCCCCCTCCCCCCACCCCACAACAGGCCCCGGTGTGTGATATTCCCCTTTCTGTGTCCAAGTGTTCTCATTGTTCAATTCCCACCTATGAATGAGAACATGTGCTGTTTGGTTTTTTGTCCTTAACACCGAATCCTGGAGGAAGTGACTTTTTTCTTTAGAAACTAGAAGTCAAAAAAAAAAAAAAAAAGCACAGAAGTAAATGTCAAGGATGACATGTGGAAATAATGTTGTTTTATTTACTTTGTATGGGAGACCATGTGGTTATACTGCCAACCTGGAAAAATTTGGTTTTAGAGCGATATTTGGAGTGGGTGTGGGGGCATCTGGGAAGCTGTGTGATGGCTGGGCTCTTCAGATGTCTAGATAGAAAAAAACCTGGTGGAATGGGGTTGTATTAAGGGAACAAGCTGTTGACTTTTCCGAAGTTTCATTTGCACTTCATTGTTTGGAAATCCCTTTTAGTCCTTTAATGGGTATGGTTGGTTCATTGGCTGCGTTTCACATTTTCAGCAGGCAAATTTCTTTCCAAATGAGTTCAGCAGAACCTCAAAGTGACTAGTTTTATTTGCTTTCAAACAAATGCCTTATTTGTTACCTTGTTATCATTTCAAATAATGATCTTTATAGATGTTCATTTGGAGTTGCTCCCCCAAAATTCAGAGTTGCCAAACCACTGCATTTCCTTGTGCATAACTGCTCATTCTTTGAGGTCAGCCACCAGCTAAGATAGGTTTTGCATTGGTTCGGAATTTCATGTAAGCCCTCAAAAGCCTGTTTCAGAATTCAACAGTGATTTTCTGCTTAGTAGCCCAAAGACTTGAGTGGACAGCAAGGTTTGAGTTTGGGGATTTATCAGGGCAGGCTCTCTGGGGGGCTGCCGAGGCACTGCAAGATGGACATTTAATTTAGCCTGGTGGATGAGACCTAAGGGCTGACCCTCAGCTTTATTGCTTTAGAAACCTGGCATGTGAGCTCGCAGAGGCAGGATCTATCTCACAGGAGAGTCTCACAGAACCTGAGTTTGAAGAGACTGACAGGAAACACAGAATATGCATTTACTGCTTTCTATTGACTCACGTATCCTTCATGTACATTCGAAAGCACATGTCATGGTCTCTCTTTGTCAAATTTCAGAAAGCCAAATTCGAATCAGTTAAGAGTTTAGTGAGCATGGAATCAGAGAAAGGGAAGTTTGCTGTATGATTCAAACGCTTTATGGCATTTTTCTGATACCTCTGATCCACCATCCAATTGGTAGCCAGGATGACATTTAAAAAATTTAATCTGAGAAAATGAAAATCTGAACATGTCATCTCTCAGTTTAAGACCTTCCATGGTTTTGAACTGCTCCTAAAATAAAAGTGGAAAAAATAACTTGTTCCGTAAAGTCTGACATGATTTTGCCTCGTCTTCCCTCTAGCTTCATGGTTTGCCTTTAGTCTCCAAGGTCTGACCTGCTTCTCTCTTCCTACAATGGCTTTCCTCTTCCTTATCCTAGTTAACTCCTATTACTCTTTTAACAAATGAGTAATAACACTTTAAGATCAGATATATTTTTATTCATGTTTTTAATAAACATGTATCTGTGTCTACTATAGATACTAGTAATGTAACAGAGCAAAGTCCATGTTCTCATGAAGCTAACATTCCTTCCTTCCATGAACAGAGCCATACAAAAAAGAACAACCACCAAAAGAAAATATAAAATATATACATATATGTAATATCTGAAAGTAATAAATATGTTGGAGAAAATATAAATGGCACAAGAGATGTGAGGAAGGAGGAAGTTGCTGTTTTACATACAGGGTTATCAGGGAAGGTTCCACTGATAAATGATGTTTGAGCAGAGGCCTGAAGGAAGTAAGGAGATAGCCTTAAGGGTATCTAGGAAAAGCAGATTCTAGATAAGAGAAATAGCAAGCCCAAAGACCCTAAGGTTGCATTGTGCTACTGCTTTATAGCATTTACCTCATGCATTACTTAGAGCAATTATGCATTTCTATGTACCATTATTTGATTAATGCCTGCTTCCTCCACTAGATTTCTGAGCTGCCTGAGAGTGGAGATCATGTCCATTTTTTTTCCATATTATATTCCCAGACTGTACAGCACAGGGCCTAATGTGGAATATATATATTATATACATATTTGTGGAAAGGAAAAAGGGAAGATGAGAGAGAGAAAGTGGGGTGGAGAGAGGGGAATGGGTGAAAGGGAAAGAGGAGTTTTAGAGAGGGGAGAGAAGGAGAGAGGTTAGGGAGAAAGGAAGGACGAAATCCCCAAAGAGGCAAGTCCTGAGCATCCTCTTCTCTGGTCTGGGCAAAGAAGGGTACCACAAATATTAACTCTCAAATCTTCATCTCCACTCCAGGCTTCTGTTGCTGAGCAGTTTTTCTGTTGCCAGGCACATTTTCCCCCCTTTAAATGCGCAAATAATTTCATCTGGATTAATGTCAAGTCTTACAGGCCTGGAAGTGCTTTTCTGAATCTTTAACATGACTTCTCATATTTTTAGTATGATTCATTTCTGGTGATTTTATAGTTTAATTCTCAGGAGGCCTCTACTTTCCTCATGTCAAACTTTTAAGGGCACGTTACTTTTGCCCTTGTCACTCCTTCACATGCATCCTTCCTAATTTCCTTTTGATCTTCATGATCTACCAATCCAGGCCCAATGGAACAGGTTAGAAGAGTATCCAGGAAAATGCCTCTTTTCTGGGACAGTTTAAATTCCCCAGGTAGTTAGCAGAGATTTACTTCCTGTGTTTTTGAAGCTCTCATAATTCTATGACAAGATTGGAATAGACACTGAAACAAGGATTCCCAGAAGGATTAGCTTTTTATCAAGTAAGATGGGTCAGACCCCAAACTCTAATCTGGGTTCCAGGATGGGTGAAAACAACCACATACCTGCAGTTTAACGTTGCCTTTGCTTGAATTTACTCCTGAACCAGCACACCATTCGTTCACAGATCACACCTAACACCAAGGATATAAATGTGCTGAAAGTGTTTTGCATTTGCCAAGAGTTTTATATAAGCCCTCTTGGTTCAGATCTCCTATGATCTCTCCAACTAGTCAGATGATGTAGGGATTTTCTGGACAAGATAATTTGGGGGGACTTTATATTTCTTCTAAACACTGTCTTAGACATTTGGATTTCAGGGCAGAAAGTGAACATTTGGGTTTCAGGGCAGAAAACTTAAAGGGCAGCTAAGTGTGTAAATTCATAGCTAGTAAGACATTCAGAAATCATGTCCTCAATCTTACAGGCCCAGGAGTCAGCAAACGTTACAGAAAAAAGGGCCAGATAGCAAATAATTTAGATTTTGAGAGCCATGTGGTCTCTGTGGCAATGAATTAACTCTGACATTGTAGCATAAAGGTTGCCATAGACAATGTGTAAATGAATGGGTGTATCTGTATTCCAATAAAGCTTTATTTATAAAAACAAGTGGGGGCCTGGATTTAGCCCATAGGCAGTAGATTGGTGATCCCTATTATAGGCCATACAAGTCCTACATTGTTGTGCTGACTGAAATACACATTTGATGGTGAGCAGCCCCTGTATGAACCAATATAGGGGATAAAGTTAATTACCGTTATTCTTTTATACATTTTGCAACATATAATCTTTTCTTCCAAGGATTCTCTCATCTACAATGTTTAATGAAATATCTGTAATGATAGATAGGAATTTCTTCAACAAAGTGAAAGATGTTCTAGCACTTTGCTGCTAAAAGTGTGGTTCATGGGCCAGTAGCATCCATGTCAGTCAGGAGCTAGTTAGAAATATAGAATTTCAGGACCTACCTCCCTTATCTATTGAATCAGAATTTGCATGTTAACACAATCCCTGGATGACTCATATTTGTATTAAGATTCGAGAAGCACTGTTCCAGCTCTCAGCAATGAATGCAGCCTCACAAGCAGCTTCATACTGCAATCCTAAAAGATGCAGTGCCGATTTCCAATAATTCCCTAAAACAACTGTAGATTTCTAACAACCCTCTAAAACGACTGTAGTAATAGGTTTCAAATTTTGTTAAAGAGACTGCTACTGTGAGTCTTGTTATGTGAATAACCATCCATTTACTTACCTGTTTTGCAAATGATTGATTTTCACACTGTTTCTTAAAGAGTTTGGCACATTCCTGCCTTTATACGTGGCTTTCTTAGTTTCCTTAGCCTAGAATGACCTCACACTAACTAACCTCTTTCACTGACTAAATCCCATGTATACACTGGTGCTCAACTCAAGTTCCTTTTCCTTTGACATGTTTACTCCCTTTTCCGAACTCCTACTCTTTGGTGAACTGACACTTTGCTGACCACAAGTTCTAGACTGCAATCTCTTTTGAGAGTGGAGACTTATATCTTGATTGTTCTTGAAGCCCTAAGGGCTTATAATATCTTTCCTTGAATGTGGTAGTAGCTGTGAATATTCTACATTGATTCCCGTATCACAGGAAAGGGGGTGCACTCGTACTTGTCAAATGCACAGAGGCCAAACTCTTTCTCTGAAACAACAGACACTTCACTACAACTTAACCTACATCTCAATCCCATTTAAACCTAATAGGGACTAGTAGCCGTGGTACTAAACATAACCCTAGGAGCTCTGGGGATAGCATTGCAGATTATGAGCTAAATGTAGACATAAGAGGACATAGATAGATAGTGTATGATACAGGATCCATGGAGGCTCATATTTTCCAGCACCTGATCCTGTCTATCAAATGTCATTTGGTTGAGGGTAAAGTGAAGATCTGCCACTGATACTCTGGGGTTTTCGGGTCAGGAGAAGTTGATTCCTGTAGGAAGCCTTACCTGTGTCTATTTAGTAGATTCCTTTACACTGAGTCTTTCCATGAATGAGCCAGACTTGATCTATTTATTCATCTGTTGATTGATTCTCTCTTTTTTTTTTTTTTGAGACAAGATCTCTCTCTGTCACCTCTTCTGGAATGTAGTGGCACGATCACAGTTCCCTGTAGCCTTGAACTTCTGGGCTCCAGAGATCCTCCTGCCTCAGCCTCCTGAGTAAATAGGACTACAGGTGTGTGGCTCCACACCCAGTGATTAAAAAACTTTTTTGAAAGAGATGGGGTCTCACTATGTTGCCCAGGCTGGTCTCTAACTCCTCACCTCAAGTAATTTGCCCACCTCGGCCTCCCAAAACATTGAGATTACAGGCAGGAGCCACCATGCCTGGCCCTGATTCTTGATATCTTAATCACAAACAGCACTGTGCTTAATGCTGCAAAAGTATAAAGGGCATATACAGAAGTACACAATATAATCCCTGACCTTTCAATCTGGTTGGGGAGGAAAGTGAAGGCTTGCTTCTATTGTTAAATAAGAAAATGCATGACAACTCAGTCACAGCAGTTTGTGGCAAAGTGGTCAGTACTTAGTACCAATGGATGTATGGTCAGTAAGTGGTATGGTGGTTAGTAGGAGAGCCAGAGAGATTGCTGTATGTTGGAGAGTTAGGGAAGGTTTAATTGAGGTGATGGGTTTAGGGTAGGGATGCAGCAAAGGGCACTCTTTGGACAGACTTGTAAGGAAAGGCTGGAGTTACTCAGATCTGGGACAAGATCAGCCTCCAAAAGGACCCATTCCTCCCCACCTCCCTTCTCTTCTTGTTGTCTGGTGTGCGGCCAGGAAAAATTCACTGCTTTCTGTTTCCTGGAAGCTGCATTGCACCACTGGCCAGGGTTGGTCTATTAGTCCTCCTTCCTCCTCCCCATCACCCAACAAATGCAGCCGCTTAGCAGTCTGCTGGACGGATAATGCGATGGAAAATCCCCCCCACTTTCTCATCAGAACGCAGTTCATTCACTCAGTGCCAAGTTGTCTTTCCTCTAGGCTCCCTGAGGAGGCCATGGAATAGACTGCACAGCAGCCTGGGCCTACCTGAAAGCGAAAGTGAATTCTCGCTGCAGGAAAAGAGCAAGGAGCTGCATATGCCGCATCATCTGTTCCTGCTTATTTTTTCCCTCTGCTGCAATGAGACCTGTTCTCAGCTCTGAGGGAGGCAGCAGCTAAGGTTGACTCCCATCTTTAGGAGAAAATATTTATCAACTTTAGGGTAGAATATTTTTTCAAGTTACTATACACTTACCATGCAGTCAACAGATATTTATTAGGCATTGATTTTGTGCCAAGTTCTGTGTCAGATGCTGAGGATATGACACTGAGTAAGACACAATTCCTGCTTTCTTGGGATTTTTGTATAGGCAGAAAACAGACAAATTAAGCCAGGTAATTACAATTCAGTGCTACAAGAGAGGTGTGCACAAGATTATTATGTACCACCCAGGAGGAGTATGCCTCACCCAGACTTGGGTGAGGTACAATATGAAAGGCTTCCGGATATAGTAATGTCTAAGGATTGTTTTAAGAATGATGCCTAAGCACTTGTTTTAGGAATAAGTAGGAGATGCTAGGTGGAGTCGGATGGGGAAAAAGGAAGCAGTAGAGAAATCTTTCCAAAATAAAGGGAACTGAATGAACAAAAGTCAGGAGATAAGACAGGTCAGTGCATTAAGGGAATTGATTGTAGTTTAGTGTGGCTGGAGAGAAGACTACAGGTGAGGGGAGTAGTTAGCAATACAGCTAGAGAAGTAAGCATAGACCCTGTATGTAGTATAAGTTTCAGATATTATATTGCAGGCAATGGGGAGATATGGAAGAATTTTATTTTATTTTATTTTATTTTGAGATGGAGTCTCCCTCTGTCTCCCAGGCTGGAGTGCAGTGGCGCGATCATGGCTCACTGCAAGCTCCGCCTCCCGGGTTCGTGCCACTCTCCTGCCTCAGCCTCCCGAGTAGCTGGGGCTACAGGTGCCCGCCACCACACCTGGCTAATTTTTTGTATTTTTAGTAGAGATGGGGTTTCACCGTGTTAGCCAGGATGGTCTCGATCTCCTGACCTCATGATCCGCCCACGTCAGCCTCCCAAAGCTCTGGGATTACAGGCGTGGGCCACCGCGCCCAGCCAGAAGAATTTTTAAGAAAGACAATAATATTATCCTATAACGTATTTTAGAAAATTCATACAGGGTGCAGTGTAGAGACTGGACTGGAGAAGGACAAGACTAGGGCAGAAGGTTGAGGAAAAAGTCATGCAACTGCTAGAGTTGTTTGTGGAAAAGTGGCCTGCACACGATACCAATGAATGTCAGTTGACAGGACAGAAAGAAAGATCCCGGTAGACTGAAAGAGTAAGGGAAAGTTTAATATAGGTGGTGGTTTCAGCACAGTAATATGATCATGTTATGCATTTTAGAAAAATCACCTTGATTATAGTATAGATATTGGCTTGGAAAGGGTATAAAAAAGAGTGGAAAGTTGAGGCTAAAATTCAGTAAGCAATGCTGATAGCAAGCATCTCCTGCCAGTGGATATGGCACTGTCTACTTGTAAACTAGACAGATTCATGAGATATTAATTGATTAATTTAGTGATTGATTGGATAAGAGAGGGAGAGTCCATAATGATGTAAATTTCTATTGCAAATTACAGAAAACCCAACTCAAGCTGGCTTAAACAAATAGGAAATGTTTTGACTCAAGTAACTACACAATCTTCAGGTGTAACTTCATGGTGTCAAATGTTCTCAGGGACCATCTGTCCATTGTTTTCTCCAGGCTTTATTCTTAGGCTCAGCGTGATGCCCCTAGTAACCTCAGGATGACATTTTCTCGGCACCCAGCCTCAGGAAAGAGAGATTCCACTTCTCCAATGGGTCAAACAACAGTCGTAGAACTGAGCCTTATGGACATCGTCTGTCTAACTTAGACCACTGTCCTTCTTGGAGCCAATCACTGTGACTGGTGAAATGAGTATGCCTGATTTTGACAAGGTATGTGTACCTCCCCTAGAGACTGTGTTATCCCAAAGCATTTGGGCTAAGAGTTGGCCAGGGACAGCTCCTCCAAACAGAGTTCATGGCATGGTCATCAGAATGAGAGTAAGGAGCTAGTGGGTAGATAAAACAATAGACGTCCACCTCATATGATGCCTTATTTTCTGATTTGGGTAACTGTGGGTGGTGGTATCATTCACTGAGATCAGAACCACAGAAATAGGAATATATTTGTGAGTTTTGAGTGTAGGAGCTTGACTTAGTCCATTTGATCTACTATAACAGAATGCCTGAAACTCGGTAATTTATGATAAACATAAATTCATTGGGTCATAGTTCTGGAGGCTGAGAAGTCCAAGACTGAGAGATCAGCATCTGATGAGGGCCTTCTTGCTGTGTCGTCTCATGGAAGAAGGGCAAAGAGAGAACAAAAGAGAGCAAGAGCACATATATAAGTATAAACGGTCTTGAACTGGCAGCCTCAAGCCTTTTATTTTTACGTTTTTTTTTTTTTTTTTTTTGAGATGGAGTCTTGGTTTGTTGCCCAGGCTGGAGTGCAGTGGCGCGATCTCGGCTCACTGCAAGCTCCGCCTCCTTGGTTCACGCCATTCTCCTGCCTCAGCCTCCTGAGTAGCTGGGACTACAGTCGCCCACCACCAGACCCAGCTAATTTTTTGTATTTTTAGGAGAGACAAGGTTTCACCATGTTAGCCAGGATGGTCTCGATCTCCTGACCTCGTGATCCACCCGCCTTGGCCTCCCAAAGTATTGGGATTACAGGTGTGAGCCACTGCACCCAGGCCTCAAGCCCTTTTATAATCAACATTAATCTATTCTTGAGGGTGGAACCCTCATGACCTAAATATCTCCTACCAGGCCCCACCTCCTAACATTGTTACGTGGGGAATTATGTTTTCAACAAATGCTTTTTGGGGGATACAGTCAAACCATAGCAGAGGGGTTGATAATTAGGTTTAAAACACAATGGCTTAGTACATTCGAACTTTGTGTATAAGAATTTGATATTTTGGATGGGTGGAGAAAAGATGAACTGTGCCCCTGGATTTTTTGTTTAAACAAACATAATATCTTTACTGATTATTCTGGCTCAAGAATTTCTGTTGTCCAGACTTCACACCACCATTGTCCCAGACAAGGTGCTAGATACTGAAAATGCAAAGTTGAGTGAACCATGATACTCTCTGTTCTCAAGGAGCTGATAGTGTGGTAGGAAAGAACCATAATAACCAGAAACTACACTATCATGAGTTAATTATTATAAGAGAAGAACATAACAGGAAAAGAATTAATTGAAAGGAAAGAATGAGTGATAGACTCTTCGAGAGTTGGGGAAGTCAGAAGGTGATTTCTAAGTAGGGTTTTGCTGCGAGTGGGAAGGGAGTGAAAATCCTAAGTAGTATGTACGTGTTTGCAGAATTGCAAGTAGCTCTGTATAATGAGAACACAGAATGTCAGGGGTGTTGGCAAGATGCTTTGTCCATTGATAATTCTTATTCTAAGTAGCAGCATGGCCACTTATCCATGTGGTATAATTTGGGAAAAAGCAAATTTTATTCCTCCACAGCTCTACCTATTCAATATCTTATAAAATTTATTTTATGGGTAAAGGGCTAGGGTTTGGGGCAAAAATGAAAATACTATCTTGAAGCAAGTAGTCATCAAGGTAGTTATTAGCCTTTGTTGTATATTTCTTCTCATTAGCTAATTACATATGATTCAAACAAGCAGGGCTTGAGGAAGTGAAATACTGTTTCAACTATCACTTTCTAATACTCTCCCATCCCTGCTAAACACATATTAGGTTACCAGTCAATGTTTGTGTATTAAAAGTTCAAGAGCATTGGTTGCTGCTATAGGAAAGACTGATTATTCACCAAGAACTACCAGACATATATTTCTCCCCTAGTTCTCTCGTAACTTCTTTAATAAGCAAACTCCTATCAAGAACAATTTGTTCAGATGTTGGCACATTGTATCACAATTCTTCTATTCACATATCTGTCTTACCCATCAAACCTTAAGCTCTTTCTTGGGGCAGCTCTTTCTTGGGAACAGGAAAGATATACCTTACATACCTTTATAACTTATGTGTCTAGTATAATGTGTATGTATAATGTATATATGTATGTATATATATGTAATGTGTCACTCAGACAAAATTAAGCCTTTAAAAGACAGTCATATTTTTTAACCATCTTCTTGCTCTAGAAGCTTCTGTATAGCAGGGCAGAAGGAACCACCTCTCTAGAAGGTTTAACACAAGAATTTCTAAAAATGACAAAATTATTGGTTGATGATAACTGTCTTAGTCTGGTTGGGTTAAGAAACCAGACTTAGACTGGGTGGCTTATAAGCAACAGAAATTTATTGCTTACAGTTTGGAAGGCGGGGAGGTCCAAGATCAAGGTGCCACCAGTGTCTGGTGAGGACTTAATCTCTGGCTCATAGATCATGCCTTCTAACTGTGTCCTCACATGGTGTAAGGGACAAGGCAAGTCTTTGAGGCATCTTTTATAAAAGGCACTAATTGCATTCTTGAACACTTCACCCTCATGAACTAATCACTTCATAAAAGGCCCACCTTCTAATACCTTCACTTTGGGGGTTAAGATATCAACATATAATCTGGGGGACACACAAACACTCAGACCATAGCAATGACTAAATCCAGTCTGGGTTATTCCTTGCTCATTTTCTGTCATTTCTTATTTGTGTACCCAATATTCTTATCCTATGATGTTTTGTTAAGGGTGGTTTACTTCATGTAATCGGACTTTAATTCAACTGCAGAAAGTTGAGTTATACTATTTGTATAAGCTGATCAAACTTTGCTGTAAAAATCTTTACAAAACGTTATTAAAAATTACAAGTAATACAAGCTTCTTGTGGGACATTTAAAAATATAAAAGTGTATTAAGTAAAGAGATACATTCTCTTCTTTCCTTTTTTCTACCTATGAAGCTCCTTGCCCACTATATTCTTCCAAAATTCTTTCTATGCATTGACAAATTTACTCATTTATTTTTTCTTTCAACACATAATTATTGAACAGCTGCTATATGCCAGACTGTGTTCACACAGTGATGACACAGCTGTAAATAAAGGAGGCAAGTTTTTTGCTTCCTTGGAATTGACATTCTAGTAAGGAGCAGAGGTAAATGGGTTGATAAAATAATAGAGAATCTTTTGCTAAAATATATTAACTTTTTAAAAAATTGATGTTTTCCATTGAAGAGTGCATATCATTTCCTCGGTGATAATGATAAATAACCCAATAACAGCAGTAACTATAATAAAACTTCAGTCCTGAAGTATCTGGTAGCACAGTGCCTGACACATAGTAAGTACTCATCAAATACGTAAATGGATGACTGGTATCAGGAACTGCAAGGGTGACCCCCAGTCATCAAAGAAAGAGAGAGTACTAAGTACCTTGCAAGGATGGGAGGTTGTCCTGAAAGAAAAGAGCATTCATTCATTCATTCAGCAAATATTTATTGAGTAATTACTATGGGCTAAAACTCTTCTAGGCATTGGGCGTGAATGAACCCTGAAGATGGAATTTACCTGCTTCAAACATTTATCAGAGACCTCCCCAGAAAAATCTGTAATTTACCGTAGTCACTTGTTTCAGAACTGACTGTTGTGAAGCTCTCTGTGAGAGGGGAATATGAAGATGGTAACAACAACCAGAAAAATAGGATTTTAAATTATTAGAGTGCCAAATATGATATATTTTAAATCATTTCAACTAGGTCACTCTAGAAAGAGCCTTTCTGTTTCTGAAGAGGCTTAATCCTCCCAGCTAATTTCCTCTAATGGGCCACTCCAAACCCAGTCCTCTTTTTTCTTTTGTCTCCTACTGCTTAAGCCTCATCAGAGGCTGCTGAGCAATCTTTTGAACACAAGAAAGAAGATCATTATCATCATTATGCTGTTACCCTTGAAGAAAGCATGTAAAGAGGCTGACAGAGGATGCATAATTTAAGAAAACATGGAAACTCAAGGTTACATAATAGCCTCTTGATTTTCCAAACTGCCACTAAATGTAATTGAGACTAAATCTATGTACACACACAGACACAGACACACACACACACACACACACACACCTATTATGAGATTGTTTTGACGTGTTCCATCAGACTGTAACTCATGATAAAGGGAACCACATCCACTTGTTCACCAGTGTATAATCCAGTGTTTGCATATTACCTAGCACAAAGTAGGCACTTCATAAATATCAGTTGAATGGACAAATAAATAAACTGTGTTTCTAACCCTCGTTTTCAGATATTTCTCATCTCTATCTTTTTTATTTGCTGTAGTTTTTATATTCTCATTATTTCATTTTAGATGTTTCTCTCTTGCCCCCACTTCCCAATTGTCCTCATTAGTTTATGGAACTCTTGTATTACTAGAGAATAACCTTTCATTACCTATGTTTCTATCTGGCTTACAAGTTTAGGGGAGGGTCAACTCTTCAATCTCCCCACGCCCCCTTTGAGTTGATCCCCAGATGGGGCTGCCTACTCCATGATACCGATAGTCCCCGCAGAGCACTCTTGAAGGCCTGGCAGTATAACAATGGCCCCAGGAGTCTCCTTTATGTCTATTGATTAGGATTCAATGTCCTCACGCCTGGGGATCAACTTCAATTCAATTTCAAGTCAGGGAAGTTGTACTGAACAAAGCACCTGTGATGTGGAGGAAAGAACATTGGGAGTCAGACCTGGGTTAATGTTGGCATTAACACTTACTAAATGTTCAGTCTTGGGAAAGTTATTTAACTTTGAGCCTTGGTGTCTTCATCTATAAAGTGAGATGAAGTACATTGACATATCTATCTCAGCACAGTGCTTAGCTTATGGGAGATGCTACAGATTCATTTGCTTTCCTACCTATTCCCTGGTTTCCCTGTATATTCTAATTGAAGGTTTCTCAATGTCAGCATCATTGACGTTTTGGACAAGATGATTTTTTTTTTTTTTCTTTTGCTGTGGGGTCTGTCCTGTGCGTTGTAGGATGTTTAGCAGCAACCCTGGCCTCTACTTGCTAGATGCCAGTAGCCCTCTCTCCTGGTTGTAATAATAAAAAACGTCACCAAAAAATGTTAAACATTCCCTGGGGGTCAAAGTTGCCCCTGTTAGGAGCCATTGCATTAACCTTAGAAGATGAATGAATTAAACTATTAAACTCATTCTGCAAATTTGGCTTACTTCAGATACGTGAACCAATCCTTGCCAGACTGTAAGATGTAATAGTTGTTCATTATCCATCCATTTGTCTTTAATTCATTCATTGAAAAGCTTTTTGAAGTCAGGATCTTAAAAGCTGATTTTATACCCTGCTATATGTCCAAGGGCCTAGAGTTGTAGTTGACACGTAATAGACACTCAATATATATTTGCTGAATCAACAAATGTGTTGAAAAATCCATCCACCTATCTCAAATTTACTGAGAACATCTATCATGTAAAAAAATAATGTAAATGCAATACGGACTTTGTGTTCAGGGAGCTTAGTCTCTAATAAAGGAGACAGAAATTTACAGAAAACCTAATAGTGTATCTGTATTAGTTTTTTAGGCTTGCAATAACAAGGTACCACATACTGGGTGGCTTAAAATGAGAGAAGTTTATTCTCTCACAGTTTGAGGATAGAAGTCTAAAATTAAGGTGTTAGCAGGGTCAAGCTTCCTCTGAAGTTTCTGGAGGAGGATACTTCTTTGCCTCTTTCAGCTTTTGGTAGCTGCAAGCTTTCTTAGGCTTTTGACAGCAAAAGTGGAATATCTGTCTTTACTTGGTCATCTTTCCATAAGGGTGTCATGTCTCTGTTCCTTCTCTACTGGTAAGGACAACAGTCATATTGGCTGAATGACCTACCCTATTCCAGTGTGACATTATCTTAATTAATGACATCTGCGAAGACCCAGTTTCCCAAATAAGATCACATTCTGGGGTACTGGGAGTTAGGACCTCAAAATATCTTTGTGGAGGACATAATTCAACCCAAAAGAGTATTACATTTAAAAATTGAGTTATTTTTATTTAAAGCACTTTCCTTAAAGTGCTTTATTTAAATACTTTCTTTAAGTACTCTGGGACCAGAAGGAGGGAGAGAATAATTCTAATTGTGGATGGATAGAGTGAGGAGTGATTAGGATTGGCTTCTTGGAGAAGCCTTGAATGATTAATAGAATTTGGGCTAGCAGGGGTAAAATAAGGAAGAACAATTTCAAGCTGGAGAGACAGCATAAAAAGTGACAGACCACTGGGTTAGCAAATAGATGGCCACAGGCTATTAGCCCCTCCCTCGCTCAGGCAGCCACTACCTGCTATCCTAATTCATCATTCTTGCTGATCCCAAACATCAATCTCATAATCTTCCTCATTGCAGCACTACAGACAGCTATGGCTAGTCAAATGGACTGGGCATCAAGAGAAAATGTATTTATTACCCTGGCATAGTGGCAGGGAAGTAGTTTAAATAACTGACTAGTTCATGCATCTGGAATATGGGGTTCACAGTGGGGTGGGTGGATGAGGTGGCTGATTCAGTTGTAAAAGTTTTGCAAGAATTCAGCCTTAGTCTTTTTAGTTTATTTATTTATTTCTTTTTAGCCTTCAGTTTTTTATTTTGTTTT
Source organism: Homo sapiens (assembly GCF_000001405.40). Taxonomy (NCBI): domain Eukaryota; kingdom Metazoa; phylum Chordata; class Mammalia; order Primates; family Hominidae; genus Homo; species Homo sapiens. The sequence goes on from NC_000011.10 coordinate 28,630,667, forward strand.
TGTCCTTGGATTCTATGCAATTTCTGTCTTTACAATAATTATCTCTTTCCCCATTTTCTATTCTACTCAAGCTGGTTTGATAAAGCTTCAGTTCTTTGAAATCAAAAGAGCCCTGCCCAGATAAATTCATTTGGGAGTATATTAGTTTTCTTTTGCTGCACAACAAATTACCACAAACTTAGCAGTTTAAAACATAAGCAATTTGTTGTCTTTGAATTCCTGCAGATCAGAAGTTCGAGCACAACATGGCTGGATTTTCTGCTTAATATCTCACCAGTCTGATATCAAAGTGTTGGCTGGGGCTTTGGTTCTCATCTGGGGTTTGGGTCCTCTTCCAGTCTAACTTGTTGGCTAGAAATATTCATTTGCTTACAGCTGTAGGACTGAGGTTACTATTTTCCTATTAGCTGTCATCCAGGGACTTCTCTCAACTACTAGAGGCCCCTGGCAGTTCCTTGCCACATGGTCCCTCCCCACAGGCAGTTCACAAAGTAGATACTTTCTTCTAGGCCAGCTAGAGCTCATCTCTCTGACTTTGTTTTCTGCCACTAGCCAGAAGCCAGCATTTTAATTAGGTCAGGCTCACCCAGGATAGTATCTCCTTGCCACCAAATGTAACATAATCATGAGAGTGATAGCTCATCATTTTCACAGGTGCCACCCACACCCAAAGGGGAGGGGATTATATGGAGATGAGAATCGTTGGAGGTCATCCAAGAATTCTGCATAGCAGAAGGCATATGCTAGTGGGGGTAATCAGCTCTCATGGCAGACCTGTGACTACCTATAACCTTGGGTGATATGCTTTTACCACTCTGAGTCCCAATTTTGCTCACCTATAAAATGAAGGAGGTGTTGTTGATAAGGCTAAGGTTGCTGCTGGTTCTATGAGTCTTTGGAATTGACATGAAACATATTTGTGTCTACTGCCTTCTGGAAGCTCTTGAAGGTTCTCCTGGTCAGGCTGATGGGGGGTGAAACAGGTGGGCCACCCTTGCCCTTTCAGTACCACGTGAAGTCCTTTGATTCCAGTGCCACTGCCCACTTCCTATTAGTATGTAAGCTGCTTTTCAGAGATGAAGAAACATATATGGACCATTCTGTTCATTCATGGCTCTAACTCCTCTAATCTTGACAACACCTATCATGGTGACACCTATCATGGTTAGGGGCATTTTGGGAGCGATTTTTTATGTGGATGCTATGGCCTGAATATTTATGTCCCTACAAAATTCATATGTTGAAACCTAATCACCAAGGAGATGGTATTAGGATCTAAGGCCTTATGAGGGGGTCTTTTCATCCCATGAGAATGGGATTAATCCCCTTATAAAATAGGCCCAGTGGGGCTTGTTCACCCCTTTCACCACATGAGGACACAGTGAAAAGTCACCATATATAAATGAGAAAACAGCCTTCGCCAGACATTGAATTTCCTGGCATCTTGACCGTGTACTTCCTAGACTCCAGAACAGTGAGAAATAAATTTCTGTTGTTTATAAACTAGCTAGTTTTTGATACTTTGTTATAGCAGCCTGAATGGAATAAAGCAGTAAAATGGACACAATTGCATGTGATTCTGGTCTTCTCTGGATTTCGGCCTCTCTCCAGCTTTTTCAAGGCAAGGCATAAATGAACTAAATAAAGTTAATATTTTAAAGTTTCTGAACATTACCACTATTGCCACTGGCAAGAATTGATAATTCACTGAGTACCACATGACTCAGATTCTAAACTGCTTTATATTTGGTTTAGGGTGAATCACCTCATCTTTCTATGGGCTCCACATTTTACAAGAGATTTTTTTTGTATCTTTAATTACACTATAGATGTTTTCATTAGTATGGACTAATGTCAGGAATTTGTTTGATCTGCCTGTCTTCACTGTAGTTGCTCATTTAGTCAGAACTAAATCAGAGGCAGAAATGCCTTTCCTTTTTTTCATATTTTGCCACATATCATGCTGTGTATCGTCGGTGACAGACCCAGAGGGCAGAGTCTGTGGGTAGATAGGTTGTCTGATGAGTTATGCTTGAACATTCTACAAACAAGCTGGAAGAATAAATCCTCAGAGGGTGTGATTCCACTCACAGGGCATTCATAAATAGAGCCAGAATATTATATTCACCTGTACACCCTCCCATATCCTCTTTCAAATCCTGTCCTTACACATTTTCCGTGGAGTGTACAAATAAAGAAGGCATGGGAAGGCTGAATGGGTGGAGATGAAGAAGAGATGTCCTATCATACTAATAATGTCTCCTCCCTCCAGTTTCCTCTTGGAGAGGCTGCCCATGTTCCCTTCACAGAATATGCTTCTGTTATCCATGCCGAATGGGTCAGGAATTACCACTGGTCTGCTTGATGGCTTGACTGGACAATAGGACCCCCCAATTATCTCCTTAGAGTCTCTCTGCTTGGAACTTAGAATCAAAACACAGAAGCTTCATATTTCTGCAGGCACTAGACTTCAAAAGGCAGTAAAGACATGTTAGGGGTGAGAGTTGCTAGTTTAGGCTGCCTGCACAAAATGAGGTAAAGCCAATGAAATAGTGGGTTGGAGAGCGAGAGGCAGAGAGAGAGAGAGAGAGAGAGAGTGACAGAGAACAAGAGAGTATTTAACTATAACCAGACAAGCAGAGATGAGACTCTTTGTTATATTTACCTCGGAATCTAACCCAGTGCCTGGCACACAGTAGGAGTTCAGAATATTTGCTGAATGACTGACAGACCATCTAGCCTTATAGAGGTGGAAAGAGTAATTACAGTGGTCCCTCCCCTACATCTCCTTTCTTTAGGTCCCTTTAGATAGCCTTGTGTCCTCATAATATATTATTGGTTTTGATTTTTAGCACATTTAAGTGCATTTCTATTACTTGCATCTTGATGATCCACAACTTAGGCACCAGCCAGCATGAGCACTTAACCTCAGCTCTTCCCTTCTCCTTCCTACCTGGACACCAGCTCAGACCAACGGAAGGGTGGATGTTGGTTTATATTGCATGCAGAAGGCATTCCTTAACATTTGTGGGTATGATCTGTGTCTCGCAATTTATATGGCCTTTAGACTTTACAGAAGTGTTTTACACTGAACAAACAGAAATCTAGTCACTTTTTAGAAGCAGCTTTCAGGTATGGTTTTCCATTCCATGCTCACAAGCATCACCTGGTTAGAAGTCCTCATGGAACCAAACCTGTGTTCTGATGTCCATCTCATGTCTTTCTCATTTACAGGGCATTTGTTTTAAAATTCATGCACACACATTATTGACCATTCAAGGTATGGGAGGCAATGTTCTAGATGATGGGAAAATGAAGCAAACAAAACACATGAAGTCCTTATATTTCATTATTCCCTATTTTCTTCTAGTCTCAGATTTATTCTCTACCTTCTCTTCCCTGCTGTATGCCTGGGAGTTGGATTACTGTAGACGGCACCTGTGTAACCTCGCTGGCTGGATTCCAGTTGGGTTTATCCAGTGATAGGCAATGCAAAAGATGCGAGGCTGGAGTGGTGAGAGATTGGAGTTTTTTGCCTGGTGTTTCTCTCTGCTCAGAGGTCATAGCCCCAGCATTGGCCATCTCCTCTATGACCACAGCTGCTGTTGGCCAGGCCTTCCTTCAAACTCCAGCAATAACTGATTTCAGGAACAGTATTTCCTCCCCTTACCCCTCCCTCTAAGCCTAGGGGTGGTAATGACTTCTGTTTTTTTTCACACTTCTAGATGTCTCAATATTTTTCTTTGTTTTCTTTAAACCTGCCTAAATACCTCTGTAAAGTGCCCACCTTTCTTTTTCTTTTTAAATCCTTTCAGTGAAACCATCAGAGTAGAATTCCTGTCCTGCTAAGACCCTGCCTGATTCAGTCCCTAACTTACTTAGAGCTTACATTTTATGGGGCAGTGACAACCAACAAATGAATATCAAATACATTATTATATGGTGATAAGTGGTATAAAGGAAAATAAAGCAGAGTAAACAGAGTAACAGGCACTATTTTAGTAAATGTGGTCAGATAAGCCTTCTCTAAGGAGGTCACTGCTGAGCAAACATCTGACTAAGGGAGGGACAGAGATACAAAAACATATAGACAAGTGCAAGGTCCTGAGATGGGAACATGATTAAAGAACACAAAGGCCAATGTGGAGCCAAGTGCGCAAAGCACAGGCCGCTAAGACATGAGACCATCATGTTTACCCTTTTGCTTATCTACTGAAAAGTGATGCCCTAGTAGCTGTAGGGAGAGGGAATGTGGTGTGATGAAAACAATGTGAATCCTGAAGTCAAGCAGTTCTGATTTCAAATCTCAGCTCTACCATTACTAAGTAGCCTTATGATGGTGAACAAATTACTTCAAATCTCTGACTCTCAGTTTCTTTGTTCACAAAATGCAGATAATAATGAATACCTCAAAAGGCTGAAACAAAATTTGTCAATTCATAGCACGGTGCCTGGTGTATGGTAGGCTCTCCTCACTTTCCCTCCTCTTCCTCACTTGGCCGTAATACTGTCATACGCTGAATTCAATCTAAGCTCTCTGACCCCCTGGGCTTTACCAGACTCCTCGGTTGAATACTTTCATAGTACCCTTTATTCATTTATTCATTCAGTCAACAGAGATGATCATAATTTACTACAGTTTGCAGTTATAATTTCATTTTGGAGATGATATTTTAATGTGCCTCACCCCCACTAGGCTGTAATCGTGATTACAACAGCGATTCCTCTGAGAGTTTGTTCATTCTTGGATACTCAGCCTCTAGCACAACACCTGACACAAGATGAACATTTCATAAATATGTATTGGAAGGAAGGAAGGAAGGAAAGAAGAAAGGGAGGGCAGGAGGGAGGGAGGGAGGAAGGAAGGAAGGGAGGGCATCTATCTTCTCAATAAGATTTAATTCTCCTAGTGACTTTATTCTCTCAAGGGATTCCAATTACTCATTAAATACTAGTTTAATTGAAACGAACTATATGTAAAGCTTTATACTTATTTCTGTGAAGTATATAAATAAGAAAACTCTGTGAAGGCCAAGATCACTTTATCTTTTTCATCTTTATATCACTCATGCATAACATAATACTTGGCACCTCATGATAACAACATACTTAATAAATATTTGCAAATAAAAGTAAGCTAACAAATGATTTAATATCTGATGAGTGTCTGACTGTGTATGTTGGGGATAGGGTAGGGAGGATATTATGAAATAGAATGATCTTAAACATTTTTATAAAATCACAATGAGACTTAGAAAATATTTTTCTTTTCCCCATCTAGCACACAAAAGAGGGCTCTAAAAAGAGGCTCTTTTGGAAACTGTCTAGACGAAGTGTCAGGTAGGAAGGGGCAACACTTTGAAAACATCATTTTCCTTTTTTCTGTTTGGAAAAGGTTGATGGATGGGATGTGTAAAAGACAGAGATGAATGATTTGATTGCCCTGGGGAGACTCTGAAACCTGCGATGACCTGGGGGAGGGACTCAGTGAGGATTCCTTCTCCCACCTGGTACTGGTTGCGTGGAGCAAGTACATTCCAAGGCTGGACAGCATCTGACATCCTGCTGAGAACAAAGCCCCACAGGCATGGGACATATGGTTCTGGTTATCTGGGAGACGGTGCCTTTCAAGGACAATAACACCTCCCCTTTATTTGGGATATATATCAGAGGGGCTCACGGCCCTGCCTAGGCATAGCTTCTATCCAGCAGCACAGGAACAGACAACAGTCCTGGGGTCTAGTGGAAGCACCTCTCTATCAAAACTGGAGCAGGGTTCCTTAAGGCCATACTTTTGCTGGGCCTGCTGAAGCACTATGGATATATGGTGCTTATTGAAATGGTCTCATCACAGTCTCTGAGTAATAGCCCCTACCCAAAGCATTCACGCTGTCTGTCTATGAAATTCTTTAAAAGGTCTATGGCTGAGAAAACCCTACAGCCCAGTCGAGTTCACAATGCAGTTGTAGTCAGTTACATCTGTGCCTTCTGCACATCTTTGTTCCGGCTGAAGCCCAGACTTGGACTTTAAAAAATATGTAAGATATCCAATGCTTTGTACTTGCACATCTGCAAATACCAAGTTTTCATGAGAAGCAAACATGAACATGGCTTTCTGCCTGCTTCATCCCATCCTTTAGGTGTTTGGGTTAAAAATGCATTCCTGAGAAGTTAGAATAACTAAGTATTTTTTTATATTGGTTATGCAAGGGATGGCATATTAATTTGACTTTGAAGAGTAGATATCCCTGTCACTGGCAGCACAACAAAATAATCTCTTTTCTATATTTGGAAAATTCATCATAGTGTACATCTTTGTGGAAGTCTGGGTTTACCGTCTTACGTGCCAGACACGAAAAGCCAGACATTCACTCCTCCTTTCTGCTGGCCCCTCGGGGTGGGATTGTCAGATAAATTAAGGGACACTCAGTTACATGTGAATTTCAAATAAACAACGGTTTTTCAGTATAAATATATTTCAAATATTACATGGGAAATACACTGAAAAAATTTATTGTTTATATAACATTTTTAACTGTGTATTTTGTATTTTTACTTGCTGAATCTGGTAACCACCTGAGGACCAGGACATGTGACTAAACTTCGACCAACCAGATGCTACAGAGAAGCAGCAGCGATTTAGAATTTATTCCACCAATGCCAATGGTAGAAGTGGCATTCAATATCCAGTCATGGCAGTAGTGGTGCCAGTGATGGTGTCCATAATTCAGTCAAGTTGGTGCGGCTTGACGTACGGTGATAGCAGTGGCAGCAGGAACAGCATCCTGCTCCAACTTCAGATTACTTAAGCCTCCCACATAGCTTTGGTTTACAAAGTTTCCTCAAAGATAGTATAAGTGATAGAAATGAAAATACTAAGATGGCTCACACCCTCATCTTTGGCCCCTCTCTCCTACCCTCCTGAAGTCTAGAAGATAACTTGCAGGTATTTTAGCAATGCATGGCTAATGGTATACTTAGGTGCCTGAAGAAATCCTGCTTCTGCTTTCCCTTTGGTTCTCTGGCTCAGAAGACTGCCATGGTTTGGGGTACAATGTAATATGGTAAAAGTTTCCCTTATTTTTCAACACGGAAATTAATTATACATAACCACTCTGGAACTGAAGTTCAGCTTCTGGTCACATTGCCTTTTCCTGATAAGCTCCAACCCAGCTGCACCTGCTGCTGGCATTTTCACAGTGATGGCCATGATGGGAGCCTATTCTTTACTGCCACTTAGCTCAATGTAGCTAATGTTGAAAGGAAAATAATTCACACTACTGTATTTTGTAATGCAGCATGATGGAGAGGTGTAGCTATGACCAGATATTCACCAGCCTAGAATTAGCTTTGAGGAGAGTATTTCTAGGTAGTAGATGCAGCTCTGCATGTCCAACTACCTGCTCTAGAACTCTGCTGCAATAACGTAAACTACCAAATTCTTTCGGTAGCTCCAACCTGGAGACAAGGCGACCCAAAGAGTAGGAATAAAACAAGTTAACACTAAATGAGGAATCAGAAGATGGGTTTAGCACTGACTGTCTCTGGATGGCTCCATGAGCTGGCTGAAGCTATTGAACTATCTGGGTACTGGTTTAATCAGATATCAATGATAGAAATATGAATAGTGTCTACTTTATAGGCTTTATAGTCTCTGTTCCTTGAGTACTGAACGCTTGTCTTTTTTTTGTTGTGAATTTTAAATAATTAAATTTATTTCTTCAACAAACCCTTGTATAGCAGTTTACTTCATGCCATGTTCTTTTCTAAGCCCAGTGTAAATATTAACTCATTTAATACTCATAACATCCCTATGAGATGGAAACTATTGTTTTTCTCACTTATAAGTGAAGAAACTGAGGCACAGAGAAGTTAAATAACTTACCCAATGTCTTCTAAATAGTAACTGGAAGATCTAAGAAACAAACCAAGGTATCTGGATCCCAGTTCTCACTGACTACGCTATGATATGTGTCTTTAAAAGAGTTTGTTGGGGTATTGCTGGTAAGATGGCTGAATAGGAATAGCTCTGGTCTGCAGTTCCCAGCAAGACTGAGGCAGAAGGCAGATGATTTCTGTATTTCCAACTGAGGTACCTGGTTCATCTCACTGGGACTGGCTGGACAGTGGGTGCAGCCCACAGAGGGCCAGCTGAAGCAGGGTGGGGTGTTGCCTCACCGAAGAAGCACAAGGAGTGGGGGAATTTTCTCCCCTACCCAAGGGAAGCTGTGAGGAACTGAGCCTGAGGAACTCTGGCACAGATACTGTGCTTGTCCCACAGTCCTCACAACCCACAAACCAGGAGATTCCCTCTGGTGCCAACCCCACCATGGTCCTGGGTTTCAAGCGCAAAACCAGATGGCCATTTGGGCAGACACAGAACTAGCTGCAGGAGTTCTTTTTTTCCATACCCTAGCGGCGCCTGGAAAGCCAGTGAGACAGAACCATTCACTCCCCTGGAAAGGGGTGCTGAAGTCAGGGAGCTGAGATGTCTGGCTTGGCGGGCGCCACCCCCATGGAGCCCAGCAAACTAAGATCCACTGGCTTGAAATTCTTGCTGCCAGCACAGCAGCAGTCTGAGATCAACTCCAGACATTAGAGCTTAGTGCAGGGAGGGGCATCTGCCATTGCTGAGGCTTGAGTAGGTGGTTGGTTTTTTTTTATTTTTTTTACTTTTTTATGTTTTTTTTTTAAATTTTTTTATTATACTTTAAGTTTTAGGGTACATGTGCACAATGTGTAGGTTTGTTACATATGTATACATGTGCCATGTTGGTGTGCTGCACCCATTAACTCGTCATTTAGCATTAGGTATATCTCCTAATGCTATCCCTCCCTGCTTCCCCCACCCCACAACAGGCCCCGGTGTGTGATGTTCCCCTTCCTGTGTCCATGTGTTCTCATTGTTCAATTCCCACCTATGAGTGAGAACAAGCAGTGTTTGGTTTTTTGTCCTTGCGGTAGTTTGCTGAGAATGATGGTTTCCAGCTTCATCCATGTCCCTACAAAGGACATGAACTCATCCTTTTTTATGGCTGCATAGTATTCCATGGTGTATATGTGCCACATTTTCTTAATCCAGTCCATCATTGTTGGGCATTTGGGTTGGTTCCAAGTCTTTGCTATTGTGAATAGTGCCACAATAAACATACGTGTGCATGTGTCTTTATAGCAACATGATTTATAATCCTTTAGGTATATACCCAGTAATGGGATGGCTGGGTCAAATGGTAATTCTAGTTCTAGATCCCTGAGGAATCACCACACTGACTTCCACAATGGTTGAAATAGTTTACAGTCCCACCAACAGTGTAAAAGTGTTCCTATTTCTCCACATCCTCTCCAGCACCTGTTGTTTCCTGACTTTTTAATGATCACCATTCTAACTGCTGTGAGATGGTATCTCATTGTGGTTTTGATTTGCATTTCTCTGATGGCCAGTGATGATGAGCATTTTTTCATGTGTCTTTTGGCTGCATAAGTGTCTTCTTTTGAGAAGTGTCTGTTCATATTCTTCACCCACTTTTTGATGGCTTTGTTTGTTTTTTTTCTTGTAAATTTGCTTGAATTCATTGTAGATTCTGGATATTAGCCCTTTGTCAGATGAGTAGATTGCAAAAATTTTCTCCCATTCTGTAGGTTGCCTGTTCACTCTGATGGTAGTTCCTTTTGCTGTGCAGAAGCTCTTTAGTTTAATTAGATCCCATTTGTCAATTTTGGCTTTTGTTGCCATTGCTTTTGGTGTTTTAGACATGAAGTCCAGCATATAAACAGAACCAACGACAAAAACCGCATGATTATCTGAATAGATGCAGAAAAGGCCTTTGACAAAATTCAACAACATTTCATGCTAAAAACTCTTAATAAATTAGGTATTGATGGGACGTATCTCAAAATAATAAGAGCTATTTATGACAAACCCACAGCCAGTATCATACTGAATGGGCAAAAACTGGAAACATTCCCTTTGAAAACTGGCACAAGACAGGGATGCCCTCTCTCATCACTCCTATTCAATATAGTGTTGGAAGTTCTGGCCAGGGCAATTAGGCAGGAGAAGGAAATAAAGGGTATTCAATTAGGAAAAGAGGAAGTCAAATTGTCCCTGTTTGCAGATGACATGATTGTATATCTAGAAAACCCCATCGTCTCAGTCCAAAATCTCCTTAAGCTGATAGGCAACTTCAGCAAAGTCTCAGGATACAAAATCAATGTACAAAAATCACAAGCATTCTTACACACCAATAACAGACAAGTAGAGAGCCAAATCATGAGTGAACTCCCATTCACAATTGCTTCAAAGAGAATAAAATACCTAGGAATCCAACTTACAAGGGATGTGAAGGACCTCTTCAAGGAGAACTACAAACCACTGCTCAATGAAATGAAAGAGGATACAAACAAATGGAAGAACATTCCATGCTCATGGCTAAGAAGAATCAATATTGTGAAAATGGCCATACTGCCCAAGGTAATTTATAGATTCAATGCCATCCTCATCAAGCTACCAATGACTTCCTTCACAGAATTGGAAAAAACTACTTTAAAGTTCATATGGAACCAAAAAAGAGCCCGCATCGCCAAGTCAATCCTAAGCCAAAAGAACAAAGCTGGAGGCATCACACTACCTGACTTCAAACTATACTACAAGGCTACAGTAACCAAAACAGCATGGTACTGGTACCAAAACAGAGATACAGACCAATGGAACAGAACAGAGCCCTCAGAAATAATGCCGCTTATCTACAACTCTCTGATCTTTGACAAATCTGACAAAAACAAGAAATGGGGAAAGGATTCCCTATTTAATAAATGGTGCTGGGAAAACTGGCTAGCCATATGTAGAAAGCTGAAACTGGATCCCTTCCTTACACCTTATACAAAAATTAATTCAAGATGGATTAAAGACTTAAATGTTAGACCTAAAACCATAAAAACCCTAGAAGAAAACCTAGGCAATACCATTCAGGACATAGGCACGGGCAAGGACTTCATGTCTAAAACACCAAAAGCAACGAGTAGGTGGTTTTATGCTCACAGTGGAAATAAAGCCACTGGAAAGTTCGAACTGGGCAGAGCCCACTGCAGCTCAGCAAGGCTACTGTGGCCAGACTGCCAGATTTCTCTTCTATGGGCAGGGCATCTCTGAAAAAAAGGCAGGAGTCCCAGTCAGGAACTTATAGATAAAAGCCCCATCTCCCTGAGACAGAGCACCTGGGAAAAGGGGAGGCTGTGGGCGCAGCTTCAGCAGACTTAAATGTCCCTGCCTGATGGCTCTGAAGAGAGCAGAGGACCTCCCAGTACAGCATTCAAACTCTGCTAAGGGTCCCAGTAGGGGCCAGCAGGCACCTCACACAGGAGAGCGCTGGCTGGCATCTGGCAGGTGCTCCTGTGGGACGAAGCCTCCAGGGGAAAGATCAGGCAGCAATCTTTGCTGTTCTGCAGCATCCGCTGGTGATACCCAGGCAAGCAGGGTTGGGAGTGGACCTCCAGCAAACTCCAGCAGACCAACAGCAGTGGGGCCTGTCAGAAGGAAAAGTAACAAACAGAAAGGAATAGCACGTCCACTCAAAGACCCCATCCGAAGGTCACCAACATCAAAGACCAAAGGTAGATAAATCCACAAAGATGGAGAAAAACCAGCACAAAAAGACTGAAAATTCCAAAAACCAGAATGCCTTTTCTCCTCCAAAGGATCACAACTCCTGGCCAGCAAGGGAACAAAACTGGATTGAGAATGAGTTTGACGAATTGACAGAAGTAGGCTTCAGAAGGTGGGTAATAACAAACTCCTCCGAGCTAAAGGAGCATCTTTTAACCCAATGCAAGGAAGCTAAGAACCTTGAAAAAAGTTTAGATGAATTGCTAACTATAATAACCAGTGTAGAGAAGAACATAAATGACCTGATGGAGCTGAAAAACACAGCATGAAAACTTCGTGAAGCATACATAAATTTCAGTAGCTGAACTGATCAAGCAGAAGAAAGGATATCAGTGACTGACAGTCAACTTAAGGAAAGAGAGAAGGCAAGATCAGAGAAAAAAGAATAAAAAGGAACCAACAAAGCCTATAAGAAATATTGGACTATGTGAAAAGACCAAATCTACATTTGATTGGTGTACATGAAAGTGACGAGGAGAATGGAACCAAGTTGGAACACACTCTTCAGGATATTATCCAGGAGAACTTCCCCAATCTAGCAAGACAGGCCAATATTCAAATTCAGGAAATACAGAGAACACCACAAAGATACTCCTTGAGAAGAGCAACCCCAAGACACATAATCATCAGATTCACCAAGGTTGAAATGAAGGAAAAAATGTTAAGGGCAGCCAGAAAAAGGTTGGGTTACCCACAAAGGGAAGCTCATCAGACTAACAGTGTATCTCTCTGCAGAAACCCTACAAGCCAGAAGAAAGTGAGGGCCAATATTCAACATTCTTAAAGAAAAGAATTTTCAACCCAGAATTTCATATCCCGCCAAACTAAGCTTCATAAGCGAAGGAGAAATAAAATCCTTCACAGACAAGCAAATGCTGAGAAATTTTGTCACCACCAGGCCTGTCTTACAAGAGCTCCTGAAGGAAGCACTAAACATGGAAAGGAACAACTGGTACCAGCCACTGCAAAAACATGCCAAATTGTAAAGACCATCAATGCTAGGAAGAAACTGCATCAACTAATGAGCAAAATAACCAGCTAACATCATAATGACAGGATCAAATTCACACATAACAATATTAATCTTAAATGTAAATGGGCTAAATGCCCCAATTAAAAGACACAGACTGGCAAATTGGATAAAGAGTCAAGACCCATCAGTGTACTGCCTTTAGGAGACCCATCTCATGTGCAAAGACACACAAAGCCTCAAAATAAAGAGATGGAGGGATATTTACCAAACAAATGCAAAGCAGAAAAAAAAAAAAAAAAGACAAAAGAGCAGGACTTGCAATCCTAATCTCTGATAAAAGAGACTTTAAACCAACAAAGATCAAAAGAGACAAAGAAGGGCATTACATGATGGTAAAAGGATCAATGCAGCAAGAAGAGCTAAGTATCCTAAATATATATACACCCAATACAGGAGCACCCAGATTCATAAAGTAGGTTCTTAGAGACGTGCAAAGATACTTAGACTTGCACACAATATTAGTTGGAGACTTTAACACCCCATTGTCAATATTAGACAGATCAACAAGACAGAAAATTAACAAGGATATTCAGGAATTGAACTCAGCTCTGGACCAAGCGGACCTAATAGACATCTACTGAACTCTCTACCCCAAATCAACAGAATACACATTCTTCTCAGCACCTCATTGTACTTATTCTAAAATTGACCACATAGTTGGAAGTAAAACACTTCTCTGCAAATGCAAAAGAACAGAAATCATAACAGCCTCTCAGACCACAGTGCAATCAAATTAGAACTCAGGATTAAGAAGCTCACTCAAAACTGCACAACTACATGGACACTGAACAACCTGCTCCTGAATGAATACTGGGTAAATAATGAAATGAAGGCAGAAATAAAGATGTTCTTTGAAACCAATGAGAACGAAGACACAATGTACCAGAATCTCTGGGACACACTTAAAGCAGTGTATAGAGGGAAATTTATAGCACTAAATGCCCACAAGAAAAAGCAGGAAAGATCTAAAACTGACACCTTAACATCAAAATTAAAAGAACTAGAGAAGCAACAGCAAGCAAATTCAAAAGCTAGCAGAAGACAAGAAATAACTAAGATCAGAGCAGAATTGAAGGAGATAGAGACACGAAAAACCCTTCAAAAAATCAACAAATCCAGGAGCTGGTTTTTTGAAAAGATCGACAAAGTACGTAGGCCATTAGCCAGAATAATAAAGAAGAAAAGAGAGAGGAATCAAATGGACATAATAAAAAATGATATAGGGGATATCACCACTAATCCCACAGAAATACAAACTACCATCAGAGAATACTATAAACACCTGTATGCAAATAAACTAGAAAATACAGAAGAAATGGATAAATTCCTGGACACATACACCCTCCCAAGTCTAAACTAGGAAGAAGTCAAATCTCTGAATAAACCAATAACAAGTTCTGAAATTGAGGCAGTAATTAATAGCCTACCAACAAGAAAAGTCCAGGACCAGATGAATTCACAGGCGAATTCTACCAGAGGTACTAAGAGGGGCTGGTACCATTCCTTCTGAAACTATTCCAATCAATAGAAAAAGAGGGAATCCTCCCTAACTCATTTCATGAGGACAGCATCATCCTGTTACCAAAACCTGGCAGAGACACAACAAAAAAAGAAATTTCAGTCCAATATCCCTAATGAACATTGATGTGAAAATCCTCAATAAAATACTGGTAACCTGAATCCAGCAGCACATCAAAAAGCTTATGCACCATGATAAAGTTGGCTTTATCCCTGGGATGCAAGGCTGGTTCAACATATGCAAATCAATAAATGTAATCCATCACATAAGCAGAACCAATGGCAAAAACCACATGATTATCTCAATAGATGCGGAAAAGGCCTTTGACAAAATTCAACAGCCTTTCATGCTAAAAACTCTCAATAAACTAGGTATCGATGGAATGTATCTCAAAATAATAAGAGCTATTTATGACAAACCACAGCCAATATCATACTGAATGGGCAAAACTGGAAGCATTCGCTTTGAAAACTGGCACAAGACAAGGATGCCCTCTCTCACCACTCCTATTCATCATAGTATTGGAAGTTCTGGCCAAGGCAATCAGGCAAGAGGAAGAAATAAAGGGTATTCAAATAGGAACAGAGGAAGTCAAATTGTCTCTGTTTGCAGATGACATGATTGTATATTTAGAAAATCCCATCGTCTCAGCGCAAAATCTTCTTAAGCTGATAAGCAACTTTGGCAAAGTCTCAGGATACAAAATCAATGTGCAAAAATCACAAACGTTCCTATACACCAATAACAGAGAAACAGAGAACCAAATCATGAGTGAACTCCCATTCACAATTGCTACAAAGAGAATAAAATACCTAGGAATCCAACTTACAAGCGATGTGAAGGACCTCTTCAAAGAGAACTACAAACCACTGCTCAAGGAAATAAGTGAGGACACAAACAAATGGAAAAACATTCCATGCTCATGGATAAGAAGAATCAACATCATGAAAGTGGCCATACTGCCCAAAGTAATTTATAGATTCAATGCTATCCCCATCAAGCTACCACTGACTTTCTTCACAGAACTGGAAGAAACTACTTTAAACTTCATATGGAACCAAAAAAGAGCCTGCATAGCCAAGACAATCCTGGGCAAGAGGAACAAAGCTGGAGGCATCACACCACCTGACTTCAACTATACTACTAGGCTACAGTAACCAAAACAGCATGGTACTGGTACCGAAACAGATATATAGACCCATGGAACAGAACAGGGGCCTCAGAACACCACACATCTACAACTGTCTGATCTTTGACAAACCTGACACAAAGAAGCAATGGGGAAAAGATTTCCTATTTAAAATATGGTGTTGGGAAAACTGGCTAGCCCTGTGCAGAAAACTGAAACTGGACCCTTTCCTTACACCTTATACAGAAATCGACTCAACATGGATCAAAGACTTAAACATAAGACCCAACACCATAAAGATCCTAGAAGAAAACCTGGACAATACCATTCAGGACATAGGCATGGGCAAAGACTTCATGTCTAAAATACCAAAACAATGGCAACAAAAGCCAAAATTGACAAATGGGATCTAATTAAACTAAAGAGCATCTGCACAGCAAAAGAAACTGTCATCAGAATGAACAGGTAACCTACAGAATGGGAGAAAATTTTTACAATCTATCCATCTAACAAATGGCTAGTATCTAGAATCTACAAAGAATTTAAACAAATTTTCAAGAAAAAAACAAACAACCCCATCAAGTAGGCAAAGGATATGAACAGACACTTCTCAAAAGAAGACATTTATGCAGCCAACAGACATATGAAAAAATGCTCACCATCACTGATTATTAGAGAAATGCAAGTCAAAACCACAATTAGATACCATCTCATGCCAGTTAGAATGACAATCATTAAAAAGTCAGGAAACAACAGATGCTGGACAGGATGTGGAGAAATAGGGACACTTTTACACTGTTGGTTGGAGTGTAAATTCATTCAACCATTGTGGAAGACAGTGTGGCAGTTCCTCAAGGATTTAGAACTAGAAATATCATTTGACCCAGCAATCCCATTACTGGGTATATACCTAAAGGATTATAAATCATTCTACTATAAAGATACATGCACATGTGTGTTTACTGTGGCACTATTCACAATAGCAAAGACTTGGAACCAACCCAAATGTCCATCAATAATAGACTAGATAAAGAAAATGTGGCACATATACACCATGGAATACTATGCAGCCATAAAAAAGGATGAGTTCATGTCCTTTGTAGGGACATGGATGAAGCTGGAAACCATCATTCTCAGCAAACTATCCCAAGAACAGAAAACCAAACACCGCATGTTCTCACTCACTTTTAAGTGGGAGTTGAACAATGAGAACACATGGACATAGGGAGGGGAACACCACACACCAGGGCCTGTCGGGAGGTGGGGGGCTAGGTGAGGGATAACATTAGGAGAAGTACCTAATGTAGTTGACGGGTTGATGGGTGCAGCAAATCACTGTGGCATATGTATACCTGTGTAACAAAACTGCATGTTCTGCACATGTACCCCAGAATTTAAAAGTATAATAAAATAAAATAAAATAAAAAATTAATCAATAATCAAAACAAAACAAAGCAAACAACAAAAAAAGAATTTGTCTGTGTGAGTAACCCTTGAACAACCCTTGTGAATAATCCTTGCCTGGAACATGGAATATGTCAATAAATGTCAACATTTATTACCTGTAATAAGTGATGTTACTTATTTTTGGCTAAAAGCATTTTTGGGAAGGCCTCATAGAGTAAGTAGGACTTGAGCAAAGACACATCAGTGGTTTTCAAGTATAGCTCCACCTTAAAACAATCTGGAGAGCTTTACTTAAAAAAAAAAAAAAAAAACTCCCAGTGCCTGGGTCCCACTCTGATCCTATTGAATCATAATCTCTGGAGGCAGGCTCTGAAATCTGCGTTTTTCAAAATTTGACAGGTGAGTCTAATGTGCAACCAGGATTGAGAATCACACAGCCTCAAAAAGCAGAAATAGAAGGAGGAGAATTGTAAGTTGAAGAAACAGCATAAAGGATGGCACTGGGAAGGAAAGAAGAGGCACGACTTCGGAATGTTGACTAATCCAGCATGATCATAGCACTGAAAAACCTGTGGAGATGTAGGGACAGATGGGGCTAGAAACATAGGCAGGGACTTTGGAGGGCCCTGAGGATGTTGGGGCCTCAGTGTAGGTTGGTGCTTGATTTCCACCTACTCACACTTTTTACTTTCAAGTTTCTGGGTTGAAGAGCCAGATGGGGCAAGGGACCACTTTTAGATAGGACTTTCTGAAAACAGATAGAAAAGAGTGAAGCCTATATCTTGAGGCCACATGACCCAGATTTCCCTCCATCTGTTTGTAGGAGATGAAGCTGGAGCAGAAAAGCAGAAATCTCCCCTTGGGTTCCGGGATCTGTTGCCAACTGATCAGTGGGGTGGCTTCACTCTCTGGTTATGGTTTTCACCAATTATATTAATCACTTTACTAGAGAAGGACAGCAAATGTGCCTCCAGTATGACTGTCTTTTGGAAAGTAGACCTGAAGTACCCTCATATTTTTTATAGAGACCGTGGGAAGGGGAATAACCATTCTCTCTTAATGATAAGGAGTTAAAACTTACCTGTGTAGGAAATAGAAGGCTTTTATGTTTTTTGAACAAGGACATAACACCGTCACTGTTTTATGTCAGGACGCCTATTATTCATATCATATATAGATACAATATTTTAGTGTTTATAAAGTTTTTTTCAAATACATGATCACATTTTATATGTGCTTTAGCAAGTGAGTGAATTAAATTTTGAGCCATATATACAAGATAGTGTCTTGTTGGCTCCACTTCATACTAAAAATCTGAAGACGGATGGTATATCCGCAGGTAAGGCAGAAACTTCCTCTGTTGAACTCATAGGCAGAATGTTCCTTTTTCTTTTTTTTTTTTTTCTGGTGAGGTGAACGAGTACCTTGATAAGCTAAACTTGAAAAGGTCAACCTGTCTTTTAGGCACTGGGTGTCTGGGAAACCATACGGCTGTGAGCATTTGCGACGGAAGGTTATCTCTGTCTGGAATTGGATCTGTATACATTATGTCAGGCTCCACCAGTTGTCCGGTGATGAATGCGGTGCCTACCTCAGCCAGCTTGGCGTTCCAGGGGGCCCACTGTCTTCCAGCTGATGGAAGGATAATTAATAAACATGACAAAGAATGTGAAGAGACTTTTGCATAGAGAATTCTGGTTGGCTTTGCCCATATGTATGAGTGTTCTTGTATTCTTGGGGGCAAATCCTTTTGTCCAGTGAGAGTCAAGAAACTGTAGCATCTTAGTTGGAGCCTCAGGTCATACATGAAGGAAAACCAGGTTGAAGTTAGAACTACTCACTCATGCCTGTTTAATGACAGACATGAAATGTAAGGCAGCCTCTGTCTTTTCCTTCAGAGAATTCAGTGACAAATTCTCTAGCTACCCACTAACTACTGAATTGGAGTTCATCTGTTAGAACCTAAGAGTTGCAATCTTCTCCATGCCATTTTTACTAGGGGCACACACATCCATTCTACTCTCTGTCTAGTCTTTCAATTTAGTGTTCCATGCCAGTAGTGCATATGTGTATGTACATACATAGACACATCCACACACACACACAAGCATACACACATACCCATCATTTAGACTAACTCATGGAGTTTGTGTGAGTCAAAACAAATAGATAAAAAGTGATTTCTAAACAATGGACAGTAAGAGACAAATTCTAAACAAGGGTTAGTAACAAAATTCGAACCAATTTTGACATTGTATTTTAGTGTTCCTTACTACTCTAAACTCTGTAAAAGCAGGAACTGTATCTGCCCAGTTTTTATTGCTTTTTACATTCGTCTTTTCAACTAGGAATGCATTCCACTTCAAATAACAGAATGCCCTACTGGCAGTAGCTTAGCTAAATAGGAGTACTTTTCTCTCATAAGTTTGGAGATAGTAGCTGCTGGTCTGGTTCAATTATTCGACAATATTAACAAGAACCTGGACAATTCTTTGTTTTTCTGGTCTACCTTTCCTGAGCTTTTCTACCATAGTTTTATCATTTATGCTCTCAAGATGGCTGCAACAGATCCAGAAGTCATGACTTCATTCAAAGTCAGAAAGCAAGAGGACTGCAATGGTGGTGAGAGCCTTTCTCCTCGTTCACCATTTTCTTATTTGGGAAAGAAGTGTCTTTCCCTGAACACCCCATTGTACTTCGCCTAACGATGACTCATGGCTGCCCTTACAAGGGAGGTTAAGAAAATATGTAATTGACTTTTTCAACTTTATAAAAGATATAAAAGGGCTAGGCACAGTGGCTTATGCCTCTAATTGCAGCATTTTGGGACCCCAAGGTGAGAGGATTGCTTGAGGCCAGGAGTTTGAGACCAACGTGGACAATATAATGAGAGTTCGTCTTTACAAAGAATAAAAACAAATTAGTCAGGCATGATGATGCATGCCTACAGTTCTAGCTACTTGGGAGGCTGAGGCAGGAGGATTGCCTGAGCCCAGGAGGTTGAGGCTGCAGTGCACTCAGCCTCCACTGTACTCCAGCCTGGGTGACAGGGCAAGACCCTGTCTCTTAAAAACAAACAAACAAACAACAAAACAACAACAAAAGGTTAAAAAAAGAGAGAAGGATAATAGGCTTTGTGAGGATAGGTGACTTAAGAATATATCATAAAACTCTTATCTCTTAGTGCTTGACATGGGCCTGACATGGGGCTTACTACTGTTTAGTAAATAATTATTGAAAGAAAGTGACCCAATTCCTCAATAATCATTGGCTCTGACTTTCTTTTCTTTTTTTTTTGTTTTGTTTCCATCAAACTCAGCAGTCTCTCTAAAGTTACAACAGTTCAAAGGTTGGGAATTCTTTGTCTCTAAGTCCCAGAGTTCCTTCTAAATGGATCCCAGCTTATTTGGATCTAAAGCTAGTCCATTCTACTTCCAAGACAAGAGCCAGAAATGATCTTTTCACTGAATATACCACATTTTAAAATTATTGCAGCTCTATAACATGTCTTATATTTGACACAATTATTATTTTTAGCACTCTTCCTTTATTTAAAATATACTGGATTATTATTGTTTGTTATCTATAAAAATAGTAATATTTTTCTACTTTCCTATTTCCCAAAGACATCTGTTGCCTTTTTAAAAATTGAAAATACACTAAGTTTATTGATTAAAGCACGACTGAAGTATGTGATTTTGAATTTTTCACCCAAGATCATGACAAAACTTTTCATGTTTTTGTCTACTACTTCTGAGCCAATGATTAGCATTTTAAGTTATATTCATGTTGATCATATATGTGTTTTCTTAAGTTTGAAATTTATCTGTTGTTGCCTTTGTAAATGGAGATATTTTCATCTAATGGTTTTGTTGGCATATATTAAGCCCATTATTTTCTGTATGTAAATTTTGTGTATAGATACCATACTACGTTATTTTAAATTTGTAATAGTTTCTTACCCATGCTCCAAGTTTCCTACGAAATCATTTTTTATGTGTATGAATAATAATTTTACTTCCATCTTTTAAATGTTTATATACCTCTTTTTTTCCTAATTGCATCAGTTAATTTCTCTACAGAGTGTTAAATACTAATGATGATAAAGACATTCTCGATTAGCTTTTTACTTTATGCAACTAGTCCCATTGTTTCCTCATTAATTAAGATGCTAGCTCCAAGTCCTATTCCTATTTTATTAAAAGGTATTTTCAAGAGTGGGTGTTAAATTTTATGAACCTTTGCCACATCTATGGAAATAATTGTATGTTTTTACCCTTATTATTTTTAGCTTATTGTATGTTATTACTCATTATTATTTATTAAATAATGATTATTTCCCTATGATTCATTTATTCTTTCCCTTTATTGACACAAGTTCTTATGACTATGATTTTTTTCTTTGAGCACTGTTTTAGCTATATTTCATAAATTCAAAATGTAGACTATGGTTATTTTAAATTATGGTTATTTTAACAATATTTTTCAGGTTTACTTTTAATTTCTTCTTTCATCTAATACTTGTTTGGGAGAAGTTTAGAATTTCCTGTAGGCAGATTTTTGTTGCTTTCTTTTTGTCAATTTATAGTTCCCTCCCTCACTCCCTCTCTCCCTCTCTTCCTTCCTTCCTTCCTTCTTTTCTTCTCTTCTTTCCTTCCCTCCTTTCATCCTTTGCTTTTTTTTTAATACTTGGATTAGGGAATATTGTCTTTACTTTTTTCTACTTTTTGGAATTCATAGAAACTTTCTGTTGGCCCAGTTTGACTTTAATTTTTCTTCCACTTCTTTTCTGTGCTATTTATACTAATGCTTTATTTTCTATTTACGTTTTATAGCATTCCTGAGCTCTTTTAGATCTCCTTTGTGCTCCTGTTTTATAAAAGTTTTTACTATACTATGTTGTAAAAATTCATAGTGATACATTTTGTCACAATTTTCTTGTGCTACAAAAGTCCTATTCTTTGTTTCCTTTTCTCATATAGCATCTTTCGGTCTTAGGAGAGTTTTTCAGATGGTTAATGTAAGAGAGCAAGAAAAGTTCTAGTCTGGATGAGAAGGACTAAATTTGTACTCTAGTGCTGTTGATAATATAGAATGTATCTCCTTTCTATGCCTCACTGACAGGTTGCTTTCCATATATTTTATATTTTGTCATGCTTTCCCAGCTAATCTATACTTTATGCTTAAATTGATTTAAGGAAGCTCCCACTACAACTTATATGCTTCCCATGCCATTCACCTTTTGTTCTGATGAGTCTTGTTTCCCTAGATGTGACACATACTTTGGATAAATAACCTATTCCGTGTTTGTTAAAGCTATGGATATCCTCATTCATTGTCTTTCCATACCCTAGTATAATTTTCAATTATCATTCTTCCCTGTATTTACATTCTATGTATGTAGAATTCTATATGTGTAGTTTACATATGTAGACTATTTACATTCTAGTTGCTATAGTTTTGGTGAAGAAGGATTTTGTGTTCTTGTTTTTTGTTCCTTTCTTGCTTTGGAGGTGATTTATAAAAGAATCACAAATTAGCCACTGTATGTTTTCTACAATTTTAAAGCTTGAAAACAGTTTATCTTATGTTTAATAATGCTTAAATTATTATTGCAACTATGTGCTCAGTATTAGGATAAAGAGTATACTGAGCATTGATTTCATTTTGCAAGTTTTTTCAGCATAATTGTATGACAGTACAATATTAGAAGTTTAGTTTACATTTGACTTTTATAACATGATAATTAAGAAGGTTACTTTTGCAAAAATATTCTGTAATGGCACTAATTTTCTATAGGGCTGCTCTTAATCCTTTGGTATTAAACTTTTTCTACTTTGAAATGCATATCTCATCATCCTTGCTGATTTTTCTTCTGTATTAATTAGCTGATCTAATTTTACCATATTCTCCTGAGTCAATGAATGACTGTGGGAGGATTTGAGAAGTTCTGCATTGAAAATTTAACATACTTCACAGAGCTGTAAATCTCTTACAAGATGTGTACCTTTATTTTTAGTTAATTTGCATTGTGTTTACATTGTATTTTTGGATATTTAATATCTTACAAACAATAGAAAATAATTAACATAAATAATGTAAAGGGTAGGAAAGACATTATTAGTAAAAAGAAAGGATGTTAAAGTAGAGGAAAATTTTACCTGTGGTAATAAGTGTATATTTCCATTGCATGATTTATTTCCTATAGTTTGTTAATTATAGAGATTTAAATTATGTATATTGACATAAAGAGGACCTTGTTCTGGAATCATGCAAATTCATGAAAGTCTAGCCTAGATAAGAAAAATACAAATGTCCTCAAAATGAACTAAAATTGGACTTTATTCTGTTCTGTTAAGATCCTGAATAAAAGTAAATTGTTATAGTTTGCATGCAATATATGTTTATATATTTCATGGTTAGTTCAATATGATTATAAAATTAAGACTATTTCCTACTTAAAGTAGTCCTGTCCTGGACATTTTTTTAAAAAAACACAGCCACTTCTAGAAGTTTTAATTCCATGTTTGCTTTAGTCTAAATGATTCTTCAATTCTTGTTAGTGGCTGAATCCTTCTGAAGTGGAAAGAACACTAGATTGGGAATTATAAGACTTGAGTTGAAGTTCTTTCCTGACACGTGTGACCTTAGTCGTGTGATATCACCTTTCTGAGTGTTTTATATGAAGGATACTTTGATATTTAACTATAATATTATTGAAAACTTCAAAATGTCTAAAAGTGTAAAAGATTCTCTATTTCTTAGTGTGTCTAGAAAAATATCTTTGTCCAGTATCTAGTTAAAACAGGAGAATTAGGCAAGTAATCATTTATTTTGTCATTTCAGTGCCAAAGATGCCACTGGTGTCATTACCATGTTTGTTTTTCAACCATGGATTTGCGTCACTCACTTCCTAACCCTTCATCACTGTTTTCTCCTGTATTTCACATTTCTCAGTCACAGAAGTCATCACATTCTTAGCACATTTAGCACGTTAAATTAATTAGGAGCCACATACAAAAATATGCCCACTAGCAGTTCTGTAACACCTCAGTGCTTTTCACATGAGTGGTCTCATTTGACGGAAAAGCACCAAAACACAAGACTTGCTATTTATTATCCATGCAATACAGTTTCTGTAGTTACATGTGTTTAAAACATGTCACATCTGGCCTGACCAGAATGTATTATTCGGTTCCAAATCTGACAATCACTTATAGAGTTCCAATAATTCAATCATGCCTGTATCATTTATTATAAATATTTACTGAGAATTTTAGCATCCACTCTTTGTTGGTATTATGCTGGGCACTGGAAATGTCGATGCAAAAGATGCTGCCCTGCTTAGGAGGAGTTTAGTAGAGTGTGGCAAACAGATACATAAATGGACAATTATATTAAAACCAGACATATATGCTGTTTCTTACCACTCTTCCCTTGTTTGCTTTACTCCAGTCTTAATGACCTCCTTGCTGGTCCTCAATCATGTCAGTGGCTGTTTTCTCCACCTGGAATGTTTCTCCCTAGATAATCATATGGCTTATCACTTCACTTCATTTAGCTCCCTGCTTAAACCACCTCTTTAATGATGCCTTCCATGATTACTCTATGTAAAGTGGTAACTTTTTTACCCTGCTTTATTTTTCTTCGTGAAGCTTATCAATTCCTGATATATTGTTACATATTATATTATTACATATTTATTTGTTTTCTTTCTTCCCCATTGGTATGTAAATATCACAAGGGAGCATCCTTGATTTGATCATGGCTTTAATATCTAAACTAGACTCTGAAAAAAGAGTATCAATCATGTTGATAGCTCAATTATGATAGCAGGAATATTGTCATTGTTTTGTAATAAGCCAACAATAATAATTAACAAAATTCCAGCTCAAGAAGTCTGTGGAAAAGACACACTATAGACCTTAGGTTCAAAGACCTATGGTAGGAATCTTTGAGAAGGATGTGAGAAAAATCAATGTGACAGTGGAAAAAAATACTATATACATCTCCTGTATATTCTAAAAAGTAGGGATATAAATGAAAATCTTTGATGGACTGATCAGAATAATACGTGTGAGGATTCAGACATCAGAATCTCACAAAGGTAAACGGCTCCAGAGAGGAAAGAGATTTGGAGGGAATTACAGTATTTAGGAAGAGCAGGAGCTGATGCCCATCCATCTCATGAGGGTACAAAAAGAGAGTCAAGATTAACTAATGAAGACTGATGAAGTTTCACTGGAAAATTTCACTGAGCCTCTCTCTTTTGTCCACATGAAAATGTCAGTCAATGTCCATTGAATATTTTTTAAAAACTAAATAAAATAGTAAGCACAGTAGGCTCATAGTAGGCATTCAGTAAAGTTTTTTTGCATGATTCAATTGCTAGAATGAAAAAACACAAATGATATTTTGTGCCTGACATCAGGCCTCCATATTCGTATGTAATTAATTTCATTTAACTTCTGTGACCATCCCTGAAATAGCTATTATTATTCCTTTGTTAGCAATAAGGAATGTGAGACATGGAAAGATTAATGTGACTTTATTCAAGGTTGCAGTGAGGTACTGCATGGTAGATGATAAAGCCCAGGGTTTCTGAGTCCAGTCCTGATAATCATTCTATTACACATGGACTGTTCTAGGAAACAGTAACAAGGAAAACAGGTGAGAGCCTAAATATATGTGCCAGAACTTGAAATTCTGGAAGAAAATATTCTTTTACTGCTTTTGCTGAGAATCTCTTTACAGGGCTAGAAAACTCTCATTAAGATTGGGCACAATGGCTCCTAACACTTTGGGAGGCCGAGGCAGGTAGATTGCTTGAGGCCAGGAGTTCGAGATCAACCTGGGCAACATGGTGAAACTGTCTCTACAAAAAGTACAAAAATTAGCTGGGCATGTTTGCATGCACCTGTAGTTTCAGCTACCTGGGAGGCTGAGGTGGGAGGATCAGTTGATCCTGGGAGATGGAGGTTGCAGTGAGCTATAATTGTACCACTGCACTCCAGCCTGGGCAACAGAGCCAGACTTTTTAAAAACAAAAACAAAACAAAACCAGAAAAAAACTCTCATTAATATGAAATTTTCTTTAACATAGGTCACCCATGAAACCCCCAGTTGATACCTTTATGTTGAGTTTTTATGAGCCAGTAGCTCATCCTTTCCATTAATGGGATGAAAGAATCTAAAATTTGGAAAGGGACTGTGAGAAATCACATGATTTATTGCCTTGGAATTGTCTCTTTTGATTGATAGTGATAGAACACCAACTGAAATGGTAAGATAATTTACTGGTTCTTGTATCTGGAAAGACAAAGAGACAATTCATGTAAAAGCTAGATTCAAGTGTTTATAGAATGGCACTAAGGCTTTCTCTCTTAACTCTGTTAGCCTTTGAGTGTTCATATAACCTCTCTCTCTCCTCTCTCTCTCTCTCTCTCTCTCTCTCTCATTAGCAAAAGGCCCCATGGTGGTCTTGGTCTTTAGAGCACATGCAGTCAGAAAAAGAAAAAAAAAAACTTCCCCAAGTATGCTTGCAGAATGTTAAGGAAAAGCCCTGATTGGTCTGGCATGAATCATACACATTTACCTGACCTGGTAGGCCTAGGGGTAGCAAGCTCTTGCTGGTTAGGCCTGGTTCAGAAGCTCATCACTGGGTTCAGTGTGAGTGAGGGTTATACCCACTCGAATGTTTCAAAGTGAGAAGAGTTATTGTAGAATTGGAGAGAGGAGGAAGAAATGTTATACAGATAAAAACCATTCAACAGCCTCACCGAACTTCTACTTCTGTGAACCTTATTCTTCCAGTAAGCAAATATTTGCAAAAATGTTCTCTATGCCAAGCTCTGGGCTAGTCCCTGAGTATTATCTTTTTAATCAATAATCTTTGCCCTTGAAGATACAGTTATGAAAAGAAACAGCCAAAAGGCAGGGAGATAAATGCAATCACAAACCAAGGTACAAATTGCTTTGGGAGGCTGGAAGAAGAACTGAAAAAATATGGACTTGTTACCTGACCGCTTCCCTTCCATATCACTCCTTGACCACTACCAGTAATTTTCAGAAGACAGTCTCTTTGCAAACTCTAGTATGTACTCGAACACACTCTTTCCTGCATCCTTTCTGTCATCAAAGGCACTCACTCTGTAAGTCATTTTAAACAGCTCCAAAAGTTCCATTCTAAAGTCATGGTTTTGAAATATTTTAGGATCTTATCATCCTCTCCTCATTTCATGAAACTGGCTTCAGTGACATTTTGTTTTTAGACACGAGAGACTGTTGCTGGGAATGGAAAAAGATGAAGAGGAGGGAGGGTTAAATCATGCTGCAAAGTGAAGAAGGGGTTATCTTCAAATTAGATATATTTATTAGCATGATGACTCATAGGATAATAATGCCACTTTGCCAGTGGCCAGGATAGAAAGCAAGACTATAAAGGAATAACTGGCTGATACTTAGAGGCATCCAAGTTGTTATATCTTTAGGAAGTTAAAAAAGTACCTTAGCGTCTGCTTACTCATCCCTGGGCCGGATGTTCTAAGCTGGAAAAAAAAAAGTTTTTCTTTCCTCTGATTCTGATTGTCAAGGACAAAAGGCCCAAGCTCTTCTACTAATTATATTTGTGACCTTGAGAAATCATTCAATCTAGCTTAATCTCTGCTTTCTTATTACAGAAATGGAGAATGAATTATGTCCATTTTATGAGTTGGTATCATGAAATCTATTTATGTATTTTGGTATTATACCCACAAATATACTATATGTAATATGTATCTATTATATATATGTATATATGTATGTATGTGTATATGTGTGTATGGATGTATATATATCAGGTGTATGTGTGTAAGAAAGAGAGAGAGAAAATAAAAATTAGACATTGCTAAGCAATGGAAAACAATAGGTATTGAGTAACTAATCTCCCTTATTGTTCCCCCTTCTTCCCACTTGGACTCAGTTTCCACCTTTATAGTAGACTGAGCTGAATCAACTAATCATTACATACCTTTGTGCTTCTGATATTTGGTTTTTCTGAAGATTTTTGTACCTTTCACTGTGAGAAAAATGGCTTGTTTTTTCCAGAAGTTATTTTCTATAAGTAACACATTTCTCTGGTCAGGAGCATTCTTCTGCTCAGTGTTCACACACACTTTTTTTTGCTACCATAAATACATTTAAAGAGTCATTACCACTAAGTTTTAGCACAGGGCTTTCCAAGACAGGCAGTGCAGGAGAGTCAGCCAGAGCATTTTGGGAAGGCAGCGGCAGACCTCCAGGGGGACAGAGATTGTCCTCTGGGCATTGCTCCCAAGAGGCTCCTTGGGAAAGTATTCTGGGTCAGTTTCCATGTATACAGTTGCTGCAGAATCTCTTCACTCTTCATCTTTGTCCTCACTTGGAGAGAAAATGATTCAGAGGAACCAGGACTGAGCATTTCTTCTAAAGCCATCCTACCCATCACCACATCAGCACTGAAGACAGCCTTGTGTTTCCTGCCAAACTCAATGATTTCAATGTTTATATCATTTTCCAGGGCTCTGCAAACATCTGTCATGACCCATAAACAGCCCAGTAGAGTCACAAAATAATAGAATGACAGAGTCAAAAACAACTCGAGAGGTCACTAGCACCATTCATTTCTTCATTTTAAGGATGAAGGACTTGACAGTCATTGAGATTAAGTGACTTGCTCAAGGTCTCACAATGAGTTAGTGACAGAAAAACAGAAAATACTATCACCTATCCCTGATTAACATTTACGTAACACTTTCGATTTACAGAATGCCTCTTCCATACATCTTATTAAACTCTCATTAAGTTTATTTGAATTATTTGTTATTTTTTATCCCCACATATAGGGAAACTAACTTGAGATGAGGAAAGATTAACTTCTTCTGAGATCATTTATCCAGCAAACAGCAGAACAGGGATCTGTATTCCCATTGTTTTTATTTATTTATTTGTGTATGCTTGTTTCTTTCATCATCCATCCAATCAGGGAACAGTCTGCCTTCCTTTATCAAATTTTAATTAAGGAACAAGGCAAGAAGAGTTACCTGTAAATTAGACTCTGACAATTTAAATAGAAAAGAAATCTATCATGGAATTGGTGGCTGTAAATTTACAATAAATAGACTTGTATTTGATTTCTGCAGAATCATGATTCTTGGAAATAATCATGTTCTAGCAAATAAATACTAACATACCCACTTCTGATTTGGCTTCTGTGGAAGAAAATTTAATATGCCATTTATTAAAGAAACTAGCGACTTTTTATAAAAAATTGTTAATTGAGATAACATTGGAAGTAGCAATAAGAATACACAAGAGTATACAAATCATCCATCCACAACTCTACAATCTGGAGAGAACAACATGGTATATATGCTTCCAGGTTCTTAAAATTATCTTACACATATGCGTAATTCTTTAAACAAAAAAAAGTGATTACACAATATGTACTCTTTTTAAACTACTTTAAAAAATAAACAAATTATGAGCATTTTCTCTCTGAACATATACATATACTCATTCTTAGTCACTGTTTAATGTACATTCCATGGATAAGAAGTTTTCTTTTGCTACATGTTTCAGTTATTTCAAGTTTGACATTCTTATAATTCATGCTCCAGATGAACATGCTTTTTATCAATATTTCTGTACTTCTCTGATTATTTCTTCAGAATATATTTCTAGAATTGAATTGCCAAATCAGACAATGTGCATATTTTTACAGCCTTTTAGACATTGTGCAAATTGCCTTCCAGGGTGGGAAGAGGTGGATTCCTTCTATCATACCTCTCTGTCTTAATGTCTGATTTCTCTGTCCAGATACTATTTTCTGAGGTTTAGAGACTGGGTTTGATCCACATTAGTAATACTTATTACCAATGACTTTAGAAAAAAAAAACTATACATGCAAACTCTTACATTTAAGCTTAATTCAGATATTTTTGCTTCTAGACAGCTCTAAAAAGGAAGTGAGAGCCTCTAGATTCTGGTGCACTGTGAATATACCTCATAGAAAGTTTAAAACCATAGTTTCTGGCATGAGATAGATGGGGACTACCCCAGAAGTGTGACACTGACAGTATAACATAATGGTTAAGGAGCTTACATTCTAGAGCCAGTATATCTGTGTTCAAATGCTGGATCTATTTCCTACTAACTGTGTCGCTTCTGGTGATTGCTGAATTTTTCTGTGCTTGTTCATTTACCTTTAAATGGGAACTATAACAACCCTAACTTACAGTGTTGTATGAAGATTAAATGAGTTATGTATGTAAAGCCCTTGAACAGTGTTTGCCATATAAACATACTACATAATTGTGAGCCATTATTAAGGCTGATGTTGCTATTTACCTGTGTGTTATGGAAAACCTAATACATAGTAGATACTCAAAATTGTTGAGAGAGTAATAAAGGAATGATGAATATGTTAAGAGAGATAATTTTTGGCTAGAGACAAGGATTTTGGAGTTATCTACAGAGCAAAGGTAGCTGAAGTAGGTAAGTGACTGAAGGATGCAGCAAAGAAAGATGAGGAATGAGGGCTTTGCCCCAAGAAATACTACTTACTACTCAATAGCAGGACACAGAAAGCACATCTACCACCCCTAGGCCTGAAGAGGAAAGGGGAGAGAGTGATTAATAGAAACTGGCAGAGGAGAATGTTTTAGAAAGGAGCACTTGATAGGATATTCAGCCACTTTGACTGCTGTCCCCACTCTCCCTGCCTCCCCAGAGAGAAAGCTGAAAGAATACCATACCATAGTAATCTTCTCTTTCCCTCCAATCTCCTGCTCAGGTTTACCATTGGCTGGATCAAAAAGGAAGCCAGAGGGTGAGAGTGCCTGTTAATATAATCTACCAAGGTCAGATGTAGGAGGATGGACCATGGATCTGGTGGGTCAAGTGAAAGAATTCCAGTGCAACGTACCTGGCAACTAGAAATCACTTGTGTTCTTCAGCACTGAGGTATTTGAAGTCTTCTTGTTCTTCTCTCTTTGTAGTCTGATCTTTTCCTTCTGTCTTCTTGTAGAAGCTCTGGGAAGCCTTTTATTGACATTTTTCCCATGTTGGAAACACACTGTTAAGTTATACCCTGGTGGATTTCATTTTCCACTTGGAGAGCCTAACCTTTTTGTACATTAGAGAATTACCGAGCAGTTAGGCATTAAAATATACAATACATATCACAACTAGGCTTGGGTATAGCCTGAGAAGACTGAGGCAAGTGGGTGAGGGAAAAGAAAGGGAGAAAGCCCTATCGACCATGCAAGTGAATTTGAGGTGTGGAGCTTTGTTTATCTCAAGGATGAAGGAAACATGGGGCTAGAGAGGAAAATATCTATTTCATTTTGAAGTCTAGATACAGTCATCAGACAGCCTTGCTCTTTGAAAGTTATATTGGAAGAAAAATATTATACATGTGGTTACTGAACAAGGCCTCCTCGCAGATAGTTTCTCACTACTGATATTTTGAAAAGAGATTCAAACCAATTAAGAAGGAATTCTTATTCAACACAAGACCACCTCCCATCCCCCTCCTAACTAAAACTTGCGCAGCTCTTTACAATGTGGTGGCAGTTATTAATGTTATTATCCCATTTTGGAGATGTGGAACTGAGATTGAGGGAGGTTAAGCAACTTTGTCTAGATCACACAGCTATTTGGGAATGACTCTAAAAGCCTTCCAATAAAAAGATGATGTTCTTCCACTAAACATGTCCTGGGAAATATAAAAAAGGAATATCATTTCTTATTTTTTATGAAAAAAGGGTACCACAATAAAAATTATTTATTGTTTTTGATTAAATTTTAATTGAAGAGATATAATTTATACATATGAAACAATGAGATAGTTTCATACATTTAAATATAGTGAAGACTCATATTACCTTGTTAAAAAACTCAATTGATTCCCCTCCAAACCTGTTTCTCTTTTCACGTTTCCTTGGTCGCCACCATAATCTTTTGAGTTTTATGAGCTAGAAATCCAGGTGTCATCCTAGATTTTCCCTTCTTTCTTAACTCCTACTTCTGGTCCATCCTCAAAGTCCTAAAGACTGTTAAAAATCTATCCCCTCCTCTCCAACCCCACTCCTCTGCTCTGATTTGTATCTTACTCATTTCTGACCAGAACTGTTCCAATAGCATCTTCACTGGTCTCCCTAGCTACTGGCTTATCCCAATTTGATCCATTTTTTTTATGGCAGTTCCCTGGAGACTTTACTGAAAGCCATATCCGAGCATGTCATTCCCTTTACCAATGTAGCAATTCCCAAACTTCAGCTATTCTAATCCTGATTACATGACTTTAGTCATAGCTGCAGGTTATCTATGATTCAGCTGGTATGCAGCAATATGGCCATAGTAGTTGTTAAATAATCAAAAATTACTCTTTATAATTTGCCTTGTTTTAAACAATAATAACTGAAATCCCAGGTTGTAGTATATTGGTCACATAATGTTGTTCTAAGAGGTTCATTAAAATAAATACAAAACTACTAACTTTAAAAATCATCTTAGGGTAAATGTTTCACCATTCATGAAATAATGTGTTACTGAGACCTACAAGAATCAGATCTTGTCATTCTCATCTTCTCTCATTGGGTCTTATATTTTTCTGTTTGTAATTATAGATAACTATATATTCTTGTATTTAGGTTTCATTCACTTATTTAACTAGTTACTTCACTTAGTTAAACAAGTTTAGGTCCTGGTACTGAGTAGATATTCAATAAATATTTATTAAATAAGCAAATGAAAATAACCTGCCTGTCCTACTAGATGTGAAACTTTTTTAAATCAGTGATCAATGTGTTGGTGATTTCCGTCTCTCCTTTTTTCTAGATCACTATACAAATAATAAATGTTTGTTGAACTGAAGAGTTAGAAAGTACATAGATAAAATGCATTCCTGGAAATAAGAAAAACGAAGGGTCAACATGGACCAGTGTGGTCAAGGAGGGCTTTGATGGCAGTGGTATGACTTGAGATAGGCCTTGATCTGGGGGTAAACAGAATGAAGGTGATAGGGAATTCTCGGTGGGGAAGGAATAAAAAATCAAGGTGAGGCAGATCTTGACAGACTTATTTAGAATAGATAGGGTGCATTTGAGAGTAGCTTTTTGTATAGTAAAGAATTTAACCTGGCTCAAAGGAGTTCTGATGTTTGCCCTTGGCTTCTGGGAGGTAATCTCTAGGCATGTGAAATGTCATGCTTGATAGGAGTGTCTTTGCCTCAGGGCCTTAGGTCATACTAGGTAATCTAACAAAGTGATTTAGGGGGTGGTTGCCCATACCAGACAGTAACAATAGATTTAGGGTGTGGGTTTGGGGTCACACAATATTAATCCAACTTCACAGGGCCTGGAGACTGAGATCAGCTCCATGTGCATAGTCAATCATGACTGTGTGATGAAGCCCCACTAAAAACTCTGGACACCAAGGCTCGAGTAAGCTACTCTAGATGGCAGTACTCTGGGAGTACTGTCACACAGTGAAATCAAAAGAATAACATGTCTCTGATTCCACAGGAAGAGGACAACTTCAAGCTACATGTTTGACACCCTTCTGGACTCTGCCCTATGTGCTATGTGCCTATTACCTTGGCTGATCTCAATCTTTATCCTCTATCAGTAACAAACTGTAACTGTGAATATAATTTCTTTCAGTGTGTTCTGAGTCCTTCTAGTGAATTGTTGTATTTGAGGGTGGTTTTGAGAACCCAATGGACTTGCAGTTGGTGTCAGAAGTGAGTGGAGTCTTTTGTGAACTCTTCCTTCTAAATTTACAGTTGTCTAACTTTCCCACTTTTCAACTCATTCTTATCTAAAATTATTTTTTAAAACAAAATGCTTTCAGAATCCCAATACACAGAGCAGATGTATAAGAAGTTGCTCTAGATGCAGCAGGGCTGCAGGTTCAGTATCTGGCTGTCTGTCTCTCCTCTCACTGGGCTTGGTAATCCTGAGGCCCCTCCGCAGAAAGCCAGGGCTCCACAGAACACCCTCAGAAAACCCCAGTCATTGGCTAGGTTTCCTGTTAGAGGAAGAAAAGGGACATAACATTTTTGAACACCTACTGAATGTGGCCTTGGGAGCTAATTCATGGCATTTCATTTAATCCTGCAATCACCCACTCTTGGTATTTGCCCCTTTTACATGCATAGAAAATAGGCTTAGAACAATTAGGAGCTCGCCCAAGGCCACACAGTGAGTCCAAGGCAGAGCTGGGATTAGAAAGTCAGTAGAAGTTCAACTTGATCCTTCAATAATAAGGAGATAACTCGGGGGCTGGCATGGGGCAGGGATTTCACAAAAGAAGAATTGGAAGAATATGTGGTGTCAGTGTGGAGCAGAGAGAAAAAAGGAGAGGCTGGGAGATGGTTAAAGGTGAGTAAAGCCAGGGATGGCTGGGCTTCAACCTGGCTGCTAGAGATACAGTGAGGATACAATTTAACTTCACAGAGTCCTGGCCTTTTAGGTCAGCATGAAGAAAAGAACCTCCCGGAACATCGCTCTATGCCCCACCTCTTTAAATGGTGAAGAAAAAGAAACATCTTTTTGTGTTTAAATTTTTAAAAAAGTGATTTCATTTTAAGTCACTCATGATTTTACCTGTCAAAGGCTTTCTCAGAACTGGGGGAAAAATGAATAAAACCTGGAGAAGATCACTAAAGTATTCTAAAACATGAAAGTGTTTCAGCGGTGTCCATGAAAAAAATCATGGTGACCTCCACCAAACTGGAGTCAAAACTCAACGCACTTTGTGAGATGAAATTTCTTGACTTGTATTTTACACACAAAGCGGTATCTGGCAAACAATGTAGGGAATGGGGAAGCTGATATGATGATATAATAGCTAATGAGTGTGAAGCACTCACTCTATTCTGTGCCCAACAGGTATTTGTTCACACTGTAATCATGGTAGCCCTATGTGTGAGGCAGGCGTGTTTAGACCCACGGAGTTGTTATGCACAATTGTAATCAATTGTAACTTGTTGTTTAGTGTATATATCTTCTTTTCTAGAATGTAAGCTCTGTAAGGTCAGAGATCTGATCTGTTTTACTCACTGCTGAATTCCCTGAAGCTTACAATGCCTTACACCTAATTGGTACTTGCTAAATACTCTGAGAATAAACATTTAGTATGTATATTACAGCCGAAAATTAAAATCCAATTCTTATGACTCTCAGGTATAATTTTAGGCAATGCAATGAGGATGCAGAATTAACTTTTAGCCCATAATAAACTGGCCCTGTGGCTTACTTTCAAATTGACTTCTGTTGTGTTTAGTTACCTGACCAATTTGAACCTCGGTTTTCCACCCAGGAATGAAATGCTTGGGATTAATGATTCCCAAGGTCCCATGAATCTTTGTGAAGCTGTAAATTTCATTAGTTAGATTTTTAGTTTAATTCATCCTTAACAGAAGCAAAGCCTGTCAGATTTGATGTTTGCCATGTTGCAAACCTGGTTCTAATATAATAACATTTTCCCCTTCTTGGGCCAGAGGATCCAGATAAATCCAAAATAATTTGGAATCTGTTCCCAGTGGTGAATCTCCCTGGAAATTGAAAGACCTGCTTTCACGTTCTTTTTTTGTGAGCACCTGATGATATTGGACTTCTGTGGCTTTCAGATTCTGCATCTGCCAATAATAATAATAATGTGTAATATTAATAATAATATTAAAATCCAATATTCATGGAGTAGCAGGTTCTGTGTGATAACTTGTATTTTTAATTCATCTAATTTGTAAGACAATGTGATGAACCAGATGTTCTTATTGCCAAATGACTAAGCACACAGATTTAGAAGTAACTTGTCTAGGGTCTCATATCTTGGAAGTGATGAAGAAAGGATTTGCAGCAGATTTCTCTGACCTATAGATTTAAACACTTTAGTCATTAATTTATAGCCTTTAAGATGAGTGGATTTTGTGTTTTCTGAAGTGGATAAATCTTTGTGAAAATCCCCAGAAAAATACACATGATTACATCATTCAATATTCTGGGGGCATTGTCAGAGATTTCATAGACCCCCTAAAATATAGTTAAATGGAACTGCAAGGAAAAAAATACAAAAATGAGATTGTGAAATTTTGAGTAAGGATCTAAGAGGACCTTTTAGAATGAACTTTCAGAGGCCCATGAAGAAAATCTTTAAGGGAAGTCACAAGAAGTACAATTAAACCCTCTCATGGGGAGTCTGTATACTATGGGTTTAGCTATGCTAAGGGCCAAAACTATCTCCTCGCTTGTAGGCTAGAGATTTCAGCCTGGTTGCTGATTCCCACCATTGTCACGAGTTTCCATGTTTGCTCCAAGTTCTCAGATTTCTGTTTTTCAAGTTTAATTTGCCCGGGACATTGCAGGAAGAGAAACCGTGGGGGCATGATTAAAAGCATATGGCGTATGAGGTGGGGAGGAGGAGCAGTGAGCACAGCAGGAGGGAGGAGGATTGCTAAATTGAGTGTTTCTAATAAAGGAGAGTGGGAGAGTATTTGCTGCTTTTCCTTGGGCTAAACTGTACTGTGCAATAGCGTGCTCTCTTGCCCTCCAGGCCTAGAGTATAAGGTAGAGGAGGTTAGGGAACTGTGATGTTAGGCTGTATGGCTGTTACTCTGGCTGTCATTAGATAATATGTGAAAGCACTCTTGGAAGGGAAAATTTGTGTGTGTGTGTGTGTGTGTGTGTGTGTGTGTGTGTGTGTGTAATTTCTAGCTCAATACATTGAAAGGAGAGTGGTAACTTTCAAATCTGACCTGGCATCAGAACCCGCTTGGGAACATTCTGAAAATACGCATTCATGGGCCCATCCAAGACTTTCTAAATCAGACTCTTTGGAAAAGCCACCATTTTCCTTTAAATATATACCTCCCTTGTGTTGTTGATTACCTTCACTTATGTATCAATATTCTTTTATGATATAATAAAATTTAAATGAAATCCCTGGATGTTACTGCTCTATAGGAATCTAATGCCCACTGAACTGGACACATGGATTTTCAGCAACTCGGAGCTCATCCTATCTTCTTTCGGCTTCGGCCATACTTCATTTTGGGGAATAATCCCTCCCCAATCACATGCAGCTTTAACTGGATTTATTGGGCACTTCTTTTGCTCCTGCTTAGCCAATAGACAGGTAGAGTCAGAAACCAGGTCAGTGGGCTCTCTCCCTCTAGGCTTTGTATAATGTGATAAAAAGACAGAAAAAAAAGAAGAGAAAAGTTGATGCTCATTCTCTCTGGCATGGTCATCTTGGTTAGGCTCTGCAGGAGTTCCTGCTCCTGGGGTCCACAGGGCATCTCTGGTCCCTGTCCTTTCCTGGCCTGGTTATCCAGGCCTTCCTTCAATTCTGTGAGCAACCCAAATCCTTCTAATACATTTATTTTAAACTTAATTTAGCCAGAGTCCACTCCTGTCCCTTATCCCAACACCCAACGTTCACTCCAACACCTTTATTTTGCACAAGACGTAACAGAGCCCCGGAAACCCTAAGTGACTTGCTTAGGGACACCTGGTAAATAAGTGGCGGCTCTGGGCCTGAACTCTAGATCTTTTGGTTTCAAGGATGAGCAGAAAGTACTGTTGCCTCTATCAGATGGTTCCTCAGTTTTCTGTATAACCTCAGTGTGGTCTTCTAGATTCTTTTGAAAGTTAGGTGAATGTCACATTTGCAAACACATTTTCTATCAGTTCTCAAAATATTTCAGAGGCCAGTGGGCCTTGCATCCTGGTTCCCTGCCTCTGGCAAGTGCCTATTTTAGATGTTTCCAAAGAAGATGAATCTTTCCTCCTCTGGTGCACCT
This sequence comes from Homo sapiens, assembly GCF_000001405.40. Classification (NCBI taxonomy): domain Eukaryota; kingdom Metazoa; phylum Chordata; class Mammalia; order Primates; family Hominidae; genus Homo; species Homo sapiens. The sequence goes on from NC_000011.10 coordinate 28,668,244, forward strand.
GACCCAATATGCCAGGCCTGTGGGGAGAGAATACTTTCTGCTCACAGCCAGTGGTCATCCATAAGTCCTAAGTATTGATTGAAGATGGTTGGGTTGAAGAGGTACAACAGCTATGTTATTTTAATCTTGACTTTTCTCCCAAAAAGCATTACTGTATGCATTTTGTAGAAAAATTTGTATTAGTTAAGTCTCATTCCTGAACATGGAATCTGAACTGGTGAAATCTTGTAGTTGGGGAGGAAGGAAAAGACACAGGTAGTGGAAGATTTGAGAAATGCCTAAAATCTTGTTTTCTCCTGATAATTTCCTCCTATTTCCTCCTATTTCTCCTGATTATTTCCTTCTATTTTTGCATCATTCAATGCCCTGGGTTAATAATGATTCTGTCTATTTTAACTCAATGTTTATCATTTCATACTGTTGTTATCATTTATACCATACCTTACATTTCACACTATTAAATTTTCCCACACCCGTGGTAAGCAGACTCCTATGAATGAAGGAATACTTCCAGAGTGGTCACTATCATGGCCAAGGTCACTGATGACCCATAATAGCTGCCCCTTCTTTTATACTTTATTGCTGTTATCATTATGGCAGTGTCTTTTGGAGAGGAATAAAGGATTATTGCAAAAGATACAAGAGAGAGCTTTAAGTCAGATGTGAGAATTTTCTGACTCTAAATAAGATCATTCTCCAGTGTGCCTCCCCAACTCACTAGTGATTATATAATTTGTTAATCCATTTATTCATCAAAACTTTTATTACTCTCCTACTGTGTACCTTCAGTTCCAAGAAAAATAAAACATAGCACTCACTCTCAAAGAGCTTGCTATTTAGTGGATTGGTTCTAAGGTTACAATCAAGGAAAAGGGAAATAACATTTGGGGGATAGCTAACATATTCTTGTTATGCATACAATTTCACATAATACCACTTAGAGGTCTACAAAAGTTATATTTCTCCCTGTAGATTCATAGTATCACATCTACAAAATATTTACCACAGTATCTGTCACTTACTAAATTCTCAGTAATGGTATCTATTAAATAATTACTTAAACACATGTGTGATAGTCTTATACTCTCAACTTTTTTGTCATCAAGAACATCTGAACTCCTAGGTATAGCTTCTAATAGGGCCTTCACAATCTGACCCAAACAACTTCCCAACCCTTGCTATTTTATATTCTACTTTGTACAACTTAATATAAATAATTTTTATTTGCTGTAATGTGCTAACTACTATTTATCATTTAGTATCCGGTTCAGAACTTGTTTGCTTTGGGAGGGCTTTCCTATCTTTCCCCCACTGAGTCCTGATTTCCATTATGTTTCATAGAGACCTCCACTCTAGAACCATGTCAAATAGTACAATCATGTATTTTGATAACTATCTTTCTCCCTAGACAGATTCAAGATGAGAGACTCTCACTCTCTTTCCTTTCCAATTTGGTACCTGACATAGTACCTAGTATAAGGGGCTCAGCATATGTTCACAGAATAAATGAATAGCTATCCACCTATTATGAATTAGAAAATTTTAAGGCCTTACTTTAAAAAAATTATATTTAGGTTCAAAATATTTTACACTAGACTGGAACATTTTGAGAAAAGTAAAAACTGTGATACTGTGGCTCATTATTTCCTTTTTGCCAGAAAGAAACTTTGAAATAATCTGAAATTATCTAGTCTCTATCTCATTCAAAGGTGGGTGGCATATACTAAGTCCCAAGCTGAAGTGGTAATTGTTAAAATACTTGCTAAATTTATCCCAAAATATTCACAATGGGTCTTTTTCATGTGTTATTCCTGGGTGTGTGTTGAATGATTCAGTGATTCAATATTTTTGACCAATATTAATTGAGCATATACTATTGCCAGGTACTCCTTTAGACATTTTAGGATATAATCAAGACAGATAAAGTAGAGTCCCTTCCCTTAAGAAACTCATAGTCGAACTAGGGAGACATTTACAATTATAATATTGAGATGCTGTAGTCAAAAGTGTTGGAAACCAATTTAATAATCTGATCTAAGTTTAAAACAGGGCATGTATTACAAGCAGAAAAGAACATAACTGGGACTAGAGAGGAGATTGGAGACAAGATCTAGAGAGCCATTAAACCTCTCTCCACCTTGGATTCTGCTCCTCCCTACCTGTCTGCTTCTTCTGCTCTTCCTGGACACATGGCACCTGTGCCCCTCCGATACCTGTGGCTGAACAGGGGTAGCCATATCACACCACTTTTTATTGTATATCAATTACAGTCAAATTTCTTACTGGACTTCTGAATCTCTCCTTTCCATTCTTCAGTCTTCCACCTCTTCATCTTTCATAGTTTTTCCCTCTTCTGTCCTCTCTGTCCACTTGATCCTAGCTAAAAGGTGAAAAAGCACCCCCCATACCCTCGCTCCTAATTTCAAATTTTTAGGAAAGATTCTGCTTGGTCTAACTTGTCAGGTAGCTACTTCTGAGCCAATTAGCAGTAGATAGGGGTGGGCTACAATGTAAAACGTGGCTTTCACCATCTTACCCTGTGATCTGTTGCTCTCTAAGATGTTGGTTAACATAGTAAGGAGTTGAGCAGACCATTCAAGAGATGTCTTCTACACAACAGGGAGAATTAATATAAACTAAGCTCCCTTAATTATATTATGTTGCTACATATCATGTAACAATATGATAGAGTGGGGAAAGAGAGCTCAATTTATATTAATTCTGCTTTTAAGAAGGTATTGGTCATAAAATAAAGACTTCACAGAGAGGCTTAATATTTGGTTTGGGTCTTTAAGAGGGGTATGATGCATCAGTTCCTGAGTCTAACATATGTTAAAACTATAACAGAGTAAGTAAAAATTAATAGCATGCAAGCAAATCACCTAACTACTTGTAATTCTGAACAGAATCCTCTGGAGCAAATACGCCCTATAAATCTCACAAAAATAAATGAAAAATAATGTTGGTTATCATAAACTAAGTGGGAGAGAGTATGTTGTGTACTCAGGAGAGAGTATCACTTTTTGCTTCCTTCTAGCTCTGTTATAGAAAGTGTTAAAATGTATTACCAACCAGGCTCTTGATTTAGAAATGATCCATGAGCCATGAAATATTAGTGGGAGTGAGTGTACTGGTGCTATGACCATTCTAGGATATTAAAATGCCATTGACATCCATAACTACCAATGTATAAAAATAACAAATGCTAATTAAATGACCTGAGTGCTGAGAGCTTGCAGTTTGGCCCTCGTCAACGTTTCACTTCTTGAAATATAGGCCACTCTGCTTTCCCTGCTGACGTCAGACTGTCCAGGAGAATATGCACTTCATTACTCCTCTGCTATCCATCAAAACTTCCATGGCCAAAAAGTATGAGGGGAAAACAGTGCGTTCTCCTTTCTCCCTTTTTCCAGGCCTGAGATCTTGTTGAAAAACAGAGTTCAGATTTTGGATTGAGGAAATGGTTCCCTGGTTCAAGATCATCTGATTATACTATTGGGATTTATCAATGAATACTATTCTTCCTTGACAAAGCTTCAATAATGCAGTCTGTAAAAAGGCATAAGTTTGGCATTTTCTCTAATAAAAGTATGTGAGTATAGTTGAGAGTCACGTGCTGAGCATTACAAATATAGATAGATAGATAGATAGATAGATAGATAGATAGATAGATAGATAATCTGAATTTAAAATTATAGAAAACTGTTGATTAAAGTGGTGAAGAAAATGGCATTCTTCTGTTGGCTCATCAGGTATTTATTGAATACCTACTGTATACAAAGCATTTGTTCAGGTACTAAGAATTGTCAGAAATGGATGCTAAGGAATGAGATAATGTTCTTGTTATACTGAAAAGGAAACACATATGGATTAAATGACACGAGGACAACTACGGAGGAATGTATCAGTGCCTGTTAAATATCATCCAAGTACAAACTGAATACGTAATGCCAAGAGGAAGCAGTGTTAAAGTGATCAAGACCTCAACAGACACATAAGCAAAAATTCTGAAAGATAATTCACAAAAGTGAAAATGTTGTTTGTTTACAAAGATGGGAGGATGTTGGTTTTCACTAATAATTAAGGAAATACAAATCAAACTGACATCACTGATATACCAATCCTCTCTATCAAATTGGGGACTTTTCTATTTCTCTTTAAAGGAGGCCCTATCTCATGCAGGCAAGGCTGTACAGTCCATTGGGGAGCTACTTTGGCAATATGTTACAAACATCTTCAAATATTCACACCCTTTGACTCTGTTAATTCCAATTCTGGGAACTTTTCTTCTAAAGAAGTATCTAATTCTAAATAACAAAAAAGCTTTTTGCACAAAGAGGTGCACAGTGATGTCTCTTTCAATAGTGAAAGATTGAAAATAATGTAAGTTCCTAAAACTTGATAATGATTAAATAAATTATGGTAAATCTACTTAAGCGCTAACATTTATTGAATGCTAACCCTGTGCCAGATACTGCTCTAGACACTTTTGATACCTTAATGCATATAACTTTAATGGAAATTTTATTAATATTCTAATTTTACAGATGAGGAAACTGAGGCAAAGAGAGGCTAAAAACTTGTCTAAGGACAGCCCCAAATAGCACATGGTAAGGCAAAGATTCAAACTTAGGTGGTCCTAGGCTGATCAGCTATTTTATAGGTATTTAATGAGTTTATGAAGCATATGAAATAAAAATGTTTATGAAAATATTAAATTAAAATGCCTAATACAATGTAAGACTATAGTATGATTAAAGGCTATGTTCAAAAGCTAGCATAGATCTAATGGATAGATAGATATAGTATATATTTTAAATTTTGCCGGCCTTTAAGGTCTTTTGATTCTGTATTGTTCTCATATTTTCCACTGCTTCATTCCATGACTACTTCTCCATAGTCTAGGCCATGCCCTTGCTATTGCTCCATCCCTTCTGCACCTTTCCCTGCTTGGATACATCCTGTAAATTATAAATGACTTCCTCTTCTTTGTTTAGGAAATCCCCTGCCTTTACCCTTTTGTGGTTGTTTTGCAAAGCTCAGTATCATTCTGTATCCTCCAAGATCTATCTAAGATTCTTCCCCTCAAGGACCCCTCATAGTGTGCCACTGTATCCCATGCTGTCCCATTTACTCATTGCTTCATGTGTATTTGTGTCTTCTCTCCACTGACCTGCCAACGCCTTGGGGGCAGGAGTTACTTCTTACGTCTCATATCTCCAGCAGCTCTCACCAGAGGACTGAGCCCAGGAAAGGTCCTAAACACACATTGATCCATTGAAAGAAGTTTTACGTTCAATAACAAAGCTTTTTATTAAAAGATTAGTTGTTGCTAAACATATTTCTGCTTATGCTTTAAAATAGAGGAAATTTCTCTAAATAAACAGGGGTTTATTTCAAACAATAAGAATTGCAGAGAAGTTAGACTTCATCACATAAAATAATAATGGAATACTGAAATTGGGAAGAGATCTGTAGGGTCATGTCATTCAATTCCTTATAGGACCAGTGAAGAAAATGAGATCCAGGGAAATACAGTCCTGGCCCATATCTGACAGGAGGGGAATCAGGACTAGAATCCCAGGTGAGAGCTGAGATGGACTGGATGACTGCACTGTTCCTGACCACATTTCGATGACTCATCGTTTTCCCTTGGGCTCCACCCCACTCTCCCCCAGTGTTTTCCTTTTATTTCCTTCTAGTCGAAAACACGTACCTTCCCGCCAGTCCTCCCCTATAGGCAAAAGGTCCTTAAATAACCTCCTTTCCCCCTGAGAAGAAAGGAGAAGAGAGGAGAGAGAGAGAGAGCGCATTCGTTTACTGAACATCTTTCTCTTCCCTGATCCCTTCTGCTCGCTTTTCTGCACATACTGGCACAAACTGCCCTGCGTGTTTGTGGAGAGACAAACCCTGCCAGATTCTGCATTCAAAAGTTTTAGGTTTTATTAGAAAGAGCTGTAACACTTCGACCACAGTACATGAAGCCCTCTGACATGCAACCACATGGCCAACTGAGAACCTTTGAACCCATAACTTGACACTTGTTTTCATTTTTAAAAATCCATTAATCTTCATTAAGCATCCCACTCTCCACCCAGGTCAACAATGGCATTTCCGGACCACACCATCTACATTGGAAAAAAAAAATATTTCTTTCTCCCTACTCACATGGGTGAATGAGTACACACACTCACAAACGCATGGTTCCTAAATAATGTTTATTATGTAACATATGGTAGAAAATTAAAAAGGCCTGTGGCAGTCACTGCAGTGTGCCGGCCAGTAGCCCCTCACTGATAGTGCCACCTGGTGGTCCACATGCCAGAGCTGTGGCCCGTGGTAGCTCACATAGCCTCCACAGCTCAGGACAGTATGCTCTGAGAACTGATTGAATGTGACTTTTCATGCTTCCCTGAAGCCTGCTAATGGAACATTGCATGATGCAGAAGGCAGCTTGCATTGCAACACACTGTAATCTGGCTGGAATTAAATGAGCTTAAATAACAAATGCTCAGATCGTGGTTACTAATTAAGAGTGATGCCAGAATGTCTATAAATTTTACATATGTTCCTCGTTTGGCTGCAATTTTGACAATGAGTAATGCAACACAGACTTGGTCACCTGACCTTCAGGCAGACACTCTGGTTTTTGAGGATCTATAATCCCAGTGAAAATGTTGAGACTGTAAATCAAATTATGTCCTAAAGACCGCTGCATTGACCAGGGGTGACTAGTTCAGGCATAAGTGTATTAACATGTGTGTATTGGGGGTGGGGAGAATAGTATGCCTTACAATAAGATCCGAACAGATGCCAAGGCCAAACACTAGGATGGGCACATATAATTAGTAATGGCCTTCATCCATTTAGGTGGTCCTAGGCTGACGAGATATTTTATAGGTATTTAATAATAAGTTTTGAAACATGTATGTGAAAATGCTTATGAAAATATTAAATTAAAATTTCCATTAAAATGTAAGACTATAGTATGATCCACTAACAGCTTCATGCATTTATATGTGTCTTACAAATATTTGGTACCCAATAAACAAGGGAAGGTTGAATCTGAAGAAAGATTTCATGTGCTGCATCATCGCCCCTTTATAGTGATCTTCTTGGGAAATGTTCCTTAAAGCAAGATGATGACGTGTGCAGCACAGTCCTCCAACATCAAGTGCAGACCAGTCCCTCCAGGACAGCCAAAGTTCATTACTGGTATGAGGTATCCCTTCATTAACTTCTAAACTTTTCTCCCCTTTGAGGTATCCCTGATATAAAGACAAAGTGTCAATTGCAATTAATCTTTTTCCCCTTTAGAATTAGAACAGAGAAAAATAGTTTTTTATAGATATACCTCTGTCTTACTCTCATCCCACTTCTCACTGTATTACCTGCCTGGTCCCATAGGACCCTTCCCCTAGAAGGACTTTTCAGAGAACTGTTATCATAGTTTGGTGACAAACAGCACATGTTTTACATCATAGGCACCTATATTCTAATTCTGGGCTTATCCCTCTGAGACAGATGACTTTTTCTGAGTCTCAGTTTCTCTTCAACAAAACATAGATAATAATACCTACTGTACAAGGTTATGGTGAAGATGAAAGGAAATAATGTACAAACCACATTTAGCACAGGATCTGGTGCAAACAGGCAGTCAAAAAAATAGGAGCCAGTAATATTATTAACATTTCTCCTCTCCAGTTATTTTCCTGATGACCTGAATTTTTGGGATGAGTCAACAGTATTGGGTGGTAGGAAGTAGGAATGAATGCTCCTATTTGGTGGATTGTTGAATACTCTGAAACTTCTTCAGGACTATGCAACAATTGGGTTATGGTTATCAACCAAAATTCAGACCTCTGATTTAAAAAAAATCTATAGATATGTATATATCTAATCAGATATCTTGTTTCCCTCACGTTGGATTAGCTAACACGGAAAATATCCCACATTATCAGAATAAGGACAGCATGACAAGTTTGACAAAAAGTAAACACCACTATTGCATTGGGGATTTGGGAAACCCAAGGCCAAAAAGTAACTTCAGTCACTGTAGAGTATGTAAGATAGATGTGAAGGTCCAACAATATAATTTCCCTCTGTGCTAAAGCTGCCGAACCGTAGAAGACAGTTTTAACTAAAGAGAAGATCTACCAAGGTCTCCTGCAGGGAGTTGTGTTATGTGAATGGAGTGAGTTTTAATTTTAGTCTGCAGATCAGAGCTCAGTAATACAGCACCACTGTCACCAGCAGGCCTGGGCTTTGTCGTGATGGCTTTCCTTTGTAACCCTAGTGGTTTGGCATTAGAGTCTCTAGTTTCAGTGTATTAAATATTTACCAACAACCTATTGGCCATATGTCGTTGGAGTGTGTGTGGTGACAGACTCACTACTTGGCACCTTTTCAAGTAGATTCTGTAGGATCTGCAGGGTACTGCAGGCTCACAGATCCTTTTTAATAAACAGCTCTTTTGTTCTTTTTTGTCCTCTTGTTCACTAAGCTGGTGTCAATATAATATGCAGGGTTCTGAGGAGGTAAACTCATTCAATCCTTCTCCTTCTATATTCTGTCTTCCTGGGGTGCCATGAACAATATCAATATTCCCTCCTCATTGCTTATTTACCTGACAATATTTGCTTTAATAATGTACAGATGCAGAGGCATTTTCCTTTACAAATAAAATTATTCTGAGAGTTGAATTCTGCTTACGTTCCTTAGTTGCCAATGAGTTCTGGTTCATTTTATGCTGTTTTAAGGAAAACTCACATGAAATTATGAACTTTGGATTCAGGCTTGGATTTTCAAATGGAAAGCAATTCCCTAAATAAGATGTAGCTGTATATGACACTAAACAAGCTTGAGAGATGTTTTGAAATGAAATATATATATTTGATTGAAATTGACTAAACTTGTGAAGAATCAGATATCCTCTATGATGACAGTTCTGTTTCAGCTCAGATCAACTCAACAGATGTTTCCAGAGGGCCTGCTTTGTCTGTGTTTCTTCCTTTGCTAGGCATGCAATTAAAGATCAATAAGATAATTTCTTCCCAAGGTTTATGGGGTTGTCCATCATTGTTTTGAAACTAGTAGTTCTCTCCAACACCTTGACGTATACAAAATGGCAATAGCTTTTATTTCTAAAGATGCTTACTTAAAGCAAACATATTGTTATGAGTGCATAAATTCATAGCTTTATCAATTATATACAGCCAACATTAGTTTCCATTCTCTTACAGTCTTTACAATCTGCAATCTTTGTAGATCTGCGATAGTAGATCTACATTTGAGCAACTCACTTGTTGATACATGAGGTAATATTGACTTCTGATTCTTCAAAGAACCTGAAATTATGTCATTTTTCAGGGGTTTAGGGAAAAATGAGAATCTTATTCTGAATTTAAGCTTAGTAAAGACCTTGGCGTTCCATACTTCTCAACTGATACTCTTTTACCTGTATTGTATGAGGTGAAAACATGTTATTAGTACAGAGTTTCGATGTGTTCTGAATTTGAGCATCAAAGCAAGGAGAGCCATAGAGAGTTAAATGTGGACCAGGTTTCAGTCATGACCCCTGAAACCACTTTCTTTACAGTTTAGAACTGGATAAATAAATAGATAGGTCTAGATATTCAATATTGTTCTGAAATTGTGTTTTTAAAATATCAAAATGCTGATTAGGCAAGTTATAATAAATAATGCATTATATGCCAGACAAAATAACTTATTGATCATAGCCAGTCACAATTATTTAATATTTTAATGTGTAAGTTTTATAGTGTATATAATAGGAGGTGCAAGTTTTGTCTATCAGCCTAGAGTGGGCAAAGTTAGAATATGTTTCAATGTTAATAAAATCATCTGTACTTGTTGTATATGTGTAATATAGCATGCTGTAATCAGTTTCAGTTTACTGTGGGATCCATATTGCATGTTTAAGTGCTTAAGAAAGGAGGTATTTCAGGTATTACAGCTATAATATCAGTGGAGAGAGCTCCGACTTAAGAATTAAGTGCTGAGGTTGTAATTCCTGGTTTTACTACTTAAATTTAAAGACTTTTTCACATATTTAATATCATTATTTTGTTATGGTCAAGATTTAAGAAACTGTCCAGATTTTGGTGATTTCAAAATAACAGGTTAATACCAAATAATGACAATCATAACTGACATTTGTGCTGTGCTTGCTATACACCAGGCACTTTCTAAATATTCTCTATATATTTACACACAATACTCCTTAGGTCAGTACTGTTGACTGCAAGCAATTATAATCCAGTGAAAGACAAGAAAACTGATAATCACACCCAATCAAATTTTCAGGTTAGGATGGGATACTAAGGAACATATCATAGGAGGATATAATAACTTCCTGTAAAATATGGGATGTGTGTATGTGTACACATGTGGGCAGAAGGTGTGGGGCTATGATAAAGCTTGGGAGGAGAAAAGGTAGAGAGCAAAAATATCCCAGGCTGAAGAAACAATATTACAATGCTATCTCTGAGACAGTGAAAATTATTTATTTTGATTAGAGCAGATTAGGTGGTCAGGGATGAGGTGAGTAATTGAGAGATGAGATGAGGTGAGACTGGAGAAGTCCCTATCACAAAGGTCTTTATTTTAAGGTACATTGAGGAATTTGGATTGTATCTTAAAGGTAGCCCATTGGCCTCCCCATGTCCGCGCCATTCATTATTAATCAACTATGACACTGAGCTTCAGAATCCTTCTGAACATAGCTCTCTAAGGTTGCCACTAAAAATTAATAGAAGTTGGCAATGAAATTGAATTGATACATGTTATTGTTATTAATGACATTTTAGAAACAATCATTCATTTTATTCCTATTTTATAGATGAGGAAATTGAGATTCACTGAAGGAGAAAGATTACACTTCTTTCACTTTGGCCTGAGCTAAGAAAAATGTGCTTCTGTTTATTCCCCCAAGATGACAACTTAAGTCTTTGAGTCTATCAGTTCCAGGCAAGGGTCAAGCTCCACAGGACCAGCCATCAGGGAAATAACATGACTTGTTATTTCCAGACTACGTTCAGGTATGTGTCCACTACAGACTCAGGCACACAATTTCTCTGATTTCGACTAATAGTTGGACTATTTTCCTTTTCAGTTTCTAAGCACAAAAGTATTTATTCCATTTGTTCTCATTTCAGATAAGAGATCTTGTTGCCTCCAACTGAGCTTGGGTCCTTAAGGACTTGAGTTTGTTTGTTCCTAAATCTGGCTTTGGGGGTTGGATAACATATCTATTTTATAGCTTCCTCTCCTTTTCCTTTAAACAGAACAGCTGGTCATGCTCCCTCTCTCGGACAATAGAACTTGAATGAGTCTAAAGAGGCCCAGAGCTTCAAAACAAAAAGTTTACCTGTAGGAGTGAAGGTAAGATAATGTCACTGCCTAAAATGTCACTCATTCTTGCATGAATGATGACAGAACTATCTGGAATCTTTGTTGCTAAAGCTTATGAAAATTAAATCAAGTTAAAGATACACGGATGAAGAAATGATGTCTTAGATATAGGATGACTTTCCCACAGTCGCATAGCTAAGAGATACATGATCAGGCTTTGAATGTTTGAGTGATCCCAAACCCTGTGTTCTAGCCCCAGTACTGTGTGGCTGCTGGGATAAAACTATTCTCTCTTAGGAGTAAGATGACATTTTCAGTCATGGTCATTATGGTGTTATGGGTGGAGGCATGGACTTGAGCCAGACTGTGGCCAGAATGCCTTGAATCTGAATCCCCAGCCTTGCTATTTATAAACAGTATGACTTCAAGCAAGTTGCTTAACCTCTCAGACTCAATTTTCTTACATGCATAAAGCAAATCATGATTATCTTGTTGGGAGGATTGCGTTTGATCAGTGGTTTCAAATTTGAGGGGTGCACAGAATCACCTGAAAGACTTGTTAAAATACAGAGTCCTGGCCCCATCCTAGAGCTCTGATTCCACAGGTCAGGAATGGATCCTGAGAATTTGCATTTTTTTCTCAAGTTCCCAGGAGATGCTGAGCTCTTGGTGAGTATGAGAATTCTTACATGAGGTAATATAAGTACAGTGTCTAGTTTAGTGAGTAGCTTATTTGGTGTCAGTCATTCCTTCCCCCTTCCTAACAAAGGATAAAAGCTTTGAGGAAATGGAATGACAAACAAGTTTTGATCAGGGAAGAAAAGAAAGAAGGGAAAGCTACTCGATTAATTTAAAATGCTATCACCTAATGAAAATCCCGAGGGAAAACTGTAGTGGTAGGAGATCCTGGAAAAGGGGAAGTGTATGGAGAAAGAAGGGAGGTGTAGGAAGGCTAAAACAAGTGGAGAGGGTCACAGGCAGGGAAAGCGGTGAAGATCAAAGTTAAAGTTTAGTAGGTACATTTATCCTTAAAGACAGACCTGGCTGTGGCTTCAGACCGATTTGCAGGCAGTTTCTCAGGCAGCTGCTTTCTTGGCCTTCCTTGAACACTGACTGCTTTCCCTTTTGCAAAATGTACCAACATAATTATCTCACTTGTTCATCTCAATAAACCTGCATGGCAGGGACTGGTATTACCATTTTGTGTATGTATAAACTGAGACTCAAAGAAGTGAAAGATTTACCCAAGTTCCGACAGATAGGAAGAACTTAGATCCTGAGTTCCAAATTGCTTTTTTTCATCCTCTATGCTGACTTCTTATGTCTCTCATCTCAAAGTGTTAGGTACAATCTCTGAACAAAGAAACTAACCCCAAGAACAAAGGCTGATGTGTCCAAAATGTGGTTCTAATCTCATATGTCTCTTATACCTTGAGGTGATAAGAATGCTTGAGTTGTGCTTTTTACCTCCAGGCTGGAGCCCTGGACTGGTCTCCTTTGCACAATCTTCTGCCCAGGCAGAGCCTACCTGACAGCCTGGGTGTGCCCTGGAGCAGCACTGGGATTTTCCGGGATCTGGTAGGCCTGCTTTCTTGCCTTTTCATAACACTCAGTCTTTGAGGATATACATGCAGCTTTCCCTTTGCATTATTTAAGAGATGGTTTCCAGTAAGGCAAACAGTTGAATTCTAAGTCTCTCTGTGATGCTGGCTTTAGGATTTTCTAACTTAAAAATAAAATTGCTTTTTTCTCCTTCACTCACTTAATCGCTGAAATGCCAGTAAATGGTACCGATGCTTTTCCCAGTCTGAAGCCACTGCTGTGAAAACATGGGGAATCTTCTTGGAGAGTGGTCAAATTCTTTGTGCAGCATCTCTTATGGGAAAATACAAGCTCTAGGCTAGTCTGTGATCATTTTCATCACAAGCACAGTTGGCCTACCGAATGATGGATTAATTGGTTTCTGGATTCCTTTAGCACCTACAATAAAGATGAGTAGGAAACCATCTATAACCTTGGGGAAAATATAGTCTTGAAAGGGCGGGTTTGGCACCCCTTTATGTAATTTATACAAAATCTTAAAGAGGAACTCTTTACTGTAATCCTCATAGTGTCGGAAATTGCACTGATAGATAATTAGCTTTATCAGGAAACTACGTAGGTCTTCTATTTGTAAAACAGCCCATTGCTACAATGCAACCTGCATTGTTGTTTTCTTTCCTCCTCAAACTTTTAGAATTTCAATGGCTGCTTCTTTTCAAAAATTTGTCAGCCTCTCCTTGATTTTCTTATGGTTTATCAGGCTAGCTGCACAGTTCATTGTAATCTCAAGATGGCCTCTATCTTGGCTGTCTTAGAATACAGTTGGGCGATACCACAAACATCCTTTTCTTAATGTTTTCTTTCATGTGGATGAAATGTTACTAGTGCAGTCCTCCTGCTTCTAACTGACTCCTGGACAGGGTGGAGGGGAGACTTAATCTGATAGATGACTTTGAAAAACTCAGCCCCTTTCTCTCCTTTACCTTCAGGGGAACTTACCTGCTTGCAGAGGGCATGAGTTTAGTGACAAAGGCCCTGTTCCTACGGACAGATGACTGCAGCTTTCCAGAACTATCTATGACTACATAGATGTCTGCTAATTCTAAAGTTTAGTATGAAGAAACCTACACATCAGCAGGTGTAAGCTACATTCTCCAAAATCAGCTTTCTCAAATATTTATCAGTGTCTTATTTATCAGTGTCTCCAGAGCGGGGATGTGGAAGAGTTGTATTATTTGTTGGACTCAAATTTTAAATCTCCCAAAATAGAAACACCCTAAGCATTTGCATTTGAAGAGTTTATTGCTATTTAATATGAGAAAGTGATATTTATTTATTCAGCAGATATGTTTGTTGAATGTCAAATCTGTACCCAGAATTATGCCAGACTCTTGAGATACAAAGATAAGCTCAAAGAGCTTAGGGGTCAGTAGGTGGGACTCCACAGAAGCAGGAATTTCCTTGTACTATGATATTTGCTATAACAATATAAATTTGTACAAAGTGTGAAGAAAAGTTAAAAAACAAAAACAAAGCAAACATGTCCTGATAGAAACTACAAGGCTGGGAATTTACACACACTCCAAACATGTCTAGCAATCCTACAGTCAAAGTTTCCACTTTATAATTTTCTTCTTCCCAATTTGTAATCTAATATTCTTTTGCTTTCTTTTTTTCTGCATGGGATAGTGAGAAAGATGTTGGGCTCAGCATTCTCAGCTCTACAGTCCAGGTTCCAATCCTGGCTCTGCATCTTTGAGTGTGGGCTTTGGAAATCTGTCCCCAGCATAATGGGAATTAAATAGTACCAGCCTGATAACTGGTACAGAGAAAAAACTCATTAGATATTAATATGAACTTTTATTAATAATTATGTTATTTATTATTATATTGTTTAATAATATAGTATTTATTCAATAAATCTTTATCAAGCACATCTTCTATTGCAGGCACAGTTCTAGGGTCTGGGAATCCTCAATGAATACAATAAATTCTTTCTTCTCCCTCAGGAGTTTATTCATTTCCAGTCTCTAATCTAGAAGGCCTTTTCCTCCCATGAAGGATCTTCATTCTGAAGGTTGGTATGTAAATTCAGCCAGAGTAGTCGGTGTGAACTTGAAACCTAGGAAACTTCCATCTCCTTATAGTTTTTAACCCTTTGAGGATAAGTTTTGTAACTATATTTTCCAAATGTAACACCATTGTCTGCTGACAATCTGTTCTACATTAATACGCCATTTTTTTATTCCACATTCTTCTCCAACACAATTTTACTACTCCAGAAAACTTTTGCCCATAAATTTAAAAATCCAAAGAATGACTTCTCTTTCTTTCAGCAAGTTACCCATAACTCATTTAAAACTGCTCAGTTTTTTTAATAGACAGCATGAAACAACTGCTTCCTCTCTAAGCCTCCTTGAAACTCTTGCTTTTAAAATCCTTACTTCGATATATCCACCAATCATAAACCATTATATTATAATCCTTATCCAATCAAATCAAAGGCCCACCTTAAACCAGCACCACCCCACCCAACCTCATAAATATCTTAGCTTTGCCCTCCTACCTTGAAACATTACCGTATCTCTGTCAAGGTAGTAAATTCTCACAGCAGTGAGCAATAAACTCAGTTTTGCTTGACTAATAGGTTATTTTAGTGATATTTTAAAAATAAAACAATATTTAAAACTTGCCTTTGTCATCATGACTTTATCTTCACCTCTTTCTAACTGTATGACTTTGGGCAAATTCCTTGATTTTTGTCAGCCTGGGTTTTCTAAATGGAGATGATAAGAACTGAACAAATGTATAGGATTGTTGTGAAGGTTAAATGGAATAAGCCATACAGCTTACTAAGTTCATTCAGCTCTGAGCTATGACTAGCTCTAAATAATGGCGAGAAAATGAAGTGTCATGATTTTTGAGCTGTTTGGCCCTTGTACTTCTTGTTGGGATTTGGTAACCTGATTATAAAAGCAGATTTTACACTGTGGCTACAAGAAGCTCATGTACACACTGCACTTTGGGGTATACCACTTGATTTTTTAAGTGGAGATAAAATTCAACAATAGTAGAGTTGAAACATTCCTCTCAGTTTTTTCCAAGCATTTCCTAGATCAGCAAATTTGGCCAGACTGACAAAAACTTAAGGAAATAAATTTTCAGGAGACATAAGCAGAGGAACCCTTTTGACATGACAAAGCTGTTCATGCCGGTAGCAGAATGGATTGCCAATTGGCTTCATTTAACTTAATTTTGGTCCCAGACAGATAGGCTCCAAGGGAGGGGATGGTGGAGGGTGGGAGGGGCAGGGGCTAGGGTCGGGGGGCTAGGAGGCCCAGGGATCACTGAGCAGCCTGGGAGCAGACTTTGTGATCTGATGAAAACATACATTCGCAGCTCTGGATGGAGGGAAATGGTGCTTTGACTGAGAAACTTTATGAGTTCTGGAGACTTTGCATCTTACTCTGAAGAGGAAAAATACATAGATTATAGCAATTTTGATTCTTTCTTATCATCCAGAACTTGGTTGAGATTTCCTAAGTCTTCTATGAAATAAACTGCTCCTCTAATTCTATTTTGGTTTAATGAATATTTGATGGATTGATTTATCATTTAGCATATATTTATTTAGCACCAATTTCATCTAAAACATGTTGTCCCTTAACATGCATCTAGTTATATAGGATAGGTAAATACAATTATTAAAATGTATTGTGTTAATGTTATGGAATGTCATTCACAGGTGGACCTGGAAGGGACAAGCTAATCTCCATTTTTTTAATCTGTAGTAGTTAATTTTATGTTTCAATTTGATTGCATTAAAGGATGCCCTTTAATTCAATCATTAAGTTTTACGCTGGTAAAAGATAACTTTGGGAGTATCTGTGAGGACGTTTCTGGAAGAGATTAGCATTTGAATCAGACATACCCTCACTAACATGGGTGGGCACCATCTAATCTGTGGAGGGCCTCTGATCGAACAAATAAGTGGAGGAGGGGTAAGTTCTCTCTCTCTCTCTCTCTCTCTCTTTCTGAGCTGAGACATCCATATTCTCCTGCCCTCAGACATTAGAGTTCCCGGTTCTTGGGGCTTGGTACTTACACCTATGGCCCCCTTTCTTCTCAGACCTTCAATTTTGGACTAAATTACACCACTGCCTTTCTTGTTTTTCCAATTTGCAGACAATCGTGAGACTTCTCAGCCTCCATAATCACATGAGGCAATTCCCATATTAATCTCCTCATATGTATATATGCATACATATATGTGGACCCTTGAACAATGCAGAGGTTGGGGGTGCCCACTCCCTGCACTGTCAAAAGTTCACATAAAACTTTTGGCTCAGGAAACCTTAATTACCAATAGCCTACTGTTGATTGGAAGGTTTCTGATAATATAAACCGTCAATTAACACATATTTTATATGTTCTATATATTATACACTGTAGTCTTACAATAAAGTAAGCTAAAGAAAAGAAAATCATAAGGAAGAGTAAACAGTTTTACTATAATCTATTAAGTGGAAGTGGATCATCATAAAGGTTTGCATCTTTATTGTCTTCACCTTGAGTAGGCTGAGGAGGAGGATGAGGAGGGGTGGGTCTTGCTGTCTCAGGGGTGAGAGATGCAAAGGAGGTGAAAGGGGAGGCAGGAGAGGCAGACATATTCAGTGTAACTTTATAGAAATACATTGTAATTTCTGACTTCTTTTACTTATTTCTCTAAAAATGTTTCTATATGGTAGCACTTCTTCTACTGTTTGCTTTAGTTTCAGTGCCCACGTCTTAGAAGAATCTATGTCACAAAAGAAGTTAAAAGCAATTTTGAATAAACACAGCTCTTCTGACAGATTGTCTAATATCACTTTTTCTGGTGCTTCCTTTTTTGTTTCTTCTTCCTCATTGCCTGGCACTGGTTTGGAAGCACTCATCTCCATCAAGTCATCTTCTGTTAATTCCTCTGCTGTAGTGTCTACTAGCTCTTGAGTTATTCCAAGATCTCTATCTTGAAACCTTTCAACCCTCACCTTTTTCCTTATATCTACAATCTCTTTCATGGTTTTCTTGACTGGCTCTCCCATAAATCCTATGAAGTCATTTACAACATCTGAGCACAGTTTTCTCCATCAATAATTTATTGTTTTGTGCTTGACGGCTTTCGTGGCTTTTTCTATAACAATGGCATGTTCAATGGTGTAATCCTCTCAGACTTTCATGATATTCTATCAGGGCTCTCTTCCTTAGCATTGACAATTTTTTCCATAGGGTACCATGTGTAATGAGCCCTAACGATCCTTATGACCCCCTAATCTAGAGGTTGAATTAGAGATGTTTTTATTTAGGGGCAACTAGAACACTTCGATGCTTTCAAAGTTAAACTCATGGGGATTTGGGTGGCCATGGGCGTTGCCCAATATCAAGATAACTTTAAAAAGCGATCACTTACTAGAAAGGTACTTCCTGACCTTAGGGACAAAGCCTTGATGCAACCAATCCAAAAAAAGGGTTCCCTTTGTCCAGGCCTTCTCATTGTACAACTAAAAGATTGGCGCCTAGTGTTAATATTTTCTCTTCAAGGCTTCGGGGTTAGCAGCTTTGTAGATAAGGGCAGTCCTGATTGTAAACCTGACTGCATTTGCACAAAACAATAGAGTTAGTCTAGTCCTTCCTACCTTAAATCTTGGTGGTTGCTTCTCTTTCTTACTAATAAATGTCCTTTGTGGCTTTTTTCTTTTTTCTAGAATAGGGCACTTTTGTCTGCATTAAAACCTGTTCAGGCATATATTCTTTCTCCTCAGTGATTTTTTAAATGATATCTGGGAACTCTACTGCCTCTTGGTCAGCAGAAGCTGCCCCTCCTGTTATCTTAATTTTTTTTTTTTTTTTGAGATGGAGTCTCGCTCTGTCACCCAGGCTGTAGTGCAGTGTCACGATCTCTGCTCACTGCAAGCTCCGCCTCCCGGGTTCACACCATGCTCCTGCCTCAGCCTCCCCAGTAGCTGGGACTACAGGCGCCCGCCACCATGCCCAGCTAATTTTCTGTATTTTTAGTGGAGATGGGGTTTCACCGTGTTAGCCAGGATGGTCTCGATCTCCTAACCTCATGATCCGCCTGCCTCGGCCTCCCAAAGTGTTGGGATTACAGGCATGAGCCACCGCACCTGGACTATCTTAATATTTTTAAAGCCAAACATATTTCTAAAATTATCAAACCATCCTTTACTGGCACTAAATTATCCAGCCTTAGATCCCTCACCTCCCTTTCACTTTAAGTTATCATATGATGAGTCCACTATTTCTCAAATCATACTAGAATCTGTAAGCATGGCTTTTTTTTATAGCAATCCTGTACTCACAAAAACAACTGTATTTTCAATTCAAGTTAAAAAGGTATTTTGTAAAAAGTGCAAGGTATTCATGGCTGCTAGCCTAGCTCTAGCAAATGCTTCATGAATGCTTTTTTTTTTTTTACAATGATCCTTACACTGGATTCATTTTTCCTGAAATGGTTTGCAACTGCAGCTGCAGAACTGTCTATGGTAACTATCAAGCAACTGGACTTTTTCTTGTAATGTTATGACCTTGCCCTGCTTCTTGGGAGCCTTCTAGCATCACTAGTGGCACTTCATATGGGTCCCATGATGTTATTCAGGCTTTTCAGTATTGCACTAAACACAATGAAAAATACACAAGAACTGTGAAATATCATTTTTACTGCAATACACCATTTACTGGAGATGATTACCATCACAGAGAGTTTTAAGTGAATACTTCTAACACTTGAGCTCACCACGATAGCAACAGGAGGTAGCTAAAGAATCATTACAGTAGCACAGTATGTACTACAGTTAATTTTATGCAGTTAGAACTTAATACTGCATCTTTACATTTGCTTACATTTCTCTCAACTGTGAATAACATACCATATATTGTCTGTGTTTGTGTGCGTAGGTTTTGATAAATTTTAACTTTTTATATTAGATATGTGTATATTTTATGAGAGTAAATAATGAAATAGACTAGTATCTACATATATGTTTTGCATTCATGACATACCTAATTTTTTCATAATTATAAACATATTTCTGGGCTACAGTGTTTGTGAGTTGTTTTAAATTGTCACAAATCAAAAATTTTCCAAATATACTTATTGAAAAAAAATCTGCTTATAAGTGGACCTGCACTGTTCAAACATGTGTTGTTCAGCTTCTCAAGGGCCAACTGTGTATGTATATATATATATATATATATATATATACACATGTGTATATATATATATATATATATATATATATATATATACACATGTGTATATATATATATACACGTATATACACACACAGTGTATATATACATTTATACATTATACACACACACACACACACACACACACACACATTGTGTGTACAATTGGCTGTTTCTCTGGAGAACCCTAACTAATACATAATCTATTTGATTTTCAATGTATTATGACTCAATTATGTAAGACAATTACAGTATTTCTATAACTATGTCAAACCAGACCAGATTATGACAATTATCAATATACAGCTGAACCACATTTAATTACTCTGTTATGACATGTTGTCAGATAGGCTGCAGCTAAATCATAGTCCTAGAGCACAATACCAGCATGTGACAGGGGCCTGATTATGGCAAAGTGAAGCCTATTGCATTTTCTTCTTTGAACTGCAAATATATTGATAGTCTAGAATATGTCTATACTATGGAAATTAGTTAAATTTCAGGAGCCATGATTTTTTTGTTGTCTGACCACCAAATTGGAGGACATTTTGCCTGGCAAAAAGGTCTATGTTAGGTAAGAATAGAAAGGAGCTAGGGAGGCTTAGTGTATGCAATATTTGTGCTAATAAATTTTACATAATCCTTTGTTACAGTAGACCAGTTGTTTCAAGTATAATATCACCTGTAGTCTGCTTTCAAGCACTGTCAACATAATCACTAAAAAAATTAATCAAACACTTTTTTTCCTAAGCTTATATAATGTCAATAAGTATGAGTTGATTTTTTTTCTTCTCTCAAATTTATCCGGTTGACGGACTTGAATCTATAATGAGCTGTTTTGGTATTAGTAGCATCTGAGTTTGGATTTTACTGAAAGAAGTACCTAATACAGGGACTTCTGAACTGGGAAGGTAGTCCCAGTAAGCAGGGATGGAGAGTCCAGGAGAGAGAGAGACAGGGAAGGAGGAAAGGCCAACGTAAGAGTAAAGCATCGAGGTAGCTGCTCAGTCCTCCTGAGAGGTGTGAGTGTCTCCCAGAATTGTCTATCTGGGGGAGGGAGGCTGGCTTGTGTACCCACCAACTCTTGACCTCATTGGTTGAGAATTACCCCCACAGACATGAATTCTTCTGCATTTCTGGGCTGCCTTTCCAGCTGAATGGACTCCTGTTGCCTCAGAAAAGACCTCCAGACGGAGCTGAAGACAGAGGATACTCACAGAGGAAGGTGAGTCTTAGCTCTCTTGAAATAATGCACTATAACTGCAGCTAAAATCACAGGTATGCCCATGGCATGGGAAGAGGGGCACCAAAGACATCTTCTACATGTGCCCTTTCATCTTTACACATCTTATTTATGCCCTTTCCCTCAGAGCGAGTGCCAAATCAAACCCGATCATTTGAAGGAAATCATCTTCACTGGCCTTGCGTAAACACCCCTGTGTCCTCAGAAGCGAATGTAAAGATTCAAAGAAAAGAATTGCTGTTAAAATGAACTCCTAGAAGCATGAATAATTCAATATGTCTTCTTCAAGGTACATTTATATCACCTTAGCTTCTCAACAAAAAAGCCAGGAGAAAGAAGAAGTCAGAGTTTGTCCATGTGGTGGAGGTAGGATGTGCATTTTTATTGCTTATTCACTGGCTGCAAAAGGAACTTTGAAGGCCATCTTCATAATTGATTAAGCCCACTGGTCCAGGTTGGTTTCTTTTCTCTAGATGAAGTTTGGGGCCACAGGTAGCCACTGGCCATGGCTAACTTTTGCCCTCTTTCCTTCTCCCTGTGTACCTGGGCATTTACTGCAGATATGAAGAAATAGATAACCTCTTTGCTGACTTCGGTGTCAGCAAGATCTCCTGCCATGAAGAGTTCCTTGCAGGCAGAGTTCCATGCTTGCTACCTCTGGTGGGGGGCACACTTGAATGTCAGAGGGGCTGGAGGGCTTGACTTACCCAAAGACAAGGGGCAAAGGCTTTTCTTTACACTTTCTTTTTCTTTTTTTTTTTTGAGACAGAGTCTCACTCTGTCACCCAGGCTGGAGTACAGTGGCATGATCTTGGCTCACTGCAACCTCTGCCTCCTCCATTCAAGCAATTCTCCTGCCTCAGCCTCCCACGTAGCTGGGAGTACAGGCGCACGCCACCAAGCCCAGCTGATTTTTGTATTTTTAGTAGAGACAGGGTTTCACCATGTTGCCCAGGCTGGTCTCAAACTCCTGACCTCAAGTGATCCGCCTGCCTCAGCCTCCCAAAGTGCTGGGATTACAGGTGTGAGCCACCATGCCAGGCCTGAACTTTCATTGGCATAAAATCTAGAGTTATCTGAAGTTTATGTTTTCTTTTTTTTTTTTTTTTTTACAAATGGTTTCAAAGACTGCAGAAAAAATTTGCACAGCAAATAATGACAATTCTGACATATTGAAAGTCTTGTGAGGTTCTCTGATAGACTTATCCCTCAGCTGGTGGAAGAAGCGGTGTGACTCAGAACCCAGGAGAGTGAAAGCAGAGGATTTCCAGACATATGTCTTCTGTAGAGCTAAGCTGCTGTTATGACATCAGAAATGGTCTGTAGGGAGCAGAGGAGAAACCAGGGGCAGAAACCCCACAAAATGATAAATGAGGACAGACTTGATGGATTTCATCCTAGCATTCCCTTGGACCCAGAGCTAGCAACAGTTTCACACAGCCCCAGGCTGAAAGATGAAAATATTTCGTGTGATCCTTTCCAGTATTTTTTGTTTCTTCTCAGTAAACAAGATTGTAATCCTTAAAGCTAGGGGCCTTCGACCTAGGCAAAACATAGCATCTGCCTGGCCCATGATAGGTGTTCAATATTTTTTGAAAGATTGGGTAGTATATTACAGTGTAGAGTAAAGACAAGTGGACTGGAAGCAGGGCAAAAATAACATAGTTCTTGCCCAAGCTCTGTGACTAATAAACTTCCCTTACTCTCAATTTGTTTGTCTGTTTGTCTGTGAAATGAAACATTAATTGATCCCCTGTAGTGAACCAAGTCCAATGCTATAAAGAATCTAGTAAAGAAATAGAAGTTTAAGAAGTAGTCTTTGTCTTCAAAAAGGATAGTAATTTTCTCAGATATTTATGAATGGTATGGTGATGATGATCTTAGATCCTATAGTCAGTTTAACTTGGGTTCAAAACTCAGACCTACCACTCATCAATAAAATGGAAATAATGGGCTGAGCATGATGGCTC
This sequence comes from Homo sapiens, assembly GCF_000001405.40. Taxonomy (NCBI): domain Eukaryota; kingdom Metazoa; phylum Chordata; class Mammalia; order Primates; family Hominidae; genus Homo; species Homo sapiens. The sequence continues at coordinate 28,691,620 of NC_000011.10, forward strand.
ACACCTGTAATCCCCGCACTTTGGGAGGCCAAAGTGGGTGGATCACTTGACGTCAGGTGTTCGAGACTAGCCTGGCCAACATGGTGAAACCCCATCTATATTAAAAAATACAAAAAATTAGCCAGGTGTGGTGCCAGGCACCTGTAATCCCAGCTACTCAGTAGGCAGAAGCGGGAGAATCACTTGAACCCAGGAGGCAGAGGTTGCAGCGAGCCAGGACTGTGCCACTGTACTCTAGCCTAGGTGACACAGGCAGACTCTGTCTCAAGGAAATAATGGACTACCTTAAGTATTTTTTTTTTTATTGTAGTAAGAACACTTACCATCAGATCTATCTGCCTAACAGGTTTTAAAGTGTATGATACATTATTGTTGACTATAGGTACAATGTTGTTTAGCATAGGGGCCCCCAATCCCTGGGCCACGGGCAGATACAGGTCCATGGCCTGTTAGGAACTGGGCCGCGCAGCAGGAGGTGAGCAGCTGGTGAGCATTACCACCTGAGTTCCTCCTCCTGTCAAATGGGCAGCAGCATTAGATTCTCATAGGAGCACAAATCCTACTGTGAACTGCATGTGTGAGGGATCTAGGTTGCATGCTTCTTATGAGAATCTAACTAATACCTGATGATCTGAAGTGGAACAGTTTCATCCCCAAATTTCCCCCTGTAGTCCCCCTCTCCACTCCATGGAAAAATTGCCTTCCGCAAAACCCATCCCTGGTGCCAAAAAGTTGTGGACCACTGGTCTAGAGCTTACTCATTGTGCATAACTGAAACTTTACGCCAGCTGATTAGAAACTCTTCATTACCCCAACCCCCAGCCTCTGCAAATTTCCCTTTTCATTTCTATAAATTTGACTATTTTGGACACCTCATGTAAGTGGAATCATATGGCATTTGTCTCTCTGGGACTGGCTTATTTCATTTAGCATTACGTCCTCAGTCTTTATTCATGTTGTCACACATGACAGAATTTTCTTCTAATTAAGGCTGAATAGTGTATTCATTGTGTATATATACCACATTTTCTTTGTTCAGTTTTTTGATAGGAATATAGGTTGTTTTTACATTTTGGAAATAGTGCATTAATGAACATTGGAGTGCCCAATTTTTGTTGTGGAGATAAAATAAAATAATGCATCTGAAGCATACAGCAGCAGAATGTGGCACTCAATAAACATTAGCTATTAATAATTAATTATGAACAAATAATTATAATAAAATCCCAGTGTAGCTGAGATGTTAGTGTATTCTGGAGTTACTGCAGAGGATGAGAAGCTGACCCCATGAATAGAGTGGGGTAAGATGTTTGCAGAAGGCTTCAGAGTTGTTTCAGATTTGGCTCATGAAGCATGAGAAAGATTTCAATGGAGACTAGGAGAGAAAAAAGCCTTCTCAGGAGGAGGGGACCAGTATTACAAATGTCAAGATAAGGAAAAGGCATCATTTAGTCATTCTGTTTTGAATAGAAGATGGCTATTAATGGGGATCCTAGGGAAACTGCCCAAGTAGCACTTATACTGTAAAAATTTGTCCTTCCTACAGGAACAAATGGATGATTATTATTCTTAAGTGCATCAGATACTGTTAGCTGCCTACCATATTTCATTATTTCCCTTCTTTCTCCTGCTTTACCACTAGAACTGTGTTTTGGTAAAGGGTGTCAATGTGCCCCGTTAAAAGTGTTCACCTCCTTGGGAGGCCAAGGTGGATGGATCACTTGAGGTCAGGAGTTTGAGACCAGCCTGGCCAACATGGTGAAACCCCATCTCTATTACAAATACAAAAAATTAGCTGGGCGTGGGGGTGGGCACCTGTAACCGCAGCTACTTGGGAGGCTGGGGCAAGAGAATCCCTTGAACACGGGAGGCAGAAGTTGCAGTGAGCCAAGATCATACCATTGCACTCCAGCCTGGGCAACAAGAGTGAAACTCCATCTCAAATAAATAAATAAATAAATAAATAAATAAATAAATAAATGTGTTCACCTCCTCTAATCCCTTGCAGCTAGGGATGGCTATATAGACCCTGTTCCAGCCAATAAAAGTCAAACAAAATTCCAAAGAGGGTGGTGAGGATTCTGGGCAAGCAATTATATTCCTGACAAAAAGGGATAGTTTCATGGGGCAAGAAGTTTTTTCCCTTACCCCATCCCAATCTTTCCTGCTTCTACCCTGAACACAGGAACAATGCTAGAGGAATAGCCATCTTGCTTTATAAAGACAAATGTCATGCACTTTGAATGATGGAGGAAGATTCTTGAATAAGCCCACGTATTTGATGAGGTTATTAAAGAGTGGCACTTGCACTGGACTGGCCGACCTCCTTTTTTTTATTACAGGAGAAATAATGTCGTATTTGGTTAAGCTGCTATTATCAGGTCTCTGATATACACAACTGAATACCACCTTAACTGATACCTTCAGCTAAACAGGCTGTGATTGTTATGTTTTTTCCTATATGGTATACTTAAAAGGAGAATGTGTAATATATTACATTTCCCTACTTGAGCTTCCTTTTTTTTTTTTTTTGAAATGGAGTTCTGCTCTTGTCGCCTAGGCTCTGGAGTGCAATGGCACGATCTTGGCTCACTGCAACCTCTGCCTCCTGGGTTCAAGCGATTCTCCTGCCCCAGCCTCCTGAGTAGCTGGGATTATAGGTGCCTGCTACCACACCCAGCTAATTTTTGTATTTTTAGTAGAGAAGGGGTTTTGCCATGTTGGCCAGGCTGGTCTCGAACTCCTGACCTCAGGCAATCTGCCCACCTCAGCCTCCCAAAGTGCTGGGATTACAGACGTAAGCCACCTCGCCTGGCAGAGCTTCCTTTGTTTAAATTGCTTTTAGTATATATATTTCTTTAAGTATACAAAGAAGAATCAGTTTCTTTGACTCCCAAATATGTAAAGCAAATACAGGCATACCTTGTTTTATTGCATTTTGCTTTATTGCACCTCACAGATACTGTTTTATTTATTTATTTATTTTTTACAGATTGAAGGTTTGTTGTAACACTGTGTCGAGCAAGTCTATTGGCACCATTTTTTTCAACAGCATGTGTTCACTTTTGGCACAGAGGTGTCAGCATTTTCAGCATTTTTTTTAGCAATAAAGCATTTTTTAATTAAAGTATGTACATTTTTTAGACATAAGGCTATTGCACACATAGTAGACTACAGTATAGTATAAACCTAACTTTTATATGTACTGGGAAATAAAAAAGTTTTTGTGTGACTTGCTTTATTGCGATATTTTCTTTATTGCGATGGTCTGGAACCAAACCCACAATATCTCTAAGGTATGCCTGTAAGTTAAAGGGAAGTTGGAAGAAAATTTCACCATAGGAAGTGAAAACAAATTTCAGTTTACAGGCCCATAATCTTTGCCCCAAGGAAGGTTTTTAGAGAGGCTAAAAAACAACCTTGTCTTTTGCTGGAGGGGTAGTCCACTACCCAGTTAGCAATACAAGCTAGTGAGGATTCTCACCTTATCAGTGGCACTTAGAATCATATTTAGGAGAAAATGAAGGGCTCATGAAACTCTTTAATCTGTTTGCATCTGGTGATGTGAAACTTCAGGTTCATGTCAATGAAAACAATCAAAATAAAAGAGGGGAGTCATTTCAATTCTAGCAGATCCTAGAGTGACGGGGAAACTGGGATTATATTGTTTAGGGATGCCTAATAAAAACAATTGTGCTTTATTTCGTAGGACACACCAGCTATTAGAGGCATTTTTCAGAGCTGAGGTTTATTATTATTGTTGTTATTGGGTGACTGGCTATTACTTGAGCTCTCACTGTATTTCAGGCTCTGTGCTAACTTTACATGGGTTTTCTCAGTTAGTTCTCAATAAACCTTACTATTAGGTTGGTGCAAAAGTAATTGTGGGTTTGCAATTGTTTTAATGGCAAAAACCACAATTACCTTTACACCAACCTAATATCATTAGCTCTCTCTTAACACATGAGAACGTCTTTGCTCATAGATGTTAATGACTTGCCCAAGTTCACACTTTAACATGAAGCACTTCATTCTCCTGTTTGGTTCTGGCCTAGTTTATTTTGGATAATCCTGTTTTCATGATTAGATCTATTGTACATTGAGGACTTTTCAATTGGTAGATCAAGTCCTACTGGTGAATTCTAAAGCTTTGCCAGACAAATGTTCAAAATATTTGCCAATGATCTTGTGCAAAGACCACGATAAGAATCTTTGCCTAGATTCCTGGCTGGGAAGAAAATACAGAGGGTGCTGTCTCCTCAGATTTTTCTCTAGTCATGAATCTAGACCTTCATCAATCATTCTTGGAGCCCTTAATATGTGCTAGATTAAGTCGAGGAGGGGAGACAGATTGGCAAACTGGCAAGTGTTGTGAAGTATTGAAGGCATAAAGAGAGGAAAGTAAAGCAAGGAAAAGGAAATAGACAATTCCCCCAGGGAGAGGGCAATGCAGAGGAACACAAGAGCTTCCTCTATCAGATGGGTATAGATTCAAGGTCATCTTTATTCCACCCTCCTTCTCTAGTGATGCTCCTCACATATGGCAAAGTTTTCTATCTTGGCTGGATATGGTCACCTCAGTCTTCTACATAATAGAATATGATCATCTACTTTTCAAGATCACCAGAGTCTTCTGAGAAGCCATCCAGCTGCTCAAGAGATGCAATGACATCTGCTTAAAATACTGAGTATTAATTCCTATTATATTAATAATATACAATCTTACCAATATGGTTGAGAATTGTTGGTTGATAGAATTTGCATGGTTATACACTTAGACTAAGGAATTAACAGGGTAATTTTAAAAGTTGTGAAGTACCTACTGTATGCCACACCACAGGTTACAATACTGATGATACAGAGATTTGTGGGACAAAATCCCTGACATCAAGCTGGTCACAGTTAACCAGGGAGACAACATATCCAGATAACTGTAATAACCTATTTTAGGTAAAATAATAGAGGTTTGTTTAGAGTTCTGTGGTTATTTCTGCCTCGATAAAATCAAGGAATTCTTCCAGAAAAAGTGACATTTAGACTAGCTCTTGAAACATGAATAGGAATTTCCAAGGTTTTCTGGAGAGAGCCCTGGGAGTCTGTTGGGGGAGGCAGCATTAGATACTGGTACAAGAGCAAAACCAGAGGGGAGGAAGGTTTGTGACAGTGTGGGAAGAAAGAGGAATGTGGTTAGGATGTAGAGTGCACAGGCAAGTGGTAGGAGATAAAACAGAAAGGGCAGGTTGGGGATTTATTTTGAACAACTTCAAATTCCCTTTCACCTCTGATCCTTTCCCACAACTCCCTAAATCTTTAATGACCAAGATGTTTCTGCTTTCATAATTTCAGGAAACCAAATGAAGGCAATTTATCACAGCAAATCCACAATTGACAGCCCTTCCTAAAATTATTTTTTTTTAGTATCTCTGTCCTTTTCTTTTAGTAGCACTTTACTGGAATAGCTGACACCCTAACCATGGAACATCTCAGCAGAACTGACTTTACAGAAGGTCCTCAACAACACCAGGAAGGAAGTGTTCTACCTTTGTGGAGATCTAGAATTTTGAACATTAATAATTTTAAAAATACGTAACCATTGTTTTCTTAATATTTGATGTGGTTTTCCTTCTTCAAGGAGAGCTAAGATCCTGCTAGCCTTGAACTTTTCAGCCTTGACTATTTGTTAAGTTCGGAGAGTGGAAAGAAAAATCATTGCAGGCTTTTTTTATAGAATGGAAATTTTTTTAAAATTCATCTTGATGTAGCCGAGAAAGGAGCTGAATGAAGTCCCATAAATTTTTTTTTAAAAGAAATTCACCTTAGAGTTCAGAGGAAGTGTGGATATCTTTAGTTTGAGAAGGACTTATTTTTAAGGAGACTATGGGAAAACTTGGAAAATAGGCTTGGGGTGAATAATCTCTTTTACTTGATGTTATTCCCAAAAGGATTTCTTCCTCCCACTCTTCCCTGACCCCATCACCTTTCTCTCTCTTTCTCTCTCTGTCATCTGTAACTCTGTATCTCTTCATTTTTCCCTTTCTCTCTCTTTCTACATCGCTCCCCCTCCCATTACCACATAGGCACACACACACTTGTCTACAAACCTATAGAGCCATAGTTCAGTGAAACCTCACTTAAATAGGTGTATTCCAGAAAAGTGAGTTTTCTAGATTACAGGAAGTTCCACTTGTCACTCAGTAACTTTTATACAAAGTTTAACTGCTGTTAGTGAAAATGTTCCTAAAATGCTGGGCACACTTTTCTACCTTCTTAAATAAAGTGTGATAAATATAATTTAAACGTTATAATTTTGCCACTAAAAAGTTATTACTTTGAGACCCATCCCTAAACTCTAAGTTTTTATTTTCTTATTTTTTTTCCATCTCACTCTCTGCAATAAAATAGCTACAGTGTTCTGGGTACCCCAAATTTCTACCCAGTCCTTCATTCAAGACCGAATTCCCTAAATTCCCAGCCTCAACTGCTATTTGCTGCCCCCTGCTGGCATCTGGTGACAGTACCTCTCTACTTGAACTGGGGGAGGGGAGGTGTGCCCTCCTTAACCCTTTGTTGTATGCATTAATCCCTCACATTCAAATTTTGTTTTAGTTCTCGCTACAGAAAGAGAAATGTATTCTAGAAAGTATACATTAAATAATGTCACATTAATTCCCAGCAAAATCTCAAAGTGGATTATTAAAGATGTGGTTTGTGTGCACTGAAAAAAACCTAATGATCTTGTGTGGAGCAATAGGTCTCTATATACACATGAAATATATTAACACCAATAACCTGATCTTCTTTTAAATGAGAATTACTAACCTGTGTTAGTGAAATGCTACAGTTGTTGATTACATTGGTTTTGCATGAATTCAGATTGTTGATGGCTTTGTGATCCCTTTCCTTTTCTTCGTAGCTTTTTCCTCGCCGCACCATCACTTCCTCCATGATGAAACTGAACTCTTGGCCAGAGCATTGTATAGGAGTATAAATACACAGTGAACAAACCTGAGCCCCTAGAGGGCAAAGATGGCACTTCACTTTTAAATTTTTGTGTCTCTCTAACATGTATATCAGTGTGTGGTATATTTGTGTCAAAATATATTGAGACTTAGTAACTAGGAGGATGATGTTGGATAAGATCCTTATATCTCTGGCCTTCATTATAATTAATTAACTGATTTATTTTTGAGAAGAAGTGTCACTCTGTCGTCCAGGCTAGAGCAGAGTGGTGCAGTCTTTACTCACGGCAACCTCTGTTTCCTGGGTTCAAGCGATTCTCATGCCTCAGCCTCCCAAGTAGCTGGGATTACAGGTGTGCACCACCACGCCTGGATATTTTTTTGTGTTTTTAGTAGAGATGGGGTTTCACCATGTTGGCCAGGCTGGTCTCGAACTCCTGGCCTCAAGTGATCCACCCGCCTCAGCCTCCCAAAGTGCTGGGATTACAGGCTTAAGCCACCTCGCCCAGCCTCTGATCTTCATTTTTATCACCTATATAATGATCTAGAGGAAGCATATCTCCAAGGACCTAAGACACTTTAAAAATCGCTGTACACAGGTATAACCTTCTCAGATATTACCGAGTAGAGCAGAACTAGTTGTACCAATTCTAAAAGCCCTCTGTTTTGAGTGATGATTTTAGAGTGATTTTTACTGATGCTTATATCCCTGTTTAGTAGTTTTACTACTTCTGTCTCCTGTTGATAAGCTGTTAGCTCTCCATTCTCACTTCTTCAGTACTAATCACCCCTCTCCCACCTCTTATTTGCTGATGCTAAACCTCTGCATCTTGGAAACCAATATTCTTATTTATGTTACATAATACTAAACAAAAATGTTTGAAATTCTGACACCCTGTAGCCCTTTGTGGTAACGTTAGGTTTGTTTCACTTCATCCTGTGGCAGACAGCATGTGGCCTTTGTGAGAACTATTCCCTCAGCCCTGTCCCCATGAAGTTCTGCTCTGTGGCTATATTTCAGACAGATGATGTCGCCAAAAATCTGATCTTTAAATGAGTTAGGGGCATTGTTACATAATCGCTGGTAGACCACCTGTGTATTTCTATTCAGAGCATAATCTGCCTCCATATGTTGGCTGATATGTGAATAGATCAGTGTGTAAATCAGAGCACAAATATTTAGTGAGAATTTTCCCTCACTTTGTGTAAGCTTCTGATCATGGAGATTCAAAGAAGTGAAAGGCAGAATCCCTAGTCTCAGGAAGATGTGACACAGATAATATCACTGTTACATAAAAAAAATAAACATTAGAAGCCACAGAACAGTTGTGTTTAGCAGTCAAGTGCAGAGCTCAGAGATTCAGTACCTTGCCTTCAGAGGCTAAATAGGCTACAGTGAATTTCTTTGGTCAAAAAGCTTCTAGGGCAGTCTACTGGGTATGAAGGTTCTGACAGAGCTCTGTGACATTTTGTTAACTGAGGTAAGCTGACTGTTTTTTCAGACAGGTTTTAGCTGCCATCTTGTGTCCCATCCCTTCTTCTCTGAGAATGGCTGATCCATTACTCCTCCTTCTTTATTGCTCCAGGAAGCTTCTATCTTTCCATGCTGTAGCTTGGTGCTTGCCCCAACTACCCTGTAGATTGTGGGCCTGTTTAGAAGTTAAAGGTGCATTTCTTCCAATCAGCTAAAAATAGACTCCTTCATGTACATTGCTCCTCCAAGAAATACGACCTGGTGATTTTATGACCATTCAGGTTCAGCTTCCAAAATATAGATACGGAGTGAGAGGAAGAACATGGACTCAGTGATAGATGAACCTGGCTCTGAATTGTGCTCCCCCATTTCTTGATTGTTATACTCTTGCCAAGCTCCTGAGATTCTCTAAGCCTTAGTTTCTTCAGCTGTAAATACAGGATAACAAGGAGCTATGCTTCAGAGGAATAAATTTGGCAGAAATAATTATGATAGTCTAGAGGGGAATGAGAAAGTGCTGGTTGAGAGACCAGTTGAGAAATTGATCTCAGTGTACAAAAAAGTGATAAAGTGGTCTGACCAAGAGGTAGTTTTTTAAAATATAAACTGGCCTAAAAAATCCAGGGTAGATGATTGTTGTCAATTAAAAAAAACACACACACATGATCTAGGTGCTCTTGTTGAAGGTATTGGTGGGCAAGACTGCAAAGATATGATTCTGAAACTTAATGAGGTCAGGGACTTTATGCATCTTGTTATTCTAGTGCCTTCCATGGTGTGTGCTTCCTTATAGATAGTCATTTTATAAATGTATTTGATGAATGAAAATCATCACATTTTAGTCTTGCCACATCCTAGCTCAGTGACACCTGAGGCTGTGGCATTTGACTGGTATCCAGTGCTAATTATGCCCAAAGTAGAATCCAATATGGCTTGAAGGGCTTTATTTTATGGCATTTTTGCAAGGCTAAACTTGTGAGTCAGACAATTCTGTGTTAGTATCCTCGATTTCTTATAAACTGTACTGAATAAGTTGTTTTATTGTCCTAAGCCTCAGTTTCATCTTCTATAAAGTGAGGATAATATCATCAACCTAAATGGTGTAAAGAGTACCAACAACATATGTACAATTGTTAGCATATTACGCAGCACATAATAATATATAAACAGTAACATTTAGCTATCTGTTATCTTTATTGTTGTTGTCAGTGCAATTATATCCAATCCTCCCTAGCCATTCAGCAATGGTCAGTCTTTGCTTACAAGCTAGACCATATGAAAGAATCCAGTTCAGTGCAAAGCTCACAGTGGGTCAGTCACACACCTGGATCTTGAGAACCAGACTTAGTAAAGCCTACATCTGAATGGGGGAGTGGCACAGTAAAGCACTACCCTTTGTTGCTTCCCTTTTACCCTCTTATCAGGACAACTAGGCAGTGACTGAATGAAAGACTTGCCTTTCCTATTAGTGCAGAGTTAATGCTGCTGGAACACAGCTCCTCCATCCACATTCCATCCATGATTCTCTGGCAAGAGTCATTGGCATTCAGGGTACAATGTACATGCTTGCCTCCTTCACCTATATTCCAACTGCATTATTCCATAGGAATGCTATGGAAGGGACTTGGCTGTAATCATGTTTCATTTGTAGAGTGGTTATTCCAATAGATTTTAGATGAAGTAAGTTTTAAGGACTAATCTGGAAACTGTCATTACCCCCCTGCCCCAACTCCAGTCCCCTTAAATATTTCATCACTGCTCTCCAAAGCCCCATCTCACACATCATGATTTTTATGGGGACACTAAGTTCCCCAACCAACCTACAAATGGTTTCTGGAATGCAGATGGTTGGGACGTTTTCATCATTATTGTGATTGTTACGAAAGGAGTAGTAGTACAGAGATGTGATCGAGGGCTCCTGGCTCTGTGTTGGTCTCTGCCATTCACTTGCTTTCTGTCCTTGGAGCAGTCATATCTTCCTCTGGGACTCAGTTTGCTCATCTGTAAAAAGAGGGTTTTTTACTACATGCTCACTGAAGCCTCTTCCAGCTCTAAAGGCCTCTGATTCAGCAAAACTCTTATTAATGAAGCTATTACAAAAGGCTTGTGTTGGATTGATTATGGTGGCCACTGCTTTCCTGGGCTGTCACAGTCCTCACTTCTTCCTTTTCCCCTCACGTCCCTGTGGTATGTTGGCATAGGATGAGTCACTGCCGGCTATGGCATACATCCAGAAATGGAATGCCATCCTCCTTCCTGGCACAGGGAGGGAGAAGTGTGACTTTTTATATCCCCTCCTATTGATTAATGACATCTACTTCATAAGAATTATGATTACTCTGGTCTCATCAAGCCACTTCTAAGAATACAAATTCTATGCATTTACTGCAACCTCAGGACAAGATTGACCTCGGAAAGGCTTTGGGAACACTTTAGAAAACATCTCTTCCTCCCACTGAAAGGTTCACAACTATTGTTTTCCTCTTCTGACTCATCTTTGAATCAGTAAATTAAATATGTATAACTTGTGAAGATTTCATTTTTATTAAGGCAAGGTGCTTTGCTGAGCAATGTCAAGATTTAGAAGTGTACAGCTCTCCTTTTCTCCCTTCTCAATGATTTTATTTCCTGTAGTTTGTAGGAGGACTTTCAGAGAGCTGTTCTCTTTATCCTTCTCTGTGGCTCTGGCTCTTTTCTGTATCATAGAGAAGTTAAAAAGAGTTGATTATCATCTACTCTCCTAGGGTGGTCAAGACTTGAGGATTCAGAGGCTGTTTCTCAAGTAAGTGTTGCCTATTATGTTTTCTTGCCTATTATGTCTTACTCTGGAATTGAGGAAGAGTCATATTTTTTCATTATGTTGTTTGTGACATCTCTGGAATACCCTTTTTTGGGGGGACAGGGTCTCATTATGTTGCCCAGGTTGGTCTCCAACTCTTGGGCTCAAGTGATCCTCCTGCCTCAACCTCTTAAGTAGCTGAGACAACAGGTATGCACCATTGTGCCCAGCCTACCTTAATGATCCTCCCATCTGGAATGTTCTTATCTTAACCCTCCTCCCCCGCCTGCCATTTGATCAGTTCCTTACTCTCCCTTGCTGTATTTTCCCCAAAGGGGCTAGTTTATTTCACAACCTATATAAAGCTTTTCTGTCTACATTATTTTTTCCCTTACATGAATATCTGTACAACTTGGCTTTTTCCTTTTAAAAATAATTTAATTGGATTATATATCAGATTTTTCTATAGTTTTTCTTAGTATGCACTTCTCACCTTCCCACTAGATTGGAGGTTTCTTGAGGTCAAAAGACTGCAGGCTTTTAAGTTAATAAATACATATGTATTGAACTATTTTTATGATTATGGTATATAGTATAATTTATTTCTGTCTTTTGTACTGCACTTAGCATGGATTTCAGGTGTTACTGAAACTCTTTGTTGACAACAAATTGAGTAGTATATGACATCATCTAAAAAACTGTAACTCTTATTTGTCAAACAACTCAAGTAGTAGGGATCATAGAGGTTTGAGAGCAATTTAGACGAATGTTTAACTTTCTCCTTGTATTTTAGTCCTATTCAGTTCTCTAAGCATGTATCAGGAGTCAATTAAATGCTAGGCACTATCTGGGTACTAGAAAATATACCGAGAAAATTATCAGGCTCGCTGTGCTCAAGGAATGGTTACACTATTTTCGGGCAAGTCATTTAATATTCAGACCTATTTTCCTACCAATAATTGTGCCTTGCTTAAAAATAGAACCTTTTTGAAATTGAGACATGCTGAGTTTCTTTTTGTCTTCCTTAATGTGTTGAGAGGATTTACCTTATGAAAAGTGATATTTTTTTGATGATAGGAGGCTTTTGTTCCCTTCATTTGTGTCATTGTTACTTTTAGGGGAAGGGGTGCCTGTGTGAGAGTTAGTTTTATGCAATTATATTAAGAAATATGAGTGACAATGGGCTGCTCTTGTGACAACCTCAGTCTTTCTCCTTCCTTCCTCCTTTTTTCCAGCAGACCACTTAGTACTTGCGATTTTTTTCCATCTGTTTCCCTTCTCCTTTGATTTTTTTCTTTTCTTCCTTTTCAAACAGTTGTTGCCACCATAGTCCAAATTCTTATCAACATAACAACATCCATTCACTCAACAAATATTTAGAGTTTGTACTGTCGTCACTGTTTTAGACACAAGGATGCAGCAGCAAAAAATAAGATAAATAAAAGAGAAATTAATAAAACTGTAATATAATCCTACCTTCATGGAGTTTCCTTTCTAGTGTAAGTAAATCAGAAATCAAATAAAAAACTGGGGGGAGAAAAAGGGTATGTTGTGTGAATTAAGAGCCATGGAGAAAAATCATGGTGAGAAGGTGAACTGGCAATTTCTTTCCTGGTAGTAAGGGTGGCAATTTTAAGGGCAGAAATCCTTACTTTTTTAAAGATTATCTTTAAAGGAAGATAATCTTTCCATAAAAACTTGAAAATCTTGAGGGAGCAAGTCCTGTAGATATCTGGTGGGAGAACATTCCAGGGAGAGTGAGCAACTTATAGCAAAATCTCTGAGGTGAGCCTGAGGAAGGGTGGTAGGAAATGGGAGAGGCAGGGCAGGGACCTGAAGGCCATTAACTTTGGCTTTTAGGCTAAGTAAGAGCCACAGCTGTTGGAGCACTTTGAGAGGAGGAAAGACCTTATCTAACTTATATTTTAACAGAATTATTCTGGCTGCTGCGGTCAGCCTCTAAAGGGCAAGTAAAAAAGGTAAGGAAACCAGTTAGAAGGCTATTGCAGTGACCAGAGTGAGAGACAATGGTGGCTTGGACCAGAGTAGGATTGGTGGAGACTGTAAGGAGTATCAGGGGGTCCTGCATATATCTTGAAGTAAGAGCCAAGAGGATTTGCTCATAGACTGGACATGGTGTATGAGGAAGGAAGTCTATTCAAGGATGACTGCCAGAGTTTTTGGCCTAAGCAGTTGGAAAAATTGAGCTGTCATTTTAAGAAGAGTATGTTTGAGGCATTTAAGTTTGAGATGCTTATTAGAAATATTAAGTAGCAAGTGTTTGTAACACTATGGACCTCAAGGGTGAGGTTCAGGTGGGAGGTTTATGTTTAGGAGTCAGCATATTTATGATATTAAAAGTCATGAGACTGGATGAGATCATCAAGAGCGTTAATATAGAAAGAAGAATGAAGAGGGGTAGTGGGTGGGCCCCAGGGTGTCCTAAGGTCCGGAGTCTGGAGAGATGAGAGGGAACCGCAAATCAGACCAGCTTGTGAGGTGGGAGGAAGACCAGAACATAGTGTCCTGTAAGCCAAGCAAATAAAGTGTTTCAAGAAAGAGATTGACTTTGATAAATGCTGCAAAGTAAGATGAGGATAATTGAAAGGTTTCTTGAACAGAAACCTGGTATTCCCACCCCAACTTTCTCAATATCATTAGGTTTAGTTTTCTAAAACTTGTTTTTTATCATGTCCTACTCAAAACAACTCTCGCTGGTTTTAATTATCATACACTGAAGCGCCAAATGCCTGAGTTTGCCATTTAAGGCCTTATAAATATCTCCATTCATCACTTTCCAGTAGGGGATGGCCAGCCTCCTGGAGTTTCCCATACCTCCCATGTTCTTTTCTCATGCCACATCTTTGCTTTATACTATGTTCTTTACTGCATATGGCCTTCCTTTTTTGTAACCCCAGTCGACATTCCCTTCCCTGCCTAGCTGAAACCCTCATCATGCCAGGCCTTGAGGAAATTTCCTGTCTCTGAGTTCCCATAACTCACCACTTTATCATTCACAGTGGCACTTGCAACATCCCATAATTTTTCAACCGTTATGTGGGCAGAAAACTCATCTTCTTTAGGGGATTGAATTCCTTTAGAGTAGGAACCAAGTTTTAAACCCCATAGCTTCTGTAGCTCCCTGAAAAACTAGGTCTTCAGGATTGAGCACGAAATAAGACTCCAAGGAACACTTAAAATCATTAGAAATTAGAGTAAAAATGGAAATCTATCTTTAGCTATTTGGCTGGTCCAGATATTTTCTTTCTTTTCTTTATTTCACATATATGGAATTATTTCTTTACAAGAAAATCTTGCAGGAAGCCTCAAATTGTAAAGTAGATAAATGCAGAGCTGCTATGGTTGAGGGAAGAAGGTAGGAGCCCAGAGCTTTACCATTCATCCATCCTTCTCTTCCACCCTGACATTACCCTAAGGCAACCTCAGAGGTACTTCCACGGATCACCATTTTATAGATGAAGAATTTGAGATTCAGAGCCAGTTCATACAAATAGTAAATAACAAAATTAGAATTTGTGTCTCCATATATTGTACTTGGCTTGCTTTATAGCAAATGAGTAAATGAATGAGTTATAATTAGGTAATGACTGAATGAAGAAAGAGAGAAGTAGATGATAATGCATACTTATTAGTCCCTGATTGTGGGCTGGAGCTCCCATGACTTATCCAGATTTTCTCAATATGGAGAAAAGATCACGATTCCCGTTTTATAGATGAGGCTAGGCCTGGGGTATTTAACAGGTTGCTTCCAGGTGAAGAGATGAAGGTGAAATTCAAAGAGGGGCCTTGAGTACTTAAGTTTATATGTTTTCTGCCATGTCATACTCCTTCTGGAGTAGAAATTACAGAGTAAATATAAAAACAGGAAATATATTTAGATAATTATTTTAAATTTATGCATCAAAAGCTCTTACAGGTTTTTTCTCTTCTCTCTCTCCTCCCACTTTTTCTCTTTCTTTGTGTTACTAATTACAATGTCAGTACAAGACAACTCTAGAGATATTTATTAGCAAACAGCTACAGAGTGACCCTCCAAAAGCTAATTTTGCATTACAAGATTGATTTTCATGGAAAGCATATTTTATAAACTTAAAAAGCATATTGGGTGGGGACACAAGACAACATCCACTATTTCTCAATTGCAATTTTTCCTGCAAATGGGATGTCTCAGTCAGCAGAATTATAATGCTCCCTCTGTGGAATGGGGGACATTTCCAACTAGTGTCACTTAGTACTATTAAATGGAATCAAGCTGCAAATATTACTTTGGTAGGGTCTTTGCAGAACACTTTATGACATAATACATTTTTTTGTAACCCAGTTTGGATTTGTCTAGAAATGCTGCAGAGTATTAAAACTTAAGTAAAATGCCTTCTTGAAAGGAATATAAAATACATCCTTTCTGGAGGCAGCTTAAGTGCTAATTATAAGAAGTTCTGAAGTCTAAATTCTCTGTGTTACAGAAACTGAATATTCAGGTACATGGGAAGAATAATTATGTCATATATCTCTGGGATGTTTTTCAGTTTTATAACTTGCTTTTATATGTCATGTCTTATTTACTTCTCATAATAATCTTGGAATATAGGTGATAGCATCCTCACTTTAAAGATGTATTCAGGGTTATACAACCTCAAGCTGATGTTTCATAAATTCTATATGTGGTGGGAAAATGTTTCTTTATTATATTATTATATTACTATTATTTATTATAATAAAGAAACTTTTTTCCCTTTCCAGGTAGAAATTCCTCACTTCTTTCAACCTTAGTATTTTCTAATTAGTATCTATTACTGAACCAGTAGAATTCATAAATGATTTTCCAGGTACTGAAAAAGAACTAGTAACCAAAATAAAACAATGTACTCTGTATAGCAACCTATAGTTGACAGAGGACATTTACTTACAGTATCATATCAATCCTTCCAACAGTCCTGGGAAGCAGGGTGGCCAGGTATCTTTGTCCAGAAAGTGCTGGTTAAGTGGCCTAGTAAAAGTCACACTGTCACAGATTTTAAAAGAAGAGACATAAACATGGTCTTAGACACCAAGTCCAAGGATCCTCCATGTAAAGTGCTGAACACACTATTTGACATATGGTTAAGTGCTTAATACATGGTAGTTCTATTTTATTATTACTTTTATTAATATTCTCTACCTCAAACTGATTTGTAAGTATACCTCTCCTTGGCCAATTTGGCTGATGTCTACAAACCTAGCTAGTGAGCCCATTCTTTTATCCTCCAGGTAAATCACTCCACTGTAAAGAATTAAACAAGTCAGGATGCTGGAGGCTGAATTTCAGTAGGCCAGTTACTGAGTGGTCAACTGGGAAACTTTGCAAGCAGAAGTGGGTTTTATTTTACAATGTGGTTAACTCTGCAGATAACATTTTATGCCTCCTATCCAAGTTTTTTTTAGGTTTTATTAATTTTCTCAAGGAACAGAGGTGGGGCAAAGATGCCACAGTGACCACTAATAATCATTGAGTCTGTAGGGTACTATAAAATAAATTTTGCTGTGATACGGAGGCAACCTCAAGTAAGTAATGAACTGAGTAATCAGGACGTTATTCAGGATTGTCCCTGCAGGACAGAACACCATGTATCTTTGTTTAATCCAGCACTTTTAGATAACTAGAAGCTAAAATAACTATCATTTATTTTGTGCCTACAATGTGCTGATCACTGTTGCTAGGTAAATGACATACAGGGAGACCACATATTCAGGTCTGAAAGAGTCCCAGAGCTGCCTAGAAGAGTCCCAATATAACCTCTTTGTCCTCACGTAAATATTAAGTGTCACCTTTCACTTTCAAACATTTCTTAGAAAAAAATTTAAAAAAGATGGATGGATAGACATGTAATAAAGGAATTTCTGTGAAATTTTAATCATAGAATCTAAGTGGAAGATACATATGTTGGCAGATAAAAGTTCTTTAAAGTTCTCTCTGTATGTTTCAAAGTTTCCATAATAAAACATTGCGGAAAAAGTGTCTTGGATGACAAATTATATGGTTACTTGATATGAAGATGATCTAATTTAATACCTAAAACCACATTATATGCACAATACAATTATTACCTACACTTTACAGTTGGTAAAACTGAAGCGCTGACAGGTTAAGTGGTCCAGAACTGCACATCTAGTAAATGGGATGGATGTCAAGCAGTGCACCTCCGGAATTCATGCATTTGGAAGCAATGCTATACTTCCCCTAAGTTTACTTTAATATAGTGATCACAGTAAACATCTTTTCTTGCAACAGCTATTTAAATTCCACAGAATTAGCGTTTCCCAGAATACATTTTAGAAAACATTGCCATAGAGCAGGGCAGAGGGAAAAGGAATTCACATTTATGTATTTTCATTGTTTTACAACTAATAGCTACCTTTTTAAAGTTAAGTTTCTGTCAAACACTCTGTATACATAGCTTCATTTGCTCCTCACAGTACCATTTATCTATTATAAATAGATATTAATACCTTTATAGTATATTGAAAAAATGTAGACAGAGCTTTTAAGGAACTAATCTATGGTCACACATCTAGTGCATTTCCAAGCTGGGATTGAAACCTAGGAATAGCATCTCCTCCCCTCCACCTCCCCACTTCTGAAGTTACTTTTTATTAACTCATCCACTCTTCCTCTTATGATGAACTTGGACTAAAAAAGGAATACAGACCTATGAAGAAAAGCTCTGAATATTATGTGGAAGTATTTTGGTGCAAATACATAATGCCCTTGGAATAATCTATAAATTTTCTCTCACTATGACATTTTTTGAGAGCAAAATGAGGGTACAAATTAATCATCTTTTACTTTGATTCAATAGACTCTATGATACTATGTTTATCCAAATCCATTCACCATCATTTATTGACCACTTCTTAGGTAAGGGCTCTAGTGCCTTATTACTCCTAGTCTCTCTTCTTAGGAAAGACACAGACATAATATTTACTGATTTTCTACTTTGTGTCAGGTGCCATTCCCTTCTCAGTCTTAGTTCCTTTATCTGCGAAATGGACATAATAACAATAGTTATTATGTTAGTTACCAATAATATCGTTGGTAGCTGCAAATCTATTGTTGGTAGCTGCAAATCACTTATTGCTGGCCACATATTAAGACTTCATTCATGTATTTATTTATTCCACCAATAGTTAATAGACATGCACTGTGTGCCAGGCATCATTCTGTGTGCTGATGATATAGCAGGGAATAAAAGAAACAAAGGCCTTGCCTTCCTGAAGCTTATGTTTTGTAAGGGATTCAGATAATAAATGAATCAATAAGTAAATGTGGATTAGGTGATAGCTTCATCAGGATCATCTAGGTTGTGCTGCAGTAAAAAAAACCAACCCCAAATATCAGTGGCTAAACCCACTAGAATTTTACTTCTCACTCATGCTGTATGTTCCATGCAGGTTAGCAGAGAGGATCTGAAATTCAGTTACATAGGGATTCAGGATAGAGGCTTCATTTTCCCCCATGCATTTTGATCCCCAAAAAGATGGTGAGCTGTGGACTGGCCCTTAAAGCCAGAACACACATACATTTCATTGGCAAAAGCTAGTCGCATGTTTGTGCCTCATGTCAGCTTGGGTAAGGAAGTACAATGCTGCTACATGTTTGGAAGGAACATACAATAGCCCTGAGGGTGATCACATACAGTGATAGGAGGCCTGGAAGAGAAATTAAGGAGTATAACAGGGAATAGGGAGCACTGAGAGAGAGAATGCTCTTTAATAGTGAGCAGTCAGTGAGGGCCTTAATGATAAAGTGACATTTCAGTGGTGATACGAGGAGGCAAAGGGGTAGGTCTTGCAGTTATCTGAAGGAAGAGTACTCTAGTCCGAGAAGACAGCCAGAGTAAAGGTATGGTTATTTTTGTCATGTTTGAACATCAACAAGAAGGTCTGGGTGATTGAAATGGAGGAAGCAAGGGAGAGAAGGTCAAAGAGAGAGAGATGGAGTTGGATAAGGTAGAGCCTACAAGGTCACTGTGAGGACTTTGGCTTTTGGGCTGAGTGGGATTGGCGGGCTTTAGGCATTTTGAAAGGAGAGATGTGGTCTGACTTATATGTTTATAGTATCTCTGGCTGCTGTGTGAGGAAGGAGGTGATTGAGTTGTGCAGCCCAGCTGAGAGATGATGCTGGCTCCGATCAGAATTGTTGTGATGGAAGTGGTGGGAAAGGGTGAGATGATTGATATATATTTTGAAAGTGGAATCAAGAGGATTTGCTCACAGACCAGACGTGGGGTGTGAAAGAAAGAGAGAAAGGAGTCAGGGGCAAATCTAAAGTTTTTAATCAGAGAAATTGTAAAGATAAAGCTATAATTTTTAAAAGGTGGAAACTTTGAGATGAGCACTTAAATAGTTGTCATAAGTACCACAATTCTTCAGTCTTTACAGTAGCTCTATTAAGAACATCTTACTAGCCTTATTTTTAAAACTGCAAAGTTGATACCTAGTAATGTTAGGTGGCTTATCCAGGGAAATAGTTCAGATTATAAATTCCTAACTTTGAAATTAGATACACTGATAATTACAAAGCATATTCCTTCTATTCTTCTGGTTTGGTGATTAACCAGATCCTGATACATTTTTAAGTTTTATATCATATATGCCAAATTGCTTTAATAATGAGTAAAACTCCCAATGTGGAATTTTTGAAGTTCTTCTTTGATGGGTGATCTAAAAGACAAATTTTCAAGTTCTTCTTTAGTGGTTGATGTAAAACCACGCGCATGAACCACTGCACCCAACCTGTTCTAGATTTTCTATTTCAACTCCTGCAGACATTGTGAGTGAAGACATTTCCTCAAAAAACTTCAATTACTCAGTCATTAAATACACATTGATTCAGTTCCTTATTTGTGGTGAACATGACTTAGATGCCTGGGATATGGAGGCAGTTAGGATGAATTGACCTCCAAAACCTTAAAGACTGGTGAGAAAGACGAAAAATAAATTATTAATTACACTGCAAGATGCTAACTGCTGAGCAAAGGTCCTGTGAGAACCGGAAGAAGAGATACCAGACCCTCTCTGGAGAAGTCATTTTGGAAGGATTGGTAAAAAGAGATGGCCCTCATCCGACATTTGAATAATAACAGGACTTCATTAAAGTTAATGGAGGTTGGGGGGAAAACACATTTTAGAGAAAGAGAAGGCATTTGCAAGTCAATGAAGTTATAAAGCAGAATGAGAAACTCTGGGATGCGAAGAGTTGGTTAGACTGGAGGAGGTACATTGGGAGGCCTAGAAGGGAGGATTGCTTGAGGCCAGGTGTTTGAGACCAGCTGGAGTATCAAAGTGAGACCCCATATCTTAAAAATAAAAAATGAAATTAGCCAGGTATGGTGGCAGGCACCTCTTGTCCCAGGCGTGGGAGGCTGAAGTGGGAGGATCACTTGAGCCCAGGAGTTCTTGGCTGCAGTGTGCTGTGATCATGCCACTGTGCTCCAGCCTGGGTGACAGAACAAAACCCCGTCTCATAAAAGAGATGGAAATCTAGATCAGAAATAGCAAATGCATTTCATTCCCTATGCTAAATGTGGCCAGTTGATAGTATCAGTCTCTTGGGTGTCAAAAGGCGTTCTGAGACTCTTTCTGCACTTGGAAGAAACAGGCATGGTTATGACACCTGTAATGGATATGAGAGAGGAGAGTGAATGCATTCATTTTAAGTTATTTGATTTTCTTGACTAGAATATTGGGCTAAATTCATGTAACTCTAAGGATTTGTATAGAAAGCTTATTTTCTAATTAAATGCCTACTACCAACTTATTTATATACACAGTTGCTACTGTGATTCACCTGAGGACCTATTGCCAGTTTCATTGCTAAGCAAGTCTTTCTGCTTGGTTTGTAATCTCTTGAAAGACAGTATTTCTAAAGAAAACACAAACTGAGCTGTTGTTTGGACGTAAGTCCAAGGTCCCTTAAATAGTGGCAGGCACACCTGGAAATTTATTTAATATTGTTTTAGGTCCTCACTGTGCTTTTGGAAGCCCATTTAGAAGACTTCGTGGGGAACATGGAGATTCATCTTCAGTGGTTTCAAACTTTTTATGGTGTGCAAGAATATAAAATGAAGGAAAAAGCCAGTAAGGCAGGCAATTTTTAAAATTATGCCAACCATCTCCTGTTAGTGTTACGCCACTATGACTTCTTCTTCTAAAAAGCTAACTGTGCAAAACCTAGTTAAAATAGTTACCATTTTATCAAACACTTTCTAGTGCCAGGCACTGTGCTGTGCTATGTATATGTGTGTGTGTGTGTGTATTTATATACCTCAAGTACATAGTTATATGTACAAATTCTATTGATATACTTAATCAGTATAAGGTTGTTAGCCAACTTATTTTAAGAAAGACTTTCCTTTATTCTGAGATTGTGTCACTCACATTTTTATTTCTTGGTGTTAAAATGCCTTTTCTTTTACTAAGTGAAGATAGAAAATAGTAGAGTTGTTGTTGTTGTTTAATGCCCTTACTTGGCAAAATGAAAAATAGGAAATCCTGTAGTTTCCTCCTCTACTATCCCAGGAGCCTTCTTCCTTTTATCATCATCATCACCACCACTTTAAATCTGACTTGACCATGAATACTGTATGTGCAGTTGAACAAAGACATTTTCAACTAATCAGTGAGATTGGGCACCTTTGGGCTTTTTCATCACTTTTTCTGTTAACCAGCATGGGTCAGTGTATTGGATTCAGATTTTCAGAAATTATTTCCTGTCTTTTGAAGAACACACAAAAAAAATGAGTTTTAAAAGTAATTAACATATCAGGAGAGCTCATATGAGGAGGAGACCTTTGCCTATAGCTCTCTAGACCTTAGCCTGAGCCTGTAATTCAGGGTCACTGGGGGCTCTAGGGCACAGAAATTGTGTGAAACATTTCCAAACATAAATTATAAAATTATTTTGATGGGCTCCTCATTATCTCATGACTTCGCCTGACACCTAAATGGAATCCTGTGATTCTTTACTGTGTTGGGAAGTTAATGTGGGAAAAAATGAAAGACAGTCAATAAAGGAGCTTTAATAACAGGATTTGTAAGACCTCTAGTGCCAGGTAGATAATGATGTCACCTCCATGTTGGAACTAACTGAAAATCAAATGTAGTCTCTTGGCCTTCCATTCCAGACATCTGTGTAAACATTGGGTACGTTTGTATGTTTGGTCATAGATTTAACACAAAGAAATAGAATTAATATCAACAGTATTGTAAACGAAAGCCTTTTATGTGGATACTCATAAAGTAAATGCTTTTTAAAATAAGCATTGTGTTTATTTAAATGGAAGCCTCAATATGAGCTGTTCCCAGACTCTTTACAGATAAAAATTATTCATCAAATCATAGTTTCATTGTTTGTTTTCCAAGCTGTTGTGAAAACTTTACAGAACTTTTGTACTTAAAATAATTCCCAAACTCTGCAATGCCTCAAGTTCCTAAACTCTTTATTTATTTCTGCTGTCAGTTAACAAATGATTTTGTTCTTCAGATGTAGAATCTAATTGAGCATGGTGATATCTCTGTTGCTTCAATATATTAGAACAGTGTGTCTCAACTTTTTGTTTACATTCTTAAAAATTATTGAAGACCCCCAAAGAGCTTTTGTTATGTGGGTCATATGCACTGGTACAGTCTATATTAGAAATTAGGACTAAGAAATAAAAAACATATATTAATTAAAAAATTACAATAATAAACTCATATGTTAACATTAATAACATTTTTAAATGATATATAGATATATTCTCCGAAACAAAAAATATTAATGTCTGGCTGAATCGAAGACAACTGGGTTGTTATATCTGCTTCCACACTCAATCTATGGTAATATGTGGTTTTGATTGCATTATGGGAAGAAAATGCTGCATCATGTAGATATGTGGTCTGAAAAGGGAGTACTTTAAGAGACTTTTTAAATCATTGAGGATATTCTTGCCTAACACCTGATGTTATTTTTAAGCTCAGCTTGTGCTGTGTTATTCTCCTGATACATTAGTACTACAACTGGTTTTAAATCTATGATTATATACTATGATTTACATATAAGATTGAGGATGTTCTTTCTTGATACTATATCAAAACTTGACAGGTGGTACTTTGTATATTAAAATTTATTGGCATATATTTTAGTGAATCCTTTATCCGTGCATAACTCTGTAGCATCATTCAATGGTCATTTGGAAAATATTAGTTCACTGAGTTATGTAGCTAGCTCTTCTAAATGTTGACTGAGTCCATTACACAACATAAAAATTACATCTCTGAATGTTACCATTTATTTCAACAGAAAAGTCTTTAAGCTTTGGGAAATTGACAAACTCACAGTGGTGGTTGCAACTTTTCTAAAATTTGAATATTTGCTTGCAAGATGAAAAGTTATTAACTGACAACAAATTCTACCGGTGGTTTTCTTTGAAGTGAAATGCTTGCTTCATTTACTGTTGAGAAACATGTCTGCCAGATACCCAAGTCTGAATAATCACAATTTGTCAGTCATTCTTTTAGGTAAAAATAATGTTCCATGGGGAAAAAAAAGCTGCTAATTCAGCTTGCATCATAATTATGCACATTTTTTAAGACAACTTTAGTATTTGACAGGAGAGCTTTATGCATACTTTTCATTTTATCACACAAAATATTAAAAATACATATTCAAAATATACATTAATCTCTTAGTGAGATTTAATAAGATTGACAAATTTTACTGCTCCATCAAGGACATTAATAAGTAAAACTGGCTTTCTTTTTGTGTGTTCATTTAGTGAAGAATATAATGACTACTGGTACAGATTAGTGTCATGTTAAAGTGCAAACAGTTTTACTCACCGTTACTTTTTCACCAGCCACGCAAATGTCAACACAATGAAAGTGTAAACAACATCATAGTATTGTTATGAAAATCTTTTTGACCTTGTGCCTGAAAAGTTCTTAAGCACCTCTGTGGGTTCTCAGACCATTCTTTGAGAAAATCCATTTCTAAGGCATGACTAACTCTAGGCTAATTACCCACCCTCTCTCACTGCCGGTGCCACTATGCCCCCGTCCACCAGCACTCTTGACAGATCAAGAGGCACAGTATCTTAAATGGGATCCCTGGGGTAAATACTACCTTTTAAACCCTTATTTATGAACATTTCCTGATTTCAAAATATATTTCCTGTGTATCTCACTCTGAGGGATGCATCTCCCCGGGAAGTATCTGGGCATCCTGACATAAGATCTCATGTAACATCTTTCTTTTTGACTGCTATATTCATCACTGATAAACTTTATATGTCATGATCATAAAGGTAAGCATCTGTCAAAAATTTTTTAGATGGGAATGAATCTCTAATGAAAACAGGTCTAATATCAATGTTAAAATATAATTTTCAATAAGTTAAAAACATGGCTTTCATACAAATACATAGTGAGCATGTGCCAAATATTTACTTAGTTCATTAAGAAGAAAACCTGCATAATGATAGACCTAGTTCAAAAGAGAAAATGAGAAAAAAAATCACATAAATATATGTATATATAGAGAGAGGGAGATGGAGAGAAAGAGAGAGAGAGAGAAGAAAAACCAATGCCAAAATAAGGCTGCAGAATTAGATTCAACACTGATTGATGTTCTGCAGTAGAATAAAATCTTAACCTTTGGAGTTATATTTTCTATGGGACAGAAATTATTTGCACTTCTACTAGATAAAAATAATTTGTAGCTTATCCATCTTCTGCAAGTTAAGATCTAGCTTTACCAAGTCCAGGCCCTAATGAAGATGATTGCAAAGTCAAATACGGCTGCCTTTCCCTAAAGCAAAGAGTGACCCCAATGTGGGCTTTTTCAACAATGGCCCTGTAGGGCTTTGAAAGAGAATGCTATAATCTTTTTGCCTTATCTCCAAGTTTTGGGTTGTTTTTCTTAAATTAGTTGAAAACAACAACAACAACAACAATGACAACAAAAACTGTGGCAAAGGATACTTGGGGGTAAGATTTCCCCAGGCTCTTAAAATGATGCAATGTATCAAGTGTGGAATATTTATTAAATATTTATTTAATATCTACTTGGAACATCTACTTTGTAACAACAAGCATTATATAAAGAGATTTCAAGCCGCATAAATATATATACATACTATGTACCCACAAAACATTTTAAAAATAATTTTTAAAAATTAAAAAAAATTTTCATGCATTATTATTTTATCTTCACAAAACTTCATGAGGTAATGTTTTACAGAGGAAGGAACAGAAACAGAGAAGTTAGTAAGTTGCATAAAGTAATTCAACCAGTAGATAGTACAGCAAAAATTCAGCTACAATGTCTAACTTTAAACAAACATAGTACACTGCTACCTAAATTGCTTTGCTCACTTCAGATTACATGTTCTCGTTGTAGGGGATGATTTTTGCAAATATCACTTTTTTGTCTCTGGCAAGCAAACTTCATTCATTTTATAAAACTTTTTTTCTGATTTAAAAATATTATAAGATCATTATAGAGGATGTGACAAATAAAAAGAAAAATTAAACTCTCAAAATTCCACTACCCAGACACAAATCCAGTTAACATTTTGATGTGTTTCCTTGCAATTCTTATTAATGTCCAAGTTTGTGCATATATGTTGCAAATTGTACTGTGATCTATAAGCACCATTTTAATTTTAATATAATATTGCATAGATAAACTATAGTGTATTTGATAGATCCCCTATTATTGGGCATATAGGTTTTTTCAGTACTTAATAGTATAAATAATGTGATGGACATCTTTTAATAAATGTATCATTTAGTCTGCCTGTAAACTCAAGGAATAGGTACTATGATTATCTGTAGTTCTTAGTTGAGGATATAAGTGACTTACACAAGGACATAGCTGGCAAAGGCAGAGCTGGGATGAGCGCTTAGAAATTTTTAACCACTGCTGGAGCAGGAACCTGAGTTTAGATTTTTTTTCTCCCTCCACATTGCTTTCCAGGGGCTCAGACTCAGAAGCTGTGGGACTGTCTGATATTCACTATGACGTCTACACACACATTTAGAGTTGCGTTTGTTGCCATGATCTGCAAGACTTTGCTTTCCTGAGACAAAATTCATTCCCTGCTTCCTTACACAGGATAAGTCAGCATCTATTTTGCTCTTCTAAGGCAATAAAACATGCCCTGGGATGTGGTACCTCATAAATATGCATGCCATAGGCCGCCATTCACAATCCACAGGTGTGTCTTAGCAGATTATTAATACTTCTCCACAGACACAAAGCTTCAGTCTGCCCAGTGCTAATAAAACTCTCTCCTTGAGTAGAAGGGTTTGTTTGTTTATTAGATCAAAAGAAAAATTATCTTCAGTTTTGACATATACAACATATGGAATTATACAGCATTACAAGGCAAAACAAGAACTCAACCACAGCTGCTAACACACCAAATTCCACCAAATATTCTAGATTTGGGGAGTGTTCAAAACTCCTTTTTAGTGCAAATAAGATGTTAAAATTAACATTATCAGAGAGCTTGTAAATTTCAAATAATATTTTGTACCCGGGAAATGGCGAGAAGAGATAATCTATTTCCTAAGCCTAACATACCCTTTAATAATGGAAATAAATTTGTTTTCCTGAGCAAAGAGGGTTTTCTTTTTACTGTTTAGAGCATTGGAATATGTAGTTTCAAATCTCTGGGCCACCTTCTGAAATTATATTTCCTAAGCTTTGGTCAATTTGACTCATTCTTGTTGGTTTATGTTTTTGAAAATATTTTGATGGGATTATTAGTGTTGAGTGGGTTACTGAAAAAGGTAAACAAAGATATGTTTGAGAAGATCTAAGGTGTCTGATTTGAAAGATATACTGAAGTCAGAAAGGGTCTTTTTAACAGTCTGGATATATGTGATATTCTGCTTATTAAAAGCACAAACAAACAAAATGCAAAAACCAATTGTCATCCAACAACAAACTATTTTTCCAGCCAACCCTCAATACAAATGTTCATTATTTTGAAAGTGTTCTTCTTGTGGAAGCAATAGAAATTTTGACACAATTAGTGGTGCACTCTGACATCCATCCACAAGCAACTCGTAATTTCCCAAAGTATTTTCAGCTGTTTATGGCAATTTGTATCTGGCCAAGTGTAAAAGGAAATCTTACATTTTGCCCTGCGTTTTGGGGAGCTATCAAAGACAGAAAAAAATTACATATATATTTCTCAATGTACTTCTGAAGCTGCCTTCCAAATCAATGCAAAGAGGAAAAATATTATGGCTCTTATGTTAGAAAATAGCAAATTCCTTAGTGAACTTGATGCATTCTTGCAATGACCAGCACCTCCCTGTACTAGGGCAGAAAAGCTGCTTCCTAAGAGGTGAGTGTCAGGATCTCCAATGGGTCCTGGTTTATTTAGTCACTAAACTGTGGGATGAACTGCTGGGAAGTTAGAAAACTAGGACTGGGAGCAAGAATGGGCAGATGTTCCTCTGGTTTGATTTCCTAGGCCTTGGGCCTGTGAAGAAACACAGAACAAAACAAAATAAAAACAAAGCAACAAATTCTCCTGACTCTTCTCCCTAAAGTTTGACTTGGGCCACATTGATTCTGGGCTCCTCAAAACCAGAACGTAACAGCAAAACGTGGTAACATCTCTGTACCTAAGCAATTCAAAGAATTAAAAAGGAGAGCATAGTTAACTCCTCTAAAGGAGCATCTGCTCCCAGAGAGTATAAACATTCTTCTTTTTGATTTACCATTTCCCAAACATTATCTGAGGTTTGTAGTCCAATCCCTCACCTTTTCATGTTAGTAAACAAACACAGATTCCCTCAAGGAACAAAGCCCTTTCAATCCCTCCAATTTAGAGACTAGGATCACATGGCAATATGTAGACCTTGGACAATATTGCTGAGAAGCCTATTTTATTTGGGAGAGAAAGAGGAGGAAGTTACGGGACTTTGCACATCCTCAGCTGTCTGCATCTCACTGAGTAATGCCTCCTTTCCTTCTATGGACTGTGACTCCAGTTGGTTTCTACGTTGCAAAGAGCTTTATGCTTTTTCCATAGACAGTAAGGAGACCTGAGGACCAGTCCTAGCTTTATCACTTTCTAGCTGTGTGTCTTTGGTTGGGAAAGGCCTTTTTCAACCTTAGCCCTCAGTTGATCTTCTTGTAGAACAAGGAGTTCAGATGAAACCGTCTTTGTAGTTCTTTCCGGATCTAGTATTCCATAATGAGTAGCACTACCTTGTTCTGCATTTCTCCCTACCTTCCCGCTTTCTGCTAGGTCACTGAGGCTGCATATTGGAGAGCCAGGAATTGAATCCTGGCTCTTCAGGTTGCCAGAGTTGTACCTCAACAATTCACTTGTTCTCTCCCTAAGCCTGTTTCCTTGTTTATTTTATTTTGTATTAATTTATTATTATTGAGGCAGGGTCTTGCTTTGTCACATAGGCCAGAGTGCAGTGGCACAAACATGGCTCACTGCCACCTTGGCCTCCCAAGCTCAAGTGATCCTCCCAAGTCAGCCTTCCAAGTCACTGAGACTATAGGCATGCCACCATGCCTGGCTAATTTTTTTATTTTTTTTGTAGAGATGGGGTTTCACCATGTTGCTGAGACTGGTCTCAAACTCCTGGCCTCAAGGGATCTTCCTGCTTTGGCCTCCCAAAGTGCTGGGATTACAAGCGTTAGACACCACTCGTGGCCTATTTCCTCATTTATGAAATGTAAACTATTCCTCCTACTTTGTAGGAGTGGCATGTAATAGAATGACATTATACACGTGAAGAGCTAAGAAAAATGTCTGAAAAATTTTAAGCATTAAATAAATGTTAGCTGTTATTTTTAGATAAGATAATACTTGTTAGGTACCTGGCACAGTGTCTGGCATATAGAAAGTATCTAGTAAACATTAACTGTTTTATTGTTATTGTTATCTTCAGGAAGGAAAGATTTTAGTTTTAAACTTTCAATAGTATTCTTGGTTTGAAGAAAAATATTTTTCTTCATCCCTCTGGAGGTATCTTAAGATGAAGGGATTTTCCCTACCTTCCTCTTGATTTACTAAAGAGAACATACTAACTTCAGAGAATATTCTCCAAACAACCCTTTGGTATTCATACTTTGACCTGGACGCAGGACGCAGTGTTCTTCCTTCTCTCTTTTTCTTTGTTTTCCCCTTTATGCACCCTCAGGCAGAAAGTAAAAAGAGGCTCAAATGACTTCAATTTGAAGACAACCTCCAGCAGCCACTGATGGTTGCATTATGACTGGGCTAGGAGAGGCACTTGTTGCTCACATGAATGCAAGAGAAGATAATTCATTAGTCTATCCAAAGCAGCTAACTGAAGCAGCTACTAGGAGAAGCTAACCAAAGCCATGAGAAAACAGGAAAAGAATACATAAAGATAGATAGATAGATGATAGATAGATAGATAGATAGATAGATAGATAGATAGATAGATAGATAGATGATAGATAGATAGGTGGTGTATTAGTCTACTCTGCTTGTCAAAACAATATACTACAGACTGGTTGGCTTAAACAACAGAAATTTATTTTCTCACGGTTCCGTAGGCTGAAAGTCCAAGATGAAAGTGTTGGCAGGTTTGTTTTCTGGTGAGGCCTCTCTTCCTGGCTTTTATATGGCAGCCTTTCTGCTGTGTCCTACCTGGCCTTTTGTCTGTGCACACACGGGAGGCAGGGGTGTTGGGAGACGAAGAGAGCTCTGGTGTCTTCTTTTTCTTATAGGAATACTAATTCTGTCAGATTAAAGTCTCATCCTTATCACCTTGTTCAACCTTAATTATCCCTCTAAAGGCCCTGTCTCTACATACAGTTGCACTGGGGGCTACGGCTTCAACATAATGTATGAATTTTGAGGGGACACAATTTGGTCTATAACACAAAGATAGTTTTATAATTATAGGTAAAGAAATAGTTATTTGAAGCAGATCTTGTCTCTGTATTCTGTGCTATTGTGATCTCATATTTCAGTGGAAAGATGCAAAATCCATTTTAACCTACCTCAGGGAGATCTACCA
Source organism: Homo sapiens (assembly GCF_000001405.40). Classification (NCBI taxonomy): domain Eukaryota; kingdom Metazoa; phylum Chordata; class Mammalia; order Primates; family Hominidae; genus Homo; species Homo sapiens. The sequence continues at coordinate 28,721,900 of NC_000011.10, forward strand.
TAAATCCTCTGACTTTGTCATTTCTATGTACAGTTTTTCTTCTAAGTACCTATTTCCTTTGTAGTTTTTTATTTACTCACACTATTATTTGTTATTATTCAATTAGTATCTGCTAGCCTGGTCTCTAGGCTGTGTGAGTACTGGAGCTCTATGTCTTGCCCATGACGGATCATTGCCAAGCATAGCTCATGGCGCATGGAAAGTGATTCAGACAGATGGCCTTCTTACTTTGTCTTGAACACCAGGCACATTCCTGCCTTAGGATTTCTGCACTTGAAATCCCTCTGCATGGAATATACTTTATATATTTGTAGGGCTGACATACTTCTGACAAATCTCTACTCAACTGCTACCTCTTCTGAGGCCTTTCCTGACAGTACTATGTTGGGTATTGTTTCAGAAAACAATCCTCCAAAATGCAGCCCTCAGCAGCAGCATCAGAAACAAAAATGTTTCTCTGACCTTCTCCTGTTCGCCTGCATCTCAATTTCATTTTCCCCCAAGGCTAGCCATAGAAACTAGGATCCCTTTTCTCCAAGGCAGGTCATGGAAACCAGAACCTCTTTTCCTGAAATCCAGCCATAAAATGTAAAAACTGGCCATAAAGAAGTTATCTAACCTACCTTGTTTGACATAAGTCATAAGACTCCTATTCCAGACAGGGCCCTATCTCACACACAGAGAGAAGTAATACATGCTCAGGCCAAGAAGAATCTAGACAGAAAAGCCTTGACTAATGCTAATATCTATAAGCATTAGATTATAACATTTTTGTACAATCATATTTCTAAATAGCTGTCTATACTTTGTTGAAACTAAGCATAAAAATGAACAATTTTTCTTGTATCTTTGGGTCTTCATTCTGAAGGCTCTTTTGTATACACATTAAATAAATTTGTGTGTCTTTTCTCCGTTTAATCAATCTGCCCCATGTAAGTGATTTTTTTCAGTGAATCTTTGGGGGAAAAAGGGTGTTGGCTCCTACAACTATCAAAAACTGCCCTATGTTCCTTCTAATTACATATTCTCTCATTACATTTTTTGATAACTAATTTTTGGCAGCATGTCTAATTATTTTCATTATTGTCTGTCTCTTGCTTTATACATTCAGCTTCAAGAAGGCAGAACATTTACCTACTTTGTTCACTGCTATTTTACTGTGTTCACCAAGTACAGAGCATGGAATGTGAGGCACACTTGATGACTGTATAGTACATAAATGAATGGACAATCACTTTGTTAGATGAACAAGTAAAATTTGGGGGGTTTAGCTCTTACAGAATGGGGGAAATTGAATAGTAAAACCAGAAAATACAATAATTCTTCCTCCAGGAACGCTACTCGTCTACTTCCTTGATTCCTCGTATGCAACTTTTAGATTCCCAGGAGACTTTTCCTGATCCTGGAAGTTGGGAACATGTGTCCCTTCCCTGCACTTTTCTATTACAGCAAACTTATCACTGATGCATGCATCATACATCTCTGAATTTTCTTGAATACTTACTGGAATATACATTTCATGAGGGTAGGCAACAGGATTATTGGAACAGAATAAGATTTCATTGCATACTTGCTAAATGAGTTTAAAGACTTAGTAAAATGGAAGAAATAGCTTCCATACATAATTATCTCAAATAATATCTTTCCTATCTTAAATTCAAACTACCCCTTTGGGACCATTTATGGAAGTGAATCTTTCTCCAACAATTCTTACATTACAAATCTCCATGTAAAAGCACAATACCTGAGAAACCAGAAAACTTATTGGAGTAAATTGTTGGGTCTTCTAATGAGGAAAGGATGTGTTGATTAGATTAAGAGACTTGAAATTAAAAACAGAATCTCCTTTTTAACAAAAAAATATTAAAAGTATTTCTAATTGGTACCTTGTTCCAGGCACTATATTAAGAACTTTATGCCTGAATTTTCATTTAATCCTTAAACCCTAAAGTAGATATTGTTATTAGTCCCACATGAAGAAATTACTGTTCAGAGAGATTAAATGACTCACCCAAGATCACAGGCCAACTGAATGACACAGCCTTGACTCCAATCTAGATCCATCTGACCCCAAAACCATCCTTCTCATCAATGCTATTCAAAACATTGGCTCTATGTCACATAATACCTAAGAGAAGTTATTTGATTCAACAAGTGTATGAAGTGTGCCTGCAAAGTCTTGAAGCAATAGAACACTCATGCCTCAAGAGGACATAGGGGGCCAAAAGTGGATTTAGAGTACCCAGTAACCTCTATATCTTCTGCATGGCTTCCTCAAGAGAGACAAAATCCAAGAGCATTAGGGCTAGAAGATGTCCTTATACGTCATCTTGTTCAATGCCTCCATTTTAGAGATGATGAAACTGAGGTTTGAAGGGTGATTTGACTTTCCCAAGGTCATCTACATAAGTTGTAGCAGAAATAGCCAAGGGCGTTCACTCCTGTTGAAATACACACAGAAAAAATAAGTAAATAAATAAAGGATTTGTTGGTAGCTTGAAATGAGCACAATTTAAAATAATTATCAAGCTGGCTTACACATAGCCATATATGTTTTATTAGATCTACCATTGGGAGTTACATGCTTGTGCTATAATTTAGTAGAAATGGCTATTAACTTCAGTGCATGCATTTGATAGTTTTTTGAAACCATTAAAAAATAAAGACTTATTTGACAGTGGCTCATGCTAAGATAGTTTATGAGCTGATCATATAAATGACAAAGTCATATTAAAGAACGATGCATAGATGTGCATGGGTAGTTTTATTGAATCGGTAATAGATACTTGGATCCTGCCATTATGTAATTTGTTATTTGACCTCTTCATTGGGAAAATTTAGTATCTGCCTAGTTAGTGAACTCACAGCTAATAGTAGATTCAAAATGATGGGAAAATCAGTATTTACTTAATTGAACTTTAGATTCTTATTAAGCCAAACGTGGAGCTGGCTTATAGTAGGTGCCTAAAGAATGATATTGCTTGCCCTCTTATAGGCTGTATTGAAAATAATTCAGATACAGATTCTCCACATTAGTTGAGGTGATAATTGAACTACAGAGAATATCTGAAAACCAAACACTAAGAGAAAAAATGATGTATAAGCTAAATAATTAACACTGTCATGATGTCAATCAACCAACCTGAATGATACTGCAGAGAATATTCCATCAGCTGGCTGCAAAGTTTGATCTAAAAGAGTCAACATTGTTCTTCCTCAAGTCTCTAATTTCACAGCAGACTAAAAATTACAATGCATGTTTTTCCTTTCAACATGCACCTTTCTGACGTTTATCCACTAAATGAGTTGTGGCTTTTCACTTAGTGAATGAAATGTCTTAACGTGGTGAATATATTTCAGGCTCTTTATTTACTGTATTGGAGTCCATTCGCTTTGCCAGCAATGGAGAATGCAGTCTGGATTACGTCTATGTCTCTAGACCATTGTGATTGTAACCTTCCATTGTGAATGAGGTAGTTTAGCCAGGGTCAAGAGATGCTTGTCTCATCTTCATCATCCTTTTTATAGCAATTAAGAAGTCCCTTAACTTCTCCACCCTTAGTGTCCTTAGGCATAAAATACAGATAATGACCTCAGGGGCATTAGGGAAAAAATAAGAATAATAGATATAGCTTACTGAGGATCTACCATGGGCCAGTGCCTGGGTTAGGGACTTTAAATTTATTATTTTTATATGTAATAATCACTAAAACTCTGGGCAGTAAGCATTATGGTTCTTATCTCATAGGGAAAGTAAAGCTTGAACACAAAGAGATTAAGTGCTTGCTTAACATCATTTGACAGAAACGTTTGAATTCAGGTCTCTTATTCCAGGGTAAATATTCTTAGGCACTACTCTATAGTAAGTATGCTGCCTCAGATAATATACACACAGAAATTGTTATAAAAATCAAATAATGGGGAGGGGAATTATTGAATGCCTTAATATACTAGCATCACAGAAGGTGTTTTCACAGGTTATCCTATTTAATCCTCACGACTCTGGAGATAGCTATATTCACACTTATTATTCACTTACGTTTTCTGTGATTTCAGTGTAGTTTTTTATTTTGCCAAGATAAAAACTAGAATACTGATGAAATCACACTAGGTGTGTAATGTGAAATTATGATATAAGAGAATCAGAATGACCTCTTTGGCAATTTCATGGGAACAATGATTCTTTGTGATATCCACGTCAGAAGTGTACTTGTGGACTTTGAGGAGTTTCTTTGGATATATGTTGGAAAAAGAGCAGGCTACAATAAAATAATCAAGGTTCAGCATGTCTTTTCTCTATAACAACATTTGTGATTACAGACATTTGCCTGATATAATTTTGGTTTTTACATAAATCTGAAGTGAGAGCTAAGAGGAAGACTGACTATACTATTGTTTTATTTGGAGAGGTGAGTTGCAAATTAAAAAATCCGCAAAGATATGAATATTTTAGATGGGAGCAACTTACTGATATAGTAGACTTGATAATCACTTATTTTGGTAAAAACAAATGGAATAAGTAGGAGAATAAATATGGATTGTGATAAATGGAACATTGTTACAGGTGTCTTTAAAGGAGTGGCAGAAATACTGCTATCATGGGATGGAAAGTACAGGGTGGTTTCCAGAAGATGAAAAAGGTGAATAAGCATGCAGACGATATCTTAGCCTACAATATTTATTAAAAAAATAAACATCAATTGGAATTCTAGTTCTCAAGTCTCATAAATATTTATATATGGGTGTGAGTGCATGTGCATGTGTGCTGAGAAAGATTTCAATACATTAATTCTTGTTCTTCCTAGATTCTTCTGTATTTCCCTTGTCAAATTAGCTTTTCCTTGAGAGAAACTGTTAATTCTAATTGATTTTGGCCAGATTGGCAAAGCTCTTTGAAATGCTTTCAATCAGTGACAACTTTTAAGACATTTTCTTGTACTTGTGAGAGATTAAAACTTTTTCCAAGCAATATTTCCCAATAGAGGTCCTTTCTGAATGCTTCTCTATACACACAAGATTGTTGGTCTTTTGAGGTCTGTACTGTCATCACCTGCCTCATTCATTTCTAGTCACAGGACAGCTCTCCAAAAACCCTTTCCCATCCTCTCCAGGCCTAGTCAAGCCTTTTGTTTTTTAGCTTCAGTGCCAGGCTCAGTTCCCTTTCTTGTTTTCCTTTCATGTGGTTGGTTCTTGCTGCCTCTGAACTCTTTTTGTATCTCTTGTTAGGCATCATTGCCTGTCTTTTCTAACTGCATTTTTACCTGGAAGTCATTGTGCTTTATTCACAAGCTGAGACCCATCCTATGAAACCTGCTGGGGTTTTCACTGAAAGATATTAAGCAAATCTTCACAGCTTGAATGGAGTATATCTCTTCCTGGCTAATATACTCCAGCCCTGAAGAAGGCTCAAAATAGGTGCGAGGTAGAAGAAACACCACCTTCTGTAGACTGATTCTGTTGCTAGTGGTGGAGCCATGCTCAGTAGCCTGAGAATGAATCCTTCTTTAAGTGCTGTTGGGAGAGCTGAGAAATACCCAACTGTGAATCAGCTTAATCAAGAGTACAAACACCAGAAAAGAACGAAAGTCCTCAATTGCACTTGGCTGGAGTACAGAGATCTCTGTAGTGATTTTGGTTTCCATCTAAACTTTTCCAACATTAAATGAAAAAAAAAAAAGTCTGGCTCAAAATGTTTTCAGGATTTATTGCTCATACACTGTACGGTGAACAAGAATGAGTTTTGCCTAACATGTTTGGTGAACGTATGTGGAAGGTCAGCTGTTGCTGTGACTTGGTGTACCCTGAGTTCTCTAAAACAAAGAGAAGTATCTGTTCTCTAAAGCAAATTGTTCCCAGACTTACTGTGTGCTATGATTTGATTTTTAAATGCCAAAAAATGAAAAACAAACAAACAAAACAAAACTGCAGAATGCACAAACTTAGTAACCTTTATGTAGGGAAATATTCAGATGAAGAAGTAATTCTAATTAGAGACTAAGATATGAGAAAGAAGTGGTATATTAATTAGTCTGTGGTTTTATATTGATATGGAGCTATCATTATGGAACTTCATTATTTTATTTAAGCTTAGAAAATGTTGCTCTGGACAAAGCAGGAATAATGTTGTAGTATAGACTCCCCAGCCTTCATGAATTCTTGATTCTCTATTATGTAACATAGGACCTCAGAGCTGATCCCATGTATACCTCATCCTTCATTCCTTAACCCTCCAGCAAAGCCACTGGCTTCAGAGTGATATGACAGATGATCTGCTGTGTAAAATTGATAACTGCAGGCCAGGCCTGGTGGCTCACGTCTGTAATCCCAGCACTTTGGGAGGCCGAGGCAGGTGGATTATTTAAGGCCAGGAGTTCCAGACCAGCCTGGCCAACATGGCAAAACCCCATCTCTATTAAAAATAGAAAAAATTAGCTAGGTGTGGTGGCACCTACCTGTAGTCTCAGCTACTGGTGAGGCTGAGGCACGAGAATTGTTTGAACCCTGGAGGTGAAGATTGCAGTGAGCCAAGAGCATGTCATTGCACTCCAGCGTGGATGACAGAGTGAGACTCTGTCTCAAAAAAAAAAAAAAAAGGATAACTATGCCTTGAATAGTGGGTAGAAAGGCTATCTTAAGACAATAGGTAGTAGAATAGGAGAAGGAGGCATTAAAGGAAAGTTTATTCTAGAGAAGGAGCTTTTAAAGAGATAACAACAGTATAGACCTGAGATAAGATAAGCCAACAAAAATATCTCAGTATTAGGATGATATATTAGGATACTGAGATGAGTGAGGGATGTGACAGCTGCATGCACAGAAGGGGATAAGCAAGGTGGGCATGGAGGCCTGAGTGTCTGTGTGCCTAGTTATGCTCACATGGAGAGATGGAAGACTGGTAGAAAACCAAATGCAGTGACACTAACACACTGAGTTCTGAGTCTTAATTATTGATTTAGTATATTTGGGGAATCCCTTGCCAGGGGAATAGCTGCCAGTAAAAGTTGCGTCAGATATTAGATAGAAAAAGAAAGCTAATTTTTATTTAAAAACATTACCTTAAACATACAGGGCTCTGGAATCAGATTTCAGCTTACCTCTTCCCAGAATTCTGACTACCTCTTCATGATAGCAGCAGGAGGCAGTCAAATGCCTAGGCAGATAGGGGTGGGTCCCTGGTGAAACCCAACCTTCAAACCAAAAACAGTTTAAAGCCTGAAGGCCAAGCTACAAGTCCTGGGTAAATCCACAGACTGTGTTGAGAACCTCTCTTCCTGTTTAGCATGCTTTCCTCTGATTGATCCTCACCCTTCACCTATTTTACATATACCTACCCTTCCCTAATTGTTTTTGTTACACTATCATGCCCACCTTTGAATGATGCCTTTGTTTTAGACTTTTTTTGCATACTCACAAACCAATCAGCATGCATTCCCCCATTATGAACCCATAAAAGCCCCAGACCCAGCCACACTTGGAGGGAGACCACCTTCATGTCCCCTCTCCACTGAGAGCTGTTCTATCACTCAATAAAATTATTCTCTGCCCTCTTCACCTTTCAATTGTCAGCATAACCTCATTCTTCTTGGACGTGGGCCAAACTTGGGAACCGCCAAATGTGGGTATGAGTTGTAACACCTGTGGGCCAGTGCACAAGCCAAATGCAGCCCAGCAGGCCAAGTGGACAGGGTGCCTCCTGTGGCAGGCCTGGGTCCGACCAAGGCCCAGGCGAGGATGTTGCTGGCCACAGAAGTCCCCAGCTTGCAAAGTGACCAAGAAAAATCCTGCGTCGTTCATTTATAAGAAAACCCACTTGACAGGGTTTTGGGGAGGATTATATAAGTTATTGATGTTTAAGCCCTTTATATGCCCAATGTATGTTAAAGGGGCATGTTTTATAATTGTCAGTTTAAAATTATTTTATTGGTTTTCCAAGAACTTCTGTTCAGTTAGTTTTGTGCACCATTCCAATAGAAAGGGTGAAAAGTTACCAGAGGAGAGTGGTCACATCATTCATTCATTTTGGTTTCAGGAAAAGGTTACATGTAAAAATATATTTTATTGGCAGTTGTCTTGACATCTAATCTTTGTTTCTTAGGTCATCTACCATGGACATTGCTCCTATACAACTTGACCAGGGTGTTGTATAGATACCCTCTTTGCTAGAGGGTTCATAGGGTTTAAGTTAGTCACCAGGCTGTTTGGAATAAAACAATTTGAATCCATATTGATGAATAACATCCAAAGCTTCATTGGAGTTTTATCTAACCTTTATTGATTCTGTCTCTCCAAAGTTTAAAGTTTAGATCTCCTGGTTCTCATTTTCTTAAAAATTATAGCCTGACTTGTCAATCTGCTTTCCATCACCTTTATAGTTATGTTTCTAGGAATTTCTTTGATTGGGCTGCTGACTCTTAAACTTTTCTGTAAGGCAAAAGTTTAGCAGACATGCTAAATTGACCTAATAAAGAACGTTATACCTTGAATAAATACACATAGTATGCAATTGAATATCTCCTACCAACTGATGAGGGTATATTTCATCATTCTTTTCACTTATCATTTGTTAGCCTCCGGGCATATTTAAAAGAAGATCCTCATCAGCCCTGATGAATGCTGGTATTTGGCCAGCTCTACAACTTCAGAACAAAGTGGAGGAATGACTCAATTATCCCTGCTCATGCCCGAATTATCTGTGTAATTGGGACAGAGAAGTGCAAGCAAAGAATATTGCCTATTGCTATTTTTAAGCTCTGCTCCTGCTGCATTGTTCTTCTTATGTTTCACTAGTGCTGTCACTGGCTTTAAATATTTTACATATCATAATTAATGATTTGGTTGCAACCTGAGGCTTTCTTAGCAAAGGGCACAATTTTGCAAATAATTACATAGGTGATATCATTTATGAATAGAAAATGAACAGCTACATCATCAGTGTGTTTCCAGTTCTGCATATTTAAATAGCATGTTGTCATTCATGAGTGATAGTTGTAAGGGGGCTATTATTGTCGAAAGCTCAGGTATGTGTGGGAAGGAAATGAGCATTAATAGGATGATAATTGATCTTTAATGATATAAAGAGAGAATGGTCTACTTAACCTCCAGAGTGCTTAACGGTAAAGGGGAAACATATTCAACTAGATCTTCATGCACAAGCATGAGGCTTTATGCTCCCTGGGTTGTATTTTGGTTTTGGTTTTGTTTTTTCCTTTTAAATAGAAAGTGGAACTCTAGCCCTTAAAAGGCAAAACAAAATACAATTCAATCAAAGCCCAGACTTTAGAAAACCTGTGGTACCATACTTTCATGTCATGCATTTTATAATGATAAATAGTAGGTGTTTCCAATTTTAGTGAACTCTCCTGTTTACTAAGTAATAGTTTACATTCATTTAAAGTTAGATGTCTGCTATTGAAGGGAAAACCTGTTTTAATACTCAATCTAAACGGGCACTTCCACAACCAAAGACAACTTGGCTATAAATAGATAGTCATGATGTTATTGCAGCTGAGGAGATTTCATCCCATTAGAAACTTCACTCAGAAATGTAGAGGAGTGCTTAATAATGAATGAATGAATGTGATTTAAGGCCGCTTTATAGTGATGACACTTTTCCTATAAATATTACAGAGACGTTTAAATTTTTATCTCCCGTAATTCTAATGAATGAATTTTCCTGACCCTTACTGAAAATGATACCTGTAAAGTCTGCAATTTACTGATGATTGCTTGGCCTATTAAAGAAACTTGGGTTTCCAAACATTTTCATTTCATTCATAGATTCCTGTAATGCCTTTGGAACCAAAGTTCAAAGAATTGCTTCCAGCATTAACCATTGGAAAAATGTTTTAGTTTCTTTAACAACTAACTAACTTCATTAACACATTAAAAGCCCAACTGAAGTGGAAATGTGGGGACATGGATGAAGCCACTTTCCTGTGGGTGGTGTGCTAGGAAAATAAACAATAAAAGGAAGGAGAATGGTGCTGCTGTTGCTGTACTTTACATGGGTGCGTTCAACCCATTTCCATTTGCAAAACGAGTAAAATACTATTGCATTCCAACTTGATAAAGCATAAAGACTAAAGGACTGGGAGCCAGAAGTCTTGTTATAATTACTTTCAGTGTTAAAGTGTTGATACTAAGTAATAACTATGTACTAACACTAATTAAGTTCTATCAAATACAAGAGAAGGCTATCCTACAGTGATCTAGAATTATCAAAATTTCCAGAAAACTGTAGCTTAACTTTTCCAGCAACAGAGTTTGATTTATTTACCAATTTCTTTTGATGAAAAACTGTCTAAATTGCCAATAATTCCACCTACATGGCCTAGGTAGAATGAATATCAAACACATTTAATTTATTCAATTAACAATTTTTGAAAATCTACTATGATTTGACCACTGTACTAGGGGATAAGGATGTGCTATTTCAAAGAGTGTATCTGCAAAGTTCACAAGAATATGAGCATACAAACTACTATGAGAATATAGTAGGGAGAGATGAACTGGGACGCTTTCCAGCCATAATGCTGGACTGAATATTAAGGGATGAGTTCTTTCTTATTCATGGAAGAAAATACATTTCAGGCAGAGAGCAAGTATTGGAAGCATCCATAAATAGGGAACAAAATTTAACTTTTCTGATAACATGTGTTCTTGGTTCATACTTTTCCTCCTCCTCACCCTCATATTTAATTGGTCACTGTAAATTTGATTCCTCCCACCCCACCATATCTCATGAAACTCAACTCTTTTTCTCATATTTGCCCTACTACGACTGCCTTAGTTCAGGTTCTCATTGTTCTTCCGTGGACTATTATTACAGTAGCCTTCCTGCCTCCTGCCTTGCCTTCCATCCTATTATCCACACTGTTCTCAGAATAAGTTTCTTGAAACACATACCCAACCCCATGGCTCCCGTCTTTTGGCTCCACCAACTCCTGGAGGAAACCCAGACCCCAAGCACTATTCAGAACCTTTTTTCCTGTCACATTTTCATGTCCATACTTCTCCTTTCCTCAACTCACTGATTTGCTTACAATTTTCCAAACATTTTATGCTTTTTTTGGTCTCCCTGCTTTTACACATGCTCTTTTCTATGCCCGAAACCACCCTTCATCTCTTGGCCCTCGGCCCAAACTCTACATGTCTTTTAAGACACATATCAAGTATTCTCTCCCCATAAAAGCAGTTCCTGACTCTCCCTGCTTCACTTAGAGGATCCTCCTTTGTTTTCTCATAATATACATTCTTCTCGTCTAGTCTGTATTTCAAAATTAATAGTTTGTGTGTGTGTGTGTGTGTGTGTGTGTGTGTGTGTCTTGCTAAAAAATAAGCATCCTGAGGGCAGGAACTATGTTTTATCTCTTCATATATGACTCCTAACACTATACTCTGCATAACAGAAATTATCGAGAGATGAATGAATTAATGAGGTACTTCTATTTCCCAGGATTGCAATGTGTTCACTATTCTTATATACTGATATCACATATTATAGAAAAATTCAGTCATCTTGAAGTTCTCTTGTAAATTTTGGTACATCCATTGCCTAGGATGAGTCCCTTAGAGTCCCTGGCTCATAGACTCTGATCCATCAATACTTGTTGTTGCTTGAATGAATGAAGGAATCTAGTGTTATGGGTTGAATTGTATCCCTCCAAAAGATGTTGAATCTTACATCTGTAGTAGCTCTGCCTTATTTCCTTATTTGGAAATAAGTTCTTTGCAGATGACCAAGTAAAGATGAAGTCAGTAGTGGGAGTCTTACTCCAATATGACTGCATCCTTATGGAAAGTGGATATTTGGACACAGAAAGAAACACAGGGAGAATGCCATGTGAAGATTGAAGTGATGCTGCCACAAACCAAGGAATGACAAATATTGCTAGAAAATAAATGAAAGCTCAGAGAAAGGAATGGAGCAGATTCTCTCTTGTAGCCCTCAGAAGGATCCAACCCTACCAACATCTTGTTCTTGGGCTTCCAGCCTACAGAGCTTTGAGACAATAAATTTCTGTCATTCTAAGCCATTCAGTTTGTGGTACTTTGTTATGGAAGCTCTAGGAAACTAACATACCTAGAAGTAAAGGTTTAGGTATTTTCAGCACATCCAGGGACTAGTATGAATCTGTAGGAAGACTGCAGTGGCTATTAATGAAAATTGTGGATGTAGTGAAGGCAGAAGTTTAAGATTCACTGTCAACCATGGCTAGTGAGAGATTTTTTGTGGGTGTTGGGAAAAAGATACAGATTCTTGTGTTAAGGAGTGTTGGGGAAATCTGTATTTTACAGTTCAGAAATAGATTCTTAGATGACTGATCGAAGCATGTGTAGTTTTACAAAAACCACCCCAGGTGATTTGGGTGTACACCCAAGTGAGTGACTGGGAAGTAATGACCTTCTCCTTTGCCACCTCAGGCTGGCTCAAGCAGGGTTGCACTGCCTCCGTCTGGGTTACCTTTTCTTCTCTGTGTGCATTTCACTAATGGTCAGATTGCAGCGAGTGTGAGACAGGACCCCCTCGTTCATTTTCGGATGAGGCTCTGCTCACTGATGATAAACCTGTTTAATTTTACAATTGCAACCTTTTCTCATTTTCAGTTTGGCTTTCTTCCTATTTTTCAAAATTCACATATAGTACTCAGTCTTGATAAAACTTCTGCAGTTTCTCTCTGAGGTTGGGCTTTCCCATCATATTTATTTAAGGAAACAACCCTTTCTCTATCCCCCTACCTGACACACCCCACGAATCTTGCATTCTCTGTTTTTCTACCTGGCTCTCAAGCATTGCTCCCTGTATCAGAACAGCTGGACTCAAACATTGCCAAGACTAGTTAAACATAAGTCTTTCCAGGTTAACTATTGATTTATTATCTGATTGAATGTTTTGCCCTTTTGAATTTAAAGTAAATCAGGATCTCAAGAGAATCAGAGGGAAAGGGCATAGGGTTAAATGGTTGTTTCACAAACATTCAAAGAGGAAAGATACTTTCAGAACCAGGCTAATGTACATTGCTTATGAAGAAATACAGAGATTCTAGTATTTTTTTAAATTAATAAATATAAAAGCAAAATGGGACCAAGAGATTTGAATTTAGTGTACATAAAATGAAAGAGCTCGTAGAACTTCCTCTGCATTTAAAGCAATCAGCTAGAGCACAACCTAAGTGGAAATGGATATGTTTGAAAAAATCTATATGCTCGTTGCCGAATGGTATGTTTGAGAGACTTGCTAAGTGCTTACATTAATACATCCTGAAGTACTTTCTAATCAAACATATTATTGCATTACTTTCCATACTGCTGTAAGTTGGAAAGTTTTCTCATATGTTAGTGGTTTTTAAAATCACATATTAAGTCCTCATTGCAGATTCAATTCATCATCTCCCATTATTCTAAAATGTTGTGTTAGTTTTCGCTAAGCTTTGTGGCTGGCCATTGTTATGCCTCAACATACCAGGCTGTCAGTTTGGAGATGGTGCATCTGCTGTCCTTGTTGTGCAAATCGGGTAGTGTTTTTTCCACAATTAGACCAGTGGCTGTTGGTGTGTGTGTTGGAGGAGAGGATACTTGCAGTGATGACAAGTGGGAAAAATTTATTCTGTGGAAGCTCAAATCATTTTGGTGAAGCCAAGTTCAAGGCCCATCCAACATATGTCTATAGCAACTTGTGGCTGAAATTTTACACCTGCTTATATTATACATGAATTGGGCCTGGTATCATGTGAATTGTTGTTGGTGAAACTTGAAACTATGTAAAAATTATCTGGTTTCAGCTCTGGTTTCCAAAGACTCACACAATAATGATAGAGTGTGCAGGTGAACCTGGGCGCATTTGTATAGTTCTACTGGCTTAAACCCAGGGGACTGTTAGTGAGTTAAAGCTGTGAAACAGGCAGGAGAAGTGGTCATACATTTCTAGGGGAAAGTGTAACAAGGATCAGAGATACATTCAAATGAAAGAAGCTGGTAAAGCCAAATCTTTCCTGGAGAACACCAAGAGTGCAGGCATTGCCTCTGCCCCTCATCCACCACTTATACTTTGAAACTTTCTATTATTCCTTCCAGATTCAATTCAAATATCACCTTCTCTGTGAAACTTTCCTTGACCCCACTGATCAGCACTAGACGATTCTATCCTCTGTGCTTCTCAAATACTTTATTTCCCTCTATTCTAAATGTAAGTACATTTTCTGGCAATTTTGTTTATTTCTTTTTTCCCCTCCCCTTGCCAACTCTGAACTCTAAAACACAGAAACTATTATATTTATTCGTTGTTGTGTTCCTAGTAGTTAGCATAGTGCCTAGCCTGTAATAACCAATCAATATTTGTTGCATGAATACATGACAGAATTGGTTGACTATGTGTCATCATTTTTGTTTTGCTGTTTAAGAAGTGTATGTAAGCAGAATGTCAAGCCATAAAAAGGTGCAGGGATTACTAAGAAATTGGTCTACTGTTGTAAATAAACTCTTGCATCTTCTAGTGGGGGGTAAATGTGGGAAAGAACTAAGGAGACCAAAGCCTAAGCTAAAGCAAAGAGTACTTAGAGCCAAGGCTTCAGAAAACAGAGGCAGAGTCATGAAGGACTGGGTATTGGTTTATCTGCACTAGGGTTAAGCAAGAAGAAAGAAATGAAAATGAAACAAAAAAAGAAAGAAGAATTTAGCTAGATATAAAAAAGCTGTTATGTTTGTTTATAAGTGACTAAGTGACATTGTAATACTTTCCTGCTTCAACCTTCATCTAACGAATGTTAAAAAAATGACTAAAATTTCAGGACCAATTATACCTTTTTACAGCTTAAAACCCCTCACTGTCACTGGATATTACTTCTTCTTATTCTTTTTTTTTTTTTTTTTTTTTTTGATGGAGTCTTGCTCTGTCTCCCAGGCTGGAGTGCAGTGGCACTATCTCAGCTCACTGCAACCTCCGCCTCCTGGGTTCAAGCAATTCTCCTGCCTCAGCCTCCCGAGTAGCTGGGATTACAGGCACGTGCCACCACGCCTGGCTAATTTTTGTATTTTTAGTAGAGATGAGGTTTCACCATGTTGGTCAGGCTGGTCGCAAACTCCTGACCTCAAGTGATCTGCCCACCTCGGCCTCCCAAAGTGCTGGGATTATAGGCTTGAGCCACTGTGCCAGGCCTGGATATTACCTCTAGTATTATTTTCTAAACTTGCCCAAGAGTAATAATTCCCTAGGACATGAATAAACAATGGAGATCCCAATACATCTTCTGAATGAGAGTCTTGGGAGGTAGAGGCTGGGAATCTGCTTTTTAATAAAACATTTGGTGATTCTTATCAAGTTTGAATTTATCTTCAGGATGAAGGTGCTTTTCCTTAGAAAAGCAAGTCTACTCCCTGGCTCTGGCCTCATTTGCTATGCTTTCCCATTATGTTCTAGTACTAATAGCAAACAGTTTCAGATCTCCATTTCCTTCCAAATGCTGTCATCTTTACTTAAATTCTATTCACACTTCAAAACCAACCTCAAATGATACTTCCTCTGAAAAGCCTGTTTGCACCCTCCTCCAAAAAGTACTGGACTTTATCGTATCACATTGTCTTTTCTGACCTTCATTTATGTTTCCTTTATAGCAGCATCTTCTTAAGATTAGCAAACATGTCTAATTTATTTATGTTATGTGTCCAAGACCTAGCTTAATGCCTGGCACATAACAGACATTCAAGAAATCCATCCATCCACTCATTTATTCATTCATATATTTAATTATTCATTTAATATATATTGCTTGACTTCTTGTTATGTGCTAGATATCTCTAACCTACATACCTTTAACCCTTTGTTAAAAGCTGTCTCAAATGATGCTCCTCTGTGATGATTATCTGGATGGCTTCAGCCTTGCCAGGACTCTCTCATCTTTATAAGCTTTCATAATGACCACATCCTATATTTTTCCCTCTCTCTCTTTTTCTCTTTTTGTAAATGTCCATTTGATTAGCATGAAAATGATTTGTAAGCAGGGACAACAGTTTAGATTTTATTTGCATAAAATACTGTAGAATACAGTGGCATGTTTGGAGTCGGCTATATCTATAATTATATATTTTTTACATATCTGTAGTAAATATGTCACAATGCTAATGTTTTTTAAGTGTCAGTGATGGGTACACAGGAGTCTGTGATGTAAGTTTCTGAGGCTTGAAATAGCTAATAATTTTAAAATATTACAATATTTTAGGTCCAGAATTCTTGGCCTGAGAATCATTTACCCTTTAGTTCAGGAATTTAATAAACTCCCTGAAATTATATATAATTATTAAAGTATGTTTATTTTTTGGAGAGTGAAAGCTCATAACTTCAAGTACATTTTCAAAGAGTTCTATGACCTCACATCATTTAAGAGCAATTCTTCTGGACATGTAGTAATAATGGCAGAATAATTTATTTGTGGAGAAATGTATAATTTACAAAGAACTTTCTCATGCATTAGGCTTTTCATTCCTCACAGCAGCCCTGAGAAGCAGCCATGGCAGGCATTCTTAACTATTGATCAAATAAGGAAACTAACACTTGGATAGGTTAAGAGCCTCCACTGGAGCTTATGTCTCACAGCTCCAGAGCTGGAGCTCTTTCTGCTATTTGCACCAAATGGCTTCTTTCCATAAATACTGGTTTGCTTAATCTTCTTTGGACATATGGAGTAGGTTAAGCTCCTGCCAGCAGCAGACAGGCAGGTAAAACTTAAATTACCCTTTATACTTAATGAATGAGGTGAGTTACTTTCATCTCTCAGTCATTAGTCATCAGTGTCCTGCTTGTGTATAAAAGGAATTTCCTTCTCACTCCTTTATCCTAAATACAGATTAATTAGGAAAGTCCCTGGACTCTCAGCATCAGAATCTTCTTGTTCATCATTGAGAACCATTTGTGGAATGCATTTCATACTCAAGACACTGTACTTAGCACTAACAACTCTAAATGAGAGCTGATATAAGCAGGCAGCTGGACAATTAATGCCAAAGTAGGCTAGCTGTCCAGCTACTGCAATCACTAAATACAGTTTCAGCAATACAGAGGAGTGTATGTTGAGGGTCTTAAAATGAACACTTTGATTTCTACTTCTAAAAATTGGTCTTAAATAATCATAAATCTTGAAAACGTTTACAGAGAGCATTATTAAAAATGTTAAAAGAATAGATACAACATAAACCTCCAACAATAAATCAATTGGTATGCAAATTATGATTAATCACTTAGCTGATGAACAAGTGATTCTTAATCTTTTCTTTTTAACTCAACACACTTGAGGCACACCACACCTTTACCTGCAACACTGAATCACTATTGCAAAGACTGACAGCTGAAGAAGCAAGAAGCGATAAATAAAAATCTTTTGAGGAAGGGCAGAAGGTCTACTTTAAAATGCACTTCATGGTGTTCTGCCACTCTCCCCCTTCCTAGTATAAGAAATATTCTTACTTACTGGAAAATTAATGGTTTATGACATTATAAAATATTCATCTTTTGGTTTTGACTATCTACTGTTTCTCCTAGCTGCACTTTTGGTAACAGCACCTTACCTTTCTTTGGGAAATTGCTGTTTTCCAACTTATTATTCCCAGAGGTGTCAGTCACAGTACTCCGCACCGACACTGAAACTGATCCAGGGTCAACCAGAGTCTTTCCCTGGGAGCCCGAATGCCCCTCATTCCTCTGGGGTCCTAAGCTGCCAAGACATCAAAACAATCTCCCCCTTCTTGACACATTATATGGATGTTTCCTGTTTGTAATGACTACGAAAAACACCTGCTCAGCACATTCTCCCAAGTTACCTGCATGAACATAATTATCTTTTGTTTTCCCCTTAAGTTAATTTGTTTGGGTTTTTCTCACAAGCAAAGGAGTCTTGACTATAACAAGTTAATATGGATCATAGTAATGTACATGCACTAAAAACAAAACTAAACAAAAAATCCAGCAAAACTCCAAAATTGCATTCATTAACTAGTACCCTGAAACTGTTCTAAAATAATGATTATTGATTTATTATAGATGGATTTTTCTCTTGGTCATTCTACTTTTCTACATATTTTCCCAAATTTTCTATAATAGGTATATACTTCATTTTAAACTGTAAACAGCAGCAGTCACAACACAAGTAATTTGGCACCATGGCAACCTCCCAGAGAGGAAGGAGAACAGGAAGGGAGACATACAGGCAGTTAGGTACAGATTGATTACTGAATGGTATATTGTTTCCTTCCCAGTTCCACCAATTGCTTCTTGGGGAAATATGCTAAGCTCTGTTGATATATTTAAGTTAAATGCTGTCAAACATCTATAGCTATCATAAAGGTTAGTAGTGGGAAATGTGAAATTGACATTTGTTCCTGGGAAATGTGTTGGTGGTTTACTGGGAGAGAATGTCTGGTAATTAGAGGGAAAGGTTAAAAAAGAAGGCCTTTATTTTAATAGATAGTACAGAGTAAATGTCTTGGTCAATCTTATGAGACTCATGAAATGTTCTGACATCACTGGAGTTAAGCTGCCAAAAGAGATACTGACTGGGCCAGGACTAAGATGGACTATCTCAGCAAGCCATCTGCAGTTTAATCCCAGCAGCTGATTGTTAGATAATGTTTGACTATTACTTCAGGAGGAGTGAAATGGCTATGATGATCTTTATATCCTCTTAGCTTTATCAGCAATTGTCAGAGCCTTGAATACAGCTGACTTTAGGTTATCTTTCTTTATCCGAGAGAAGCCCCAGGTTCTAGAATCTCATGATGTGTGATAGCCATCCACTCTAAACCAAGGGACAATAACAGAGCCTCCACAATAGACTACAACCAGTGTAGGTTTCTGAGTCTTCATGTAGGCAATTTACTAGTAAAGTGCAGGACATTTAAAACTGAGCTAAGGGTTATAGTATAATGGGATTCAGTCTCACTGTCAAGAGATGGATGTAGCAGGACTCTCCAAGCTAATGTAGTGGTTAAGAGATTCTTGGGGGAAAAAAAAATCACATTAAGTATAATCTTCGGAAATTTGAACAGTAAACTCAGGCAGTCATCATTTAGTTCAAGAACTGTGTTCTGCAAACTGACATTCCAAATTAGAGAAGATTAAACCATGACATGGGTTGGAGGAACATCTTTTATGGCCCCTCTCTGCCCTGTGTTTCTGAGACATGTTCTCGTGACAGATTAAAAAGTTAATGTGGTGGTTGCACACACTTACCCAAACACGTTATTATTTGACCCTGAGATAAGAAAATTAATTTAGCAGAGACTTGTATCAGGGCTTTATCATGACTCACCTAGATCTCCACTATTGGCTGATCTCAGCTTCTACCTGTTAACCCTTCCAGTTCATCTTCCTCACCATTACTCATCAGTCATCTTCCAAAAATAAGTCTAATGAGAACTTGCTTCTGTGTAAAAATAAAACAAAACAACTGAAGAACCAAACTCTTCTGTTAGTTTTCTATTGTCCATAGAACTAAATCTACTTCTTTATGTTGATAGTTATTCTCACCCCAACCTATCACCTTGGACCACTTCCTGCTGCTCTTCACAGGCTCCTGTCTTCTCCAGCTACCTCAAATTTCCACATATTCCTTAATATGCCAAGATTTTTTTGTGTCTCTGAGACTTTATTCACATAGGTTCATTGGAATGCTCTGCCTCCTCTACTGTCAGGGGAGGTTAGTGCAAGAGAGAAACACAGAAGGCAGTGGTGGGGAGCTGTAAAAATCATGGTAGAGAATTTGTACTTAAGAGCAGAAGCTAGACTCAGGTGATCTTGAATGAAAATGCTTAGGGTGATAACTGTCTGGGATCCTCTTCTATTATCAGGAATCTGGGATTTCCGGAAAGAGAGGGACTCCATAACAAGTCGCCAAGTTGTGTTATAACTTACACGCTTGCAATTTTTTTTCCTCTTGCAGTTTAAGTCTCTAAGAATATGCCCTTCAGCCTTCTTACCTTGACTTCTGGAACTTTATTGGTGAAAAAAAACTACGGCATGACTCGTAAGTACAAGATAATTTGGTTTAAAAGCACATTTTTATGTATTATGTGCATAGGATATATCAAATGTTTTACCCTCCAAATTGGCAATTATAAAGACTTTATTTACTATTTTTATTTATAATTTGGATGACAGAATAATGACCAGAAATACTGTTGTTGACAATATTTTATCTGATTCCAAGATAAAAAAGTATTTAAAATGCTTTGAGAATTTGAGAAATGTGTAGATATAATTTAACACTGCTTGCAATACTATGTAAAGAAAAGAAAAATGATCTCTGAATATATGTTAGTTAAGATAGGCTTCAAGAAGATTCCAGAAAAAGATTTATGGGTCACTTTGGACCATAAGCAAAATATTAATTCACAAGATTTATACTTTATTGTTAGTAAAGTGTTTAGAAATGTGAATTAGTTATGAAGTGTAAGGTTATCTTTCCATTACTTGAAGAATTTACAGTTCTTAGATAACTGAACCTGTATCTGTACTCTATGACATAAACAACAGATAAAAACTTGGAAAACATCCATTGATAAGAAAAAAGGTGGATAAGCAGTGATAAAATTGTTACATAGTGTGTATCAGTGTGTATTAAGAATGCTATCATAAATAATTCTTATGTATTATTACATTGAATCCTAACAACGACTCTTTAAGAAAGTTGACTAAACTGGGTATCATACTTAATAAATTAGTTGCCCATATTATTAGTCAATGTTAGAGCCAAGAATCTCATCCAGAACTGTGCCCAATTACTATAACTTTTACTGAATACCAAACTGCCTTTAGAAAAAAAATTATTTATTTGGCCTAGAAAAAGTAATATTGCAGGAGGCTGTGGGTATTATAAGGGATATAATTACATGCAGAATGAGAATTCTTGCTTTCATTGAAGTCTGGAAAAAAACACATTGAATTATACTGCAACAGCAGAAGTTTCAGTTAGAGTATTTGGAGAAGAGGCAAGAATTTATTGCCTTGAAAGGCGGTGGAGTCTTCTCTGAGATCAAAAGCTTTAAAGGCCTACAACTTTCTCTCTGGAGGTGAGGTGTTCACCGTGATGAAGCCCGAAATCAGCCCTAACTTTTGGCTTTAGTTCATCAGGGTACTGTACACTTACCGAGTATCTTTAGAGACTCCAGGGAAGGCAGCAATTAATACTGCTTTATTGTATAGGATAGCAGGACTTCTGTTGGAACAGCTGTTTGTTGATCCAGCTGACATTCTCTTTCATCCACCCATCCATTGTTCTCCTTAAACAATAGCAAGATACCAGTGTGAGTTTTACTCACTCTAATGAAAAGGGTTGAGTTTCTCTCCCTATAAATATTTTCAAAAGCCTTGATGATTCATGGGATTTGCACAAATACATTTAGTGCTGAAAGTAAGTGTATAAGGCATTTGGAGAATACTCTGCCCCTGGCATTACAAAAAGGGGAGGGCACTTACATTAAAAATAACTCTGCTTATGCTTTTAAGGCAAACACATTCTTCATTACTCTTCTTCCTACTTCAACTCCCTGCCCTGGAAAAAATAAACATCATCTGGAACAAAACTTGACATAAGAGAAGACTACTTCTTGGGTGGGCATGACTGCAATCTTGCCTGAAGCAAGGAGTATACACAAAATGACCTTTAAAATTTCCTTTCAACCCCATTATTCACTGGGTTTATCTAAACATTGTTTATGAAGGAGGATAAAATGTAGATAGGTTCTCAAATGCAGAAGGCAGCAAAGACTTACTGACTCTTGTTGCAAAGGGGAAATTGGATTTGTACCTTCATCTCCTGCATTTCTCATTTATTTCATTCAGGTGTGCAGGGGATGTAGCAAGTATCAAATTCAGCTATGAAACTCAGCTGGTACAATAAAACCCTAGTGGCTTCATCTCTTTTTTCCCCTACAGAAATCTACATTTTCCTTTCAACTTAGTAGTAGTTCTTTATTCTTCTCTGTTAGAGAAGATTCCAAATTTTAAAAACTCCCTCTGGACATTTTTCTTGTAGCAATGCTTCTGAAAAGAGGGGCTCAAAGTAGACGTGAGATTAAATTCAAACACCTGTGGTTTCCCCCAGTACTTCCCAAGATATTAGATCATGCAACCTGTCTTGTTTCTATTCCCTGTCTTTCATCTAGACCCCGAATCCCAATCAGCCCAGATTTCTGTTTCTTAAAATTTAGGATGCAGCTTGAGTGCCACCTTTTCAAAGAGCTTTTCTGACCACCCTAATCTAGAGTAGCCACTCAGTCATTATCACATCGCATTGTTCTGAGACTCTGCCTGGAATTTGTTACTATTTAATTTATCTAATGCTCACATCTCTCATTAGAATGTCTTCCATGAGAACAGATACGTGTCTGCTTTATTCACATCTGCATACTTAGCAGTTTACAACAGAACTTACAAACAGTATGTATCCAATTAATATTTGTAGAATGAATTAATATATGGTGCTCTCAACAGGGAATACATTGCATATTCCATGAATAATTTCATATTATACAAATCACACATACACCGGGAGCTATTAACAAATATACATTACTTGCCACCAAATTTATATTGATTAGTAAGGGTAAGGAAGTGTATTAGTCTGTTCTCACACTTTTATAAAAAACTACCTGAGGCTGGGCAATTTATAAAGAAAAAGAGGTTTAATTGGCTCATGGTTCTGCAGGCTATACAAGAAGCATGTCTGGGAGGCCTTAGGAAACTTACAATCATGGCAGGAGGTGAAAAGGGAAGTAGGCACGTCTTACAAGGCTGGAACAGGAGGAAGAGAGAGAAGTGAGGGGTGGTGCTATACACTTTTAAAGAACCAGATCTTGTGATAACTCATTCACTATCACAAAAACAGCACCAAAGGGGGAAATCTGCCCCCATGACCAAATCACCTCCCACCAGGCCCCACCTCCAACTTTGGGAATTACAAGTTGACATGAGATTTTGGTGGAGACACACACATAAACCATATCAGGAAGGTAGAGAAAGCACAAAGTTTGGGCAGATTTCCCTAAAATACGACATCCAAATGCAAGGGTTTATTCCAGTATTGCCTCTTTAAATTAGCAAAACTGCTTTCCTTATAGAACTATCTAACAAGAATGAGTTCTTAGCATCCTTGCTGGTCTCAAATGTTACAATGATCCCTTTGTCACCTTGTTGCCTCCCTGCTCTTTTTCTCAATCTAATCTTGATCATCTGGGATCCAGATCTCTTGATTTAAACACTACTTCTAGGCCTGAGACCAATTCTATGAACAGATCTTAGTTTTATTCTTCAGCTTAAAATTGTTCATACCCCTTGAAGTGTATCTGCTCTTAGCCAATTTGGATAACAGCTTGAGCAGACCTGCTTTGCACTTCTGGGCTCCTATCCTAGCCTCCCTTTACCAAGAATCTGAGATCAAGAGACCTGTGGTTTTCTCAAATCTTTGCAGTTCTCAAGTCTTTGAAGTGATTCCTCTCTTCCCCATTGATCACTTTTTCCGTTTTTGTCCATTCTTCTATGTTTGTCTCTGCTCTTTCCATTTGACTGGCCATATTTTATCAATTATTAAGCTTTAAACAGTCCCCAATCTGGAAGACAAAGCTTAAATCGTCCCCAGTCTGGAGGACAAAGACAAGTTTGGAAATCAAACCATACCTCTAATATCTGCCTTAATCGGCACATCTACAAACTA
This sequence comes from Homo sapiens, assembly GCF_000001405.40. NCBI lineage: Eukaryota > Metazoa > Chordata > Mammalia > Primates > Hominidae > Homo > Homo sapiens. The sequence goes on from NC_000011.10 coordinate 28,745,596, forward strand.
TATTGACTATGTTTACATTCACAGTGTATTTAAAAGTTTACTAGCATCACCATTAAATATGGTTGCAAGACTTCCTTGAAGATAGAGGAGGAATTTTCTACTTCTTTCACTGGACTTCAAATTGAATATTTCGGTAATGGTAATGATTTTAGCTTACTGAAAAAGCTACCTAATTTTTTCTGAAATTGATGACTGGTGCCACTCTTAGCATCAACACTTAATGAAGGAGAGTTGCAGCCAACTATTTCTTTAGTTGCATAACCAAGACTGCTGAGGGGGACAAAAGTAAAACAATGGTCATGACATTGCAAGTCTTCCATTAGTTGGCTCAAAACTCTCTTTGTTTAATTACATTAAAAAATTTAGATTTATAGGAGTATAGAAATATATTTATTATAGAATCATTACATAATATTTATATTATATAAAATAATAAATATATTTATAATATTTATATATTATATAAACTTATATATAAATAATTATATAATATATAATAATTCCTTTTCAATGTTAGAAAATTTAGAAAGCATAGATAAGGAAAATACACCCACACCCAAACTCACAAACACATCTACACCCACACACACTCCCAACCTTACTTTCTTTTATTTAGAAAATATTTTTTTTTGAGACAGAGTCTCACTCTGTTGCCCAGGCTGGAGTGCAGTGGTGCTTTCTTGGCTCACTGCAACCTCTGCCTCCCGGGTTCAAGCGATTCTCATGCCTCAGCCTCCTAAATAGCTGGGATTACAGGAGTGTGCCACTAAACCAGGCTAATTTTTCTATTTTTAGTAAAGACAGGGTTTCACCATGTTGACCAGGCTGGTCTTGAACTTCTGACCTCAGGTGATCTGCCCACCTGTGCCTCCCAAAATGCTGAGATTACAGGCATGAGCCACGGCACCTGGCCCAAACTTCGCTTTCTAGTTTGTTTTTATTGCTGTGCTAAACTTCTTCCTCAGCCACACGTACAACTGGCAGTCTCATAAATACATCTAACTCTCCCTGTCTTTGCCCAGACTGCTCTCTCAACATAAAAAATCCTTTCAAATCTCTCCTCTTTCACAAAGCATACTTACTAGTCAGAGTCCGACTTACATGCTATATTCTCTGTCTAAATTCCTCATGTCATTTCAGATGAAACAAATCTTTCTTTCCTCCCTTCCAAACAATCAATTTAGCTCATCCCTCAGACTTTTGATTTGGGGGTCTCATGGCTTTGAAACTTGTTGGAACTTGTGGCTTGATAGATTCAGGTTAAAATTTTTAACAAAGTTACTTCAATCAGGAGGACATATTGTCTGCTTTGTGCCTCTTTTTATGAATTTAGCAGTCATTGATTCTCAGTGTCTAGATCCATTAATTAACTGGGGGATGTCAAATGGTGATATTCTAATTTTATTTTTCCTTTATATTACTAGTGGAATACTTCTTTTAAGGAAATCTTAACTGTCATTTATCATTTGGTTACCCTGTGAAACAATTTGATAGGAAAGATGGGTTAGATGCCTGATTCTTATTTCTGCCTTTACTTATCAGGTCTCAAATCATGAGTTAATTCATTAGCAACCTACAAAGATGATTGTCACTTAAAAAATCATTCAGTAATAAAACAATATATAGATGATCCTTTACTATCGGATAAATTGAGAGACTGCATCTTTAAAAAAAGTTGTAAATGGTCACAGGGCAAATGTTTATTTTTATTATTATATTATGGTACAATATAATCTTTTTATTGTTTTATTATATTTCTATCTCTATTACTATAGAAGGCTGAAAAAATTTGAAGTTGAGTGATTCCATCTTTTCTGTCAACTTCTAGCACTAAACCATTTCATTTTCTATAAACAAATGTTCTATCCTAATTTTATTCTTCTTATTTAGCAAATAATAATTTTAAATCTTTTATATTCCTCAGCTTATTACATCTAGGAGACCTCATCCAGTCTCATTGTTTTAAATATAGTTTATATGCCAATAACTTCCATGTTCATAATTTCTGTTTAGACCTTTACCCAAATGTACTCAACTCTTTACTTTGCCCTTGACATCTCTATTTAGATGTCTAATCGTTATCTCTTACTCAACAGGTACAAAATTCAACTTCTGATCTTCCTTCACTTCTAAACCTAATATACTCACTGTTTTCTCCATTTCATTCAGTGGCAATTTCATCTCTTCAACTGGTCAGGCAAAACATTTGGAGTCACCCATATGCCCCCTTTATCTCTTATATCCCCTGTTGGCTATTTATCCAGAATATAAACATTTCTTACTTTCTTCACTGCTACCATCTTGGTTCAGTCAACATCATCTCTTGCTTAGATGGTTGCAGTAGTCTCTAGAGTGTTCTACCTACTTTTGCTCTTAGCTCTTATAATCTCAGATGTAAAATGTTAAAATGTATGTTAGATCATGTCACTTTTCCACTAAGAACCTTCTAAAACCTTCTCATCTCATTCACAGTAAAATCCCAAACCCTTCTGGTAGTTAATAATTTTATCTCCTACTATTAAGATGACATTAAACTCCTCAGTTTTCCTTTAGCTGGTAAATCACCACCCTCTTGAGGCCTTCAAATTTGTTATTGCGTCTTTTAGGAAGGCTCTTCTTCAAATTTTATTTCTTGTTCTATTATTTATTTCATCCAATTAACATTTTCAGTCTTTTCTTTCTTTCTCATATCACCCTTGGTTATCACCTTCTAATATAGAATTTACTTACTTGTATGGTTTATTTTCTGTTTCTCTCATTAGATCACAAGAGCCATAAGGGCAGGAATTTTGTTTTGTTCATTGCTTTATCCTCTACTTCTAGAACACTGTCTGGCAATAGTTGCTCAATAATTATTTGTGGATTTAATAAATGAATTTTGAACTTTGGCAGTCAAGATCTTTAAACTCTTATTTCTATTTTTCAGTTTTAGGATGCCCAGTTTGGTTACTTTTTAAATATTATAATTCTTTGTTGAAATTCTTACCTTTTTCTTCTACTTTGCCCAACTTTTATTTTCTTGAATGTATTGATCATAGTTGTTTGAAAGTCATTGTTGGGTATTTTTGATATCTGAATCGTCTGGAGGTCTATTTATATTGTCTATTTTTTACTTTGATTTTTCAATGATTTAATCCTATTTTTTATTTGCCTCATAATTTTTGCCTTGATAGATGAAACATTGCAGGGGCTCTTGATGACGGAAATTTGTCCAAAGAGGGTTAAGTTTTCTTCTATCAAGTAGATAGATTACTAGCAGATCATCATTGTCCTATTGAGGCTTGGTTTTAGGCTTTATTTGCAAGGGTTTTAAACATCTTTAAAATGCTTAAGTTTTGCCCTTACATCTAGGGTATAGTCCTTACTTCTAAAGTATGGCACTAAGTGTCACATTAATTCTAGAATGACCCCTTCTGAGGTCGTGGCTGAGAAATACCAAGACATTTGCAAATGTCTCCCACTTTTGACAAGAATTAAACTTTAACTTTTGTCTCCCCAGTGTCATGTGGCTGCTAATATTCATTCTCAGGCCTCTCAACTGCTATTTTCTTCTTTCTCTCACTACACCAAATAACCTAGAAGAATACAGCATATATATGCAGTTTGAGAAACAGTTCTGAGCAGTTAAGTTAGAAGTCAGCAGTTGTGAAGTGGAAATTTGAATGTAGATTTTTGAATTTATTCTTTGATCTTTTCTACTCTCCAGATGTTTTCCCTTCAAATGCTAGCTCCTTTGGCAGCCTTAAACTTCAACATCAATCTCCTGAGCAAGATCTTTATCTTTTTTCTTTATTAAAACTTTACTGCTTTTATAAAAATTACATATAATCATTGTGAAAACTAATATATCTTACAATGATCACATGTCACAATGACGTGATTGTTATAATGATCATATGCTTTTATCTGTAGCATAGCTTTGCTAAAATAGAAATTCTGAGTCAAAGTGCATGTGTTTTAAAGGTTATTAGCTACTGCTATGTTACATTACACACAATGCTTTTTTTTCCTCCAACAATATATAATTAATGCTTTCCCACATCCTCTCCAGAACAGAGTGTGATCAACGTATTGAAATTTCAATAGAATGCAGTGGGTTAATAATGGATTCTCAATGTTGATTTGATTGTATTTTTGGTTTATTCTTGAGTTGTGGATCTTTCTGAAGTTTTTGGCCATATTTCTTCCTTTTTCTGTGATTATTTTGTTTATATTATTGTCACATTAAATAATATTGTTTGTCTTGTTTACATTGATTTATAGAGACTCTTCGTGAACTAAGGAGCTTTAAGGCATTTTCAAACAATTTTTAATAGTCAAATTTTTATTTGACTATCGCTTTAATGGTCTTCCTTTTTATTCAAAATGTTAATTCATATACAGTCAAATCTATCAACACTTTCATGGCATCTGGATTTATTGTTTGATAAATGTCTCCTTGCCCTATGTTATACAAACATTTTCCTATTTTTATTATATTTTGGTTTTTACATTTTTTATTTTAATCCTTCTGGAATTTAATATTTTATACTGCAAAGCAGGGATTTAATTCTTTCATTCTAAGATCTATAGCTGCTTATGCTAAGATCTTTGATTAAATAAACTATGATTTTTCCACAAATACTTGGATTTGTGTGTTTATTTTTCAACTTATCTTCTGCACTTTTGCTTTGTATTTGGTCTTCACTTACTATATTGATTTTAATAAGCAGCATAGTATGTTTTATATGTTGCAGGACATTTATCCTCATCTCTTTTTTGAAAAATCTTTTAGAAGGTTTTTTATATTTGTGTTTTATACATAAATTTAAAAAATAAAACTCCCTAGTTTAATTTAAAATCTTTGAATTCTGAGTGGAATCTCATTAAATATATGTATTAATTTGAGGAATGTATTTATATGACATTGTCTTATGACTCAATAATACTGTAAGATACCATTTAGCTTTTTATTCAGGTTATGTTGATTTAAAATATGTAATAACTTTTAAACATTTTATTACAAGATACATAATAATTTTATCACTATTGTCAGCAGGGTATTAGTATTACATAAACCTATACATATTTTATATTTGAGATACATACATTTCAATGGGTTGCTAGAATAAAGAAAAAGTATATAAATAGTTTTTAAAAATCTAGTTAACCTTATCAGGATTTTCTCTTATTTATTATATATTTTATAGAGTTTATCTGGACTGTTAAATTGTATGCAAATAGAGATAAACTTGTTTTCTTGTTTCCCATAATTATATAGCTAGTTGGTTTTCTTATTGTATTGGCTAGAAACTACAACACAATGCTGAAAAATTGTAGGGATGGTAGTCATTTCAGTATTTTGTCTCATTTTAATGAGAATGGTCTTGGTATTTCAGTAGTTAATATAATGTTCATTGCCTGTTTTACAACAGAAACATTTTCCATCACATTTGATAATTAGTTTTCATGTCTTAGAATAGAGTTTGTATTAAGAATGGCTACTGAATTTTATAGAATGTCTTGGGTATATTTTATTATAATTATATGTTAATTTTTCCCCTTAACCATGTAAATTTAATACATTCTAACTTAAAAAAAACTGTCGAGACAATACGTCCATCCAAAATTTATAAAAATAATGTTCTCCTTATGGAAAAATGTATGTTTTTTAATACACTATTTTGAATGGGTTCATAATATTATAATCACTTTTTTTTCAATTAACAATGTAATGGAGATATCTTTTTTTTTTTGAGACAGTGTCTCACTCTGTAGTCCAGGCTGGAGTGCAGTGGCACCATATTGGCTCACTGCCACCTCTGCCCCAGGTTCAAGAGATTCTCCTGTCTCTGCTTCCCAAGTAGCTGGGATTACAGGCATCTGCCACCATGCCTGGCTAATTTTTGTATTTTTAGTAGAGGCAGGCTTTCACCATTTTGGCCAGGCTGGTCTCCAGCTCCTGACCTCAAGTGATCTGCCCACATCGGTCTCCCAAAGTGCTGGGATTACAGGCGTGAACCACTGCGCCCGGCCCATGGAGATTTCTTTCTTGACATTGTTCTATAGCAGTCACACACCGGTGGCTGCGCAGTATAGTATTACATGGATAGATAATGTGTCATGTTGGAAATGTAGGTTATTTGTTTTTAGCTACTAAACACAGTGTTTTCAGGTATTATTCAAGGATATTTTAAAAAGACTTGCAGCAGGGCGCAGTGGCTCACGCCTGTAATCCCAGCGCTTTGGGAGGCCGAGGCAGGCGGATCATGAGGTCAGGAGATTGAGGCCATCCTGGCTAACACGGTGAAATCCCGTCTCTACTAAAAATACAAAAAATTAGTCGGGCGTGGTGGCGGGCGCCTGTAGTCCCAGCTATTCGGGAAGCTGAGGCAGGCGAACAGCGTGAACCCGGGAGGTGGAGCTTGCAGTGAGCAGAGATCGTGCCATTGCACTCCAGCCTGGGCAACTGAGTGAGACTCCGTCTCAAAACAAAAAACAAAAAACAAAAAACAAAAACAGAAAAAAAGAAAAAGACTTGCAACCTGATTTTTTGCAAAGTGTGACTTAACTAATTGAGAGGAAACCCTTATTCACAGTCACACAAATATTTATTTATTTTCTTTCATCTGTCACAGCATATGCAATTTTATTGTCAACATTTAAAATCTTTGCTAATTTTCTACTCATCCTTAATGCATAACAGTCTATTTAAGAATTATTAGCCATGCATGGCTCTTTTTCTCCTCAGAACACTTCATAATCATGTAGGTTGGTTGGGTTTGAAAATATAGGATTTCTATATGTTTCTGTCCTTGATAGAGAAGAGAATTGAGGGGCAATTAGAGAGGAAAAACTAGAGGACTGTGGCAAACACTGTGAAGTAAGATAGGGCAAAATCATCATCAAAGAATCTTCCTCCCTTAGGAAAGTTTATCCTCAGAAACAGTCTTTACCTCAGATCATCTCTGTCCTTCATTCATCCAGATCTTTATGGAAGGTCATTTCTAGAACAGATCAAAAATTAAGTAGTCAAAAGAAAATGTAATACTTTCTATAAAAACTGTATAACTTCTAAAATAAACCAAAAGTAGCAATTAGTCAATGCACATCAGAACTGTAGAAACACAGAGTATATCATTAAAATTATTTGCTTTTGAAAAAGTATTTTCAGTCTTTCTCTAGATTGTGGAAAGCATCTAGCTTTTGAAAATGGAGAGATTTAGGTATATTGTTACAGCTTGGTAAGTAAGTCACATAAACTCTCTGAGGCCCAGTTGTGAAAATCGTAAAAGGTGAATGTGAAAACTAAAGGTAACATATGGAAAGGTCTTTGCATAGTGTGGGACACCCAGTAGGTGCTCTGTAAATGGTAATCAATTACTGAGCTAGCACTGTTGTTGATAGTAGGATACATAAAATATGTGTGGTTTACAGATTAGAAAATTTTCATACTTTTTCCTCTTAATGTTTTAAGAATTTATATTTCTCTTCCAGCTACTATTTGTTTATATTCATTAGTATTCATCCTGGAGAATGTCTTGGCATAGTAGATTATTGATGACAATGCTTCCTGTCCTACTTTTTGTTTGGAAGCAAGATTAATTTATATGCTGATTAATTTGGGGGGCTGGTTACCTTACTCCTCTGCTTTTGTCATAGATATCATTTGTTTGTAATCAATTTTCCTTAACCTTTATACACTTGAGGAGATGGCACATGAATACATTACTATTTGCTTCATACTTTCATTCATAAGACAAGTAGCAAATGAACAGGATGTCGAAAAATAGGTAAATTGGACTTCTGTTGGAAACGAGATGGTTTCAAATTTATAAAGAATTTTTGAAAATTCTTGCTAGCATGTGTATAAATGAAAATGCAGATATAATATATATGTATAATTTTAATAAATAAATATGTATGAAATTAGGAGAATGGCATAGCATAAAGAGTGCTCCCCCCAAGCCCCCTGCCATTTCACCATCCCTGCTTAAACTGTATATGTAAATTTAAGATAAAGAGAGGACCTCTAAGACTGATTTTTTTTTTGTTTGGTTGGTTTTTCTATCTCAGACCTGCTACTTAGTTGGTCTATTCTAGAGGAAATTCAAGCCAAGTTTTGGAAATGCATTTCTTTCTTGATGACTTTCAATCCTGATATTTTACAATGATAACACTGTTGAAAGTCTTTCTTGAATAATAATTTTATTACATTAGTTACCCAACAGTTGCCTTGAGTGGTAGTATGGGGATATTATATTACAAATAACTGATACCTTGACAGCCTGAGTTTTGTTTGTTTGTTTGTTTGTTTTTTGAGATGGAGTCTTGCTTTGTCGCCCAGGCTGGAGTGCAGTGGCGCGATCTCGGCTCACTGCAAGCTCTGTCTCCCAGGTTCACGCCATTTGCCTGCCTCAGCCTCCCCAGTAGCTGGGACTACAGGTGCCCACCACCACGCCTGGCTAATTTTTTGTATTTTTGGTAGAGATGGGGTTTCACTGTGTTAGCCAGGATGGTCTCGATCTCCTGACCTCGTGATCTGCCTGCCTTGGCCTCCCAAAGGAGATTTTTTAATAGTGGAAACTATAAATGGATATAGCTCAATGTTGACCATGATTCTGAGATTGGGTCTTAACTCATCTAACAACTTTTCCTAACTCATCTAGTAACTTTTCCTAACTCATCTAGTAATCCTGTGAATGATCACCAACAATTATCAGCATTAGTGGATTTTTTCTAGCTGTCTCTTGTCACTAAAGCTTTATTATGGGGTACAATCACAAAAGGTCATTCAGGGAAGTAGAAGAGTTACTAGGTAGTAATTCAGAAGACGGAATAAGAAGAAGGAAAGACGGAAGATAGGGAGACAGGGAGGGAGGGAGGAACAGAGGGAAGAAGGGAAGGAAGGAAGGAAAAGAAGAAAGAAAAAAGAAGTAAAAAAGGAAGAGAGAATAAAGGAAAGGAAAGAAATTTACAACTAATCTTTAGCATGTCTCAGGCTAAAGGCTTATGTATGACTTTGGGTCCTCAGAGCCTTTTGAGGTAAGAATGTTTCCCATTTTGTAAGTGTATGCATCTGCGGTGCTCATAGAAAGATCTCCAGTGGCAGTCTGTCAGTGTAATGCTGATAAGGCCACTGTAGCTGGAGGCCAGTCATATGCCATGGGCTCTCATCATTTATCTTTTGGGATACAAGCTTCTGTAACTAATAATGCAAAAACAAAAGAGGCAGAATATGGTTGTGATGAGACTCCAGCTCAGGACCTAGACTGACTCAGTTTGAATCTCAGCTCTGCTACTTACTAGTGGGATATCCTTGGGCAAACAGCTAAACCTTTATGTACCTCAGGTTTTTTTTTTTTTTAATGTGTGAAATGATGATAATACAGTCATGATATTTACATCATAGGGTGTTTCTAAGCATTGAATGAGTTAATATGGAAAAGTGTCCTGACACATAACAAATAATATGCAATGACTGCTGATATGATTGCTTTTATTTCAGTCAGTCAAGTTTATTCTATCTTTGTAAGTTAGTAATTTCAGAAGATGACACCCCTCCCCATTCACTTACTACTACTTTATGAAACCTTTCTTGCATTCCAACCAAACTGAACACCTTGTTCTTGCAGGAGTCTCTGTCTTTGAATATTGCTGTCCTTTGTGCTATTAATTCTGAAATCACATTCAGCTCAGCAGAAGTTTTCATCATGAAGTTGACTATCTCCCCCAGCCCCAAAGAAGGCAGTTTAGCAGCTTCTACACACCTCTATCATGACACATCATTGTATGTATTGTAAAAGCTATCAGAAGCCACTGCTTACCTCACCACCACCTGAAGCGTAGCTCCTTGAAGACAGAGAGTACAGAATGTATGGCACTTTTTGCCCTCTGAGACCATAGCACAGTGCCTGGTACACAGAGGACTGTCAGTAAATGACAAAAGAATAAATGATCCTACCACCAGGAGGACAGTAATCCAGGTGAGATAAAGTGAATGAAGCCTAAGGATTCAGGGAATTGAAAGGTAGGTATGCAGCTGTGGCAAAGACTCATATACAATATTTATTTGCCTCTTTAGCTGTCATTAAGCTATAAAATAAAACATGTATTTTTAAGTGCCTTATCAAAAATATCAAGTAGGCACTTTATATTTGACATCACATTTAATATCTACAAACAACTCATGCAGCATATACTATTACTAGTCCCGCTGATTGATAAGAAAGAGGCTCAGATAATTAATACAGCTGTCACTTGTTTAAGTTGCGATTAGCCCCCTGACCATCCTGACTTCAAACTCTATACTCCATCTTTTAAATTGATTCCATATACATACCGGCTTTCAGGTTGATACATAGGTTATTTTCATGAAAAATATTTTACCTTGTTCAAATGAAGTATTGAGATGCCTCCCAAAGGTGAAATCTCTTTTCAGCCCAATCTTCATCCAACCCATTATTCATCCATCCCATTATTTCTGGGGCAGAATGTAAGAGTACACAGTGCTTTTTAACTTCCTATTTTATTTTAAAAAATAACATTTTAGGCTGAGCGCCGTGGCTCACGCCTGTAATCCCAGCACTTTGGGAGGCCGAGCCGGGTGGATCATGAGGTCAGGAGATTGAGACCGTCAGGCTAACATGGTGAAACCCCATCTCTACTGAAAACACACAAACAAATTAGCCGGGGTGTGGTGGCACGTGCCTGTAGTCCCAGCTACTCAGGAGGCTGAGGCAGGAGAATCACTTGAACCCAAGAGGCGGAGGTTGCAGTGAGCTGAGATCGCACCATTGCACTCCAGCCTGGATGACAGAGAGAGACTCTGTCTCAAAAAATAAATAAATAAATAAATAAAAATAAAAAAATTACCAGATATTTCTAAATTCAGGGAAAACCCCATTTGAATTTTTTAAAGTTGGTGCCAATTCCATCTGGTTTTAAAAGTGCCTTGAAAAACATCATACTGAAAACAAACATTGACAACTACTACTAACTCCTTTGAGAGACATATTGGAATGAGCAGATTGTCACCCTTTAAATGCTGAGCCTTTAAGTTAGGATGGAAGCCCTGCCTCACTTGCCCATCCTGTCTGTCACTGGTAGGGAATCAAATCACAGAAGCTGAACAACCAGAACCGAGTCTTCTAAGAGGCCCAGCTTGGCTTCTTGTTCTGTGCAGATGAGTAGAAGGTGGTAAAGAATATGAATGACAATTATTGGTTTGAATATTTTCCAAAGGTAGAATTTGCAAGGCTATTGAAATCCTGTTAGACAAGACTTATTGCCTATGCATTTACAAACTGTGCAATTTAAGATAGGTTAGAGTGAATGTTATGCTCAGAGCTGCTAACAAGGAGGCCTCTCACCAATAGGCACTGTACAATATTATGGTAATCTTTTTGGGGAGTTTGTGGTAGCCAGCCTTTTTGCTACACAGTAAGGATCCAACCTTATTCCAAGTTATCCCTCTTGTCCAAAGTAGGACCAATACTATTCATAGGCTATAAACTTCTTACTCATTCCATTTCTGTAATTATGTCAAGGGAAAGGAATTTTCTTCAATTGCCAAGTAAGGAAAAGTGGCAAGTAGTAGAGGTTAAGTTCAGGTCATTGTGATGGGTGAGAAATTTGGGCTGGAATGTGGTCTTCCCGATGTGCCAGTGTTCATAATTTTACACTCTTCAACCTACTACTCTCTGATGTGAGATGTTGATGACTTCAATATAGGAGAATCTATGGGACTTCTCCATAGCTTGTGAGATTAGAGCTTGTTCCTCTGTGAAGCAAACAGGGATTTCTGAACTTGGATACTTATCTTTCGAGATAAATGAATTTTCTGTTTATTTTTCTCTTTCTTCCAAAGCTGGAAGAAAGAACTTGTAAGAGATCACAGCAATATTCTCCAGTTATTTTCTTCTTACAATTTAGGAGGAGAGAAAAATGTATTTAGTCTATAGATAAAACCTGGTTTTGAGATACTCCATTTCTCATCTTTAAACCTGAGATAGTTCTTAATATTGGAGCACTCACTGTTTTCCCAGTTTTTGTATGAAATTATTCATATAATATTTACATTCTCATACAGTTTTATTTTGTTTTTGGTCTCTATTCCTTTCATTTTTGTTTTAACCTCAACATTAAGCCTTGCTTTTACTTACCGATATTAGTGACAGGTTCTGTAAGTTCAAGTGCAATATGTTGGGCATCACTGAAAGCAGCTCCATATCATACTGACCTTCCTGGAGAAGGTAAAGCACAACTCATTGGTTTAATCATTGCATTCCATAAAGGAAGATGTCACTTAGCCAGCTTTCCTTTCAGTGCCAGAAAATCAGCTCAAAGTATTTTTCTTCAGATAAGTGAGCATGCTTGTCATAGCTTACTTACGCCTGTTAAATCTTTATATGAAATATTTTACAGAGAAATATGTAAATATTTTGACTGCTTGTGCCATTCTTTTCAGACTACTTTGCAGATTACACATGGGTCTCTATATGAAACAAGAAGGAAAAGCAAGCAGAAATTTCTTAATGTAGCGTTTTTCATTAATGAAGACAGAAAGGCTAAAAGAAAAAAATGTTAAATGGAGTCTTAATGTAAATAGTCAAGAAGAGTGATATATACCCTATGGAATAGCCTCAAAGTGATATCAGTATGATGGAAATACATTATAAGGTTCTCATACAGCATATCTACTTACCTTTTCTTCTTGACAGCAGATAAGTAAACCACGGCTTAGGAGTAGATTTGCCAATGTATTTTACTGGAGACTTTTGTAGTAAGACTTTTTACTAGTTTGTTACAGCTTATGTGAACAAAATGTCTGTAAACCAGACTTTAATCTTAGAAATATATATATATTTTTACTACCTAGCGTCAGCAGATATTATATATTCTGAACACAGAGCAGAGAAAGTGAGGGAATTTTCCCCAGTCAGTTCTTATTTAATCCATAAAGCCAAGTCTTTGTGTAATTTCAGCTATTTAATTTTTGCTTTTTCATGATTGCCATTGAAAGAATAAGATAATGTTGATGACATTTGAAATATGTTAAGAGGACCAATATCAGCTGGGCACGGTGGCTCACGCCTGTAATCCCAGCACTTTGGGAGGCCGAAGTGGGCAGATCACCTGAGCTTGGGAGTTCAAGACCAGCCTGACCAACATGGAGAAACCCTGTCTCTACTAAAAATACAAAATTAGCCAGGCGTGATGGCATATGCCTGTAATCCCAGCTACTCGGGAGGCTAAGGCAGGAGAATCACTTGAACCCAGGAGGCAGAGATTGTGGTGAGCCAAGGTTGCAGTGAGCCAAGATCGCACCATTGCACTCCAGCCTGGGCAACATGAGCGAAACTACATCTCAAAAAAAAAAAAAAAAAAAAAAAAAGAGGCCCAATATCATGGTATAATTGTGCTGGTCTACTGTCTGAAATAACATGACTGTAGATGTTTTTATCAAATGACAAAATGATGACTGGTATTTATCATTTTATACCCTTCAGCCTACTACTTTCTGATGTCAAACATTGATGATTTCGGCACAGGAGAATCTTTTATATTTTTCAATGAAAAATGTTTTACTCAGTTTTTGTGGGTTGAAAATATAAGTGTATAATTTGGCTGAGAAAAACATTGCATCACTAACATTTGCTCATGACTGTGGAGCTAAACAAATTATCAGTCAAGATCTCTGGTTTGAAGCAACAGAACCTATCTCTGGCCTTAAGAAAAAGGAGATGCATTGGAAAGACATCAGTTTCCCAGAAGTGACAATTAACTTGGTAGTCTAAGGTTTAGAAAACCAAGAGTTGTAAATCAAGATAGCAGGAAATGTAGTCAAAATCATGCTGCAACAACTTTCTGATCCATGAACTCTGGCTATGGGATCATCTAACAACCCTCCCTCCCCCATTTCCTCATTCTTTGCATTACTTAAGATTCAGAGTTCCAGAACAAACACCTTATCAGCAAAGCCTAGCTTATTGGCCTGTTCTGTGGTATAGCCAGGTAGAGGAAGGTCCCAGCTGCTGTGGTTGAGAAAGGAATAGCAAAAGGAATCAAGAACTAGAAATCATCTTCCAACCACATTGGCACACAGTAAAGGACTAATAAAAATATTGGGAAGTGGATGATGGTAAGTTGGAAAGTGACAAATGTCTATTCCCCAAAAAATATTGTTTCGAAGTCATGGTGGGTTTTTAGACTAAACATTATCATTCAATAGCTGTGAGACCTTGGATAAGCCTGTTTTTGTTTGTTTTTTTTTTTTTTCTCAGTCTAAAATGACAAATTTGACTTATGGTAGGGATGGGAAGTAAGTGGCAATTACATTGCCATCCCTCTTTTTCCTATGCCAGACATTACTAATTGATCATTGTATTCTTCCATCCTGAGACCAGATATAACCTCAGAATCATTCTCAATATAGTACTCTGGCAGCAACTACCAAATTATTAGAGCTGATAAATAAGATAAAATCCCACAAACATCTCTGAACTAGAGGTTAATTACATTTCTTTAGAGTGTCAATGTTCTTTGAAGTTCCAGGACTAAGAAGTATTGTTAGTTAAATTATTTTAGAAAATTAGAAAGAACCTAGACCAGGCAGGAATAGACTCATAAAGTAGCTAATCCAGTAATGTCTGATTGAAGTGAAAGAAAATATTTTCAAACTTGACTAGCTTTCATTATGAATGTTGAGATGTTGAAGGAAAACTTTACTCCATTATGGAATGTGCTGTTTATCCTCTGCCTTAAGACCATAAAGATGATTCTTTGAACAAAAGAAAGATAGGACATTGGTCTGAGGTTTAAAACTATATATTATATTGCTGATGGTAAATAAATATATTATTACTGTAAACAAATTGCCATTCACCATGAATTATTTTGTTAATGGTAGAAGAATCACTATTTAAGTAGTCTTTTAAAGTTTGTAGAATGCAAGATCTAAAATGGCTCAAAAATCTACCCTAGAATTTACTAGTATATGTTATTAAACTTAATTACAGGTTCAGCTATTTTGTTCAGATACATATATTTATTACCTTTTTTATTTACTAATTCGAGTAATGAGTTACATCAATTTGTTTAATACAGTTGCTGCCTCGGGATCCATTTTTATGCCAGACATAGGTATTTGAAATTCAATTATACTCCATCACCTTTGGCCTAGTTAAAACTTTTCCTCTCTGTGTGGTTCTTTGCAATATAGCCCTCTGTTCATTTCACTGACCCAAAACCCAACAAATCCCAAAGCCGCTGACCACAATAAACCTAATGGTTAACACCTGACTCATATAAGTAACTTTCCCCCTTCGCATGTGTTTCCTTTAAACCAGTCAATTCAAAACCCCTGAGGAAAAGCAAAACAGATAATGCTCATGAAGCTTAATAAAAGCCTAGTCCTCTCTCTCCTACTTCTCTCCTGCTGGTTGAGAACGCTTGCTATCTCTGCGCTTCCTGTTGGCTGTTGTGAACATCCTTTTTTCTTGTGGATTTGTAAGTAATCAAATGCTTCTGTTATGTCATGTGTTTTGTTGTTCTGCCTCCTCTGTGTCTCACCTGACCAACATGCTCAAACGTAACACTCCTTTTGGTCAGGGCTCTCCTACAAAGTGGCTATCTTGGTAGAAATAAACTGGATACAGGCCAGAAAAGAGCCACAGAACATCTGCCAGTATAAACAAGTTTTCTGTGAGAGGCACACCTGGTCATGGGGTGGGCACTTAACCATTAGGCTGTCTGCCTGGATAAAGAATCATCCCGTGAAAGCATACCGTAAACATCCAAGACCACCTTTGCTGGAGTTCTAACAGAGCAGGGATAGAAAGAGGCTTCAAGACAGAATTAGAAGAAAATCACAACATGAAATATTTTGTATTTAGATTTTTTTTAACCTCTTGAGCTACTCAGACTGTATTGATTTGCAACTTAGGACAAGTGACAACAGACAGAATAATGATACCCAGGAATTACTAGCCTCCAATGGCAAGCAGCGTCTTTTCTCTACCCAGTAGATTCCACTTTCTTCCAGGTGGGCTGTGTTTGTGTTTATCCACACATCAAGGTTTTGGAATGGGAAAAACCTGTAGTATAGCCTTGAACCATGCTAGGGAAATATATATCTGTTTCAAGGGAAATTCTGGCATCAACAAATCACAAAAAAATTTTCATTTAGACAATTTTTGGACACTAGCTTTCCGTAGAGGACCTGGAACAAACTTAGTTTCAAAGGCCATCCTACCTCTGTGATACTTGCAGTAGAGTACAAAAAGGACCACGAATTCTTCTCATTCATGTATGCATGCCCGTTAACAATTCATCTTTGCAGTTTCTCCTTTAAAGGTAGATATGGGGTTTATTTCTCTACTCCTTGGATATGGGTTGGCCATCTGTCTTAGTTTGGTCAAAGGATTGTTAGCAAACGTGATGCAAGCAGACCCTTAAAACGTGTTTGCATTATGGGGCTTTTCTTCTTGCTGTTCTTGGAAACACTGAGACCACCACCATGTGGATTGGGCTGAGCTAGCCTTCTGGATAATGAAAGACACATGGCAAGATTTTCTCTCTCACTCTAGCTAGCATCCAGTCCATCACTAGCCATGTTAGTGAGGCCTTCCAACATCATTCAGGCCCATCTTAGCTGGCTCACTATGAACTGCACAATTAACTCTCAAAAGAATAAGAAATAATAAATCTTTGTTGTTTTAAGACACTAAGTCTGGAGGTAAATTTTATAGCTCCAGTTGTTCCTTTTTGTCTCCATATTATTCAAGCAGGATGGGTTTGCTTACCCTCATAGGCATGGTACAGAGATAATCTTTAGAAACTTTTTGGGTCTTCCCACTGATTGGCAATCAATAGAATGCATCCTTAGATGTACTGGAAAAAACTAGTGATGCCTTTTCCATATTTTTTATTTAAAATAAAACTGGACTTTTGGGTTTTCATTATTTCAGTTTATGGCATTATTATTTTAAACAAACACACTATATATTGGAGTTCTTTTTCAGGACAAGCAATGATACAGGCCAAAGCACTTTATGCAGTGAAAGCTTCATAACTTCAGTTATTCCAAATGATTGCAGAAAAGTAATTTCTCAGCTTTTTCAGGGTTAATTTGCCACATGAATTTAGTGTGGCATTGAAGAGTAAAAAAGGCAAAAGACGAAGATTGTCTCAAAGAGAGGAAAAGAGCCTCCATAATACTTAAGCTACCCAATACCTTTCTCAGAGGAAGCTAAACTTATTTATAGAGTTTATAAAGTCATTTGTTTGAGATATTTTGCATAGATCCTAACATTCCAAGCTGTATCTTATCCTGTGTCCCAGGTCCGGTTGATTAATGCCATCTCTCCTCTGTCCTCAGGCTATTTCTAATACATTAGTCTTTTTTCCCTGGAAATTGTTGTCCTCACATGCAGAGTTCTTTCCAGAATTTTTATGTTGTAACTGTTTAAATTGATCCCTTTTAAAAGTTAGCTACTTAGTTTATACACACACACACACACACACACACACACACACACACACAAACTATATATGTCATACTTCTCTGTTTCTCTTTGTGCTTTAGAAATGGTTTTCTGGTGGAACATTGGCTAAAGACATGTTTGGGAAAAATGACAAAACAAAGCATAGTAATCTATGGTTGGAGAGATAGTGCCTAAATTATATATTATATTTGCATTTACAAAAATGCTTTTGGTTTTATCATGTTTCAGTAATGTGATCATCCTTTGGGGCGTGCAAATATGCTGCTTATGCAGTTCTGAAATCTTAAGTCTGGGATTATGATGCCAATTATTACATATTAGGAACTATGGAGAAGTTGACAGAAAGTGCTAGTTTTATGACTAGACATATAGTAATATTGATGCTGCATTCTTTAAAGTTAAAATACCCAGACTCAATGTAGAACCAGTGTTCCCTGCAAAAGTGAGAGTAAGGTCACAGTAGTGCCTATGGCAGTTGGTTTTGAGGAATTACTGGTAAGAATTCTTTTTGCTTGAAAAATTCAATTGATCAATAACAAGACTCACACAAAAAAGTTTCATAACTTTTGGTCCAACATCTTTTGGAAGTGACATATAATATGCAATGTTTTCTTTATAAGTCAGTAGGGTTTGTGAATGCATTTATTCTGGATAATTCAAGTTCTCTTCACACTTTTTTTCCTCCAAATTGTTTCCTCCACAATGAGTATACTGAGCATGTATTGGAACATCCACTGGTTAACTTTGAACAAGGTCTTGTAAAATCCATTGACTTCTGAAATAGGGGCAGCAGGAAGCAGAGGTATCTCACAGAAATATATTTTCCAAACTCCTTTCCAGTTGGGACTGGCTGTAACAATAGAAAACAGCACCAGGTGAAAGATATTCTGTTAACAGTGGATAATGCAAATTGTAACTTGTAATTAGTAACTTGGAATCCCTTTTGCTTTGTCAGAGGGACAACAGGCAAAAAAGAATGAGACATCTGAGATTGGAATGAAATGGACCACAGCTGATTGTAATAAGATGATAGGATCTGTGAAAAAAATAACTGTTTCTGCCTGTTGCTGAAAAGAGACTTAAAACCCGGGTTTTAGCACTGTGTGCTTTCTTTTCAATATCTAGGAAAACCTTGTTAAAAAATCAAGCAAGAATCTTGACTGTGCCTGATGTAGTAGGACAGAATCAATTTTCCTTGTCCCTAATTTTTTTTTCAGAAGTCAATGGGGACAAACTTGGCTTTCAACATGATTTGTAACCTCCCAGTGGGATGTTTGCTTATAGGTATCCTTAACTGCATACAACCCAAATCAGTCTTTTATCATCATTAAGCCTCTCCAGTGCTTATATGGGAATTATGAGAATATGAGCTGCCCTGGAAGGATCTTGCAGACAGAGCCAAAGTGCAGAATCACCTTCTCCCCAACCAACTGTCCTATAGGCAATCATTCTATTTCATTAGCTCCTGCAATTATAACAATGCCAAAAAGGAATTGGTTTTATATTTTATTTCTTCTTTGATCCATTGATTGTTCCATAGTTTATTTTTCACATATTTGTAAATTTTCCAGTTTTTCTCCTGATAATATCTGGTATACCAATACCAATGAGCATACCAATGTGGTTGGAAAAGATACTTGAGATGACTTCAGTCTTCTAAAATTTATTAAGACTGGTTTTGTGGATTATCATATGATATATTCTAGAGAATGTTCTGTGTGCACTTGAGAAAGTTTGTTCTGCTCTTAGATGGTATGCTCTGCACGTGTCTGTTAGGTCCATTTTGTCTGAAGTATAGTTCAAATCCAGTGTGTCTTTATTGATTTTCATATGGATGATCTCTCTGTAATTAAAACTGGGTTATTGAAGAAACCTGTTATATTGCTGTCTGTTTCTCCCTTTTATGTTAATATTTGCTTTATATATTTAGGTACACTGATGTTGAGTGCAAATATATTTATCATTACTATATCCTATTGATGTATTGAAGCCTTTATCATATAATCTTCCTTGTGAGTTTTTGACTGAAAGTCTATTTTATCTTACACAGGTATAGCCACCTGCTGTGGTTTAAATGTTTGGCCCCTCCAAAATTTGAAATTTAATTGCCACTGTGAAAGTATTGAGGTAGAACTTTTAAGAGGTGCTTAGGTCATGAGGGCTCCACTCTTAGGAATAAACTAATGTCATCAATGCAGGAGTGGGTTTGCACCTCTTGATTTCTCTGTTGCCCTCTTTGCCCTTCTACAATGTAATTATTTCCTCCATGTTATAAGACAGCAGAAGGCCTTCACCAGATGCTGGCACGTTGATGTGGGACTTCCTAGCCTGTGAGAACTGTTAGAAACAAACTTCTGCTCATTATAAATTACCTTGTCTGTGGTATTCTGGTAGAGAAGCAAAAAATGGATTAAGGCAGAAAAATGGTAGTAGAGAAATAGGGATGTTACAAATAGCTAGAAATGCAAATGTAGCTTTGGAACTGGGTAGTGGGTAGAGGCTGAAATAATTTTGAAGTGAATGCTGGAGAAAGCCTAGGCATTCATGAGTGAAGCATTAAGGTAAATTCTGGGGGCAGAGCAAGATGGTCAAATAGAAGCTTCCACTGATTGTCCTTCCACAGGAACACCAAACTGAACAACCATCCACACAAAAAAGTACCTTCATAAGAATCCAAAATCAGATGAGCAATCAGTACCTGGTTTTAACTTTATATAACTAAATGATGCACTGAAGAGAGTAGGAAAGACAGTCTTGAATTGACACCACCCTTCCCCCATCCCCTAGCAGCACCATGTGGTGCAGAGAGAGATTCTGTGCATTTGGGAGAGGGAGAGCTCAGTGATTGTAACACTTTGTATTGAAACTCAGTGCTGCCTTGTCACAACAGAAAGCAGCATGGGGAAGAACTCACCTGGCACCCAAGGAGGGAGCATTTAGAACAACCAGAGGAAAATTGCCATTTCCAGGGGTTGGAACCTAAGTTCTGACAAGTCTAGTCTCTGCAGGCTAAAGTGCTCTGGGGTCCTAAATAAACTTAAAAGGCAGGTTAGACCAGAAGGACTACAATTCCTAGGTAAGTCCTAGTGCTATGCTGGACCTAGAGCCAGTGGACATGGGTGGCATGTGACCTAGTGAAACACCAGCTAGGGTGACCAAGGAAATACTTGTGGCACCTCTCTCCCAACCCCAGGCAGTGTACCTCACAGTTCTGGGAGGTACTTCACAGCTCTACCTGCCTTCCTTCCTCTTAAGAAGAGGAGAGGGGACAGTAAAGAGGACTTCATCTTGGAATTTGCATACCAGCTCAGCCACAGCAGGATAGGACACTAGGCGTACTCCTGAGACACTCATTCCAGGCCCTAGCTGCTGGGTTATATTTCTAGACAAACTCTGGGCTAGAAGGGAAACTGCTGTCTTGAAAACAAGGACCCAGTCCTGGAAGAACTCATTCCCTGCTGGCTGTAGAACCCTTAGGCCTTGAAAAACCATCAGAAGTACCCAGGCAGTACTTGCCACAGGCTGTGAGTGAGACTTAGAGTCATGCTGGCTCAGATATGACCCAGCACATTCCCAGCTGTGATGGCCATGATGAGAGACTCCTTATGCTTGAGACAGAGAGAGAAAAAAATAGAGAGGACTTTGCCTTACAGCTCAGGTACTAGCTTGGCCACAGTGGGGTAGAACACTAAGTAGGTTCCTGGGGTGCCCTATTCCAGGTCTTGGCACTTGGAGGATGTTTCTGGACCTGCCCTGGCCCAGAGGGGAGCCCAGTGCTTTTAAGAAAGAGTCCTAGGCCTGTCGGTAATCACTGCAAGCTGTCTGAAGAGTCCTTGGGTCTTGAGTGGACATTGGTGGTAGCCAGGCAGTATTCCCCATGGACCTGTGGTGGTGGTGGCCATGGGGAAAGACTCCTCTGCCTGTGGAAATAAAAGAGAAAATTGGGAACCATTTTGTCTTGTGGCTTGGGTTCCAGCTCAGCCACAGTAAAATAGAGCACCAGATAGATTGCTAAGGTTTCCAACTCCAGGCTCTGTCTCCCAAATGGATGGCATCTCTGGACCCAGCTGGGGCTAGCGAAACTTGCCACACTGAAGGGAAGGACACAACTCTGGCTAGCTAAGCACCTGCTGTTTGTGGAGCCCAAGGACCTTGAGCAAACAAAGGCAGTAACCAGGGAGTGGTTACTATGGGCCTTGGGCAAGACCTAGTGCTGTGCTTGATTTTGGTCTGATGTAGAGCAGTCCTAGTGGTAGTGGCCACAGGGGTGCTTATGTCACCCTTCCCTCAGCTCCAAACAGCTTAGCACAGACAGAGAGACTCTATTATTTTGGGAGAAAATAAGATAACAAGAGTCTCTGCCTGGTAATCCAGGGAATTCTCTGTATCTTATCCAAGAGTACAAAGGTAGTACATCTAGAAGTCTACCAAGAGCCACAGCATTACTGGGCCGGGGTGCCTCCTAATGCAGATAATGACTGCAGTGACCAAAGACTTGGATCACAACAACCAAGTTTCTTTGAATACCTGGAAAGCCTTCCCAAGATGGATGGATGCAAGCAAGCCCAGATTATGGAGATGACAATAAATACATAACTCTTCAAGGCCCAGACACCAACACACATACACAAGCATCAGGAACATCCAGGAAAACATGACCTCACCAAATGAACTACATGACACATCAGGAAACAATCCTGAGGGACAGGGATATATGAGTTTTCAGACAGAATTAAAAATAGCTGTTTCGAGGAAACTCAGTGAAATTCAAGATAACAGAAGGAATTCAGAATCCTATCAGATAAATTTAACAAAAAAAATGAAATAAAAATAAGCAAGATTCTGGAGTTGAAAAATGCAACTGAAACACTGAAGATTGCAGCAGATTCTCTTAACAGCAGAATTAATTAAACAATAAAAAACTAGTGAGCTTGAAGGCAGGCTATTTGAAATACACAGAGGAGACAAAAAGAGTAAAACAAGCCTACAAGGTCTAGAAAATAGCTTCAAAAGGGAAAATCTAAGACTTATTCGTCTTAAAACAGAGGTAGAGAGAGAGATGGGATAGAAAATTTATTCAAAGGGATAATAAGAGAGCTTCCTAAACCTAGAGAACGATATCAGTATCCAAGTACAAGAAGGTTATAAAACACCAAGCAGATTTAACCCAAAGAAGACTACCTCAAAGCACTTAACAGTCAAACTTCCAAAGGTTAAGGATAAATAATTCTCAAAACAGCAAGAGAAAGGAAACAACATATAATGGAGCTTCAACATGTCCGACAGCAGACTTAAGTGGAAACCTCACAGGCCAGGAGAGAATGGTATAACATTTTAACGTGCTGAAGGAAAAAACTTGTATCCTAGGTATTTCCAGCAAAAAATATTCTTCAAACATCAAGGAGAAATAAAAATTTTCCCAGACAAAAGCTGAGGAATTTCATTAACACCAGACCTGTCCTACAAGAAATGCTAAAGGGAGTTCTTCAGTCTGAAAGAAAAGGATATTAATGAGCAATTAAAAATTAACTGAAGGAATAAAACTCACTGGTAATAGTAAGGACACAGAACACAATATTATAACACTAATTGTGGTTTGTAAACTACTCATTTTGAATAGAAAGACTGAAAGATGAACTGATCAAAAATTACAACACGTTTCAAGACATAGAACAGTAAGATATAAATGGAAACAACAAAAAGTTAAAAAGCAGGGGGATGAAGCTAAAGTATAGAGTTTTTATTAGTTTTCATTTTGCTTGTTTATGGAATCAGTGTTAAGTTGTCATCAGCATAAAGTAATGGGTTATGAGAGAGTATTTGCAAGTCTCAAGGTAAACTCAAATGGAAAAACATACAACAGATACACAAAAAATAAAAAACAATAAATCAAAATATACCACCAAAGAAAATTGCCTTCACTAAAAGGAAGGAAGGAAAGAAGGAAGAGAAGACCACAGAACAAGCAGAGAACAAATGGCAGAACTAAGTCCTTACAATATCAATAATAACATTGAATGTAAATCAACTAAATTCTCCAGTCGAAAGACATAGAGTACCTGAATGAATTTTTTAAAAAAGAGACCCAACAATCTGTTTTCTACAAGAAACACACTTCACCTATAAAGACACTCATAGATTGAAAATAAAGGGATAGAAAAAAATATTTTTCATGCAAATGGCAACAAAAAAAAGAGCAGGAGCATCTATAATTATATCAGACAAAACAGATTTCAAGTCAAAAAGTATTAAAAAAGAAAAGAAGGTCTATATATAATAATGAAGGAATCAATTCAACAAGAGGATATAACACTTGTAAATATATATGTACCTAATACTGGAGCACCCAGATATATAAAACAAATATTATTAGAGCTAAAGAGAGATAGATCCCAATGAAATAAAAGATCCCAATACAATAATAGCTGGAGATTCAATACCCCACTTTCAGAGTTGGGCAGATTATCCCAACAGGAAATCAACAAAGAAACATGGACTTAATCTACACTGAAGGTAAATTATTGTGAGGGCTCAGAAGAGGAGAGTTGTAGGAAAAGTCTAAGACTTCTTAGAGATTACTTAAGTGCTTTGGATAAGAATACTGGTGGAAATATATACAGCAAGAGCCATTCTGGTGAGGTCTCAGATAGAAATGAAGAATAAGGTATTGGAAACTTGAGGAAAGAACAGCCTAGTTAAAAAGTGTCAAATAACTTGGCTGAATTGCATCTATGCCAAAGAGCTTTGTGAAAAGCAGAGTTTAAGAAAAAGGAACTAGGATACCTGACATAAAAAAACCATCTAAGCAGGAGAGCATTCAGAGTGCTGCGTGGCTTCTTTCAACCACACATGGTAAAATGTGAGGAACCAATGATTCAACTATGGAATTCATAATTAAAAGAACAATATAATGTAGAGATTTGAAGGACCTTCAGCCTGGCCATGTGGTAGGGAATGAGAAAGCATTTTTAGGAGAGAAAACCAAGGGTGTGGCCCAGTAACTATTTGATAAGATTAGTATGACTAAAATGAAGCCAAGGGCTATTCATCAGGACAATGGGAAAATGTCCCCAAAGGTACTGTGGAAATTACCTATCAGAGGTCCAAAGTGTCAAGGCCTTAGAGAAAGAAATACGTCAATAGGGCACCAACCAGACCTCAGTATTTGTTGCTCTCAAGTGTCTCTCCGCTATTTATTGTGCAGCACTCCTCAGCCATGGCCCAGGATGGCCCAGGTGAAACTTGACCCACAGCTCCAGAAAGTACAAGTCACAAATCTTGGAAGCATCCATGTGGTAGTGCAAATTATGCAGCAATGCAGAATGCAAGAGTTGTGGAGGCATGACTTCCTTTACCTAAATTTCAAATAATGTGGTGGATAGACTGGAAGCCCAGGCAGAGGCTTGTTGCAGGGGCAGAGCCACTGCAGAGAACCCCCACTAGGATAATGTCCAGTGGAACTACAGGATCAAAGCCACCACAGAGAATCCCTACTAGAGTAATGTCTAGTGGACCCATGGGAGTGGGACCTCCCCTGAGACTCCAGAAGTGTAGAGCTACTAGTGTTCAGTTCCAGCCTGGGAGAGCTGTAGGCACAAAACTCCAACCCATGAGAATTGCTGCATGAGCCAAGCCCAACAAAACCATACAGGCAGGGCTGTCTGAGTCGTTGGGGGCCCAACCTCCACTCCAGTGTGTCCAGGAGGTGACACATGAAGTGACAGATTATGAATCTTAAAATTTAATATTGCCTACTGGCAATATTGCCTGTTGGGTTTTGGACTTACTTAAGGCCTGCTACTCCTTTCTTCTCACCATTTTACAATGGGACTATCTATTCTTTGGCTGTTCCACCATTGCGTTTTGGAAGTAGATAACTTGTTTAATTTCACAAGCTCACAGCTAGAGGAAAATTTGCCTCAGGATGAATCATGCCTTGCATCTTACCCATATCTGATTTACATGAGACTGTGGACTTTGAGTTGGTGCTGGAAGAATTTAAGACTTTGGGGGCTATTGAGACTTATGAGTTGGTGCTGGAAGAATTTAAGACTTTGGGGGCTATTGAGATGGACCAAATATTCATATTTTTATATAATAAGGACATGAGTTTTGGAGAGGCAGAGGCAGAATTTTTTATTTGAATGTTTGTATCCTCCTCATGTTGAAATTTCATTGCCATTTTAACAGTATTAAGTGGTGGATCCTTTAAGGGGTGGTTAGTCGATAAGACCTCTATCCTTATGGGTGTGATTGGTGCCAGTATAAAAGGGCAAGTTTTTCTCTTTCTCACTCTCCCTTGCCCCCTCCACCATGTGATGCTTTCCAACATGTTATGGCACAACAAGAAGGCCGTTGCCAGATTCCAGCATCTTGATATTGGACTTCTCAGCCTCCAGAACTGTGAGCCAATACATTTCTGTTCAGTATAAATTACCCAGTGTTGGTATTCTATTATAGCAACATAAAAGAGACTAATATACTGCCCCTGCTCTCTCTTGGTTATTATTTGCATGAAATACTTTTTCTTCTTTTCTCTCTCAACCTGTGTGTTTTCTTAAAGCTGAAGTGAGCTTCTTGTAAACAGTATGTAGTAATATATTGTTTTTTAATTAATTAAATGTGTCCAATGATTAGATAATTAAACTCATTTACATTTAAATTAAAGCAATTTTTGATAGGTAAGCACCTTCTATTGCCATTAAAAAAATTTTTTTGTAGTTTGTTTATTTCTATTTTCCTCTCATGTTGTCTTTTGGAATTTGTTTTGTTTGTAGTGGTATGCTTTGATTCCTTTCTCTTTATCATTTGTGTATCTACTACAGTTTTTTTCTTTGTGATTATCACAAGGCTTGCATAAAACATAACAGTCTATTTTAATATAACAGGTACTTAACTTCAACCACATACAAAAACTCTACGATTTAACTTTTCTCCCCCTCACATTTTATTTTATAGATGTCATAATTTAAAGCTTTTATATTGTGTATCTTTTAATAAATTATTTTTAGCTATAGTTATTTTTATTGCTTTTGTTTTTTGAATTTTACACTAAAGTGACTTATGTACCACCATTACAATTTCAGAATATCCTAAATTTGACTTTTTTACCTTTGCAGTGAGTTTTCTACTTTCATATGTTTTCATAATGTTATTTAGCATCTTTCAGTTTTAACTTAAATCCTTTTAGCATTTCTTGTAGAGCAGGACTGGTGGTGACAAATTTCCTCATCTTTTGATTATCTTGGAAAGCCTTTCACTCCTTTATTTTTGAAGGACAGGCTTGCCTGGTATAGTATGCTTGGTTGCAGTTTTTTTCTTTAGTCCTTTGAATATATTAGCCCATTCTAAGATAGCCTGCACTATTGCTGCTGAGAATATTTCTTATAGCCTTATGGAGTTTACCTTGTATGTGACAGATTGCTTTTCTCTTGCTGCTTTTAAAATTCTCTTTGTCTTTGATTATTGAGCATTTGAATATAGTGTGTTGGTGAAGATCTCTTTATGTTTAATTTATTTGGAGTTCTTTGACATTCATGGATCAGAATGTTCATTTCCCTCTTCAAATTTGGGAAGTTTTCTGTCATTATTTTAAAAATAAGTTTTAGTCCCCTTTCTTTTTCTCTGCTACTTCAGGGACTCCCATAATGCACATATTGATTTGCTTGATGATGTCCTGTAAGCCCCTAGGCTTTCATCATTCTTTTTTATTATTGTCTATTTGTTTCTCTAATTGGGTAATTCAAATGACCCAAGTCTTTGAACTTGCTGCTTCTTTCTTCTGATTTAGTTTACTATTGAAGCTGTCTATGAAAATTTTCAGTTCATTTATTGTGTTTTTCAACATTAGAGTTTCTGTTTGGAGGTCAGGCACAGTGGCTCACGCCTGTAATCCCAGCACTTTGGGAAGCCGAGGTGGGCAGATCACCTGAGGTCAGGAGTTCAAGACCAGGCTGGCCAACATGACAAAACTCCGTCTCTACTAAAAATACAAAAATTAGCTGGGTGCAGTGGTGTGTGCCTGTAATCCCAGCTACTCCGGAGGCTAAGGCAGGAGAATTGCTTGAACTCAGGAAGTGGAGGTTGCAGTGAGCTGAGATCACACCACAGTACTCCAGACTGGGTGAGAGAGGGAGACTCCATCTCAAAAAAAAAAAAAAAAAAAAAAAAACAAAAAAACGGAATTTTTGTTTAGCACTTTTCTGTAGTTTTTTTTTTTTTTTCTCTTTGTTAAACCTCTTTTGTTCATGGACTGTTTTCCTAAATTCTTTTTGTTGTCTCTCTGTATTCTTTTGTACCTTGCTAAACCTTTTAAAGACAATTATTTCGAATTTTTTGTCAGGCAGTTTGCTGATCTCCATTTATTTAAGGGGAGTTACTTTTGCTTTTTTGTTGTCGTTGTTCATTTGTTGGTATTATGTTTCTCTAATTATTCATAATCATTGGATCTTATTTTGGTATCTGTTGAATTTGAAGAAGTAGGCACTTCTTCCAATCTTTATAGACTGTCTTCTGCAGGGAAAGTCCTTCACTAGTAAGTCCTTTCAGAGATTTTGAGTGTGCTGGCTGGTGGGGTCTGTGGGCTTGCCTGTGCCTTGGATCTATAGGAGTTAACTTGGTACTGCAGTGAGCTTGGAGCCTTAATCTGCAGGGACTGTCCTGGAGCTGTCGGAGCAGCCCTGGCACAGTGGCAGACCTGGAGCCTGAGTCTGCAAGGGCTGCCATTGTGCTGAGCCAGGCCTGGAGTCTGGGACATCAGGAACCATGCTGGATCCCAGGGCCATTATGGCACATTTGGTGCTAGGATGGGCTTGAAGACTAGGGTTGCAGAGATCAGTCTGGTGCTGGAAATTAGGCTGTGCAGCAAAGTTATTGAAAACTTTATTCTTTTTCTCCCAGGAGAGTATCTCTCTCTGTATTGTGTTTCATGGGCTTAGAGGAGGAGTTACATGATTAATGTAAAACTGTCCTTCCTATCCATTTCAATGTGTCTTTTCTTATTTCTATGCTCCACTCATGTGGTATAATCTCTCACCTGGATTTCTTAGCTCTTGTGAAGGTAATTTTGCATATAAATGGTTGTTTAAATTGATTTTTTTTTTTTTAGGGGCTAAGTCCTAAAAACTTCTATTCTGCTATCTTGCTCTCATTCTTTTTTATACCTATATAGCATTCTATTTCATGGATGTGCCATCATTTATTTAATTAAACCTCCATCTAAGGGGATTTTATTTTTGCAATGTTTTCATGATCAAAATATTTTAACAAATATCATTTATATATTATTTTCATCATGTGGGTTTCTATCTCTAGAGTATTTCTAAGGATACAAGTACTGGTTTAAAGAATATGTACATTTTGAATATTTTAACGAATGTTGATGAGAAACAAAATAAAGCTATATATTTCCACTAGCAATCATTGAGAGTGCTGGTTTTTCACACTTTGCTCAATAGAGTGTCTTATCAAAATTTTTGCTCTTTGACAAATACCAAAATGGTAATTCATTGTTGTTTTAATTTGCGTTCCTCTTTTTAAGGGTAAATATGGGTATATTTGCATATATTTAAGATTTATTTGCCTATTGTTTCTGTGACCTATTAATAAAATTTGACTATTTTATTGAGTTTTCATTTTGATAGACATTATTTATATATTAAATAATTAAAACCTTAGTGATATGAGTTATGAATTTTCCTCCAGTGTGTGATACATGTTTTACCTGATTAACGTGCTTATTTTTACAATGTACTTTTTATTTTAATGCAATAAAATTTAGCTTTCATTTGTTCTTTTTGTTGGATATTTCCCACTCTGAGATCATTTCTAAAATTCCCATTTTGTTTTATATAGTTTATGAATTAATATTTTACATTAAAATATTTGACACAAATATGTATTTTTCTATAATTAATAAATCCATGTTCTTTTTTTCAGTGTGGCTATGTAGTTTTCACAGCACCATTTATTTGAATAAGCTAATGTTTATCCCCTTATTTGAAGTGCTGTATTCATAATAAACTAAATTTCTAAATAATTTTGAGCCTACGTTTGAACTTTCGGTTATGTTCCATTGATATGTATCTATTCATATGTCATTATTTTACTGTTTTAATTATTGTAGCCCTAAATATGTTAATTGCTGCTATGTCTAATTCTTCTTTATCAGTTTTTATTTTTAGAGCTATTTTGACAAAATTAGTTTATTTTTTTTTTCACATAAACTTTAGGATCTTTATAGTTCTAAAAACTCTTGGTATATTTTTGTGATTTTACAATATTTATAAATTCACTTATGGAGAATTGCTATCATGTTGAAATTGGGCCTTCCTATCCACAAACACAGCTTTGCACTGTTTCAAGTTCTTGAGTAAAATAGTCTGTGTACTGGTACTGGTTTGCAATGCGATAAGAATAAAACAAGAATTAAACATAAACTTTCAGAGTAATTTTACATGATTATGACTCTTATTGAAGTTGTGATGGTTTTGCAAATTCATATTTATCATATTCAAAAAATTACCTGGTCGGGCGTGGTGCTTTATGCCTGTAATCCCTGCAGTTTGGGTGGCCGAGATGGGTAGATGTCTTGAGTCCAGGAGTTCAAAAACAGCCTGGGCAACATGGTGAAACCCTGTCTCCATAAAAAAAAAAAAAATACAAAAATTACCTGGGTATGGTGGTGCACACATGTGGTCCCAGCTACTCAGGAAGCTGAGGTGGGAGGATCACTTGAGCCCAGGGAGGTCAAGGCTGTAGTGAGCCATGATCATGTCACTGCACTCCAACCTGGGCAACACAGTGAGACCCTATATAAAAAAAAAACAAAATATTAACCATAATAAGTTGAAAATCGAAAGATTGGTGTTTTACCAATATAGTCTGAGAAGCACTGGTGTACAAGCAGTATAGTGCTTTTGTTATTTTTATTATTGTTTGATTGATTATATGTATGTAATACATTAAGAAAATTACATTCATCATTTTTGTAATTTTTTAAATTTTCCTTTTAGTTTGGTCATTTTTTCTCCTTTATGTCTCTTGTATTTCACATCACCCCCTTCCCAAGATTACTCATATTAATACTGATTATATATTCTTCCATATTTTATCTAGAAAAATGTTATATAACGGTAGTAATAGTATGCAAAAAGTTCTTCTCTCTGAATTTTAATTTGAGTACCACTAAAGCTTCATCAGAAGATATAATCCTTGTTTTGAGGATATATGTACATTTATCATGTTTAAAAGATATCTTTTTACAATATTTCTTTCTTGAATATTTAAAAAAGTCTATCAAATATATTCTTAGCATTTTGATAGTGTATTTATGATTTGACTTTTAAGTGTATCAATATGATAAATTACACAATATAGCTTCTAATACTGGGTTGTCTTTGCTTTCCTTGTGTAAATTTTATGTTGTTGATCATGGTGCACTCATCTTTTAATGTTCTATTGGATTCTGTTTGTCAGTATTTCGTTTAAATTTTTTTTTTTTTTTTTTTTTTTTTTTTTTGGGGGTGTTGTTGAGACAGTCTCGCACTGTCACCCGGCCTGGAGTGCAATGGCGCGATGATCTCGGCCCACGGCAACCTCTGCCTCCTGGGTTCACGCAATTCTCCTGCCTCAGCCTCCCGAGTAGCTGGGATTACAGGCGCCCGCCATCACGCCCGGCTAATTTTTTGTATTTTTAGTAGAGACGGGATTTCACTATGTTGGCCAGACTGGTCTCGAACTCCTAACCTCGTGATACCCCCACCTCACCCACATCAGCCTCCCAAAGTGCTGGGATTACAGGTTTGAGCCACCACGCTCGGCCCATTTAAGATTTTTATGTTGAGTTGTATAGATGAGATTTCCTTGTAGTTGTCTTTCTGTGGGCTTATATTAATGCTTTGCTAATTTTATACAAACAAAATTTAAAGTATTACTTCTTCTTCTATGTTCTAGAAATATCTTTAATGTTAATTATTCTTTAAATAATTGGTTTAATTTTTCTGTGCAAGTGCCTGGTCCCGATGTACAGGGATATATTGAAGGTAGTGTTGCTAAACAAGTAATCCTCTGTCAGTTGCCATTTGTTGTCGTCTTTTCTTTTTTTTTAAGAAAATTAATATGTGAAGAGGCATCAGAATTTTTAGAAACTATTACTTGCATTTCAATGAGTAAATTATGTTCTTTGGCCAAACGTTAATGAAAGTCTCCGTTGTTTCAAGGCCGGGATTGTGTTTTCGGCTAGGGAGTATTTAAACCGACATTCTCCATGACAAAGTATTAACTGTGAGGGAGTTCTTTTACCCTTTAGTTCACCTCAGGCAAAGATATGAGCAGCTATATTTACAGAGTTTCTATCCTCCACTCTATTGGCACTGTTTTGGGTAAATATTGGGAGTCTTTGTAAGTTTTCCTTCAAGCCATCTCCCTATGCTTTTTTTTTTTTTTAGGTTAAGTACAAAATTTGGTCTTATGAAGATTACACTGGTAAACTTCATTCCTATTGTATGAAACAAGGAATTGTTAGTTTTTTTGCCCCTCATCGTGTGTCATCTACTTTGGATAACGATGTTCCAATACTTTTTAAAATTTCTGAGATCTCCAGCTATAGGTACAGTATTCTCAGTTGTCTTTCAGCTCCCCTGTTTGACATTCACTGCATCTTACAACCCTTTCTCATACATTGGGAGGTACAAATTTGTGTTAAGTTTCACTGGAGACAAAAATTGCATTAAAAGATGGGAACATATAAATTTTACATTTGTTTTCAGTGTGGTTAAAACAATAGATTCTCTTGAAATATTTTTTGTTCAAGTTTTGGTCTTCATCTTTAAATTTATGTCAATCATGACCTTCACTGGCATGAAAAGTTAACTGAGATCAGCAGATTTCAGAACTATCTGAAAATTACTACACTGGACTTCAAAGGGAAAAACAGTGTTTCTAAGAAAATCAATTATGTATAATGTATTTGGGGGAGAGAAAGAAAATGATAAGAAATGTATATGTCATGAAGCCCTGTTTTAGTAAAACAATAGCTTCTGTATTAATATATTTTTTTCACAATATGTGGTATGTATGCAAGTAATGTAAGATTCAAAGAATTGCAGTGGAAACTGAAAAGGAAATTGAAAACAAAAGCAACAAAATGTTATGTATTTTCTCTTTAATTTTCAGAGAAGCCAAGAAATAATTTGAGAAGCAAGAACACCAAGGGAGGATTACCTCCCTTTGTGGGTAAACCTCAACTGGTGCCACTTTTGCAGATATGTTCTATAAAACCACCTGACTGCTCCAGAAAACCAAACATCCAAAAACTCTCACAATTTTTGGCTATGTAAGGTGAAGTTTTGGTGACATAATCGGTAGAAAAATTATGCCTGAAACTCACAGATAGTTTTTAAGATCTAACTCACCTTGGAAAATCATTAGGAGGCATGTGACTTCAATTCAAAATTTAAACATGTTCCGATTACTTTTGGGAAAATGTTTTTGGATTATAAAATAAGTTATCTTTTTGCTTTTAGAATTCTAATTTTATTCAATAATTATCCTAATGAGGTAGAGGACCCTGTCTCAGAAGGTGACATTTTTTAGGCTGGACATAGTGGCTCATACCTGTAATCCCAGCACTTTGGGGCATATCACTTGAGGTCAGGAGTTCAGGACCAGCCTGGCCAACATAGTGAAACCCGTCTCTACTAAAAATACAAAAATTAGCTGGGTGTGGTGGTGTGTGCCTGTAGTCCCAGCTACTTGGGATGCTGAGGCATGAGAATTCCTCGAACCTGGGAGGATGAAAGAGTAAGACTCCATCTTAAAAAAAAGAAGAAATAAAAGATGCTATTCTTTAACCACTCAGGCCCAGCATAAAACTACACATAAACAAAGCATCCAGTTGATACTGGGGGCCAAATGGTTTATGTACAATTGAGCTAAACTTAAACTTGTATTTTCAAAGCATAGAAAGCATCATTGAAACCCAAATTGGGGAGCTTGTTTAAATGTTAGATTAAATGCTGTAAGTAACTCTGAAAAGGCTGCAAACATGGAAAGCAATCAGGCCAGTCATAATTACTATGCCCTTGAATTCTAGTACTTTATGGGGAAAGAAAATAAATCTAGTTACTCATCTTCTTCGTGAATGAAATGTGCTCTGCACTTCAAAAGCAAATTATTATCCTTCATCTAAATCATTGACTTAATGATATTCTATTTCCCAATCTCATCCTCATGTCGCTGACAATGAAAAAGCTTAATGTAATGATTAAAAAGTGTTGTTATATTTGAGCTGAGGTTTATTTCAGGATTTTGTGATTTAAAATAATATAAAATAAAGGTTTTTCTTGGTTACGTCTTTGTAAGTGAATATTAAAAAGTAAATATTTCTATATTTTCTCATCAAGAGGAATGATGCAAATGTTTGTTAGTTCCTGCCCAGGGAACTTAAAATCTCATTGAGAGAGCCAAGATATAAATAAAGTTCATTAGATAACAACACAGTTGATCAGTAAAACTTAAAAATGATATTATGAAATAAGTTCCAAAGGCATACATTAAAACCTTTTTTTTTTCTGGCAAATATTAGGGAAAAATATTCTCCTAAAAATTATGTGACACTTGTTAAGTACTGAAGTGATTTTTTTGTTTTTCTTTTTTGAGACAGGTTCTTGCTCTGTTGCCAGGCTAGAGTGCAATAGCACAACCAGGGCTGTATTAGTTTGTTTTTATGCTGCTGATAAAGACATAGCCAAGACTGGGCAATTTACAAAAGGAAGAGGTTTAATAAACTTGCAGTTCCACATGGCTGGGAAAGCCTTATAATTATGGAGGAAGGCAAGGAAGCACAAGTCACCTTTTACATGGATGGCAGCAAGTAAAGAGAGAGCTTGTGCAGGGAAACTCCCATTTTTTTAAACCATTAGATTTTGTGACACTAATTCACTATTGAGAACAGCATGGGAAAGAGCCGCCACCCCACTCCATCATTCGATTATTTCCCACTGAGACCCTCCCACAACAGGTGAGAATTGTGGAAGCTACAAGATGAGATTTGGGTGAGAACACAGAGCCAAACCATATTCTGCCCCTGGCCCCTCTCAAATTTCATGTCTTTACATTTTCAATACTTATGCCTTCCCAAGAGTACCCCAAAGTTTTAACTTATTTTAGCATTAACTTAAAAGTTCACAGTCCAGAGTTTTATTTGAAAGAAGGTAAGTCCCTTTTGCCTATGAGCCTATAAAATTAAAAGCAAGTAAGTTACTTCCTAGATACAACGTACAGGCATTGGGTAAATACAGCCATTCCAAATGGGAGAAATCGGCCAAAACAAAGGGATTACAGGCCCCATGCAAATTTGCAATCCAGCAGGCCAGTTAAATTTTAAGGCTTTAAAATGATCTCTTTTGACTTCATGTCTCACAGCTAAGTCACGCTGATGCAAGAGGTGGGCTCCCAGGGCCTTGGGCAGCTCTGTCTCTGTGGATTTGGAGGATATAGCCTCCCTGTGGACTGCTTTTATGGGCTGGTGTTGAGTTTCTGTGGATTTTCCAAGCATATGGTATAAGCTGTTGGTGGATCTACCATTCTGGGGTTTGGAGGACAGTGGTCCTCTTTTCACAACTTCACTAGGCAGCACCCCAGTAGGGATTCTGTGTGGGGTCTCTGACCCTACATTTTCCTTCTGCACTGCTCTAGCAGAGGTTTTCCATGAGAGCCTGGCCCATGCAGCAAACTTCTGCCTGGACATCCAGGCATTTCCATACATCCTCTGAAATCTAGGCAGAGGTTCCCAAACTCCAATTCTTGACTTCTGTGCACACACAGGCTTAGTACCACATGAAAGCTGCCAAGTCTTGAGGCTTGCACCCTTTGAAGCCATGGCCTGAGCTGTGCATTGGTGCCTTTCAGCCACAGCTGCAGTGGCTGGGACACAGGGCACCAAGTCCCTAGGCTGCACACAGCACAGGACCCTGGGCCTGTACCATGAAACTACTTTCTTTGTCCTAGCCCTCTGGGACTGTGATGGGAGGGGCTGCTATGATGACTTCTGATATGCCCTGGAGACATTTTCCCAATCGTTTTGGGATTAACATTTGGTTACTTTTTACTTATGCAAATTTCTGCAGCCAATTACTCCTGAGAAAATGGGTTTTTCTTTTTTATTGCATTGTTAGGCTGCAAATTTTGTAAACTTTTATGTTCTGCTTCTCTTATAAAACTGAATGCCTTTAACAGCACCCAAGTCACATCTTGAATGCTTTGCTTCTTAGAAATCTTTTCTACCAGATACCCTAAATTATCTCTCTCAAGTTTAAAGTTCCACAAATTTTTAGGGCAAGGAAAAATGCTGCCAGGCTCTTGCTAAAACATAACAAGAGTTACCTTTGCTCAAGTACCCAACAAATTCCTTATATCCATCTGAGACCCTCAACCTGGATTTCATTATTCATATTATTATTAGCAATTTGGTTAAAGCCATTTAACAAGTTTCTAGGGAGCTCCAAACTTTCCCACATCTTTTTTCTTCTGAGCCTGCCAAACTGTTCCAATATTTGTCTGTTACACAGTTCAAAAGTTGCTTTCATATTTTTGGGTATTTTATCAGCAGCACCCCATTTCTGGTACCAATTTACTATATATATATATATATATATATACACATTTTTTTTTTTTTTTTGTACAGTGCTGATAAAGATATACCTGAGACTGGGCAATTTACAAAAGAAAGAGTTTTGGGGGAGTGGGGAGGGATAGCATTAGGAGATATACCTAATGTAAATGTTGAGTTAATGGGTGCAGCACACCAACATGACACATGTATATATATGTACCAAACCTGCATGTTGTGCACATGTACCCTAGAACTTAAAGTATAGTGAAAAAAAACACAAAAATCAAAAACCTGACCCAATAAACAATAATCAAATCTTCAGTTAAAAAAAAAAAAGAGTTTTAATGGATTTACAGTTCCATGTGGCTGGAGAAGCCTTACAATTAAGGCAGAAGGCAAGGAGGAGCAAGTCACATTTTACATGGTTGGCAGCAGGCAGAGAGAGCTTGTGCAGGGAAATTCCAATTTTTAAAACCATTAGATTTCATGAGACTTATTCACTATTACGAGAAGAGCACAGAAAAGACCCACCCCCATGACTTAATTATTTCCCACCAGGTCCCTCCCATAACATGTGGGAATCATGGGAGCTACAAGATAACATTTGGGTGGGGACACAGAGCCAAACCATATTAATGGCTCACTGCAGCCTCAACCTCCTGGGCTCAAATGATCCTCCCAACTCAGCCTCCTGAATAGCTGGGACTACAGGCATGTGACACCATGCCCGTCTAAATTTTGTATTGTTTGTAGAGATAGGGTTTCATCATGTTGGCCAGGCTGGTCTTGAACTCCTAGGCTCCAGTGATCCTGCTGTCTCAGCCTCCCAAAGTGCTGGGATTAGAGATGTGAGCCACCATGCCCAGCCTGAAGGGTTCTTAATTTTATGATTGTTCGATGGCAGTCTAGTTGAAGCTTTATATATATCCCCCTTACTTTGTAACCATATTAGTAGCCATGTTAAATTTCTTTTGGTGATAAAAACTATAAATTTTAACTGTGTTATAAAACAGGGAAACCTAAAGTATATTCTTTACATTTAATGAACCCTAATGAAAAATGTTGAGTGGCTGGACTTCAAACATTTTTCTTTAAAAAATTGTTCTTCTGTCTTCTGATGTGCTACTTAAAAATATTCTACTACTTGTTCTTTGGACTAGAAAATAAGGCTTGTTTTGAGAGTGGGTGAGTATATCTGAATGTGTGTGTAATGCATGTAAGTGTGTGTTTCTTTGTGTATGTCTGTGTGTGTGTGTTGGATTCCTTTAGTTCAAGAAACAGAATTGTTATACCTAAAATGCTAGAGGGATTTTCATTAGAATGCATGTGGAAATAACAAATATAGAAATGTCTCTCAGATGATCATGCCTAAGGGAACCTAGCAACAATCAAAGGAGACTAGAAAGTGGTTTGGGAACTAGAAAGTCATTCAGGATACAAAGCAATTCTGAACACTAGGTTATCTCATCACCTTCTCATCCTCAGGACTCTAGCAAAACAAATTGGCTAATTTCACCCACTCATCTACTCTCTTTCTACTTCTATTATTTGTCTTAGTATTTCTGTCAACCATTCATAAAAGTTTCAATTAACCCTGATGATGTAAGTGGAACTTTTATGCCCCATCATTTTAGAATTCCCTAGTCACCTTCCAAGTTAAAAGGCCAGTTATATTTGGTGCCAATTTAGCTACTCATTGAGATGTAACTCCTTAGAAAGGAACAGTGTTTGAATACGGCTAGATATTATGAGTTTTGGCCATTCCAAATATCATATGAGCTAATTACTTATGGCTGTGTTTATTTTACTTCATATTTGTTGCTCTTTTTACATTTAGTTTTTATTTTTCTTTTAATTTTAAAATAATTTTGACTTATTTTGGATTCAGGGGATATATATATAGGTTTGTTACATGGGTGTGTTGAGTGACACTGACATTTGGGGTATGATTGAAGCCATCACTGAGGAAGTGAGCATAGTACCCAACAGTTAACTTTTCAGCCCATTCTACTCTTCCTTCCTTTTCCTTCTAGTAGACCCCAGTGTCTATTGTTGCCATCTTTACGTCCATGAGTGCCCAATATTTAGCTCCTACTTATAAATGAGAACATGTGGTATTTGGTTTCCTGTTTCTTCTTTTCATTTGCTTAGGATAATGGCCCCTAGCTGCATCCATGTTGCTGCAAAGAACATGATTTTGTTCTTTTTTTACAGCTGCATAGTATTTCTTGGTGTATATGTACCATAGTTTCTTTATCCAATCCACCACTGATGGGCACCTAGGTTGATTCCATGTCTTTGCTATTATGAATAGTGCTGCAATGAACATAGGAGTTCTTGTGTATATTTGGTAGAGTAATTTATTTTCTTTGGGGCATATACTCAGTAATGACATTGGATGTCGAATGGTAGTTTCATTTTAAGTTCTTTGAGATATCTCCAAACTGATTTCCACAGTGACTGAACTAATTTACATTCCCACCATCAGTATGTAGCCATCTCCTTTTCTTCACAGCCTTACCAGCATCTGTTATCTTGTGACTTTTTAATGATACCCATTCTGACTGATGTGAGATGGTATCTTATTGTGGTTCTAATTTGCATTTGCCTGATACTTAGTACTGTTGAGCATTTTTCATATGTTTGTTGGTTGCTTGTATTTCATCTTTTGAGAAGTGTCTGTTCATGCCTTTTGCCCACTTTTTAAAAGGGTTGTTTTGTTTTGTTTGCTTGTTGAATTGTTTACATTCCTTATAGATTGTGGATATTAGTCTTTTGTTGGATGCATAATTAATTTGCAATTTTTTTCTCCCATTCTGTAGGTTGCCTGTTTATTGTGTAGTTTCTTTTGCTGTGCAGAAGCTCTTCAGTTTAATTAGAAGGCACTTGTCAATTTTCATTTTTCTTACAATTGCTTTTGAAGACTTAGCCATAAATTCTTTCCCAACACCAACATCTAGAATGGTGTTTTCTAGGTTTTCTTCTAGGATTCTTATAGTTAGAGGTCTTATATTTAAATCTTTAATCTATCTTGAGTTAATTGTTGTTTGTGGTGAAAGGTAGGGGTACAGTTTCATTCTTCTGCATATGGCTAGTCAGCTTTCTCAGCACCATTTATTTAATAGAGAGTCCTTTCCCCATTGCTCATTTATGTCAACTTTGTTAAAGATCAGATGACTATAGGTGTGCAGCTTTTTTTTTTTTCTGGGTTCTCTATTCTGTTCCGTTGGTCTATGTGTCTGTTTTTGTACCAGTACCATGCTGTTTGGGTTAATGTAACCTGGTAATGTGGTTTGAATCAGGGTAATGGGATGTCTCTGAACTTGTTCTTTTTCCATAGAATTACTTTGGCTATTCAGCCTCTTTTTTGGTTCTATATAAATTTTAGAATAGTGTTTTCTACATTGGTAGTTTGATAGAAATAGTGTTGAATCTGTAGTTTGCTTTGGGTAGTAAGGCCATTTTAATGATATTGATTATTCCAATACATGAGCATGGGGCATTTTTCCATTTGTGTCATCCGTGATTTCTTTCAGCAGTGTTTTGTAGTTCTCCTTGTAGAGGTCTTTTACCTCCTAGATATATAACTAGGTATATTCTTTTTGTGCCTATTTTAAATAAGACTGCATTCTTGATTTGGTTCTCAGCCTGAATGTTATTGATATATAGAAATGCTACTAATTTTTGCACATTGATTTTGTGTTCTGAAACTTTACTGAAGTCAGTTATCAGTGCCAGGAGCCTATAACAGAGTCTTTAGAAGTTTCTAGGTATAGAATCATATCATCTATGAAGAGAGATAGTTTTATTTCTTTTCCTATTTGGCTGCCTTTTATTTCTTTCCCTTGCCTGATTGCTCTGACTAGGACTTCCAGTACATTGTTGAATAAAAGTGGTGAGAGTGAGCATCTTTATCTTGTTACAGTTCTCAAAGAGAATGCTTCTAGCTTTTACCTCTTCAGTATGATGTCAATGGGTCTCTCATAGATGGCTCTTATTATTTTTAGCTATGTTCCTTTGATGCCTAGTTTGTTAAGCGTTTTTATCATTATAGGATGTTGAATTTTATTGAAAACTTTTTCACATCTATTTATATAATTATATGGATTTTGTTTTTAATTCTGTTTATGTGGTGAATCATGTTTATTTATTTGCATATGTTGAACCAACCTTGCATCCCAGGATTGAAGCCTGTTTGATCATGGTGAATTAACTTTTTGGTGTGCTGTTGAATTAGGTTTGCTAGTATTTTGTTCAGGATTTTTGCATCTAGTTCACCAGAGATATTGGCCTGTAGTTTACTTTTATCATTGTGTCTTTGCCAGGTTTTGGTATCAGGATAATGCTGGTTTTGTAGAATGAGTTAAGGAGGAGTTGCTCCTCTTGATTTTTTTGGAATACTTTCAGTAGAATATGTACCAGTTTTTCTTTTTACATCTGGTAGAATTCAGCTGTGGATCCATCTGGTCTGGGGCTTTTTTTTTTTTTTTTTTGATTGGTAGGTTTTTTATTACTAATTCAATTTCAGAACTTGATTTCAATCGTTCAGGATTTCAATTTCTTATTCTTTCTCTTTTTTTTTTTCTGGGGGGGGACAGGGTTTCATCCTGTCACCCAGACTAGAGTGCAGTGGTGCGATCACAGCTCACTGAAACTTTGACCTCCCAGACTCAAGTGATCCTCCCACCTCAGCCTCCCAAGTATCTGGGACTATAGGCATGCACCACCATGCCTGGCTAATTTTTGTGTTTTGTGTAGAGACAGGGTTTTGCCATATTGCCCAGCCTGGTCTTGAACTCCTGGGCTCAAGCAATCCACCCACCTCGGCTTCATAAAGTGCTGGAATTATGGGTGTGAGCCACCATGCCCAGCCTCAATTTCTTCTTGATTCTATCTTGACAGGTGGTGTGTTTCCAGGAATTTATAATTTTGTTTCTAGATTTTCTAGTTTGTGTACATAGAGGTCTTCATAGTACTCTCTGGAGATTTCTGTATTTCTGTGGGAGCAGTTGTAATGCTATTTTTGTCATTTCTGATTGTTCTTATTTGGATCTTTTCTCCTTATTTTTGTTAATTTAGGTAGTGATCTATCAATTTTGTTTACTCTTTCAAGAAACCAATTTTTGCTCAGTTGATTTTTTATATGTATTTTTGAGTCTCAATTACGTTCAGTTTTGTTCTGATTTTAGTTATTTCTTCTAGTTTTGGGTTAGTTTGTTCACTAGGTTCTTTACATGTGATGTTAGATTGGTAATTTGGAATCTTTCTAACTTCTTGATGTAGATGTTTAGAGCTATAAAATTCCCCCTTAACACTGCTTTTGCTGCATCCTGGTGATTTTGGAATGTTGTGTCTCTGTTTTTATTTATTTCAAAGAATTCTTTTTGCCTCAATTTTATTGTTTACACAAGTCATTCAGGTGCAAGTTGTTTAATTTTCATGTAATTATGTGGTTTTGGGAGATCTTGTTGCTTTCAGTTTTTATTCCATTGTGGTCTGAGGGTACAGTTGGTCTGATTTCAATTTTTTTGAATTTATTAAGATTTATTTTATGGCCTGGCTGGTGGTCAATCTTGGGGTATATTCTGTGTGTGATTGAGAAAAAAATGAGTATTCTGTGGTTGAAGGATGAAGTGTTCCATAGATATTTATTAGGTCCAATTGGTCAAATGTTGAATTTAAGTCAAGAATTTGTTAGTTTTATTTTTTATTTTACTTTAAGTTCTGGAATACATGTACAGAATGTGGAGGTTTGTTACATAGTTATACGTGTGCCATGGTACTTTGCCCCACTTATTGACCTGTCCTCTAAGTTCCCTTTCCTCACTCCCACCCCTCAACAGGTCCTGATGTGTTTTGTTCCCCTCCCTGTGTCCATATGTTTTCATAGTTCAACTCCCTCTTATGAGTGAGAATATGGAGTGTCTGGCATTCTGTTTCTGTGTTAGTTCGCTGAGGATGATGGTTTCCAGCTTCATCCATGTCCCTGCAAAGGACATGATCTCATTCTTTTTATAGCTGCACAGTATTCTATTCTGTATATGTACCACATTTTCTTTATCCAGTCTATTTTTGATGGGCATATTTGTTGGTTCCATGACTTTGTTATTGTAAATAGTGCTGCAATAAATATATATGTGCATGTGTCTTTATAATAGAATAATTTATATTCCTTTGTGTATATACCCAGTAATGAGATTGCTTGGTCAAATGGTATTTCTGGTTTGAGAACCTTGAGGAATCACCATATGGTCTTCCACAATGGTTGAACTAATTTACATTCCCACCAACAGCATAAAAGCATTCCTATTTCTCCACAGCCTTGCCAGCAACTGTTGTTTCTTGACTTTTTAGTAATCACCATTCTGACTGGCATGAGATGGTATCTCATCGTGGTTTTGATTTGCATTTCTCTAACATTAGTGATGTTGAGCTTTTTTTTATGTTAGTTGGGTACATGAATGTTGTCTTTTGAGAAGTGTCTATTCATATCCTTTGCCCACTTTTTGATGTGGTTGTTTTTTTCTTGTAAATTTGTTTAAATTCCTTGTAAATTCTGGATATTTGACCTTTGCCAGACGGGTAGATTGCAAAATTTTTCTCCCATTCTGTAGGTTGCCTGTTCATTCTGATGATAGTTTCTTTTGCTGTTCAGAAGCTCTTTAGTTTAATTAGATCCCATTTGTCAATTTTGGCTTTTGTTGAAATTGCTTTTGGCATTTTCATCATGAAGTCTTTGCCTATGCCTATGTCCTGAATGGTATTGCCTAGATATTCTTCTAGGGTTTTATGGTTTTGGGTTTTACATTTAAGTCTTTAATCCATCTTGAGTTAATTTTTGTATATGGTATAAAGAAGGGGTCCAGTTTCAGTTTTCTGCATATGGCTAGCCAGTTTTCCCAGCACCATTTATTGAATAGGAAATCTTTCCCCATTGCTTGTTTATTGTCAGGCTTGCCAAAGATCAGATAGTTGTAGATGTGTGGAGTTATTTCTGAGGTCTCTGCTCTGTTCCATTGGTCTATGTGTCTGTTTTGGTACAAGTACCATGCTGTTTTGGTTACTGTAGCCTTGTAGCAGAGTTTGAAGATAGGTAGCATGATGCCTCCAGCTTTGTTCTTTTTGCTTAGGGTTGTCCTGGCTATGAAATTTAAAGTACTTTTTTTTTTTTTCTAATTCTGTGAAGAATGTCAATAATAGTTTGATGGGAATAGCACTGAATCTATAAATCACTTTGGGCAGTATGGCCATTTTCACAATATTGATTCTTCCTACCCATGAAGATGGAATGTTTTTCCATTTGTTTGTGTCCTCTCTTTCCTTAGCAGTGGTAGAGGTCCTTCACTTCTTTTGTTAGCTGTATCCCTAGGTATTTTGTTCTCTTTGTAGCGATTGTGAATGGGAATTCATGGTTTGGCTCTCTGCTTGTCTATTATTGGTGTAAAAGAATGCTTGTAATATATGCACATTGATTTTGTTTCCTGAGACTTTGCTGAAGTTGTTTATCAGCTTAAGGAGTTTTTGGGCTGAAGTGATGGGGTTTTCTAAATATAAAATCATGTTGTCTACAAACAGAGACAATTTGACTTCCTCTCTTCCTCTCTGAATACGCTTTATTTCTTTCCCTTGCCTGATTGCCCTGGCCAGAAATTCCAATACATGTTGAATAGGAGCGGTGAGGGAGGGCATCCTTGTCTTATACTGGTTTTCAAAGGGAAGGCTTCCAGCTTTTGCCCATTGAATATGATATTGGCTGTGGGTTTGTCATAAATAGCTCTTATTATTTTCAGATATGTTCCATAAATACCGAGTTTATTGAGAGTTTTTTTTTTCTTAACATGAAAGGATGTTGAATTTTATCAAAGCCCTTTTCTGTATCTGCTGAGATAATCATGTAGTTTTTGTCTTTGGTTCTGTTTATGTGATGGATTACATTTACTGATTTGCATGTGTTGAACCAGCCTTACGTCCCAGTGATGAAGCCAACTTGATCGTGATGGATAAATTTTTTGATGTGCTGCTGGATTCGGTTTGCCAGGATTTTATTGAGGATTTTTGCATTGATGTTCATCAGGGATATTGGCCTGAAGTTTTTGTGTTTTGTTGTGCCTCTGCCTGGTTTTGGTATCAGAATGATGCTGGCTGCATAAAATGAGTTAGGGCGGAGTCCCTCCTTTTTTATCATTTGGAATAGTTTCAGAAGGAATGTTACCAGCTCCTCTTTGTACCTCTGGTAGAATTTGGCTGTGAATCCATGTGGTCCTGGGCTTTTTTTGGTTGTTAGGCTATTAATTACTGCCTCCATTTCAGAACTTGTTATTGGCCTATTCAGGGATTCAGCTTCTTCCTATTTTAGTCTTGGGAGGCTGTATATGTCCAGGAATTTACCCATTTCTTCTAGATTTTCTAGCTTATTTGCATAGAGGTGTTTATAGTATTCTCTGAT
The DNA here is from genome assembly GCF_000001405.40 of Homo sapiens. NCBI lineage: Eukaryota > Metazoa > Chordata > Mammalia > Primates > Hominidae > Homo > Homo sapiens. Next base: position 28,790,141 of record NC_000011.10, read on the forward strand.
GGTAATTTGTGTTTCTGTGGGGTCAGTGGTGATATCCCCTTTATAATTTTTTATTGTGTCTTTTTGATTCTTCTCTCTTCTGTATTAGTCTAGCTAGCAGTCTATCTATTTTGTTAATTTTTTTCAAAAAAACATAGCTCCTGGATTCATTGATTTTTTTGGGGGGGCTGCTTTTTGTGTCTCTCTTTCAATTCTTCTCTGATCTTAGTTATTTCTTGTTCTCTGCTAGCTTTTGGATTAGTTTACTCTTGCTTCTCTACCTCTTTTAATTATTATGTTAGGGTGTTGATTTGAGATCTTTCTAGCTTTCTGATGTGGGCATTTAGTGCTATAAATTTCCCTCTTAACACTGCTTTAGCTGTGTCCAAAAGATTTTGGTATGTTGTCTCTTTATTTTCATTGGTTTCAAAGAACTTCTTTATTTCTGCCTTAATTTCATTATTTACAAGGAGTCATTCAGGAGCAGGTTGTTCAATTTCCATGTAATTGTGTGGTTTTGAGTGAGTTTCTTAATCCTGAGTTCTAATTTAATTGCACTGTGGTCTGAGAGATTGTTTATTATTTCAGTTCTTTTTGCATTTGCTGAGGAGTGTTTTACTTCTAATAATGCGGTTGATGTTGTATATTCTGTTGATTCTGTTGATATCTACAGAACTCTCTGTAGATATCTGTAGATGTCTATTAGGTCCACTTAATCCAGAGCTGAGTTCAAGTCATGAATGTCTTTGTTAATTTTCTGTCTCATTGATCTATCTAATATTGACAGTGAGATGTTAAAGTCTCCCACTATTACTGTGTGGGAGTCTAAGTCTCTTTGTAGGTCTCTAAGAACTTGTTTTATGAGCTGGGTGCTCCTGTATTGGGTGCATATATATTTAGAATTGTTAGCTCTTCTTGTTGAATTGTTCCCTTTACCATTGTGTAATGCCCTTCTTTTTCTTTTTTGACCTTTGTTGATTTAAAGTCTGTTTTCTCAGAGACTAGGATTGCTACCCTTGCTTTTTTTGCTTTCCATTTGCTTGGTAAATTTTCCTCCATACCTTTATTTTGAGCCTATGTGCATCTTTGCACGTGAGATGGGTCTCCTGAATACAGCACACCAATGAGTCATGACTCTTTATCCCATTTGCCAGTTGGTGTCTTTTAATTGGGGCATTTAGTCCATTTACACTTAGGGTTAGTATTGTTATGTGTAAATTTGATCCTGTCATTATGATGCTATCTGGTTATTTAGAACACTAGTTGATGCTGTTTCTTCATAGTGTCATTGGTCTTTATATTTTGGTGTGTTTTTGCAGTGGCTGGTACTGGTTTTTCCTTTCCATATTTAGTGCTTATTTCAGGAGCTCTTGCAAGGCAGGCTTGGTGTTAATGAAATTCCTCACCATTTGTTTGTCTGGAAAGGATTTTATTTCTCCTTTGCATATGAAGCTTAGTTTGGCTGGATATGAAATTCTGTGTTGAAAATTCTTTTCTTTAAGAATGTTAAATATTGGCCTCCAATATCTTCTGGCTTGTAGAGTTTCTGCTGAGAGGTCCATGGTTAGTCTGATGGGCTTCTCTTTGTAGGTGACCTAGCCTTTCTCTCTGGCTGCCCTTAACACATTTTTTCTTCATTTCGACCTTGGAGGATCTGACGATTATGTGTCTTGGGGTTGATTTTGTCGTGGAATATCTTAGTGGTGTTCTCTGTATTTCTTGAATTTGCATGTTGGCCTGTCTCGCTAGATTGGGGAAATTCCCCTGAATAATATCCTGAAATGGCTTTTCCAGCTTGTTTCCATTCTCCCCATCTCCTTCAGGTACTCCAATCAATCATAGGTTCGGTCTTTTTACGAAGTCCCATATTTCTTGGAGGCTTTTTTCATTCCTTTTCATTCTTTTATCTCTAAACTTGTTTGCATGCTTTATGTTGGCAATGTGGTTTTCAAACTCTAATATGTTTTCTTCTGCTTGGTGAATTCAGCCATTGATACTTGTGTATGTTTCATGAAGTTCTTGTGCTGTGTTTTTCAGCCCCATGAGGTCATTTATGTTCTTCTCTAAACTGATTATTCTAGTTAGCAGCTCCTCTAACCTTTTATCAAGGTTCTTAGCTTCTTTGCATTGGGTTAAAACAGTACAGTTTATTATTACCCATCTTCTGAAGCCTACTTCTGTCAATTCATTCATAACATCCTCTGTCCAGTTCTGCACCCTTGCTGGAGAGGCGCTGCAATCATTTGAAGGAGAAGAGACACTCTGGCCTTTTGGGTTTTCAGTGTTTTTTTGTTGATTCTTTCTCATCTTGGTGAGTTTGTCTAATTTTGATCTTTGAGGCTGCTGACCCTTCGATGGGGTTTCTGTGGGGACTTTTTGTTGTTGTTGATGCTGTTGTTGTTGCTTTCTGTTTTTCTTTCAATGGTCAGGTCCCTTTTCTTTAGGGCTGCTGCAGTTTGCTGGGGGTTCCCTTCAGGACCTATTCATCTGGTTTCCTCCCACACCTGGAGATGTCACTCAAGGAGGCTGGAGAACAGTAAAGATGAGTGCCTGCTCCTTCTTCTGGGATCTGTGACCTTGAAAGGGACCAACCTGATGCCAGTAGGATCGCTCCTGTGGAGGGTGTCTGACAACCCCCATTGGAGGGTCTTACCCGGTTGGGTGGCACGGGGAGCAAGGGCTCATTTAACAAAGCACTTTGACTGTCCCTTAGTGGAGAGAGTATGCTTTGCTACAGGAAACCCACTCATCTGGGCTGCATGGATTCCTCAGAACTACCAGGAGGAAAGGCTAAGTCTGCTGGTCCTCACAGACTGTGTCCACCCATCCTGCTACGTGCTCAGGCCCAGGGAGATCTGGCTTCTGTCCCTAAGTCTCTGGCTGGAGTTGTTGGAGTTCCTGCAGGGAAGCCCTGCCCAGTGAGGAAGGATGTGTCAGGGTCAGGCCTGAAGAAGTGCTTTGGCCACAGTTTGCCACAGCTGGTGTGTTGTGTTGTGGGGGACATCTCTTGGGGACCAAGCTGTCACACCTCCCTGGCGTCAGCAGGGTCAAAAATGTGGCCTGGAGCTGTAGAGATGGATGCTGCCTTTCCCCCAACTAGGAAGCTTAGCATGTTAGGCAGCTATGAGTCCCAGTGCTGGCTGCTGCCCTCCCACAAGGAAATCAAATGGCTTAGGCAGCAGGCAGCTGTGCTGGTCACATTTCCCCCCAGGAGCTCCACAGGCTTAGGCAGATTCCACCTGAGAGGCTGTTGAGCATCTGCTCAGCTCGGAGGTTGGGACCCTAGGTCCTGGTGGCATGGGTTCATGAGTGGGACTTTCCGATCTGTGGGTTGCACAGTTCCGTGGAAAAAACATGGTTTCCCGGCGGACTAGCATGCTCACTTACTGCCTCCCTTGACTAGGGGGTTGGGGCTCCCCTGCCCCATGTGGCTCTCAGGTGAGCCATGGCACCACACTGCTCTTCCTTCCTCTCCATGGATCACATCAGCGGCCTAGTCAGCTCTGATGAGAGAATCTGGATACCTTGGTTGCTGGTGAAGTATTCACATGCTAATTATGGTTCTTTTTCATTCAAGCCACTGATGGCTGCCGCTTCTAGTCAGCCATCTCAGCCCCGCCCCCAGAATTTGTTAGTTTTCTGACTTAATGATCTTTGTCTTCCTATCATTGGAGTGTTGACATTCCCTAATATTATTGTGTGGCTGTCTAAGTCTTTTAACAGGTCAAGAAGAAATTATTTTATGAATCTGGATGCTCTAATATTGGGTGCATATGTATTTAGGACTGTTAAGTATTCTTGTTGAATTGAAACCTTTATCGTAATGTAGTGCCCTTCTTTAACCTTTTTTTACTGTTTTTGGTTTAAAGTCTGTTTGTTTTTTCTGATATAAGAATAGTGACCTCTGCTCTTGTTTTCCATTTGCTTAATAGCTCTTTTTCCAACCCTTTCTGTTGAGCCTATGGGTGTCTTTTGTTTTGAGATGGGTCTTTTGAAAACAGAAGAAAGATGCGTCTTGTTTTTTAATCTGCCTTGCTACTCTGTGCCTTTTAAGTGGGGTATTAAGACCATTTATATTCCAGGTTAATATTGATATATGAGGTTTTGATTATATTGGGAAGTTGTTAGCTCATTGTTTCATAGTTTTGTTTTATAGGGTCTGTTGGCTATGTACATAAGTGTGTGTGGTAGCAGGTATCAGTCTTTCATTTCCATGTTTAGAACTCTCTTAAGGATCTCTTGTAAGTCGTGTCTAGTGGTAACAAATTCCCTTGCGGCTGTGTTTAAAATAAGACTAAATATCCTTGAAGTAAGCTCTCAGGAAATGGAATCTTGTATCAACAATGAATGTATTTTGTAAGTACATATTTTGATTTCTCAGTGTTTTTCTTTTACCCTATACAGTTGAGTGCTCCTTTTGTATACTTTATAGCATATTTCATAATCTATCTTATGTTAACTTTTTATGAATATGTCACCTTACTCCTTGATTGGGTCAACCATACCTTAGTCATTCCCTTATTCCCACAATACCTCATAAACTCCCTTTCTTAAAATCAACAATGAATATATATTTATTGGTTTGAAGTAAACTGAAAAGAGGTGCTACTAACTGTGGTTGTCAATGAAGATTTATAAACAATCTGTGCTATGAATTCCTAGAAAAGAAATAATACTTAGAACTAAAGTGATCTGGTAAGCTTTATGGAAGAGATGAAGAGATAAAGTGCTTATATAATCAAAATGCACATGGCTTTTGTTTTACAAATCACCATAATTGCCATCACCATTATAAAAAGTGATGTTTTACTAGCAAATGTTAATTAATACACAATATTCTTGTTTTAATTCAATATATTTAACACTGGGAGACAGATAAATTCATGCATAGACAACTATGCAAGGAATGTAACATATCAATCATGCAATTTTCCCTCTAAAACATAAGCCACTGCATTAATGGGTTACAAATATATATATATATTTATATATATAATATAAATTATATATATATAAATATATATAAATTATATATAAATATATATAAATTATATATATAAATTATATATATAAATATATATATATTATATATAAATATATAATATAAATTATATATAGAACTATATATATATATATATATATATACACACAGAGAGAGAGAGAGAGTCAGTTCATGGTATAGTGAAGGCCCTTTCTCTTCATATGTTTTTTGATTGAACTTGTCTACAGGAGCTAATACTCTAGTGCAGGCAACAAATCTATTCGATAAAGAAAAATTTTTTAAAAATAGTAGGAAGTAGTGAAAGGTTTTGAAACTCCTTATGTTCAGAACTGAATTTAAAAAGACCCTGCCTCCAAAATATTAAAGCAGAGATTGATAAATAGATATATAGGTAGGTAAGCAGACAGACAGGCAGATAAATCTGCATAGGGAACAAGTACTTTTCTCCTGTCAAAATATGTTCCCTTCACAACTCTTTAAACTCTTTATTTTTATTGGTTTGTAAACTTGATGTTTCTGCAAAACAGATAGTAAATTTAAATTTATTTTGGCCTAATCAGCATCATAAAGGGAAACATGAGGTTTCCTTAACAGTACTGGCTTATGCGTAGTCTTCCACTAAGTCCAGAACTTAAACTATTGCACCAACTGTTATTCAGTCATACCCTTTGCCATTTTAGCAATATGTTGCATGAGGTAAATCGTCTTGCCCACTGTGGTGAAGAGACTATGTTTTATTCCTCATCTCTGTATCCCCAACACCTAGTATAGTACTTGACTAATGACATGTATTCAGTCAATGTTAGTTGATAAAATTTATAAACTCAGAGACATACAAATAAGAGGCAGCAATCATTTTAGTCGAAGACAAACATTCCAGAAGATAGGCTTGGGTATGACTGTCATCTGTGGTTACAACATACAATTTTTCATCTGGTCTATATGGAGACCAGAATACTGATACTGGTCTTATCTGCCATACAGAATTCCTAGCTTCAGTGTCAAGTCCAGAAAAGAAAGATCATCAAGCTTTCTATTCTTTATGTGAAAAGTTTTTTTACACCTGTTGTCAGTGCCTCAGCATTCATCCAGTTTTGCGTTCAAGTCTTTGCTTTGGCCTTAAGAATGGAAAGATTTTGAATTACAGAATCTGACTTTAAAGGTGAGTAATTCTCACTGAACACAATTTCTGATTTTGACTCTATTAAAAGACTGCATGGAAACAACTTTTTCTCTAACATTTTCCATGTTCTAAGATTTGTTTTTAGATTTTTTTATTCTCTAATGGTGGCAATGAGTTTATTCTGAGTCATCCATACTGTTTTTTTGTTTTGTTATTAATTGATATTATCGTGATATAGCTTGGAGGGTAAATGGGGCAGTCAGAAACCCTGGAAAACACTAGTTTTCAATTTATGTCTATAGGTCCATCAATATCCGCATGGATCTAGGGATAACAAAACTCCTGGGTGATTGACCAAAAAGAGGGAATGTATTTACTTGAGTGCTTATATAAGAAACACAACTAAACAGAGGTTCTAAGTTATAGTTGAGGCAGAAAGCAAAAGGTCAAAACTATTGAAAAATGATCAGATTATATGACTGGAATGCAATTGAATATAGACAGCTTTTGGCATTTTTATTTGCAGAGGTATCAGCTAGAACAGAAAGTATAATTTGAGGCAAGTCAGATAATAAATTTAGGATTGAAGCCACAAGTAGTTAAAATGTTCCAGTATCCCACTTTTATATGGTATCTATCTTATCCTGAAGAGATGACTTGTTGATTTAAAGGTCCAAAAAGTCAGACTTCTGAAATTCAAAGAACAATAAAAAGTCAAGTATAGCTAGGGATTATAAAGTGTGAATCTGAAATCCTGCACTGTCCAAGATGATAAAACACAAACATTAGCAAGGTCAGGGATCTTTGAGCAGACTACTTGAAAGTGATATTTGATGGGATGACCTCAAAGAATCAAATAACTCTTGGTATACGTTCATCATTATAATTATCATAATGGCATTGATATTTGGATAATTCTGATGTAACAGCTCAGTATTAGGAACTGAGTATATAAAAAAAAGGAACTCAAAAGAGGAGTCTTAAATGTAGATTTGATAAGAGACAAGAGGCAACAATGTAGTTAAGTGCATTGGAGATGTTAAGCGCACTGGATTGAGTGGTGGCACTGGTTATGAACAGGAACAACAGCTTTGTGGGACAGTTTTTGTGAAGAAATATGTATAAGGCTCAGAGATTGACAACATAGAGGAAAAAGGAAAGGAATTTAAGATTCGGATGATTGTGAAAATGGTAGTAGCATGGCCAGAAAGAGGGATGTTTGAAATGGAAGTTGGCTTTGGCATTAATGATAATTAGTTCTATTTAGAAAATATGCTTTAGGTGAAAGCAAAACATCTAGATGTCCACGTGGATGTTAAGTTAGCTTCTATTGACTTACTATATTCTGCTATAAAAAAATACCCAAGAATGGGTAATTTATAAGAAAAGAGGTTTAATTGGCTCATGGTTCTGTAGGCTGTGCAGGAAGCATACTGGCTTTTGGGGAAGCCTCAGGAAACTTACAATCATGACAGAAGGTAAAGGGGAAGTGGAACTTTGCAGGGCCAGAGTAGGAGGAAGAGAAATTGGGGAGGTGCCACACACTTTTAAACAACCAGATCTCATGAGAATTCTCTCATGAGAATAGCACCAAACGGGGAAATCTATCCCCACGATCTGATCACCTCCTACCAGGCACTACCACCAACACTGGGGATTACAATTAAACATGAAATTTAAGTGGGGACACAGATCCAAACCATATTACTTACACAACCTTAGATAAAATAAAATATTACCCTAGCAAAATCCTGAGAATAAAAATTTTGGACTGTATAGTTGCTCTCTGACACTATTAGGCATACAGGTACTATAAGTCTTCTTGCTTCACCATTTTTTAGAAAAAGCATTTGACTCCATGGCTGCCAGGTGACCACTGTGTCTTCAGGCTACACCTCTGTATTTGGGAAATAAAAAGGGAAAAGGATAAAAGGAAGAGCCAAAAAAGTGTTTTATCAAAGATTGCCACTTTAGAAATTATTTCCAGGAAGTCCTACCTAATGACTTCTGCTGATATAACCAGCACTGGACTACACACATGCATGTTTTAGCCTCTATAACAGGGAAAGGCAAAAAATAAGTAGCCAGTATATCGTCTCTGCCACAATATGGTATTGAAACTAGGTAGATAAAGTCAGGAGATAGACAACTATAAATGAGACTGCCAAGGGAGAGATTACAGAGAAAGAAGAACAAAAGGCTGAGGGAAGGGCCTGAATAACTTTCAAGGAAAGATTGCTATCATGAAAGTTGAGGGGAGACCTGAGAAAGCAAGAATAAAGAACCAAACAGAAACAATTCCAAGAAAAATATATGAGTAACAATGCAACATGCTATGAAGTGATTAAGTAGTGAAAATGAACAAATGGTAACAGGAAGGTCACTGATGGTCTTCGATAGAAAAATTTATGTAGAAAATTGGGAGAATAAAACAGTCTGCCAGAGCTAAGAAGTAAACACATTTTGAAGAAAAGGAAACAAAGAATAAACACTACTGTTTTCAGGAATTTAATAGTAAAAGGAAAAAAAAAAGAGAAACTGAGTAAACCAAAAAGTTGTTGGCGAGATCTGAACATTTATTTAGGCATGAAAAATATTAACCAATATCTGATAGATAAATACCCAGGGGAGAAACTTTTCTTTAAGTACTATCTACTTATGAACTCAATATTTACAAAAATTCTATCAAGTGGGTACTATTATTATTCCAATTTTAAAGAAGAGAAAACAGGTTTTCCGTAACTAGTTTAAGGTCACACAACTGGTAAGTATCAGAGCTTCTTTCTTCTTTTTATTCAGATGATGTTGATTGAATGCCCATTATGGTGCTACTATCTTTACACTTACTGCTTGGGACACAACAATGAATAAGGTACCGTATTAACTTATAGCCTAGAAGATGAGAGAGACAAATAAGCCAAACTGAGGTTTTCAATTCTGACTTATGAAAACTAAACCTGGGGGAATATCAGGTGTAAAGGTCTTGACAAAGGTGCTAAACACAGAAAAATCTTTAAGAGAGGCCTCTCTCCTGCACATTACAATTCTCTTTCCAGCATTCTATTTGGGAAGTGGTATTTCATATGTCAGAGACCACTGGAAGTTAAAAATATAACTGAGGATACATAGAAAGTCCATCTGAACTTGGGAAAAGTTGTTCAAGTTTCAGGGTTCTTGGTGATAAATTTGCTCATATGCATGTTTCATTAAGAATCAAAGCATGTGCATCCTTCCGCATTGAAGCCAACAGCAGAAGCACAACAGCATTCCCAAGGTACAGTGACTAATACTTTGAGTAAGGCCTCAGTGTTCCCTTTATAGATCAGGTGTTAATATACACTGACATGCTTGCTCACAGCACTGAAAATTAATACGAGCACAGTGGGCTAAATAAAGTGCTACTCTGAAAATGCAAATGCTTTGGGTAGAATGGAAGGAATTTTATGGCTTTCTTTAGAAATATTTTCTCAGTTTGTTTGAAGATAAAAATAAAATGCTAAAAATCCCATTAAGACCTTTTAGAAGTGGTTGTATTTTTCCTTCTACATCTTGTACTGAAGCAAAACCTTTGACTTGTAATATGACAAACATATTCCCAGAAAGGATATGTTGGGATTAATAAGTGATAAACTCATTTTCCAATAATAATCCTTTTTGCCTTTTGAAATAAGATACTTTTAATGAGGTTCTTTTTTAAAATTATTTTTCCTGGGTAGTTTATTATAGATTCAGTGGTCTAAATGGGATAGAATTGGTCAGTTAGCCAAAACATCTGTACACATTGAAGTTGCATTTTATTTCTCAGAGCAAGAACTTTGATCACCTAATACCTTTGGAGACTAACAATGACCATTTCATAGACTCTTTGAGCCGTAAGAACCTTAGAGATCAACCTAGCAGGGATTATTCCAAGAACTGTGTAGTTCTGGAAGTATTTTACTTGAAGTGGGTTGAGGTAAAAAAGATAAAGGACTCTTAAGTCAGATACAGGAAGTCTTAATAATATAACTAGTTATGCCCTTTCTGTGGCCACTGGTCTAAATATATTTAACACAGTTGTTAAATAGCACAAACTATGGCACCAGACTTCTTCTGCCACTTACTAATTGTGTGACCTCAGACTTACTAAAAACCTCAGTTTCCTCTTCTGTAAAATGGGAATAATAGTACCCACTTGATGGAGATTTTGTAAATAATAAGTGAATCCATAGATAGAAAGTGCTTAGAACATTCTTTGGCACATAAAAGTATGTATGTTTAAGTTGTCATCATTATAATTTAATTTTCACATTACTATGAGACAGTAAGTGGTATAATTTTACGTATGGAAAAACTGATGCTTACAGAAGGAAAATAGCTTGTATAGTTATTCATCTATTAAGCAGGAGAACCAGCAAAGAAGCACCGTGACATTGACTCCAAAGTATATGTTCTATATGATAGTACTTCGAGACCCAATTTACATACAAAATTAATGTCATGTGCCACCTATATTATTATTCATTCAATGCCATTTTAGTTAATATTCAAATTTCAATTAAAAATAAGATTGCAACATCAGTCTAAGATGTGTATTTGTAACTTTTACATACTAAGGTTTAAGCTGGCCGAGTTTTGTTTCAACACACTTGAAAAAAAAACCCGAGATATATTAAAACGTTATTGCTGCTGTTAAAAATAAACACAAATTTAGTGTCTTAAAACAACACAGATTTATTCTTTAACAGTTCTAGAGGCAAGAAGACAGTTTCATTGAAAACAGATTCAGTGAAATCAGTTTCACTGGGCTAAAGTCAGGGTTTCTTCAAAGTTGATTCCTCCTGGAGGCTCCAGGGAGAATCTTATTTCTTTGCTATTTCCAGCTTCTAGAGGCTGCCTGCCTTCTTTGCCTTATGCCCCCATCCTCCACCTTCAAAGCACATCATTCCAATATCTGCTTCAGTCCTTACATTGCATTCACTTTTTCTAACCATGCTGCCACCCTCTTATAAGGACCTTTGTAACTACATTTGGTTCATTTGGGTAATCTAGGATAATCTCTATATCTCAAAATTATTAAATCATCTCTGTAAAGTCTCTTTTGCCGTGTAAAGTAACATATTCATTCACAGGTTTTGGAGACTATGACACGGACATCTTTCGGGAAAGGGGAGATGTCATTATTCAGCCTGTAACAGGGCCCTCTCTGGCCATGTCACTCCCTCATGCAAAATACATTAAACTGATCTTAACATCCTCAAAATTCTCAACTCACTGCAGCTTCAACTCAAAGGCCAAAATTTCATCTCAATATTATCATCTTAAGACACCCAAATCTCATTATCTAAATAAGATAAGCTAAGAGTTTGGTTTGATCCATCCTGGAGCAAAATTATTCTTCCTCTGTGGAATCTGTGAAACTAGAAAACAAATAATCTGCTCCCAAAATACAATGGTGGGATAAGAATAGGGTAACAGTTATAGACATTTACATTCACAAAAAAGAAGGAAAGGAAATGGAAGACAAGTCACTAGCCCAAGGCAATTTTAAAATTTAATCAGGAAAATTTAATTAGGTTTCAAAGTTTAGGATTAATTATCTGTGGTTCTGGCTCTGCCCTGTGGGAACGTGACTCTAACCTCTGGGACTGAAGTTCTGCCCTCTGGACTCAAGGCATGGTCCTCTGAATTATGATTTTTTTTCATAAAAGTAGCATATGTTTGCAGCTGAGTAGTTTCATTAGTCTGTTTCATCCATGTAGAATTTTGAGTCTGGCAGCCTTCTTTCACTACATCGTCTCTTGTTTATTTCAGTCTAAGCTGACAGTGTTTCTGCTGATACATAAAATTTTCTAAAACCTTATAGGTCTCCTATGTATGCCACAGCCTTTTACTCCATTAGGCATGAAGTTCTTTTTTTTTTTTTCTTTTTTTTTTCACGAAGTCTCGCTCTGTCACCCAGGCTGGAGTACAGTAGTGGCGCCATCTCGGCTCACTGCAAGCTCTGCCTCCTGGGCTCACGCCATTCTCCTGCCTCAACATCCCGAGTAGCTGGGACTACAGGCACCCGCCACCACGCCCGGCTAATTTTTTGTATTTTTAGTAGAGACGGAGTTTCACCGTGTTGGCCAGGATGGTCTCAATCTCCTGACCTTGTGACCCACCTGCCTCGGCCTCCCAAAGTGCTGGGATTACAGGCTTGAGCCACCGCGCCCAGCCTAGGTGGGAAGTTCTTACACAAGTCTTTCTAAGGTAATCCCATCACTATTTTTGACATCTGCTGAGAAAGTTAAAGAGCTCCCTAAATCACATACCTAATCTCTTCAGATATCCCTCTGTGTGATTAAATTTTATAATGATTTTTTTCTTCAGAGGCACTTCAAAAAGGTTTTCCAACCAAACCTTGGCTTTGTCTCCAGAAGAGAATCTCCCTAATTTTAGCGTCTTTTGCAGTGTGGAATGGCTGAAAATTTCCTAAATTATCGACTTCTGGTTCTTTTTAGCTTGACAGTTCTTCCCTTAATTTGCCCTTTTCTGTCACATTTTGCTATATGCAGCAAGAAGAATACAGGTCACACCTTTCACACTTTTCCACTGTATATGTATTTTTAAATCTCCTTAGCTAAATATCCAAGTCATTGTTTATAAGTTATGCTTTTCACGTAACTGCAGGATGTAGCCCAGTGAGGCTTTCTGATCCTATGTAACAGGGATCCTCTTTCCTACAGTTTCCAATAAAACATTCCTCATTTTCTACCATACTAGAAGTACCTTTAATGTCCATTTTTCTACCCAACAGACTGTTTATCACAATTTAGATATTCCACAGATGGTATAGGTATTCCACAGATGGTACAGGTCCCACGTCAATTCCTCTTGCGTCTTCACTGGAAGAGTCTTTAACATCCGTATTTGTACTAACAGTCTCTTCAAATCAATGTAAGTTTTTCCTATCATGCTCTCTGAAAATTTTCCAACCTCTACCCATTATTCAATTCCAAAAACACTTTTACATTTTAGGTTTTATTACAGCAGCATTCCATTTCCAAGTACCCAAATCTGTATTTTCCTCCAATTATTGCTGTACAAAGTTATTTCAAACGTAATGACTTAAAACAACATAAACTTATTTACCTCGTAATTCTGGAGACCAGAAATCTGAAATCCATTTTACTGAGGTAAAAACAAGATGTCTGGATGGCTGGATCCTTCTGGAGGCTTTAGGGGCCAATCTATTTCCTTGCCTTTTCCAGCTTCTAGAGCACACCTGCATTCCTTGGCTTGTGCACCATTCCTCCATCTTCAAAGCAAATCATTTCAATCTTTGCATTTATTGTTACATTGCCTTCTATCTTTCTGATCATCCTGTCTTCTTCGTATAAGGATGCTTACAATAGATAGTCAATAATAGTTTTCCCATATCAAGATCCTTAACTTAATCACATCTTCAAAGTTTCTTTTGCCATTTAAGGTAACATATTCATAGTTTCCAGGAATTAGGACATAGACATATTTGAGGAGCATTATTCATCCTAAAGCACAAGGTTTAGATCAAGAGACAATTATTTTTACAAATCTCCTAAGCAGGATAAATTTAAAAGACAGAAAATTTGGATGAAATTTTTAATAATTTTTCAGTTTTCACTCATCCACATACTTGGCTCACCAAGGCTACAGTAAAATCCAGTGTTTGGCTAATTACCAATTTTATTATAAGAAAGATGCCTGCTTAGGATAAAATATTTATCTAAATATAACAAGGGACTCATGACAACAAATGCTTGACTCTAAGTGTTACAGGGTCTCAGAAAAACTATAATAATAACTTTAACTTAGAGAAAAGTAAACATTACTGAGTCTTTTTGCTGAATTAAAACTGAACTACATTTTTCAAATGGTTTCTCCCAAAAATTTGCTTAGATGATCATTTACCCTCATCCCCATATTTTAGGTTTTTATTTTATAAACAATGAAAACAAAAGGCATTTTGCTGCAGCCTAGATAACTTTTATATAATTACACCTTTTGGATTAAAACAATAGTGCATCAGATTTGCTCACTGTGCTAGAGAGACAACATACCCATCACTAAAAGCCTGACTTGCCAGTCCACAGAATTCCGTCTTCTATCCCAGCTCCTGCTTACTACAGCTGTATGACCTTGGGCAAGTTAAATAGCCTCCCTTCAAAAATTAGATTGTGCAAATATTTACTGCTAGTGACAAGAACACTGTTGATAATTTACATATTGATAGTATATCCAGAAATTATCTTATTTCTCATAATTTAGTTTGGGTTTTCTATACAAGTGATCATTAAATGGCAATTTTTGTCTTCTTTTTTCCTTCTTTTTTAGTTAGAGCCTCCACTATAATATTGGGTAAAAGTGATCATGGTTGACACAAAGTTTATAATACAAGGTTACAGATGTCATAATCATTCAAGGCAGAGCTGAGAGCCTAACATGATCTTTGCACTGTGAAGATAAAACTAGTTAGGGCTATGTAGTCAGTAAGGATAACTGATAATGGATATGAGATTTATCTCTATAAAATCACTTTTGGTATGTATAGAGAGTCCATAAATATCATCAGATCTTATTACATGAGAAATACATTTAGTATTACCCATACTAAAATGTAAAATAAGTAATTTTAGAAAAATAATATTTAAAAAGGGAACTCAAAAACTGGCATTTTTAGAGAATGAGCAAGTTGGCTTAATAGTGTAATCAATTAAGTTTCAAAAATTTTCAAAGACCATTGAACTAAACATTTAACCTTAAAGACCTATTCATTCAATCAGATAAAAATACTTATCTGTATTGAGTTCTTACTATGTGCCAAACACTGTGGTAAATGTTTTAAATGCAAATATAGATAAGATACTACTCTTGTCTTCTAGGCTTTAAGAGTCTACATTGAAAGTAAGAAAACAAGCAAACACCAGAGTATAGGGTGATAGGCACTATTGGTGGAGGAATATAGTGTGCGAACATCTCTAACATCAAAATGGTCAGGGAGGTAGGGCTTCCTGTAGGTAACACTTGACCTGAGAGTCCAAGAAAAAAATAGCTATTGCCTTGACCTGACAGTCCAAGAAAAAAACGGCTGTTGCCTTCATGGGGAAGAGAAGAGTCCATATCATAGTCAAAATAATAGAATAACATAATTCTCCAGGGAATTATTTTATATGGCAAGATAGAAGAGTGATAGGCCATGAGGCTGACCACCATATTTGGAGTCAAACAATTATATTTGTGGTATGAAAAATTTATTTTGGTGGCATATCAAGACTGGTTTAGATACTAGAGAAATACATGGAGGGTAAATAACTAAATAAAATAATTCAGTAATCCAGTTGAGAAGTAATAAGGATATTGACTAAGAAAATGAAAATAGGTATGAGTAGGGGTGGCAAAATGAAGATGTGGATATAGAATCAACAAAATATGTAAAGTTAGAGACAGGAGTCAGGGATCTATTTCAGATAATAATGCACTCAGTAAGATGGAATATACCAAAAGAGGAAGATTTTGTTTAAAAAAAGATAATAAAGTTTTGGTCCAATTTAGCTGGTAGTATTTATAGGAAATATTCCAATGGAAATGTCCTCTATATAGTTGGATCTATTGGCTTTGAGGTCAGAATAGAGGTCGGGGATTGAGATATATATTTAAGAGACATCCACGAATAATTAAGACCACAGGTATGATTAAATTTGTCCAAGGAAAGAGAGGAGAATAAAATGGTTTAAGATGAAGCCCTAGAGAACATTACACTTTAAAAGGAAAAAAAATAAAAAGAGGAATGCCACTAAGAGGTATAAGAAATATCAGAGGGTTAGCCTAAGGCCAGGTAAAATAGAAAGAGATAGGAGAGTATATTTAAGATATAAAGCAAACCTTGTGGTAGCCGCTACTCTCATTTTCTAACCCTGAAGTAGCAAATTTAAATGCCTATGGGAGTCAGGCAGGTAATTCAATGAGCAGAGAGGCTTGGGTGTAGGATAATGATGGGGGACTGTCATATGCCAGAGAGCATCTTGTATAGATGAGGCAGCTGTTATCTAGGTCCTGCCTGTTACTGCCCTGTGGGAATCTGGGTCAATGTTGCCAGATATTTGACTTTTTCAAGAAAAGCTAAAACTCTATATTTTTATATGAAATCTGCCAATTTAAAAATGTTTAAAGCCTCTCAAGAAGTACCTATGGGATTTTTTTCAGCCCACAGGCTGCCAGTTTGTAACATCTGCCTTAGCATCTACGACGGGAACAGTTCTGGGCCAGGAAGATCACTGGTCGGGCCCGCAATTATAATCTTCCATTTCCATATTCATGAGTTGGTTCTTCACACAGATACCTTGAAGAATAATTTTGACATTTTGTGCTACTCAATTTAAAGGTTGACAATGGAAAAAAATTAAAGAAGCAGCTCATGAAAAGACAGATGTTCTAATCAATGCCTTAGAATGTTTTGTAACCTTTGCTAGCTGCTGTCATATAAGACATTGACAACTATAAACAGGGTGACCATATACTTTAGCATTCAAACATGGGCACATTTGGGGTGAAGAGGGATGCTCTTAGCAGGAGGTATAAAGTGAAATGTTTAATTACCCTAAGTATAAATGCGTATTATCAGTGTTGAATTATTTTTTATTCAGATCTCATGAATTCAATGTTCTTAAGTTAAATGGGACTCATTTTCTCAAAATTACTTAATCTTCAGTGTTTATTTTGAGTGTTAACCATGAGCATTTAAGTATTTTTACATCTTACTTCCTAGACATGTGATTTATTTGGGATCAGTGCAGTTTTATTGTGTATCAATTAGTGGTTTATTTTCTTTAGGAATATACAATATAAACAACCTTAGAATAGGAAAAAAATGAGGCTGTGTTTCTTCACAGGTGGTACATATAATTTTCTCATTTATAAATTGAGCATCAAGCATTGCTCTTCTTCTATACGCCAAAGGCCATTCAATTAGTGGGACTAATTTTCTCTGGCTTTTTATCAAGTTCTACTGTTTGGCTTTGGGTTTTGAAGCAGATGACAAGTACATAAAAAAACTGTTTTCTTTTTTAGGGGATGAAATAGACTGGTTTCTAATACATTAATAATAAGCCATTTGGGCATTTTTATTTCCAAGATGGCTTAGAAAAATGCACCCACATTTTTACGCCCCATAATGAAGATGCCAAGAAAGCGCCCACTCACATGAGCGTTGCCGACTTCTCTCTGCTGAATTATGCTAAAATGGCATTGGAGACAGGAAAAAACATTCCCAACAATTCTATATCAGATATGCTCCAAGGAAGTTGATGCCAAAAGTGTTACTGAGCTGGCTGTAAGGAAAACTCCATTTAGGGCACTTTATTTGAAAGGGTGGGCTAACAGCAGGGAAAGAAAATTTACTTGGGAAAAAGCACAAACAAATAAAAAGATTTCTTATTACCAGGTTATTATTGCAAATGTGAGTTATGAAATTTATCAAATAAGGAGGTTTTAAAATGCATCTGTGGGGTACCTTTTGAAATCTCATAAATATTTACACATTTTAAAAGATTATGTTTGAGTATTTCCAATAAAAGTGTTGCTATAAAATGTACCAATGGCCTAAGCATGGCTTTTAGAGCAGAAAATGGCTTTTAGATTTTTCAAGTTCAATCCCTTTGCACTTTTCAGAGGAGGAAATTGATAAAATCAAAACAGTTTATGGAATAGTTGGAAGTCAAATTTACAGCTTCTTCTTCTAACCCAGCACACACACACTGTATCAGGTGTTTTTCACCTTCGGCATATTTTCTGAACTGCAGTAGTTATGTAGGAACTAGTTGGTGTCTATTTCTATTTATAGTAACACCTAGAGGAATATTTAACTTTGCGCTTGCCTTTGTAGGTGGCTCTCAGGAACAAACACCTTTACAGAAGTCCCAAATTTAAAATCCTCTCTTTTAAGAAAATATCTCTTGTTAACAAATCCTGACTTTGTTTAGTTATCAGACTCTTTCCTGAAGTGTTTGAAAGTTTTGGAATTAATATAAAAACAGGCAGTTGCAACTTGATTGACACAGTAGTTTGTGTGTAAGCACAAACACTTTGAGAGGTATGATTAGACTAGGATGTAGCCACATATTTTTAAAGGATTTTGATTTCTTGTGTCTGGGTAGTCCAGCCCTAAAATGCAAGGGCACTTCTGACTTATAACTATTTGGATCATTTAATGAAGAGCCAAATATTTCTTTCTCTGGGATATGAATCTGGTCTGTGTTCTCAATAATCAACTCACTTTTATAAAAGAAAAAAGGGCCTGCTTATAGCTTTCTTCCTGGAACTAGAAAGTAATTTTTTTAATTAATAAAAACTATGAATTGTAAATATAAAACTATATATACAATTATTATAAATCGATATAGAATTTTATGACTAATCCACTGATTAAATAATGATTTACCCATCACACTAAGAAATGAAAACTGCATATTGTTTACATCTAAATTAAGCATGATTATCTGCAGAAATATGAGCACTGCACAATGAACCTGGAAAACCATTACTGTGTTTGATTTTGGACTTCTGTGTTTTGACCTGGTTGGATTCATTATGTTGGCTCATTCAGACTCCAGAATCATCTCCTGTGTTTCATGCTGTTCCTTTCCCAAGAGGGCTGAGGCAGATAGTCTCTAGGGTGGTTCCTATGATTGCTACTTCCTGGTGTTCATGACCTTTTATAATCCCCTTCTCTTGAGTCTGTGCAGGACATGACTTGTTTGTAACCAGTAGACTACATGAAAGGTGTGTGATTACATTACAATAGATTGTAGTACCCATACTGCTGAGAACTTTTGTTCCTGTTTCTCCCAAAGTGCTTCATACCTAGTCATACTTCAGTACATGTTGGTTAAATGAACAGATATATACAAATGTTATTAACCTTTCCCTTATAAAAATAAGCATTTTCACACATACCACAGAATATCTGTCTTTATTTGACCAAATTACTTTAATAATCAATGTCTTGACCTCCCTAACTTGCTTAAGTTGTCTGTTTTAAATGTTGTCATAATAACATGCATTTTTCCATTCTAGCACTTTACACAAAGATTACTAATTGTTGGATTATCAGTCTGATAATTATCTGTTCTACTAAATTTCACCCTGAGTGCAAGAATCAGGTTCATCTTGTTGCAACTAATAAAGTAACAATATATTGTGAAACACTTATTGAATGAATAAATACATGTACAATGTGATTGTCTGCAAAGTTGTGCCAAAAGATACAGTATGTTGCTTGTATTTTTGTTTGGGGATTTCATTAGTCCCTTATATCCAATTAATACATTTCTACTTAAGATGTTCTATCACACCTGTATGAAGTCTTAGTAAAAGAAAAGTTAAACCTCCTGGCACAGTATATAAATCCTCATGAATACATCACAAACTAGCCTCTTCAAACCATGATTTCCCATCATGCAGATGGATGAACAATGAACACGATGTGATAAAATATAGAAGAATCTTAGTGCTGCAGAAACCCGGAAAAGTGAGTGATTCATTCTGCTTGGTTTTCCAGGGGTGGTGTGGGCTAAATATCAGGAAAAGCTTCATGCAAGAGAGAGTGTTTGAGATAGACCTTAGAGGTGAGTGAAGAGAGGGAGGAAAGGAAAGCAGAGGAAACTGCATAACAAGGGCACCAAAAGCTTTATTTAAATAACGTCACTTATTTATTTACACTTCTCATTCTACAAAGAATTTAAAGTAGTTCACATAAGTA